>NC_000021.9:12965808-14215808 GCF_000001405.40 Homo sapiens
CATGTTTCCACTTACAGATCCTTCAAAAAGAGTGTTTCAAAACTGCTCTATGAAAAGGAATGTTCAACTCTGTGAGTTAAATAAAAGCATCAAAAAAAAGTTTCTGAGAATGCTTCTGTCTAGTTTTTATGTGAAGATATTTCCATTTTCTCTATAAGCCTCAAAGCTGTCCAAATGTCCACTTGCAGATACTACAAAAAGAGTGTTTCAAAAGTGCTCAATGAAAAGGAATGTTCAGCTCTGTGAGTTAAATGCAAACATCACAAATAAGTTTCTGAGAATGCTTCTGTCTAGTTTTTATGGGAAGATAATTCCGTGTCCAGCGAAGGCTTCAAAGCTTTCAAAATATCCACTTGCAAATTCTACAAAAAGAGTGTTTCAAAGCTGCTTTATCAAAAGAAAGTTTCAACTCTGTGAGTTGAATGTGCACATCACAAAGAAGTTTCTGAGAATGCCTTCAGTCTGGTTTTTATGTGAAGATATTCCCTTTTCCAACGAAAGCCTCGAAGCTGTCCAAATATCCACTTGTAAGTGCTGCAAAAAGAGTGTTTCAAAACTGCTACAGCAAAAGAAAGGTTTATCTCTGTGAGTTGAGTAGACACATCAAGAAGAAATTTCTGAGAATGCTTCTGTCTAGTTTTTATGTGAAGATATTTCCTTTGTCACCATAGGCCTCCAAGCCCTCCAAATGTCCACTTGCAGATGCTACAAAAAGAGTGTTTCAAAACTGCTGTATGAAAAGAAATGCTCAAATCTGTGAGATAAATGCATACATCACAAAGAAGTCTTTGAGAATGCTTCTGTCTAGTTTTTATGTTAAGATATTTCCTATTTCACCATACGTCTCAACGCACACAAAATGTACACTTGCAGATGCTACAAAGAGAGTGTTTCAAAACTTGTAGATCAAAACAAGTGTTCAACTTTGTGAGTTGAGGACACACATCTGAAAGAAGTTTCTGAGAATGCTTCTGTCTAGTTTTTATGTGAAGATATTCCCGTTTCCAGCGAAAGCCCCAAAACTATCCAAATATCCACTTGCACATTCTACAAAAAGAGTGTTTCAAATCTGCTCTATCAAAATAAAGGTTCAACTCTGTGAGTTGACTACACACATCACAAAGAAGTTTCTAAGAATGCTTCTGTCTGGTTTTTATGGGAAGATATTTCCTTTTTCAACATAGGCCTTGCAGCATCTACAAAAAGAGTTTTTCAAAACTCCTCTAAGAAAAGGAATGTTCAACTCCATGAGTTTAATGCAAAGATCACAAAGAAGTTTCTGAGAATGCTTCTGTCTAGTTTTAACCTGAAGACAGTTCCGTTTCCAGTGAAGGCTTGAAAGCTGTCCAAATATCCACATGCAAATTCTCAAAACGAGTGTTTAAAAGCTGCTCTATCACTAGAAAGTTTCACCTCTGTGAGCTGAATGCACACAGAAGTTTCTGAGAATGCTTCTGTCTGGTTTTTATGTGAAGATATTCCCGTTTCCAACCAAAGCCTCAAAGCTGTCCAAATATCCATTTGCAGATCCTACAGGGAGAGTGTTTCAAAACTGCTCTATAAAAAGAAAGGTTCTACTCTGTGAGTGGAGTACACACATCACAAAGAAGTTTCTGAGAATGCTTCTGTCTAGTTTTTATGTGAAAATAGTTCGTTCTCCAAAATAGTCCTCAAAGCGCTCCAAATGTCCACTTGCAGATTCTACAAAAAGAGTGTTTCAAAACTGCTCTATGAAAAGGAATGTTCAACTCTGTGAGCTGAATGCAACCATCACAAAGAATTTTCTGAGAATGATTCTAATTATTATGTGAAGATATTCCCGTTTCGAACGAAGGCCTCAAAGCGCTCCAGATGTCCACTTGCAGATTCTACAAAAAGAGTGTTTCAAAACTGCCCTATGGAAAGGAGGATTCAACTCTATGAGTTGAATGCACACATCACAAATGGTTTTTGCGAATGCTTCTGTCTGCTTTTTATGTGAAGATATTTCCTTTTTCACCATAGGCCTCAAAGAAATCCAAATATCCACTTGCAGATACTACAGAAAGATTGTTTCAAAACTTCTGTTTCGACTCTGTGAGTTGAATGCACACATCATAAAGAAGTTTCTGAGAATGCTTCTGTCTAGTTTTTTTGTGAAGATATTCCCGTTTCCAAGGAAAGCCTCAAAGCTGTCCTAATATCCACTTTTGAATTTTACAAGTAGAGTGTTTGAAAACTGCTCTGTCAAAAGAAAGGTTTAACTCTGTGTGTTGAGGGCTCACATCACAAAGAAGTTTCTGAGAATGCTTCCATCTATTTTTTATGTTAAGATATTTCCTTTTTCACCATAGGCCTCAAAGCACACCAAATGTCCACTTGCATATTGTGCAAAGAGTGTTTCAAAACTGTGCTATCAAAAGAAGCGTTCAACACTGTGAGTTGAACGCACACATCACAAAGAAGTTTCTGAGCATGCTTCTGTATAGTTTTTATGTGAAGATATTCCCGTATCCGAAGAAGGCCTCCAGGTGGTCTAAATATTTGCACATTCTACTAAAAGAGTGTTTAAAAGCTGCTGTATGATAAAGTATGTTCGAATTTGTGAGTTGAATGCACACATCACAAAGAAGTTTCTGAGAATGCTTCTGTCTAATATTTATGTGAAGATATTACGGTTTCCAACGAAGTCCTCAAAACCGTCCAAATATCCACTTGCAGATTTTATAAAAAGAGTGTTTCAAAGCTGCTCTATCAAAAGAAAGCTTCAACACTGTGAGTGGAATGCACACATCACAAAGTAGTTTCTGAAAATGCTGCTGTCTAGTTTTTATGTGAAGATATTCCCATTTCCAATGAAGGCCACAAAGCCGTCCAAATATCCACTTGCAGATTCCACTAAAAGAGTGTTTCGAAACTGCTCTATGATAAGGAATGTTCAACTCTGTTAATTGAAGGCAAACATCACAAAGAAGTTTCTCAGAATGCTTCTCTCTAGTTTTTGTGTGAAGATATATCCTTTTCCATCATAGGCCTCTAAGCTCTCCAAATGTCCACTTGCAGATTCTACAAAAAGAGTGTTTCAAAACTGCTCTCTCAAAAGTAAGGTTCAACTTTTTGAGTTTAATACACACATCACATAGAAGCTTCTGAGAATGCTTCCGTCTAGTGTTTGTGTTAAGATATTCCCGTTTCCAACGAAGGCTTCAAAGCGGTCAAAATATCCTCTTGCAGATACTACAAAAAGCGTGTATCAAAACTGCTCCATGAAAAGGTATGTTCAACCCTGTGAGTTCAATGTAAACATCACAAAGAAGTTTCTGAGAATGCTTGTGTCTGTTTTTTTGTGTGAAGATGTATCCTTTTCCACCATAGTCCTCAAAGCTCTCCAAATGTGCACTTGCAGATTCTACAAAAAGTGTGTTTCAAAACTCCTCTACCAAAAGAAAGGTTCAACTCTGTGAGTTTAATGCCCAGATCACAGACAAGTTTCTTAGGATGCTTCTGTCTAATGTTTATGTGAAGATATTCCCGTTTCCAACTAAGGCCTCAAAGAAGTCCAAATATCCAATTGCAGATTCTACAAAAAGAGCATTTCAAAACCTCTCTATGAAAATTTATGTTCAACTCTTTGAGCTGAATGCAAAGATCACAAAGAAGTTTCTGAGAATTCTTCTGTCTCATTTTTATATAAAGATATTTCCTTTTCCACCATTGGCCTCAAACCTCTCCAAATGTCCACATACAGATTCTACAAAAAGAGTGTTTAAAACCTGCTGTATCAAAAGAAGGGATCAACTCTGTGAGATGAATGAACACATCACAAAGAAGTTTCTGAGAATGATTCTGTCTAGTTTTTATGTGAAGATATTCCCGTTTCCAACGAAGGCCTCAAAGGGGTCCAAATATCCACCCACAGACCGTGAAAAAAGAGTGATTCAAAACTGCTCTATCAAAAGAAAGGTTCAACTCTGTGAGTTGAATTTACACATCACAAAGAAGTTTCTGAGAATGCTGCTATCTACTCTTTATGTGAACATATTCCCATTTCCAACGAAGACCTCAAACAATTCGAAATATCCACTTGCAGATTCTACTAAAAGATTGTTTCAAAAGTGCTCTCATAAGGAATGTTCAACTCTGTGAGGTGAAAGCAAACATCACCAAGAAGTTTCTGAGAATGCTTCTGTCTAGTTTTTATGGAAAGATATTTTCTTTTCCACCGTAGGCCTTAAAGCGCTCCAAATGTCCACTTGCAGATCCTACAAAAAGAGTGTCTCAAAAGTGCTCTCATAAGGAATGTTCAACTCTGTGAGGTGAAAGCAAACATCACCAAGAAGTTTCTGAGAATGCTTCTGTCTAGTTTTTATGGGAAGATATTTCCTTTTCCACCGTAGGCCTTAAAGCGCTCCAAATGTCCACTTGCAGATCCTACAAAAAGAGTGTCTCAAACCTACTCTCTCAAAAGAAAGGTTCAACTGTGTGAGTTGAATACACACGGCACAAAGAAGTTTCTGAGAAAGATTCTGTCTAGCGATTATGTGAAGATATTCCCGTTTCCAACAAAGGCTTGTAAGTGGTCCAAATATCCACTTGCAGATTCTACTAAAAGAGTGTTTCTAAACAGCTCTATGATAAGATATGCTTAACTCTGTGAGTTGAGAACAAACATCACAAAGAAGTTTCTGAGAATGCTTCTGTCTAGTTTTTATGTGAAGATATTTCCTTTCCCACCATAGGCCTCAAAGTGCTCCAAATGTCAACTTGGAGATTATGCAAAAAGAGTGTTTCCAACCTGCTCTATCAAAAGAAATGTTCAACTCTGTGAGATGAAAGCACATATCACAGAGAAGTTTCTGAGAATTCTTCTGTCTGGTTTTAATATGAAGATATTTCCTTTTCCACCATAGGATTCAAAGCTCTCCAAATGTCCACTTGCAGATTCTACAAAAAGAGTGTCTCAAAACTGCTCTATCAAAAGAAAGGGTCAAATCTGTGGGTTGAATGCACACATCACAAAGAAGTTTCTGGGAATGCATCTTTCTAGTTTTTATGTGAAGATATTCCCGTATCCAATGAAGGCCTCAAAGCAGTCCACATATCCACTTGCAGATTCTGCAAAAAGTGTTTCAAAACTGCTCTATCAAAAGAAATGTTCAACTCTGTGAGTTGAATGTACACATCACAAGGAAGTTTCTGAGACTGCTGCTGTCTAGTATTTATGTGAAGATATTCCCGTTTCCAATGAAGGCCTCTAGGCGTTCCAAATATCCACTTGCAGATTCTCCTGAAGGAGTTTTTCAAAAATGCCCTGTGATAAAGTATGACCAATTCTGTGAGTTGAATGCAAACATCAGAAAGAAGTTTCTGAGAATGCTTCTGTATAGTTTTGATGTGAAGATATTTCTTTTTCCACCATAGGCCTCAAAGCTCTCCAAATGTCCACATGCAGATTCCACGCAAAGAGTGTTGCAAACCTGCTCTATCAAAAGAAAGGTTCAGCTCTGTGAGTTGAATGCAAACATCACAAAGAAGTTTCTGAGAAGGCTTCTGTCTAGCATTTCTGTGAAGATACACCCGTTTCCAATGAAGGCCTCAAAGCGGTCGAAATATCCACTTGCAGATTCTCCAAAAAGTGTTTCAAACCTGCTCTATCAAAAGCAAGGTTCAACTCTGTGAGATGAATGCACACATCACAAAGAAATTTCTGAGAATGCTTCTGTTTAGTTTTTATGCGATGATATTTCCTTTTCTACCAGAGGCCTCAAGCTCTCCAAATGTCCAAAAGCAGATTTTACAAAAAGAGTGTTTCAAAACTGCTCCATCAAAAGGAAGGTTCAACTCTGTGAGTTGAATGCAAACATCACAAAGAAGTTTCTGAAAATGCTTCTGTCTAGTGTTTATATGAAGATATACCCGTTTCTAACGAAGGCCTCAAAGCAGTCCAAATATCCACTAGCAGAATCTACAAAAAGAGTGTTTCAAACCTGCTCTATCAAAAGAAAGGTTCAACTCTGCCAATGGAATGCACACATCACTAAGGAGTTTTTGAGAATGCTTCTGTCAAGTGTTTATGTGAAGATATTCACGTTGCCACGAAGGCCTCAAAGCGGTCCAAATATCCACTTGCAAATTCTACTGAAAGAGTGTTTCAACACTGCTCTATGATAAGGTATGTTCAACTCTGTGAGTTGAATGCAAACATCACAAAGAAGTTTCTGAGAATGCTTCCGTCTAGTTTTTATATGAAGACATTTCCTTTTCCAACATAGGCCTCAAACCGCCCCAAATGTCCACTTGCAGATTCTACAAAAAGAGGGTTTTAAACCCGCTCTATCAAAAGAAAGGTTCAACTCCGTGAGTTGACTCCACACAGCACAAAGAAGTTTCTGAGAATGCTTCTATCTCGTGATTATGTGACGATATTCTCCTTTCCATTGAAGGCCTCAAAGCAGTCCAAATATCTATTTGCAGATTCTACTAAAAGACTGTTTCAAAACTGCTCTAGATAAAGTATGTTCAACTCTGTGAGTTGAATGCAAACATCACAAAATAGTTTCCGAGAATGCTTCTGTCTAGTTTTTATGTGAAGATATTTCCTTTTCCACCCTAGGCCTCAAAGCGCTCCAAATGTACACTTGCTGATTCTGCAAAAAGAGTGTTTCAAACCTGCTCTATGAAAAGGAAGGTTCAACTCTGTGAGTTGAATGCACACATCACTAAGAAGTTTCTGAGAATGCTTCTGTCTAGTGTTTATGTGATGATATTCCCGTTTCCAACGATGGCCTCAAATTAGTCCAAATATCCCCTTGCAGATTCCTCTATAAGAGTGCTTCAAAACTACTCTATGATAAGGTATGTTCAACTCTGTGAGTTGAATGCACACATCACAAAGTAGCTTCTCAGAATGCTTCTATCTAGTATTTACATGAAGCTATTCCCTTTTCCAATGAAGGCCTCAAAGAGGTCCAAATTTCCACTTGCAGATTCTACTAAAAGAGTATTTCAAAACTGCTCTATGATAAAGTCTGTTCAACTCCGTGAGTTGAATGCACACATCACAAAGCAGTTTCTCAGAATGCTTCTGTCAAATTTTTATGTTAAGGTATTTTCTTTTCAACTTTAGGCCTCAAAGCAATCCAAATGTCCACTTGTAGTTTCTGCAAAAGAGTGTTTCAAACCTGCTCTATCAAAATAAAGGTTAAACTCTGTGAGTTTAATGCACACATCACAAAGAAGTTTCTGAGAATGCTTTGGTCTAGTTTTTATGTGAAGATACTCTCCTTTCCAACAAAGGCATGAAAGCAGTTCAATTACCCACATGCAGATACTACTAAAAGAGTGTTTCAAAACTGCTCTGTGATAAAGTTTGTTCAACTCTGAGAGTTGAATGAAAACGTCACAAAGAAGTTTCTGAGAATGCTTCTGTGTAGTTTTTGTGAGAAGATATTCCGTTTTCCACCATTGGAATAGAAGCGCTACAAATGTCCACTTGCAGATCCTGCAAAAAGTGTGTTTCATACCTGCTCTATGAAAAGGAAGGTTCAACTTGGTGAGTTAAATGCACGCATCACAAAGAAGTTTCTGAGAATGCTTCTGTCTAGTTTTTGTGTGAAGTTATTTCCTTTCCCACCATATGCCTCAAAACTCTCCAAATGCACACATGCAGATTCTGCAAAAAGAGTGTTTCAAACGTGCACTATCAAAAGTTCATCTCTGTGAGTTGAATGCACACATCACAAAGAAGTTTCTGAGAATGCTTCTGTCTAGTTTTTATGTGAAGGTATTCCTGTTTCTAATGAAGACCTCAAATCGGTCCAAATATCCACTTGCAGATTCTCCAAAAAGAGTGTTTCAAAACTGCTCTATGATAAGGAAAGTTCAACTGTGTCAGTTGAATGCAAACATCACAAAGAAGTTTCATAGAATGCTTCTGTCTAGTTTTTATGAGAAGATATTTCATTTTCCACAATAGGCCTCAAAGCACCCCAAATGTCAAGTTTCAGATTCTACAAAAAGAGTGTTTCAAACCTGCTCTAGGATAAAGTATGTTCAACTCTGAGAATTGAAGGCAAACAACAAAAAGAAGTTTCTGAGAATGCTGCTGTTTAGTATTAATATGAAGATATTTCCTTTTCCACCATAGGCATCAAATCGCTCATAATGTCCACTTGCAGATTCTGCAAAAAGAGTGTTAAACCTGCTCTATCAATAGAAAGGGTCAACTCTCTGAGTTGAATGCACACATCAAAAAGCATTTTCCTAGAATGCTTCTGTCTAGTTTTTATGTGAAGAAACTACTGTTTCCAGGGAAGGCCTCAAAGCTGTCCAAATATCCACTTGCAAATTCTACAAAAAGAGTGTTTCAAATCTGCTCCATCAAAAGAAAATTTCAACTCTGTGAGTTGAATGCACACAGCACAAAGAAGTTTTTGAGAAAGCTTCATTGTGTGAAGATACTCCCGTTTCCAACGAAGACCTCAAAGCAGTCCAATTATACACTTGCAGATACTACAAAAAGAGTGTTTCAAAACTGATCTATGATAAAGTATGTTAAACTCTTGAGAGTTGAATGCAAAAGTCACAAATAAGTTTATGAGAATGCTTCTGTCTAGTTTTTATGTGAAGATATTTCCTTTTCCTCCATAGGACACAAAGCACTCCTAATGTCCACTTGTAGATTCTGCAAAAGAGTGTTTCAAACCTGCTCTATAAAAAAAAAAGGTTCAACTCTGCGAGTTGGATACACACAGCACAAAGAACTTTCTGTGAAAGCATCATTATGTAAAGATACTCCCGTTTCCAACGAAGGCCTCAAAGCCCTCCAATTATCCACTTGCAGATACTACTAAAAGAGTGTTTCAAAACTGCTGTATGATAAAGTATGTTAGACTCTGAGAGGTGAATGCAAACGTCACAAATAAGTTTATGAGAATGCTTCTGTCTAGTTTTTATGTGAAGATATATCCTTTTCCACCATAAGCCTCAAAGAGCTCCACATGTCCACTTGCGGATCCTGCAAAAAGAGTGTTTCAACCCTGCTCTATGAAAAGGAAGGTTCAACTCTGTGAGTTGAATGGACACATCAAAAAGTAGTTTCTGAGAATGCTTCTGTCTAGTTTTTATGTGAAGATATTGCAGTTTCCAATGAAGGCCTCAAAGCGGTCCAAATATCCACTTGCAGATTCTACGAAAATAGTGTTTCAAAACTACTCTATGAAAAGGGAGGTTCAACTCTGTGAGTTGAATGCAAACATCACAAAGAAGTTTCTGACATTGCTTCTGTCTAGTTTTTATTTATAGACATTTCCTTTTCCACCATAGGCCTCCAAGCTCTCCAAATGTCTGCTTGCAGATTCTACAAAAAAAGTGCTTCAAACCTGCTCTATCAAAAGAAAGGTTCAATTTTGTGACTGGAATGCACACATCACAAAGAGGTTTCTGAGAATAATTTTGTCTAGTGTTTATGTGAAGATATCCCCTTTTCCAACGAAGGCCTCAAAGCGGTTCAAATATCCACTTGCAGATTCTACAAAGAGAGTGTTTCAAACCTGCTCTATCAAAAGGAAGGTTCAACTCTGTGAGTTGAATGCACACAGTTCAAAAAAGTTTTTGAGAAAGCTTCTGTCTAGTGATTATGTGAAGATATTCCCCTTTCCAACAAAGGTCTCAAAGTGGTCCAAATATTCACTTGCAGATTCTACAAAAAGAGTGTTTCAAAACTGCTCTATGAAAAGGTGTGTTCAACTCTATGAGTTGAATGCAAACATCACAATGTAGTTCCTTAGAATTCTTCTGTCTGGTTTTTATTTACATATATTTCCTTATCCACCATAGGCCTCATAGCTCTAAAAATGTCTGGTGCCGATTCTACAGAAAGAGTGTTTCAAACATGCTCTATCAAAAGAAAGATTCAACTCTGTGAGTTGAATGCACATATCACAAAGAATTTTCGGAGAATGCTTCCGTCTAGTGTTTATGTGAAGACATTCCCGTTTCCAAAGAAGGCCTCCAAGCGGTCCAAATATACATTTCCAGATTCTACAAAAAGAGTGTTTCAAAACTGCTCTATCAAAAGAAAGGTACAACTTTGTGAGTAGAATGCACACATCACAAAGAAGTTTCTGAGCATGCTTCTCTCTAGTTTTTATGTGAAGATATTTACTTTTCCACCTCAATGCTCTCAAATGTCCACTTGCAGATTCTACAAAAAGAGTGTTTCAAACATGCTCTATCAAAAGAAAGTTTCAACTCTTGGGGTTGAATGCACACATCACAAAGAAGTTTCTGAGAATGATTCTGCCTGTTTTTGTGTGAACATATTCCCGTTTCCAACAAAGGTCTCAAAGCGTTTCAAATATCCACTTGCATATTCTACGAAAAGAGTGTTTCAAAACTGCTCTATGGAAAGGTATCTTCAACTCTGTGAGTTGAATGCAAACATCATAAAGAATTTTCTGAGAATTCTTCTCTCTTATTTTTATATGAAGATATAACCTTTTCCACCATAGGCCTCAAAGCTCTCCAAATGTCAACTTGCAGATTCTACAAAAAGAGTGTTTCAAAGCTGCTCTATCAAAAGAAAGGTTCGACTCTTTGAGTTTAATGCACGCATGACAAAGAAGTTTTTGAGAATGCTTCTGTCTAGTGTTTATGTGAAGACATTCCCGTTTCCAATGAAGGCTTCATAGCAGTCCAAATATCCACTTGCAGATTCTATAAAAAGAGTGTCTCAAAATTGCTCCAAGGGAAGGTACCTTCAATTCTGTGAGTTGAATGCAAACATCACAAAGACGTTTCTGAGAACGCTTCTGTCTAGTTTTTGTGTGAAGATATTTCCTTTTCCACCATAGGACTCAAAGCTCTACAAATGTCCACTTGCAGATACTAAGAAAAAAATGTTTCAAACCTGCTCTATGAAAAGAGAGGTTCATCTCTGTGAGTTGAATGCACACATCACAAAGAAGTTTCTGAGAACGTTTCTCTCTAGTTTTTATGTGAAGATACTTCCTTTTCCACCATAGGCCTCAAAGCTCTCCAAATGTCCACTTCAGATTCTACAAAATGAATGTTTCAAACATGCTCTATCAAAAGAAAGGTTCAACTCTGTGAGTTGAATGCACACATCACAAACAAGTTTATGAGAATGCTTCCGTCTAGTTTTTATGTGAAGATATATCCTTTTCCACCATAGGACTCAAAGAGCTCCAAATGTCCACTTGCAGATCCTGCAAAAAGAGTGTTTCAACCCTGCTCTATGAAAAGAAGGGTTCAATTCTGTGAGTTCAATGCATACATCAAAAGTAGTTTCTCAGAATGCTTCTGTCTAGTTTTTAATGTGAAGATATTCCCGTTTCCAATGAAGGCCTCAAAGCAGTCCAAACATCCACTTGCAGATTATAAGAAAAGAGTGTTTCAAAATTGCTCTATGAAAAAGGAGGTTTAACTCTGTGAGTTGAAT
Source organism: Homo sapiens (assembly GCF_000001405.40). Taxonomy (NCBI): domain Eukaryota; kingdom Metazoa; phylum Chordata; class Mammalia; order Primates; family Hominidae; genus Homo; species Homo sapiens. Next base: position 12,977,249 of record NC_000021.9, read on the forward strand.
GCAAACATCACAAAGAAGTTTCTGAAAATGCTTCTGTCTAGTTTTTATTTATAGATATTTCCTTTTCCACCATAGGCCTGAAAGCTCTCGAAATGTGCACTTGCAGATTCTACCAACAGAGTGTTTCAAAGCTGCTCTATCAAAAGAAAAGTTCAACTCTGTGAGTTAAGTGCACACATTACAAAGGGGTTTCTGAGAATGCTTCTTTCCACGTTTTATGTGAAGATAGTTCCTTTTCCACTATAGACCTCAAAACACTCCAAATGTCCACTTGCAGATTCTACAAAAAGATTGTTTCAAAGCTGCTCTATCAAAAGAAAGTTTCAAATCCGTATGTTCAATCCACACAGCACAAAGATGTTTCTGAGAAAGCTTCTGTCTAGTGATTATGTGAAGATACTCCAGTTTCCAAGGAAGGCCTCAAAGCTGTCCAAATATCCACCTGCAGATTCTACTAAAAGAGTGTTTCAAAACTGTTCTAAGATAAAGTCTGTTCAACTCCATGAGTTGACTACACACATCACAAAGTAGTCTTAGAGAATGCTTCTGTATACTTTTTATGTGAAGATATTTCCTTTTCCACCGTAGGCATCAAAGGGCTCGAATTGTCCACTTGTAGGTTCTGCAAAAGAGTGTTTCAAACCTGCTCTATAAAAACAAAGGTTCAACTCTGTGAGTTTAATTCGCACATAACAAAGAAGTTTCTCAGAATGCTTCTGTCTAGTTTTTATGTGAAGCTATTTCCTTTTCCACCATAGGCCTCAAAGCAGTTCAAATGTCAACTTGTAGATACAAAAAGAGTGTTTCAAAACTTCTCTATGAAAAGGAAAGTTTAACTCTGTAAGTTTAATGAAAACACCACAAAGAAGTTTCTGAGAATGCTTCTGTCTAGTTTTTATGTGAAGATATTTCCTTTTCCACCATAGGCCTCAAATCGCTCCAAATGTCCACTTGCAGATTCTACAAAGAGAGTGTTTCAAACCGGCTCTATCAAAGGAAAGGTTCAACTCTGTAATTTGAATGCACACATCACAAAGGAGTTTCTGAGAATGCTTCTCTCTAGTGTTTATGTGTAGATATTCCTGTTTCCAATGAAGGCCACAAAGCGGTCTAAATATCCACTTGCAGATTCTACAAAAAGTGTGTTTCCAAACTGCTCCATAAAAATGTATGTTCAACTCTGTGAGTTAAATGCAAACATCCTGAAGAAGTTTCTGAGAATGCTTCTGTCTAGTTTTTGTGTGAAGATATTTCCTTTTCCACCATATGCCTCAAAGCTCTCCAAATGTCAACTTGCAGATTCTACAAAAAGAGTGTTTCAAACCTGCTCTATCAAAAGAAAAGTTCAACTCTGTGAGTTGAACCTCACTAAGAGGTTTCAGAGAATGCTTCTGTCTAATCTTTATGTGAAGGTATTCCCGTTTCCAACGAAGGCCTCAGAGCGGTCCAAATATCCACTTACGAAGTCTACTAAAAGAGTGTTTCAAAACTGCTCTATGATAAGATATGTTCAAATCTGTGAGTTGAATGCAAACATCACAAAGAAGTTTCTGAGAATGCTTCTGTCTAGTTTTTATGTGAAGTTATTTCCTTTTCCACCATTGGCCTCAAAGCACTGCAAGTGTCCACTTGCAGATTCTACAAAAAGAGTATTTCAAACCTGCTCTATCAAAAGAAAGGTTCAACTCTCTGAGTTGAATGCACACTTCACAAAGAAGTTTCCGAGAATTCTTCTGTCTGGTTTTTATGTGAAAATATTTCCATTTCCACCATAGGCCTCAGAGCGATCAAAATGTCCACTTGCAGATTATACAAAAACAGTGTCTCAAAACTGCTCTATCAAAAAGAAGGTTCAACTCTGTGAATTGAATGCACACATCACAAAGAAGTTTCTGAGAATGCTTCTGTCTAGTGTTTATGTGAAGGTATTCCCATTTCCCCTGAAGGCCTCAAAGCACTCCAAATATCCACTTGCAGATTCTACAAAAAGTGTGTTTCAAAATTGTTCTGTCAAGAGGAATGGTGAACTCTGTGAGTTGAATCACAAATCACAAAGAAGTTTCTGAGAATGCTTCTGTCTAGTTTTTGTGTGATGATATTTCCTTTTCTAACATAGGCCTCAGAGCAGTCCAAGTATCCACTTGCAGATTCTACAAAAAGAGTGCTGCAAAACTGCTCTGACTAAAGGAATGTTCAACTCTTTGAGTTGAATGCACACATCACAAAGTAGTTTCTGTGAATGCTTCTATCTAGTTTCTGTGTGAACATATTTCCTTTTCTACCATAGGCCTCAAAGTGCTCCAAATATCCACCCGCAGATTCTACAAAAAGAGTGTTTCAAAACTGCTCTACCAAAAGGAAGTTTCAAGTCTCTGAGTTTAATGCACACAGCACAAAGAAGTTTCTCTGACTACTTCTGTGTTGTTTTTATTTAAAGATATTTCCTTTTCCAACACAGGGCCCAAAGGGCTCCAAATATCCACTTGCAGTTTCTTCAAAAAAGAGATTCTAAACTGACCAATCAAAAGATAGGTTCATCTCTGTGAGTTGAATGCATACATCACAAAGCAGTTTCTCTGAATGGTTCTGTGTAGTTTTAATTAAAGATAATTCCTTTTCCACCATAGGGCACAAATGGCTCCAAATATCCACTTGTAGATTCTACAAAACCAGAGATTCAAAACTGCTCATTGAGAAGATAATTTCAACTCAGTGATTTGAATGTACACATCACGAAGAAGTTTCTTAGAATGCTTCTGTGCAGTTTTTATTGACGATATTTCCTTTTTCACCATAGGGCGCATAGGGCTCCAAATATCCTCTTGCAGAGTCTAGAAAAAGAGAAACTCTAAACTGCTCAATCAACAGATAGGTTCAACTCTGTAAGTTGAATGCCCACATCACAAAGAAGTTTCTCAGAATGCTTCTGAGTAGTTTTTATGTGAAGGTGTTTCCTTTTCCACAATAGGCCTCAAAGTTCTCCAAATATCCACTTGAAGATTCTACAAAAAAGGTGTTTCAAAACTGCGCAATGAAAAGAAAGGTTCAACCCTGTGAGATGAATGCACATATCACAAAGAAGTTTCTCAGAATGCTTCTGTGTTGTTTTTATGTGAAGATATTTCCTTACCACTATGGGCCTCAGTGGGCTCCAAATATCCACTTCCATATTCTACAAAAAGAGTGTTTCAAAACTGCTCAATCATGAGACAAAATTCATCCCTGTGAGATGAATTCACACGTCATGAAGTAGTTTCTCAGAATGCTTCTGTGTAATTTTTATGTGAGGATATTTGCTTTTCCACAATAGGCCTCAAGGGGCTCCAAATATCCACCTGCAGATTCTGCAAAAAGAGAGGTTCAAAACTGCTCAATCAAAAGATACTTTCAACTCTGTGAGTTGAATGCACACATCACAAAGAAGTTTGTCTGAATGCTTCTGTGTAGTTTTTATTTCAAGATTTTCCTTTTCCACCATAGGGCTCAAAGGGCTCCAAATATCCACTTGCAGATTCTACAAAAAGAGAGATTCAAAACTGCTCAATGAGAAGATAAGATCAACTCTGTGAGTTGAATGCACACCTCACAAAGAAGTTTCTCAGAATGCTTCTGTGTAGTTTTTATGTGAAGATATTTCCTTTTCCACAATAGTCCTCAAAGCTCTCCAAACATCCACTAACAGATTCTGCAAAAAGAGAGATTCAAAACTGCTCAATCAAAAGGTTCAACTCTGTGAGTTGAATGCAAACATCACAAAGAAGTTTCTCAGAATGCTTCTGTGTAGTTTTTATGTGAACATATTTGATTTTCCACAGTAAGCCTCAAAAGGCTCCAAATATCCACCTGCAGATTCTGCAAAAAGAGGTATTCAAAACTGCTCAATCAAAAGATAGGATCAACTCTGTGAGTTGAATGTATATACCACAAAGAAGTTTCTCTGAATGGTTCTGCATAGTTTTATTTGCAGATATTTCCTTTTCCACAATAGGGTGAAAGGGCTCCAAACATCCACTTCCAGATTCTACAAAACAGAGATTGAAAACTACTCAATGAGAAGATAAGTTCAACTCAGTCAGTTGAATGCACACATCATGAAGAAGTTTCTTAGAATGCTTCTGTGTAGTTTTTATTGAAGATATTTCCTTTTCAACCATAGGGTGCAAAGGGCTCCAAATATCCACTTGCAGATTCTAGAAAAAGAGTGACTCTAAGTTGCTCAATCAAAAGATAGGTTCAACTCTGTGAGTTGAATGCCCATATCACAAAGAAGTTTCTCAGAATGCTTCTGTGTAGTTTTTATGTGAAGATATTTCCTTTTCCACCATAGGCCTCAAAGCTCTCCCAATATCCACTTGCAGATTCTGCAAAGAGAGATTCAAAACTGCTCAATTGAAAGACAGGTTGAACTCTGTGAGTTGAATGCACACAGCACAAAGAAGTTTCTCAGAATGCTTCTCTGTAGTTCTTATGTGAACATAATTGATTTTCCACAGTAGGCCTCACAGCACTCCAAATTTCCACTTGCAGATTCTACAAAAAGAGAGATTCAAAACTGTTCAATCAAAAGATAGGTTCAACTCTGTGAGTTGAACGCATACATCGTGAAGAAGTTTCTCAGAATGCTTCTGTGTAGTTCTTATTTGAAGATATTTGGTTTTCCACTGTAGGCCTCAAAGCGCTCCAAATATCCACTTGAAGATCCTACAAAAAGAGTGTTTCAAAACTGCTCAATCATAACCTAGGTTCAACCCTGTGAGATGAATGCACACATCACAAAGCAGTTTCTCTGAGTGATTCTGTATAGTTTTTATTTGAGGATATTTCCTTTTCCATCATAGGGTGCAAAGGGCTCCAAATATCCACGTGGATATTCTACCAAAAGATAAATTCAAAAATTGCTCAATGAGAAGATAAGTTCAACTCTGTGAGTTGAATGCACACCTCACAAAGTAGTTTCTCACAATGCTTCTGCATAGTTTTTATGTGAAGATATTTGCTTTTCCACTGTAGGCCTCAAAGGGCTCGAAATATCCACCTTCAGATAGTGCAAAAAGAGAGATTCAAAACTGCTCAATCAAAAGATAGCTTCAACTCTGTGAGTTGAGTGCACATATCACAAAGAAGTTTCTCTGAATGCTACTGCATAGTTTTTATTTCAAGATATTTCCTTTTCCAACATAGGGCGCAAAGGTCTTCAAATATCCACTTGCAGATTCTACAAAAAGAGAGATTGAAAACTCCTCAAAGAGAAGATAATTTCAACTCTATGAGTTGAATGCACACCTCACAAAGTAGTTTCTCAGAATGCTTCTGTGTAGTTTTTACGTGAAGATATTTCCTTTTCCACAATAGGCCTCAAAGCTTTCCAAACATACACTTGTAGTTTCTGCAAAAAGAGAGATTCAAAACTGCTCAATCAAAACGTAGTTTCAACTCTGTGAGTTGAATGCAAACATCACTATGGTGTTTCTCAGAATGTTTCTGAGTAGTTTTTATGTGAAGGTATTTCCTTTTCCACAATAGGCCTCAAAAGGCTCCAAATATCCACTTGCAGATTCCACGAAGAGAGTGTTCCAAAACTGCTCAATCAAAAGAAAGTTTCAACTCTGTGAGATGAATGCACACATCGCAAAGGAGTTTCTGAAATTTCTTCCTTCTAGATTTTATGTGAAGATATTTCCTTTTCTATCATAGGCCGCAAAGCGCTCCAAATGTCCACTTGCCGATTCTACAAAAAGGGTATTTCCAAACTACACAATCAAAAGAAAGTTTCAACTCTGTTAGCTCAACGTACACATCATAAAAAAGATTATCAGAATTCTTCTGTTTTTTTGTGTGAAGATATTTCCTTTTCCAACTTAAGCCTCAAGGTGCTTGAAATGTCCCCTTGCAGATTCTCCAAAAAGAGTATTTGAAAACTGGTTCTCCTAAAGAAAGTTGGAACTCCAGGGGATGAATGCAGACATCACACAGAACTTTCTCAGAATGCTTCTATCTACTTTTTATGTGAAGATATTTCCTTCTCCACCACAGGCCTCAAAGCCCTGCCAAATGTCCACTTGCAGATCCTACAAAAAGAGAGTTTCCAATCTGCTCAATCAAAAGAAAGGTTTAACTCCGTGAGATTAATGCACGCATCACAAAGAAGTTTCTCAGATTGCTTCTGTCTAGATTTTATGTGAAGATATTTCCTTTTCTACCATTGGCCGCAAAGAGTTCCAAATGTCCACTTGCAGATTCTACAAAAAGAGTGTTTCCAAACTACTTAATGAAAAGAAACGTTCAACTCCGTGAGATGAACACACTCATCACAAAGAAGTTTCTCAGAATTCTTCTAATTTTTATGTGAAGATATTTCCTGTTCCACCATAGGCCTGAAGACACTCTAAATGTCCGCTTGCAGATTCTACAAAAAGAGAGTTTCAAAACTGCTCAATCAAAAGGAAGGGTTATCTCTGTGAGATGAATGCATATATCACAAACAAGTTTCTCATATTTCTTCTGTCTAGATTTTACGTGAAGATATTTACTTTTCTACCATAGACCGCAAATCGCTCCAAATGTCCACTTGCAGACTCTACAAGAAATAGTGGTACCAAACTGCTCAATTGAAAGAACGGTTCCACTCTGTGAGAAGAACGCACACATCACAAAGAAGTTTGTCAGAATTCTTCTTTCTAGTTTTTATGTGAAGATATTTCCTTTTCCACCATAGGCCTCAAAGCGTTCAAAATGTCCACTTGCAGATTCTACAAAAAGAGAGTTTCAAAACTGCTGAATCAAAAGAAAGTTTAAACTCTGTGAGATGAATGCACCCATCACTAAGAAGTTTCTCCGATTGTTTCTCTCTAGATTTTATGTGAAGGTATTACTTTTTCTACCATAGGTCGCAAAGCGCTTCAAATATCCATTTGCAGATTCTACAAAAAAGAGTGTTTCCAAACTGCTCAATCAAAAGAAAGGTTCAAGTCTGTGAGATGAATGCACACATTCCCAAGAAGTTTGTCAGAATTCTTCTGTCTAGTTTTTATGTGAAGATATTACCTTTTCCACCATAGGCCTCAAAGCGCTCCAAATGTCCACTTGCAGATTCTACGAAAAGAGAGTTTCAAAACTGCTCAATCAAAAGAAAGGTTTAACTCTGTGAGATGAATGCACACATCACAAAGAAGTTTCTCAGATTGTTTCTGTCTAGATTTTATGTGAAGATATTTCTGTTTCAACAATAGGCCGCAAAGCGTTGCAAATGTCCACTTGCAGATTCTACAAAAAGAGTGTTTCCAAACTGCTCAATCAAAAGAAAATTTCAGCTTTGTGAGATGAACGCACACATCACAAAGAAGATTATCAGAATTCTTCTGTCTAGTTTTTATGTGAAGCTATTTCCTTTTCCACCATAGGCCTCTAAACGCTCCAAATGTCCACTTCGAGATTCTACAAAAAGAGTGTTTCCAAACTGCTCAATCAAAAGAAAAGTTTAACTCTGTGAGATGAATGCACACATCACAAATAAGTTTCTCAGATGGGTTCTGTCTAGATTTTATGTGAAGATATTTCCTTTTCTACCATATGCCACATAGTTCTCCAAATGTCCACTTGCATATTCTACAGAAAGAGTGTTTCCAAACTGTTCAATCAAAAGATAGGTTCAAATCTGTGACATGAATGCACACGTCCCAAAGAAGTTTCTCAGAATTCTTCTGTCTAGTTTTTATGTGCAGATATTTCCTTTTCCACTGTTGGCCTCAAAGAACTCCAAATATCCACTAGCAGATTCTACAAAAACAGAACTTCAATACTGCTCAATCAGAAGAAAAGTTTAACTCCATGAGATGAATGCACACATCACAAAGAAGTTTCTCAGATTTCTTCTGTCTAGACTTTATGTGAAGATATTTCCTTTTCTACTACTGGACTCAAAGCGCTCCGAATGTGCACTTGCAGATTCTACAAAAGAGTGTTTCCAACCTGCTGTATCAAAAGAAAGTTTCAACTATGGGGGATGAAAGCACGCATCACAAAGAAGTTTTTCAGAATTCTTCTGTCTAGTTTTTATGTGAAGAGGTTTCCTTTTCTACCACAGGCCTAAAAGGGCTCGAAATGTCCACTTGCAGATACTACAAAAAGAGAGTTTCAAAACTGCTCAATAAAAAGAAAGGTTTAACTCTGTGAGATGAATGCACACATCACAAAGAAGTTTGTCAGATTGCTTCTGTCTAGATTTTATGTGAAGATATTTCCTTTTCTACCAAAGGCCGCAAAGCGCTAAAATTGTGCACATGTAGATTCTACAAAAAGAGTGTTTCCAAACAGCCCAATGAAAAGAAACTTTCAACTCTGTGTGATGAATGCACGCATCACAAAGTGATTTCATAGTATTCTTCTGTCTAGTTTTTATGTGAAGATATTTCCTTTTCCACCACAGTTCTCAAAGAGCTTCAAATGTCCACTTGCAGATTGTTCAAAAAGTGTGTTTCCAAACTGCTCGATCAAAAAAAGCTTAACTCTGTGAGATGAACACACACGTCACATAGATATTTCTCAGATTTCTTCTGTCTAGTTTTTATGTGAATGTATTTCATTTTCCACGGTAGGCCTCAAGGGGCTTGAAATGTCCACTTGCAGATTCCACAAAAAGAGTAATAAATAACTGGCCCATCAAAAGAAAGGTTCAAATCTGGGAGATGAATGCACATATCACAAAGTAGTTTCTCATATTGATTCTATCTAATTTTTATGTGAATATATTTCCTTTTCCACCATAGGTCTCAAACCGCTCCAAATGTTCACTTGCAGAATCTACAAAAAGAGAGTTTCAAAACTGCTCAATCAAAAGAGAGGTTTAACTCTGTGAGATGAGCGTGCGCATCACAAAGAAGTTTCCCAGATTGCTTCTGTGTAGATTTTATGTCAAGATATTTCCTTTTCTACCATTGGCTGCAAAGTGCTCCAAATGTCCACTTGCAGATTCTACAAAAACAGTGTTTTCAAAAGGCTCAATAAAAAGAAAGGTTCAACTCTGTGAGATGAACGCACACATCACAAAGGAGTTTCTCAGAATTCTTCTGTCTAGTTTTTATGTGAAGATATTTCCTTTTCCACCAAGAGCCTGAAAGAGCTCCAAATGCCCAATTTCAGATTCAACAAAAAGAGAGATTCAGAACTACTCAATCAAAGGAAAGTTTTAACTCTGAGAGATAAATGCACACATCAAAAAGAAGTTTCTGAGATTGCTTCTGTCTAGATTTAATGTGAAGATATTTCCTTTTCTACCATAGGCCACAAAGTGCACCAAATGTCCACTTGCAGATTCTACAAAAAGAGTGTTTCCAAACTGCTCAATCAAAAGAAAGGTTCAACTCTGTGAGATGAATGCACACATCAGAAAGAAGTTTCTCAGATTGCTTCTGTCTAGATTTTATGTGAAGATATTCCCTGTTCTACAATAGGCTGCAAAGCGCTCCTAATTTCCACTTGCCGATTCTATAAATAGAGTGTTTCCAAACTGCTCAATCAATAGAAAGTTTCAACTCTGTGAGATGAACGCACACATCACAAAGAAGTTTCTCAGATTGCTTCTGTCTAGATTTTATGTGAAGATATTTCTTTTTTCTACCATAGGCCTCAAAGCGCTCCAAATATCCACTTGCACATTCTACAAAAAGAGTGTTTTCAGACAGCTCAATCCAAACAAAAATTCAACTCTGTGAGATGAACGCACACATCAGAAAGAAGTTTCTCAAAATGCTTCTATCTAGTTTTTATGTGAAGATATTTCCTTTTCCACCATAGGCCTCAAAGAACTCCAAATGTCCATTTGCAGATTCTACAAAAAGAGAGTTTCAAAACTGCTCCATCAAAAGAAAGGTTTTACTCTGTGAAATGAATTCACACATCACAAAGAAGTTTCTCAGATTGCTTCTGTCTAGTTCTTAGGTGAAGATATTTCCTTTTCCACCACAGGCCTTAAAGCGCTCCAAATGTCCACTTGCAGATTCTACAAAAAGAGAGTTTGAAAACTGCTCAATCAAAAGAAAGTTTTAACTCTTTGAGATGAAAGGACACACCACAAAGAAGTATCTCAGATTGCTTCTGTCTAGATTTTATGTGAAGACATTTTCTATTCTAACATAGGCTGCAAAGAGCTCTAAATATCCACTTGCAGATCCTTCAAAAACAGTATTTCCATACTGCTCAATGAAAAGAATGATTCAACACTGCAAGATGAAGGCACGCATCACAAGGAAGGTTCTCAGAATTCTTCAGTCTGGTTTTTATGTGAAGATAATTGCCTTTTCCAACATAGGCTTCAAAGGCCTCCAAATGTCAACTTGCAGATTCTCCAAAAAGAGACTTTCAAAGCCGCTCAGTCAAAAAATGTTTAATTCTGTGAGTTAAATTCACACGTCACAAAGAATTTTCTCAAATTTCTTCTTTCTAGATTTTATCTGAAGATATTTCCTTTTCCAGCATGGGCCTCAAAGTGTTCCAACTGTCCACTTGCAGATTCTGCAAAAAGAGAGTTTCAAAACTGCTCAATCAAAAGAAAGGTTTACCTCTTTGAGATGAGTACACACATAACAAAGAAGTTTCTCAGATTGCTTCTGTCTAGATTTTATGTGAAGATATTTCCTTTTCTACTATAGGCCACAAAGTGCTGAACATGTCCACTTGCAGATTCTACAAAAAAAAATTTTCCAAACTGCTCAATCAAAAGAAAGGTTCAACTCTGTGAGATGAACGCACACATTTCAAAGAAGTTTCTCAGAATTCTTCTGTCTAGCTTTTATGTGAAGATACTTCATTTTCCACCACAGGCCTCAAGGCGCTTGAAATGTCCACATGCAGATTCCACAAAAAGAGTATTTCAAAACTGGTCCATCAGAGGAAAGGTACAGACAGCTCTGTTGAATGAATGCACCCTAAAAAGAATTTTCTCAGATTGCTTCTGTCTAGATTTTATGTGAATATATTCCCTTTTCTACCATAGGCCGCAAAGCGTTCCAAATGTCCACTTACAGATACTACAAAAAGAGTGTTTTCAAACTGCTCAATCAAAAGAAAGGTTGAACTCTGTGAGATGAACCCAAACATCACAAAGAAGTTTCTCAGAATTCTTCTGTCTAGTTGTTACTTGAAGATGTTTCCTTTTCCAACATAGAAGTTTTTCAGATTGCTTCTCTCTAGATTTTATGTGAAGATATTTCTTTTTCCACCGTAGGCCTCAATGCATTCCAAATGTCAACTTGCAGATTCTACAAAAAGAGAGTTTCAAAACTGCTCAAAAAAAGAAAGATTTAACTCTGTGAGATGAACACTGCTTCTGTCTAGATTTTATCTGAAGACATTTCCTGTTCTACCATAGGTCGCAAAGCACTCCAAATTTCCACTTGCCGATTCCACAAAAAGAGGGTCTCCAAACAGCTCAATGAAAAGAAAGTTTCAACTCTGTGAGATGAAAGGACACATCACAAGGAAGTTTCTCAGATTGCTTCTGTCTAGATTTTATATGAAGATATTTCTTTTTTCTAACATAGGCTGCAAAGCGTTCCAAATGTCCACTTGCAGATTTTTACAAAAAGAGTGTTTCCAAACTGCTCAATCAAAAGAAAAGTTCAACTCTGTGAGATGAACGCACACATCACAAATACGTTTCTCAGAATTCTTCTGTCTTGTATTTATGTGAAAATATTTCCTTTTCCAGCATAGGCCTCAAAGCCCTCCAAATGTCCACTTTCAGATTCTACAAAAAGAGAGATTCAAAAGTGCTCAATCAAAAGAAAGGTTTTACTGTGTGAGATGAATGCATACATTGTAAAGAAGTTTCTCAGATTGCTTCTTTCTAGATTTTATCTGAGGATATCTCCTTTTCCACCATATGCCTCAAAGTACTCCAAATGTCCACTTTCAGATTCTACAAAAAGAGAGTTTCAAAACTTCTCAATCAAAGGAAAGGTTTAACTCTGTGAGATGAATGCACACATTTACCAAGAAGTTTCTCAGATTTCTTCTGTCTAGATTTTATGTGAAGATATTTCCTTTTCTAAAATAGGCCGCAAAGCGCTCCAAATATCCACTTGCAGATTCTACAAGAAGAGTATTTCCAATGTGCTCAATCAAAAGAAATGTTCAACCCTGTTAGATGAATGCACACATAGCAAAGCAATTTCTCATATTACTTCTGTCTAGATTTTACGTGAAGATATTCCTTTTTTCTACCATAGGCTGCAAAGAGCTCCAGATGTCCACTTGCAAATTCTAGAAAAAGAGTGTTTTCAAACTGCTCCATCCAAAAAAAGTTCAACTCTGTGAGATGAATGCACACATCACAAAGAAGTTTCTCAGAATTCTTCCGTCTAGTTTTTATGTGAAGATATTTCCTTTTCCACCGTAGGCCTCAAAGCGCTCCAAATGTTCACTTCCAGATTTTAAAGACAGAGTGTTTCCAAACTGGTCAATCAAAAGAAAGGTTGAACTCTGTGAGATGAACTCACGCATCAAAAAGAAGTTTGTCAGAATTCTTCTGTCTAGTTTTTATGTGAAGATATTTCCTTTTCTACCATAGGCCACAAAGCACTACAAATGTCCAATTGCAGATTCTACAAAAAGAGATTTTCAAAACTCCTCAACCAAAGAGAATTTTAACTCTGTGAGACGAATGCACACATCACAAAGAAGTTTCTCAGATTACTTCTGCCTAGATTTTATGTGAAGATATTTCCTTTTCTACCACAGGCCGCAAAGCTCTCCAAATGTCCACTTGAAGATTCAACAAAAAGAATGTTTTCAAACTGCTCAAACAATAGAAATTATCAACTCTGTGAGATGAAAGCATGCATCACCAAGAGGTTTCTCAGAATTCTTCTATTTTTTATGTGAAGATATTTCCTTTTCCACCATAGGCCTCAAAGTGCTCCAAATGTCCACTTCTAGATTCTACAGAAAGAGTGTTTCCAAAATGCTCAATCAAAAGAGGTTTAAATCTGTGAGATGAATGCACACATCACAAAGAAGTTTCTAAGAATGCTTCTGTCTAGATTTTATGTGAGGATATTTCCTTTTCTACCATAGGCTGCAAAACGCTTCAAATGTCCACTTGCAGATACTACAAAAATAGTGTTTCCAAACAGCTCAATCAAATGAAAGTATCAACTCTGTGAGATGAACCCACACATCACAAACTGCTTTCTCAGAATTCTTCTGTCTAGTTTTTATGGGAAGATAGTTCCTTTTCCACCATAGGCCTCAAAGCGCTCCAAATATCCACTAGCGGATTCTACAAAAAGAGTGTTTCAAAACTGCTCAGTCAAAAGAATGATTAACTCTGTGAGATGAATCCACACATCACAAAGAAATTTCTCAGATTCCTTCTGTCTAGATTTTATGTGAAGATATTTCCTTTTCTACCATAGGCCACAAAGAGCTCCAAATTTCCACTTGCAGAATCTCCAAATGAGTTGTTTCCAAACTGCAGAATCAAAAGAAAGTTTCAACTCTGGGAGTTGAACACTCGCATCACAAAGAGGTTTCTAATAATTCTGTCTAGTTTTTATGTGAAGATAATTCCTTTTCCACCATAGGTTGCAAAGCGCTCCAAAAGTCCACTTGCAGATTCTACTGAAAGAATGTTTCCAACAGCTCAATCAAAAGAAAAGTTCAACTCTGTGAGATGAATGCACACATCACAAAGAAGTTTCTCAGGATTCTTCTGTCTAGTTTTTATGTGAAGATATTTCCTTTTCCACCATTGAACTCAAAGCACTGCAAATGTCCACTTGCCGATCCTAAAAAATGATTTTCCAAACTGCTCAATCAAAAGAAAATTTTAACTCTGTGAGATGAATGCACACAACACACAGAAGTTTCTGAGATTGCTTCTGTCTAGATTTTATGTGAAGATATTTGCTGTTCTTCCGTAGGCCACAAAGCCCTCCAAATGTCCACTTGCAGATTCGACAAAAAGAGTGGTTGCAAAGTGCTTAATCAAAAGAAAGGTTCAACTCTGTGAGATTAATGCACGCATCACAAAGAAGTTTCTCAGATTTCTTCTGTCTGGTTTTTATGGGACGATATTTCCTTTTCCACCATTGGACACAAAGGGCTCCAAAAGTCCACTTGCAGATTTTACAAAAACAGAGTTTCAATACACCTCAATCAAAAGAAAGTTTTAACTCTCTGGGATGAATGCACATATCACAATATCACAAAGATGCTTCTCAGATTGCTTCTGTCAAGATTTTATATGAAGATATTTCCTTTTCTACCATAGGGCGCAAAGCACTCCAAATGTCCAGTTGCAGATTCTACAAAAAGAGAGTTTCAAAACTGCTAAATCAAAAGAAACTTTTAATTCTGTGGGATGAATGCACACATCACAAAGAAGTTTCTCAGATTGCTTCTGTCTAGATTTTATATGAAGATATTTCCTTTTCTACCATTGGCTGCAAAGCTCTCCAAATGTCCACTTGCAGATTCTACAAAAAGAGTGTTTCCAAACTGCTCAATCTAAGGAAAGTTCCAACTCTGTGAGATGAACGCAGACATCTCAAAGAAGTTTCTCAGAATTCTTCTGTGTAGTTTTTATATGAAAGTATTAACTTTTCCACCACATGCATCAAATCGCTCCAAATGTCCACTTGCAGATTCTACAAAAAGAGAGTTTCAAATCTGCTCTATCAAAAGAAAGGTTTACTTCTTTGAGATGAATGCACACATCACAAAGAAGTTTCTCAGTTTGCTTCTGTCTGCAATTTATGTGAAGATATTTCCTGTTCTAACATAGACCTCAGAGCACTCCAAATGTCCACTTGCAGATTCTACCAAAAGAGTGTTTCCAAACTGCTCATTCAAAGAAATGTTCAACTTTCTAAATGAATGCACACATCATAAAGAACTTTCTCAGAATTCTTCTGTCTAGTTTTTATGTGAAGATAACACCATAGGCCTCAAAGCCTTCAAAATGTCCAGTTGCAGATTCTACAAAAAGAGGGTTTCCAAAGTGCTCAGTCAAAAGAAAGGTTTACTCTGTGAGATGAATACACACACCACAAAGAAGCTTGTCAGGTTGCTTTTATCTAGATTTTATGTGAGGATATTTCCTTTTCTACCATAGGCAACAAAGCACTCCAATAGTCCACTTGCAGATTCTACAAAAAGAATGTTTCTAAACTGCTCAATCAAAAGGAAGATTCAACTTTCTGAGATAAACTCATACATCACAAAGGAGATTCTCAGAATTCTTCTGTCAAGTTTTTATGTGAAGATATTTCCTTTTCCACCATAGGACTCAAAACTATCCAAATGTCCACTTGCAAATTCTACAAACACAGAGTTTCAAAACTGCTCAGTCAAAAGAAAGTTTGAACTCTGTGAGATGAATGCACACATGCCAAAGAAGTTTCTCAGATTCCTTCTGTCTAGATTTTTTGTGAAGATATTACCTTTTCTACCATAGTCCGCATAGCGCTGAAAATGTCCACTTGCAGAATCTCCAAAAACAGTGTTTCCAAACTGGTGAATCAAAAGAAAGTTTCAACTATTTGAGTTGAAGGCACACATCACAAAGAAGATTCTGAGAATACTTCTGTCTAGTTTTTCTGTGAAGATATTTCCTTTTCCACTATAGGCCCAAAAGCGCTACAAATGTCCACTAGCGGATTCTACAAAAAGAGTGTTTCAGAACTTCTCAATCAAAAGAAAGGTTTAACTCTGTGAGTTGAATGTACACATCACAAAGAAGTTTCTGAGAATGCTGCTGTCTAGATTTTATATGAAGATATTCTCGTTTCCAAGGAGGGCCTCAAAGGGTACCTAATATCCACTTGCAGATTCTACTAAAGGAGTGTTTCAAAATGACTCTATGATAAGGTATGTTCCACTCTGTGAGTTGAAGGCAAACATCAAAAAGAAGTTTCTGAGAATGCTTCTCTCTAGTTTAGATGGGAAGATACTTCCTTTTCCACTATAGGCCTCAAAGTGTTCCAAGTGTCCACTTGCAGATTCTACAAAAAGAGTGTTTCAAAACTGCTCTATCAAAAGAAAGTTTCAACTCTGTGAAGTGAATGCACACATTACAAACAAGTTTCTGAGAATGCTTCTGTCTAGTTTTTATGTGAAGATATTCCCGTTTCCAACGAAGGCCTCAAAGCAGTCCAAATATCCACTAGCATATTCTACAAAAAGAGTGTTTCAAAACTGCCCCCATGAAAATGAATATTCAACTCTGTGAGTAGAATGCAAACATCACAAAGAAGTTTCTGAGAATGCTTCTGCCTAGTTTTTATGTGAAGATATTTCCTTTCCCACCATAAGCCCCAAAGCGCTCCAAATGTCCACTTACAGAATCTACAAAAGAGTGTTTCAAACCTGCTCTATCAAAAGAAAGGTACAACTCTGTGAATTGAATGCAAATATCACAAAGAAGTTTCTGAGAATGCTTCTGTCTAGATTTTATGTGAAGATATATCCTTTTCTAACTTAGGCTGCAAAGCGCTTCAAATGTCTACTTACAGAATCTACAAAAAGAGTTTTTCCATAATTCTCAATCAAAAGAAAGTTTCAACTCTGTGAGATAAACGCACACATCACAAAGAAGTTTCTCAGAATTCTTCTCTCTAGTTTTTATGTGAAGATATTTCCTTTTCCACCATAGGCCTCAAAGCACTCCAAATGTCCACTTGCAGATTCTACAAAAAAAGAGGTTCAAAACTGCTCAATCAAAAGAAAGGTTTAACTCTGTGAGATGAATACACACATCACAAAGAGGTTTCTCACATTGGTTCTGTCTAGATTTTATGTGAAGATATTTCCTTTAATAACAGGTCGCAAAGCCCTCCTAATGCCCACTTGCAGATTCTACAAAAAGAGTGTCTGTAAACTGCTCTATCAAAAGGAAGTTTCAACTCTGTGAGAAGAACTCACATATCACAAAGAAGTTTCTCAGAATTCCTCTGTCTAGTTTTTATGTGAAGATATTTCCTTTCCCACCATAGGCCTCAAAGTGCTCCAAATGTCCACTTGCAGATTCTACAAAAAGAATGTCTCAAACCTGCTCTATCAAAAGAAAGGTTCAACTCAGTGAGTTGAATGCACACAGCACAAAGAAGTTTCTGAGAAATCTTCTGTCTAGTGATTATGTGAAGATATTCCCGTTTCCAATGAAGGCCTCTAACCGGTCCAATTAAACTCGTGCAGATTCTACTAAAAGAGTGTTTCAAAACTGCTCTATGAAAAGGTTTGTT
This sequence comes from Homo sapiens, assembly GCF_000001405.40. Taxonomy (NCBI): domain Eukaryota; kingdom Metazoa; phylum Chordata; class Mammalia; order Primates; family Hominidae; genus Homo; species Homo sapiens. Next base: position 12,994,489 of record NC_000021.9, read on the forward strand.
CAACTCTGTGAGTTGAAGGCAAACATCACAAAGAAGTTTCTGAGAATGCTTCTGTGGTTTTCATGGGAAGATATTTTCTTTTCCACTATAGGTATCAAATTGCTCAAATGTCCACTTGCAGAGTCTACAAAAAGATTGTTTTAAACCTGTTCTATCAAAAGAAAGTTTCAACTCTGTGAGTTGAATGCACACAGCACAAAGAACTTTATGAGAAAGCTTCTGTCTAGTGTTTATGTGAAGATATTCCCGTTTCCAAGGAATGCCTCAAAGCGGTCCAAATATCCACTTGCAGATTCTACTAAAAGAGTGACTCAAAACTGCTCTATGGTAAAGTATTTTCAACTCTGTGAGTGGAATGCAAACATCACAAAGACGTTTCTGAGAATGCTTCTTTCTAGTTTTTCAGTGAAGATATTTCCTTTTCCACTATAGGCCTCAAAGCGTTCCAAATGTCCACTTGCAGATTCTGCAAAAAGAGTGTTTCAAATCTGCTCTATCAAAAGAAAGGTTCAACTCTGTGAGTTGAATGCACACATCACAAAGAAGTTTCTGAGTATGCTTCTGTCTAGTTTTTCTGCGAAGATATTTCCTTTTACACCATAGGCCTCAAAGTTCTCCAAATGTCCCCTTGCAGATTATACAAAAAGAATGTTTCAAAACAGCTCTATCAAAAGAAACGTTCAACGATGTGAGGTGAATGCACATATCACAAAGAAGCTTCAGAGAATGCTTCTGTCTGGTTCTTATGTGAAGATATTTCTTTTTCCACAATAGGCATCAAAGCTCTCCAAATGTCCAGTTGCAGATTCTACAAAAAGAGTGTTTCAAAACTGACCTATCAAAAGAAAGGGTCAACTCTGTGAGTTGAATGCACACATCACAAAGAAGTTTCTGAGAATGCATCTGTCTAGTTTTTATGTGAAGACATTCCCGTTTCCAACGAAGGCCTCAAAGCAGTCCAAATATCCACTAGGAGATTCTACAAAAACAATCTGTCAAAACTGCTCCATGAAAACGTGTGTTCAACTCTGTGAGTTGAGTGCAAACATCACAAGGAAGTTTCTGAGAATGCTTGTGTCTAGTTTTTATGCGAAGATAATTCCTCTTCCACCATAGACCTCAAAGCCTTCCAAAGGTCCACTTGCAGATTCTACAAAAAGAGTGTTTCATACTTGGTCTATCAAAAGAAAGGTTCAAATCTGTCAATTGAATGCACACCTCAGAAAGAAGTTTCTGAGAATGCTTCTGTCTAGTGTTTATGTGAAGATATTCCCTTTTCCTAAGAAGGCTTCAAATCGGTCCAAATATCTACTTGCAGGTTATACGAAAAGAGTGTTTCAAAACTGCTCTATGAAAAGGAAGGTTCAACTCTGTGAGTTGAATGCAAACATCACAAAGAAGTTTGTGAGAATGCTTCTATCTGGTTTTTATGTGAAGATATTTCCGTTTCTACCATAGGCCTCAAAGCTCTCAAAATGTCCACATGCAGATACTGCAAAAAGTGTTTCAAATCTGCTCTATCAAAAGAAAGTTTCAAGTCTGTGAGTTGAATGCACACATCACAAAGAAGTTTCTGAGAATGCTTCTGTCTAGTTTTTATGTGAAGATATTTCCTTTACCACCATAGGCCTCAAAGCTCTCCAAATGTCCACTTGCAGATTCTACAAGAAGAGTGTCTCAAACCTGCTCTATCAAAAGAAAGGTTCAACTCAGTGAGATGAATGCACACATCAAAAAGAAGTTTCTGAGAATGCTTCTGTCTAGTTTTAATGTGAAGATATTCCCGTTTCCAATGAAAGCCTCAAATAAGTCCAAATATCCACTAGCAGATTCTGCAAAAAGAGTGTTTCAAAACTTCTCAATCAAAAGAAAGGTTCAACTCTTTGAGATGTACGCACAAATCACAAAGAAGTTTCTCAGTATTTTTTGTCTAGTTTTTATGTGAAAATATTTACTTTTCCACTGTAGGCCTCAAAGCGCTCCAAATGTCAACTTGCAGATTTTACAAAAAGAGAGTTTCAAGACAGCTCAATCAAAAGAAAGTTTTAACTCTGTGAGATGAATGCACACATCACAAAGAAGTCTCTCAGATTCATCCTATCTAGATTTTATGGGAATATATTTCCTTTTCTAACATAGGCTGCAAAGCGCTCTAAATGTCCACTTGCGGATTCCACAAAAAGAGTGTTTCCAAACTGCTTAATCAAAACAAAGGTTCAACTCTGTGAGATAAACGCATGCATCACAAAGAAGCTTCTCCGAATTCTTCTGTGTAGTTTTGATGTGAAAATATTTCCTTTTCCTCCTCAGGCCTAAAAGCGCTCCAAATGTTTTCTTGCAGATTCTACAAAAAGAGAGATTCAAAACTGCTCAATCAAAACAAAGGCTTAACTCTTTGAGATCAGTGCACACTTCACAAAGAAGTTTCTAAAAATGCTTCTGTCTAGTTTTTATGTGAAGATATTTCATTTTCCACCGTAGGCCTCAAAGCACTCCAAATATCCACTTGCACATTCAACAAAAAGAGAGTTTCAAAACTGCTCAATCAAAAGTAAGAGTTAACTCTGTGAGATGAATGCACACATCCCAAAGAAGTTTCTCAGATTGCTTCTGTCTAGATTTTATGTGGAGCTATATCCTTTTCTTTTTTTTTTTTATTATACTTTAAGTTTTAGGGTACATGTGCACATTTTGCAGGTTAGTTACATATGTATACATGAGCCATGCTGGTGCGCTGCACGCACTAACTCATCATCTAGCATTAGGTATATCTCCTGATGCTACCCCTCCCCCCTCCCCCCACTCCAAAACAGTCCCCAGATTGTGATATTCCCCTTCCTGTGTCCATGTGATCTCATTGTTCAATTCCCACCTATGAGTGAGAATATGCGGTGTTTGGTTTTTTGTTCTTGTGATAGTTTACTGAGAACGATGATTTCCAATTTCATCCATGTCCCTACAAAGGACATGAACTCATCATTTTTTATGGCTGCATAGTATTCCATGGTGTATATGTGCCACATTTTCTTAATTCAGTCTATCATTGTTGGACATTTGGGTTGGTTCCAAGTCTTTGCTATCGTGAATAATGCCACAATAAACATACGTGTGCATGTGTCTTTATAGCAGCATGATTTATAGTCCTTTGGGTATATACCCAGTAATGGGATGGCTGGGTCAAATGGTGTTTCTAGTTCTAGATCCCTGAGGAATTGCCACACTGACTTTCACAGTGGTTGAACTAGTTTACATTCCCACCAACAGTGTAAAAGTGTTCCTATTTCTCCACATCCTCTCCAGCACCTGTTGTTTCCTGACTTTTTAATGATTGCCATTCTAACTGGTGTGAGATGGTATCTCATTGTGGTTTTGATTTGCATTTCTCTGATGGCCAGTGAAGGTGAGCATTTTTTCATGTGTTTTTTGGATGCATAAATGTCTTCTTTTGAGAAGTGTCTGTCCATGTCCTTTGCCCACTTTTTGATGGGGTTGTTTGTTTTTTTCTTGTAAATTTGTTTGAGTTCATTGTAGATTCTGGATATTAGCCCTTTGTCAGATGAGTAGGTTGCGAAAATTTTCTCCCGTTTTGTAGGTTGCCTGTTCACTCTGATGGTAGTTTCTTTTGCTGTGCAGAAGCTCTTTAGTTTAATTAGATCCCATTTGTCAATTTTGTCTTTTGTTGCCATTGCTTTTGGTGTTTTAGACATGAAGTCCTTGCCCATGCCTATGTCCTGAATGGTAATGCCTAGGTTTTCTTCTAGGGTTTTTATGGTTTTAGGTCGAACGTTTAAGTCTTTAATCTGTCTTCAATTGATTTTTGTATAAAGTGTAAGGAAGGGATCCAGTTTCAGCTTTCTACATATGACTAGCCAGTTTTCCCAGCACCATTTATTAAATAGGGAATCCCTTCCCCATTGCTTGTTTTTCTCAGGTTTGTCAAAGATCAGATAGTTGTAGATATGTGGCGTTATTTCTGAGGGCTCTGTTCTGTTCCATTGATCTATATCTCTGTTTTGGTACCAGTACCATGCTGTTTTGGTTACTGTGGCCTTCTAGTATAGTTTGAAGTCAGGTAGTGTGATGCCTCCAGCTTTGTTCTTTTGGCTTAGGATTGACTTGTCGATGCCAGCTCTTTTTTGGTTCCATATGAACTTTAAAGTAGTTTTTTCCAATTCTGTGAAGAAAGTCATTGTTAGCTTGATGGGGATGGCATTGAATCTGTAAATTACCTTGGGCAGTATGGCCATTTTCACGATATTGAGTCTTCCTACCCATGAGCATGGAATGTTCTTCCATTTGTTTGTATCCTCTTTTATTTCCTTGAGCAGTGGTTTGTAGTTCTCCTTGAAGAGGTCCTTCACATCCCTTGTAAGTTGGATTCCTAGGTATTTTATTCTCTTTGAAGCAATTGTGAATGGGAGTTCACTCATGATTTGGCTCTCTGTTTGTCTCTTGTTGGTGTATAAGAATGCTTGTGATTTTTGTACATTGATTTTGTATCCTGAGATTTTGCTGAAGTTGCTTATCAGCTTAAGGAGATTTTGGGCTGAGACAATGGGATTTTCTAGATATACAATCATGTCATCTGCAAACAGGGATAATTTGACTTCCTCTTTTCCTAATTGAATACCCTTTATTTCCTTCTCCTGCCTGATTGCCCTGGCCAGAACTTCCATCACTATATTGAATAGGAGTGGTGAGAGAGGTCATCCCTGTCTTGTGCCAGTTTTCAAAGGGAATGTTTCCAGTTTTTGCCCATTCAGTATGATATTGGCTGTGGGTTTGTCATAGATAGCTGTTATTATTTTGAAATACGTCCCATCAATACCTAATTTATTGAGATATTTTAGCATGAAGGGTTGTTGAATTTTGTCAAAGGCTTTTTCTGCATCTATTGAGATAATCATGTGGTTTTTGTCTTTGGTTCTGTTTATATGCTGGATTACATTTATTGATTTGCATATATTGAACCAGCCTTGCATCCCAGGGATGAAGCCCACTTGATCATGGTGGATAAGCTTTTTGATGTGCTGCTGGATTCGTTTTGCCAGTATTTTATTGAGGATTTTTGCATCAATGTTCATCAAGGATATTGGCCTAAAATTCTCTTTTTTCGTTGTGTCTCTACCCATATATTGCCCTCTTTAAAGGCTCAAAATCTCAAATGCAGAAAGAATGACTTTTAAATATCCTACATATTTAAACCATTTATTTTATACAACAATCCCATAGATGCAAAACTACTACTAATAAACAAGTAACCTAAGCCGAATTAAATAAAAGTATACAAAGAAAAAATTAGCCGTCTGTGGTGGTGGATGCCTGTAATCCCAGCTACTCATGAGGCTGAGGCAGGAGATTTGCTTGAACTCGGGAGGTGGAGGTTGAAGTGAGCCGAGCTCCCGCCACTGCACTCCAGCTTGGACCACAGAGCGAGACTGTCTCAAACAAAAAATAAAAAAAAAAAAAAGAAAAGAAAGAAATTACTTCTTTTACACTTGCTCTTCTGTGTTTAGTTTCAAAATTATCATCTTCATGCAAAGTATTTAGCACAGTGCCTGGCAGATAGAAAAGGTTAACTATTATTTATTTATTTATTTATTTATTTATTTATTTATTTGAGACGGAGTCTTGCTGTCTCCAGGCTGCAGTGCAGTGGCGCAACCTTGGCTCATTGCAACCTCTGCCTCCCGAGTTCAAGCGATTCTCTTGTCTCAGCCTCCTGAGTAGCTAGGATTACAGGCATGCACCACAACGCCAAGCTAATTTTTTTAAATTTTATTTTTTAAGTAGAGATGGGGTTTCACCATGTTGACCAAAATGGTCTATGTCTCTTGACCTTCTCATCTGCCCACCTTGGCCTCCCAAGGTGCTGGGATTACAGGCGTGAGCCACTGCACCCAGCTGCTAGCTATTATTTCTAATCCTTTGCCATGCTCAGGTATAATCTTCCCAAATCCAGAAGTAATTTTATAACTTCAGCTAATTGCAGTGATAAATTATTGAAATATTTTCCTAAAGAAAATACACAAATGAAACCTTAAAAATACAAGGACTGGGCCGGCTTGGTGGCTCGCGCCTGTAATTCCAGTACTTTGGGAGGCCGAGCTGGATGGATCACCTGAGGTCAGGATTTCGAGACAAGCCTAGCCAACATGGCGAAACGTCGTCTCTACTAAAAATACAAAAATTAGCTGTGCATGGTGGTGGACGCCTGTAATCCCAGCTACTCCGGAGGCTGAGCCAGGAAAATCGCTTGAACCTGGAGGCGGAGGTTGAAGTGAGGCTAGTTCTCACTGCTGGACTGCAGCCTGGGGCAACAGAGCAAAAACTGTCTAAAAAAAAAAAAAGTCTGGGCGCGGTGGCTCATGCCTGTGATCCCAGCACTTTGGGAGGCCAAGGCGGGCAGATCACGAGGTCAGGAGATGGAGACCATCCTGGCTAACACAGTGAAACCCCGTCTCTACTGAAGATGCAAAAAATTAGCAGGGCATGGTGGCGGATGCCTGTAGTCCCAGCTACTCAGGAAGCTGAGGCAGGAGAATGGTGTGAACCCAGGAGGCAGAGCTTGCAGTGAGCCGAGATCGCGCCACTTCACTCCAGCCTGGGCGACAGAGGGAGACTCTGTCTCAAAAAAGAAAGAAGGAAAGAAAGAAAGAAAGAAAGAAAGAAAGAAAGAAAGAAAGAAAGAAAGAAAAGAAAGAAAGATGGATGAAGGTATAGTAAATTATGAAAAAGAGAGAATAAGCATCTTCAACAAGAAAAATGAAAATAATAAAAACTATACAATTGCAAAACAATAACTCTTGTTAAAATATTTTACATGTCATATTGTAAATAAGACACCCTCCGTGTATGCAGAAATGATTACATTAGTATAGGAAACAGCTGTGATTGTAGATATATAAACTAGAGAAATGTGAATCAGAAATAAGTTTATCAACTAGAAGAGAGAAGAAATTTTTATTTGAGTAAATCTACTGTCTACAATTTAAAAATACACAATGGTATTTCTTTCATTAAATAGCTTTATTTAAATATAAAAATAAAAGCTTATACATAGGCCAGAAGAAATATTGCTAGTTTATAATAAGGTTAATAGGAACTAAAACAGGGTAATTAGATAAGACGGTGTGTAAATAATTATGTTATTTTAGTAAAAATATTCAACACTGTACCTTTCAAATAAAAATATACTGTTTTAAAGGTCAACAAAAAGTTATTGTGCTTCAAATTTTAACATTTATCCTCCAAGTGAAATTACTATAAGAAGAAACAACTAACCTATAAATAAATAATTTACTTTTTGGAAAAGTTAACAAACCTCTCTACACACAATATAATTAAGAAAGATAATAAGAAACATATATAATTTCAAGATTTTCAATTTTTTTTACTAAGCCAGAGAAGATAAATGAGTTAATCATTCATGTCAGTAAGTAAATACAGGATCAAAAAACATACCTAATGGAAGGAAATTAATAACAGAAAAGTAAAAATTATAATCTAGAAAATGAAAGATATAAATCGATTCATAAATGGATAAGACTTTTAAGACTTTTTTTGAAGAAATCATTTCAAACTAGAATAAGCAAGAGGAATAGATCAAAACAAAAAGGAAAACAGTGAAGGTGATATACACATCCTCTTACTGAAAATTAATTTTAAAGAACTTTAAATTAATTTTAAAGAATTAATTTTAAACACTAAAACTCAGAGTCATCAATGTGTCTGGATACGGATTCATTTTTATTTCTTCTGCTCAGCACTTGTTTTATACTTTAAATTAGAGTCCTCAAGTCTTTCCTCTGCAATGGAAATTTTATGGCATCATGTAAAGTATACAAATAGTGAAGGCATTGCCAGTGTTTTCTTCTGTATAAGTATTCTCTACCATTAGAATGGAAACGTCATCAAAGTGGGCCCTTAGTGAGAGTTTGCTGAGTGGATGAATACTGTCCTTAAATATGGCTTCTCCATTCTCTTTGGACTCCTTTTGAAACTCCTATCATACATGTGTTGGGGACTTTCTTGACTGGTCTTTCTGACTTTTAAATCCTTTTATCTGGATAAATTCATCATTATCTCCCAATTGACTAATTCTTTGTGTTTATTGCATTTACACTTCTTTTTTATATAATTTTCATTTCTAGAGCTTTTATTTTTTTTTCCTTTTTTGAGATGGAGTCGTGCTCTGTCACCCAGGCTGAAGTGCAGTGGCATGATCTCGGTTCACTGCAACCTCCTACTCCTGGGTTGAAGTGACTCTCCTCCTGCCTCAGCCTCCTCTCCTGCTTCAACCTCCTGAGTGGCTGGAATTACAGGCATGCGCCACCACACTCGGCTAATTTTTGAATTTTTAGTAGAGACGGGGTTTCATTATGTTGGTCAGCCTGGTCTAGAACTCCTGATATCATGATCCACCCGCCTCAGCCTACCAAAGTGCTGGGATTACAGGTGTGAGCCTCCATGCCTGGCTGCTTTTAATTTTTTATATCAATCTTTACTTTGTTCTTTTTTGCCTGCTTTTTTTTTCCCCAGGGTCTTACTCTGTTGCCCCGGCCAGAGTGCAATGGCGTGATCTCTGCTCATTGCAATTCCCCAGGGTTCTATCAATTCTCTTACCTCAGCCTCTGGAGTAGCTGGGATTGCAGGCACCCACCACCATTCCCAGCTATGGTTTCGCCATGTTGGCCAGGCTGGTCTTGAAGTCCTGACCTCAGGTGATCCACCCACCTTGGCCTTCCAAAGTGTTAGGATTACAGGCGTAAGCCACTACGCCTGGCCTTTTGCCTGTTTTTATTTATATTTTTTTCTTTTCTTTCTTTCTTTTTTTTTTTAGATGGAGTCTAGCTCTGTCGCCCAGGCTGGCGTGCAGTGGCATGATCTCAGCTCACTGCCAGCTCTGCCTCCCAGGTTCACGCTATTCTCCTTCCCCAGCCTCCCGAGTAGCTGGGACTACAGGTGCCCGCCACCATGCTGGGCTAATTTTTTTGTATTTTTAGTAGAGAGAGGGTTTCACTGTGTTAGCCAGGATGGTCTTCATCTCCTGACCTCGTGATCCACCCAACTTGTCCTCCCAAAGTGCTGGAATTACAAGAGTGAGCCATCACACTCGGCGTCTGTTTTTATTTTTAAGTCTTCTATTCTTTTTGATGAATTTTATTCTTTTTTTTTTTTTTTGGCAGAGGCTCACTCTGTTGCCCAGGTTGGAATACAGTGATGCCATCTTGGCTCACTACAAAGTCCGCCTCCTGGGGTCAAGCAATTCTTCTGCCTCAGCTTCTTGAGTAGCTGGGATTACACGCACCCACCACCGTGCCCTGCTAATTTTTGAATTTTTAGTCGAGATGGGGTTTCACGGTGTTTGCCAGGCTGGTCTTGAACTCCCGACCTCAGATGATTTACCCATCTCAGCCTCCCAAGGTGCTGGGATTACAAGCGTGAGCCACCATGCCTGGCCCTGGATGTTTTCTTCTTAAAAAGCCAGTTGAGATTTCTAAGTGTACTCACTTAAAAGGAAAATTTAGTTTGCTATAATATTTCTCATATTTGCTGTGGTGAATTCATCTCTAGGAGGTTTCTTTGTATAATTATTTCATTATCTGTCTAATAGTTAATTCTCCACATGTTTTGTAATATTTTTGCACACTCACCTTGAATGAAAAGTTCTCTACATGTCATAGTCATATAACAAACAGAATTCACCCTCCTTCACCACAAATCACACTTCTGTATATTCAATAAAATGTGCATTTCTTCATGGATACTCTTTGAATCATCTAAATGGAGACTCTTTATAGAAATATTGAATCATTAATTCTTCCAACTATTGTACTCCTTTCCAACATACTGTCTTACTGATTTTTCACTTTTTCCTATTTATATCCATTTTGTTCTACTAATCCGTCTGTCATTGGCCTTCTTCTATAGCCAACCTCAAATTTCAATTCACACTAGCTGTGAACAGCACTCAAATTGCTGCTGTATTCTAAAAATATAAATTTACTTCATAAAGCAAAAGTGAATTATATGCATGTTACAAAAAATATTCCTAGCAGAGATAAGATGGGGTGGTATTTGCTGGGATGTGCAACATCGTTTTTTCCAAATTAATTTCTCTCAGAATTCTCTCCTCCCTACTGCCAGGCAGAGCTCACCACTCACATGTCATGAATGACATTTTTAGTCATTTTTCATCTTATCTGATCATATGACTTGAATTAATGTTTAGATCTGCTAAGGGCAAACACCACCATGGAATTAAATTTGCAAGAGGGAAGAAGGAGGAAGCAGGAGAAGGTGGATAGAGTCTTCAGACTAGGGTGCAGATCTTACATCTGTAGAGGGAAAGAGGGAAGGAAGGCTGATTGGGGTAGAAAGAGACTGCAGCATGGTTCCAAGAATGCTTTGGCCTAGGTCACTGCGGACTCCTTAAATTAAAGTTACTCATTGGAGACTGTCACAACTCACTGGAAACGTCCTCACATACAATCCCCATGTAGCTCTATGACTGTTGGAAACATGACTGCTGCACAAGTGTAGAAGTGCTTCCAGAGACAGAGGGCTAAAGCCAGGCTGTCGTTGACTTATGCTGTCTGATTCAGGATATCTGCATTGCAAACTTCCTTGGTCATTAAAATCCATTACCCCCACCTCCTAACCCCACCACAGCACACACATATTTGTCCAAACAGGTTCTTCATACCAGCTCTTCCAAAATTCCCATGATCCTCTCTTTTCCAAGGGGAATCTTAGAAAAGGAAGGTTAATGAGACCAACTCTAGCCCATGCTATAGCAGTTGGTCTCAGAACTGCCTTTGAATGCCCAGTTGTGTGAGGGGGAGAGAAAGAGAGAGAGAGTATGGGAGTGGGGAGTGTGTGTGTGTGTGAGTGTGTGTGTGTGTGTGTCTGAGAGAGAGAAAGAGAGAAATTATCTCTGCTTCTTTTGTAGAAAAGTAGCCCTACCTCCTCCTGCTAATCAGGGTGTATTCATCCTGCCCCAGTGGTGACGTATTTCTTGTCTTTTGGTTACTGGACCTAAGGAATCTAAAGCACCCAACAGATAACATTCTTTAGAGAGCAGGACTTGCTTGCCTTCCAGATCCCAGAGCTGCAGTGATGAGAAGCACAGGAAAACCTGAGAAGATTATTGGGAGCATTTGTAATTAGGGACATTCCTGTTTCTACCTCTGGTTTTCTGAACCTGTAGATTCTTCCTATGGAAGAAGAACTACTATATAAAGATCTGTGATAGAATATATATAAAAGATGGTGCCCCCTGCATTCAGAATGTCTCCTTTAGCATAGTGTCTCAGTTGCATCTTTAGAATGTTTCTCCAGGGCTCCATGAGTCTAGCTGCTTCTTGAAGAGTGTATGTAATACAAATAGTAGATTACATGGTCATGGACCCACTTCTGCCCATCCTTTGCTGTGAACAAGGAACCCTGGTCAGATGCTATACCATGTGGGATTTTATGCCTGTGGATCAGGAATTCTGGAAGCCTCAGAAAAGTGGTCCTGGCTCAGGCTCTGTGAACAGAAGTGCCAAACCCAGCCCTGGAATAAGGATATATCCCTCTGAGGATGAAAAGGTGGTCATTCAAGGTCAAAAGACTTGCCATATAAGAGTCTCATTATTGATTTATGCTGTTGAAAAGTAGGACAGTCAGAGGCAGCAGTAGTTAGATAAACCTTGATACATAGAAGTCCAGGCTGTGGGGCCCATATGTATCGTCCATCTCTGCCAACATGGTCATATGAGTGACTGCATATGTATGACTGTTGTGCTTGTTGTGGGAAAGCCAATCTCCAAGGCTGGCAGCTTGTCAAGTCATTTTGTCTGATTGGTTATTGAGTGCCTCTTCTGTGGTGAGTGCTTTCTTGTGAGTGTTAACGTGCAATACAAGATTCTTTACACTCCGTGCCTGCTCCTGCATGTCCACTCATATGCTTCTAACCCAGCTTCCTTGTCTCAGATATTTCAGTTCTTTTCTATCTAAGCCTCTGATCAGATGATTCACCCACTGACTACGGCAAAGAAATCTGTTTATATTCCTGCCTTAGGCCATGTTTCTTCTATGTAAAGTAGATGGCCAGGGCCACTGCTCCCAGTGCTGCTAATAGGGAATATTTTAATTTCCTTCTGTCCTTCAGAGTCATTCTTGCATTGGGCTGCAATGCAACTACACCTTTAAACAGAGATTGCCCCTTTCTCCCTCCTTCAGATGGCCACAGGGACACAAATGCAGTCACAGGTGTGAGCTGAAGGAAGGTTGCTGGTGCAAACATGGTGGGTGACATGAGGATCTGGGTTACCTGCTATTCAACTTATCCACTTGCTCTCATCTTGCTTGGCCTTTGTCTCATATTTACTCTTTCCACCTCATGATGAACTACTTCTTTTCCCTTCTGGTGTCATGACTTGGTGGTTCCAATAGAACTCAGCCTGCAAGAGGTAGTGCCAGAAGCATGGTAACTTATCAAGCACAGCATCTCTCCTAGGTCCAACATATAATTCTCTGCTATGGAAGGCATGGCTTTGTTTCAGAATCCCAGGAACTGGTGTTGTAATTCTTTCACTGAGAATTGCCATGTGTGCCACACTGTGACCACCATTGACACCTGCAAGAATACAGGTCCTGCAAGATCATATGACCCAAGCTGCAGGGCTGTTCACAATGGAACCTGGACATGCTGTGGAGCCCTGTCCTGCCCTGCACTCTTCAAACCCTGTGGTCTTCCTATCTCCCTGACTTGTCTTGTGGCTTACTTGTGTTATGTTGCTTAGGGTTTCTTGAGTTTCATGAGTTTGTATTTTTATAACTGTATAGATATAGATGGATATATATAGATATGGTCAAAGAGGAAGAGTAAGAGAGAAGAAAAAGAATTTTACAAAAGACTTTACTGGACATGTAGAAAAAAATATCAAACTCCACCTCTATTTCCAGCACTTTGGAAGGCCACGGTGGGTGAATCAGAAGGTCAGGAGATCGAGACAATCCTGGCTAACACGGTGAAACCCCGTCTCTACTAAAAATATACAAAAAAAATTAGCCAGGCGTGGTGGTGGGAGCCTGTAGTCCCAGCTACTCAGGAGGCTGAGGCAGGAGAATGGCGTGAACCCAGGAGTCAGAGCTTGCAGTGAGCCGAGATCTTGCCACTGCACTCCAGCCTGGGTGATAGAGCGAGAATCTATCTCCAAAAAAAAAAAAAAAAAATCAAACTCCATAGTGAGAAGTCAAACAACACAATAACAAAATGGGCAAGAGATTTGAGTAGACGACAATAACCAAAGATATATTAATGATTGATAAACACTGAAAAGTGCATCATTAACCACCTGGGAATGGAATTTAAAAATCAAAATGCAATAATACTGCACAGAAACTATAATGGATCCAAAAAAATGTCAATTCTGAATGTTTGAGAGGACATGCAACACCCTGAATTATCATATTTAGGTGGGAGTATAAAGTGGATAATCAGTTTGGATTGCAGTTTGGCAGTTAAACATACACTTACAATTTGACCTAGAATATTCCATTCTTACTTACTGAAGAGAAATGAAAACATGTGCATACAAATGAACATAGCAGCTTTACTTGTAATAATCAAGGAATAGAAACATTTGTAAATGGTTCACCAACAGGCTAAAGGATAAACATATTGTAGTATTTCCATACAATAGAAAAAAATAGAAAGAACCACTGATTTTGCAACATAGGTGATCCTAAAATATATTGAGAGAATGAACCAACAGTAGGCATATTATAAAAGTTTATTACTACAAAATTCTAGAAACTGAATTTATAGTGGTAGGTTGCAGATCAATGGCTGCTTGGAGCCAGAGGTTTTGGTAAGGAATACAAAAGAACTTTTGAGGTGATAGACAGCTTCAATATCTTCATCGGTGGTAGCCACATAACTTTATATGTTTGTACTTAATTTGGATGCATTTTATTGTATTGAAAGTAAACCTCAGTTAAGTTGACTTTTATAATTTATTAGATTCTAAAACATTAATTTGCTTCCATCCATTATATTTGTTCACAAATCCTACAATAGTATGTTTTGGAAGACCTGTAATAGACACAGTAACTGGCATATTCATAAAGGAAATTTCCTTATGTAGGATAGTTTTTAGGGGAAATGCCTGAAACAAAAAAATCTGCATCTGCTTATCATAATTCGCTGCATAAAAGATCTAAATGTGTAACTGGCAATCAGCTTTAGCTTTGATTATCTTTCATAGCAGCATGGATCAATTTTGTTTACCCAGTTGGCTATTTCTCCATGCTAAACTCATATTGCATACATGCCTCTGAAATTCCAGTCATGTATAGTCTATAATGTATACCTATATTACACAATTTGTATACTTTTCCACTTTAAAGGGGGGATTTATACCTGCAAAGGGACTTGACCTACAACTATCATCCAATTCTGTTCCAAATTTTGGATACTATGACTCTATCCTGGAAATGATTCAGTAGTTTTGTTTCATTTGACTCTTCCTACAGACATAATGTGTTGAAGTAAACCTGTTTTTTATGTTTGGAAAGTAGCCTTTGGATGGGTGTTTTCTAGCTTTTGGAAAACATGTACTTGAAGCAGAAGTAACTAGTTGTTGAGGGAATAGAACCACAGCATTTCTGACCTAGGCAAATTGAAACCTTGTCATCCTTGATGACAAACATGACATGACACATGATTGCCTTTTTCAGGGAGTTCTTATGTAAAATATTTTATCCCCAACTAGTTGGTATCATTCAAATCAAATTTTATAATTTTACTCTGTATTAGGATGCAGTTTTATAATGTCCAAAGCATCTTTACGCATATTTTTTCTCAAATAAATCCTACAGCAACTGTGTGACATGCTCAAAGGTGAGAATATTATCCCCATTTTACAACTGAGCAAGCAGACTTCAAGATTTGTTAACTTTTTAGAGCTGAAGTTTAGTCCACTATTTTATGTTATCAACCTTTGATTTGCTCTGCTATACCCACCAATTTAGAAAAGAATTTACCCAAGATTGTAACATGTAATACAATTAATTTATTTTTTTTTCTCTCCACTTGAAAACAGAAACAGTGGTGATTATGGAGTATCTACTGATTATTTTGCTGGGACAAGTTGATGTCACTAAATTTATAAATTGAACTGAACTGATAACCTCAGTTACTTTGCCAAAATTCCTTCTTTTAATATTACATAAACTGTAGAATGCAGAAGAGGTACTTTTAATTTCTAATTATTTAAGTAGAGAAAGACTCAACACTTCCTTTTAGGCTCACACATAAAATTTCTGGTTGATACATCACCAGCGATTGTGTTTCAGCATGTATGTAAATGCAGCTTTCTGAATAGGCAAACTTACAGGAATTATGGAATATCATTGTATTTACATACAGCAGTATCTCAGACATCACTCCAAAAACTAAAGGGCAATGAGGAAATATTTCCAAAAGCCATATTACAGTGCTTTGGGGGAGGTGAAAGAGAGAATGCTGCAATATGTTTTCTTGTTTGACTGACTCAAGCTACATTCTAGGAGATATTTTAAAAAGTGAATAAAATCTCTGTGTCATAGTCAAAAGATGTAAGGCAAACCACAATTATCCAAGGAAATCTGAAATGAATATTACTAAATACAACCTTCTGGATTTGGTTTTACTTACCATGTTGACTATGTCTGCTTATGGTTTTCTTACTTATGCCTACCTACACCATCTTTTAATTAAATGTGCCGATAAAATTTCTAAGTGCAGAATTTCCTTTGCTTGACACAAACACTTTGTTCTACTGTGAATCAACTGCTGGGGCTTTCTATTGTATGGATTTCTACAAAAGGATGTGCTGTAACTCAAGTATAAGCAGATGGTTCTTTCATTGTTGTAAATCAAATTGGTATAACCTGTGACTGGGTTCGATGTGGCCCCAGTTTCCTGAGGCCTGTGAAAATTGCTAGGTAGCTCATTTTCATTTTTTCTTATCACCTTAACTGGAGTTGGAGGCCCTTGCAAGTCCAGGACAATGACGTCTTAGGCAACCTCAGTTGTCTAGTGTGACTTAATAAGCCTGATGTATGTAGTAGAACCAATCTTTTCTTTTATATATAATGCCATTTTAAGTGATGTGAACCTTATTCTCTAGGTTACAGGTATTGGATTACTTTAGTTCTTTATTATAATAAGCAAGGTGTTAATTTTTTGTTGTTGTTGTTGTTTGAGACAGAGGCTCGCTCTGTCGCCCAGGCTGGAGTGCAGTGGCGTGATCTTGGCTCACTACAAGCTCCACCACCCGGGTTCACGCCATTCTCCTGCCTCAACCTCCTGAGTAGCTGGGATTACAGGCACCTGCCACCATGCCCGGCTAATTTTTTGTATTTTCAGTGGAGACAGGGTTTCACCCTGTTACCCAGGATGATCTAGATCTCCTGATCTCATGATCCGCCCGCCTCAGCCTCCCAAAGTGCTGGGATTATAGGCGTGAGCCACCGCGCCCTACCCGCTAATTTGATTTTTTAACTCCTAAATTCTACCACTTTCCTTACTCGCTTTCTAATGAAAATTGATGGAGAAAATAAACTGAAAATATCACAATTCTAAACATTCCACTATTTTGAGATTCTAAAATTATTGGCTTTTGATGTTCACTGATTCATGTCGGATTTTTAGTAGCATAATCAAACCTTTTTTTGGCAATGGTATAGAGTGCAAAATGCAAAGCCATTTGCCATGGTGTAGATGCTCACAGTATGCCCCTGCATCTAAAGAGATACTATTCTCCAACATAAATCAGACATATAGAAAATACTTACAGCACAGAAAATATGAACTATGGCATAGAAATACATTAAATTAGCTAAATGACATCCCTAATAAAAATCTGAATCTGGCCGGGCACGGTGGCTCACGCCTGTAATCTCAGCACTTTGGGAGGCCGAGGCAGGCAGTTCACCTGAGGTTAGTTCGAGACCAGCCAGGCCAACATGGTCTGCAAAAAAAATACAGAAATTAGCTGGGCATGGTGGCAGGCACCTGTAATCCCAGCTACTTGGGAGGCTGAGGCAGGAGAGTCACTTGAACCAGGGAGGCGGAGGTTGCAATGAGCTGAGATTGTGCCATTGCACTCCAGCCTGTGTGACAAGAGCAAAACTCCATCTCAAAAAAAAAAAAAAAAAGAATCTACTCTAAAACTGGGAATTTTATGTTTAAGTAGATTCACTTAATTTTTTCCTATAATCTCCTGAGACAAGTAAATGTTTTCAACAGTTGCGCTTAACAAACTGAAGAACTGGAAGGAGAAACAACATTATTAATAATTACTTCCAGAGTGGGGTGTGGCTCACATCTGTAATCCCAGCACTTTGGGAGGCCGAGGTGGGCTCATCACGAGGTTAAGAGATCGAGACCATCCTGGCTAACACGGTGAAAACCTGCCTCTACTAAAAATACAAAAAATTAGCCGGGAATGGTGGCGGGCGCCTGTGGTCCCAGCTACTTGGGAGCCTGAGGCAAGAGAATCGCTTGAGGAAGGCTGGCCAACATGGCTAAACCCCATCTCTACTAAAACTACAAAAATTAGCTGGGCTTGTTGGCGCATGTCTGTAATCCTAGCTACTCCCCGAGGCTGAGACAAGAGAATCGCTTGATCCCGGGAGGCGGAAGTTACAGCAAGCCGAGATCACGCCACTCCACTCCAGCCTGCTCTACAGAACAAAACTCTGTCTCTCAAAAAACAAAAAAAAAAAACAAAAACTTCCTACGATGCATGATTAAATTACAAAGTTTTCTATTCTTTTCTTTTAAAAATAAATATCTTAGCTGCCTGTTTTCATTCTGGCCATCAAAATTGCCTAAATTCTTTGTGGGCAATATCATCAACCCTTGAGGGAAATTCAAGATATTCCTAACACAGAAATATTCTTAGCTGAAAAGAGTATGGGATGACAATTTTCAACCTGGCATATATAAAAAGAAGAAAAATGTTGGGTAAATGAACAGCAAAAGAAAGATGACATTCATATGTCCTATGCAATTCTGAATACTTATTTTATGTAGGTGAATATTTTAATGAAAGACATTTATTGATTCAAAATATTTTTTAACTTAACGAACTTTGGCAAAACAATGCCCTTCAGTCAGTGACTATATTATCAAGTTTCACCTACCTCTGATCAAGGAAACAAAAATAATAGTAATTCCATACTCAGTATGTGTGAGAAAATAAGATGTGTTTAGTTCTAATTATTTTGAGTTATGCCACATAACACATAACAGTATACATTTATTTTGAGTTCATATGTAGAATTAGACTACTTTTTTAATTTTGGGAACATGGAGAACAATATTATAGGATTATATTAGTAAGGCTGTGGTAAATACTAACATTAAGCTCTCCTTATGTGACACACACAGTTCCTTCACCAAAATGGGCAAAATTTTAGCTGAAGACTTATAATGAAGCCTAGACATTCATGAAGAAATTAAACAACTTGACCATTATTAGAAGATAGTAAATACACGCATGTTCAATACCAGCCTCTTTTTTTCTCACTTTATGTTTTTTGAATGCCATTAGATTTACATATCCTGCTAACATAACATAAAAACAAACCTTAAGTTTCAAGAAATTAACAATTCTAGTTACATACTATTTACATGTTTTTCTTATTAACTATTAGTTATTTCAAAACTTACCTTTTATGTTTTGAGATAAAAAATATCTAATAGAAAGGTAGTTTTTTGAGAAGAATGCCTTTTTTATTATTTTTATTTTTATTTCTTTATTTTTTTTTTGAGACAACATCTTGCTCTGTCACCCAGGCTGGAGTGCATTGGCGTGATGTTGACTCACTGCAAACTCTGCCTCCCAGGTTCAGGTGATTCTCCTGCTTCATCCTCCTGAGCAGGTGGGATTAGAGTAGCATGCCACCACACCTGGCTAATTTTTGTATTTTTAGTAAACATGGAGTTTTACCATGTTGGCTAGGCTGGTCTTGAACTCCTGACCTCAAGTGATCCATCCTCCTCAGCCTCCTAAAGTACTGGGATTACAGGCATGAGCTACCTCTTTTTAAATTATTTTTAAAGGATACTTTAGTTTTCCTAGTAATCCATGTGAATGTATTCTCTATGAACTATAGTGTGTGTGTTTACTTTTTATATATAGAATACTACTGAGGAGCAAGCTGTTTCTGTAAATGAAATGGGACTGAACCTCTACCGTGGTTGTGTTCTACATGTTACAGAGACCTGGACAGAGACAGTATGATTATCTCATGAACATCACATAATCTCCTGTCACAGTCCCAAGATAAAACATTTCCTTAAAATCAAGACTTGCTTTAATAAGCACCACATTTATTACAATAATACCTTCCCACTATAATCAATATGGATATAAACAGCCTTTGTTCTATTTTTCTCATACTTGGAAGACTTTTGCTTTCATTCCATGAAAATCTTGTATTTCTCCTCAATTATTCTAATTAGAAAAATAGTGCTGGGGGAGAAAAAATAAAACAGCACAGAAAGGAAAGGGGCTCCTGCAATGCACTGTTTAGACAGATAAGGTAGCCTGGCCAGGAGATGGTCAGGTAGGGACTGCCTTCTTCTCTCTGGTGGTGAGAATTGAGAATTGCTGAGAGGTGTGCAAGTGGAGCTGATTGAGCCTGAGCACAGTCCAGCTTTCTTCCATGTTCTCTACATAAAATAATCAATAATCTTCAGCATTAAGACCTCATGATCTCATGTTTTGAGAAGGAGAGTTGAGAAACACCTACTAGTCTTGTGATAGGTTGAGTACTTTAAAGAGTTTTGGGCCAGGTGCGGTGACTCACGCCTGTAATCCCAGCACTTTGGGAGGCTGAGGCACGTGGATCACGAGGTCAGGAGATCGAGTCCATCCTGGCCAACACGGTGAAACCCCATCTCTACTAAAAATACAAAAAGTTAGCCGAGCATGGTGGCACACACCTGTAATCTCAGCTACTCAGGAGGCTGAGGCAAGAAAATCCCTTGATCTGGGGAGGTGGAAATTGCATGAGCTGAGATTGCACCACTGCACTCCAGCCTGGGTGACAGAGTTAGACTCCATCTCAAAAAAAAAAAAAAAGAATTTTGAAGCTTCTTAATTCCATTTATTTAAGACATTATTCTCATTGGGATTACGGGGGAATCCCTGAATTTTGGTAAAAACAAATCCAAGTCACAAAATCAGAAAAAAAAAGGGAAGATATAGGATGATGCGTTTCATTCTTCATATGAATATGCATTTTACAAATATATAACTAAGACCAATTTTGGATTTATTTCCAGGCTTGGAGATAACTTATGGAAACTTTTAACATTAAAGTTAAATTTGCAATTCAGAATTAATCCATACATTATTTCACTGTTTTCTTGTTAATATTAAATGCTGCTGACTCAGTAAAGTTTATTATTTGAATATAACAAGAATGTGTGAATTGTAAATGCCATGCTAAAGTCTGGAACATTTCTACAAAATTCAGTTTAGCAAATATTTGTTAAGACTTCAGTCAAAGCCTTTTACAACTGCACTGCTCTAGGTTTTGAGGACTCAAAATAATCTCTGCTCACAAACCAGACATGCAGACAAATAAGGTTCTATGTATTAAGGTCAATAATAGAATTTTGCTGAAGACAAAATATTATCGCAGACACAAAAAAATTAGCCAGACATGGTGGCAGGTGCCTGTAATCCAAGCTACTCAGGAGGCTAAGGAAGGAGAATAGCTTGAACCCAGGAGGCAGAGGTTGCAGTGAGCCAAGATCACATCACTGCACTCATCTTGGGCAACAGAGTGAGACTTCATCTCAAAAAAAAAAAAAATCTTGATTCCTTTATCCCCTGTGCTTCACAGCATTCAGAGTCTTCCATATTTTCTGGGAGTTTCTTGGTTAGTTGGGCTTGGCCTCTCCTCACTTACTGTTGGAGCCTGCCCTCTTCTCTGTGCTCCAGAGCAGATCATGTTTTCTCTACTCAGTTCCCTCTAGTGAGGAGACTCATTCCACTTTCACCCCCACCTTAGCACCAAGCACCATTAATTCAAGACCACTATGTGGAGGAGATAAGGGAGAATTACATCCCACGAAGAGCAGCAAAATGCATAAACATGCATATATATACACACATATGCATGTATATGCACATATACACACATATACATATATATGCATATATACATACACACATATATACACGTATACACATATACACACACACACATATATACATGCATATATTGCCACCACTATCCTGAATCTCCTCATTTTTTCCCATCAGAAGGAATTTCTCCACCCCACCCTACCATTTTCTTGGAACTTCTAGTCTCTCTCACATTATTAATTCTACACCTGGGGCTGCCTTGCCCCCTCTTGCTAACTGCCTGGTGGTAACTTGGCACTCCACTTAGTTACTACTTAACGTTACAGCTCACCCTTTTTTACATCATATTTATGAAGCATTAAATATTCTAAAAGTGGCCGGGTGCAGTGATTCATGCCTGTAATCTCAGCACTTTGGGAGGCCAAAGCGGGCGGATCATGAGGTCAGGAGTTCAAAACCTCCTGACCAACATGGTGAAACCCTGTTTCTACTACAAATACAAAAATTAGCTGGGCATGATGGCGTGTGTCTGTAATCCCAGCTACTCAAGAGGCTGAGGCAAGATAATCACTTGAACCTGGGAGGCAGAGGTCACAAAGAGCCGAGATTTGTGCCACTGCACTCCAGCCTGGGTGACAGAACAAGACTCTCAAAAAAAAAAGAAAAAAAAAAAACAAGCTACTTTGTCTAGGGTACCCTATTATACCAAGGAATTTAGTGCCTCATGAAAAAAGACTCTCAAGGATGTTTTTCTAAACAATAGAACCTTCTACCTTAGAAATCATTTATGGTATTATCCAACATCATTATTTTTTATTTTATATATATTTTTCACTACAATAAAAATCTTTCAAATATATCAAAATACAATTTTATTAAAACAGAAAAGTTGTTTATTAGATAATCTTTTAATTTTAACATATTAATTTATCTATCGGGGTTCTATGTCATTCACTCAGGAAGAGAATTCAATGAATAAATGTGGTAACTTCACATATCGTAGAACTTTTTCACAAAAATGGGCAATTTTTCATTTTTCAGAGTGAACACTGAGCCACCACCTGAGGAAAAATAAATGATCATTTTTAACAATTAAAGTTACTTTTTTTTAATCATCTGGTCTTTTAAGATGTTTTTAGACTTATAGATCAAGATAAGAAGTTAGCATGCACTTATCCTTCTTTCAATTTGTATCCATCCCTAATTTATTTCTTCCTATTGTGCAATAGCTCATTATTAAGCTGAGCTTCCATTTTACTCATTCATGTTTATTTATGGGTCAGGCAACTGAACTGCATACAAATTCACAAATTTTCTATTTTTTTTTTTTTGAGATGGAATCTTGCTCTGTCGCCCAGGCTGGAGTCAGTGGTGCAGTCTTGGCTCACTGCAAGCTCTGTCTCCAGGGTTCATGCCATTCTCCTGCCTCAGCCTCCCGATTAGCTGGGACTACAGGCACCCACCACCACACCTGGCTAATTTTTTGTGTTTTTAGTAGAGATGGGGTTTCACCATGTTAGACAGGATGGTATGGATCTCCTGACCTTGTGATCTGCCCACCTCAGCCTCCAAAAGTCCTGGGATACAGGCTTGAGCAACCGTGCCCAGCCTACAAATTTTCTTTGTAACTTACCTTATTATTAAATTGGTCTTCCTAATTCTTATTTTTTTATTTTTTTGTTTTTTATTTTTTATTTATTTTTTTGAGACGGAGTCTTGCTCTGTTGCCCAGGCTAGAGTGCAGTGGTGCAATCTCAGCTCACAGCAACCTCCTCCACCTCCCGGGTTAAAGCCACTCTCCTACCTCAGCCTCCAGAGTAGCTGGGATTATAGGCATGCACCACCACGCCCGGCTAATTTTGTATTTTTGGTAGAGACAGGGTTTCTTCATGTAGGTCAGGCTGGTCTCAAACTCCCAACCTCAGGTGGTCTGCCTGCCTTGGCCTCCCAAAGTGTTGGAATTACAGGTGTGAGCCACTGCACCCAGCCTGGTCTTTTAAAATTTGACCTAAACAGTTCATCCTGTCATGTTCTTCATGAGAGATGAAGGTCCACTATTTTTCCCTTGTTATTTTAATAAAAACAACTATTTACCTTGAATATACTGAATATATACAAAATACATATTCATTTACACACCATGGCTTTTTAAAAGGGTTGTCCTTAGATGTGGCCTCCAGGGATAGTTAAGCTGTAAATGGAAGGCTTCATATGTAAAGACATTTTCCTTTTGACCTTGTTTCTTATGGTGAGTGTGTGTGTGTGTCTGCTTTTAGTGGTAGAAGTTAAGGGGAATCTCTATGATTGTTTTTTTTTCTCTCCATTTATCCCTCATTTTCTTTCTTTTTTTTTTTTTTTGAAACAGAGTCTTCCTTTGTCAGTGCAGTGGCATGATCTAGACTCACTACGACCTCTTCCTCCTGGGTTCAAGTGATTCTTATGCTCAGCCTCTCAGGTAGCTGGGATTACAGGCATCCACCACCATGCCCAGCTAATTTTTGTATTTTAATGGAGATGTGGTTTCGCCATGTTGCCCAGGCTGGTCTCAAACTCCTGAGCTCAGGCAATCTGCCCACGTCGGCCTCCCAAAGTGCTGAGATTACAGGCATCAGCCACCATGCCCGGCCCCATTTATCCCTCATTTTAATATTTTTTAATATTTTTTTTCTTTTTTTGAGATGGAGTCTTGCTCTGTCACCCAGGCTGGAGGGCAGTGGCGGGATTTTGGCTCACTGCAACTTTGGCCTCTCAGGTTCAAGCAATTCTCCTGCCTCAGCCTCCCAAGTAGCTGGGACTACAGGTGCCCACCACCACGCCCGGCTAATTTTTTGTATGTTTAGTAGAGATGGAGTTTCACCACATTAGCCAGGATGGTCTCAGTCTCCTGACCTCATGATCCACCTGCGTCAGCCTCCCAAAGTGCTGGGATTACAGGCATGAGCCACCTCGCCTGGACTATCCCTCACTTTATAACATTAATCAAGTTCTTTTATAATTTTATGTTAAAGATTTTTGAATTTTGTTAATCTATTTTATTTTCCTTCATAAAATGATCAAAGCTAGAAATAACATTACAAAGTATATCATAATCGTTAACAGAAAGAGCTCTATAATCAGCTTAAATTTCTTTTCTCTCTTTTCTAGTTATGTGATCTTAGGCAAGTTACATAAATTACCTGTGTTCAGTTTATTTATTTGTGAAATGGGGAAAATAATGGTGCCTGTCTCTGGGTAAGATTGTAGTGAGGGTGAATAACAGATTTATCAAGCATAAAGCAGTGCCTGGGACACAGGAATTGCCCTCTCTGCATGCCCCTGCATATGTGTGCATACAGGCATGAATCACTTGATGATGGAATAAATTTGGAGAAATATGTCTTTAGGCAGTTTTGTTATTGTGCAAATATCTCAGAGTGTACTTACACAAACATAGATGGGATAGCCTACTACTCTGCTAGAGTATATGATAGAGTATATGTAGCCTGTTGCTGCTAGGCTACAAATCTGTACAGCATGTTACTGTACTAAATACTGCAGGCAACTGTAACACAGTGGTAGGTATTTTGCATCTTATCATAGAAAAGGTGCAGTAAAAAAAAAAAAGGGGTACACTTGTAGAGGGCACTTACCATGAATGGAGCTTGCACAGCTGGAAGTTGCTCTGGGTAAGTGAGTGAGAGGTGAGTGAATATGAAGGCCTAGGACATTACGGGCACTGTTGTAGACTTTAGCAGTACTGGATGTACACTTAAGCTATGCCAAATTTATTTTTAAATTGTTTTCTTTTATCAATAATAAATTAGCTTTAGCTTACTGTAATTTTTTTATTTAATATACTTTTTTTAACCTTTTGGCTCCTCTGTCACAACTCTTAGCTTAAAAGATAAACATATTGTACAACTTTAAAAAATATTATTTTCTTTATATCTAAGTCTATAAGCTTTTTCCAATTTTTAATTTTTGTGTTACTTTTTAACTCTTTTATAAAAACAAACACAAACACGCACATTAGTTTAGGCCTATACAGGGTCAGGATCATCAACATCATTGTCTTCCACCTTCATATTCTGTCTCAATGGAAGTTCCTTGGGGCAATAACACACATGAAGCTGACATCTCCTATGATAACAATCCCTCCTTCTGGATACCTCCTGAAGGACCTGCCTGAAATTGCTCTACTGTTCAGTTTTCTTTTTCTTTTTTAATAAGTAGTACCCTCTCAAAACATGACAAAAAGGGCCAGGCATGGTGGCTCATACCTGTAATGCAAGCAATTTGGGAGGCTGAGGCGGGAGGATCACTTGAGGGCAGCAGTTCAAGAGCAGCCTGGCCAACATGGTGAAACCCTGTTTCTACTAAAAATACAAAAATTAGGCAGGTGCAGTGGTGGGCACCTGTAGTCCCAGTTTCTTGGGAGGCTGAGGCAGAAAAATCACTTGAAACCGGGAGGTGGAGGTTGCAGTGAGCCGATATCACACCATTGCGACTCCAGCCTGGGCAACAGAGGGAGACTCCATCTCAAAAAAAAAAAAAGATAAAAAGAATAGAGTAAGCCGGGCGCGGTGGCTCACGCCTGTAATCCCAGCACTTTGGGAGGCCGAGACGGGCAGATCACGAGGTCAGGAGATCGAGACCATCCTGGCTAACACGGTGAAACCCCGTCTCTACTAAAAATACAAAAATTAGCCGGGCATGGTGGCGCGCGCCTGTAGTCCCAGCTACACGGGAGGCTGAGGCAGGAGAATGGCGTGAACCCGGGAGGCGGAGCTTGCAGTGAGTCGAGATCGTGCCACTGCACTCCAGTCTGGGTGACAGAGCGAAACTCCGTCTCAAAAAAAAAAAAAAAAAAGAATAGAGTAGTAAATATATAAACCAGTAATATTGTCACTTATTATCATTATCAGGTATTATGTTCTGTAAGTAATTATATGTGCTAGAAGCCTGGCAGCACAATAGGTCTGTTTTCACCAGCATCAGCACAGACATGTGAGTAATGAATTGTGCAATGATATTACATTGACAATGACATCACTAGGAAACAGGAATTTTTCAGCTCCATTACAATCCTACAGGACCAATATGTGGTCCACCATTTACTGAAATGTATTTACATGGTGCATGACTGTAAAATTACTAGTCTTCAAAAATCAGTTGTATCTTCAACATTTCCTACCTCTGCAAAATGCATCACCATTCTCCCAGTTACCCAGGCTTAAAACCTCAGAATTCTATCAAATTATTTCATTTCCTTACATCTCATGTTTAATTAGTCACTGATTCCCATCAATTTTCCCCTATCATGTTTAATAGTACCAACACATTATTTCTCTTAGAAAAACATTTTTCTAGTTTAAGATCTTAATTTAGCCTATTTTAAAAAAATCTCAAAGTTTTCCATACAGTCTTTATTTCTTATTTCTTAAAATATTTTCTACATTTTTATACAACTAACCTTTCTAAAGCATAAATATCTCACTTTGTCACTTGTATGCCCCCCCAAAAAACAAAAAAAAATATCTTCTTGGTCTAGAAAGTAAAATTATAATGCTTGGCATAATGTAGACAGAAATTCCCATTTATCCTTTTTCTCCTTTGCCCCCACACTTTTCTTCCATGTTCACATCAGTACCTAATCTCCCAGACATATGGAATTCATTGTTTCATGAATAAAGCCAACACATTCTAACTACCATGCATTTAGTCAAACCATCTGTCCACCTGGAATTTCCTACCATCCCCCATAAAATTTAAATTAAAAAATTCCACTGTTCTGTCCTCTCTGAAGATGTCCCTGAACCTTTACTGAAACTCATTGACATATCCTTTGGTTCCCGCAGCCTTTATTGTATATGTCATAATTTAGCACATACATTACTCTGCCATACATTTTAGTAAGTTAATGACCTGTCTCTTTTCACTGATAAAACAGTGTCAGGATTTTTTCATTTTTGTATTCCCTACTGGTCCACAGAGTGCTATGAACATATAATTTGCTAAGTTAATTTTAAATTGACTTAAACTTACTGGTGAATTCACCGATTAACTGTTCTTTTCCAGTATTACTCTTAGAAATGTCCTTTCCTTGATATATTTTATGTTCTAAAAAATTAATTTCATTTTAAGAATCACATCCTCCAAAACAAAAGAAACAAAAGCTCCCATACAATTCTAATGATAGTTATAGGTAACATTAAAAAATGGCATACCAACTGTAAAAACCAAAAACAAAAAAACAAACAAAAACAAACAAACAAACAAAACAATTCCCATGAAAGCCAGAGGCAAACAATGCAAATTTTAATGTCAATATTGTCATTTTTTCCTAGGTTAGGGGACAATATAACCACATTTATAAACTTATTCTTTTTGTCTATCCTCATGTTGACCTCACACATAGCATATTATGCCATTAAAACAACAAAAAAAGGAGAAAATGCTATATTGAAATCCAGTATTTTCTTACAACAATTCCTTACTGTGAATTGTGAATGAAAATTAAATTCTTTAATCACTAGGAAAGACTCTGAGTGTGAGAGTGTTTCTTTCAGCTGATATAAACATTGATAAGATCAAAGCTTGCTCTAAATTTTCTGTCTTACCAGGTCTTGACTGAATCTCAGAACAAAATCCTGTAGTTTCTCTTTATTTCAGATAAACCTTTGATCTTTTAAAAATATAGGCACATCTGGGCACAGTGGCTCAGTCCTGTAATCTCAGCAGTTTGGGAGGCTGAGGTGGGCAGATAACGAGGTCTAGATATCAAGACCATTCTGGCCAACATGGTGAAACTCTGTCTCTACTAAAAATACAAAAATTAGCTGGGCGTGGTGGTGCACACTTGTAGTCCCAGCTACTCAGGAGGCTGAGGCAGGAGAATCGCTTGAACCTGGGAGGCTGAGGTTGCAGTGAGATGAGAACGTGCCATTGCACTCCAGCGTGGGTGACCAAGCGAAATTCCATCTCAAAAATAAAAAGATAAATAGTCACATCTGGCTAAGGAAATGGCAAAAAGGCAAAAAGATATGCACAAAAAAAGTTAGCCACTACTTGCATTGAAAATGGGTTCAAGTTTAAGGTTTTGGCAAGTGTTTGAGAAAAATATGAATTAAGCTCATTTTCTGTGGAGACAAGTCTCTAGGCGTTTAGTTTTGGTTAAGTTAAATACTTAAATCTATTTAAAATTTTAAAGACCTTAGTAATGTAAACAAATGGTGTTGAGTTTGGACTTCTCTACAATATCTATGTGGAATCTTAGGAAAGGAAGAATGAAAGGATACAATACATTTTAAATGGTAGTTCAGCCTAAATCCTAAGCATAAGCATAATACACTGCTGCATTTTTTTTTGACAGAGCCTAACTCTGTCCCCCAGACTGAAGTGCAGTGGTGCCATCTTGACTCACTGCAACCCCAGTCTCCTAGATTCAAGCTATTCTCCTGCCTCAGCCTCCCAAGTATCTGGGATCACAGGCAGACACCAGTCACACCCAGCTTGTTTTTTGTTTTTTATGTTTTTTCTTTTTTTGGAGACACAGTCTTGCTCTGTCACCCAGGCTGGAATACAATGGCACAACCTCGGCTCACTGCAACCTCCACTTCCCAGGTTCAAGCGATTCTCCTGCCTCAGCTTCCTGAGTAGTTGGGATTACAGGCATGTGCTGCCATGCCCGGCTATCTGCCTCCCAGGTTCAAGCGATTCTTCTGCCTCAGCCTCTTGAGTAGCTGGGATTACAGGCATGTGCCACCATGCCTGGCTAATTTTTGTATTTTTAGTAGAGACAGGGTTTCACCATGTTGGTCAGGCCGGTCTCAAACTCCTGACCTCCTGATCCACCAGCCTCAGCCTCCCAAAGTGCTAGAATAATAGGCGTGAGCCACCATGCCCAGCCCATTTTTTGTATTTTTAATAGAGGTGAGGTTTCACCATGTTGACCAGGCTGATCTCGAACTCCTGACCTCAAGTGATCTGCCCCCCTCCACCTGCCAAAATGCTGGGATTACAGACAAGAGCCACTATGCCTAGCCAATATGTTACTTTAAAAAAATAAGTTATTCATTTTAGTTTTCTTCTGTTGCTAACGATCATTTCTATTTTGTAGGGAAAAGGAAGAGGGATCAGACTGTTACTGTGTCTATGTAGAAAGGGAAGAGATAATAAATTCCATTTTTACCTGTACCTTGAACAATTGCTTTGTCCTGAGATTCTGTTAATCTGTAACTTTGCCCCAATCACTGTGCCCCAACCTCTTTGCCCCAACCTTGAGCTCACAAAAACATGTGTTGTATGGAATCAAGGTTTAAGGGATCTAGGGCTGTGCCTTGTTAACAAAATGTTTACAAGTAGTATGCTTGGTAAAAGTCATCGCCATTCTCTAGTCTCGATAAACCAAGGGCACGCTGCACTGCGGAAAATGGCAGGGACCTCTGCCCTGGAAAGCCGGGTATTGTCCAAGGTTTCTCCCCATGTAATAGTCTGAAATATGCCTCATGGGATGAGAAAGACCTGATCATCCCCCAGCCCAACACCCATAAATGGTCTGTGCTGAGGTGGATTAGTAAAAGGGGAAAG
Organism: Homo sapiens; assembly: GCF_000001405.40. NCBI lineage: Eukaryota > Metazoa > Chordata > Mammalia > Primates > Hominidae > Homo > Homo sapiens. The sequence goes on from NC_000021.9 coordinate 13,024,200, forward strand.
CCCTTGCAGTTGAGATAGAGGAAGGCCACTGTCTCCTGCCTGCTCCTGGGAATGGACTGTCTCGGTATAAAACCCGATTTTACATTTGTTCAATTCTGAGATAGGAGAAAAACCACCCTATGGTGGGAGGCAAGACATGTTGGCAGCAATGCTGCTTTATTGTTCTTTACTCCACTGAGATGTTTGGGCAGAGAGAAACATAAATCTGGCCTACGTGCACATTCAGGCATAGTACCTCCCCTTGAACTTAATTATGACACAGATTCTTCTGCTCACATGTTTTTTTGCTGACCTTCTCCCTATTATCACCCTGCTCTCCTACCACATTCCTCTTGCTGAGATAATGAAAATAATAATCAAGAAAAACTGAGGGAACTCAGAGGCCGGTGCTGGTGCAGGTGCTTGGTATGCTGAGCGCTGGTCCCCTGGACTCACTTTTCTTTCTCTATACTTTGACTCTGTGTCTTATTTCTTTTCTCAGTCTCTCATCCCACCTGACTAGAAGTACCCACAGGTGTGGAGGGGCTGGCCACCCCTTCATATTTTCACTTAATTTACTCTGAATCTATGCCACTTTTGCATTTGAGGCTAATGTTTGTATTGAAGGAAAGGATAGCAAGTCAATTTACAATTGGATTTTTTCAATGTATAGAGTTACATGTTTACTAAAAGGAGTAGCCCTTAATTCTTTTTAAAAAGCCCATAGTAAGCAAGATGATTAACAATTTTTATATGAACAAATGTCTTACAATATTTTAAACATCTAGAGAACACTGATACCGTCTTCACTTACTGACAATGGCATATTATCAATTCACTTTTCCAAAGAGAAAGAAGTTACTTCTTTTGACTTAGATCTGACTTCTTAAACTGTCAAATGAAGTAGCTGAGTATAACTCACCACCTACAACTTTGATATTTAGCCTCCTCTCTTCATTTGCTTTGTATTATATGTACTGTAGCCCTTACTTTAATATTTCTATATCTTACACATCTTTCTCTCTTAAAAATGTGCTTTCATTTAGATGAGAAATACAATTTTAAGGGAGAAGTTGACTCATGCCTAGTTCTGTATTTTTTTTTAATTGCTGATCTGTCCTGAGGAAATTAATGTCGCCCTACTGGGTATGATGCTGTCCCTCTGGAGAGATTCCTGCAAGTTATGACCACTGGGGATTTTATAGGTGTCCACATTAAGCCTTTCACTGAGAGAAGAGATTAACTTGCAGTTGCCTCTCTGACAAATATATCTAAGAAATCAACATAATCTTTCAAAACCCTCTGGCTAATACTAGTTTGTAGCCACTATTAATATAGTGGTTCTAAGTTTGTTCCAGGGTCTCAAAGCCTTAAATCATTTCATGATTATACTCAGTTATAACTCAGTAGCTGAGTTATACTCAGCTACTTCATTTAACAGTTTAAGAAGTCAGATCTAAGTCAAAAGAAGTAACTTCTATCTCTTTGGAAAAGTGAATTGATAATATGCCATTGTCAATAAGTGAAGATGGTATCAGTGTTCTCTAGATGTTTAAATGTCTAGATGCAAATGTCAACATATAATGCTTACAAGGACATAACTGGGTGTTTCACACTATTATTTTAGTTTTAACCCACTTGATCCATCAAGTTATCTGTCATAGAGCAAATGAAAGGCCCCTTTAGAGAAGTCTCAGAATAAAAAATAGGCCTAGTTATGTTCGTTGGGAGAGAAGTAATTAAAGCATGGGTTTACATTTTCTGTCTATAAGAAATTGTCATTGTAGCTGTTGTTTGTTTCAAAATCTATGTACAGTTCTGACCCACCAACTGACAATGGCTGCCTGACTCTAACACTCTGGTGTGTTATTGTAAATTCCCTGAGTCTTCTTTATAGCAAGAGAAAAAATCAGGACATTCTGAAAGTAATACACTGTGGATATTTACATGGCCAGAGTATAATTTTCTCTGCTTAATAATAAAACTTAATAATGAGCTTAATAATAAAACTCACATACAAATACAAAATAAACCTGTGTCAAAATTTATTTCACTTATTCCTGAGGAAATCAGTAGGTGGGAAAGCTGGTTCCAGAACAAGTAAAAAAAAAAAATTACAGATTTTCTTTCCCCAAAAACAAGAAATGTTAGAATAAGACAACTATGTTAGAAGCAAAACTGGGCTGGGAGCGCTGGCTCACACCTGTAATCCCAGCACTTTGGGAGGCCAAGGCGGGCGGATCAGGAGGTCAGAAAATTGAGACCATCCTGACTAACATGGTGAAATCCGGTCTCTACTATAAATACAAAACCAAAATTAGCCGGCCATGGTGGCCTGTAGTCCCAGCTACTCAGGTTGCTGAGGTAGGAGAATGGCGTGAACCCAGGAGGTGGAGCTTGCAGTGATCCCAGATTGTGCCACTGCACTCCAGCCTGGGCGACAGAGGGAAACTCCGCCCTGAAAAAAAAAAAAAGAAGCAAAATTGATTAATAACAACAAATAGTACTGGGTAAACTGGATATCCACAGGCAAAATATAAAGTTTGGGCCCTTAACTTACATAATGTACAAAAATAAGCTAAAATAGATCAAAGACTTAAAAGTAACAACTACAACCCTTAAACTCTTAGAAAAAAAAACATAGGAGAAAATATTCTTTATGTTAGATTTAACAATGATTTCTTAGATATGATATCAAAGGTACAGGGAATAAAAAAATAACAAAAAAATTAGTTTCATCAAAAGTAAAAGTTCTGTGCATTAAAAGTCACCATTGACCAGGTGTGGTGGGTCATGCCTGTAATCCCAGCACTGAGGCAGGTGGATCACAAGGTCAGGAATTTGAGACCAGCCTGGCCAATATGGTGAATCCCCATTTCCACTAAAAATACAAAAATTAGCTGGGCATGGTGGTGTGCACCTGTAATCTCAGCTACTTGGGTGGCTGAGGCAAAAGAATCACTTGAACCTGGGAGGCGGAGGTTGCAGTGAGCTGAGATTGTGCCACTGCACTCCAGCCTGGGCGACAGAGGGAGGCTCCATCTCAAAAAAAAAAAGTCACCCTCAAGACAGTGGAACAACAACTCAAAGAATGGGAGAAGATGTCTGCAAATCACATATGTGATATGACATCAGTATATGTGGATATAATATGTATAATAGAATAAAGAACTCCAGCAACTCAACAATAATAAATGGTTCAATTTGTTAAATAGGCAAAGGACTTGAATAGATAATTATCTAAAGAAGATATACGAATGGCCAACAAGCACATGAAAAGAGGCTCAATATCACTAGCATTAGAAAAACACAAATGAAAGTAATGATGAGATATCATTTCACACCCATTAGGATGATTACAAAACAGAAACTCCAGAAAATAACAAGGGTTAGTGAGGATTCAGAGTCAATGGGAACCCTTGTGCATTCCTGGTGGGAATGTAAAATGGTGTAGCTTCTGTGGACAACAGTTAGGTGGCTCCTCAAAGGTTAAACATAGAACTACTATGTGATCCAGCAATTCTATGCCTATATACATGCCCAAAGTAATTGCAAATAGAGACTCCAACAGATATTAACCACCAATGTTCACAGTACCATGATTTACAGTAACAAAAAGCAGGAAGCAACTCAAAGGTTCATCAATAAATGAATGAATAAACAAAATACACCATATTCACATAATGGAAACTTATTCAGCCTTATTAAGGAATGAAATTCTAATATACACTACAGAACTTCAATGACTACAACCTACGTAAACTTTGAAAACATTATGCTTAGTGAAATAAGCCAGATGCAAAAGGATAAATATTGCTTGAAGTACTTAGAATAAGCAAATTACAGAGACAGAATAATCATTACCAGGGACTAGTGTGGGTGAGAAGTTATTGTTTAATGGGTACAGAGCTTCTATATGGGATGATTAAAGAGTTCTGGAAATGGACGGTGGTAAAGGTTGTGCAATTTGGTGAATGTAATGTCCTCTGAACTGTTCATTTAAAATTCATTAAAGTGATAAATTTTACAGTATGTGTATTTTACCACAAGTTAAAGAAGAAAATTAAAAGACAAAAATATGTATTCCCAATTGCACTGTATTTTTTGTTATTAAGCATAAAATTTAAACTTTATTAAACTTATTAGAAAAAGGGAATTGGAAATGTGATATAATGAAGTAATTCACAAAAATGTGTACAGTAAATGCACTCAAGAGCAGTTTTTCTGACGTTTGATGAACTCCTATCAGTTGTGAATTAAAACTGATTAATATCCTTCATGGAAACAGATCCATAAGGTCTGGCATTGTCTTTTTCTACTAGAGAGAAACCTAGAAATTATCACATAATCGCATAGCATCTAGGATCAAATCAACTAATACATGGCCAAGTCAAAAGAAAATGAAGTAATCTTTGGGTTAACCTTTTAGAGGATAGCTTTTAATAATGTAATATTACACTAAAAATACATGTTTTATGTCAGAGTTTTAGATACTTTTCCTTAGCAGTCCGCTATCACAAATATGTCCTCTGTTAGTGCTAATCCATAACTAACTCAGTTCCTTATTTTCATGTCAATAATCTCCAAGTGTTATTCTTTTTTTTTTTTTTTTTTTTTGAGACAGAGTCTGGCTCTGTCTCCCAGGCTGGAGTACAGTGGTATGATCTCGGCTCACTGCAGGCTCTGCCTCCGGGTTCATGCCATTCTCCTGCCTCAGCCTCCCGAGTAGCTGGGACTACAGGCGCCCGCCACCACGCCCAGCTAATTTTTTGTACTTTTAGTAGAGACGGGGTTTCACCGTGTTAGCCAGGATGGTCTCGATCTCCTCACCACGTGATCCGCCCGCCTCAGCCTCCCAAAGTGCTGGGATTACAGGCGTGAGCCACTGGCTCGGCCTCCAAGTGTTATTCTTAATCAAAAAAAGAAAAAGTTTATCTGACTATATTCGACCCTGATTATTTATGTAGCTTCAGAAAGAGGAGTTAAACACATAGGTGAAGTCTTCCCTCCACCAGGTTCTAAAATGTAAGATTCATGGCCTTCTGAAAACACTCCCTTACCAATGTGAGGCTGGAACCATAGAACAGGTGGAGGACTTAGTAGGTATTGGCTCAACATTTAAAGTACAATCTTTTTCCTTAATAGGTATTTTCATACCTTATAAACACATGTATGACCTTGGATGTCCAATTAAATCCCAGGAAAAAAGGACAGATTCTTGATGAAACTAGGCAAATAATGAGACAGCAAGTAAAAAGGGCTCCCCAGCAGAACCTCCGACCAGCTTGCACACTGACAGGAGTGCACACTGAGGTGGAGCCTCAGGAAGTTTGCAGCGGGGAGGAGCCTGGCCTCTTCTGTTCCAGGACGGAGGCTGGGATTCAATCTATGAGGCAGGAAGCTGGGTAGCAGGAGTCTCTGTTTCTCCTTTTTTCCCTTTTGCCCAATAAATTCCATTTTTCTTACCCTTCAAAGCGTCGGTGAGCCTAATATATCATGGCTGTGTGACAAGAACGCAGCTTTTAGCTGAACTAAGGAGAAAGTCTTACAATAATAATATGTTGTCTTACAAGCATGGAGAGTCAGTACAAATATATTTTTCTGAATTCTCAGAGAAAAATAGAAATTAGACAGCGTTTGAAGGATGTATTTCACTTACAAGCTGTAGTATATAAAATTGAGGATCAGAGCTAGAAAAAGAAACTGTGTAATTATACTCCTTCTACTGGATGTTGAGTCAGTTTTTTGCTTTGATAAAATTATCTACCAATGAGGCAAAAAATAAATCCTTAAAACAATGAGATTTAAAAGTAAGTTGTTATGCTCAGTACTTTATAGGAGAACATTCAAGTAAGTGTCAGAGGAAAACAAAAACCACCTAGAGAAGCAACTAAATGGCTGTTTAATTTATATAGTAAACAATAATATAAAAATGGAGAAGAATAAAATTCTGCATTAGGTTCAATACTATCTCATAAAGACTTGACCAATGTTTCACCTGGGGGCATATACCTCTCCAATTTCCTATTACAGTCTCTAATCTGTGAGTTAAATGTCTACAGTTCCTAAACAATTCACCTGTTTTTTTTTTTTTTTTTTTTTTTTTTTTTTTTTTTTTGGACAGAGTATCCCTGTGTCACCAGGCTGGAGTGCAGTGGTGCGATCTTGGCTCACTGAAACCTCTGCCTCCTGGGTTCAAGTGATTCTCCTGCCTCAGCCTCCCGAATAGAGGAGACTACAGGCATGCACCACAACGCCCAGCTAGTTTTTGTATTTTTAGTAGAGATGGGGTTTCACCATGGTGGCCACGATGGTCTCAATCTCTTGACCTCCTGATGTGCCCACCTCAGCCTCCCAAAGTGCTGGGATTACAGGCGTGGGCCACCGCACCCCACCACCATTCATCTTAATATGTAAGATTATGTAAAATGAACTGAGAAGGCTGAGTCTTTTAGAATTGACCTCATGCAACTCACACAGATGTGTGGAACTAATGAAGAAATATGGGGCATACCAAAGAAGCCCAATTTATTTTAGCCTCATCCATTTTATAAGGCAAAAATTGTCACAGTTTTTCTAGAGGTCACCTAGGAAATCTAAAAAATTCTTATTTTTCCCTAAAAATCAGAAAATATTTACTTTTTGGAATTTAAGATATAATTTCAGATGGGCAAAAATTAAGTGTTATCAGAGGAGATTTGGTCACTGTGATAAAGATAGGAATACAGGTACAGAGAAGAAAATGGTGGCAATAATCCCAATGACAATACAATATTCTAAAATAAGCATAGAAAAATATATCATAATTGTTAGAAAATGTATCCGTTTCATAATTAATTATGCTGTACAAATGTTTTTTTCTTATTTTTCTTTCTAGCTTCATTGAAGTATGATTGATAAATAAAAATTGTACATATTTAAGTTATATAATATGATGTGATGTATGTATACATTGTGAAGTAATAGCCGCAGTCAATTAACATTTTCATCAACTTACAAAGTTACACTTTCTCTGTGTGTGTCTATGTGTGCTTGTATGGAAATACATAAGACCTACCCTGTTAGCAAAATTCAAGTATACAATACATTCTTATCAGCTGTAGCTACTATGCTATATATGTTAGGTATCCAGAATTTATTCATCTTTTAACTAAAAGCATCTCCCCATTTTTCCTACCTTCTAATCCCTAGCATCTAATGAGTTTAAATTTTTTAGATTTCACAGATAAATGAGATTATGCAGTATATTTGTCTTTCTGTGTCTGGCTTATTTTACTTAGCATTTTGTTCTCTCAGTCCATCAATGCTATCACAAATTTTAGGATTTCTTTCTTTTGTAAGGATGAATAATATTCCATTGTATGTATATGCCACATTTTCTTTATCCACTAATCTGTAATAAAGGCTATTATTCAAAATACACAAGAAACCCTTCAAATTTCACAAGAAAGCAAACAATTCAGTTAAAAATGGGGAAACAGTATAAATGGATAAGTCACCAAAGGAAATATAAAAATGGCAAGTAAGTATTTGAAAATATATTCAACAACATATGACTTTAGGGGGATAAAGCAATTCTATATATTGAAATTTCCTTTAACAAAGAAAGCAAATAGAAAACTTTCTCAGAAAAACAAAACTTTAGTGATACATCATCAGCTGACCTGTCTTGCAAGAAATACTAAAGGAAGTTCTTCAAGTGGAGAGAAAATGATGCAAGTGAGAAATTCAGATACACAATAAAGAAGTAATAAATGAAAAAGAATAAATTAAAGTTAAAAACTTTTTTTATTCTTAGTGATCCATAAGATAACTGTTTAGTCACAAGAAATGGGTAATTATAGAATGTGGACAGATGAAATTAACAATAGCAATGTCATAAGGTACAGGAGGTACAATCTGGTAGTATTTTTATGGGATACCTACACTACGTGTGAAGTAACAATTTTATTTGAAGATAGACATAAAATGTATATAATCAATTCTAATTAATTTAAAGATAGACTTAAAATGCATATAATCAATCCTAAGAAAACCACCGCAAATTTTTAAAAGAAGTGATGAGATCACATCTCATGAGGTGATGAGATACACCAAGAGCTGAGACAAAAATGCAATCATAGAAGATGCTCAATTAAAATAAGAGAAGGCAGGCCAGGCACAGTGGCTCCTGCCAGTAATTCCAGCACTTTGGGATGCCAAGGTGGTTGGACCACCTGAGGCTAGCCCGACCAACATGATGAAACACCGTCTCTATTAAAAATACAAAAGTTAGCCTGGTGTTTTGGCACACATCTGTAATCCCAGCTACTCTGGGCTGAGGTGGGAGGATCACTTTAACCTGAGATGTGGAGGTTGCAGTGTGCCAAGACTACCACTGCACTCCAGCCTGGGTGACAGAGTGAGGCTCTATCTCAAAATAAAATAAAATAAAATAAAATTAAAATAAAATAAAATAAAATAAAATAAAAATAAATGAATATAATTAATGATTATATTCTACTTCAACAAAAGTAGAATACACATTCTTCTCTAGTTTGTACAAGACACACTGCATTATGGGCCATAAATGTCTTAAAATTTTTCAAAGAATAAAGTTCATACAAAGTACACACTCAGACCACAATAAAAATTAAAGTAGAAATAAATAGCAGGAAGAATTGAAAAATTTTTCAAATATTTGAAGACTTAACAAAACATCTAAATGCATCCCAAAAGAAGACTAAACAGTAATTAAAATATTTGGAATTAAATGAAAATGAAATCACAACTTATTAAAATATATGAGATACAGTAGAACTAGTACCTAAATTTATAGCATTAAATGCGTATTATTATGAAAAAAGAGATAAAATCAATAACCTAAGCTTCTGCCTTAAGAAACTAGAAAAAGAAAATCCAAAGTAAATAACAAGGGAAAAAATATATAAAGTTTAGCAGATATCAGTAAAATATAAAACAGGAAAACAATAGAGAAAATCAATGAAACAGAAAGCTGTTTCTTTGAAACGATCTATAAGCTTGCTAACATTTAGACAAACTAATAAAGAAAAAAAGAGAGAATGCACAACTAACAAATATTGGAAGTGAAACAGGGGTATGGGTTATGACTACTGATTTTGTGGACATTAAAAGGATGATATATTTACTATATTAAAAACTCTATACTCACAAGTTCAATAACCTATATAAAATGGACAAATACCTTGAAAGACACAATATGCCAATACTCACAAAAGAAAAAATAGATAACATGAGTACTCTTATATCTATAAAAGGAATTGAATAAATAGTTAATAACCCACCCACCCCTCCAATGGTTCCAGGCCCAAATGGCTTTAGTGGTGAATTCTATCAAGCATTTAATGGCAAAATTATACCAATTTTCCACAGACTTTTCAAGAAAATGGAATTAGAGAGAACACTTCCTAATTCATTCTATGAGGTAAATATTACCCTCTTACCAAATCCAATAGACATAAAATTAAATAAAATCAATATATCAATATCTCTCATGAAAAAAGATTCAATAATCCTTCACAAAATACTAGACAATTGAATCTAACTATGTATTTATTTTAGGTAAGACAGTATGCAAGACTGATTCAATATTAGAAAATTATCTGCAGAATTTCCTAAATCAACAGGTTAAGGAAGAAAAATCATGTGACTGTATCAATTGATGTAGAAAAAGCTTATGGCAAAATCTATCACCCATCTATAATTTGAGAAACTCTCAGAAAACTAGGAATTGAGGTGAATTTTCATAACTTGACAAAGAACATCTACAAAACCCCTAAAACTATCATACTTAATGATGAGAATTGGGATACTTTTTCCCAAAAACCAGGAGCAAGAAGAATTTTGTTTTTTGTTTTTTTTCTTTCACCACTTGCAAAATGAAACCACCACTTTGGAAGACAGATGGGCAATTTCTTAGGCCCATAGTTGCTATACTATATGTAAAAAAAAAAAAAAAGTCTTACATATAATATAGCAATTGTGTTTTTTTTTGTTTGTTTTGAGATAGAGTCTTGCTCTGTCAGCCAGGCTGGAGTGCAGTGGTGCAATAGAAGGATACTGCAACTTCCACCTCCTGGGTTCAAACAATTCTCCTGCCTCGCCTCCAGAGTAGCTGGGACTACAGGCACCTACCACCATGCCCGGCTAATTTTTTTTTTTTTTTTTTTTTTTTTTTTTTGTATTTTACTAGAGACAGTATAACCTTTTGATTTGGGAAATTTTACCATGTGGCCCAGGCTGTTGTCCAACTCCTGAGCTCAGGCAATGCGACCGCCTCGGCCTCCCAAAGTGCTAGGATTACAGGTGTGAGCCACCGTGCCTGGCTGCAAATGTGTTTTTAGGTGTTTATCCACCTTATTTGAAAACCATGTCCACACCAAAACTGACGCATGAATATATATATAGCAGCTTTGTTTATAATTCCCGAAACTGGAAGAAACCTCGAGGTCTCATAATTGATGAATGGAAAAAAAAAAAACTGTGATACGTCATATAAGGGAATATTACTTCCTAAAAAAGTAAATGATCTGGCAAAAGATTCAGTGAGGAGGTTTAATAGGTGAAGCACGTGGGCATTATTTGGACCAGTCAAAGTATTCTGCATGTTACCACAACTGTGGAATCACGATAGTATGCGTTTGCGTTTTTTTTTTTTTTTTTTTTTTGAGATGGAGTCTGCTCTGTCGGCCAGGCTGGAGTGCAGTGGCACGATCTCGGCTCACTGCAAGCTCTGCAACCCGGATTCACGACATTCTCACGCCTCAGCCTCCCGAGTAGCTGGGACTACAGGTGCCTGCCACCACGACAGGCTACTTTTGTTTTTGTATTTTTAGTAGAGACGGGGTTTCACCGTGTAGCCAGGATGGTCTCCATCTCCTGACCTTGTGACCTGCCCACCTCGGCCTCCCAAAGTGCTGGGATTACAGGCGTGAGCCACTGCACCCGGCCTGCGTTTGTTAAAAAACAAAGAATCTCACAGCACAAAGAGTGTCACTTAATATATGCAAATTTTAAAACAACAACAACAACAAAGTAGGTGTTCTGGGGATCCTGGGATGGAATGCAGAATGTGATAGAAAATCTAAAGTACTACAAATGTATAAAGCCACTTCACTCTAGGGAGTGGGAAAAACGTGCTGACATAAGCATCTTAGAAAATGGATGGGCCTTCTGTGGTGGCTCACACCTGTAATCCCAGCACTTTGGGAGGCCAAGGTGGGCGGATCACCTGAGGCTGGGAGTTTGAGACCAGCCTGGCCAAAATGGTGAAACCCCATCTCTACTAAAAAGACAAAAATTAGCTGGGCATGATGGCGGGTGCCTGTAATCCCAGCTACTCAGGAGGCTGAGGCAGGAAAATCGCTTGAACCTGGGAAGTAGAGGTTGCAGTGAGCCGAGATCAAGCCACTGCACTCCAGCCTCAGCCTGGGCAAGAAGAGCAAAACTCCATCTTAAAAAAGAAAAAGAAAAAGAAAAAGAAACAAAGAAAATGCATGAAGACTGAAAGGAAGAGAAACTGCAAACAACTCATGTGATCTGGGTGGTGTAGCTGTTTCCTACAGGAAATGGGATAGCGATTCTGATATTGATAGAGAATAAATGTATATTGGAACTAGACAGTTAAGCAAATGGATGACAAATGACAGGAGCCTGGTTTCTCACTATTAAAGTGGGAGGTTACATGTAAGCAAGGGGAGAAGGCCAGAATGATCATGTGATAAAAGAATTGAGTCGTAGACATCAGTATGAACTAACACTTATACACATTACATTTAGAAATATTTATAGTTATGTGTATACACAGCTTTGTATACACACATTTATTTCTTTGCTCTGTAAACTAAGACGGTCTCTAGAACCAATGATATCACAGCAGAAATGAGCATATCTAACACTCAAGTCTTCAATTCGTGGGTTTTTGTTCATGATCCGGGATCCAGGAGTTGGGCCCTGGGGCTGGGCATTGTGTAGCCTCCGGGATGGTGCTGAGCATCCATTCCCACCCTCCTGCAGCTGGGGACCCATCCCTTGACTTGGGACCCCTGGAGGCAAGAACATGGTCACCCACTTTAATCACATGGTCCCTATCACATAATCAGAGGGCGCTGTGGGTTTTAACTCTTCAAGCTAGATGTGTAAACAATTCGACATAGATAAGATATAGTGACTAGAAGTCTTTTATTTATTTTGAGAGAGAGTCTCTGTTGCCCAGGCTTGGAGTGCAGTGGCACAAACAATCAAACAATAACCAAAATCCAGAAGAATGAAAAGGTCAAATGCTGTCAAGGATGGGGAGCAACAGGACCTCTCATTCCTTGTTTGTGGCACAATCAGTTTACTGTACCCACGAACTCCCAGGCCCAAGTGATCATGCCACAATCAATCTCCCAAGTAGCTGGGGCCACAGGCATGCACCACCATGCCTGGCTGATTGGTTTTATTTTTATAGAGATAAAGTTTCCCTGTGTTGTCTAAGCTGGTCTCAAACTCCTGGGATCAAGTGATCCTCCTATCTCGGTCTCCCAAAGTGCTGTAAGTACAGGCATGAGGTCCTGCACCCAGCCTGGAAGTCTTTATAGATAAGTTCAATTTAACTGTTTCTCCATCTGATCCACTCAGCCGAGTTTCCCTCTCAGTCCAAGGGTGAGAACTGCAGCTCAGCCCCATCCAGGATGGCTGCAGATGACCCAGCGCCACTGCCATACTCCAGATGCTGGTCAACGAGGAAGGGATCCTGAGGCCTGGCAGCGGGCGCTCTCAGGAACCTTGAAGCCCTCTAAACGGGACCCGCCATCCGTGCCTGTCAGAACTGGTGCCGCTACCTGCACTTGGCACACAGGCAAATATGGCCAAGCAACCCCAAACTCCCCTCTTCCCCTCTGGGCCCAGGCGGCGCTGAACCTGCTGCTCAGCCGCATCCTGGCGACTGCACAGTGCCCAGAGCCTGCAAACCAGCGCTCAGGGCGCGAGCCAAGGAAGAGCAGGGCCTAGAGTGGGAGGGCGTGTGCCACACGGCTACCCTAAGGCCGTCGGGCCCAGCCCTGCAGCCTCTACCGTGGGCTCAGCTGCAGCTGGCATTTGAAGGTGGCAGCAGCGGTGGCAACCCCAGAACCTGTCCGCGCCACCAGCAGGCGAACCCCAGGGTCGGACACCGCCACTGCGCCTAAGTCAGGCAGTGGGACCTCAGTTGCAGGATCGTGGGAACCTGCTGCAAAGCCTCGTCGCCGCAGCTGTACAGGGCCCAGTGGTCGCAAGCCTGCGCTGCCAGCGCGAGCCGAGGAAGAGCAGAGCCCCGGGTGGAAGGGCGATGTACTCGGCGATGCTCAGCGGTCTGGGCCCAGCCCTGTAGCCTCTACCATGGGCTCAGCTGCAGCTGCCACCTGAACATGGCACGTGGCAGAAGAGGCTGCAACCCTGACCCTGCCAGCGCCACCAGCCGCGCGGATACTTGGGCCAGAAGCCTCCAGGGAGCCTAAGTCAGGGGTTGGGTCCCTGGCTGCAGGAGGCCGGGAACCGACGCTCAGCGCCACCCTGGAGGCTGCACGATGCCCAGCGCCAGGGCCCAGCTCCTGGATCTCAGGTTGAGGAGGGGCCAGGAGCGGCTCTGTCAAGCAGGCCATGTGGCAGGGAGCCCCCCACGTTCCGCTGTAAGGAGCCCTGCCAGCCCGATAGCGCCTCAGTAGCAGGTGCCACCTGCACGCCGTGCTGGGCGAAGCGCAGCCAGGGCGGTTTCCTGCCTCGCGTGCCTCCCAGGTCTGCTGAGTTGCGCATGCGCTGTTGCCTAACGGTTCTGCTCAGCTGCCTAACGGTTCTGCTCAGCTGCCTAACGGTTTTGCGCAGCCATTTTCTCCCTGGAGAGGCTGGAGTGTCCAAAAGCTTGGCCGACTGAGATTGCTAGTCGTGTCAGGGCGGGTGCGGGACTGAAGAAGGGCGAGGGCGAGCGGCGGGGACTGGGGAAGGGCGAGCAGCGGGAGGCACGGGCTCTCTCTAGCAGGTGGCTGCAGCCATGGAGAGGCTCTGTGCCGCCGCTGTCAAGGGCCAGACGGGCCCAGAGCGCCCAAGCCCCTTCAGTCAGCTGGTCTACACCAACAACGACTCTTACGTGATTCACCATGGGGATCTCAGGAAGATCCACAAAGCTGCCTCCCGGGCCAAGCCTGGAAGCTGGAGAGGATGATGAAGAAGACGACAATGGACCTGAACATAAGAGATGCGAAGAAGAGGTACCAGGCCCTGCCTGAGCCGGGGCTGCAGGAGGAGGAGGAGGCTGTGGGAGGATCGCCCCTTCAGAGTGGGGGCTGGGGGTCCTGGGGACGAGGGGAGCAGGTGGAGGAGTGGTGGGCAGCGGGGCGGCCGTCCTGGCCCCGAGGTCTTGATTTTCTTCCCGGGAAGGCCCCCCAGGCCTTGGATGGGGGAGCCCTGCAGGGCAGAGGGCCCAGGCCACCTTAAAATCAACCCCAAACTTTAGTTAGCTGCTTTCTCCTTCACTCCCACTTCCTCTCACAGAGCACTGTGTAGAGAATTTTAAAGTGATTTAACTTACAAAATTAAGTACATACAGGGTTTTACTTTTAATGTACAGGTTTTAAAAGATAATGTTAGATACATTATGAAATGGTGCATAATGAAATAATTCCCATAATATATTAACTTCTTGGCTAAAAATTTTTTGGATAAAGTCCAGTAACCATTTCAATATCAATGAATGTCTATGTAAATATATTCTTTGCTGAGGGACCTTAGAAGGTAACTTTGAGGTGGGAAGATGGTTTATGTTTTCGAATTTAAGAAGACTCATTTTTCTGAAGATGCAAGTTCTTTATCAGTTTTACATAAACCAAATAAAGTTATCAACGTTTTAACATTTTTAAAATTACACACGCTGTCTTTTACTATTGTGATGACATTTAACAAATTTTGTAACGGAGTAGAAAAGTCTTGCCCTTCTAGATTTCAAAATGTGCTATTAATTTGCACAAAATGGGCCATGGCCAGGCGCGGTGGATCATGCCTGTAATCCCAGCACTTTGGGAGGCCGAGGTGGGTGGATCACGAGGTCAGGAGATTGAGACCATCCTGGCTAACACGGTCTCTACTAAAAATACAAAAAATTAGCCGGGTGTGGTGGTGGGCGCCTGTAGTCCCCAGCTAATTGGGAGGCTGAGTCAGGAGAAATGGTGTGAACCTGGAAGGCAGAGCTTGGAGTGAGCCGAGATCGCACCACTGCACTCCAGCCTGGGTGACAGAGCGAGACTCCGTCTCAAAATAATAATAAATAAATAAATAAATAAATAAATAAAATTTGAAAAAGAAAAAAAAAAAAAGGGCCAGACGTGTTGGCTCATGCCTGTAGTCCCAGCACTTCAGGTGGCCGAGGTGGGTGGATCACCTGAGGTCAGGAGTTCAAGACTAGCCTGGCCAATATAGTGAAACCCCAACTCTACAAAAATACAAAAATTAGCCAGGCACGATGTCGGGAGCCTGTAAGCCCATCTACTCGGGAGGCTGAGGAGGGAGAATCGCTTGAAACTGGGAGGCGGAGGTTGCAGTGAGCTGAGATTCCATCACTGCACTCCAGCCTGGGCGACAGTGAGACTCTGTCTCAAAAATAAATAAATAAATCACAAATTATTTGATAACAGCTGAAAAGACAGGTAAATGAATACAACACAGTAGAAAACCAGAAACACCCAAATATCTAAGAATTCAGAATTTGATAATGCTCACACTTTATACTAGTAGGGAAAGAATTAGTTTCATAAGTGAAATGCCTGCTTTTTGGAGAAAACTAGATTTTTATGCCACAAAGTAAATTTCTGATGGAATATAGATTAAATTTTTTTAATATACAAAATGATAAAAGCACCAGAAGAAAACATAAATGCCTATTTACACAGGTACATTTTTATGTTGACAACACCTTTCTAAGAAGCTCAGAAGCAAGCAGTCTGAAGGATAATTAAGCAAAACAAAATTAAATTAAACTGTAAGGAGAAAAAATAAAAGGCAGCATACTTGTAAAATATTTACTACACATGTATGTGCGTGTGTGTATACATATTAGATTTTTAAATCATCATTTTATAGATAATTCACTTAAATCAACAAAAAAACCCTCTAATTTAAAATTGAGCAATTTAAATTAGAGATCTAAATTGCAGATCTAAAAATAGTACTTTGCTTCTAATTTAAAATTTGGAAAATATTTTCTTAAGATCTGTAAGTGACCTATGCACACAGAAAACAATATTTAGTGTTCCTGGTTACAGAAGGCATTTAAGTTAAAAGAGGAATCAAATACTGCTTTCTACCTACAAAGTTTGTGAGGATAAAGAGCAGTGATATTTATACTACTGTTTAAAGTTTAAGTTGCAGATAACTTTTCAAATAGACAATTTGGTGGTAAGTACCATATTATTAAGAAGAATCCATATAATGACTTTTATAAATACATTTCAGTGAATTTACAGCATGGGATAATATGTGACCACTGAAGGTAGAAATATGTAGAGAAGTAGGTGACATTTGAAAATGTATTTTGGTGTATCAAGTGAGGGTAAAGTTCAGTTTCATTATACATACACACAGACTTGCGTTATCTGAAGTTGTGTATGAAATATGATAAAATTTGTTATTTGAGGGCATTTGTTTTAATATAAAATGTTTTTCCTTTTTTTTATCTTTGATTTCCACATTGAGCATGTACAATGCTGTTAGAAAAAGTTTATTATTAATGAAATAATTTTTGGGAAGAGCAGGAATATAATTTTGCACCAATAAAAATAATTTCTCACTTTCCATATTTTAATTATTATTTTTTGTGGATTAGTATATTCTGTGAACTTTTAGCATCTTCAAAAGACAATCTTTTTACCTGTGCTTGTTGATTTACATATACATCTTATTAGGCACATATTTTTATTGTATATAGATTTCTTACACATATGTCAATAATTATAGATTAGTGTAGTTTTATTATTAAGAAAATAAAATAGAAAATATAAGTGCTTTATTTATAGCAGTTTTTTTAAGGTATTGAACTTCTCAACTGTATTTATCCTTTTAATCAATTTATCACATGTAAGCTGAATGCCTATTATGTAGAAGATACATTAACTCTCAAGATCCTTTCATCCTTAAAAATTTCACATTTACCTGCTCAGCCTTAGCAAAGTGAGAGATTTAAAGTTGGAGTACTAGGAATGAATCTCAATTGAAGCTTTTCCTCTCATCTTTAAAACAAAAACACTTCTGAAGTAAGAAACTAGTAAAAGATAACTACCAACCACGATTTTGGAAATTTATAACAGCTTTAAATAGTAATATTAATCATTGGAAATACCTAATTTACATGCATTCTATAAATTTAAATATGAATTTATATACATTCTGTAAATCTAAACATGGAATAAAATGAGCCATACCTACTTGAATCCCAAGTTTTCTTTGGCTTGAAGTTTTAAAAATATTAAAGAAGTACTTTGTTTTAACAGTTTGTTTTTATTTCAACTCTCCTTTTGTATAGCACTCTTAAAAGCTAAAATTTCTTTAAGTGTTAATCCTATGACTAGGACTGCCATCGTCCTGTTGTATATACCATATTCCACTTCGTGGAAGGCACGGTGAATGGTGTGATGCCTCCTTATTTATGTACCAATAAAAGATCGTTTAAATTTCTGCAAAATATACTTGTAACAAATAATGACTTATAAGTGGCATTTCAATGTCAGAGATGTTAAAATATGAGAAATAGAGTATCTTAGAATTATTAAAATAGTTTTATCTCTAACCTTTAAAACATACCACAAAGTAGGCATAATTTTACCATTTTACTTAAAATGTTTTCTTTGTTAAGTAGTAGAAATAATTACAATATCTATCAATCACTGAGCTGTTACATGTGCTAGGAATTCTTCGAAATACATTGCACAGATTCTCATGAGGCATCACAGTGATGTCCTGTGAGATAACTGCTGTATTCATCTTCACTTTATTGATGAGAAAATTGAGGCACAGAAAGGTTAAGTGATAGCTAGAAGGTGAAAGACTTTAAAGTAATATTCAAGCCCAAGTTGAACTGAATCCAAAGGCCAAGCTCTTTCTATTCAAATAGGCCACTCTTTCATTAATATAGTGAGTAATAACAGTGAATGAATGTTGTAGTTTCTTCAGGAGAATATTAAATATTTGTTTTGAAGGCAGAGAAAGAGCATGGTATTTAATGTTGACAATTACATAAATCATTCTATGTTTTGAGACAGTGGACTAAACTTTCCTTAAAAGGCCTCTCACTCTCGTAGGACTGCTCTACACTGGGCCTGTGCCAATGGCCATGCAGAAGTAGTAACACTTCTGGTAGATAGAAAGTGCCAGCTTGACGTCCTTGATGGCGAAAACAGGACAACTCTGATGAAGGTAAATGGTAGCCAGTTCTTTCAGCAGGAGATGGATTTGGTTTAAATACATAGAATAAAAATGAATTTATCTCATTGAAATATAACTAGTTTGTGAAACCTGTGGAATATTTATTTATATTTCCTATAATTTATAATTTACTTCTTGCTTTAATACTGACAGGCTCTGCAATGCCAGAGGGAGGCTTGTGCAAATATTCTCATAGATTCTGGTGCTGATCCAAATATTGTAGATGTGTATGGCAACACAGCTGTCCATTATGCTGTTAACAGTGAGAATTTGTCAGTGGTGGCAAAATTGCTGTCCTGTGGTACAGACATTAAAGTGAAGAACAAGGTAGACATTAACCAATGTTATTTTCAAAATATTTGAAATCCATTTGTTTTAACATTAACATATGTAAATTGTTTTATATTTGGAAGCTCAAACATTCCTATTTTTCTATGAAAATAGTTTGACAAAACTTAATTGTCTAGGATTTTGCTTTAAATATTAATATTTTTACAAGAACTATTAGTATGGCTTTTCTGTGCATTATGATAAATATTTAAATTTGTTAAAGGTAAAACATTTTCAAATATTCTTTCCCACCCAAGTTTTTTTTTTTCTTTCCAGTTAGTGTAAAACTACAAGAAAGTAAAATTTGCCTGCATAAATTGAGTCAACATGTAAAATTTAGGAGACATGCAGAAATCTGGATTTCCTCTTAAAGGATTGAATCTTGTGTCTCTTGAGCCCGTATGACTGTTTGGTATGCTATGAAGACATTCTAGTTTTACATAAAGCATATGTTTCCAGTTTGCTACTGTGCCCACCTAGTTACATCACTTATTCAACTTACCTATTTTGCCTCTGTAAATATTTCAGTTATCAATTCCTCTCTCATAGTACATTTTGGTAAAGATTTCAAGTTATTGAAGGCAGTTTATAGGTGTTTATAATATATAGTTTATATTTTACATTAATTCATTAATAATGGGGTTGTCTTCTAGAATTTAGAATATTTTATAAATGATGATTTTTCTCATATAAACCATAAATAATCATCTTCTATTAGAAGGCCTTTAAGCCTTTTTAGATTAATCATGGTTATATTTGAATAGGTTATGCATATTGCAGAAAAAATATTATATCTTTCTCCACAGAATTGTCCCTTAAAATTCAAGTGATTTAGTGGCTTCTATTTTGCTAAGCCACATACATGAGTTAGAACTTTCATTAATAAGCCATTTTATTCATACTTCTGATATTTTGCCAAAAAATAGTATCAATTACAATAGAAACCAGAATAAAAATGGATTATTGCATTTTAAGAAGTAGATATGCATTAGGATCCTAGGAGTATCATTCTAATAGAGAATAAACTTTTATACTGAATTTCTTTTCTTTTTTTCTTTCTCTTTTTTTTTTTTTTTTTGAGACAGAGCCTTGCTCTGTCACCAGGCTGGAGTGCAGTGGTGTGATCTCGGCTCACTGCAATCTTTACCTCCCTGGTTCAAGCAATTCTCCTGCCTCAGCCTCCTGAGCAGCTGGGACGCAGGCATGTGCCACCACGCCTAGCTAAATTTTTTGTATTTTTAGCAGAGATGGGGTTTCACCATGTTGACCACGATGGTCTCAATCTCCTGACCTTGTGATCTGCCCGCCTTGGCCTCTCAAAGTGCTGGGATTACAGGCATGAACCACTTTGCCTGGCCTTTTATACTGAATTTCTAATAGCTGAGATAAAATCCTATTGTCTGGTAATAGGATAAACCCCATGGACCATTTAAGAATATGCAATCAAAGTTTATTTGAAGCCAATCTCTTTTAATTTACAGCCACTTCCTTAGTGACCCATTTAGAGCAGGAGTGCCTGACATTGGCATTTGGAATCTTGGGATCATTGATAGAAGAGAATCAAGTGAGTTTGTATCACCCAGAGGAAACCTCCATTTTTGGGGGGAAGCTTTCAAAACTGCATCCCTGAAATTCTAATTTGTCAAATGTTAATGTTTGCCACAAAAATATACTGTCAAATAAGGATTAGGTAAAGTTCAATTCATTTCTTGAATAATGAACATTTAATTCACAGTTTTATAACATTTCTTGAACATAGATAATGGTGGAATCTGTTGGGGTACAGTGCTTCTGGTAAGGTAATTATTCTTTGGAATAAAGTTGAAGAAACACTGTTCTAGAAGTAATAATTTAGATTACTAATTTAGTAAAAAATAAAGTATTTACTACTATGTCTTAGGGTTTAAGGATATAGAGGTAAAAGATACAGCCCCTGCCCTCAAGAAGCTCTTGGTTTACATGGGAAACAATAAAATCATTACAATGTAATGATTTTTGGAGATAACCAGAGTTAATGTGGTGATGCAGAGGCTGAATGTTTACAAGAGAAGGTGCAGTGCATGGGAAAGCACAGAAAAGTGAGAAAGAAGGGATTGCTATTGATTTACTTTCCATTGTTTAAGTTCATAGGATATTATATAAGGTATTCAATTCAGCTGAGAAATATGTAATTTCATGAATTATAAATTGTTTTTGCTGTTTTACAGGCTGGCCACACACCACTTTTATTGGCCATAAGGAAAAGAAGTGAGCAAATTGTGGAATTTTTACTGACAAAAAAATGCAAATGCAAATGGAGTTGATAAGTTTAAATGGTATAGTAGTTTTTTTATTAAAAAACACTTGAGTAGTGTGCTAGAGTAATAACACTCAAGTCAGAAATATTAAATTAATAACATTTACTTAAAATTATTAGATTATACAGAAAAATATCAAGACAAATTATCAGTTAGGAAGAAAAGCAATTATTTGGACTGGTCAACACAAAGAACAGTATACAGTAGGATTTTCTTCTTTTATTATACTGACTGATTCTTATTTGTAATCTGATGTTTTTGGTTGCATTATCTTCTATTAGCTAAAGTGGTTCTGTATTAGTTTTAAGAAGTATGAATTTTTAGTTTACTTTATAATTCAATATTGAATGATTAACACCTTTATAGTATTTTTCTAACTTCTGTTTTTCATACACTTTTAAAAAATGCAATATTTGCTGGGCATGGTAGCTGTTGTCTGTTATCCCAGCAACTTTGGGAGGCCAAGTGGGTAGATCACCTGAGGCCAGGAGTTTGAGACCAGCCTAGCCAACATGGTAAAACCTCATCTCAATGAAAAATATAAAAATTAGCCAACCATGGTGGCACAAGCCTGTAGTCCCAGGTACTCAGGACAATATTATTCCTAATATTGTTTTAAGTCTTCAGATTGCTCTCACTTGTCCGACTTCTAGCTAATTTTGAAGTACAAAATATTATATCAGACTAAGGAGGAAATAGATAATTCTTCACTTAAAACTTTGCCTCTTTTAGATTAGTGAACAGAACATATTTTCTTGCCCCTCAGTGGACTTTATGTTAGCCAATTCTACTATGCCATATCCCAGTGAGACATGAGTCTTTTCACCCCTTCCTTTTAGCCTTGGTCGTGATTTACAAGGATAAACACTTGAGCACTCAAGATACTTAACATTTGTTAATACATGTAAATGGTTAATTCTATACTGACAGGCACATATTAAATTGGTTCATTCCTAATAATGAAGTTATGTCTGTTATTTTAGCACAGCCCTCATGCTTGCCATATGTCATGGATCATCAGAGATAGTTGGCACGGTTCTTCAGCAAAATGTTGACATCTGTGCTGAAGCTACATGTGGAATGATTGCAGAACGTTATGCTGTTGCTTGTGGATTTAATCTCTAAGTGTTTACATTTAAAGGCTAGGTGAGATTTTATAGTTTGTTTCAGGTAGTTTTTGAATGACAGTGAGTTAGTTCACTTCATCAGCCAGAAACTAGGCAAAAAGCTAGACTAGTTAGAAAGATTAATGGCTCCAGGATTCTTTATTTTAGGGCTTTAGGGACGCTAATGTTGTCTACTTGATTTGAAGTATAACCCCTATGCATGGGATAAATATAATGTCACAATTTTGGTTTTTCTAATTAGTTATTTGGGTCTCAAAATGTCCACTTTAAGCAGAAAACCTGATAGTGTCCCCAGGGGGCTGTCTTCCATACCTTCATTCTTGAATTTTTTAAAAGAATCTGAACCTAAGTCCAAGGAAGACATTCCTTTTGTACAAGTCAGAAGGATTGGGGGGTGGGAAATGGCCATTCTCTTCATTTTGCTGTTTCCATTGATTCTGTTGCTGCATCGTTGCCATTGAAACTGCTCCTGCAGTCTGGTAATGATTGACCTTTGTGACCAGGATGCCCTTACTAACACAGATTCCTCAGTCTTCATGGTATAGACTTCCAAGTTATGACATGTTTTTAAAGTTCACGTACATATTCTCAGCCATTGTTTCCAAAGTACCAGCACCCCACTCTGGCAGCTAGAACTTTTAGCTTTAGCCACACACATAGTGAGCAAATTGACCCTTCTCCTCACACTCAAAACCTGATGTGAAACCCACATCTTAGCCTGGACATGGCCTAGACCTTCATGGTAAATTATCCTTTGAGTGGCTTTTTTCTATTTTCTCTAGCCAATATTAGTTGTGGTAGTTTGAAACTGTAAGTCAGGTTGAAATAATGTTACAGGAAGAAATTAGAGATCCATTTTGTCTTTGTTACCAGATCTATATCCCTGGCCCTTTATATCCTGTGTAGCACCATTTTGTAGGTAGTGGAAGGTCTCATCTTATTCTATAAAATCCCATGTCATCTTTCCCAAGTTGTAGTGGGTTCCAACTTGTGGTTGTCCCCTCAAGTGATTCTTTTTTCCTAAAAGTAAAAATCTCCCATGCTACTTACATCTCCACCTCGAGTTTCTAAAATATTTTCAAATGCTGCATCACCATGAAGCCATTCAATAGACTTCACTAAATCTCAAGTAAGTTGGTTAGATTTAACAGAGCTAAGCCTCATCCATCCCTCATCAGTCTTCACGTATAAAAGTAAGGATTTGTGCTGGCTTCAGTGGTACATATAGTAAAATTAAGACAACGTTGAGAAGATCAGCATGGTCCCCGCACAAGGATGACATAGAAATCTGTAAGGTGTTGCATATTTCTTGCAGTCCCCAAAAGGACATTTTACTACTTTCTAACTAGCTCCAAGGAAATGGTGTGAGTCAAAGCAAAATGGGTGACACCCAGTATTGCAATTGTGATTTTCATACAAAAAATTATTTACATAAGGTGATCTATGAAATGAGATGTGGTAACACATAGGATCTTGTGTGCAATATTTTGTTAGTAGGGATCTCAGAAATGAGAAAATACCAACTTGCATCTTCTTTGTGGAACTTACAAAAAATAAAGGTAGGGTTTTGTCTTCCACAGCAGCTGGAAATGAACATAGTGACTAAGCATCATTCTAACAAAGATTTGTTGGTTCAGAGTTTAAGGAGGTAGATAAAGAGTAGTAGTAGTCCAAGCCAGATGCTGACATCTATTAGTTTTCTGCCCTTGGTGTGACTGATGAGCTCAGTAATAGAGTATAATTAGGTTATCTGATTTAATGATTTAATATATTTATAAATAAATTTCATTACAAAATATAAAATAGCTTAGATGCTCTGAATTACAAGCCACAAAGAATAGAACATCTAATATCCAAAAGTAGGAATTAATAACAGAAAATTGCAATATTTGAATATTATAACCTATGAAGAAAAACATGTTTTTTGTGTCTTATGTTTAGTGGGAATTAAATTTTGGTGGACCATTGGTCCTCCCCTATGTTGCCCAGGCTGGTCTTGAACTTCTGGATTCAAGCAATCCTCCTGTCTCAGCATCCAAAAGTGCTTGCCTCACAAGCATGAGCCACTGCACCAGGCCAATATATTGGGTTTTATTGGGAATTTTAAATTGTTTCAGCAATAAGGTTGAAGAACAAATAATTTTTTTGCTTCATTTTTTATTTTAAGCATTTTAAAAATGTTATCTTGTTAAATCTTTATAATAACCTAGTGAAATAAGGCCCTAAAATCCTCATTTTTAGAAGACATTGAGTCTAAGAGAAGCAACTTGTTCAAGAAAAGATACCTGTTGGTAGCCATGCTAGGACTTATTCCGAGTTAGGGACATTTTCCATATGTCAAGCTAACTTTAGTTAATTTACTGAGTTATACTGCCCTCACTTTATGAGTGTTTTATCTTTCTTTCTTCTTTAATTAGAAGCTTAATAAGTTCATAGAGCTTGTATACTTAAAGTCTATGGAAAAAGTAATGTTCTGATGTTAGCTCTAATATTGTCTGAAATACTCTAAGAATGTAATAAATTTGGTAAATTTTTTTATATCAGTGTTAAAATAGTGATTTTATTTATTTCATTTTTATACATAGCATTCATCAACAACTTTTGGAATATAAACAAAAGATATCTAAAAATTCTCAAAATAGTAATCCAGGTAAGACCTCTGATAGTAAACTACTCTTGGTGGTGCTACCATAAGATTATAGGAGTGTTAATCACAAAAGAGCTATTAGAAAAGCAATGTGTAAGTAGCATGTGTTTACATATAGACCTATATGTAAGTGTTTTTTTATATACAAAGCTTTGATTTAATTTTTTAGTTTATAATTCAGAATTCATTAAGAATTTAGTTGTAGGTAGTTTATAATCTCAAAAATATTATCTGAAAAAATATTTGTTTAATTGTGGTCCCTAATATCCTATATAATACTTTTGTATAAATAAGTAAAACAATTTTTAAGTTTATCTATAGTATGTTTCCCAAACTGTCATAAAAATTTATGCTTGTTATAAAATGTATAATCCTTGGTGTGATTGATGAGCTCAGTAATAGGGGATTATCAGCTTATCCAATTTAATGAATTAATATATTTATAAATAAATTTTATTACAAATTATAAAATAGCATCGGTGCCTTGAATTACAAGCCACAAATAATAGAACTTCTAATAATGAAAAGTAGGAATTAATAACAGAAAACTGCAACATTTGAATATTATAACCTATAAAGGAACACAGTTAACTGTTTAATAAACAAATATTTGTTTATGTTTAATAAACAAATATTTGTTTATTTAACATAAACAAACATATAAAATGTTTATTTGTTAAATAAACAAATAAATAATTTATTTGTTTGTTTATTAAACATAAACAAAATGTTTATTTGTTAAATAAACAAATAAATAATTTATTTGTTTGTTTCTTTATTGTAGAGACATGGTCTCCTTATGTTACCCAGGCTGGTCTTGAACTTCTGGGCTTTATTTAATTTTTACAATAAATGATTTGCATTTAGAAAATTAGAATTAATTACAGTTGAGTATTGAGCAACATGAGAGTTAGGGTGCTGATCCCCCCATGCAGCTGAAAATCTGCTTTATAGGAAAATCTGTTTCTTTTGACTCTTCCAAAACTCTACAACATTCTACTGTTGACCTGGAGCCTGAAAAAAGGTGAAAGCTTAAGCAGTCAATTAACCCATAGTTTCTATTTTATATGTACTATATACTGTATTCTTAGAATAAAGTGAGCTGGAGAAAAGAAACTGTTATAAAGAGGAAGAAATATATTCACTATTTATTAGATGGAAGTGAATTATTATACATAAAGGACTTCATTCTCATTGCCTTTATGTTGAGTAGGCTGATAAGGAGGAGGCAAAGGCGAGATTTTTCTTAGTATCTTGCAGTGGCAAAGGAAAAGAAAAATCTGTCTATTAGTGGGCTCCTAGAGTGAGAACCCTTATTCAAAGATCAACTGTGTGGCATAGTGACTTGCGTCACTAAAAAAGTAACTATCTTTAGAATTTGGAACTCAATAATACTTTTCTTGCACCATAAATGAATGTCAATAAGAATTAACATAACTTAGCAAGGATGCATCAGTACCAATAGGAGATTATTTTTCAAAGATACCTACTGAGTGCAGAAGTCAGAAAAGCAATTCTTTGTTGAGAAGCACAGGTTATGTTACATAGTCTTGTACCAACAAGGTCTCACTATTATCAATTTCATTCCCTCTAAGTTGAAACCAAATAAGATATATTTACTTCATTAGAACAAGATGTGTTGTTCTATCTGCTGGATAATTAGTGTGTTGATAGTAATTTTGTTACAACAAGTTACTCTGTTCCTACTAGCCAAAATATTATCATTATAAATATACAACTAGCTCAACTCTAGGCTCAACGAATTATAATAAAAGTGGAAAAAATTTTCACAATAACAAAAGTGCTACTGTGATACCTAAATGTGACAGAATACATTGTACAATATGAACTGTATGAACACATCTTTAATTTATTACATATTTATCAAAGGACTTCTATAAGTTAGATTTTGCAAGTTGCAGGAGACCAACATGGAATACACATAGTCTGGGTCTTTAAGGTGCTCATAATACAGTAGAGCTGTCTCTGTTGAATTTCTTCATTTTTCCAACAGAATTTCCTAACTATGTTTTCTATTTGTGTATCCACTTGTCCACTTAACAAATAACTGTCAGGTATCTTTAAGGTACTAAGCATCTTTCTTGTTATTATCATTGTCATTTTTTATTATTTACTACTTTATTAAGTTACTAAGCATTTTTCTTGTTATTATCATCTTTTTTATTATTTACTACTTTATTTAGTGCTTACTCTGTGCCAGAACCCCTTTGGGAGCTTATAACTATCACTTATTATGTCATTACCATATTCAGTATGTGTCAGACATTTTATATCCAACGTGAAGAATTAAAGCTTTAAAAAGTTTGGTAGTGTCCAGGAGCGGTGACTCACTCCTGTAATCCTAGCACTTTGGAAGGCCAAAGCGGGCGGATTGCTTGAGCACAGGAGTTTGGGACCACCCTGACTAACATGGTGAAATCCCATCTCTACTAAATACAAAAAATTAGCTGGGCCTGGGTGGCATGCATATGTAATACCAGCTACATGGGAAGCTGAGGTAGGAGAATTTCATGAACCCAGGAGGCGGAGGTTGCAGTGATCTGCTGAGATCGTGCCACTGCACTCCAGCCTGGGCAACAGAGCGAGGCTCTTGTCTCAAAAAAAAAAAAAAAAAAAAAAAAAAGGAGAAAACAAAAGTTTGGTGGTATTTAAGGAAAGCAAGCTGAATGAGTAGAAGTTTTCCAGGTAAAGAGTCAGAAGGATGATATTTAGCAGAAGGAAAATTTAACCAGACTGTGTGTTTGGCAGAAGGAACATCTGAAGGAACACCTGACGAGGCTGCACCCTTGGCGGAAAGAACACCTGACACGGCTGAAAGCTTGGTGGAAAGAACACCTGACGAATAGGATACAGTGAATTCCTCTTCAAAGATTTTAGCCTGTAAACATCCTTTAAAATTCAAGAGGGGGGAAGATTAAGTACAATGAGTTCTGAGTTCCTCATCAAAGAACAAATATGTCAGTATGTTCAGCTTCTCCGTTCTTTGTTCTCCGTTTTAAAGTTTAACTTCCTCGTTCGTTATGCCTCCTTGCCCCTAGTTTCATTAAACAACCCCCTTCTAGCCTCTAACACCTGCTTTGTCTTTAGTCATTCTTAGTAACCTGCTCTGTCCTTAGTCATCCTTAGACACCTGCTCTGTAACTGTCTTTCCCGCTGAAACTACTCACCCTGCCACTCCAGCTCATACCCCTGCCCTCTTTGAAATAGCCAATCTGAATTGGCTTAGAGTGTGCAGTCCAACCCTATCCAATAGGGAAAAGACACAACAGTAGGGACTAGCTGCGTTAGAAATAAGAACACTTTCCCCTCCCTTGTCCGGTGTGATCTTGCCTTTGCTCCATCTGCAAGACCACTCTTCCATAGAAGTAAATTTGCCTTGCTGTAAAAACTTGTTGCTGGAGTGCTGACGGTTCTTTGTGGCACCGAAAATTATTTTCCAAAAATTTGAGGGCCCACCCAACATTCCCATTCTCCTCTGGGGGAGGGTCCAGTCCTCTCCCTTGAGGAGGTGCACCCCGCTGCCTCGTTGCAGTGGCCATAAAGGTAAGGAATCAAGACTCAACTGGTGCGATTAATAAACCCGGGCTCTCAGCAACGTGGAAAGAAACAGGCCAGCAACTCTGGGGAAAGGATCTTCACATACCGTGGCGACCAGGTAACTGTGCACAGACCGAGGTAAGAAATGTCGCAGGGGTGACAAAGTATTTCCTTGGTGGTCGGGATATTCTGGAGGTTGAAAGTGTGTGTGAATGATCACAAGCACTACTGCTTGTGGTGCTGTTTGTGTGGATGATACTAAGCATTATTGCTGTGAGGAGTGAGTGGGTCCTATCTGCGGTTTTTTATTTGAATAAAAAACCTTTGAAGAGGAATTCACTGTATCCTCATAGGGCTCAGGGCAGATCTTGCTGTGGGGTTTATACCATGATGCCAATGCAAAGAGGGACGGAAAATTCCTGGGAGGGAAGCAGCCAGAGTGGATGAAGTGAAAGAAGGGTGTGAGGAGCCTCCAGCAGGTGGGGATAAAGGATAGGGAAGAAATCTCTAGCATGCGGGATTGAGCCTAACCAGGACCTAACATGGGAAAAGCCCCAAATAAGATAGGGAGCAAAAAAGAAGAGGATAGTAACAAAGACATGCCCCTCATAGTCCCCTGGGTCTCATGTTAAAATATTGGAAGGATAATGAGAGGACTAAACATAAGAAAAAGCATTAGAGGATAAAATATTGCTGTTTCATTTGGACCCAAGGTCCCATTTTCAAACACTCAATCTTCTGGCCAAAGTTTGGGTCGATTGAGAATGTAATATGTCAACTTCTAATTCAATATGTTAATGATAAAAATCTGGTTTCTCAAGAAGAACTAGACTATGCTCTTTGTTGGAGACAGGGACCTGTCTTTATTCCCATAAAGACAACTAGGGAAGAACCCGATCCAGTATCTCAAATTGAAAAGTCAGACGAGCTGACTCCCACACCTAAAGCCACCACATGGGATCCCCTATACCATTTTGCCCTGCTCAGTACCTCTGACCCTTCCCCTCGGGCAGCTGCTGCCACCCCATATCCCACCCCAGATCCTTCTCCTGCTCACGCTGTTACTCCTCCTTACAACTCTAATTCTTGGGAGTTATCATCCCATGAGCCTGTCCCCTGTCAGCTTAAATACCTCTCCCTAAAGGGACTCCAGCATGAGGTACAGCAATGTAAAAAGGACGTTCAGAACTTCCCTTTTCCGTCCACACCTAAAGAGTCAGCCCCAACTCTCTTCCCCTTAAAAGACATGCCACAAGGAGGAGGAGCCATTGTATTTGTGAATGCTCCCTTGACCAGTTCAGAAGTCTGAAGTTTGAAAAAGGAAATTAAGCCATTGTTAGACGACCCTTATGAGGTGGCAGATCAGGTTGATCAATTCTTGGGACCTCAGTTATACACTTTGGTCGAGTTTATGTCCATCCTAGGCATCCTCTTTTCGGAGGAGGAAAGAAGCATGATCTGATCCGTAGGGCTGCTATGGCAATTTGGGAATATGAACACACTCCTTGTCAAAACGTTCCTACCACGGACCAAAAATTCCCTGCCCAAGATCCCCGGTGGGATAATAATAACGCAGCTCACCAAGAAAACATGCAAGACATAAGGGAAATGATAATGAAAGAAACTAGGGAATCAGTACCCCAAACTCAAAATCTCTCCAAAGCATTTGATATACAACAGGAGAGAGGTGAGTGGACCATGAAATTCTTAGACAGACTAAAGGAGCAAATGAGAAAATATGCAGGCCTAAATTTGGAAAATCCCCTGGGACAGGGAATGTTAAATCTCCATTTTTGTCACTAAAAGTTGTCCAGATGTCTCTTTTTATTTTTTTGAGATGGAGTCTCTCTCTGTCACACAGGCTGGAGTGCAATGGTGCGATCTTGATTCACTGCAAGCTCCGCCTCCCAGGTTCACTCCATTCTCCTGCCTTAGCCTCCCCAAGTAGCTGGAACTACAGGCGCCCACCACCACGCCCAGCAAATTTTTTGTATTTTTAGTAGAGGCGGGGTTTCTCCGTGTTAACCAGGATGGTCTCAATCTCCTGACCTCGTGATCCACCCACCTCGGCCTCTCAAAGTGCTGGGATTACAGGCATGAGCCACTGTGCCTGGCCAACGTTGTCCAGATATTTCAAGAAAGTTACAAAAATTAGAAGATTGGGAAAACTGACTTCAAGTGAACTTCAATGAGAAGTGAACCTCAAGTGAAGTAACCTCAAGTGAACCTCAGAGAGACTCAAAAAGTATCTGTGAAGAGAGACGAAGAAAAGCGAAAACAAAAGACAAAACTTATGTTATTCACCTTCCAACAGATGGCTCCAAACCCATGTACCCCTAAACAGAGCTTCCAGTGGGCCAGAAACTATAAAGGTTCCAAACCCTCCTTTAAAGGACCCAAGCCTCCATTGGGAGGATCAAGGCTCTCGTCTACCAGTCCATCTAAATAGCATGGGGGAGTAAAATCAAAGAATCCCAGAACTGAGAGTGGGGAAGGGCAAGGTAGGCACTACAAATGTGGAAGAACAGGCCACTTCAAGAGAGAATGTCCCAAATTAGAAAAGGAAAAAGAAGCCCTTCCACTCATGGCTTTTGAGGAAGAATAATGGTGTCAGGGGTTCTGTCTCTTTTATCTTGAGTCCCACCAGGAGCCCTTGATAAGTCTAGAAGTGGGACCTAAGCATGAGTTTATAACCTTTTTAGTCAATTCAGGAGTGGCTCGATCCTCTGTTTGTTTCCCCCCCATCTAATATTGCCTGCTCTTCAGAGGAACTTTTGGTGTGTGGGGTAAAGGGAGAAGGATTTAAAGCAAAAATTTTAGAAAACACAGAAGTCAGATACCAGGCTCAATCAGCTCATATTCAGTTTTTGTTAATCCCTAAAGCAGGGACTAATTTACTAGGCAGGGATTTAATGTTGAAGTTAGGCATAGGCCTGCAACTCAGCACAAGAGGATTCCTCACCTCATTAAAGCTACTCACCACTGCAGATGAAAAATATATTAATTCTAATGTCTGATCCAAAGAAGGAAACTGAGGGAAACTCTGAGTCCCTCCAAGCACATCAAGGTAAAAAACCCCAGGGAAGTAGTAAGGAGGAAACAATACCCCATTCCCCTAGAGGGTAGGATACGGTTGAAACCTATAATTGAAGGTCTTATTAAAGATGGGCTTCTTGGGCCCTCTATGTCCCCTTATAACAACCCAATATTGCCAGCCAAGAAATTAGATGGGTCATATCGGCTGGTACAGCACCTTAGGGCTATTAACCAAATAGTCCAAACTACCCATCCAATTGTCCTCGATCCTTACACCATTCTCAGCAAGATTCCATATAATAATCAATGGTTTACTGTAATAGATTTGAAGGATGCTTTTTGGGTATGTCTCCTGGCTGAAGATAGGCCAGATATATTTGCTTTTGAGTGGGAGGATCCCCATTCAGGGTAGAAACAACAATATCGATGGATAGTCTTACCCCAAGGGTTCACAAACTCCCCTAACCTTTTCAGTCAAATTTTAGAACAAGTATTAGAAAAAGTTATCATCCCAAACAAATATGCCTGCTCCAATACGTTGATGATATTCTTATATCTGGTGAAGATATAGAGAAGGTAGCTGGCTTCTCTACACATATTCTCAACCATCTGCAGTTCGAGGGGTTATGAGTCTCAAAGGGAAAGCTTCAGTATGTAGAACCTGAAATTAAATATTTAGACCACTTTTAAGTGCAGAGAAGTGAAGAATAGGGCCTGAACGAGTTGAGGGAATCGTGTCCCTACCCTTGCCTCAAACTTAAACAAGAACTCAGGAAATTTTTAGGGTTATTTGGATACTGCTGCTTATGGATTAACTCACATGCACTAAACAGTAAAATTCTATATCCAAAACTTGCCCAGGGGAAGACTGACCATTTCCTGTGGACTTCTGAGGAAGTCCATCAGGTTGAAGAGCTGAAAAAAGGCTTATAACAGCCCCTGTCTTAGCCTTACCTTCCCTAGAAAAGCCATTCCACCTTTTTGTCAACGTGGATAATGGGGTAGCTTTAGGAGTGCTCACTTAAGAACATGGAGGCCATTGGCAGACCATGGTGGCCTTCCTGTCAAAAGTCTTAGATCCAGTTACTTGTGAGTGGCCTCAATACATCCAATCCATTGTGGCTACAGCACTAATGGTCAAAGAAAGCAGGAAGTTAACCTTTGGAGGAAAATTGACAGTAATAACGCCCCATCAAGTTAGAACTATCTTAAACCAGAAAGCAGGGAGGTGGCTTACTGACTCAAGAATCTTAAAGTATGAGACTATTCTGTTAGAAAAAGATGATTTAACATTAACCACTGATAATTCCCTTAACCCAGCAGTTTTCCTAATAGGGGATCCAAATCTAAAGAGATAGCACACATGTTTACATTTAACTGATTACCATACAAAGGTCTGACCAGACCTAGGAGAAACTCCCTTCAGGATGGGATGACACTTATTTATAGATGGTTGCTCCCAGGTGATTGAGGCAAAAAGATGCAATGGGTATTCAGTAATTGATAGGGAAACTCTTGAAGAAATTGAGGTAGGAAAATTGCCTAAGAATTGGTCTGCCCAAACTTGTGGGCTGTTTGCACTCAGCTGAGCCTTAAAGTACTTGCAGAACCAGGAAGTAGCCATCTATACCAATTCTAAGTATGCCTTTGGAGTGGCTCATACATTGGGAAAAATTTAGACTGAACGAGGTCTCATTAATAGTAAACATCAAGATCTTGTTCATAAGGATCTAATCACCTAAGTATTGAATAACCTTCAGTTGCCAGAGGAAATAGTGATTGTCCATGTCCCCAGACACCAGAAAAGTCTTTCTTTTGACAGTCCAGGAAATAGCCTAGCAGATTACATAGGGAAACAGGCTGCCATTTCTTTTAAAACATCTATTTTTCACTGAACTCTTTACCTTCCTCCTCCTACCATAATCTCCATTTTCTCTTCCACTGAAAAGAGAAACTAATAAAAATAGGTGCTAAAGAGAATTCAGAATAAAAATGAATATTGTCAGACCAGAGGGAAATGTTGTTCAAACCCTTTATGAGGGAAAACTTGTCCCAACTGCATCAAGGGACCCACTGGGGGTCCCAAGCCATGTGTGACACAGTTCTGAAAGTTTTTGGGTGTATAGGAATTTATACTCTGACCAAACAGGTTACAGACATTTGCTTAGTATGTAAGAAAACTAATAAAAAAACTATAAAAAGATTACCCCTTGGGAGAAGGAGTCCAGACTTAAAGTATCCTGATTGATTACACAGAGATGCCTCCAATAGGTCGTCTAAAATATTTACTAGTGACAGTAGATCACCTTACTCACTGGGTCAAAGCTATTCCCTTTTCAAATGTGATGGCCAATGATGTAGTTAAGGCCTTAATTGAAAATATAGTGCCCAGGTTTAGGCTAATAGAAAACATTGACTCAGACAATGGAACCCATTTTGCCTGAAACTATTACATTTGATCCTTGCCTTGCTATACCTTTGGAGACTTGTCAAGTTGAAGACAGCTCTCAACTTCAGAAAAGTACCTCTGTACTTCCTGGCTCTCCTCAGACTGGACATTAGAGAATTTGGATCATTTAGTCTGCGAAAGTTTCAATGAAGACCCCAGTGTCAACTGGGAGTCTTGCCCCCTTGACACAGAGCTTTTATGATGTAGTTGGTCCAACTACGTGCAAGTGAGAGCAAGGATGGACTGCCCCAACAAGTAGTTGTAATTCCTAAAATCATACATTCATTTTACTAAAGATATAGCTCCCCCTAACTTTCAGGTAAACTAGTGCAACCCAATACAGGTTATTATTTCAAACCCTCAAAGATCTTCCCCTTCTCTAAGCCAATTCCCTTCTTTAAGCTGGTTTTATGATATGGGGGCTGAGTTTTCAGAAACGGACCCTATTGGATCTTTTGGAATATGCTTCATTGCTCCCCTACTGCCTACAGCTTCCCCTAAGTCTTCTTCCAAAAACTCTCACAATGAAACTGTTGTTCC
The DNA here is from genome assembly GCF_000001405.40 of Homo sapiens. Lineage (NCBI taxonomy): Eukaryota > Metazoa > Chordata > Mammalia > Primates > Hominidae > Homo > Homo sapiens. Next base: position 13,058,610 of record NC_000021.9, read on the forward strand.
TCCTCCATCTAATGAGAAGACCAAGGTAGCTATTGTAGAAGTTAAAGACCTAAAACAAACTTTGGTAACTGAGGCAGGATATCAAGATGTGAATGCCTGGTTGGAATGCATCAAATACTCCGTTCGCACTTTAAACAAAAGCAACTGTTACGCTTGTGCACACAGCACACCAAAGGCCCAGATTGTCCCCTTTCCACTAGGATGGTCCTTCAGTCGACCAGGCATGGTCTGTATGGTAGCTCTTTTCCAGGGTTCCACAGCCTGGGGTAACAAGTCATGTCAATCTCTCTCTCTGCTATATCCCAAAGTTCAACACCCTGCAGGTCAGCCTCCAAGGGCCATCCAGCTTCTGTCTCCCGACACTAAGTTCACTTCATGTCTCTCACAACAAGGAGGAAACTTAGCATTGTTTGGAGGCCTAAAAGGATGCAGTAAGCTTAAGACTTTCCAAGAGCTTACCAATCAGTCATCGCTTATACACCCCTGAGCAGATGTATGGTGGTATTGTGGTGGACCTTTACTGGACACTCTGCCAAGTAACTGGAGCAGCCCTCGTGCTCTAGTCCTGTTGGCTATACTTTTCACTCTGGCATTTCATCAACCAGAAAAAGGGAAAACACAACATTGTAAAGCAAGGGAAGTCCCTTACGGGTCTTTTGACTCCCACATTTATTTAGATGCTATTGGAATCCCATGAGGAGTACCAGATACATTTAAGCCTAAGATCAAATAGCTACAGGATTTGAATCAATATTTTGGTGGGTGACAATAAAAATGTAGATTTGATGAATTACATCTATAATAATCAACAGTGGTTTATTAATTCCACCAGGGATGTTGTCAAAGGAATAGCAGAACAATTGAGGCCAACTAGCCAGATGGCCTGGGAAAACAGAATGGCCCTGGATATGATATTAGCTGAAAAAGGTGGTGTTTGTGTTATCATTAAAACTCAGTGATACACCTTTATCCATTGGGGGCAAACAACACTGCCCCCAATGGGAGCATAACAAGGGCCCTACAAGGATTTACCACTTTATCCAATGAATTAGCTAAAAATTCTGGGGTCAATAACCCTTTCTCCAGATGGCTAGAAAGGTGTTTCAGTAAATGGGAAGAAATCATAGCCTCAATTCTTACTTCTCTTACAGAAGTAACGGCTGTACTCATTCTTGTTGGGTGTTGTGTCATACCATGCATCCATGGGCTAGTGCAAAGGCTTATAGAAACAACACTTTCTAAAACCTCCCTTAGCTGTCCTCCACCTTATTCAGATAGGCTTTTCTTTTTAGAGGATCAAGTTGAAAAAAAAAAAAAAGCCAAGACATGTTAAAAAGGTTTGAAGAGGAAGGGCTATAAAAATTGAAAGAGGGAATTGTAGAATACAGTGAATTCCTCTTCAAAGGTTTTAGCCTGTTAATGTCCTTTAAAGTTCAAGAGAGGGAAGATTGTTAAGTACAGTGAGTTCTGAGTTCCTCTTCAAAGAACAAATATGTGAATATGTTCAGCTTCTCTATTCTTTGTTCTCCATTTTAAAGTTTAACTTCCTCATTATTTATGCATCCTTGCCCCTAGTTTCAGTAAATGACCCCCTCCTAGTCCCTATCACCTACTCTATCCTTAGCCATTCTTAGTCACCTGCTCTCTCCTTAGTCATCCTTAGTCGCCCGCTCTGTAACCATCCTTCCTGCAGAAACTACCCACCCCGCCACTCTGGCTTGCACCCCTGTCCTCTTTGAAGTAGCCAGTCAAAATTAGCTTAGAGTGTTCCGTCCAACCCTAGCCAACAGGGGAGAGACACAAAAGTAGGGACTAGCTGCATTAGGAATAAGAACCCTTTCCCCTCTCTTATCCAGTGTGCTCTTGCCATTGCTCCATCCGCAAGACTCACCCTTCTATAGAAGTAAATTTGCCTTGCTGGAGTGCTAACTCTTCTTTGTGTCACCAAAAAGTTATTTCCAACATGAAGGTGCACCCTTGGTGGAGGGAACATCTGACGAAGTTCAATGTTTGGGGAAAGCAATATCTGGAAAGATTGAACAGTCAGCAGGAGAAACACCTAGGAAAATTACAAGGCCTGTGAAAGAAACATCTGAGAAATTTGCATGGCCACAAGAAAGGCCTTCAAAGACCACACGGGAGGAAAAAGAAACATCTGTAAAGACTGAATGAGTGGCAGGAGTAACATTTAATAAAATTGAAGTTTTGGAAGAAGGAACATCTAAGATGATCACATGTCCTACAAAAAAACAGCTACAAAAGCAAGTACAAATGGTAAGATGCTTGAGTGAACTTTGTAGAGTTTATTGGCACTCTGGGTTGCCTAATGGAAATAGTGTGGTATGGGAGTAGTTGGGAATGGCTTGAATGTCTAGATAACGCAAGCTTAGGCAACACATTTTAATAGTGTAGAAATGAGTAGATCTTATTCTGTAGGCCCTGGAAAAATTCCCAAAATAGTTCTGGCTGTAAATAATAGATGAACTAACTAACAATTGCTAAAACCATAGAAACCAAAGTTGTTTTGGTGGTACAGGGATGTTATAGGATCTCACTCACCCCCCCATTATTAGTTGTGCTATTGGCAGTGTTTTGTTCATGTCTCCTTTCTTGGTTGGCTAATTAGCAACAGCTCCAATCATCATGCTATCTCAAGACAATATCTGAAGGCTGGGAGGGCTGCTTTTGTTCACATTTTTTTTTAATGGGAGAAAACTTGGAAGCTTTCAGTAATCTTCCTGTAACATTTTATTGGCTGGATTATACCACATGCTTATTTCTATACCAATCACTAGGAAAGCAAATGTAATTACTGTGATTAGCTTACAATAATGATTTTTCTTTTAAGATGGGATGGGTGTAATGGAATAATAAATATCTAAATGAGCATGTGTTTCTGCAGCAATAAAGAATAAATAATGACTATGCATAGGAAGCCAGCAATGTTTTCTGCAGGAATTCAGTGGAAAAGTTTGAGCAGGGGAGTCACAAGATTAGATTTGAGTATCAGGGCATTCTGGTCATGGTATAAAGCAGAGATTGGCAAAGTTTTCCTGTAAAGTGCCAGATAGCGAATATGTTGGGCCATGTGGTCTCTATTACAGCTATTCAACTCTGCCATTGTAGAGTGAAAGGAGTCATAGATAATGTATGGGCAAAGAGGCATGATTGTACTCCAATAAAAGTTTGTATAAAAAACCATTTAGAAAGCTGAATTTGGCCTGTGGCCTATAGTTTTTGGCCCTTCATATAGTAGATAGATGGAGGATAATCACGTAAAAAGATTGAAAGATTAAGCTTTTGTAGTAGTTCATGTGATAGTCTTTTTTTTTTGTAAACAATCTGTGGCCTAGTATCAATCTATTATGAAAGTTTGATCCATCAAGGGTAAAATGAATAAAGTTCAGAAGCTCAATTTACACATTTAAACATGTAGGTCCTTCTTTGGCATTATTTTATTTTGATTAATTTTTTTAACTTAAAAAATAAGAACAGTAATTTGTAGGGTTTCTTTTTCCCTGTGAAAGCCATCAGTTAAGGGGCCACGTTTAACAAGGAAATATAAATATAAAATAAATAAGTTTGTATTTCCAGTGGCACTGGAAAGATAAAGCAAAGGCAGAAAAGAGGTGCAGTTAATATGGTTTAGTGATAATTGAGTTTAAAAAGCTAGGGGACAGATAAAATCTCAGGTCATTCATAAGTTTTCAGATTGTGCACAAGCATTTACAATGCTCATGGGGAAGGAGTAGGAATTTGTCAGGTTAACAGGGAAGTGCAAACAGTCATGGGACAGACCAACAGTTTTCTTTACATATTGAGTTCAATGAAACATTTGTGAGGGATACTTTCAGTAGGTAATTGGATTATATGCATTTCTAGCTGGAGATAGAACTCTGGTTGAAGATGCAGGCTTAGAATACCTTTATTATAATTATTAGGCAAAGCCATAGATCTCAATGAGCTTATCCATGAGGCAGAAGATGTAGAATAAAAGGAAAGCCATTGACAAAACCCTGGGAATATCAACATTTCACAAGAGTCAAAGGACTTGGTAAAGGAGACTGAGCAGTGGTTAAACAAATGTAGGAGAGGAGTCTGAGAAAGTGATGTTGCAAATTTCTTTTAAATGTGAGAATTTCAAGCAGTAAAATTACTCAAAAGGCTACTGGATTTAACTTACAAGTTCTTCAGTGGTAATCTGTTCAAAAGAATTATTTTAGTTGTTAGGTATACTGTTGATGTGGTTGATAATTCTGGTATCCAAGAAGAAATCTCCCAAGATCCTACCTAACTTTTTGTAACTAAAGCGGCATACATACACAGGTAGTGGGAAAATGTCTAGACTGGTGAGTACACATACCAACATTTTTCCAGAATTTTCTGCCTCCTTATTATACCACTTGAGTAAGGGGTTTAGAAATTTTAGGCTCTACTTGGGAATTTGTCTATTTCTTTTGCAGTTCTATCAATTTTTGTATCATGTATTTTGAAGCATTTATGTTATTATATACATAAATATTTAGGACTGTTATGTTTTCTTGATTAATTGAACCATTTGTCACTATGAAATGACCTTGTTTATTGCTGGTAATATTTTTGCTATGAAATGTACTTTGGTATTAATACAACCACTCTTCCTCAGCCTTCTTTTGTAGTGTTAGTGTGATATATCTCGTTTCATCTTTTAACCAATTTTTGTCTTTATATTTAAAGTTTATTTCTTATACTCATTATACAGATAAGACTTGCTCTTTTATCCATTCTGATAATCTGCCTTTGAGCAGAGGTTTTTAGACCAGTTTAATTTATAATGTAATTATTGATATGATTAGAGTTGTCTGTCATCACACTGTTTGATTTCTATTAGTCTCAGATCTTCTTTGCTTTGCTTTTTTCCTTTTTCTGCTTCCTTCAGACTAGTTTAGTAATTTTTATGATTTAGTTACATATCTGTATATGCATAACTTTTTTAGTTATTAATCTAGTTTTACATTTCTTTACAATTTAGTCATATCTTTTTTGGTATAAGTTTATTTGGTATTAGGTATAACTCTTTGCTGTCTTAGTAGTTGCTTTAGGATTTATAATGTATGAATTTACCTCATCACAATCCACCTTCAAGTAATATTATATCATATCATAGATGGTATAAGAAATTACAATCATATTTTCACTTCTTTTCTATCAACCAGATCCCAGCCTAGATCTGTGGGATTATGGCTTTCGTTAAGTTTAGAACATATTTAGCCAATTTTTCCTCAAATTTTTGATTCTGCCTCTCCTCCTATCTCTTTGGGGACTTATATACTACCTGCTGGAAGTTTGCTCATCGTTCACTAGTGTCTCAAATTTGTGAATCTTTTCTTTCATGATGGCGAATTAATCTATGCTCATATCTACTCAGTGTAGCTTTCATCTCCAGCATTGTAATTTGTATCTCTAAAAGTGCAATTTGGTTTTTAAAAGTATCTTCTATTGCTTTATTTATCTTCTTGATTTTTATAGTTGAGTTACTTATAAACAGCTTGATCCTTTTCATTTTTCTTTTTATGGTGTGAGCTAACTCCCCATACCTGAGACAAGGCCTTTCTGAGTATTCATTTTCCTGTGAAGTCTGAGTTTTCCCAGGCAAATCTATAAAAACAGACACTCTTCTTGGCACTGTATGAGTACCAGGTGTGATTTCCTCTAATTTTATAAGCCAACCCCCACCCCCATCCGGTTTGTTCTTAGGTAGTTTTCTATCTCACATGCAATTTTCAAAATTTTGCTAAATACTGACAGGGGGTTTCTTGCCGTTGCTTCTGTATCTCTCTCTCCTCCTCAGTGTTTGTTCTGTAATATCTGCCTGCTTTGGTTTTACTAGACTCTAAGCTTCATCAGTGTAACCAAGAGAGTCTGGTAGATCCCACCTCAGTTTTTTCTTCCTGTGTCATGTCTCGGAATCTCTGCCAAGACAGGAAGCTGAAACATTCAGAAGGTTTGCTTTCTTTCGTTTTTTTATTTTCTGTTTTTCAGGGATTATTATCTTCTTTGCCTAATGTCCAGTATCTGAAAAATTGTTTAATGTATTTTGTGTGTTTTGTTTTTAGTTATTTTAGCTAAGAAGAAAAATCATACCTGTTGCTCTCCCTTGGCTAGAGGAAGACTACACTAGAGTTTCAGCACATGCCACAGACTGGCTAAAATGCTTTCCTTCCCTGTTTGCTCAACTGCTTCCTTTTCATTCTTCATTCCTCAGTGTAGCTATACATCCCTCGGGGGAATTTTCCATGAGCCTAGTATAGATCTAAATCTTAGCAATCTGTTTTCTTACAGTATTTATCTGAATTTATAACTGTCACTTTTCTGGGGCTTTGTCTTTTAGCACATTTTAAGTTAAACAAATGCAGAGGTTTTTGTTTTTTTCTGTTTAATCTGCAGAGCTTAGTATAATGCCTTCCACGTGGCAGGCAATCAATATATATTTGATCAGTGTATGAATTAATGATTGTTAAAATATGCAGTTCTCTGTATCCCAAAAGTACTAATATATTTTATTTCTATCTCCTCCTTGAGACACATTCAACTAGCCTATCAAAAATCTTGGATGCAGTTCTTTCTTGTGAAAGAGCAAGGGAACTTAAAAAATATCCCTGTGGGCCAGGCGCCATGGCTCACACCTGTAATCTCATCACTTTGGGAGGCCAAGGCGGGCAGATCATGACGTCAGGAGATCAAGACCATCCTGGCTAACACAGTGAAACCCCGTCTCTACTAAAAATACAAAAAAAAAAATTAGCCGGGCGTGGTGGCAGGTGACTATAGTCCCAGCTACTCGGGAGGCTGAGGCAGGAGAATGGCATGAACCCGGGAGGCGGAGCTTGCAGTGAGTGGAGATCGCGCCACTGCACTCCAGCCTAGGCAACAGAGCGAGACTCCGTCAAAAAAAATAAAAGAAAAAAAAATCCCTGTGAACAACTTACAGCAAAAATGAAACAAATGAAAAATAAGCTTCGTGTACTACAAAAGGAACTAACAGAAGCAAAATAAATAAAATCATAGAGAATCAAAAACTTAAAAGAGAACAAGAGCTCTGCAGTGTGAGGTATGACATACTAGTATATAGGATACTTTTTGTACTAGCTGACATACCTTCTGAGGTTTAACTGGAGAAAGAAATCTCTGTCTTGTAGAGTGTCAAATTCATTTAAATAATACAATTTCTTAACTGTGAATACATCTCCTGATAATTAAATGCATATTTATTTAAATCACAATTTTAATGGCTGCATAGAAGGCCATTATTTGGAAACCCCATTATTACTTAACAAATTAATTTTTTTTATTTTTAATTTTTTGTGTTATAATAAGTGCTGCAAGGCATAACTGCATGTAAATCTTTTTCTATCATTCTAATTATTGACTTGGAATAAATTCTTCACTATAAAAATATTTGGTTAAATTATAGGTTGCTCTACCCCCAATAATCATTTTCCTTTAATTATACACTTGTAATCTTAATATGCATGGAGTATAAAGAAAAATATAGGTAATTTATGACTAGTATATTCAACATCTCTCTCTCCTACATAAATAAAATTAATTCAGAGTTGTACTTATTATTTTTATATTTTAATTAAATATATTCTGTGTTATTCTAAAAGAGATTTAAAATTTGTTGATAAAATGTATAATAATCAACAAGATACATTTAAAGTATTACTAAAAAAAGAAACAAAACATATATGGGATAACAGATATTAGATTTTTCAGCCTAGTCTCAGATTTTAATATAATTATTTTTAAGGATACTTGCCTTATTTTATAAAGATGAATATTTATGTCTAATGAATATGTAAACTTGTTTACAAAAAGTAACGTCATTTTAATTAGTTAACTCTAAATGATCTGTCCTTATTGAGGAGTAATTTTGACTGTTATATTTTTAAAATAATAATTTTCAACTTATAATTTTACTGGATAACTTCCAGTATTCTTTTCCATAACTGTTGTTGAAGTTACTGGTAACAGAATCTTTCTAACTAGAAGATGTTCTTTCTCATTATTTTTCAAGTATGTGCATCATTTGGAAGAGAGTTCAGTAATAAATTAAATACCTCAGAACTAGAAAGAAAAAACATATTCAAGAATATAGAAATTTTACTGGAATAATAAACCAATATACGAAGAAGTAGATCTCAAAGTGAATTCTATGTTCTAACAAAATGAATTTTAAGATAAGTATATTTAATGGCAGATTGACTTTAAACCAAGAAGAAGAGAAGAGAAGAAATGCCAATATATTAAATGAAAAATTAGGGAAGAATTAGGAAAAATCGAAGAGCAACAAAAGAAAAAGTTAGAAGTGAAGCAACTTGAGCTCACTCTCCGAATATACAAAATATGGAATTGAAGACTGTAAGAAGTAATTTGAATCAGCTCAATCAATCGCTGGTAAAAATTTTATATTTCTAACTTTATTTCATCAATATTACTTTTAATATCCCTTCGATTTAGTATGTATTATTCAGAATTATGATAATGCCGCTATAATATTTAGGTACAAACTTTTGTATATTTCATTCATAAGTTTTCATTTCTTTTGGGTATGTACCTAGGAATGGAATTGCTGGGTCATAAGGTACCTATGCATAACCTTTTCATCAATCACCTCACAGTTTTCCAATGTGTGCACTATTTTACTTCCCCACCAGCGATGTATGAAAGATCTAATTTCTCTACGGCCTCACCAGGGTGGAGTGCAGTGGCGCACTCTCAGCTCACTGCAAGCTCCACCTCCCGGGTTCACGCCATCCTCCTGCCTCAGCCTCCCGAGAAGCTGGGACTACGGGCGCCTGCCACCACGCCCGGCTAATTTTTTGTATTTTTTAGTAGAGATGGGGTTTCACCATGTTAGCCAGGATGGTCTTGATCTCCTGACCTCGTGATCCGTCCGCCTCAGCCTCCCAAAGTGCTGGGATTACAGGCGTGAGCCACCGTGCCCAACCATTTGTCATTTTTTATTGTGGGTACACTAGTGGGTGTTAAGTGATATCTGCTTGTGGTTTTGATTTTGCATTTTCTTGATGGCTTGTGATGTTAGGCTTTTCTTCAAGCACTTATTGGACGCTCTTATATCTTCTTCACAAAAATGTCTATTTAAATATTTTGCCTATTTTTATGTATTTTTTCTTTTTGTTGTTGAGTTGTAAAAGCTATTTGTGCATTTTGGATACAGATTTCTAATCAAATATATAAGTTGCAAACATTTTCTCTACTTTTCTGGTTGTCGTTTTGTTTTCTTTGTTACGTCCTTTGAAACACAAATGTTCCTAATTTTGATGAAGCCCAGTACATTTTCTTTTATCACTGTGCTTTTGGTGCCATATCTAAGAAACTACTGCCAAATCAAAGGCCATAAAGATTTATTGTTATTTTTTATTCTAAGAGTTTTATAGTTTTGCAATTCAGAAACATAAAATCAAATACTGCATGTTCTTACTTAAAAATGGGAAATAAATAATGTGTACACATGAACAAGGAGTGTAAAATGATAAGACACTGTAGACTCAGAAGGGTGAGAAGGTGGGAGGGGTAAGGGTGATGAGAAATTACTTAGTGGATACAGTGTACATTGTTCCAGTGATAAACACACTAAAAGCTCAGACTTCACTCCTACCCCATATACCCATGTAACAAAATTGCACTTGCAATCCTTAAATTTATACAGTTTTAAAAAATGGTTTTAGAGTTTTGGTTCTGTGATTAATTTTATAATGTTTCATTGTGGTAAAGCACATATAATAAGCTTTGCCATTTTAAACATAAAAGTCAGAGGCATTAATTACATTCAGAATGTTGTGCAATCATCAAAACTATGTATTTCCAAAAAAAATTTTCACCCCAAACTGAAACTCTGTACTCATTAAGCAACAACTCCTCATTCTCCCTTTCCTCCCAAGTCCCTGGTAGGAATAAATTTTATGGCATTTTAATTAATTTAAGTGTAAAAAACTAAAAGCAGCTGGTGGCTATCATACTGGACCTCACAGTTCTAACACCATCAGTATCAACCCCTGGACAGATATAATCATTCCTAAGCTGCCTTTACATTTATTATTATTCTATTTATGGTAATCTGTAATCTATTCTCCCACAAAGCTGGACTATTCCTGTAAGAACATATCTTATACCATTTCATTCCCAGCTCTGAATCCTCCAGTGGTTACCTATCACAATTAACAAAGAAATCCAAGCTCTTTACTATGGTCTGTGTTTATCTGCTCCTCAGACTGTGCATTCTCCTTTCCTCCTCCCAGTGCCTGCAGCCTGACTGGACTTTGTAGTGATCTTTGAGCTCATCAAGTGCTGTCTGTATTCAGACTCTGCACAGTGTCTCTTCTCTCTGCCCTCTAGACATTCGCTTAACTTACTCTGTCATACCATTCTGACCTGCTCAAGTGTCATCTTCTCAAAAAGATTGTTCCAGAGCTCCCTATCTAAAGTAGCAGTTGCTGACACCATGAATGTGATTACCCTACCTTGTTTTCTTTGTATTATTATACTTTTTATTTCGACAGGGCCGCAATCTGTCACCAAGGCTAGGGTGCAGTGGCACAATCATGGATCACTGCAGCCTCAAACTCTGGGGCTCAAGCAGACCTCCTGTCTCAGCCTACCAAGTAGCTGGGACCACAGGTGAGCACCACCACACTTGGCTAATGTATTTCTTCATAGCACTTAGTACATCCATCACTTTAGTGTGCAACTGTTTACGCATTTATGTTCTATCTCTGTCACTGTACTGCAAGCTCCATAAAGACAGACCTTCTCTCTCCAGTTCCCATAATACTACCCAGCATAAAATAGGCTGTAAGTAAACATTTATTGAGTACATAAAAGAAGAATCTTATTCATGTCAAGGCTGTAATCTATGTTAGACTCAAAGAGATAGTCTCCTGACTAAATGGAAGTGTTTCTTTATTGAAGCATGCCTTTAAAAAAAGTGTTGCACATGGTGGATAAGCTTTTGTATGTGCTGCTGGATTCACTTTGCCAGTCTTTTATTGAGGATTTTCACATCAATGTTCATAAGGGATATTAGCCTGAAATTTTCTGTATTTGTTGAGTCTCTGCCAGGTTTTGGTATCAGGATGATGCTGGCCTCATAAAATGAGTTAGGGAGGAGTCCCTCTTTTACCATTGTTTGGAATAGTTTCAGAAGGAATGGTACCAGCTCTTCTTTATATCTCCAGTATAATTCAGCTATGAATCCATCTGGTCCAGGGCTTTTTTTGGTTGGTAGGCTATTAATTACTGCTTCAATTTCAGAACTTGTTATGGGTCTATTCAGGGATTCTACTTCTTCCTGATTTTGTCACGGGAGGGGGTATGTGCCAGGAATGTATCCATATTTTCTAGATTTTCAAGTTTATTTGCAGAGAGGCATTTATAGTATTCTCTGAGGGTAATTTGTATTTCTGTGGGATCAATAGTGATACCTCCTTTATCATTCTTTTTTTTTTTTTTGAGATGGAGTCTCACTCTGTCACCCAAGCTGGAGTGCAGTGGTGTAATCTTGGCTCACTGCATCCTCCACCTCTGGGGTTCAAGCAATTCTTCTGCCTCAGCCTCCCCAGTAGCTGGGACAGTAGGCACAAACCACCACACACAGCAAATTTTTGTATTTTTAGTAGAGATGGGGTTTCACCATATTGGCCAGGCTGGTCTCGAACTCCTGACCTCGTGATCCACCTGCCTCGGCCTCCCAAAGTGCTGGGATTACAGGCATGAGCCACTGCACCCAGCCCCCTTTATTATTTTTTATTATGTCTACTTGATTCTTCTCTTTTTCCTCTGTTAGTCTAGCTAGTGGTCCATTTATTTTATTAATCTCCTGGATTCACTGATATTTCAAAGGGTTTTTCATGTCTCTATCTCTTTCAGTTCTACTCTGATCTTAGTTATTGCTTGTCTTCTGGTAGCTTCTGAATTTGTTTACTCTTCTCTAGGTTTTTTAATTGTGATATTAGGGGGTCAATTTTAGATCTTTCCAGCTTTCTGTTGTGGGCATTTAGTGCTATAAATTTCCCTCTTAACACTACTTCAGCTGTGTCTCAGAGATTCTGGTATGTTGTCTCTTTGTTCTCACTGGTTTCAAACAACTTTGTTATTTCTGCCTTAATTTCGTTACTTACCCAGTAGTCATTCAGGGGCAGGTTGTTCAATTTCCATGTAATTGTGTGGTTTTGAGTGAGTTTCTTAATCCTGAGTTCTAATTTGTACATGTACAAATTAGAGTACACCATGGAATATTATGCAGCCATAAAAAAGTATGAGTTCATGTTCTTTGCAGGGACATGGATGAAACTAGAAGCCATCATTCTCAGCAAACTAACACAGGAACAGAAAACCAAACAGTGCATGTTCTCACTCATAAATGGGAGTTGAATAATGAGAACACATGGACACATGAAGGGGAACCTCACACACAGAGACCTGTCAGGGGTTGGAGGGGAAGAGGAGGGAGAGCATTAGGACAAATACCTCATGCATGTGGGGCTTAAAACTTAGATTACAGGTTGATAGATGGAGTGAACCACCACAGCACATGTATACCTATGTAACAAACCTGTACATTCTGCACATGTATCCCAGAACTTAAAGTAAAATTTTTAAAACAGATATAAATATTGTATACATAAAAAAGACACACAATGTTTATGAATAGAAAGATTTTATATTGTGAATAAGTAATTTCTACTCATTAAATTATGGTTAAATGCAATCCTACTCAAAATCCTATCAGGTAATTTGAAAATTGACAAGCTAATTTAAAATTTTTTTGAAAATTTAAAAGGACAAGAAGAACCAAGAAAGTTCTGAAGAAGAACAGAGCTCAAGAATGTATACCATCAGATGTTTCCAACTTTATTACAATTAAAATAAGATGCTATTAGCAGGACATACAAATAGAGAAATCAAAAACAAACTCATACTTATACCATCACCTGATTTATGACAAAGGTGAAACTGCAGTGCAGTGAGGAAATAATAATCTTCTCAATAAATGGTGTTAGATAATTTGGATATCAAAATGGGGGAATAAAAGAATTTAGCCCTTATCTTACTTCACAAACAAAAGTCAATCGTAGGTGGGTTATAAAGCTCAATCTGAAACGTTAAAAATTCAAAAAGAAAAGCTTCTGTAACATAGAAGAATACCTTTATGACAATGGGGTAGACAAAAATTTCTTAAGCCAGACAAAATAAGCATTAACTACACAGAAATAGTCTGATAACTTGAACTACATTAAAATTAAGAAATTGGTATTAACGAATTCACCATTAAGAGAAAGAAAAGACAAAGTGGGAGAAGATATCTGCAATGTTTATGTCCAATCAAAAATTTATGTCCAGAATATATAAAAAATCTCCTACAAATCTTCATATATTCTGGATAAGAATTTTTGATTGGACATAAACCAAAAAAAGTCCAGGACCAGACGGATTCACAGCCGAATTCTACCAGAAGTACAAAGAGGAGCTGGTACCATTCCTTCTGAAACTATTCCAATCAACAGAAAAAGAGGGAATCCTCCCTAACTCATTTTACAAGGCCAGCATCATCCTGGTACCAAAGCCTGGCAGAGACACAACAAAAAAAAGAGATTTTTAGACCAATATCCCCGATGAACATCGATGCAAAAATCCTCAATAAAATACTGGCAAACAGCATCCAGCAGCACCTCAAAAAGCTTATCCACAATGATCAAGTGGGCTTCATCCCTGGGATCCAAGGCTGGTTCAACATACGCAAATCAATAAATGTAATCCAGCATATAAACAGAACCAATGATAAAAACCACATGATTATCTCAATAGATGCAGAAAAGGCCTTTGAGAAAATTCAACAACGCTTCATGCTAAAAACCTCAATAAATTAGGTATTGATGGGACGTATCTCAAAATAATAAGAGCTATTTATGACAAACAACAGCCAATATCATACTGAATGGGCAAAAACCGGAAGCATTCCCTTTGAAATCTGGCACAAGACAGGGATGCCCTCTCTCACCACTCCTATTCAACATAGTGTTGGAAGTTCTGGCCAAGGCAATCAGGCAGGAGAAAGAAATAAAAATTATTCAATTAGGAAAAGAGGAAGTCAAATTGTCCCTGTTTGAAGATGACATGATTGTATATTTAAAAAACCCCATCGTCTCAGCCCAAAATCTTCTTAAGCTGATAAGCAACTTCAGCAAAGTCTCAGGAGAAAAAATCAATGTGTAAAAATCACAAGCATTCTTATACACCAATAACAGACAAACAGAGAGCCAAATCATGAGTGAACTCCCATTCACAATTGCTTCAAAGAGAATAAAATACCTAGGAATCCAACTTACAAGGGATGTGAAGGACCTCTTCAAGGAGAACTACAAACCACTGCTCAATGAAATAAAACAGGATACAAACAAATGGAAGAACATTCCATGCTCATGGATAGGAAGAATCAATATCATTAAAATGGCCATACTGCCCAAGGTAATTTATAGATTCAATGCCATCGCCATCAAGCTACCAATGACATTCTTCACAGAATTGGGAAAAAACTACTTTAAAGTTCATATGGAACCAAAAAAGAGCCCACATTTCCAAGACAATCCTAAGCCAAAAGAACAAAGCTGGAGGCATCACGCTACCTGACTTCAAACTATACTACAAGGCTACAGTAACCGAAAGAGCATGGTACTGGTACCAAAACAGAGATATAGACCAATGGAACAGAACAGAGCCCTCAGAAATAATACCACACATCTACAACCATCTGATCTTTGAAAAACCTGACAACAACAAGAAATGGGGAAAGGATTCCCTATTCAATAAATGGTGCTGGGAAAACTGGCTAGCCATATGTAGAAAGCTGAAACTGAATCACTTTCTTACACCTTATACAAAAATTAATTCAAGATGGATTAAAGACTTAAATGTTAGACCTAAAACCATACAAACCCTAGAAGAAAACCTAGGCAGTACCATTCAGGATATAGGCATGGGTGAGGACTTCATGTCTAAAATACCAAAAGCAATGGCATCAAAAGCCAAAATTAACAAATGGGATCTAATTAAACTAAGGAGCTTCTGCACAGCAAAAGAAACTACCATCAGAGTGAGCAGGCAACCTACAGAATGGGAGATGATTTTTGCAATCTACTCATCTGACAAAAGGCTAATATCCAGAATCTACAAATGACTCAAACAAATTTACAAGAAAAAAACAAACAACCCCATCACAAAGTGGGTGAACAATATGAACAGACACTTTTCAAAAGAAGACATTTATGCAGCCAACAGACACATGAAAAAATGCTCATCATCACTGGTCATCAGAGAAATGCAAATCAAAACCACAATGAGATACCATCTCACACCAGTTAGAATGGCAGTCATTAAAAAGTCAGGAAACAATAGGTGCTGGAGAGGATGTGGAGAAATAGGAACACTTACACTGTTGGTGGGACTGTAAACTAGTTCAACCATTGTGGAAGAGAGTGCAGTGATTCCTCAAGGATCTAGAACTAGAAATACCATTTGACCCAGCCATCCCATTACTGGGTATATACCCAAAGGATTACAAATCATGCTGCTATAAAGGCACATGCACATGTATGTTTACTGGGGCACTATTACACAATAGCAAAGACTTGGAACCAACAAAAATGTCCATCAATGATAGACTGGATTAAGAAAATGTGGCACATATACACAATGGAATGCTATGCAGCCGTGAAAAATGATGAGTTCGTGTCATTTGTAGGGACACAGATGAATTTGGAAACCATCATTCTCAGCAAACTATCGCAAGAATAAAAAACCAAACACTGTATGTTCTCACTCATAGGTGGGAATTGAACAATGAGAACACTTGGACACAGGAAGGGGAACATCACACACCAGGCTCTGTTGTGGGGTGGGGGAAGCGGGGAGGGATAGCAATAGGAGATATACCTAATGTAAATGACGAGTTAATGGGTGCAGCACACCAACATGGCCTATGTATACATATGTAACAAACATGCACGTTGTGCCCATGTACCCTAGAACTTAAAGTATAAAAAAATTATTAAAAGTCATTGAAATGTACACTTTAAAAAACACAAAAAGAGTTTATTCTATCAGGATTCTGACTAGAGTGCTCTAGAGTATGACATAGGATAGGGAATGTCTTAATAAGCTTCAAAATTCTAGGAATAATGAAACTAGGAAACAAAGCTTTGAAAAATGCCAGGAATTCAACTGCCTCCCTGGCCTTTCCCTGTCAATCTATGTGCCCCAGCAGCCAACTTACATAGCACTGTGTGCAGGCTTGTAAATAGACCTTCCAGTTCTGCTATAATCAATACCTTATTGTCCATAACTCAATTTGGAGAAGGTTTAGCTGTCTACCAACTCTTGTGGAGAGTTTCTGTGAAGTTTTGTTTTGGGTTGCAAGAATCTGGAAAACAGATGCAGATTTTTTTGAGGAAGATTTTGAAATTTCTACTTATAAGGTACCCAAAATGGGATCCAAACTCTTGAATTTGGTTGATCTTCTGAAATACATACCTGTGTTTTAAGATTTGCTTGAGCAAACCTTTAACCATGGAAATTTTAACCAATGATTTCCAGGTTGAAACAATTCCAGTTTTGTCATTTAAATACCACAGATGAATCTGTTTTAGCACAGAGTACAAATATCTTTTTTCCTTTTGAGCATTTGGAATAGTGTGTTTTGGTAATAAAACATAGCTCTGCATATTAATGAAACATAGCTCTGCATATTTTGTATGGGGAAAATTAGCATTCTGTGAACAAAGTCAATAATTTCTGGCCTTGCATTAGTTTCCCTACTATAATTAAAACTTAGTTTTGGCCGGGTGCGGTGGCTCCCGTCTGTAATCCCAGCACTGTGGGAGGCCAAGCCTGGCGGATCACGGAGCCAGGAGGTCGAGACCATACTGGCTAACATGGTGAAACCCCGTCTCTACTAAAAATACAAAAAAAAAAAAAATTAGTCAGGTGTGGTGGCGGTCGCCTGTAGTCCCAGCTACTCAGGAGGCAGGAGAATGGCATGAACCTGGGAGGCAGAGATTGCAGCGAGCCGAGATCATGCCACTGCACTCTAGCCTGGGTGACAGAGTGAGACTCTCAAAAAAAACAAAAACAAAAAAACAAACAAAAAAAGCACTTAGTTTTGAAAGTAT
The DNA here is from genome assembly GCF_000001405.40 of Homo sapiens. Lineage (NCBI taxonomy): Eukaryota > Metazoa > Chordata > Mammalia > Primates > Hominidae > Homo > Homo sapiens. The sequence goes on from NC_000021.9 coordinate 13,075,838, forward strand.
CTTAGTGTTAAATTTCCAGTGCTTCAATATTACAATTAAAACCTTGCTTTACTGAGAGCAGAAACATAATGCAGAAAAGAAAAAAGACCAACAGTCTCTAGATTGCTGGATTTATGTGGATATGATGGGGTTGGTATTTAACGATTTCTCCCTTGAATCATAGCAAAGATGCTTTTGTGAAGCATAGCTCTTTCATAAATATACTTTCCAGCCATTCAGCATTACCTATCTTTAGGTTTCTTTTGCTTTGTGTTTCCACTCCAATATCATTTCTGGAAAAAAATTACAGTAACAAATTTATTGAGAGCTGGCATTGTGAATGGTGCCTAGGACTTAATTCATAAAGAGAAGGTGAATTCTGCTGAAAGGTGCTTAATACACTGCCCCCCAAATCAAGAGAAACAGGCCATTCTGGGACACACATAGCCTGTCTCACACAGGGGTCAGGAAGCAGGGATATCAGGGAATTGGGACTATGTCTTTATGATAGATATGGTTAGGCTTTGTGTACCCCCATCTCATCTTGAATTGTAATCCCCAGGTGTTAAGGGAGACACCTGGTGGGAAGTGATTGGATCATGGCGGGTGGTTTCCCCCATGCTGTTCTTGTGATACTGAGTAAATTCTCATGAATTCTGATGGTTTTATAAATGGTAGTTTTTTCTGCACACACACACATGTTTTTTCTCCTGCTGTCATGTAAGAAGGTCCAGTTTGCTTCTCCTTTGCCTTTTGCCATGATTATAAGTTTCCTGAGGCCTCCCCAGCTATGAGTAACTGTGAGTCAATTTAACCTTTTTGCTTTATAAATTACCCAGTCTTGGGAAGATTTTTATTGCAGTGTGAGAATGGACTAATACAGTAAATTCATACTGGTAGAGTTGGGTACTGCTATAAAGATACCCAGCAATGTAAAAGCGACTTTGGGTCTGGAGATGGAGATGAGAAACCTATTGGGAACTAGAGCAAAGGTCACTCTTGCTATGCTTAAGCAGAGACTGGCAGCATTTTCCCCCTGCCTAAAGAGCTGTGGAACTTTGAATTTAGATGATCTGAAATTGAAACTTATATTTAAAAACGAAGCAGAGCATAAAAGTTTGGAAAAATATGCAGCCTGATAATGCTATAGAAAAGATAAACCCATTATTTGGGGAAAAATTCAAGCCAGCTGCAAAAATTTGCATAAGCGACAGGAAGCCTAATGTTAATCACCAAGACAATAGGGAAAATGTCTCCAGGGCATGTCAGAGACCTTCACAGAAGCCTTTCCCATCACAGACCAGGAGGCCTAAGAGGAAAAAATGGCTTTGTGTGTGGGGTCCAGGCCTTGCTGCTTTGTGCAGCCTTGGTACTTGGTGCCCTGTGTCCCAGCCACTACATCTGTGGCTAAAAGGGGCCAAGGTACAGTTCAGACCATTGCTTCTGTAGGTACAAGCCCCAAGCTTTGTTGGCTTCCATGTGGCATTGAGCCTGTGAGTGCACAGAAGTCAAGAATTGGGGTTTGGTAACCTCCACCTAGATTTCAGAAGATGTAAGGAAAAGCCTGGATATACAGGCAGAAGTTTGCTGCAGGGGTGGAGCCCTCATGGAGAACCTCTGTTAGGGCAGTGCAGAAAAGAAATGTGAGGTCAGAGCTTTCACACACAGTACCCAATGGGGCACTGCCTAGTGGAGCTGTGAGAAGAGAGCCACTGTTCTCCAGATCCCAGAATGGTAGATTAACCAACAGCTTGCACTGTACATCTGGAGAAGCTGCAGACATTCAATGCCAGCCCATTAAAGCAGCTTGGAATGGGGCTGTACCCTGCAAAGGCACAGGGGCAGAACTGCCCAAGACCATGGGAGCCTACTTCTTGCACCAGTGTGACCTGAATGTGAGACACAGGGTCAAAGGAGATTATTTTGGAGCTTTAAAATTCAATGACTACCCTGCTGGATTCTGGACTTGCATGGGGCCTTTAGCCCTTTTGTTTTGTCCAGTTCTCCTATTTGGAATAGGAGCATCCTCATCCAATGCCTGTACCCTCATTGTATCTTAGAAGTAATTAACTTGCTTATGATTTTATAGGCCATGCTAATCAGCATTCAGTTCCAGATTCCAATTTATTCTCAGTGTGCCTGTATAAATTTTCTTTCCATATATATAGAATTAAATTTCTATTACTTATTTGAATGTTATAGAATACTGTTCATATATTTAAAATAAAACCACCAGGTATAATGATTTCTGGCTTAGTATAAAAAATATTTTACCCAGTTAGTGTTATTTACACAGGTGGATGTGGCTCCACAACATTTAGACAAGAAGAATAAATTCAGCTGTCGTATGTTGCCGTGACTCAGCCTCTGAAGAAATTATGAAAAAATCCAAATTTCAGCAAAATTATATAGTTGTTTTCAGTACCTCTGAGGGTGGTATATCAAGAATTCTCGTGCTACTGTTTGAGAAAACAGATTCCGTTGTTACCTAGAAAATCAACTGCATGGCATTTTTATAACCTTACCCCATGTAAAAAACATATATTGAAATGTACTAATAAATGCAGACTACATTACTTGAAAAATGGTAATACAGAATGCCACTTTTAATAGTTGAGGATATGAATTTTTGGTAGAAATAATGTAAAATAAAGCTTCTGGTAAGCCTTGGGTAGTTAGATTTACATCAGTGTAAAGTAGGATGAAAATCTGTAAAAAATAAAAACAAAGAAACAAAAACCTACACCAACAAAACCCTAACATCCACCAATGCATACATATTGATCTTTGTGCTGGGAAAATCTAAAGCAGAACATTTTGGTTAACTTGATAGTTATTTATTTTGACTATATTGGCATGTTGCTAAAACTGCTTATATTTAATTTGAGTGAAACATGTCCACATTATTAAAAGGGTTGTTTTTTACTATGAATGATGGATGTAAAGTCTTGATCCTCACCCAGATAAATATGGCAACACTTTCTTCTGCTTCTTTCGAACTGAGACATTATGAAAGCTCAAATTTGAAGTGAGAGGGACTTAACATCAGAGCCTGAAAAACCAAGAGGAATGAGGTAGGATGGTCAGCTCTGAAGCTCAGGGTGGCCTAGGGAAACTCAATATAATGATGTCAACTATGAAGCTTACTAGGTAAAACTACAAATAGGCTGATCTCATTTCACAGAGGTAAGCCCACACTCCCCTTTCCAAAAAAGTAAAAAACAAAACAAGCAAATAAAACTAAAAATACAAACTTGAAAACACCATGGCTTAAATTTGGTGGGAAGAAGCCTGTGGGACAAAAAATAGTGGTGCCAAAAGAATTGAGCCAGCTGGGTGTGGTGGCTCATGCCTGTAGTCCCAGGAGTTTGGGAGGCCGAGGTGGGCAGATCACCTGAGATCAGGAGTTCAAGAACAGCCTGGCCAATATAGTGAAGCCCCATCTCTACTAAAAATACAAAAAATTATCCAGGCATGGTGGCAGGTGCTGTAATCCCAGCTACTTGGGAGGCTGAGACAGGAGAATAGTTTCAACCCAAGAGGTGAAGGTTGAAGAGAGCCGAGGTCATGCCATTGCACTCAAGCCTGGGCAACAAGAGAGAAACTCCATCAATTAAAAAAAAAAAAAGAATTGAGCCAGAATAAAATGTATTTAAGGGTTATTAATGGGAATGTTTCTAGCACATAAGTATTTGTTCCACTTCTTATTATATTATATTAGTAATATCCTTTCATGTAATATCAGCTTCTCCAAGATAGGGATGTCAAAGACAAACTAAGACAAGTGCCTAATATGTCATAGGCATTTTGTTATCAAATTTAACAAACTTGTAATGATTATATAAATTTTACTGAATTGTGTTTTATGTATAAGCCTCACCTAAAGGCATTATCCAGTACATACAACCTTGAGTGTTTTCTGGGATTTTCTGTTGCCTGATTTCAAATCAACCTTATTGAAATTCTAGCAATTTCTCCAGTCCCAGATGTAAAAATAAAAAAGCAGAAATAAAGCCAAATTACCCCCAAAAGGATACACATTATGCATATAGAACAAATGAACCCAAAACCACATAAGGTAAACAACAAATCTACTGGTCCAAAATTCAGCCTAACTTCAACAGTACCAGGCAAAAACCATTTGTAGAAATTACCAAAGTCAATATAGAAACCCTTAGTCTATTATGCCAATAAATATGGGGGAACCTGCCCCGATAGTCAAGTAGGTTGTTTTCTATTTTCCCTAAGTGTCTGCCAGTTTGAGAAATAAAGGGAGAGAGTACAAAAGAGAGAAATTTTAAAGCTGGGCATCCAGGGGAGACATCACATGTCAGTAGGTTCCATGATGCCCCCCAAGACACAAAACCAGCAAGTTTTTATTAGGGACTTTCAAAAGGGGAGGGAGTGTACGAATAGGGTGTGGGTCACAAAGATCACGTACTTCACAAGGTAATAGAATATCATAAGGCAAACGGAAACAGGGCAAGATCACAGGACCACAGGACCGGGGCAAAATTAAAATTGCTAATGTAGTTTCAGGCACCATTGTTATTGATAACATCTTATCAGGAGACAGGGTTTGAGAGCAACCAGTCTGACAAAAATTTATTAGGCAGGAATTTCCTCTTCCTAATAAGCCTGGGAGCACTACGGGAGACTGGGGTTTATTTCATCCCTACAGTTTTGACCACAGAAGATGGCCACACCCAAGGAGGACATTTATAGGCCCACCCTCAGGGGTGCATTCTCTTTCTCAGGGATGTTCCTTGCTGAGAAAAAGAATTCAGTGATATTTCTCCCATTTGCTTTTGAAAGAAGAGAAATATGGCTCTGTTCCACCCAGCTCACCAGTGGTCAGAATTTAAGGTTATCTCTCTTATTCCCTAAACAACTGCTGTTATCCTGTTCTTTTTTCAAGGTGCCCAGATTTCATATTGTTCAAACACACATGCTTTACAATCTGTGCAGTTAATGCAATTATCATAGGGTCCTGAGGTGGCATACATCCTCCTCAGCTGACAGGATTAAGAGATTAAAGTAAAGACAGGCATAGGAAATCACAAGGGTATTGATTGGGGAATTGATAAGTGTCCAAGAAATCTTCACAATTTGTGTTTAGAGATTGCAGTAAAGACAGGCATAGGAAATTATAAAAGTATTAATTTGGGGAACTAATACATGTCCATGAAATCTTCACAATCCACATTCTTCTGCCGTGGCTTCAGTCAGTCCCTCCATTTGGGTACTGTGACATCCTGCAACAAATAAAAAATTACCATTTAAAAATACATTAAATATAACAGAACGTATACAATTACAATAAAATATTTTTAAATGATAATCTTATTTTCAAATATTTACCACATTTAGACAAGACTTTTAATGAAAAATACTTATAGCTACAATGTATGAATTAAAATAGCCCTGGAAGAAATAGTAATTCTATACATAATAAAGATTAAGGCAGGGTGCAGTGGCTCACACCTATTATCCCAGCACTTTGGGAGGCCAAGGTGGGCAGATCACCTGAGGTCCGGAGTTCACTACCAGCCTGGCCAAGATGGTGAAACCCCATCTCTACTAAAAATGCAAAACTTAGCCAGGCCTGGTGGCAAGCCTCTGTAATCCCAGCCACTTGGGAGGCTGAGGCAGGAGAATTGCTTGAACCTGGGAGGTGGAGGTTGCAGTGAGCTGAGATTGCACCATTGCATTCCAGCCTGGGTGACAAGAGTGAGAATCCATCTAAAAAAAAAGTAAAGCTTCAAGCTTGTGGAATAATTTATCCTGGACACACAACTAATGTCCCAAATTAAGCTGAGATGTGTTTGATTTTAAAATTCTGCTTTTTCCACTGTGGACAATGGTGATGTAACAGTTAAATCTTGGTCTCAGAGTTGGTGGTTGGGAATAAATCAAGGCAAGCACTTTTATGCTTTGTTTTATATTCTTTATCACCAACATTTTCTTCTCTAATATGTCAGTATTTACATTTGGACCACAGCTGACTTTTACTGAAGTCTACTATAAAACATGGCTAAATTGAAAATTAATGTGATCATAAAATGATTTGTCATGAAAGCAGGTATATTTTTCTTTTTTTTTCTTTTATTATTATACTTTAAGTTTTAGGGTACATGTGCACATTGTGCAGGTTAGTTACATATGTATACATGTGCCATGCTGGTGCGCTGCACCCACTAACTTGTCATCTAGCATTAGGTATATCTCCCAATGATATCCCTCCCCCCTCCCCCCACCCCACAACAGTCCCCAGAGTGTGATGTTCCCCTTCCTGTGTCCATGTGATCTCATTGTTCAATTCCCACCTATGAGTGAGAATATGCGGTGTTTGGTTTTTTGTTCTTGCGATAGTTTACCGAGAATGATGATTTCCAATTTCATCCATGTCCCTACAAAGGACATGGATACCAAAACAGAGATATAGATCAATGGAACAGAACAGAGCCCTCAGAAATAATGCCGCATATCTACAACTATCTGATCTTTGACAAACCTGACAAAAACAAGCAATGGGGAAAGGATTCCCTATTTAATAAATGGTGCTGGGAAAATTGGCTAGCCATATGTAGAAAGCTGAAACTGGATCCCTTCCTTACACCTTATACAAAAATCAATTCAAGATGGATTAAAGACTTAAATGTTAGACCTAAAACCATAAAAACCCTAGAAGAAAACCTAGGCATTGCCATTCAGGACATAGGCATGGGCAAGGACTTCATGTCTAAAACACCGAAAGCAATGGCAACAAAAGACAAAATTGACAAATGGGATCTAATTAAACTAAAGAGCTTCTGCACAGCAAAAGAAACTACCATCAGAGTGAAAGCAGGTATATTTTTCAAGTTTCAGCTCAGTCACAAATTTGTATCTATTTGAATTTTTTGAAAATTTCTGACATATACTGAAGTAAATATCAAATGTATTGTTTTATTCAATTGTTTGGATTCAATTAAAAAATAATTTATATTCAAGTTTGTTGTTATATTTACTTTTGACCAAATTTGACTTTCCAAACAAGAAAAGCTAAAGCATTTTTTTCAAAGGTTCAAGGGACTTAAGCTTACTGGCATCAAATGTTCTGTAGTAAAACAAACAGGCAAATAAAACCTAATATTTTTATCAATAATAATTTAATAGTTTTATGTCTGAGAACTTAAGAATCAACGACATCAACTCCAGATGATGTCAATTGCATAATTACACTGGTAAGATAGAAACTGATTATCAGAGTCTAACAAATGATGGATATGGCAACCTAACACTTGACAAAACCATTCAGGATGTGTTAGAAAAACAAGAAGGTACTACTAATGTAAAGCTTTTTCTTTCTCTAACTTTACTTTTTTTTTTTTTTTTTTTTTTTTGAGATGGAGTCTCACTCTGTTGCCCAGGCTGGAGTGCAGTGGTGCAATCTCGGCTCGCTGCAAGCTCCGCCTCCCGGGTTCACGCCATTCTCCTGCCTCAACCTCCCTAGTAGCTGGGACTGCAGGCACCCACCATGACGCCTGGCTAATTTTTTGTATTTTTTAGTACAGACCGGCTTTCACTGTGTTAGCCAGGATGGTCTCGATCTCCTGACCTTGTGATCCACCTGCCTCAGCCTCCCAAAGTGCTGGGATTACAGGCCTGAGCCACCGAGCCTGGCCCAACTTTACTCTTTATTCTCAACCTTACAACCATCAGATACTCCTGTACACAGAATAAGAAAAATCAACTATTTTTCCTTGAAGGCAATGTTTCATCTTTTATGTTATAATATCTGTTCCACATTTCTGTGAAAATGCTGTTGAAGTGCACCTTCCTTCCTTCACCAGAGATTGCCTGTGTGAATTTGAATAGATGGTCACTGGAGGGGACCAGCTTGGCACACTGGGTTGAATTGTCTCTTTGCTTTTCAGACAAAGTGGCTTTGAAAAGACTGAAAGTAAAGTGACTGCTGATTAAGCAGATGGCTTGCCATGTCAATAGGACAATTGTTTGAAAATCACATCGCATGAACTATAACTATTAAAATGAGAAATGCATGATGCAAATATTGCACAAAAAAATAGAATGAAAATGATGAATACAGCCAAAAAAGACAGCCAAACTCAATTTTAGCAATAAAGTAAAATATAATCTACTGTCAGGGGAAGGTAACTTGAAGTACTTGAGATGTTCTTTAATTTAAAAATCCAAAAATATTTTTAGCTTTAGTTGTGATAAAACATGTTTAAGCATTTTCTATTTGAAATAAAACTTTAATTTCATGCTTTGTCGGTTTAGTTTCCCTAAATAAATAGAAAATAGTAAAATATCACATACTAAAAAAATCAACTTCTTTGGTAATAAATAAGTGCAACTGTCAGACCAAAACATAGTTACATTTTACCCAATGTCATGCTGACCAATTCGATCAAACGCCACTTCCTTATAACTAAGAGAGATGCAAAGATGTAGACTTTATGTTGAGTGAGACAGGTAAGGATTACTAGGAGGTAGATAATTGTTTTACTAATCAAGGTCGATTTTCATTACTATTTTGTCTCTATGTTAATTAATGGTCTTGATTCAAGAAAATTTTTTTAAAAACTCATCTTTTCAGTCAGGCAAAATATTAACAAAAAGGCATAGAAATGAAGGCATTTAACACAGTCATAGTTTACATTTTAAAATTAAAATACTTCTAGAAATAACAAAGAAAGAAAAAAGACACATATAAAAACAAACGAACTTAATTTTTGGTGCAAAGCACTCATTACTAAGCCTAACACAAATATTTTGGTGAAGGCTTTCTAACACTGACATTCTTCTCATGACTTAAAAGAGCCACTAATTTTACTTTTGACATATATTTAGTTTTAATGTTAAAAGCTAAAAGGAGCCTATTATTTTATTTATAATTTGTGGTCTGCATGTACATCATCATCCATTGAGTCGACTAAAGTTTCTGAAAGTTTCAGAAACAGTAACATAAGAATACTTTTTCCGGCCATGCATGTTGTCTCACGCCTGTAATCCCAGCACTTTGGGAGGCCGAGGTGGGGGGATCACCTGAAGTCAGGCATTTGAGACCAGCCTGATGAACCTGGTGAAACCCCATCTCTACTAAAAATACAAAATTAGCTGGGCGTGGTGGCACATGCCTGTAACCCCAGCTACTCCTTTAATGACCACATGTGAAGTTTCTTTTGAACTAATTTTAACTACCTATTTTTATTGCTTTTTTGCTCCTATTAGAAAAAATATTAAAGTTTCTGTTACTACAATCTATTCAAATCTAAACATAGTGCTTATCTTAAAAGATCTGTATGCTTGGAATTATGGAAATCCTATTCTCCATTTAAAATACTGCTTTTCAGTAAGCCAAATGGGGCAATTGTGGCTCACAATCATAAGTTATTAAATATTAATACCATCATCTAGATGGAACTTTTAGTTATCTGCATGTTCAAATTGTTTTAACTTGTAATAAGTCAGAAACAATAAATTTTTATAAACTATAAAAATAAACTAAAACTATATTTATCAATGCATTTTTTTTGGTTTTAGAATACTTAGCCCCAGGATTATTTCTAGTTGACATAACACTAGATTTCAGATGATGTGGATGTAGAAACTAGAGACGTCCTGGTTGACTCTGCTTCACTTTCTGCCTTCATTTAGCACACAAGCATATCGGCACAATGAAAGCCAGCAATGCTAACCCTTTTGAAAAACACACCAGTGCCCTTCTACAGAGAATATATGTGTGAAAAGATTCATCTGAAAGTCATGCCATCTTCTTTTTGATTTACAGACTTATATATGACAAATAACACAAATAAAAATTTAACACTGCCATATAATCAGAAAATTATTCTAAAAATTCCTTCTGACACATTATTCTTTGTCACCAAAATGGTTGTGATGAAATAATTGCCTTTGCAGGACTGTTGTCTTAAATAACCAATACTCCTGTTTCATTGTTCTTGAACTTTAACCATAATAGAAATTTTATTTCCTAATTATGTCACTTAGGTGTGATTATCATAGCTTCATATTTTCAAAAATGGTTCTAAAAAAACTAAACCACTGACCATCTTTGTTTCCCAAAGAGTAATAAGTTAACACTATCATCTAGCATACTGTAAATAGATGAAAAATAAAAATGTAGAGCAGGGGTGTCCAATCTTCTGGCTTCCCTGGGACACACTAGAAGAATTGTCTTGAGCCATACATAAAATACACCAATGATGATAAAAAAATCACAAAAAACTCATAATGCTTTTAGAAAGTTTATGAACTTGTTTAGGGCTGTGCTGAAAGCCATACTGGGCCACGTGAAGCCTGTAGGCCGTGAGTTGGACAAGCTTGATGGACAGTCATTTATTTTAGCTGCACACCCAAGACTAAGGCCAAGAGCTTTCAGAGAAAGTAGCTTATAGGATGTCAGGAGACCTGTTATAGAAACATTCACCCCTATGTCTAAAGGGGACAAAATTCTATGTCTTCCACCCTTAATTCCAACCATTAAACAAAACTGGAGAAATCTAACATGGCATTATATCACAAAGTATTTTATTATTTTTATTTTGGATTCAAGGATACACGTGCAGATTTGTAACATAGGTATACTGCATGACATTGAGGTTTGGGCAATTAATAATCCCATTGCCCAAATAGGGTACATTATACATCACAAGTACTTTTAAACCCCTGTACCCCTTCTCCCTCCATTTTGGAATCCTTAGTGTTTATTGTTCTCATCTTTGCTTCCATGTGTACCCAATGTTTAGCTTCCACTTATAAGTGAGAAAATGTAGTATTTGGTTTTCTGTTCTGTGTTAATTTGCTTAGGATCATGACCTTGAGCTGTATCCATGTTGCTGCAAAGAGTATTACATGATTCTTCTTCAGTGGCTGCATAGTATTGGATGGTGTGTAATTACATAATTTTTAAAATCCATCTTAAAATTTATGAGCACATGGTTTCATTCCATGTCTTTGCTATTGTGACTAGTGCTGCAATAAGCATACGAGTGCAGGTGTAATTTATTTGTATTTGGGTATACGCCCAGTAGTGAGGCTGCTGGGTCAAATGGTAACTTTGGTTTTAGTCCTTTGAGAAACCCCCAAAATACATTCTACAAAAGCTGAACTAATTTGCATTCCCACTAAGATTATATCAGGGTTCTCTTTTCTACACAATTTTAACATCTGTTTTTTTTTTTTTTTTACTTTTTCATAATAGCCATTTAGACTGGGGTGAGATGGTATCACATTGTGGTTTGGATTTACATCTCTCTAATCATTAGAAATGTTCATCAATTTTTCATGTTTGTTGGCTGCTTTTTTTGTCTTTCTTTTAAAAGTATAGGTTCACATTTTTTGTCAACATTTTTTCTTAAATTCCTTATAAAACATATATATTAGTTATTTATTGTATGCAGTTTACACATATTTTAGCCCATACTATAGGTTGTCTGTTTATTTTGTTAATAGTTTCTCTTGCTGTGCAGGTCACAATTTTTAATTTTTATTTTTGTTGCTTTCACTTTTGAGGATGTAGTCATTAATTCTTTACAGAGACCAATGCCAAGGAGAGAATTTTCTAGGTGTTCTTCTAGGATTTTTATAGGTTGAACTCTTACAGATAAGTCTTTAATGTATCTTGAGTTAATTTTCTATATCATGAGAAGTAGTGGTCGAGTTTTCCTCTTCTGCATATGACTAAACAGTTTTTCCAGCACCTTTTATTGGGTAGGGAGTTCTTTCCATTTGTTTCTGTTGATGCTGTCAAAAATCAATTAATTGCAAGAGTTCAGCTTCATTTCAGGGCTCTCTCTTCTATTCAGTAGGGGTGTGTGTGTGTGTGTGTGTGTATCTGCATCCATATTATATTGGTTACCGTAGCTTGTGGTAAAGTTTGAAGTTTGGTAACATAATGTCTCCAGGTTTATTCTTTTTGTTTAGTATAGCCTTGGACATTTGAGCTTTTTTGTTTTCATATAAATTTTAGAATAGTTTTTTTGTCTAATTTTATAAAAAATGGCATTGGTAGATTGATAGAAATAGAAATAAACTGTCGATTGCTTTGGGCAGTATGAAGTTTTTAATAATTCTAATCCATTATCATGAAATACTATTCCATTTATTTGCACTGTGTCTGATTTCTTTCAGTAGTGGTTTGTAGTTCTTCTAGTAGAGATATTTAACCTCCTTTGTTTAATGGATTACTATTTTATTTTTTGTTTCTGGCTATTGTAAACTGGATTGTGTTCTTAATTTTGCTCTGCTTAAGTGTTACTGGTGTATAGAAATGTTCCTCATTTTTGAATGTTGTTTTGCTTTTTGTTGTTGTTGCTGAGATTTTGATGAAGTCTTTTATTAGGCTTAGGAGTCTTTTGGAGGAGTCTTTGAAGTAGGTAGAAAATTATATCATCAGTAAAGACAGATAAGCTGATTTCCTCTTTTGTTATTTGAGTGCTTTTTCTTTCTTTATCTTGCCTGATTGTTCTGGCTAAAACTTTCAGAACTGTGTTGAATAGGAGTGGTGAAAGTGCACATTCTTTTCTTATTTCAATTTTTAGGAAGGATGCATTAATCTTTCACCTGTTCAGTATGGTGTTGGCTGAGGATTTGTCCTATATGGCTGTAATTATTTTGAGGTATGTTCCTTCAATGCCTAGTTTTTTGAGAATTTTTTTCAAAAATAGATATTACATTTTATTAATTGCTATTTCCACATCTATTGAGGTAATGTGGTTTTGTTTGTTAATTATTTTTATATGCTGAATCACATTTATAGATTGCACATGTTAAAACATTCCTGCATTCACAGAATAATGTCCACATAGTTGCAGTGAAATAACTTTGATTTCCTGACTCAGTTTGCAAGCATTTCATGAATAATGTTTGTGTCTGTATTCATCAGGGATATTGGCCTGTAATTTTTTTTGGTTGTGTCTTTACCTGATTAATATATCAAGATGAGACTGATATTATATGATAGAATTAATTAGGAAGGAGTCCCACTTTGATTTTTTGGAATACTTTCTGTAGAATTACAGCCAACTCATTTTTGTATACATGATAAAATCATGCTGTGAATGCATCTGGTTTAGCACTTTTTATAATTGGTAGTTTTTTTTTATCACCAATTCAATTTGCTTGCACATTTTTGGTTTCTTCAAGACTTCTGTTTATTCCTGATTCAATCTTGGGAGGTTGTATATTTCTAAGAGTTTATTCATTTCCTCTAGACTTTCTAGTTGGTGTGCACAGAGATATTTATAGTAGTCTGCAAGTATCCTTTGTATTTTTGTGGGATTGGTTGTCACAAATGTAACATTTAAATAGATGCATAATGAAAGTGTAACAATATCTCCTCATAATAAATCTCTTTAACCAGTTATAAAATAAATGCAATTCAAGTTAATGTCATATGTAACAACAATGCACACCTAACATACTAAATAAGGAAAAACTAAGCCTTTTCTCTAAGAGCTAGAACAAGACAAGGATGTCCAATTTCTCCAATCCATTTTTTTTTTTTTTGAGATGGAGTCTCACTCTGTTGCCTAGGCTGGAGTGCAGTCGTGCAATTTTGGCTCACTGCAAGCTCTGCCTCCCAGGTTTACACCATTCTCCTCCCTCAGCCTCCTGAGTAGCTGGGACTTCACGTGCCTGCCACCACGCCTGGCTAATTTTTGTATTTTTAGTAGAGACGGGGTTTCACCTTGTTAGCCAGGATGGTCTTGGTCTCCTGACCTCGTGATGCATCCACCTCTGCCTCCCGCAGTGCTGGGATTACAGGTGTGAGCCACCATGCCCAGCCCAATTTCTTTGATCTTACTGAACATAATACAAAATGACCAAGACAGAAAAATTATTCAATAAAATCAAAGCAATCTTAAATAAAATGAAGAAGATAAATTATATTTTCCTTGCAGATGATATAATCTTAAGCATAGAAAAACCTAGGACTTCACAAAAAATTATTAGAATAAACAAATTTATTAAACTTGCAGGATACAAAATCAACATAAAAAATTCAGTAACATTTCTATATACTAACAATAAAGTATCTGAAAATAAAACCAAAAAACAATCCCATCTACAATAATTGCAGCAGTAACTATGCTTAGAAGTGAATGTAACCAAAAGGGTGAAAGATCTGTACATTATAATCTTAAAAAAAAGTTAGAAAATAATATTCCAACAAAAAGATATTCTAATTCATAAATGGGCATGATTAATATTGTTAAATATCTGCATTACACAAACTGATATACAGATATAATAAAACTTCTATTAAAATACCAGTTAAATTCTCCACAGAAAATTTTTTAAAAATCTAAAATGTATATTGTCCCACAAAAGGCCTTAATAGCTAAGAAAATCAAGCAAAAAATGAAAAATAAAAGGCTGAAGGAATCACTCTACCTGACTTTTAAATGTCCAACAAGCTACAGTAATCAAAACAGAGTGTTACTTACATAAAAATGGACACAAAGGCCAACAGAGCAAAAGAGAAAGACCAGAAATAAATTCATGTATTTACAGACAACTGATTGTAAATAAAGATGACAATTTTTTTAAAAAAAGAGCAGTCTGTTTTATAAATGATATTGAGAAAATATATATCCACATGCAAAATAATAAAATCAGACCTTCATCTCACACCATATATAAAAATTAACTCAAATTAGATACTTAAATATGAGACCTGAAAATCTAAAACTAAGATGAGGACATATAGAATGAATGCCCCATAACATTGGTCTGGGCAGTGACTCTTGGGTTTAACCTCAAAATTTTAGGGGAACATAGACAAATCAGATTCCTTAAAATTAAGAAGCTGCTGCACACCAACAGATACAATCAGCAGAATGACATAACTGAAAAATGGAAGAAAATATTTGCAAATTACACATGTGAAAAGCAGTTAATATCAAAAATATACAAGAAACTCAAAGGACTATACAACAAAAAACAAATAACCATGAAAAATAAGCAAAAGATCTATATAAATAATTTTCAAAGAAAGACATACATATAGCTTGGCAGACAGATGAATATGGCTCAAAGTCAATTATCATCAAGGAAAGGCAAACCAAAACAACTCTAACATATAAACTCACTCCTGTTAAAATGTTTAAAAAATTGTTGGTAAACTTGAAAAAAGAGAAAGAGGGGAGCTTTCACACTGTTTGTGTCAATGTAAATAAAAACAGCCATTATGAAAAATAGAAATTTTGCAAAACAAACTCTAACATGTAATTGAACTACTGGATATCTATCACAAAACAAATGAAACTAGATTGATGAACAGACATCTGCAATTGTGTTTGTTGCAGCACACTTTGCAGAAGCCAAAACATAGAATCAACATATGTGTCCATCATCCAATGATGAAATACAGACACTATGGTATATATATACAATCGAATACTGTATTTTCAACAGAAAATCTTATTTTTAATCACAAAGATAAACCTAAAGGACACTATAGTTGTTGAAATAAGGCACAGAAAAGTTAATATCTCATGATTTCACTCACATGTGGATTCTACAAAACATATCTTGATTACATAATTACAGTTGAATAAGAAAAATAAGTTCAAGAGATTATAATGCATGTATTGTATTTCTGAAAAAATACTGACAGTAAATATTGTCTTCTCACCACAAAAATAATAACTATGTGAGGCAAAGCATTTGACAATTAGCTAAAATTAGGCATTGACAATGTATATTTACTTCAAAATACTATTTCACAAAATAAATACATATTTCATCTGTGAATTTAAAAATATATTTATAAAAACTATTAAAAATGACAATGTTTCAAATTCTGACCGGTGTTTTTGTCATAAACCTGTCTGAATAGTATGAAAGATACATAATTTCTGTGCTGTTTTGTCACCTAGTCAGTCATGACCATATGAACTCTAATATTTACCACCATGTTCGGCACCCAGCACAGAGCATGGGAGAAGCCAATGTACCTTAGGGCTTTTATTTTGAGCTTGGGACAACTGGAGTTTCTGGTGCTGGTGGTAATGATAGGGAAGACACAAAAAGGGCAGCTCTTGCTGTGTTTCACATGATTAAACCACTCTGAAGAGAGTAAATAAGTTTGCATCCCAGATCACTGAAGAAATTTTTTAATTCAAAAGATGCCATGATCTTTAAAATTTTTCCAGATAAAATGACCAAGGAGTTGACTAGTTAGGTGACAAAGACTGAAACCTCTAAAGTGTAAACTGCACCCAATAAAAAAGTACATTATACAAGTGTGAGAAATTCCTCAAGATTTTAACATTAATATGAAAAAGATTATTTCACATGTGAAATCCACAGGTGTCATTCTATTATTTTTGAATATTTAACATTCACACCAAAAAAAAGATTCTGAATGAAAACTTAAGTTGAGCTGTAAGTATGTAATAAAAAATTAAGTTTAACATTCTCCACTTACCATTAACTCTTCTAAAAGTTTAATTTCTAAGACATATCTTCTAACTAATTTTATATTTTCCACACATTGTGTTAATTTTTTTTTTTTTTGAGATGAAGTCTCGCTCTGTCATCAGGCTGGAATGCAGTTGTGCAATCTCAGCTCACTGCAACCTCTGCCTCCTGGGTTCAAGTGATTCTCCTGCCTCAGCCTCCTGAATGGCTAGGTCAACAGGTGCATGCCACCATGCCCAGCTAATTTTTGTATTTTTAGTAGAGATGGGGTTTCACCATATGGGCCAGGAAGGTCTCAACTTCTTGACCTAGTGATTCTCCCACCTCAGCCTCCCAAAGTGCTGGGATTATAGGTGTGAGCCACCACACACAGACTGTGTTAAAATTTAATAAAAGTTTGGTTTTACAAAGATAATAAATTCTGACTGATTTATTCCTCTCACCTGTGAACACTGCATGCCTTTTATCTCAATTAACAGATCTGAAATTTACATTGACAAACTTTCATCAGAACCTACAAAGTACTGTGTGAAGTGACATGGCACAAAACAAACAGCAATAAAGATGTAACCATAACACAAAGAATAAAAAGAAGGGCTGTGATGCATACACAGTTGGGATAAACATAAGTAGACACACAAACAAAACTAAAGATAATCAGAAAATAAGCAGAATGTCTCTTTAAATTCAGAAAGAGTCAATTTTGCAGCATAAGAACAATGTCCTCTCCATATACAGAATCGATTTTATTTCTTCACCATGTGTATTTCCTTATCTTTACTTGGAGCTACAAACTAACTCCAGCAGAAATATTTGTGGCCAATAATGGTGCATCTATTACACAGCAAGCATTGTGTTTGCTACATTTACATATCAAAATATCTTTATGACTTATGAAGCCTCCCCAGCATTTACCTAAACAAATTGGCTGAATGAATAAATTCACGTATGTCAATTATAAAGAGTAAAAGGAACAATAATAAAGGAAACTTAGCTTACACAGGTTTCTCCAATTAAAATAACAAAATGGGGTGTTCTAACTAAATGAAATATAAGTTGGTAGGATGCAGTGGCTCATGCCTGTAATCCCAGCACCTTGGGAGGCCAAGGCGGGTGGACCACCAGGTCAGGAGTTCAAGGCCACTCTGGCCATTATAGTGAAACACAGTCTGTACTGAAAATACAAAAACTTTAGCTGGGCATGGTGGCACATGCCTGTAGTCCCAGCTACTTAGGAGGGTGAGGCAAGAGAATTGCTTGAGCCCAGCAGGTGGGGGTTGTAGTGAGCTGAGATCCCACCACTGCACTCTAGCCTGGGTGACAGAGTGAGACACCATCTCAAAAAAAAAAAAAGAAAAGAAAAAAGAAAGCAACAAAAGAAATATAAGTTAATACACTCATTGTGAAATAACATTGAAAAATTATTTTGCATGCATTAGTAAATTTTACAAAAATTCTTAGAATACCTGAGCAACTCACATAATGAATACTTAATAAATTATAAACACAAAAAATATGAAAAAAAATATCAGTCTACCATGAGTACCAGGCACATGAAAGAAAGAATTTGCATGGAAAGATTCGGAAACGCAATCCATAAGACTTCACAGTAATTAATTAAATAAAATACAGAGAATACAGATATTATTCAAAATCACGGAGGTTTCTGGTCTTCTAGTAAATGATTTGTCCACTTTATTAAAGTGATATTTTGTTCCAATATTTCTTGTCTTCTGAAAATAGGTACACTCACACTCACACAATTACTTGCCCCACAAATTTCTTACACCTAATGTTTATATTAAGAGTAAAATATTTGTATATTTAACACCATGTAAGTAAAAAACTAACAGTCTGTATGAGTTTACGGGCAGAGAGGCCACTTGTTCAACATATATATGAACAATTTTTAAAAATATTCATTCAGGACTTAGAAATGTGGGATTTCTTATTATACTACTATGTAATTATTATTATGACCATAAAAAACCTCTGTAGCAAGTAATAATTTACTTGTACATTTTTAAATAACTAAAAATGTTTAATTGGATTGTCTGTAACACAAAAAATAAATGCATTATGTAATGAATACCTCATTTACTCTGATGTGATTACAAGTTGTATGCCTGTATGAAAATATTCTATATATGCCATAAATAGGTAAACAATACTATGTTCCTACAAAAATTTAAAACGTTAAACAAATGTACATTTTTACCCATTGAAACAATACTCTTAAACTTTTCAGTTTAATGCCACAGGCAAAAGAGATTGCTAGAGAGCTCATTCTACTATGTTACCATTTTTATCTACATCTTTAATAAGGTGGGACACGTTAAAGTTGGTGACATAACACTTAACTAAATGCAGGTCTTAAAAAGTTTAAAACTATTCCCTTTAATTTAAAAGCTAAGTTATCACAGTCTTATAAAAGAATTTTAAAATTCCCTACATTTTATTACATAAAAGTACAATTGGTAAAACAATTTACTACTAAAACTCAAAGTTTTCCTTTCACTATAATGCAGAATATTACTCTAAACACATAACTCATGTATCACATGAAAAATGTTAAAAGTCAGCCATAAAGAGCCTCTCCAATTAGATTTTCAATATACATCTTACATTTTAATATCCTTACTCTTCCACGGAAAAGTTAATGAATGATGCCTACCTAATAAGAAAGGAATCTCTCAGATTTCTGATGCAACAGAAATTGATGACATGCTTTTACACAAACAACAGGAAAAAAGGAGCAGAATGAAGCAGTTTTACAGTTGAATTACCTCACTATTTGCTTTTCAAAAAATCTACATTTTTTTCAAGGAAAAACGTATATCTTGAATGTAATTATAACTCTCCAAAAAATAATCTTCCACTCCTCTTAAACTTATATACAAATAAATTATCCAACAGTTTTAGCTTTGGATTACTTTCTATACAGAACATTCTGATTTAGTGTAACGTCTTAAGTGCCAGTGCCTTAATTCTTCCTATTGTGAATTTTCTAAAGTTTACAAAGACTTAATTTTGACTAAATATTTTTACACATGTATTCCATCTGCAAAAATATCTTTTATTATAAACTGCATGGTGTTTTTTAAGCTGTAGTTTCTGAACAAATGTTTTTCCACATTTATTACATTTGTATGGTTTCCTTCAACATAAATTCTCTGACGCTGAACAAGTTTGAGTAATTCCTTTAGAGTTTTCTTCTAGCATAAAATCTGTACATTATATAGGGCAAGTAAAGGTATTACAACCCTCTTTATATTTGTAATGTTTGTCTCCAGAGTACTCTTTTTTAAGGGTTTAAATTTTCCAAGGTCTTTCAAAAGTAATTACATTTATAATAATTTTATTAAGTATGAACTTCCTGATGTTGACTATGATGTGAGCAAATAGAAGTGGCTTTTCCACACTCTGTACAATTTTTCAAGTATAAACGCCTTTATGTGCCATAAGGTATGAGCATGTTAGAAGTTTTGACACATTCTTTGTTTGTAGAGATTTTCTCCACTATCAATTATTTTACCTACAGTAAGATGTGACAACCATTTAAAGGCCTTGCCACATTGTTCAGTTTTCTAAGGTTTCTGACTGATATTTCTCCAATGCTTAGGAAAGTTTGAGGTGTATTCATAAGCTTTGCTAAACTTTTTTAGGTTCATAGGCATAATCTTTAGTATGAATTATGGCTGGATATATTTGAGCAATACTTAAAAGATTTTGCCACAGTCTTCCGATTTGTATGATTTTTTTCCAGTATGAATTCTCATAAGTTTAGTAAGGCTAAAGGACTGGTTAAAGGCTTTCCCACATTCTTTACATTTGTGGGATTTCTCTTCAGTATGAACTCTCTTATATCGAGTAAACTTGAGCAACAAGAAAAAGTTTTGCCACATTCTTGACATTTGTAGGGTATCTCTCCAGTATGAACTCTCTTATGTTTAGTAAAGCTTAAGGACTGGTAAAAGGCTTTGCAACATTCTTCACATTTCTGGATTCCTCTCCAGTATGAATTCTCTTATGTATAGTGAGGCCTGAAGACTGCTTAAAAAGCTTTGCCACATGCTTCACATTTGTAGGGTTTCTCTCCAGTATGATTTCTCTTATGTTCATTCAGTTTTGAGGAGTGTTTAAAGACTCTGACACATTCTTCACATTTATAGGGTTTCTCTTCAGTACGAATTCTCTGATGTATAGTAAGCTCAGAGGACCACTTAAAAGCTTTGCCACATTCTTCACATTTGTACAGTTTCTCTTCAGTATGAACTATCATATGCTTAGTAAGGCTTGAGGAACAGTAAAAGCCTTTGCCACATTCTTCACATTTGTAGGATTCCTCTCCACTATGAGTTATCTAATGTTCATTCAGTTTTGAGGATAGTTTAAAGACTTTGCCACATTCTTCATATCTGTAGGGTTTCTCTCCACTATGAATTATCTTATGTACATTAAGGTCTAAAGACTTCTTAAAAGCTTTGCCACATTCTTGACATTTGTAGTGTTTCTCTTCAGCATGAACTATGTTATTTTGAATAAGGTTTGAGGAACAGTAAAACGCTTTGCCACATTTTTCACAATTGTATGGTTTCTCTCCAGCATGAATTTTCTTATATATAGTAAGATTTGAAGACCCTTAAAAGCTTTGATGCATTCTTGACAACTGTAGTGCTTCTCTCCAGTATGAACTATCATGTTTAGTAAAGCTTAAGGACCAGTAAAAGGCTTTACCACATTCTTCACATTTGTAGGGTTTCTCTTCAGTATGAATTCTCTTTTGAATAGTAAGCCCCAAAGACTGCTTACAAGCTTTGCCACATTCTTCACATTTGCAGGGTTTCTCTCCCGTATGAATTCTCTTGTGTATAGTAAGGTTTGAAGACCACTTAAAAGCTTT
Organism: Homo sapiens; assembly: GCF_000001405.40. NCBI lineage: Eukaryota > Metazoa > Chordata > Mammalia > Primates > Hominidae > Homo > Homo sapiens. The sequence goes on from NC_000021.9 coordinate 13,097,178, forward strand.
GCCACATTCTTGATATTTGTAGGGTTTCTCTCCCCTATGAATTATCATATGTTTAGTAAAGCTTAAAACCCAATAAAAGGCTTTATCACATTCTTCGAATTTGTAAGGGTTCTCTCCAGTATGAATTCTCTTATGTAGAGTAAGGCCTGAAGGGTGCTTAAAAGCTTTGCCACATTCTTCACATTTGTAGAATTTCTCTCCAGTATGAGCTCTCATATGTTCATTCAGTTTTGAAGATTGCTTAAAGGCTTTGCCACATTCTTCACATTTGTAGGGTTTCTCTCCACTATGAATTCTCTGATGTATAGTAAGGTTCGAAGACCACTTAAAAATTTTGCCACAATCTTTACATTTGTAGGGTTTGTCTCCAGTATGAACTATGTTATGTTGAGTAAGGCCTGAGGAATAGTAAAAAGCTTTGCCACATTCTTCACATTTATAGGGTTTCTCTCAAGTATGAATTCTTTTATGTTCTTTCAGTTTTGAGGATTTTCTAAAGGCTTTGCCACATTCATCACATTTGTAGGGTTTCTCTCCCATATGAATAATCTTATGTATAGTCAGGTTTGAAGACTACTTCAAAGCTTTGCCACTTTCTTCACACTTGTAGGTTGTATCTCCAGTATAAATTTTCTTATGTTTATTCAGTCTTGAAGATTGTTTAAAGGATTTGTCACATTCTTCACACTTGTAGGGTCTCTCTTTAGTATGAATTCTCTCAGGTATAGTAAGACCTGAAGACTGCTTAAAATCTTTGCCATATTCTTCACATTAGTAGGGTTTCTCTTCAGTATGAATTATCTGATGTTGTCTTAGGTGTGAGAACCTGTGAAAGAATTGGCCACATTCTTTACATTTGAAAGGTTTCTCTCCAGTATGTCTTCTCCTAAGTCTATTTGAATTTGAAAATTTCCTTAAGACTTTCACACATGTATTACATTGAAGTATTTTGCTCTGAGTAATCGACAAACATTGGTTAAGTCCATTGTAACCTCCTTCCTGCACCTTAGATGCATTCAAACTTTTACAGCCTTTTCTTATTTGTAAATTCTCATGTCTGCATTTCCCATATCTTCTCAGCATCACTTTTTGAAATGAATTTTTTGTGTTCTGATCTAGCCAAAGGTCTTCGGTGAAATGAAAACACAGCTGAAAGAAATAAAAATAACAAATTATCTCACTAGGCCCATGTAAATATACAAATCTATTGTTTACAAATCTAATACATAAAATTATACAAAGTACATTAGCAACATGGCATAACAAAAATACCACAGGTCTTAATTATTTTATAGACTTATAACAAAACTGTACTGACCAAAATGTCTATGGAAAATCTAGAAATGAGTTAAGTGTGTTCAGTGTACCAGGTGAGCAAAATGCCACAAGCCATACTGAATGGATAGAAAAGTTTGTTACATTTGCCCAACACCTTTACTCCTCCATAATGCAGCATGGCACTTTTAGAAGTAAACTGCAATGCCTGGCATCTTCCTCAATATAGAAAAAGAAAAAACTGGCTCGTGTAGTTTTACTTCTGGCTTCTGGGCACTTTTACAGAGACTTGTTTCTGTCTCCAGTGACAAAATGTGCTGAAAGAAATGATGGTATACTTTGAAATAACAGCTTGAGTCTGCTGAGATCAAAGGTAAATGTTACAGCAACAAACTACAGTACCACAGGCATGCAATATGTGTAGGAAGTAATTACAGACTGTTAAGAAACACAGACAAACCTCTTTAACTGAATAATCAACACAAAATTCCACACAAGACACATCATAACATATTTGATAGGCTCCCAGAATCTCTAGTTGAGACAACTGGTTTCAGATTATGTTAGGACAACACCACATTATAAAGATTGTGAGAGGTAGCTGTTTGTTAATGTCCAAATCTCAACCAAAGAGTACAATACATACAAAATATTACAGTGACATGGCCTAAGTAAAAAAAAAAACTTAAAACTGTCAGAAAACAACCATGAAAATAAAGATGTACACATTAATTTTAAAAATTTAACCTAAATGGGAACACAGGTAACTAAATAAAATCAGAAAAAAATAGAATATCAAGGAAAAGATGAAAAATATAATAGAAATTATGGAAGTAGAAAATAGAAATAGAAATAATAACTGAGGCCAGGTGTAGTGGCTCATGTCTGTAGTCCCAGCACTTTGGAGTTTGAGGCAGGCAGATCACTTGAACCTAGGGAGTTCAGGTTTAAACTGGGAAACATGGCAATACTTCTCCTCTATAAAAATTAAAATTAGTCAGGTGTATTGGCACACACCTGTGGTCCCAGTAAACAGGAGGCTGAGGTAGGAGGATCACATAAGCCTAGGGAACCCAAGGCTGCAGTAAGCTGCAATATGCCACTGTACTCAAACCTGGGTGACAGAGCAAGACACTGTCTCGAAAAATTAAGAATACCTGAGAAATTCTCAAAAGTAAGAAAATAAGGTTGTAAAAATGAAGAAGCTCAACATACTAAAACTAGGAAACACACAGATCCATAACAAGACATGCAAAGCAAAGTTCCCAAAGTCACAGACAAGAAGAGAATCTCAAATGCTGGAAAATACATAATTATGGTTCCATGATATAACCAGTGACTCTTTCAACAAAAACCTTGCAGGCCAGAAGGAAATTGTGTGCTATAGTCGAGATGCCAAGCGAAAAATAGCTTCTATGTAAGAATAATATAACCAGCAAAACTGTGCTACAAAAATGAAGAAAAAGGAAAGACCTCTAAAGATAATGAAATGTGGAAAAATTATATCAACACTACATGTGCCCTACAAAAAATGCTGAGAAGAGTCCTCCTACTAAAACTATATGATGCTAAAAAACAAAACTATCATATAAAAATAGGTAGCTTTCTAGGAAAGATATAAAGATATGCAAATATTATAGAAAAAATATCCTGTAGCATTATTATAATACCAAAAAATGTTTTATTTAATTATTCTCTAAAATTTAAAGATAAAAGCTAAAAATAATAATGAACATCTGTTAATAAATATATAACATAAATAGATATGTTTAGTGACATCAATAACTAAGCTGAAGACAGATATAATAAGAAATAATTTGTGCATGGACCCAAATTTAAATTTCACCACTTCAAAATATATTGTTGAAATTTTAAGAGGTTTTTATATAATCCTGAAGGCACCCACAAAGAAAATGTCTGTATAGGTACAAAAAAGGAAATAAGAAAGAAGTGACAGCCTATCCATACAAAAATCAAAAAGACACAAAGGAAGATAGAATGAGAAACAGACCTACAAGAATCATTAAACAATAAAATAACAATAATCTTTGTCTTCAGAAAATAAATATTTTAAAAATAGACTTGCCAATCAATACACATACATTGAATAGTGGGATTATATAAAATTTTATATACCAAGATCCAACTTGCCTTTCTTCAAGAGTCACTTGAGATCTAGTAGTGACATCAGCCTGAAAGTGGCAAGTGGAAGAAGACATTTTAGGCAAACATTAACCAAATGAGAGCAGAAGAGATCAAAATTGTATTATACAAAATATATCGTAAGTCAACAACTCTCTTATTTTATAAAATATACTCTATGTCAAAATTCACAAGAGAAAAAAGGTCATTAAACAATAATAAAGATATAATTTATTGAAAATGTATGACAAATATGTGCATACATATATTTATATGTTTGTGTGTGTATGTGTATTTCTCACATTAGGTTTCCAAAAATACGAAACAAAAATTGACAGAATTAAAGCAACAAATAAAGAGCAATATAATTATAATAAGATATTTTAATACTTCAATTTCTGCAATGAACAATAAAACAAAACAATATTAATAATGGAAAAGAGGGCCAGGTACGGTGGCTCACGCCTGTAATCCCAGCAATTTGGGAGGCCAAGGCAGGCGATCACGGGGTCAGGAGATGGAGACCATCCTGGCTAACACGATGAAACCCAGTCTCTACTAAAAATACAAAAAATTAGTAGGGCGTGGTGGCAGGTGCCTGTAATCCCAGGCACTCAGGAGGCTGAGGCAGGAGAATGGCATGAACCCAGGAGGTGGAGCTTGCAGTGAGACAAGATCGCACCACTGTACTCCAGCCTGGGTGAGAGCAAGACTCTGTCTCAAGAAAACAAAAAAAGGAAAAGAGAAACTGAAAGCAGTACAGATGGGAACAAGTGGCTCATGCTTGTAATTCCAGCACTTTGGGAGGCCAAGAAAGACAGATTACTTGAGGTAAGGAGTTTGAGACCAGCCTGGCCAACATGGCAAAACCCCATCTCTACTAAAAATAGCCAGGTGCGGTAGGAGGCGCCTATAATCCCAGCTACTCAGGAGGCTAAGGCAGGAGAATTGCTTGAACCAGGGAGGCGGGGTTTGCAGTGAGTCGAGATTGCGGCACTGCAATCCAGCCTCGGTGACTGAGCAAGACTCCATCTCAAAAAGAAAAAATATACAAAGAAAGAAGTATAAAACAATATTATGCCCTAACAAAGAATACCCCTTAACAATAGCAGGGTATAACCATTCTCAATAGCTCACATATATTCTCTTTGATAAACTGCCTGTTAGGCCATGATAAAAATAAAAACTTACTAAATCTTTAAAAATTGAAATTGATAGATTACTTTTTATGACCAAAATGGAATAAGAGTAGAAATCAACAAAAACAAAACTAAAAAATTTACAAATACATGAAAATTAAACAACACACTCTTCAGCATGCTCAAAGGGTAAAATAATTAATATTCAGCATGATCAAAGGGTAAAATAATTAATATTGTGAAGATGCCCGTACTGCTGAGTGTAATCTACAGATTTAATGCAATCCCTTTCAAATATCTAATTTTATTTTAGCAGAAATAGAAAAAGCAATCCCCAAATTATATGAAATTTTAAGAAACAATGAAACACCCAATAATCTTCAAAGAGAGGAACAACGTTGGAGGCATCACAACTCCCTGATTTCAAAACACATTATATAGACTTAAAAAAATTTGGTTTGGTTATAAAAAGTGAACTAGACCAAATAAAGAGAATGTAGTATAAATATAAACTCTCACACATATAATCACAGGAAGAGTTATTTGCACGTCCATATTTTTTTTTTTTTTAGATGGAGACTCGCTCTTGTCACCCAGGCTGGAGTGCAGTGGCACAATCTAGGCTCACTGCAACCTCTGCCTCCCAGGTTCATGCCATTCTCCTTCCTCAGCCTCCCAAGTATATGGGACTGTAGGTGCCCGCCACCACACTCGGCTAATTTTTTGGTATTTTTAGTGGAGATGGGGTTTCACCGTGTTAGCCAGGATGGTCTCGATCTCCTAACTTTATGATCCACCCACCTTGGCCTCCCAAAGTGCTGTGATTACAGGCATGAGCCACCACGCCCGGCTGCACATCCATAATTTTTACAGCATTGTTATTGAAAGGCAATAGGTGAAAGCAATGCAAAATTTTCTCCCCAGATTACTGGATAAATATAATTTGAAACATAAAAATAATGGAATATTACTCAGTGTTTAAAAACAGGAAATACAGGCCAGGCACACTGGCTCACACCTGTAATCTCAGCACATTGGGAGGCCGAGGTGGGTGAATCACCTGAGTTTGGGAGTTCGAGACCAGCCTCACCAACATGGAAAAACCCCATCTCTACTTACAAAAATTAGCCGGGCATGGTGGTGCATGCCTGTAATCCCAGCCTCCTCTCAGGAGGCTGAGGAAGGAGAATGGTTTGAACTTGGGAGGTGGAGATTGTGGTGTGCTGAGATCGCTGCACTGAACTCCAGCCTGGGTAACAAGGGCGAAACTCCGCCTAAAAAAAAGGAAATATTCTAACAAACAACCATAACAAACTTTCATGAAATTATGCAGAATAACATATGTCAGCCACAAAAAATATGGTATGAATCCACTTACATGAGATATTTAAAGCAGTTAGACTCAAAAACAGGAAAACAGAATTGTTTGTAAAGGGCCAGAAAATGGGAGAATTGAGTAGTTGTTTAATGTGTATTCAGTTTTAGTTTTGTAAGACAAAAACATTCTACAGATATATTGTATAATAATGTCAATATAGTTAATATAAACTACATATTTTTAAATTAAGATTCTAAATTTTATGTTCTTGATAATTAAAAGTAAACAGTAATAATACCTTAAAAAAGGGACAAAATTGACAGTTTTTAAAATTACCTTCAAATCAAAAAAGTGTTTCTCCCACACAAAAATAGATTCCCAAATAGATATTAGAAGTAGGAGAATTTTTATGACTACTCAGATAAAACGACCATTGATCACTCACAAACATACAAGTCATAAACAATACAGAAATAATATGTGTATACACAAACACAGAAATTATTATATTGGGAATAGAGATATGACTGATTCATATGTAACTTTGGCTCCACGCTGTCTTAAAGTGTACAGAATTGAATATTGTCATTCACAATTGTCATAAAAATAAAAACTAAAAACACAATTAACTGATGTCACTTGGCATACTCTAAAATATGAAACAAAAAAGAAATAAAATTGGCTGGGCGTGGTGGCTCATGCCTGTAATCCCAGCACTTTGGGAGGCTGAGGCGGGCGGATCATGAGGTCAGGAGATTGAGACCATCCTGACTAACACGGTGAAACCCCATCTCTACTAAAAAATACAAAAAATTAGCTGGGCATGGTGGTGGGCGCCTGTAGCCCCAGCTGCTAGGGAGGCTGAGGCAGGAGAATGGCGTGAACCTGGGAGGTGGAGCTTGCAGTGAGCCGAGATCATGCCACTGCACTCCAGTCTGGGCGACAGAGCAAGACTGTGTCTCAAAAAAAAATAAAATTAAATGAAGTAAAATGAAATAAAATAAAATTGCAAAACAAAATGAAAACATGGAATGTTAAACTTACTGAACACCATTAAGTAGATTACTACATTTGGAAAAGAAATCTTAGAAGACGAATGTAGGGAAAAAGTAGTTAGAGGGGTTATTTGAAGATAAAAGAGGATGAGAACTTTCCAAATTTTTATGTGATAAAAGAAAAACTAATACCAATCAATACTGTTTGCTTTGAAATTATTTGGAATTATTCTGGAATTAAAAATAAGGAAACAATAAAGAACTTACAAAATAAACAAAAAGTGAAGGTATTTATCACCACAGGCATGGTCCCACAAGAAATGCTACATGGTGGCCAGGCACCAGTGGCTCATGTCTGTAATCCCAGAGTCTTGTGAGGCCAAGGCAGGCAGATTAGTTGAGGCTAAGAGTTCAAGATGAGCCTGAGTAACATAGTGAGATGCTGTTTATTTTTTTATTGCCGAAAAGAGTCCATATGTTGAAAAATATAATGATGCTGAACAATCTTAAAAAACTACATGAAACTATAAACTTTCTGTTAAATGTAAATATATAAACACATATACAATTGTTTACTACCATAATCATTAAGCAAAATCTCTTAAAATTCTGCTATAGAATTTCAACAAAAAATCTGCATAAATCTGTTAATAGATACACAATATAAAATAATATTTGTAATAATGAAAAACTACAGGATGTAAGCCTGGGCACAATGGCTCATGCCTGTAATCCCAGCACTTTGGGAGGACGAGATGGGTGGATCACAAAGTCAGGAGTTCAAGACCAGCTTGGCTAAGATGGTGAAACCCCATCTCTACTAAAAATATGAAAAATTAGCCGGTCATGGGGGTGGGTGCCTGTCGTCTCAGCTACTTGAGAGGCTGAGGCAGAGCATTGCTTGAACCTGGGAGGCGGAGGTTGCAGTGAGCCGAGATCACACCACTGCTCTCCAGCCTGGGTGACAGAGCGAGACTCCATCTCAAAAACAAAACAAAACAAAACAAAACAAACAAACAAAAAACCCACTACGGGATGTAAAGAGGTATAGTTTTTGTATTCAACTGAAGTTATGACGTACTAATATTGTTATAACTTTAAAATGTTTTACATAATCTCCAATTACCTAGATAATTACAAGTTTATAGAAAGTATGCAATACAAAATGAGAAAGGAAACAAAGCATAACACTACAAACTCAAAAAAGCAAAAATTAAGACAGTAAAATAGGAAATTATGGAAAACATCTCTACAAGAAACACAAAAAATAATAACAATCAAAATGGTAATAGTAACTTCATTTCTCTATGGAATCATTTTAAACATAAATTGATTAAACTAATAATAAGAAATTAAATGGCCCAATGGAATAAGAACAAACAAAATCACACAATATGCAACAAATCACACAATATTCTTGTTCAAACATAGTGTACTCTGTTAGGACACATAACAAGCCTTATTAAGTTTAAGAAGACTAATCAGGTGTGGTGGCTCATGCCTGTAGCCCCAGCACTTTGGGAGGCCAGGACTGGAAGATTGCTTGAGACCAGGATTTCAAGAGACTCACTTTAACTTTGAGTCAAATAGGTTGAAAGAAACAGAATGAAAAAGCATATTCCATGCAAACAGTATCCACAATTAAGTGAGGTGGTCATAAATTATATTCGACAAAATACGCTGTAAATCAAAAACTAGCATGAGGTAAAGATTGTTACTATATAATGGTAACATTGGTCATTTACCAGGAATCTATAACTATTACATCTATTTAAAAGATCAGGGTTCCAAAATATATAAAGCTAATATTGACAGAAGTGAAGCAAAAAATACATAGCAACATAATAATCACAGACATTAAGACCCCACTTTAATAATGAGTGAAAGTTTAGATAAAACATCAATAAGAGAACAAAACCTGGATGACATTATAAATTGTATTAATTCATTTTGTATTGCAATAAGTACCTAAGACTGTGTAATTTATAAAGAAAAAAGATTTATTTTCTTCATAGTTATGCAAAATGTACAATAAGTGTGGTGCCAGCATCTGCATCTGGTGAGGGTCTAAGTAAGCTTACAATCATGGTGAAGGCAAAGAGAAACCAGACATATTGCATGGGGAGAGAGGGAGCAAGCGTGAAAGGAAAGTGCCAGGTTCTTTAAACACGCAGCTCTCATGTGAATTAACAGAGTGAGAACTTATTGATCACGAAGGGGATGGCGTGAAGTCATTTACAAGAGATTTGCTCCCATGACCCAAACACATCACACAAGGATCCACATCCTACATTGGGAATCCCATTTCAACATGAGATTTGAAGGGTACAAACATCCAAATCATATCATAGGCCAACTACACATTAAAAATATGTACAGGACTCTCCAGTTAAAAGGAAGAGATTACACAATATTCTTGTTCGAACTTGGTGCATTCTGTTAGGACACATAACAAGTCTTATTAAGTTTAAGAAGCCTGGCCAGGTGTGGTGGCGCAGGCCTGTAGCCCCCAGCACTTTGGGAGGAAAGACCCCTTCAGACCAGGATTTCAAAACCAGCCTGGGCAATATAGTGAGAACCCGCATTTCTACCAAAAATCAAAAAACTAGCCAGGCGTGAAAGCACACGTATGTAGTCCCAACTACTTGGGATGCTGATGTGGGAGGATTATTTGAGCCTCGGAGGTTGAGGCTGCAGTGAGCCAAGATTGTACCACTGCACTCCAGCCTGAGTGGCACAGTGAGAATCTGTCTCTCAATAGCAACAAAAATAAATAAATAAATTTAAGATGACCAAAATTATACAGTTATGTTTTCTGACTAAAATAAAATGAAACTAGACATCAAAATCAAGAGATAAACTGGCAAATTCAAAAATATATGGAAATAAAACACACTCTTTAATATATTCTTGCTCAAGGTCCAGATAATTTAATCTAAATGTGAAAACAACTCACGGTGGTGAAGAAATTCCAATGGTACATTGTTGACCAGAAATATTGTTTAAAACTTTTTAAATTGATTATGAGCTAAAACTAGCCAAACACCCATGAGAAAGAACAAAGAGGCATTAAATTTCCTGATTTCAAAATATATTAAAAAGCTATAATAAACAAAAGCAATGTGGTACTAACAGAGACAAATGAACAGATGATAGAACAAAATAGCCCAGAAATGAACCCTTCTTTATATAATCAAATAATCTTCCACAAAGCTGCCATGACTACACAATAGAGAAAAGAAAATATCTTCAACAAATGATGCTGAAAACTGAGTATCTACACTGAAAAAAATAAAGTTGGATTATTTTCTTGCACATTTTAAATAAAATAATGAAACTAAAAAACATATAACTAATACAACTCTTAGAAGAAAAAAATAGGGAAAATACAGAACACTGGTTTTGGCACTTTTTTGTAGATATGACATCATACTTATGAAAAACATAAAAACCCCCAAAATTTAACTGTGCTAAACTTCAAATTTTCTGCACACCAAAGAAAATATTTAGTAGAATGACAATGCCACCGAAGAAATGGGGGAAAATATTTGCAAATTACATGTGATGAGTTAATATTCAGAATTATAAACAACTAAAACTGAAAAACTAACAATGAATAAATTGATTTAGAAATGCACAAAGAATTGAACTGATGTTTAATCAAAAATATATATGTAAGTAGAAAAAAGCACTTAAAATAATGCAAAAAAAGTACCAATTGTAGAGAAATACAAAACAAAATTACAATCCAAAACAAAACCACCTCATACCCATTAGAATGGCCACGATAAATTTTTTAAATGCCGAATCTGTTGAGGATGTAAAGAAATTAAAACTCATGTGAATTGAGTGGGGAAAAAGGATGCAACCATCATATTATGAATGTTTCTTAAAATTTAAATTATATAATTCCACTTATAAACCTAGATTCAAATATAAATCATATTATTTGACTGGAATATAAAATACATTTTTATATATTAATATATATATAAATGGAATCCAAGAATTCCACTTATAAATCTATATTCAAACATAAATATAAATGTATACTCCAAATATAAATCTATATCCAAACAAAGAACGTGGAAGATATATTTGAATATATATTTCAAATATTGGTATAATAAATATACCAATATTTATATATTTAATATATATTAATATAATATATATTAAATATATTATACCAATATTTATATATTTTATATATAAATATAATATATATTAAATAAATAAATATATTATATAAATAAATATATATTTTATATATATTAAAAATTAAATATTGGTATAATATATTATACCAATATATTATATATAAATATATACACATATATTTATATATATACAATATATAAATATATTATACCAATATTTACAAAAGCCAAAAGGCAGAAGTAACCCAGATATCCCTTGACTGATAAACAAATTAAAAATGTGACATATACATACAGTGGAATATTATTCAGCCTTAAAATAGTAAATCTGTCACATTCTTACATAAACATTGAGATATTATGTCAACTGAAATAAGATAGTAATAAAGTGACAGATACTATATGATTCCATGATATGAGTCATCATAAGTAGTCAAATAGAAACAGAAAGGAGAATGGTATTACTCAAGGTCTAAAGAGAGGGTAAAATGGGCAGTTGTTACTTAATGGGTATTGTCTTAATTTTAGAAGACGTAAAAGTTCTAGAGGTCTTTACATAACAATGTAAATACTCTTAACAACTAAAATGTACACCTTTTTTGAGGTAGGTTCTCACTCTGTCCTGCAGGCTGGAATGAAGTCATATAATCATAGCTCACTGCAGCCTCAACCTCCCATGCACAAGTGATTCTCCTGCCACGGCCTCACAAGGAGCTAGGACCACAGGTGGACAACCCAACACCTGGCTAATTTTAAATTTTTGTGGGGAAGGGCTCTCTATATGCTGCCCAGGCTGGTCTCAAGTTCCTCGGCTTAAGCAATACTTCTGCGTCAGTTTCCCAAAGTACGGGCATTATAGGCATGAGCCTCCACCACACTCAGCACTGAAATATAGACTTAAAAAACTTTAAGATGGTAAATTTTATGTCATGTGTTTTCACATTTTTTTTTGAAAACAACTAAAAGTGATATAGGTCTTTCTATAAATCATAAAATACATAAATATATAAACATAAATCACCTTCAAATCACTAAAGTGTTTCTCTCACACAAAGAAAATATATATATTTATCATTAAACACCTAGTGAATATACCACTGTTTCTATGACTACTCACCTTCACATAATAAGACAACTGTTGAAAATCAGCCAAGAAGGCTGGGCATGGTGGCTCACTCCTGTCATGCCAGAACTTTGGGAGGCCGAGGCAGGCGGATCACCTGAGGTCAGGAGGTAGAGATCAGCCTGGCCAATATGGTGAAACCCCATCTCTACTAAAAACACAAAAAAATTAGCTGGGCATGGTGGCAGGCACCTATAATCCCAGCTACTCGGGAGGCCGAGGCAGGAGAATTGCTTGAACCTGAGAGGCGGAGGTTGCAGTGAGCAAAGATTGTGCCACTGCACTCCAGCTGGGCCTCTACTGTGGCCTGCAGACCTTGGCCTCTACTGTGGCCGCTGAAGGAGTTCAGTGACTCAGTTTCAGCTGTCTTTGCCACAGTTCACAACAATTCCTGCCAACACAGGAACCCACACAGTGATGTGGAAAAAAACTTCCAAATACTCAGTGGTAGCCACACTTACCACATCCCGACATAAGGTCCACCATATGCACACCCAATTGCAGAAATCTGTCCTAGTTTCTGCACTATAAATAAAAGTCCTGAAGGAAATCCAGCCCGCCCAGACATTAGATGGGAATCACAACAACCAAAGCCCCTGGTAAAAAGCCACTTGAAGGTTGAATCCACTGCATACCCAGCAGCCTTGTGACACAGTTATAAACTCTTCCTTACTACAAGCTCATAGGGCTTCCCATTACCCTGGGAACAAAAGAAGATCTGTACCTCCTGAAAACAGTTTATAAAAAATTAAAGAGCTGTTTGCTTCTTCAAATTTATAGACACCGGGGTAAGGCTACATGGTTCCATTGTCAATGTTTCTATTTTAACATAGCAGTGAAAGTACTTTGCAGAAGAATTAGTCAAGAAAATGACCCTAAAAATGACATTCAAATTGAGGAAAAAAATTAAAAGGTTGCTGTTTGTAGGTGACATGATCTTATAAATAGAAAACCATAAACAATACATCAAAAAATAACAAATGCCCTCAGAAAATTAGCAATATATAACATTAACATATAATTATCAGTTATGATTCCATATGCTAACAACAAACCATCTGATAAAAAAGGAAGAAAACAATCTCATTTCCAATAGAATTAAAATAATAAATTTCTGAAAAATTAACAAAGAAGGCAAAAGATCTTTTCACTGAAACATATATTGATGAAAGAAGTGGAAGAAGTCACAAATAAATGCAAAAAGATTTCAAGTTTATGAACTGGAAGAATAAATATTATAAAGCACCATATGATTCAAAGTGATCTACAGTTTCAATGAACTCTCTATTAAAAATCCAGTGACATTTTTCACAGTAATGGAAATTACAATTCTAAAATTTACATGAAACTACGATAGGCTTTGAAAAACCAAAGCAATCTAGAGGAAAAGGGACAAAGCAACCAAACTTCATACTTTATGATTTCAAACTATATTTTAAGATTGTAGTAAAAAAACAGATGATACATGCAAAATATGGACACAATAAACCAATGGCACAGAATAGAGCCCAGAAATAAACCCAGACATATAAAGTTTACTAATCTTTGATAAGTGCACCAAAAATATACAATGAACAAAGTATAGTCTTTTTAATATTTGCTTCTGAAAAAACTGGATACCTCCAGGCAAAAGAATAAAATTAGCTTATTTTTCTTACACCATGCTAAAAGTTAAATTACAGACTTAAATATGAATCCTTAAAAAACCTGAAAAAAAATACATGGAAAACCCTCATGATATGGTCTTAACAATAATTTGTTAGACATAATACCAAAAGTACAGCAACAAAAGCAAATATAAACAAGCTGGACTGCATCAAACTAAAAACCTTCTGCACAGAAAAGAGAACAATAAAATAAAAAAATTTGTAGAATGGGAAAAAATATTTGCAAACCATACATCTGATAAAAGATTGATATACAAAATATATAAGAAATGCAAGCAGATTGAAAGCAAAAACAACAGTAACCCAGTTCAAAATAGGCAAAAAACTAAACAGTTATTTGTCCAATGAAGACATACAAATGGCCAACACATAAGCCATAAAGTACTCAATATCACCAAATATCAGGCAATTGCAAATCAAAACTATGATGAGTATCATTTCAAACATGTTAGAATGGATAATGTAAAAAGAAGAAACATAACAAGTGTTGACAACACTTTGAAGAAAAAAAATTCTGTACATTCTTGGAGAGTTATAAATTGATGGAGTCATTACAAAAACCAATAGAGGTTATCTGAAATACAGAACTACTACACAATCTAGCAATAGTAGTATTGTGCATATAATACTGTGTATATAACAAAAGGAAATGAAATAAGTAACTTGAAGACATATCTGTACCACCATATTTGTTGCAGCATTATTCACAATTGCCAAGATATAAAAAACCTAAATGTTAGTGGATGCTGAATAAAGAAAAGCTGGTATAAATAAACAATAGAATATTATTTAGCCTGAAAAATAACTAAATCTTGCCATTTCAACAACATGGGTAAAACTGGAAGACATTATGCCAAGGGAAATAAGCCAGACATAGAAAGAGAAATACTGTTCATTCTCACTTATATGGGGAATCTAAGAAAGCTGAACTCACAGAAGCAGAGACTACAATGGAAGTTGTCAGGGACTAGATATGGGAGAAAATGAAAAGATATTGAAAAGACAAATTTTCTGTTATGAGTAAGTTTTTCAAATGTAATGTATAGCTTCATGATACAGTTAACACTAAATTTTTGTATGCTTAAAATTTGGTGTCAGCAGACCTTAGATGTTTTCATTACAAAAAAGGTACCTATGTGAGGAAAGGTGATAAAAATGCTCAGAAACATAATTGTGCTAATCATTTTACAATATACACATGCAGTAAGTCATTACATTGTACACAATAAATATATATACAATTTTTATTTATAAAAAAATCCACAATACACACCTACATATATATACACACATATAAATTACAGTTCTGGTAAACTTTATCCTGAACAAGATAAAATTAAAAAATAGTAATTTAAAAAACAAGGAAAGAAGTGGGAGCTTAACATATGCTCAGTAATGTTCTAAGTTCCCTGACATAGTGAATTGTAGAAATGTAGGAAATATCTACGTTATATTACAGTTGAGAAATTAAGACAGAATTGAAATTACCAACCTCAGTTAGTACTAAAAGAATAAAAATTTCAATTCAAATAACATTAGATATTCTTAAAGAGATACTTAATATTCTGATTAAATTACCGAGTATGAATTTCTGTAGAAACACATTTGAAACCTCCATAAAATAAGAAACTATAAAGCAGAAAACATACAACATATGTGGGTTGTATTTCTGGGATTTCTGAACCAAATCTCAATATCACTACTTTTACATATTTCAGACACAATGCAGAAAGAGAACTTAAAAATGGGTAAACACAGGGTTTCTAAAAAATATGCAGCTATTTGTATATCCCTAAAAGCAATAAAAGTAGTCAGATTGTGCACTGTTTTATAAGCCATAAAGAGAACTTTGGCTCTCACTGCAAATCTGAAGAAAAATTATTGAAGAAAATGTAGAGTCACTAGAGAGCATGGGACAGAGGATGCCCCTATGTGAGAACAAGTGAAAAAACCCAGGCTTCTCAGAAAGGATTTCCACTGGAGCACAGCTTCCCAAATCACATGTAAAAGTCCGGGTTCCTCTCGGCCTTTGGATGCCTCATCTATGTCATCCTCTTCTTCATTCGCTTTCACCTACCTGGGTGCTTCATACTCCATGGCTTTTTCCTTTGCTCCAGACAGGTGACCAGGTCTGGCTTAGAGAAGACAATACCTGTTTTATTTTAAAAAGCATCATGAGCATGACTTTTCCTGGGATTCTCCATTTACCAACCTAATACTGTGCTAAGTAGAGAAAAGAGGACATAATAGAAGATTCTAGAAAATTAATCCCAAAATACTTTTTACTGACAGAACCTTTAGCGTATTCAGAAAGTATATTAAATATGAGTGTCCTCTGTTTCACTCCCCAGTATTACTGAATCAAAAATTGGTGGTGGCAATTGAATTTTAAGGTGTGGACAACATTATTTTATGTCACTAAGTTTCTGAAATTACCACTTATCTAGAGTGAATAACATAGATAAACTCAGGAAAGGGGAAAATTCAGGTCAAAATGAAACAACCTGAAGAATTCATTTTCCACACCAAAAAATCCGCAAGATTGTCTTAAAAACAGGGATCTGAAATTTACTCATGCAAAGCAGAAATTACCAAAACACATCCTACAAAGGAAGAAAATGAAACCTTCAGGGTAAATTAGAAATTCTATATTGAAGTTATCCTCAACCAAGAAGACAGAGTTTCTGTAGTTCTGTAACATCACATCCATACACAAATTCTGCTGAGCAGCATCCAGGTATTGACACTCCTCCAGACAGAATTCTATGGCTACATCCCTGAATGTCAACAGTCCCTGAAAACACACACACACCCACTTCAAGTGGCCATAGGCAGAATTCTTAAATTGACTCAAGATAAAATGAGTGAAGAGAACTGATTCTGACTGATACGACCAAAATTGTCCTATAAAATAATTCCCAACAAAGAAATATTCTCTGTTGCATTCTCTATCTCTGAGAAAAGAGAGCATAAGATTCACAATACCAGTGTAGTGTATTGATGATATTTTTTGAATGATAAAGTACAAAATTAACAACAGGAACATAGACATGTACATTTTT
Organism: Homo sapiens; assembly: GCF_000001405.40. Taxonomy (NCBI): domain Eukaryota; kingdom Metazoa; phylum Chordata; class Mammalia; order Primates; family Hominidae; genus Homo; species Homo sapiens. The sequence continues at coordinate 13,114,059 of NC_000021.9, forward strand.
GAGTGCTCCATTTAATCATACAGTATAAGTTCTGCATATTTCTCAGATTAAAAAGTCAGGCTTAGTTATAAAGTACCTCTCAAATTTTAATGTGTACAACAATAAACTGGAGATCTTTTTATGCAGATTTTGTTTCAAGAAACCTGAGGTAAAACCTGAGTTTCTGAATTTCTAACAAGCTCACAAGTGACACCAATCTTTCTGGCCCAAGATAAATATTTTGTCAAACATTCATTAAGTGACAGAGCCTGGGTTTTTATGACCAGTAAACAAAGATGAGAGACTTCACTTTTTAAAGAAAGACATATGCAAAGACAATCTAAGAAGAAAAGAGAACTTCCAGATTACATGGGATGCTTTATTCACATCAGCTGGTAAATGTCCCCAAGGTACTCAATAATAAAGAGAAAAATAACTCTACAGTGGAAAAAAATTCTCAGAGAACTATTTAACTCAACGAATCAAATTAACACCAATTATAACAGAACAAATTTTCATCATGCGCTGATGCTCACAGAACGACACAATATCACTGCTGTGATACTGGCCCCCGCCAAAGAAGTAAATTATAATTCAAATCTAATCATAAAGAAACAAGTTTTATGCAAAATGCAAACTACAGTAATCGCTCATGTTGTGTAATCTCTATTAAAGTATTTACGCAGACTTTCTTCAGCATTCTAGAAAGCGAGTATCTTCTAATTATTTTTTTCAAAACTTTCTGAATTATTCTGGGTAACAAATACCATCCTGTTCAAATGTGCATATTTTAATCCTGTTCCACATGGAGTTGATGGAGCACACAGACAGAACTTCAACATTACATATTCCCCTTTTTCATGAATATCTAAGAACCCCACCTCTTCCCCAGTAGGAATCTTGGGTATCCATACCTTTCCATGTGCACCAGCACCAGCAACAAAGGGTATTTTTCTTTTTTTTTTTTTCTTTGGAGATGGAGTCTCCCTCTGTTGCCCAGGCTGGAGTGCAGTGGCACGATGTAGGCTCACTGCAACCTCCAGAACCTCCACCTCCTGGGTTCAAGTGATTCTCTTGCCTCAGCCTCCCAAGTAGCTGGGATTACAGGCACCCGCCACCATGCCCAGCTATTTTTTGTATTTTTAGTAGTGACAGGGTTTCACCATGTTGGCCAGGCTGGTCTTGAACTCCTGACCTCAGGTCATCCACCCACATCGGCCTCTCAAAGTGCTGGGATAATAGGCATGAGCCACCGCGCCCAGCCAAAGGGAATATTTTTAATATTACGAGTCATAATTAATGATGAGAATTCCGCATGGCAGAGAAGAAGCCAAGATGAAGAGAATGTCGAGAAGACTCTAGTATATAGAAAATAATATATTTCAGAGTTGCTTGACTATCATGAGAAGAAAAAATGTTTAAACAAACTTATAGGGAGAAACAGCATAAAGTCAAGAAGTACAGGTTTGTAAGTTCTAAACATATGGCATTCCAGGAGGCAGAGTGAACACTGCTCCTAATCTGAGACACAGTCACCTGAGAAAAAGCCATTTTTCTCTTCATCATCCTTCTCTAGCATTTCTTCTCAGGTGATATTCTCTGGACAAGTCACACCTGCATCTTTGGAATATGCCTTTAAAGGAATCAGCACAATCTCTTCACCTGCTACCACCACAAACACAGGTAGAAAGATCCAGGCATGCAGAACATGTCCACCCATTTATGTTCTTTATAACAGGTGAGATTCAAGGACAGTGAGCTGCTCCACAAAGATCAAAATTTATCTTTCTCTTTTCCTGCCACAGACGCCACAATTTCTGCTACAGCAATGGGGATATGGACCACATTAACTTGTACCTACCAAATCCAACCATAGTAGACCCTGTGACCTCCCTTTGGAATAAAGTTTGAACTCAACTCTCATGAATGTATTTTGAATTCCTCGTGTTTGACCCTGGCCTCAACCTGGAGTCACATGAGGCACTTAATTATATCAACAAGGATGCTTCCACCCAGAACAATATACAGAGCCTGCGGGAAGGGCACAAGTGAAAAGATTTCTGCAACCTGGCCATGGAATCTTAATTAGAAGCCTGGGCCAAGAACCACTTAGCTAAGCATTGCCTCTCAAACTTCAATGTGCATATAAATCATTTGGTAACCCTGGCCCCACACTATGTAATGTGATTCTGCAGGTTTTAAAAGCATCCATGAAAGTGCATTTTAAACACATCTCCTGTCAATGCTGATGTAGCTTCCACAGACCCATCATTAGTAGCATTTAGCTAGAAAAAGCAGGCATAGAACAGACTCTCACACTCATCATTCATCACAACACAAATACTTCTGATCAAATAAACAATCAATCTCTATCCTGAAAAAACACATTCTTTGCTAGCTCTTTAAAGTTTACAGAGACAGGAGAAGGCAACAATGTCTGAGTAAGTCTGCACTGAAAAACAACATGTACACATATACTTATGCAATGCTTATTAAGCAGGTACTATGTGCTCAGGAGTGTGTTACAGAGCACTGTGCTGGGAACATCACATTATGTGATTTAATCTTCAAAACAACTTGAGAGTTGGGTACTAAGTGTTCAATAATACTCAGAATTTAGATGAAGGGACCAGCATTGTTTTCTTCCCTGTTTATCTCTTAATGATTATTTTCGGGGGGGGACAGAGTTTCACTCATGTTGCCCAGGCTGGAAGTGCAATGGCACGATCTCAGCTCACCACAACCTCCGCTTCCTGGGTTCAAACCATTCTCCTGCCTCAGCCTCCCGAGTAGTTGGGATTACAGGCATGCACCACGACACTGAGCTAAGTTTGTATTTTTAGTAGAGATGGGGTTTCTCCATATTGGTCAGGCTGGTCTTGAACTCCCGATCTCAAGTGATCCACGCACCTCGACCTCCCAAATTGCTAGTATTACAGGCATGAGCCACAGAGCCCGGCCTCTCACTGATTTTTTTAAAAAAATGTATGGCATAAGAGATAAATATAGACAGATGGGAGGGATACAGAAAGGAAAGGGTTAAGTGTAGTTTAGAGGGATTTTTTAGTGTGTTTCTATTTACTTTCTTGTGACTTGTGGAGTAACTACTGGGATGGAATGTCTCTACAAGCACTGGTTTTAATTAGAAAGAAAGAAGTTAAGACCTCAAAATATATAGTTTATTGCTCTAATTTATCTGCTTTTGGGTTTCAGAATATTGTGAGCATAAGCTCTGGAGAGGCAGCAGGAGCCACCTCCCAAATCTCTGGTCTCCTCTAATGAGTTCTGTGAGGAGAGACTCCAGGGTGGGACCAGACCTGAATGAGTCTCAGAAAATGGTGAATCTGGACAGAGCTGGGGTGGAGAAACTGTCCTATGTTGAATTATGATCTCTATACTGCTGGAGTACTTCTTGTTCTGTCTTTCCTAAGCCTGTCCAAGAGAAACTTAAGAGTTTGTATAATTTTAATCCATTTAGCCACTACTCTATTTTATAACGTATAATAATAAGCAATTTAACCAAAATTTTTAGGGCTTTCTAGGATAATTTTATTAGAAAATATGTATTCTTAGCAAGGTAAAAGCAATAGAAATACAAATAACTCTCCTGTTTGAGAATAGCTCTTCTGGTGGTGACATCAGAAGTCACAACAACATCAGAGCCATTGCCCAAGTCCCCTTAACACTCCCACTTTATTGTATTGACTATATGATGCTTAATTAAACTATTTATCCAGTTGTTCTAGACTGAGAGTTTTTGAATGACAGGGACCATGACTGCTTCATCTATTTTTCTAAAGGCCATATGAAATGGAGGCAATTTGTTTATCAGTCTGAGTCTCCAGAACTCCTGAATTTTTTGCCAAGGAAACTGGAGAAACTCTCGTCCAGGTACCAACCAAGGAGATTATTTCTACAAAAGAAGGAACAGACACTGAATGACTCATTTCCCTTCCTCTCACATGGAAGCAGAATTAGACACTCCTGCCAGCCTGACCCAAGTCTGTACAGGACATCCTGAAATGTCTTAAAGATTCCCGGGTGATTGTGAGAGGATTCCTAGTGACCATGGACTGATGACCGTATGTTGATCCAGGTAGGAAAGACTCAAGCTGATTATAAATAGAAAATGGAACTGCCCTGGTACAGCTCCAGAACCTGGATCTATGTGTGATATCACCTGTTCTGATTAGCTAGGTCTTAGGTAAGAGAAAGGACAAGAATACTCTACTCCAGTATCACATTTTACAAATAGGTAAACTTATGTCATTGCTCTGGGTATTTTGTGGCTTTGATCTCTCCCTGCTGACATGCATGTTTACACTTACAGATTGTGCAACCAGATTCTATTTACACCAGCAGCCTCTCACATAAACATAGCAGGTCACTGGAAAAGATCTGGAAAGCTCAAAGGGATACACTCTGAAAGGAGGGCTTTAAGATTTCTATGCTGACATCTCACAGATCAGAAAATGTCTCCTATGGGTTTTCTGTACATTCTCAATCCAAAATCTGGCTCTCTCCTGTGATTCCCAGGGAGAGCTCAGCTCTTATGTACAGATTACAGGTAAGATCAACCTGACTCTTCATTCTTTGGTGTTACAGCAAGGAGAGTAAAAAAAAAAAAAAGTTTCCATCATAAAGTCTGCTCTAGGACATGATATGTCAGCCTAAAAAGAAAAGGTTAAGGCAACACTCATTTAAGTAGAGAATTTATTTGGGCCAAGCCTGAGGATTGAAATCTGGGAGCATAGATTCAAGTTACCTTGAATGTACACTTTACTTAGCAGCAGTTACAAGTGGATTTACAAAGGCAAAAGAGAGGGACAGGGAGTGGACTGAAACAAAGTTGTTTGTCAGAAATTCTTCTCGATCTACAAAAATACATTGATGACTAATTGGCTATATATTTTTAAGCTGTGAGGTATTGCTTATAACATCTAGTGTGGCATTATTAGGTTAATTTATATCTACTTGTAGGGATAGCAAACAGTTTCAAGAGGCAAACATGTAGCTCAAAGGAGGCAGTAGAACATAATTATGTTCTCATTTTTATGTCTCTCCGAGCCTGATAAAACCAAAAGGACTTGCAATCCTCAGATCAAAGTTATTCTTTTTCCTCTAATCTCAAGACCGAGATTCAGAATTTGGTATTGTAGATTTAGGTCCTGGATGGATGGAGAAATGGCAGGTGTTAACTGCACATTTATGGGAATTTGGGGAGGAGGAGAAAGAGGAACTTTGAGATACTCACATTTACTCAATGCACACATGTCACCCTAATTGTTCTTCTGGGCCTAATAGTCTCCAACTCAGTTTCAGGTCTGAAGACACTATGGTCACTGAAAGAGGTGAAATGGCTGATTACTGTCCTGTGAATTTTGTCAACCACTTGTAGAAAGGCTTAACCTCTCTACGAGTGGTTGTAGAGGACTATAGATGTGAAACAGGCAGAGACACAAGTCTGCCTGCATACTCTGGGGGCAGTGTGCACTTTGAAGCACAACTGACTGAGTTGACTGGAAGCCTGAGGGGGAAAGCCTTCTCTAAAATGAAGCTTGGGGGGCAATTTATACATATATACAATGTCTGGTAATTGTGAACAGGGTTTGAGAAATATAATTAAAAGGAAAATTATCTCCAGTCCTAGAAAAACCCCACAATAACAGACCAGAAAGAAAAGTGTTTTATTGCACAACAAAACCAGAATGTGATGTGACAAGAATCACAGACAATCTGCTCAAGAGATTGCAAAGACAGAAAGGTCTCTATAATTAGTCCTCAAGTAGAAGACTTGACAGCACCATTTGTCATACACAGTTTATCCTGAATTCACCTGGTAATTGGGGAGGCCATCTGTGTATGTTAATTGGTTATATTGAAAGGAAAAATAAACTTCTGACATCTTCATGATACGAGATAGTTTTGCAACTTACAGCCAGGTGCCTGCTGAATGTAGGCTCTGGTTCTTTTACAGACACTGTGAAATAGGATACTATTCTTTTGGCTATTTACATTTCAAAGCAAAGGGTCCCTACTCCCTAGGCCACGGGCTGCAGTAATCCTGCTTGCCCTGTCCTGGTGGCCTGTGTCCCATCTCTTCCCCTACCATCTACCACTGAGGCACAGCTCACAGCACACAGCTGGCAGCCCACATTCCACATGGACTCCAACCACCACAGCTGCACTCCAGAGTCACATTATGGAGCAGGGTCCCTGAACTGCAGGAGGAGAACCTGCAGGACTCCTGGGTAGGATTGCACTTTTGCAATAATGGAAATGGGAGCAATGTTTCAGCTACGTTTCTATTTATAATGGTGACAAAAAAATACTGCTGGATTCCCAGCATGGGTCTGGATAGAGTGCCAAAGAGTTCTCATTGTGACAGCCCAACTCACTCAGAAACACCATGAGACACTTTTGGGTGTCCCTTCTGAAGACAGACACCGAAAGCATTGAAGAGAAAAACAGCTCTCAGTCTGAATAAAATTGTATTAAGAGGTTAAAGGTATCTGAAAGAAAAATTCAGATTACATATAATATTAGCCAAGTCGACCAGAAAATACTCCCCTGAGACAGTTTCTCTCTAAACACCCAAAATGCACAGCTGCTCTCAACACAAGAAACACAGTGTTATGAAGAAAGGGGGCATATTCTCAGCAGAATTTCTTAAGATTTTTCTTCCATCTCTGCTGCTCTCTCATCTGCTGGCCATTGGATTGAGGATCTACACTGGAACACATCAGGCAACCTTCGCCAGCACTTTTTGATAAAGAATTGGAATTTGACTCTGTTTACATAGTAGAACTATATCTGAGATTGCAACATATCTAACTGAAGACTATTATGATTCATGATTTTTGGGTAGTCACATCACTTGCATTGATTTGTTCTGTAAGAGTGGCATTCCAAATATAGTAAAACATAAGAATAGACTGTGAGGCAGGATGCGGTGGCTCACGCCTGTAATCCCAGCACTTTGAGAGGCTGAGGCAGGCGGATCACCTGGGTCGGGAGTTGAAGACCAGCCTGGCCAGCACGGTGAAACACCATCTCTACTAAAATACAAAAACTAGCCAGGGGTGGTGGCAGACACCTGTAATCCCAGCTACTTAGGGGTTGAGGAAAGAGAATCGCTTGAACCCAGGAGGCAGAGGTTGCAGTGAGCTGAGATCATGCCACTGCACTCCAGCCTGGGTGACAGAGCCAGACTCCATCTCAAAAACAACAAAAAAAGATAGAATGTAAAATTTTGCTAACCTACTACTCTATCTTTTTGTTTTGTTTTGTTTTTTGAGACAGAGTTTTGCTCTTGTTGCCCAGACTGGAGTGCAATGGTGCAATCTCAGCTCACTGCAGCCTCCACCTCCCAGGTTCAAGTGATTTTCCTGCTTCAGTCTCCCGAGCAGCTAGGATTACAGGCATGCACCACCATCCCCGGCTAATTGTGTATTTTTTTTAGTAGAGACGTGGTTTCTCCATGTTGGTCAGGGTAGTCTCAAACTTCTGACCTCAGGTGATCTGCCTGCCTCGGCCTCCCAAAGTGCCGTGATTATAGGCGTGAGCCACCACGCCCAGCTGACCTATTATTATATCTATGGGATGAATTAATAAGCATGTCAGATTAATATCTACTGTAACAATTAGATAGTAAATTTTCTTTGGATATTAGATATAAATATCTAAGTATAAATAATCTTAATATACTAGTAATGGCATACATTTTTAAAATTATCTGTAACCTTAACTCAGTTGTAATTATATTTCAAAAGAATAAATACTGATATTAAAATTACTATTTAAGGGATTTATTCATAGTAAATAGTGTGGCCTTATATTCACATGATTGTAGAAAATACTGTTTAATTTACATGGATGAATGTTGTCTACTGAAGACTACATAAAACTATGTTAATTCTTTTTTAAATTTTTTTATTTAATTTTTTAAATTTATTATTACACTTTAAGTTTTAGGGTACATGTGCAAAATGTGCAGGTTTGTTACATATGTATACATGTGCCATGTTGGTGTGCTGCACCCATTAACTCATCATTTAGCATTTGGTATATCTCCTAATGCTATCCCTCACCCATCCCCCCACACTGACCTCACATAGGATTCCAGAACACTGCTGGGTTCTGAGTGTTTGTCCCTCACATAGGATTCCAGAACTGTTCTGTAATCCTTTGTAAGGGATAAACATTCAGACCCTCGTAGCAGTGTTCCGGAATCCTATGTGAGGGACAAAAACTCAGAACCCAGCAGCAGTGTTCTGGAATTCTGTGTGAGCGACAAACATTCAGAACTTCGTAGCAGTGTTCTGGAATTCTATGTGAGGGACAAACACTCAAAACCCAGCAGCAGTGTTCTGGAATCCAATGTGAGGTACAAACACTCAGAACCCAGCAGCAGTGTTCTGGAATCCTATGTGAGGGAAAAACAGTCTGAACTCAGCAGCAGGTTTCCGGAATCCCATGAGAGGGACAAATACTCAAAACCCAGCAGCAGTGTTCTGGGATCCTATGTGAGGGACAAACACTCAGAAGCAGTGTTCTGGAACCTTATGTGAGGGACAAACACTCAGAACCCAGCAGCAGTGTTCTGGAATCCTATGTGATGGACAAACACCCAGAACCCATCCACTGTCTTCTGGAATCCTATCTGAGGGACAAACATTCAGACACTCGTAGAAGTGTTCTGGAATCCTATGTGAGGAACAAACACTCAGCAACCAGGAGCAGTGCTCTGAAATCCTTTGTAAGGGACAAACAAACAGAATCCAGTAGCAGGGTTCCAGAATCCTTTCTGAGGGAAAAACATTCAGACCCTCTTAGCAGTGTTCTGGAATCCTATGTGTGGGACATTCAGACCCTCATAGCAGTGTTCTGGAAACCAATGTGAGTGCCAAACACTCAGAACCCAGCAGCAGTGTTCTGGAATACTTGGTAAGGAACAAACATTCAGACAATCGTAGCATTGTTCTGGAATCCTAAGTGAGGGACAAACACTCAGAAATGAGCTACAGTGTTCTAGAATTCTATGTAAGGAACAAACCCTCAGTACCGAGCGGCAGTGTTCTGGAATCCTATGTGAGGGACAAACACTCAGAACAAAGCAGCAGTGTTCTGGAATCCTCTGTGAAAGACAAACACTCAGATCCCAGCAGCAGTGTTCTGATACCCTATGTGAGGGACAAACACTCAGAACCCAGCCACTGTGCTCTGAAATCCTATCTGAAGGACAAACATTCGGAGCCTCGTAGAATTGTTCTGGAATCCTATGTGAGGGACAAACACTCAGAAACTTATAGCAGTGTTCTGGGATCCTTTGTGATGGACAAACAAACAGAGCCCAGCAGCAGTGTTCTGGAATCCTATTTGACAGACAAACACTCAGAACTCAGAAGCAGTGTTCTGGAATCCTTTGTGAGGGACAAACATTCAGAACCTAGTAGCAGTGTTCTGGAATTGTATGTGAGGGACAAACACTCAGAACCCAGCAGCAGTGTTCTGGAATCCTATGTGAGTGACAAACACTAAGAAACCAGCAGCAGTGTTCTAGACTCCTTTGTGAGGGACAAACATTCAGACCATCGAAGCAGTGTTCTGGAATCCTGTGTGAGGGACAAACACTCAGATCCAGCAGCAGTGTTCTAAAATCCTTTGTGATGGACAAAAATTCAGACCGTCGTAGCCGTTTTCTGGAATCCAAAGTGAGGGACAAACACTCAGAACCCAGCAGCAGTGTTCTGGAATCCTATGTGAGGGACAAACATTCAGAACCCAGCAGCAGTGTTCTGGAATACTCTGTGAGGGAAAAACATTCAGACCCTCGTAGCAATGTTCTGGAATCCTATATGAGGGGCACACACTCAGAACCCCGCAACAGTGTTCTGGAGTCCTTTGTGAGGGAAAAACATTCAGACCCTCGAAGCAGTGTTCTGGAATCCTATGTGAGGGACAAACACTCAGAACCCAGCAGCAGTGTTCTGGAATCCTGTGTGAGTGTCAAACATTCAGAACCCAGCAGCATTGTTCTGGAATCCTATTTGAGCGACAAACATTCAGAACTTCGTACCTGTGTTCTGGAATGCTATGTGAGAGACAAACACAGAACCGAGCAGCAGTGTTCTGGAATCCTATGTGAGGGAGAAACACTCGGAACCCAGCAGCAGTGTTCTGGAATCCTATGTGAGGGTCAAACACTAAGAACCCAGCAGCAGTGTTCTGGAATCCTTTGTGAGGGACAAACATTCAGAACCTTGTAGTAGTGTTCTGGAATTTTATGTGAGGGAAAACACTCTGAACCCAACAGGAGTGTTTTGGAATCCCATGTGAGGGACAAACACACAGATCCCCGCAGCAGTGCTCTGGAATACTTTGTGAGGGACAAACATTGAGACTCTCAAAGCAGTTTTCTGGAATCCATTGTGAGGGACAAACAGTCAGAACCCACCGCAGTGTTATGAATCCTTTGTGACGGACAAACATTCAGACCATCGTAGCAGTGTTCTGGTATCCTGAGTGAGGGACAAACACTCAGAAACCAGCAGCAGTGCTCTGGATTCCTTTGTGAGGGGTAAACAAACAGAACCCAGCAGGAGAGTTCTGGAATCCTATGTGAGGGACAAACACTCAGAACCCAGCAGCAGTTTTCTGGAATCCTTTGTGAGGGACAAGCATTCAGAAACTCGTAGAAGTGTTCTGGAAACGTATGTGCGTGACAAACACTAAGAAACCAGCAGAAGTGCTCCCGAATCCTTTGACAGGGACAAACAAATAGAAACCAGCCACAGTGTTCTGGAAGCCTTTGTGGGGGAAAAACATTGAGACCCCCGTAGCAGTGTTCTGGAATCCTATATGAGGGACAAACACTCAGAACCCAGCAGCAGTGCTCTGGAATCCTTTGTGAGGGACAAACATTCAGACACTCAGCAGTGTTCTGGAATCCTATGTGAGGGGAAAACATTCAGATCGTCGTAGCATTGTTGTGGAATTCTATATATGGGACAAACACTCAGAACCCAGCAGCAGTGCTCTGGAATCCTATGTGAGGGAAAAACACCCAGAACCCAGCAGGATTGTTCTGGAATGCTATGTGTGGGACAAACACTCAGAACCCAGCAGCAGAGGTCTGGAATCCTATGTGAGCTACACTCAGAACACAGCAGCTGTGTTCTGGAATCCTTAGTGACGTACAAAGTTTCAGAACCTCACAGCAGTGTTCTGGAATCGTATGTGAGGGACACTCAGAACCCAGCAGCAGTGTTCTAGAATCCTTTGAGAGGGAAAAACATTCAGACCCTTGGAGCAGTGTTCTGGAATACTATGTGATGGACAAACACTCAGAACCCAGCAGCAATGTTCTGGAGTCCTTTGTGATGGACAAACATTCTGACCCTAGTAGCAGTGTTCTGCAATCCTATGTGGGGGACAAACACTCAGAACCCAGCAGCTGTGTTCTGGAATCCCATGTGAGGGATAAACTCTCAGAACCCAGCAGCAGTGTTCTGTAATCCTATATGAGTGAGAAACACTCAGAACCCTGCAGCAGTTTTGTAGATTCCACTGTGAGATACAAACATTCAGACCCTCGTAGAAGTGTTCTGGAATCCTATGTGAGGGAAAAACTCTCAGAAACCTGCAGCAGTGCACTGGAGTCCCTTGTGAGGGACAAACAAACACAACTGAGCAGCAGTGTTCTGGAATCCTTTGAGAGGCAAAAATATTCAGACCCTCGTAGCAGTGTTCTGGAATCCTATGTGAGGGACAAACACTCAGAACCCAGCAGCAGTATTCTGGAATCCTATGTGGGGGACAAACACAACCCAGCCGCAGAGTTCTAGAATCCTCTGTGAGCGACAAACATTCAGAAATTCATAGCAGTATTCTGAAATCCTATATGAGGGACAAACACTCAGAACCCAGCCACTGTGTTCTGGAATCCTATGTGTGGGACAATCATTCAGACCCTCGTAGCTGTGTTCTGTAATCCTATCTGAGGGACAAACATTCAGACCTTCGTATCAGTGTTCTGGAATCCTATGTGAGGGACAAACTCTCAGAACCCAGCAGCACTGTTCTGGAATCCTATGTGAGGGACAAACACTCAGTACCCAGCAGCAGTACTCTGGAATAATTTGTGAGGGACAAACATTCAGATCCTCGTAGCAGTGTTCTGGAATCTTATGTGAGGGACAAACACTCAGTACCCAGCAGCAGTACTCTGGAATAATTTGTGAGGGACAAACATTCAGATCCTCGTAGCAGTGTTCTGGAATCTTATGTGAGGGACAAACACTTAGAACCCAGCAGCACTGTTCTGGAATCCTATGTGAAGGACAAACACTCTTAACCCAGCAGGAGTGCTCTGGACTACTTTGTGAGGGACAAACATTCAGACAATCATAGCAGTGTTCTGGAATCGTATGTGAGGGACAAACACTCAGAACCCAGCAACAGTGTTTTGGAATCCTATGTGAGGGACAAACCCTCAAACCTAGCAGCAGTGTTCTGTAATCCAATGTGAGGGGCAAACAGAGAGAACCCAGCAGCAGTGCTCTGTAATACTTTGTGACGGACAACATTCAGATAATCGTAGCAGTGTTCTGCAATCCTATGTGAGAGACAAACCCAAAGAAACCAGCAGCAGTGTTCTGGAATCCTATGTGAGGGACAAACCCTCAGAACCTAGCGGCAGTGTTCTGGAATCCAATGAGAGGGACAAACACTCAGAACTCAGCAGCAGTGTTCTCTAATCCTTTGTGAGGGACAACATTCAGATCCTCGTAGCAGTGTTCTGGAATCCTATGTGAGAGACAAACACTAAGAAACTAGCAGCAGTGTTCTGGAATCCTATGTGTGGGACAAACACTCAGAACCCAGCAGCAGTGTTCTGGAATCCTTTGTGAGGGTCAAACACTCAGACTCTCAGAGCAGTGTTCTGGAATCCTATGTGAGGGACAAGCATTCAGACCCTCATAGCACCATTCTGGAATGCTCTGTGAGGAACAAATATTCAGACCCTCATAGCAGTGTTCTGGAATCATATGTGAGGTACAAAATCTCAGAACTCAGAAGCAGTATTCTTTAATTCTATGTGAGAGACAAACCCTCAGAACCCAGCAGCAGTACTCTGGAATAATTTGTGAGGGACAAACATTCAGACAATCACAGCAGTGTTCTGGAAACCAATGTGAGGACCAAACACTCAGAACCCAGCAGCAGTGTTCTGGAATATTTGGTAAGGGACGAACATTCAGACAATCTTAGCAGTGTTCTGGAATCCAAAGTGACGGAGAAACACTCAGAAACGAGCTGCAGTGTTCTAGAATTCTATGTGAGGGACAAACACTCAGAACCCAGCAGCAGTGTTCTGGAATCCTTAGTGAATGACAAACGCTCAGAACCCAGAAGTAGTGTTTTAGACTGGTTTGTGAGATACAAACATTCAGACCCTCAAAGCAGTGTTGTGGAATCCTATTTGAGGGACAAACACTCATCACACAGCCACTGTGTTCTGGAATCCTATCTAAAGGACAAATATTCGGAGCCTCTTAGAAGTGTTCTGGAATCCTATGTCAGGGACAAACATTCAGAAACCAGCAGCAGTGCTCTGGAATCCTTTGTGAGGGACAAACAAACAGAGCCCAGCAGCTGTGTTCTGGAATCCGATTTGATGGACAAACACTCAGAACCCAGCAGCAGTGTTCTGGAATCCTTTGTGAGGGACAAACATTAAGATCCTCAGAGAAGTGTTCTGGAATCCTATGTGAGAGACAAACACTCAGAACCCAGCAGCAGTGTTCTAGAATCCTATGTGAAGGACAAACACTCAGAGCCCAGCAGCAGTGTTCTGCAATCCTTTGTAAGGGTCAAACACTCAGACGCTCAGAACAGTGCTCTGTAATCCTATGTGAGGGATAAACACTCTGAACCCTGCAGCAGTGTTCTGGATTCATATGTGAGGGACAAGCATTCAGATCCCGATAGCCCTGTTCTGCAATGCTCTGTGAGGGTCAAACATTCAGAACCTCATAGCAGTGTTCTGAAATACTATGTGAGGTACAAAGCCTCAGAACTCAGCAGTAGTGTTCTGGAATCCTATGTGAGTGACAAACACTCAGAAACCAGCAGCAATGTTCTAGAATCCTTTGTGAGGGACAAACATTTAGACTCTCGAAGCAGTGTTCTGTTATCCTATGTGAGGGACACTCAGATCCAGCAGCATTGTTCTAGAATCTTTTGTGATGGACAAACATTAAGGTCCTCGTAGCAGTTTTCTGGAATCCTATGTGACGGGGCAAACACTCAGAACCCAGCAGCAGTGTTCTGGAATCCAGTGTGTGGTACAAACACTCAGAACCGAGCCAGTGTGTACTGGAATCCTATCTCAGGGCTAAACATTCAGACCTTCACAGAAGTGATCTGGAATCCTATGTGTGCAACAAACACTAAATAACCAGCAGCAGTGCTCTGGAATCCTTTGTGAGGGACAAACAAACAGAAACCAGCAGCAGTGTTCTGGAAGTCTTTGTGAGGGAAGAACATTCAGACCCTCGTAGCAGTGTTCTGGAATCCTACGTGCGGGACAATCACTCAGAAGCCAGCAGCACTGTTCTGGAATCCTATGTGAAGGACAAATATTCAGAACCCAGAATCAATGGATTCCTAAGTGAAGGATAAACTCTCAGAACTCAGCAGCAGTTGTCTGCAATCTTTTGTGAGGGACAAATATTGAGACTCTCAAACCAGTGTTCTGGAATCCTATGTAAGGGACAAGCATTCAGAGTCTCATAGCAGTACTCTGGAATCCTATATGAGGTACAAACACGAAAAACCCAGCAGCAGTGTTCTGGAATCCTATGTGAGGGACAAACACTCAGAACCTAGCAACAGTGATCTGGAATCCTATATGAGGGACAAACATTCAGACCCTCGTAGCAGTGTTTTGGAATCCTTTGTGAGGGACAAACAATCAGGAACCAGCAGCTTTGTTCTGGAATCCTATGGGATAGATGAACACTCAGAACCCAGCATCAGTGTTCTGGAATCCTTTGTGAGGGACAAGCAATCAGGACACAGCAGCTCTGTTCTGGAATCCTATGTGAGGGACAAACGTTCAGACCCTCGTATTAGTGTTCTGGAATCCTATGGGAGGGACTTACAAACAGAACCCAGTGACAGTGTTCTACAATCCTTTGTTAGGGAAAAACATTCAGACCCTCGTAACAGTCTTTTGAATCCTATGTGAGGGAAAAACATTCAGACCCTCATAGTAGTGTTCTGGAATCTTATTTGAGGGGCAAACACTCAGAACCCAGCAGCAGTGTTCTGGAATCCTTTGGGAGGGATAAACATTCAGACCCCCTTAGCAGTGTTCTGGAATCCTATGTGAGGGACAAACACTCAGAACCCAGCAGCAGTGTTCTGGAATCCTATCTGAAGGAAAACATTCGGAACCTCTTAGAAGTTTTCTGGAATCCTATGTGAGGGACAAACACTCTGAAGCCAATAGCAGTGTTCTGGTATCCTATATGAGGGACAAACACTCAGAACCCAGCAGAAGTGTTCTGGAATCCCATATGAGGGACAAACACAAACCAGCAGCAAATGTTCTGGAATCCTATGTGAGGGACAAACATTCAGACCCTAGGAGCAGTGTTCTGGAATCCTATGTGAAGGACCAACAGTAAGAACCCAGTAGCAGTGTTCTGGAATCCTATGTGAGGGACAAGAATTCAGACACTCGTAGCAGTGATACAGAATGCTTTCTGAGGGGAAAAACATGCAGACCCTCATAGCAGTGTTCTGAAATCCTATGTGAGGGACAAACACTCAGAAGCCAGCAGCAGTGTTCTGGAATCCTTTGTGTCGGACAAACACTCAGAACTCAAAAGCAGTGTTCTGGAATCCCTTTGAGGGACAAACACTCAGACCCTCATAGCAGTGTTCCGGAATCGTATGTGAGGGACAAACTTTCAGAACCCAGCAGCAGTGTTCTGGAATCCTTGGTGAGGAAGAAACTTTCAGACCCTCTGAGCAGTGTTTTGGAATCCTATGTTTGGGACAAACACTCAGAACCTAGCAGCTGTGTTCTGCAATCCTATGTGAGGGACAAACACTCAGAACCCACAAGCGGTGCTCTGGACTCTTTGTGAGGGACAAACATTCCTACATTTTAGCAGTGTTCCAGAATCTCATGTGATAGAGAAACGCTCAGAACCCAGCAGCAGAGTTCTAGAATTCTACGTGAGGGACAAACCCTCATAACCTAGCAGCAGTATTCTGCAATTCTAATTGAAGGACAAACCTTCAGAACCCAGCAGCAGTGTTCTCGTACTCAATGACAGGGACAATCCCTCAGATCCCAGCAGCAGTTTTCTGGAAACCTATGTGAGGAACAAACACTCAGAACCCAGCAGCAGTGTTCTGGAATCCAATGTGAGGGACAAACACTCAGAAACCAGCAGCAGTGTTCTGGAATCCTATGTGAGGGACAAACACTCAGAACCCAGCAGCATTTTTCTGAAATCCTTTGTGAGAGACAAACTTTCATAGCCTTGTAGCTGTGTTCTGGAATCCTATATGTGGAACAAACACTCAGAGCCCAGAAGCAGTGGTCTGGAATCCTGTGTGAGGGACAAACACTCAGACCCTCGAAGCAGTGTTCTGGAATCCTGTGTGAGGGACAAACATTCAGATCCAGCAGCATTGTTCTGGAATCCTTTGTTATGGACAAACCTTCAGATGCTCATAGCAGTTTTCTGGAATCCCTTGTGAGGGACAAACACTCAGAACCCAGCAGCAG
This sequence comes from Homo sapiens, assembly GCF_000001405.40. Lineage (NCBI taxonomy): Eukaryota > Metazoa > Chordata > Mammalia > Primates > Hominidae > Homo > Homo sapiens. Next base: position 13,130,848 of record NC_000021.9, read on the forward strand.
TGTTCTGGAATCCTCTGTGAGTGACAAACACTCAGAAACCAGCAGCAGTGTTCCAGCATCCTTTGTGAGGGACAAACACTCAGACCCTCGAAGCAGTGTTCTGGAATCCTATGTGAGGGACCAACACTCAGAACCCAGCCACTGTGTACTGGAATCCTATCTGAGGGACAAATATTCAAACCACCGCAGAAGTGTTCTGGAATCCTATGTGCAGAACAAACACTAAGAAACCAGCAGCAGTGCTCTGGAATCCTTTGTGGGGGACAAACAAACAGAACCCAGCAGCGTTCTGGAATCCTTTGTGAGGGAAAAACTTTCAGACCCTCATAGCAGTGTTCTGGAATCCTATATCAGGGACAAACACTCAGAACCCAGCAGCAGAGTTCTGCAATCCTTTGTGAGGGAAAAACACTGAGACCCTCTTAGCAGTGTTCTTGAATCCTACATGAGGGAAAAACATTCAGACCCTCATAACATTGTTCTGGAATCCAATATAAGGGACAAGCACTCAGAACCCAGCAGCATTGTTCCAGAATCCTATGTGAGGGACAAACACTCAGAACCCAGCAGCAGTGTTCTGGAATCCTATGTGAGCCACAAACATTCAGAACTTCATAGCAGAGTTCTGGAATCTTATGTGAGGGACAAACACTCAGAACCCAGCAGCAGTGTTCTGGAATCCTATGTGAGGGACAAACACTCAGAACCCAGCAGCAGTGTTCTGGAATCCTTTGTGAGGGACAAACATTCAGAACCTCATAGCAGTGTTCTGGAATCGTATGTGAGGGATAACACTCTGAACCCAGCAGGAGTGTTTTTGAATCCCATGTGAGCAACAATCACTCAGAACCCTGAAGCAGTGTTCTGGAATCCTATGTTAGTGACAAACTCTCAGAACCCAGAAGCAGAGGGAAAAGAAACTACCAAGTGTAGCCAAGATGGCCGAATAGGAACAGCTCCGGTCTACAGCTCCCAGTGTCAGCAATGCAGAAGATGGGTGATTTCTGCATTTCCATCTGAGGTACCAGGTTCATCTCACTAGGGAGTGCCAGACAGCAGATGCAGGACAGTGGGTGCAGTGCACAGTTCATGAGCCGAAGCAGGGTGAGGCACTGCCCCACTCGGCAAGTGCAAGGGGTCAGGGAGTTCCCTTTCCTAGTCAAAGAAAGGGGTGACAGACAGCACCTGGAAAATCGGGTAACTCCCACCATAATACTGCGCTTTTCTGATGGTCTTAACAAATGGCGCACCAGGAGATTATATCCTGCACCTGGCTCAGAGGGTGATACGCCCACGGAGTCTCGCTGATTGCTAGCACAGCAGTCTGAGATTAAACTGCAAGGCAGCAGCAAGGCTTGGGGAGGGTCGCTCACAATTGCCCAGGCTTGCATAGGTAAACAAAGTAGCCAGGAACTCGAACTGGGTGGAGCCCACCACAGCTCAAGGAGGCCTGCCTGCCTCTTTAGGCTCCACCTCTGGGGGCAGGGCGCAGACAAACAAAAAGACAGCAGTAACCTCTGCAGACTTAAATGTCCCTGTCTGACAGCTTTGAAGAGAGCAGTGGTTCTCCCAGCACACAGCTGGAGATCTGAGAACAGGCAGACTCCCTCCTCAAGTGGGTCCCTGACCCCTGACCTCCAAGCAGCCTGACTGGGAGGCACCCCCCAGTACAGGCAGACTGACACCTCACACGGCCGGGTACTCCTCTAAGACAAAACTTCCAGAGGAACGATCAGACAGCAGCATTCGCGGTTCATGAAAATCTGCTGTTCTGCAGCCACCACTGCTAATACCCAGGCAAACAGGGTCTGGAGTGGACCTCTAGAAAACTCCAACAGACCTGCAGCTGAGGGTCCTGTCTGTTAGAAGGAAAACTAACAAACAGAAAGGACATCCACACCAAAAACCCATCTGTACATCACCATCATCAAAGACCAAAAGTAGATACAACCACAAAGATGGGGAAAAAACAGAGCAGAAAAATTGGAAATTCTAAAAAGCGAGCACCTCTCCTCCTCCAAAGGAATGCAGTTCCTCACCAGCAATGGAAAAAAGCTGGGCGGAGAATGACTTTGACGAGTTGAGAGAAGGCTTCAGACGATCAAACTACTCTGAGCTACAGGAGGAAATTCAAACCAAAGGCAAAGAAGTTAAAAACTTTGAAAAAAATTTAGACGAATGTATATCTAGAATAACCAATACAGAGAAGTGCTTAAAGGAGCTGATGGAGCTGAAAGCCAAGGCTCGAGAACTACGTGAAGAATGCAGAAGATTCAGGAGCCGATGTGATCAACTGGAAGAAAGGGTATAAGTGATGGAAGAAGAAATGAATGAAATGAAGCGAGAAGGGAAGTTTAGAGAAAAAAGAATAAAAAGAAATGAGCAAAGCCTCCAAGAAATATGGGACTCTGTGAAAAGACCAAATCTACGTCTGATTGGTGTACCTGAAACTGACGGGGAGAATGGAACCAAGTTGGAAAACACTCTGCAGGATATTATCCAGGAGAACTCCCCCAATATAGCAAGGCAGGCCAACATTCAGATTCAGGAAATACAGAGAATGCCACAAAGATACTCCTTGAAAAGAGCGATTCCAAGACACATAATTGTCAGATTCACCATAGCTGAAATGAAGGAAAAAATGTTAAGGGCAGCCAGAGAGAAAGGTCGGGTTACCCACAAAGGGAAGCCCATCAGACTAACAGTGGATCTCTTGGCAGAAACTCTAGAAGCCAGAAGAGAGTGGGGGCCAATATTAAACATTCTTAAAGAAAAGAATTTTCAATGCAGAATTTCATATCCAGCCAAACTAAGCTTCATAAGTGAAGGAGAAATAAAATACTTTACAGACAAGCAAATGCTGAGAGATTTTGTCACCACCAGGCCTGCCCTAAAAGAGCTCCTGAAGGAAGCACTAAACATGAAAAGGAACAACCAGTACCAGCCGCTGCAAAATCATGCCAAAATGTAAAGATCATCGAGACAAGGAAGAAACTGCATCAACTAACGAGCAAAATAACCAGCTAGCATCATAATGACAGGATCAAATTCACACATAACAATATTAACTTTAAATGTAAATGGACTAAATGCTCCAATTAAAAGACACAGACTGGCAAATTGGATAAAGAGTCAAGACCCATCAATGTGCTGTGTTCAGGAACCCATCTCACGTGCAGAGACACACATATGCTCAAAATAAAAGGATGGAGGAAGATCTACCAAGCAAATGGAAAACAAAAAAAGGGAGGGGTTGCAAGCCTAGTCTCTGATAAAACACACCTTAAACCGACAAAGATCAAAACAGACAAAGAAGGCCACTACATAATGGTAAAGGGATCAATTCAACAAGAAGAGCTAACTATCCTAAATATATATGCACCCAATACAGGAGCACCCAGATTCATAAAGCAAGTCCTGAGTGACGTACAAAGAGACTTAGACTCCCATACAATAATAATGAGAGATTTTAACAACCCACTGTCAACATTAGAAAGATCAATGAAACAGAAAGTTAACAAGGGTACACAGGAATTGAACTCAGCTCTGCACCAAGCAGATCTAATAGACATCTACAGAACTCTCCACCCCAAATCAACAGAATATACATTCTTCTCAGCACCACACCACACCTATTCCAAAATTGAACACATACTTGGAAGTAAAGCTCTCCTCAGCAAATGTAAAAGAAAAGAAATCATAACAAACTGTCCCTCAGACCACAGTGCAATCAAACTAGAACTCAGGATTAAGAAATTCACTCAAGACTGCTCAACTACATGGAAAATGAACACCCTGCTCCGGAATACCTACTGGGTACATAATGAAATGAAGGCAGAAATAAAGATGTTGTTTGAAACCAATGAAAACAAAGACACAACATACCAGAAGCTCTGGGACACACTCAAAGCAGTGTGTAGAGGGAAATTTATAGCACTAAATGCCCACAAGAGAAAGCAGGAAAGATCTAAAATTGACACCCGAACATCACAATTAAAAGAACTAGAAAAGCAAGAGCAAACACATTCAAAAGCTAGCAGAAGGCAAGAAATAACTAAAATCAGAACAGAACTGAAGGAAATAGAGACACAAAAAACCCTTCAAAAAATTAATGAATCCAGGAGCTGATTTTTTGAAAAGATCAACAAAATTGATAGACCGCTAGCAAGACTAATAAAGAAGATAAGAGAGAAGAATCAAATACATGCAATAAAAAATGATAAAGGGGTTATCACCACCGATCCCACAGAAATACAATCTACCATCAGAGAATATTACAAACACCTCTACGCAAATAAACTAGAAAATCTAGAAGAAATGGATAAATTCCTCAACACGTACACTCTCCCAAGATTAAACCAGGAAAAAGTTGAATCTCGGAATAGACCAATAACAGGATCTGAAATTGTGGCAATAATCAATAGCTTACCAACAAAAAAAAAGAGTCCAGGACCAGATGGATTCACAGCCAAATTCTATCAGAGGTACAAGGAGGAACTGGTACCATTCCTTCTGAAACTATTCCAATCAATAGGAAAAGAGGGAATCCTCCCTAACTCATTTTATGAGGCCAGCATCATCCTGACACCAAAGCCTGGCAAAGACACAACCAAAAAAGAGAATTTTAGACCAATATCCTTGATGAACATTGATGCAAAAATTCTCAATAAAATACTGGCAAACCGAATCCAGCAGCACATCAAAAAGCTTATCCACCATGATCAAGTGGGCTTCATCCCTGTCATGCAAGGCTGGTTCAACATATGCAAATCAATAAATGTAATCTAGCATATCAACCTAACCAAAGACAAAAACGACATGATTGTCTCAATAGATGCAGAAAAGACCTTTGACAAAATTCAACAACTCTTCATGCTAAAAACTCTCAATAAATTAGATATTGATGGGACATATCTCAAAATAATAAGAGCTATCTATGACAAACCCATAGTCAATATCAAACTGAATGGGCAAAAACTGGAAGCATTCACTTTGAAAACTGGCACAAGACAGGATTGCCCTCTCTCACCACTCCTATTCCACATAGTGTTGGAAGTTCTGGCCAGGGCAATCAGGCAGGAGAAGGAAACAAAGGGTATTCAATTAGGAAAAGAGGAAGTCAAATTGTCCGTGTTTGCAGATGACATGATTGTATATCTAGAAAAACCCATTTTCTCAGCCCAAAATCTCCTTAAGCTGATAAGCAAATTCAGCAAAATCTCAGGATACAAAATCAATTTACAAAAATCACAAGCATTCTTGTACACCAATAATAGACAAACAGAGTGCCAAATCATGAGTGAACTCCCATTCACAATTGCTTCAAAGAGAGTAAAATACCTAGGAATCCAACTTACAAGGGATGTGAAGGACCTCTTCATAGAGAACTACAAAACACTGCTTAATGAAATAAAAGAGGATACAAACAAATAGAAGAACATTCCATGCTCATGGGTTGGAAGAATCAATATCATGAAAATGGCCACACTGCCCAAGGTAATTTACAGATTCAGTGCCATCCCCATCAAGCTACCAATGACTTTCTTCACAGAATTGGAAAAAACTACTTTAAAGTTCATATGGAACCAAAAAAGAGCCTGCATCACCAAGTCAATCCTAAGCCAAAAGAACAAAGCTGGAGGCATCACGCTACCTGACTTCAAACTGTAGTACAAGACTACAGTAACCAAAACAACATGGTACTGGTACCAAAACAGAGATATAGATCAATGGAACAGAACAGAGCCCTCAGAAATAATGCTGCATATCTACAACTATCTGATCTTTGACAAACCTGACAAAAACAAGCAACGGGGAAAGATTCCCTGTTTAATCAATGGTGCTGGGAAAACTGGCTAGCCATATGTAGAAAGCTGAAACTGGATCCCTTCCTTACACCTTATACAAAAATTAATTCAAGATGGATTAAAGACTTACATGTTAGACCTAAAACTATAAAAACCCTAGAAGAAAACCTAGGCAATACCATTCAGGACATAGGCGTGGGAAAGGACTTCAGGTCTAAAACACCAAAAGCAATGGCAACAAAAGCCAAAATTGACAAATGGGATCTAATTAAACTAAAGAGCTTCTGCACAGCAAAAGAAACTATCATCAGAGTGAACAGGCAACCTACAAAATGGGAGAAAAGTTTCACAACTTTCTCATCTGACAAAGGGCTGATATCCAGAGACTACAATGAACTCAAATTTACAAGAAAAAAACAAACAATCCCATCAAAATTGGGTGAAGGACACGAACAGACACTTCTCAAAAGAAGACATTTATGCAGCCAAAAAGCATGCAAAGATGCTCATCATCACTGGCCATGAGAGAAATGCAAATCAAAACCACAATGAGATACCATCTCACACCAGTTAGAATGGTGATCATTAAAAAGTCAGGAAACAACAGGTGCTGGAGAGGATGTGGAGAAATAGGAACACTTTTACACTGTTGATGGGACTGTAAACTAGTTCAACCATTGTGGAAGTCAGTGTGGCGATTCCTCAGGGATCTAGAACTAGAAATACCATTTGACCCAGCTATCCCATTACTGGGTATGTACCCAAAGGACTATAAATCATGCTGCTATAAAGACACATGTGCATGTATGTTTATTGTGGCATTATTCACAATAGCAAAGACTTGGAACCAACCCAAATGTCCAACAATGATACACTGGATTAAGAAAATGTGGCACATATACACCATGGAATACTATGCAGCCATAAAAAATGATGAGTTCATGTCCTTTGTAGGGACATGGATCAAACTGGAAATCATCATTCTCAGTAAACTATCGCAAGGACAAAAAAGCAAACACAGCATGTTCTCATTCATAGGTGGGAATTGAACAATGAGAACACACAGACACCGGAAGGGGAACATCACACTTCAGGGACTGTTGTGTGGTGGGGGGAGGGGGGAGGGATAGCATTAGGAGATATTCCTAATGCTAAATGACGAGTTAATGGGTGCAGCACACCAACATGGCACATGAATACTTATGTTGCAATCCTGCACATTGTGCACATGTATCCTAAAACTTAAAGTATAATAATAAAATAAAATAAAATAAAAAAGCAAAATATACACTAATACAGATTAACCAACTAAAAAAAGTAGAGAAAGGTTATTTAAAAAATATAAAGCATACAGTAATAATCTAACACGTTGAAATCTAAGAAGGAGAAAACAGCTGGTCTGAACAGCATTTTAAGTGGCAATGTTAGAGGTTTTATCAAAATTGACCAATAATATTAATCCACAGGTTCAGGAGGCTTTGCAAACCAAATGAAAACACACAGAGAGGACACACCTAGGAACATAATGGGACAATTTCTGAAAAGTAAAAGAAAAATGTCAAAAGCACTTGATAAAAAAATTGGGCTAACTATAAACAGAAAGAGTTGACTGATGACAACCTTCTCAAATGAAACTATGAAAGCCAACAAGTGAGGTATTGATACCTTTCAAGTCCTGAAATAAAATAAGTGCCGACCTAGAACTGTCTACTTGGTGGATATATCCATCAAAAGCAAAGATACAATAAAGAATTTATCCCAAGCAGACCCACAGGAAAAGAAATACTAAAGATTATTCTTCAGGTAGAAGAGCTATGATCCCTGATGAAAGTTTGCAGTTAGAAGAACGCTTTTTTTAATGAAAGAAATAAACATAGAGAGAAATTTAATTGGATATCGACTGTATAACAGAATACTATCTCATAAAGTTTAAAATGCATCTTCCATACAACAGCAGAAGCATATAAGTTGTGAGTTGGATAAATTAATTTTAAAATATTGTCAAGTTTTTTTGCAAATAGACAAATGTACCAATTATATTAGACCCTGAATGCACGTTGTAATAAACCAGTTAAAACATAATCAGACCAGATTTTTTAAATGGACTCTCTTAAAGTTTTTAAAATTTATATTTATATTTCACATATGTTGAAATTAAATAATGGAAAAGCATGCAATGCAAATATTAAACAAAATATAGCTTTAGTTGTACTTATATTCACATTTAAAAAGTTGGACACAGTTAAGTCTCAGTGATTTTTTTACACAACGGAGGCAAGCTGTGCAGTTATAACTAGTATTATGTTATGCTCTTGGCCTGATTACAGAAGGGAAAGGGGCACTCATACCAGATAATGGCAGAATGAAGCAACAAGGAGTAGAGTTACAGAACATGATGCTGTAACTGGGACTGGAGTTACTCTTTTAGAGTTAAAGAATAGTAAACTGGACAAAATATATGAAACTTTTTTTGAAATACTGAACATCAGGCAGCACAGGACTGTGCTCCGCAAGAGAAAAGAAGGAGCCAGAATGACTCCTGCTTTATTCCCAGGTTCTCCGTGACAGCAGTAGAGAGGAATCCCAGAGAGAGCAGACATTGTCATTGCACTGAGGAACCAGATAAAAACCAAAATGTTAAGCAGCTGGAATATGTAGTAGAAGAGAACGTTTACAGAAAAAGGAACCAATAATCAGCCTAAGGTTTCTCCCAAGTCCCTAAGCCAAATGTACATAGGATGAAATTCTAAGGAGCTCAGCAAAGGACTACCAGGGAGTTGGAAGAACACTTCCCTGGCATCACATGACAGGAAGACATGTTAGCTCTGACCAGCCAGAGAAGGGAATCCCCTCTGTACTTCCAGGATATTCAGTAAAGACCACTGGAGGTTCATGCCCTAGTGACAGTGCTCATTTAGCTCCAAATTACAGATGGCTCTAGACTAACTCAACAAAGTCTAAAGAGAAGATTTAAAACAACAACAGAAAAATAGTCATCCTGAAGTTACTGAACTGCCTGCCACAACATTGTTCAAATGTAGCCAATAAAATCTAGATATTCAATAGCATAACATCAAAATACCCCCCCCCCAAAAAAAACTCTGACATGCAAAGAAGCCGGAAGATATATATTATTAAGATATACATTAAGAGGAAAAAATAAGTCATTTATCAATGACAGAAGAAGGAATTTTCAAGGTCCTTAATGTAATTATATTTTATAAATACATATAGATAAATACATATATATGTCAAAGTACTTAAATGAAAATTGAACATAGGAGAAAAATGGAAGTTATAAAATGAAAAATGTGACACGTATAGATGAAAAATAAATATTTGAAATAAAAATTCCATGAGATAGAATAAGTCATGGATTTTACCCTAACATCAGAAAATATATAGAAAAATTAGAAGCTTTACAAACTAAAGGACAAAGGGTAAACTAAAATAAGAAATCCAGAAACTCACTGATACGTGAGACAATATGCAGCAGTGTAACATACATTTAATTAATATCTCAAAAGGGATGGGTGGGGGAATTATAGTTGAATAAAGAATGGTACATTCATTCCTGAGGGCACCGAGGAGGGAGGATAGCTTGAGATTCCTAAGGGAGGGCATTATCCATTCATGAAGGTTCATCCCCATGACCAAACACCTCCCAGTAAGCCCCACCTGCAACATTGGGGATCAAATTTTAACAGGAGATTTGGAAGGGGCAAGCATTCAAACCATAACAAGAGTTAAATTTCCCTTTAAAAAAATCACTGATATGATTCCATTTCGCCATAGATAAAAACTATCATTTCAGCCTACCATTGAGTGTACTTATAGCTAACGGAAAGGGCACTTTGTCTCGGGAATACAGATTTGCCTAGAGGTATCCTATTGCAGTCAAAGAAAGAACAATGAGGGATAGAAAATGTTAGTGATGGAGACACCAACGCTGCATTTTACAACAAACAATGTAAAAACTTTACGGATTGCTTCTGCTAACTTACTAAAGTTTACGTTCCTCTCAGGTGGGAGAATTGTTGAGTTTTTTCTTAAGATAGAAAAGCAATTCAGATAATCTGAAATCTCCACAAGAAGGATAAGAAGCACAGCAGAAACTATTCTAGGCAGGAAGTCAATCCATTCAACTGTCTGTGCTCCATAGAAACAACTGTCTGCACTGGGAGTCATACGAGGTACAGACAACAGCCAGACCTCTGATCCTCTCATTAGTGATTTCAGAAGAAATTAACAGTCAGCTGAGTAATTCACTGAGTAAAGTAAACATTTGGCACTGACAGAGGTTAGACGGATAACTATTTGTATCACCATATTCATGAAGCTGGAATATTTTCCATTACTGGTATCACATCCGAATGGAAGATGTTAAAAGGTCTCTCATCTTGTAAGATGGATATGAAAGAACATTTTCTGAGAAATGAAATTATTCACACACCAGCGAGGTGGATGGAAGAGAAAAAAAAAGAATAATCAGCTTGAGTTCTTCTCCTTGATAAGACAACTCACTAAAAACATAAAGAGAAAAATACAAGTTAAAATAATTAACCAGAAGAAGACTACTCTAGACTTTTTAAATTGCTGATAAGATTTTAATTTGCTCCAAGTTGAAAATAACTATATCGCTTGTGTTTTAAGGCACATAATGAGCAATTATATCACACATGATAGATTCAGCAGTAAAATATTATCCGTTAACAGCTGGAACTCATAAAAGCATAGCACAATGTGAAGATGGAATTTGCTAAAATAAACCATCTGCTGAAAAATACTATTCTGCAAATTTAAAAATAAAGTTTAAATGTTATTTGTCTTATTTAATAGGTCTGTGAAAAAATGCGATATTTGAAAAGTAGGTGCTAACTTAATTAGTTCTTTATATTTCCCTTGAAGCTTTAATTATTTGAGTCTATCAAACAATAGACTCAATTAACAGGAAAAAAGGTTTACGGATATAATTATGTGCACAACTATGCACTTGGAGTTTACATAATATATATAAATATGTATATACAAATATTTGTATATTATAAATCGATATACAAATATATACTATATATGTATAAAAACTCCAGGAAAGGCAAGGTAGTCAACACGCCTATGCTGTCTTGAGGTTACAGAAAACACAGAGCTGTACTTTGCTAAATCAGGCTTTGCAGAAGGCAGGTGACGACAAGGAAGAAAGAGGAGCCTGGCAGCAGAAGTTGTCTTGTTACATGGATGAAACCTCACAGGGAGCAGCCCTCCTCTTGGGAAGTAAAGATAGGAAATGGTTTTTTGAAATGTAAACGTGCCAGACTCAGTTAATCTTTCCTAAACCCAGACAAGGGAGTATCTCAGGGAAAGCCTGTCTATATCAATGCAGATTTTCTCTACAAATGCAAATCTCCCCAACAAACACAGCTTTTCAGCTATTTTTGTAGAAGAAGCTATTTCCAGTCTTCCGAGTAGCTATCTTGAAATATGTCAAAAAGTTGGCCAGGCGCACGCCTGTAATCCCAGCACTTTGGGAGGCTGAAGTGGGTAGATCACCTGAAGTCAGGAGTTCGAGACCAGCCTGACCAACATGGTGAAACCGCGTCTCTACTAAATACAAAAAATTAGCTGAGTGTGGTGGTGCATGCCTGTAATCTCAGCTACTTGGGAGGCTGAGCTAGGAGAATAACTTGACCCTGGGAGGCTGAGGTTGCAGTGAGCCAAGATTGTGCCATTGCACTCCAGCCTGGGCAATAAAAGCAAAACTCCATCTCAACAAAAAAAGTATTTTAGGGTAATATTTTGAGTATCTTTACCTCCATATGTACAATAAATATTATTGTGATTTTTAATCTTTACTTTTCTGTGGAGAAAACATAGGTGTGATTTCTAGTGTAGCTGAACATCACGTTTATTGACAATATTGCACTTGTGTGTGGGTGTGTGTGTGTAGCTACTCTTTACCTTTGTTCTCACGTAATGATTAGATATTAACAATTAATTCAGTAAAATGTATGTTTTGCAATATTTCTCCATGTTATTATGCTTTAAATTAGTTTAATCATGCCACTATAATGTGTACATTTTAACCTTTGACTATAGGTCTCAATCTTATTTTGGTTCCTGTATTTGAATTTATGCTAATAAAGTTCCACAGCTAAAAAGGATTATATAAACTTATCTACATTTTTGCTAGTATTCTGGTGTCATTTTAAATTATGTAATTAAATCAAATTTTAATTTGGATTATTGTTATCTGAGTTAAGGATCTAAATTTTTAATTTTCTTATAAATATTACATAATTATTTCTGAACCATATATTGACTAATCTGCCCTTTATATGATGTGCATTATAAGAGCTTGGGATTGATTCCTTTGCAAAGATGAATGCTTGAGAAGTAGATATTTAATCATAACATTTCAAAATCTACTGGATAACCTTGAATTGAAAAATAGCCTATAGGTTGAAAAACTCCTGTAGTGAAGAAAGAAATAACTAGTATACAGTGACAATATAAACATTATAAGTATTTATTTTATTATCGCCCTGAAATTTGATAATACAAACATGTAATATCTACCTATCATCCATATATCAGGTCATAAAAAATCAATACATTCTTCAAAAATTTAGCATAACAAGAAATGCACTCTCTCTCCTTGATGGAATTAAGTTACAAATAAAAGTAAAAATAAGTAGATAAGTGATGGAAGTAGACGTTTAAAAACAAAGAAAAATATTTGTTTTGGATAACATAAAAACTCAATTGACGATTCCAATATTTCAAGAACTTTGGCTGTCAACTGGTGGAGTTTTCCCCAGGAGACATTTGTCAATGTCTAGGGTTATTGTGGGGATGTCAAGACTGGTGGAGGTGTGAAATTTAGAGGTCAAATGAATCAACTAGCATTGCTAGGGCAGCCTCCCACAACGAAGAATCCTCTGGTCCTAAAGGTAAGTAGCACCAAGGTTGAGAAACCATAATCTAGAAAGTAAACACTATGTAGCTATTCCAAGTGCTCAGGAAAACACATCAATGCCCTCGAGGGGAAAAGTGTAAACATTTTAATTGCTGTACATGGTGACACAAATCCATGTTGTTAATCTAAGTGGAAGAGGCTGAGGCACAAAATGTAATTCAGAGTTTACTTGAGCCAAAATGAGGACAGCCGCCTGGAAGAAACAGACCCAAGTATCCTTGGATATGAACTCCCTTCGGAGCTTTGCAACAAGCAGTTTCTTAAAGGCAAAAAAGGGTCCAGAAGTGGGATGATGCAAAGAGGTTTGTCACAAATTCTCATTGGCTTATGGAAATAACATTTATTATTGACTGGCTATACACTGTTACACTATTATTGGGTGTGGATTATAGTGTCTGGTGTGGCGTTATTGGTTAATTTATAGCTACTGTGGCAACAGCAAGCAGCCTAGATGAACACACAGCTCAAAGAGGAGCAGGACAGAACTGCTGTCTCCTTTGAATATCTCTCTGGGCCTGATTATTTAAAAGGACTTGCATTTCTCACATGAAAGTTATTTTCTTTTCTCAATGTCAATAAATGAGAATAAATAGACATAAAATAGGTCTTTTCGAGGATGAAGTAAATGGAATAAAAAACAAAACACAAGCTGAACAGAAATCATAGAGGGAAGAAAAGGTTATAAATATATGGAGTTTTCAAAGTGATTTTAAGCTATTAGGAATCAGTTAAATGTTGGGGGATTTTGTCTGAGTATGGGCTAAAGGAGAATGTCCCTTTTGCCTTCTGAAGTTTCCCTGATAATCACTAATAGGAGGCAGATAAATAGTAGAAAAGGCAAACAGGTTTCTGCAATGTGTGTACACTGGAGCCCTTACAATGAAGACCCAGACACACGATGGGTGCAGAAGCTTATCTACCACATGAAGTTTACAGAAAGAATGGGGTCTTGGATCACAGGGAAAAAAAAAAAAAAAAGGTTATGTGAGAAAAGTACCCTGCCTAGAAACAGTGGACTTATTACGTAAGTGAAACCTCACTGGGAGCAGTCCTCAGATAGAATAGACAGAAAATGTTTCTTTCAGACCTTTGGAGACCTCCGACACTCAGTTAACCTTTCCTAGATCCAGACAAGGGGGCAGACCTCAGAGAAAGCCTGGCTGCATCAAGGCAGATTCTCTACCGATGCGAATCTCCCCAAGATAGCTTTGCAGCTAAGTTTGCATTTCCAGCCCTTCTCAATAGCCATTTTGAAATATTTCAAGGAAATATATTTTGGGGTAAAATATATTAGTTTCCTTCATACAGCTATAAAACATGCAGGAATAATTTTTCTCAATATCTACTACAAATCCAATATAGCAGTAATTATAAAACCCACCAGATATTGAAGAAAAAATATGTAGAGTACATCACTCACAAATATTGATACTAAAATGCCAAATAAAATAAAAATAATATCCAACAATATTTGAAACAGTAAGACAAGAAATTGGCAAAAAAAATAAAACAAATATCCACCTTGGGGATGAAAGTGTGATTCCAAATTTGGTAATCCAATAATATTAATGATATATTGGTTAGCCCAAATAAAAAATAAATAGGGGATTCTCAGTACACGCTAAAATATATTTGTTAAAAGGTCATATTCATGTCTTTAAAGATTTTAAATGCTATAAAGAGTCTGATATTCTATACGCAAACATGTGTATGTCCATTAGAAGAACAGAGGCCTGATTTTCATATGTTACTACATAGAGGTAGAGAAGTGGATAGATTAATTTGCATATGCATAGAGAAAGCATAAAATATAAATTTACTATCATACTTAAAGGAATATAAATTCAACATAAAATAATTCAAAGGTACAATTTTAAATATTTTTAAGTTACATTATTAATATTAGATAATATTTATAATTGTGAAAATATTCAATGCTAAAATAAGATAGAATGTCTAAACGTCAGTATTAAAACTAGTATAAATATTTGCTGGTTTTTACAAGGAAAATTCAAGCTCAACCTAAAATTATATAGGAAATAAAAGAAAAATTTTAAGGGAGCTCTTTAATAACACAAACATATATATATATACACACACACATATAACATGCATATATGTTATATGGGATAGATATAGATTTAACATGTTATATCTATATTTGTATCTATCTATAACTACAGCTGTATGTATCTACCTTTCTATATATTTACTCAGTGATATAAATATAGACTGGAATAAATATAAAGGCACATATGATTCTTGGATAAAAAGGATTTAGTATCATAAAGACAAATTCTTTCCAAATTCACCTATGAATCCACAACAATATACAGTTTCATTAGTATAATTTAAAATTTTTAAATAAATTCCAAGATTTATTTAAAGGAATATACATGTATACCAGCAGTAAAGAAAGAAGTAAGAGTGCACTAAACTAACTTGCTATTAAAATACATTTTTCCTAATTGAATACCTTTTATTTCCTTCTCCTGCCTGATTGCTCTGGCCAGAACTTCCAACACTATGTTGAATAGGAGTGGTGAGAGAGGGCATCCCTGTCTTGTGCCAGTTTTCAAAGGGAATGCTTCCAGTTTTTGCCCATTCAGTATGATATTGGCTGTGGGTTTGTCATAGATAGCTCTTATTATTTTGAAATACGTCCCATCAATACCTAATTTATTGAGAGTTTTTAGCATGAAGGGTTGTTGAATTTTGTCAAAGGCTTTTTCTGCATCTATTGATATAATCATGTGGTTTTTGTCTTTGGCACTGTTTATATGCTGGATTACATTTATTGATTTGCAGATATTGAACCAGCCTTGCATCCCAGGGATGAAGCCCACTTGATCATGGTGAATAAGCTTTTTGATGTGCTGCTGGATTCGTTTTGCCAGTATTTTATTGAGGATTTTTGCATCAATGTTCATCAAGGATATTGGTCTAAAATTCTTTTTTTGTTGTGTCTCTGCCTGGCTTTGGTATCAGAATGATGCTGGCCTCGTAAAAAGAGTTAGGGAGGATTCTCTCTTTTTCTATTGATTGGAATAGTTTCAGAAAGAATGGAACCAGTTCCTCCTTGTACCTCTGGTAGAATTCGGCTGTGAATCCATCTGGTCCTGGACTCTTTTTGGTTGGTAAGCTATTGATTATTCCCACAATTTCAGATCCTGTTATTGGTCTATTCAGCGATTCAACTTCTTCCTGGTTTAGTCTTGGGAGGGTGTATGTGTCGAGGAATGTATCCATTTCTTCTAGATTTTCTAGTTTATTTGCGTAGAGGTGTTTGTAGTATTCTCTGATGGTAGTTTGTATTTCTGTGGGATTGGTGGTGATATCCCCTTTGTGATTTTTTATTGCATCTATTTGATTCTTCTCTCTTTTTTTCTTTATTAGTCTTGCTAGCGGTCTATCAATTTTGTTGAACCTTTCAAAAAACCAGCTTCTGGATTCATTAATTTTTTGAAGGGTTTTTTGTGTCTCTATTTCCTTCAGTTCTGCTCTGATTTTAATTATTTCTTGCCTTCTGCTTGCTTTTGAATGTGTTTGCTCTTGCTTTTCTAGTTCTTTTAATTGTGATGTTAGGGTGTCAATTTTGGATCTTTCCTGCTTTCTTTTGTGGGCATTTAGTGCTATAAATTTCCCTCTACATACTGCTTTGAATGCGTCCCAGAGCTTCTGGTATGTTGTGTCTTTGTTCTCATTGGTTTCAAAGAACATCTTTATTTCTGCCTTCATTTCGTTATGTACCCAGTAGTCATTCCGGAGCAGGTTGTTCAGTTTCCATGTAGTTGAGCGGTTTTGAGTGAGATTCTTAATCCTGAGTTCTAGTTTGATTGCACTGTGGTCTGAGAGATAGTTTGTTATAATTTCTTTTCTTTTACATTTGCTGAGGAGAGCTTTACTTCCAAGTATGTGGTCAATTTTGGAATAGGTGTGGTGTGGTGCTGAGAAGAATGTATAATCTGTTGATTTGGGGTGGAGAGTTCTGTAGATGTCTATTAGGTCCACTTGGTGCAGAGCTGAGTTCAATTCCTGGGTATCCTTGTTGACTTTCTGTCTTGTTGATCTCTCTAACATTGACAGTGGGGTGTTAAAGTCTCCCATTATTAATGTGTGGGAGTCTAAGTCTCTTTGTAGGTCGCTCAGGACTTGCTTTATCAATCTTGGTGCTCCTGTATTGGGTACATATATATTTAGGATAAGTCAAATTGTCCCTGTTTGCAGACGACATGATTGTATATCTAGAAAACCCCATTGTCTCAGCCCAAAATCTCCTTAGCTGATAAGCAACTTCAGCAAAGTCTCAGGATACAAAATCAATGTACAAAAATCACAAGCATTCTTATACAGCAACAACAGACAAACAGAGAGCCAAATCATGAGTGAACTCCCATTCACAATTGCTTCAAAGAGAATAAAATACCTAGGAATCCAACTTACAAGGGATGTGAAGGACCTCTTCAAGGAGAATTACAAACCACTGCTCAAGGAAATAAAAGAGGATACAAACAAATGGAAGAACATTCAATGCTCATGGGTAGGAAGAATCAATATCATGAAAATGGCCACACTGCCCAAGGTAATTTACAGATTCAATGCCATCCCCATCAAGCTACCAGTGACTTTCCTCACAGAACTGGGAAAAACTACTTTAAAGTTCATATGGAACCAAAAAAGAGCCCCCATTGCCAAGTCAATCCTAAGCCAAAAGAACAAAGCTGGAGGCATCACAGTACCTGACTTCAAACTATACTGCAAGGCTACAGTAACCAAAACAGCATGGTACTGCTACCAAAACAGAGATATAGATCAATGGAACAGAACAGAGCCCTCAGAAATAATGCTGCATATCTACAACTATCTGATCTTTGACAAACCTGAGAAAAACAAGCAATGGGGAAGGGATTCCCTATTTAATAAATGGTGCTGGGAAAACTGGCTAGCCATATGTCGAAAGCTGAAACTGGATCCCTTCCTTACACCTTATACAAAAATCAATTCAAGATGGATTAAAGACTTAAATGTTAGACCTAAAACCATAAAAACCCTAGAAGAAAACCTAGGCATTACCATTCAGGACATAGGCATGGGCAAGGACTTCATGTCTAAAACACCAAAAGCAATGGCAACAAAAGACAAAATTGACAAATGGGATCTAATTAAACTAAAGAGCTTCTGCACAGCAAAAGAAACTGCCATCAGAGTGAACAGGCAACCTACAAAATGGGAGAAAATTTTCGCAACCTACTCATCTGACAAAGGGCTAATATCCAGCATCTACAATGAACTCAAACAAATTTACAAGAAAAAAACAAACAACCCCATCAAAAAGTGGGCGAAGGACATGGACAGACACTTCTCAAAAGAAGACATTTATGCAGCCAAAAAACACATGAAAAAATGCTCATCATCACTGGCCATGAGAGAAATGCAAATCAAAACCACAATGAGATACCATCTCACACCAGTTAGAATGGCAATCATTAAAAAGTCAGGAAACAACAGGTGCTGGAGAGGATGTGGAGAAATAGGAACACTTTTACACTGTTGGTGGGACTGTAAACTAGTTCAACCATTGTGGAAGTCAGTGTGGCGATTCCTCAGGGATCTAGAACTGGAAATACCATTTGACCCAGCCATCCCATTACTGGGTACATACCCAAAGGACTATAAATCATGCTGCTATAAAGACACATGTGCATGTATGTTTATTGTGGCACTATTCACAATAGCAAAGACTTGGAACCAACCCAAATGTCCAACAATGATACACTGGATTAAGAAAATGTGGCACATATACACCATGGAATACTATGCAGCCATAAAAAATGATGAGTTCGTGTCCTTTGTAGTGACATGGATGAAATTGGAAATCATCATTCTCAGTAAACTATCGCAAGAACAAAAAACCAAACACAGCATATTCTCACTCATAGGTGGGAATTGAACAATGAGATCACATGGACACAGGAAGGGGAATATCACACTCTGGGGACTGTTGTGGGGTGGGGGTATGAGGGAGGGATAGCATTGGGAGGTATACCTAATGCTAGATGACAAGTTAGTGGGTGCAGCGCACCAGCATGGCACATGTATACATATGTAACTAACCTGCACAATGTGCACATATACCCTAAAACTTAAAGTATAATAAAAAAAATTAAAAATAAAAAAATTTAAAAAAGAATTAAAATAAGATGTTACAGAATGTTTAGTGACTAGAAATACAATGATAATGTCCAATAAATAAATATATTTTACAAAAAATAAAATAAAATAAAATACATTTTTAAACTTAGTAACTAAAACTGAGCAGTACTGATTTGGAGTAATGGAATTTAGGTATATGAGATCTCAAAAGCATAGAGCTCAAAGGAGACCCCTGTATGCATGAGAGCTTAGGATGTGCTTTAGAAGGCATTACCAAACCACGGGCAAAGTTACTTTGGTTTCTTAGTCTTACTAGGTTTGAAAAGCCAGAGAAAAGACTCAAGGCCACCATATAAGAGCAAAACAAAAGGACAGGGAGAGAATGTGAAGATACTGAAACATTTTACATAAAGTTGTATAAAACATACTTTAAAGAAAATGTAAAGTTTAGGATATACATCAAAATCAGCAGAACCACTAAATAAATAAATAGGAATTGTAAAAAAGCAAGAGAAAATTTAAATGGATTTCTAAAAAATATTGACACCTATGATTTTTAAAATATGTTTAAGATATCCCATATTTCACAGGGCAGCCTTTCACAACATATATTAGGACATAAAGGTCCTTCTGTTTTTAATTTACTAGTGTTTATAGGGTTACAAATGTCTTCTACCCTTGTCTTTTGTCTGATGGTGCAAAAAAATTTTCATAAGCATGTACTTTTGAATGCCTGATGGATTGACATATATAATATGCTGCTAGTATTAAAATATATGACGGAAAACGCATGCAATCTTCTCACTGTTTACATAAATTCTAGGTTTCTCCTATTTACCTCAAGCACGTATGGAGCGAATTCTTACCTTTTAATATTGCCATGGCATTCACATTGAACGTAAGTTGAACTCTCTTATATGGTAGCTGGGTTCAGATTCCCTTGACAATTTCCAGTTCTAACCCTCACAGTTCCTCAGTGTGGCTGGCCCAGATATTGATCCTACACAGCTGCCTCCTCCTGGTGACTAGCCACTGTGGAACCATTGGATACAACCTACCTGACTCACCCCACAGACCTCACAGCCCACTTGGACAGCCCCCACAAGCCAGAGTGACCTGCTCAGTTGCAGCTGCAGCCAAGAAATGTGCCTGCTGGCACTCACCCCACTGACCAGAGCCCCGTGGAAAACTTATTTGGGTAATGTTCTGGGCCCAATAAAGGCTGGAGTCCCACAGACCCCTTTTCTGTCTCTTGCTCCCCACTCATCTTCCCCATTTTCTTCAGCCCTACGAGTTGTGCTACTGTATTAGTCCATTTTCACACTGCCAGTAAAGACATGCCCAAGACTGGGTAATTTCCAGAACAAAGAGGTTTAATAGACGCACAGTTCTACATGGCTGGGTAGGCCTCACAATCATGGTGGAAGGTGAAAGGTACATCTCACGTGGCAGCAGACAAGACAAGAGAGCTTGTGCAGGGAAACTCCCCTTTATAAAACCATCAGATCTTGTGAGACTTATTCACTATCAAAAGAACAGCATGGGAAAGACCTGCCCCCATGATTCAATTTCCTCCCACCTGTTCCCTCCCACAACATGTGGGAATTCAAGATGAGATTTGGCTGGGGACACAGCTAAACCCTCTTCTCAGCTACCCTCTTCTCTCTGGATCTGTGAGTAATAAAACTACTTCTGTGATTTCCCATGTTTTGTCCTGTGGCCTGCATGTGTCTGATCTGACCTACACTGGAACCTAACTCTCCTCCTGGCCAGGGTATCTAGGAGTGGCTCTTGTCAGAAATACACAGGACACAGGTCAGGCAATAGCCACCAGGCATCTCCTAGTCTCAACAGATGTTCTGTGAGAGGGAGGCCTGGTTGTGGGATGCACACCTGGCCACTGCTGGGGTAAGGAAGTGCCCTGTGAAAGGCACATGTTAAGCATCCACAACCCCCTGCTCAGAACCCAAGAAAGGCAGGGCTCCAATTGACAGTCACTCTCCAGAGACAAACCTCAAGCCCTAACTGGAGGAAAATAAAACAATGTAAAAATTTGAATTTATCTTACTATTTCAATGATCCAGTAAAGACATTCTATGCCTGTACACCACATATTTTCTTCGATTGTGGATATATTTTAGGTAGAATTTTATGTCTGGCTTTCACTTTAGCCTGGTCCCTACCTCAAGCATAAGGTAAAGATTTTCCATAGTTTCTTTTCTGGTACTACTGCCTGCCAGTGTGGGGTCATGTCCTAGTCTATCTTGAGGGAACCCCCTTATTCATTATTGTCAGAGTGAGACTGTTAAGTCTTGATTTCCCTGGACAACTTCATTGCATGACTTTTAATATGATTTTTAAATATACCCTTTACTGGACAATAAATTATATAGTTATCTGAGTAAGAGATATGATCAGAAAGAGGCATTGCCTCATTCAGCTTTTCTGTTTGGTGAACTCGCATATGTTCTCCTCACCCACCAGTCACCTCTAAACTGTATTGTTCCAAGACAACAAACAGAACTCGAGTGTGTATCTTTCACCACTGGATTTGTCTTTGCTCCATAAAGCTTAATGCTTAATAGGGTTTCTGTTAGCATTTTCTCTATTTATTTTCCCATAAAATATCACAGGCCTTCTTCATATGGAATTATGGGTGATTTCCTTCAATCTGCATCATATCAAGTTGAGGTTCATGTTGATGGAAAGTAAAACATACGTTTAAAATATCAGTAATGATGTTTTCCCCTCCTTTTTAGCACATGTGCTTGTGAGAGTCATCGTAATACAATTCTAGTCTCATGCTTTGATCATTCCTAAGATGAAAATAATATTTTTAGATAAAATATCTGAGTTTTATGAGGCCTTTAGTATATGATGTAATAGAATATCAGAAAACCATACTTTTTTCTAGTTTTCCATGTAATTCTTTCATTGTTTCACCTTTACTCCTACGACAGTAATTTTCCAAAACAGGTATCTTGTCATTCCTCCTGTTGTTATCAGTAAATAAGTGAAATGAAGAGCTAGATTATGTAATTTATCTAGAACAAGAAAGTAGAATTGAATCTATATTCATTAATGAGACTAACCAGTCAATTACACAGATAGGCTTTTTACATTTTGAAGATCATATGGACCCATTGTCAGATATATTATTATTTATGTCTATATGGACATCACCTGTGCCTATTTATGTAGAACTCAATGACAGCTGATTTTTATTTTTATTATATATATTTTTTGAGATAGGGTCTTGCTTTGTTGCCCAGGCTGGAGTGCAGTGGTGCAATCACTGCTCACTGCAGCCTCAAACTCCCAAGCTCAAGCAATCCTTCCACCTTGGCCTCCCAAATAGCTAGGACAACAGGTGCACATCACCATGCCCACCTTTTTTTTTTTTAACTTTTGATAGAGGCTGGGTCTTGCTATGTTGCCCAGGTTGCTCTTGAACTCCTGGGCTCAAAGAATCCTCTCATTTCAGCCTCTTCAATGGCTGGTATTACAAGCATGAGCCACCATATGGGCTGGAAGCTGATTTTTAAAATACTGACATCATATAGATAACAGCACCTGAAAAATAGACAACACCTAGCTTTATGTTAAAAAGTGTGAGGGTATCAATATTGTTGTGGCTATTGGGGAGGAAAACATTAGTAAAACCAGTGAGTTAAAGCTGTTGCTTTAAACTTTGGCTTTAGTTTAACAAATGTTCTCTGGGGTGACAGTATGTACGTAACCATGCTATGCCCATTCACAGATGCAGTAGACGGAAGAATTTCTCAAAGACAACTGTTCTAAGATTGAAATTAAACCGCACTGGGTATGAAAAGAGAAAGTCCAGGAATTAGCAAATATTTTAGATATCAGATAAAAGAGAATGCCAGGTATGCGATGATAATCAGCAATGGTTGTTCACAGAATACATCAAATCAGTATTTGAATTAGCTTTTGAATTATAAGGACAAATGGATCAAGTCTTGACTCTTTAGTAGATAAATCTTATTAGGCTGAGATGTGTTTTCCCCTGTTTTTCCACAAGGAGATTACAAATTTGCAAACCTCAGCTGCTCTCATTTTATGCTGTCACCAAGCCAAAAGCTGAAGCTCATAAATCAGTGTGTCTAAGTGTTCACTAGTTATATACCTTTTTGTAGTTTAAGCTATCTTTCCAACTTCCTAAATCATCACCTTCATTTGACCTTGTTTTTTTCCACTATCACTTCTTTATTGACTACATAAAGAATATAAGTTCTTATTTTGTTATTGTTCATTTTAGTCTAATTTCATCAAAATATCATAATCCTTTAATTTCCTTTTAATTTCAAAGATTAAATGAAACCTACATAGAAATGAGTGTAAGATTTGCATTTGCGTTATTTTGGTATTAATTTGCTATCCTCCCTCATACACATAGTGATCACTTCCATGTACGTGATTTCAAACATCCAAGTGCAGTATTAAAAGCAGTTGTAAATTATGGTTCTGATTTTCATGATACAATTACTATATAAATTTCCTCTTGCTGCTGTAACCAGTTACCACAAACTTCATATCTTACAATAAAGTGACTGGTAATCCTACAGTACTGGAGCTCAGAAGCCTTAAATGAGACTCACAGGGCTAACATCAAGTTTTGGGCAGGGCTGCAGTCTTTCTGAGGGCTCTGTGGCAGAATCTATATACTTGATTTTTTTCAGCATCCAGCGGCCACCTTTATTCCTTGGAACATGACCTCATTCTTATATCTTTTATTTTTTTTTGAGATGGAGTCTCCTTCTGTCGCCCAGGCTGGAGTGCATTGGCATGATCTCAGCTCACTGCAACCTCTGCCTCCCGGGTTCAAGCGATTCTCCTGCTTCAGCTTCCTGAGTAGCTTGGACTACAGGCATGTGCCACCATGCCCAGTTAATTTTTTGTATTTTTAGTAGGGATGGGGTTTCACCATGTTAGCCAGGATGGTCTCGATCTCCTGACCTCGTGATCCACCCACCCCGGCCTCCCAAAGTGCTGGGATTAGGCGTGAGCCACCGCACTGGGTCCTCATTCTTGTATCTTAAAAGTCAGTGATGTTGAGTAATTTCTCATGCCACCACCTCCATGGTTGCCTTTCTTCTGCCTTCTTCTTTCACTTATAAGGAATCTTGTGATTTCATTGATCCCACCCAATTAAGATAATCTCTCCATCATTTTATTGCAACCTTAATTTCACTTGAAATCTAATTTCCCACTGCCATGCAACCTAACATATTTGTATGTTAGACTCTGGGAATTAGGACATGAACATTTTTGGGAGGCCATTCTTTTGTCTACACCAGACATAATCTATTTACCTGCAGATTAAAGTGTTCTTTATTTTTCTGCCTCCCTCTCTTAATTTTTTAAAGTAATATGAATTGTAGTAAAGAGAAAGAAAGAAAAGAAAAGAAAGAAAAAAGAAGCAAGGAAAGAAGGAAGGAAGGAAAGAAAGAAAGAAGAAAGAAAAGAAGGAGGAAATGAGAAAAGGAAGGGAGGGAGGAAGGGACAAAGGCAGGAAGGGAGAAAAAAGAAAGCAAGACATGGCTTTCCAAAACCTTGTGCATTCCAAAGGTCTTCAGGACTGGCCCTCGACAAGCTCCTGGGAGATGATAACCTATGAGCCCTTGGTATATGCTGCCTGATGAGAGTCTTTGTATACCTGAAAACGTAGGTCCTACCAAATAGCTGATGCTAACAACGTGATTTCTTGTGAGCACCTGTTTCTGTATGCCTATGACTTTGTGTAATGCCATACTAATATGACCTCTCTTAGGGCATAGGGAGGTTGGGAACTAAGTAGCTAAGTTCAGTCACAGGACGCTCGATGCATATGTGGTGGAATCCTAATGAAAACCCTGGACTCAAGACTGACTGAGCTTCCCTAGTTGGCAACAAGTTCACACATGTTGTCTCACACCATTGTAAAGAAAATTAGTCAGTGTGAAGTCCCCACTATGAAAGGACACCTGTAAGCTCACATCTGGTTTGTCCTGGACTCAACTTTATGTGCTTTTATGCTTCTGATTATTTTAATCTGGTTTCTTTCACTGTTAGAAACTATAACCACAAAAAAAATCAGCTTTCTTGAGTTATGTGAATCATTAAACCAAAGGGGGACTTGGGGACCCCCAGTAAAAAGTATATACATTCTTAAAAAGAAACAGAAAACTGGCCACAGCAGATATTGTTGATGACTTGTCTTCTATCTCCTGGACTCAATGTGTTCACCTGAAATTCACCTGTTTCCAACTAACTGAGAGCTCCCCACATCATGCCTGTCTTTCTGATTTTTGGGCCTGCCTGCAAGCTTCTTGAGGCTAACCAGTGCTTCTCAACCACACATAGGAACAAAGAAGGAGTTAGGGGTGGAGAGTTAATGATTCTAAGGCAATCCTTAAGCAATAAGAGATGGGGATTCCAGCATCCCCATCTCTTTGTAAAGTTATTTTGAGACAATCTCCATACCTCCATCATTACTGAGCACAATAGCAGTAACTACTCATTCACACTGGCTTCGTGTTCTGTTTCATTTTCTCCACTTCTGTGCTTTCTCACTCAATTTCTGATTAAAGTATCTGACCCAAGATATTTGTTTCATCATCTATTTTTGAGGGAATCCAGAGCCAAGACAATAACAATGGGAGCTTTGCAATGAGGGAGGCTGAGTATAATCATCAGAAGAGTACCTACCTCACTGGGAACATGAAGGCCTGGAGAGCTTGCTGTTTCAATGAGAGAAAAATGTTGAATCTCAGTTGAATACCTATATATATATGGGCAATAAGTCGTGCTCTTTACTTATATCAAAGGAAAATGCTCTTTACCTCTCTTTGTTGTTGTGTTTTTATCACTATTGCCTACACAAGCAGAATATCATACCCAGGATTTAAAGCCCTGTCTGCAGGATTTTCAAGCTCATGTTTTTATCATAAGTCACTGTGCTTCCATGTGTTTTAAATCTAATCCTCATTCCTCTGCTTTTACACCAGAGAATTCATCACTGACTTATTTTTGACTGACCTTATAGAGCTGTCAAGTACACAATTTCTGCTGTGACCTTTCTCTTAGAGTTCAGTCATATAGCCTCTCCCTAGATATCATCTCCTCTTATCTTTCATAATAATGAATTGTCAGTTAAAACTCAACATTTTTAAGATTGAGCTTACCATCTACACACACCATTATTGGTGTATTCTCATAGCCTTGAAACACTAATGTCACGTTGATGTCTGCCTTTTCTTTCTCTGCTACCTCATCCCTCATCCTTAGATTATTCTAAAAGATTCAATTAGATCAAGTTGGCTAATTATATTTTTAAGATCCTCTCTACCCTTACCAATTTTTTGTTTAACAAATTTTAAAAATTTCTGGCAGGAGACTGTGGAAATCCCCATGGATGACTGTGGTTTTACTATTTTACCTTTCAGTTTTAATAGGTTTTATATTATGTATTTTGAAGTAATGCTATTGTATGCATACATATTTATTATTTACATGTCTTCTTGGAGTATTTTCCCCTTTGTCATTATGAAATGTTATTCTTCATCCCCAGTGATATTTCCTGTTCTGATGTCTACTTTGCTCATCACAGTTTTAGTGGGTTTTGGTTTGTTTGTTTTTCTTTTTTTTTTTCGGTTCAAATAAGTTTCTTATAAAGAGCATATAGTTGAGTCAGTGTTTTTAATCCTGTCTTATGATCTCTGCCTTTTAATAAGAATATTTTGTCAATTTATA
Organism: Homo sapiens; assembly: GCF_000001405.40. Taxonomy (NCBI): domain Eukaryota; kingdom Metazoa; phylum Chordata; class Mammalia; order Primates; family Hominidae; genus Homo; species Homo sapiens. The sequence goes on from NC_000021.9 coordinate 13,157,533, forward strand.
TTTAATGTAATTATCAATATGATTGGGTGTGTAACTACTCTCTTGCTATATGTTTTCTAAATATCTCATCATTTCTGTTCATTTTCCCCCTTTTTCTGCCTTCTTTTGAATTGAGAATTTAGTTTTTAAGATCCGCTTTTATCTCCACTATTAACTTTTAACCGTTCCATTTTGTTTTAATTTTAATGATTGATATAGGGCTCATAAAATAGACAGTTCTTGTTTTCCTTAGTTTTGATATGCAAAGGCTTTAGTTATCATGCTTTAGTTACATAGCACAAGCCCCAAAACAAAACAGTTTAGGTACAGCAGTGTATTAATTGGGACTAACAGATTGAAGTATAATTTTTTTCTGTTAACTCTTCAGTCCATAAAACTATTAAGTAAATATCAGATTTGCATCAAGATCCATGATCAGTCATGTCACTTTTCTCAATATCTATCAATAATCAATTACTATGTATCTGTTTTGTATTCATACAGAGACAGGAAAGCATCCAGTAGTGTTGCTTCTTTGTCTTTCAGTGATAAAGGCATGACATTATACAAAAATTGATAAACGACAGAAAATCAGCCAACAAAAATGAAAGTGTGGCAAATAAATGAAAGTGTCAACACCGAAAGTGAAATTCAGATTGGATCTTGATGGATTTATAGAAGAAATAGTTAATTGCGAGAATGCTGACACAACTACCATCCAAAAGATTTCATATGTGCAGTCAGGGGAACTTACAGAAGACATATTTACAACTTAAATGAAGAAGCTGATTGCAGGGAAAAGACAAAAGTTTTCCCAGAAGATGTGATGCTGAGAAAAAAAATTACATTGAAGAAATTCTCCAAGATGTTTAAAGACAATGAACGCACAAACAATAAAATGTTGGACAAATAATCGAATTTATAAAGAAGTATGGCAATTCACCAAAGCATAAAAAATATTGAGAGTCACATGATGAGAAGTTGTGCAAATACTGTACAAACTACTCTGAATACATTTCAAAGAAATATATAAAACATGTATTTTAATTATCAATGTTTTAAATTATAGTGTACTATATAAATACTAGTTTTAGGGTTGTTTTTTGGTTTTTACTTTTCTATGCATATATAACCAACAGTAAGACATTTTTAATATTTTGACAAATGTGTTTATTTATTTATTCTTTTATTTAGAGACAAGATCTCACTCTGTTGTCCAGGCTGGAGTGCAGTGGTATCAAAAAGGCTCACTGTAGCCTCGACCACCAGGCTGAGGTGATCCTCCCACCTCAGCTTCCTGGATAGCTGGGACTATATGTACGTATCACCACTCCTGGCTAATTTTTTGTAGTTTTTGTAGAGACAGGGTTCCGTCATGTTGCCCAAACTGGTCTCAAACTCCTGGGCTCAAGTGATCTGCCCACCTTGGCCTCCCAAAGTGCTGGAATTACCGGTGTGATGTCACTGCACCTGACTGACAAGTGTTTTTAATGATTGCAGGAACAAGTTTATGTTTTTCCATTAATTATTAAGATAACTTTGCCCAGTTTCAACTTGCACAGTGGTTACTAAGGCCCCCCACTGATGTGCATAAAGAGTACCATCTGTACATTTTTTTAACTTAAAACACTCAACCTTCAAATAATATTTATAATACCTGCTATATAGTTTTAAAATATTGCAATTCTGAAGCCAGCATTACCATGATACTAAAACCCAGCAACCTATAATCCTGAAATGTAAGACCTCAAACTATGAGAATCCTAGAAGTAATGCTAGGAAACACCATTCTGAAAATCAGCCTTGGGAAAGAATTTATGACTAAGTCCTCGAAAGCAATTTCAACAAAACAAAAATCGACACGTGGGACCTAATTAAACTAAAGAGCTTCTGCACAGTAAAAGAAACTATCAACAGCATAAGCAAACACCCCACAGCATGGGCGAAAATATTCACAAACAATGTGTTCAATAAAAGTCTCATATCTGGAATCTATAAGGAACTTAAACAATTAAACAAGCAAAAAACAAATAACTTAATTTTAAAAATGAGCAAAACCATGAACAGATACTTCTCAAAAGAAGGCATACAAGTGGCTAATAAACATGAAAAAATGCTCGTAATCACTAATCTCAGAGAAATGTAAATCAAAACCGAGATGAGATATCATCTCACACTAGCCAGAATGGCTATTAATAAAAACTCCAAAAACGTTTAATGATATTTTTTATTGAAAAGTTCCTGCTAAGGCTAGAGAAGAAGGGGAATGTTTATACACTGTTGGTGGGAAGGTAAATTAGTTCAGCCAATGGGGAAAGTAGTTTGGAGATTTCTCAAAGAGCTTAAAACAGAACGACCATTTGACTTAATAATCCCATTTCTGGTTATATATCCATAAGAAAATAAACTATTCTACCAAAAAGACACATGCACTTGTATGTTCATTGTAGCACTGTTCCCAATAGCAAAGATATGGAATCAACCTAAGTGCCCATCGGCAGTGGATTGGATAAAGAGAATATGGTACATATACACTATGGAATACCACACAGCCATAATAAAGAACAAAACCATCTATTTGCAGCAACATGGATGCAACTTGCAGCCATTATCTTAAGTGAATTAATGCAGAAACAAAATCAAATACCACATGTTCTCACGTGTAAATGGGAGTTAAACACGGGGTACTCATGGACATAAAAACGTCAACAATAGAAACTGGACGCTGCTAGAGGGAGAGGAAGGGAAGGAGGGAGGCCGGGGTTGAAAAACTGTCTGTTAGGTACTATGCTCAGTACCTGGGAGATGGGCTCAACCGTACCACCAACCTCAGCATCACGCAATATATCCATGTAACAAACCTGTACATGTATTCCATAAATTTAAAATAAATGTTCAAATAAAAAAACAAATATTATAACTGTCTATCCATTTTCTCTCTACAGTTCTTTGCCCTACTGTCATAGGGTTTTCCTCCTTTCTTTATATATATTTTGAATGCCACAGAAATAATTGTTATTTTGGTTTTAAATAATCCATTACCTTTAACATTACTTAAAACATGAAAAAACGTCTTTTGTATGTATTGTTTCTTTTTCCATTTTTTTTTTTTTTTGAGACGGAGTCTTGCTCTGTTGCCCAGGCTGGAGTGCAGTGGTGTGATCATGGCTCACTGCGACCTCCACTTCCTGGGTTCAAGCGATTCTCCTGCCTCAGCCTCCCGAGTAGCTGGGATTAGAGGCGCACGCCACCACACCCAGCTAATTTTTGTATTTTTAGTAGAGACAGGGTTTGACCATGTTGGTCAGGCTGGTCTCCAACTTCTGACCTTGTGATCTGCCCACCTTGGACTCCCAAAGTGCTGAAATTACAGGTGTGAGCCACCATGCACAGCCCTATGTATTATTTCTAACATGAGTCATTTCTTTTTAAAAATGTAAATTATCCCAGCACCATTTATTAAATAGGAATCCTTTCCCCCATGTCCAACAATGATAGACCGGATTAAGAAAATGTGGCACATAGACACCATGGAATACTATGCAGCCATAAAAAACGATGAGTTCATGTCCTTTATAGGGACATGGATGAAGCTGGAAACCATCATTCTCAGCAAACTGTCACAAGGACAAAAAACCAAACACTGCATGTTCTCACTCATAGGTGGGAATTGAACAATGAGAACACATGGACACAGGAAGGGGAACATCACACACCGGGGCCTGTTGTGGGGTGGGGGGAGGGGGGAGGGGGGAGGGATAGCATTAGGAGATATACCTAATGTTAAATGATGAGTTAATGGGTGCAGCACAGCAACATGGCACATGTATACATATGTAACAAACCTGCAAGTTGTGCACATGTACCCTAAAACTTAAAGTATAATAATAAAAAAAGTAAATTTTCATCCTGTTACTTTCTTTTTGTCTACCATTTCTGTCAGTACCAGTATGCTGTTGATAAAATCTATCAGCTACTTATTGTCAAAATAGCTTTATTTGCTTTCATTTTTGTAAATTTCTTGATTTTTTTAGAATTTTCACATGAATGAATTTCCAGGTTGACTTGTTTCTCTTGCTTTAAGTAATAGAATGTTGCGCTACTGTCTTCTGATATACATGCTTATCATAAAAAGTAGTTATTACATTGGTTCCATTGTCAATAATACATCTCTTTTTCTCCAACTGTTTTTAAGTTTTCTTTTTAGAAACAACTTTCTTCAACTTAATCTTTTTATTCATTTTGCTTTGATTCCACTGCGCTTCTTTTACCTGTTGGTTTATAGTTTTACCAAGTTTTAAAAATATCTCAACCACTGCCTTTACAAATAGTTTTTGCCCTCCCCCCATTTCCTGGGATTTCAATTATGTGTGTTGTTAAGCTGCTTAATATTTTCTAATCCCATAATTTCTGTCTTTTCTTGGTCTGTTTCTGTTAATTTTTTTTTCTTGTTTTGGATGAATTTTTTTGTTTATATGCATTTCTGTTATTTTTTTAATGTCTAAGGGAAATTCTGAATTCTACATTGTTAGGATCTGGATTTCGTTTTATTTAAAGAGAGATGAACTTTGTTTTCAAATGCAGTTATCTGAGATCAGTGGTGATATTGTTTACTTTTAAATGTGATTATAATGGCTTCAGAGCCTTGACTCTAGAGCTGATTCACCCCTCTACTAAGGTGTGATTATTCTGAGAACTCTATCTGATGTTATAAGTTTCTCACTCTGGCTGGAGCACATACTGGTTCTTCTAAGGCCCATATGACCTCCAGGAATTTCTCTGGCCCATTGCTAATGAAGACTCATTTTTCTATCTCATGGAGTTTTACTTTATGTAGGCACAGTTCGGTTCTCACTCAAGGACTCCAGAGAACCTCTACGTAAATCTCCACAGTTCTCTCTCTGTGCAGCCCTCTTCTCTCTGTCAGTCTGCCTTGATGATTCTAGTCACCTTGGCCTCCATAAACTTTGATATCTTGCTCTTAAATTCAGCAAATCATGATATTCTCTCTCGGATTGTCTCATACCATGCTGGAGGCTGGAAATCACTTTCAGTAAGTATGCTGGCACTATAAAGGGTATATATTGTTTTCTTTCTCTGAGAAATCACAGTTTTGTGCTGCCTATTTTTTTCATGCAATGAAAACAGTTTATATACTTGCTCTGGATTTCTAAACGTTTACAAAAGTTGCATAATTCTGGTAATCATTAATTCTTCATCAGCAACAGTTGAATTCTCAGAGACTTGTTTAACTGCCCAGATGACAATTATCCTATTGCTTTATTCTTCAAATCTAGTAAGTGAATCAAAGTCAGTCTTAGTGATGATCAGTATCTCTATATTTTTGTCTAAAAAACAGAATGCTATTTTAATCTATAGATTCAAGTGTCATTTTATCTCTTTGAAGTTTTCAACAAGTAATGTTTCCAATGTTAATGTTCTTTCTTATTCTTCAAAACATCAAGTAGGCAGAGGTTGAGTCTCCATTGTCATGCATCTATATTTACCAACACCATATTAAGGATTTTTATTATGCCTTTGTCTTTTCATATAATTTACTTTTGTATGGTTTCTTCTAGATATTCACTATTTTTCTGGATGTAATTGCTGATGTATATAGTGCCTATGTATTTCTTACATAATTCCTTAGTTGTTCACTTCAATTTCTAAATGGAGATTAAGTTAACTTCAATTTGTTCTCTGATTACTTTGGTAATTCTACTTGTGATGTAGTTTTAGTAACTGCATCTTGTTTATGCTTTTTGTTCATTTTCATATTTAGAAAATAGAACACCAGGCATATATATTTTACTGATTTTTTTCTCTCTGCATTCCTCATAGAACAGATCCAGTATTAGCTAAGGGATCCTCTGGGGCAGGAGTGGGGTGGCATTGCAGTTTGTATCTTTTTTTAAATCCATGTTTTTGTAATGGAATACCATCACACTAATTTTCTTACTCCCTAAGTACTGGATAATTGTTTCTCCTCCTATCAGCATTCACTTTTCTAAAGGTAATGTGGCTCAGATTTAGATTCCTAGGTTTCTAAATCTTCATTTCTAATCTCTATATTATCACATGCTGGTTAATTCTTTTCTCTTTTGCTCTTTTCCACTTCTGTGAGCTTCATTCTGTTTGGAACTCAGAGTATATGAAATGAACAGAGTACATCAGCCTGAATTCTCTTACAACTTCAAATTCTTTCCATTTTATGGTTAGACAACACTGAGTTACTCTATAGTGACTTTCCTACTTTTATTAATATCATGGTCACATTATTCCATAAAATCTAACAATTTTAAGAAAAATAGTTTTTGAGTTACATCTCCCAGAGTAGCGGCAATGATATCTGGAAAAAATGACCATCCTGAACATGTACTGATTATACATGTGAAAGCACTCACTCTGATCACTCCTTGTTTTTGTTGAAATATAACAGTATTTGGAAGGTTTGCTTCTCAGTTTTTGGTTTCGGGCTATAGTTGTTTCTCTGAAGATGCTTATCTTCTTATTTTTTCTTGTTTTCTTTTTGTCCTCAATGAAATGAATTTTAATAGAAGAATGAAATGTAAAATATTCAAATTCAGGGTCTTACAGTGTCTATAGTTTTGGGCACTCATTTTAAAACTGAATAACAATTTTCAATGCATATGACTCATTCTCTACCCTCCTTTCTTCCATTCTTCTGAATGTGTGACAAAAAAGTATAGATGGTCTGAATGGTAATAAATTAAAAAATCATTTCATGATGGTCCTATTCCTGTAATTCTATTTTCCAATTGACCTCCACTTCCTATCTTAACTGCATAAAAGTGAAATAAATCAGTGACTATTTAATTTTAAAAATAAGTGGTCTGAATGATTTTGCTGGGATAAGTAATAAAAAATGTTGAAATCTTTGAGATTTTCAATTTGCTTAAAAAGAAAAAAGTCTCAGGCTTTGGCAAAGCAAACATGCATTTTGCTAAGTAATATTCCCCCTTAATTTTGAGATTTATTTTGGCTTCATACATTTCTTTCTTATATGAATACCATTAAAGTAAAAGTTATTTCAGAGTTATCAGGTGGAAGACTTTTATAGATGTATGTGCATGCATATTTTTTTTTTCTTAAAAATATAGTTGTTTTAGTTTGGGCTGCCAGAGCAAAGTACCATAGACTAGGCACTTTGTAAGCTGGATGGGTTTATAAACAACAGAAATTTATTTCTCACAGACCTTGAATTCAGAAATATGAGATTAGAGTGCCAGCATGGATGAATTCTTGTGAGGACCCTCTTCTGACTTGCAGACTGCCGTCTTTTCTTTACATCCTCACACAATAGAAAAAGAGCAAGAGAGTTCTCTGGGGTCTTTTTTATAAGGGTGCTAATCTCATTCACATGGGCTCCAGTCTCATGATGTAATTAGCTCCCAAAGACCCCACCTCCTAGTACCATACATTGTGGGTTAGGATTTTGACATATGAATTTGGGTGGGGGGGAGAAAAACAACCATTTAATCCATTGCAATAGTGAAGGTGGAGGAGATACAAAATGAAATAAGTAAATCTTCCATAAATCTTTCATAAATTATAGTATAAGAAAATATCATGAATGGTTCAAATTTGTGATTTTTATCACTACAAAAGAGATTATGAGACTGTGATATGGTCTGGCTGTGTCCCCACCCAAAGCTCACCTTGAATTGTAATAATCCCAATATGTCAAGGGCAGGGCCAGGTGGAGATAATTGAATCATGGGGGCGGTCTCCCCCATACTGTTCTCATGTTAATTAATAAGCCTCTGTTGGTTTCATAATGGGAGTTCTCCTGCACAAACTCTTTTGCCTGCTGCCATCTAAGACATGCCTTTGCTCCTCCTTTGCTTTCTGCCATGATTGTGAGGCCTCCCCAGCCATGTGAAACTGTGAGTCCACTAAATCACTTGTTCTTTATAAATGACCCAGTCAAGTATGTCTTTATTTGCATGAAAACAGACTAACACAGACTGATTCATCCAGCTCAGAAATATTTGAATAGGGCTTCTAAAAAGGGCCTTGCAAAGTATGTATTATGTGTATTGATGAAGATGGATGGAGTTTTCATGAAAGTTACCTGTAAATACACGGACCAGCCAAGGTGAATAAAGAAAGAAAGAAAATGAGCAGAGATGGACAGAATAGAAGCCAAACACGACTCATTTATTTACTTCTCTTTAAAGTGCCAAAGCACATATTAAATTTTTTTTTTAACTGGAGTCTCACTCTGTCACCCAGGCTGCAGTGCAGTGGTGCAATCTAGGCTCACTGCAACCTCCACCTCCCCAGTTCAAGCAATTCTCCTGCCTCAGCCTCCCAAGTAGCTGGCACCAGCCACCACACCTGGTTACATTTTTTTGTATTTTTAGTAAAGACGGGGTTTTACCATATTGGCCATGCTGGTCTTGAACTCCTGACCTTATGATCTGCCTGCCTTGGCCTCCCAAAGTGTTGGAATTACGGGCATGAGCCACCATGCCCAGCCACATAATTAATTTTTATCACAGATTTCACAGATTTTAAACTCCTCAAGTTACATTTCTCAAGTAGTAAAATCACTTATTTCTGAGTGCATTTAAGATGGACCTTGAGTTTATTTAAAATGCAGATTCCCAGGTCCTGTTGTATGCCTGTTAAATCAGAATCTCTGGACTTGGAACTAACTGAGAAGTTTGCACTTTAAGCAAAAATCCTGGCGAATTCTACAGACTAAGGCTTTAAAGCCATTCATCTGACATGTGGAGTACAATCTCTTTAGTTATCTTTAGTGAATATCCTCTATAATATTCACAAAGATTGTAAGTAAATAGTTAAATGTATCAATGTTAAGACTTCAACAATTTAAGAAATGTTCCCAAATGCAGCTGGTTTTCTTACAAAATGGGAGGTATAGTTGAGTGTATGTATTGGAAAATAAGGACTAAAACTCTCTTTAAGGATAATACCAAAGGTAATTTTCTTAATCCCTACTTTTAAAAATATTACATTGGCTTTGGTCTTCTTGTTGAACGGTTAATAATTTGACCGATAAATCTATAAATTCTTGTTAAGAACTTACTATAATCTTAGCTACATAAAGGTGATACAAAAGGAAGGGAACTATATAGTGCCTGAAATTTGACCTAAGAGTTATGAAGAGTTTGAGAAAACAAGAGAAAATATGAAAGATTATCATAGAACAGAAGGTAATTGCATGGTATTAATTTTAAATGCTGCCACTATGCACAGGCTAAGAAGAACAAAGAAGGTTTTTGTTGTAAAGTCAGGTTTCAGGAAGTGATTTGGCTAAGATGTGGACCTAAAAGCTGGGTAATATCACTTACAGAAAATACCATTACAGAAAATACCGAAATAGTCACTATCCACAATTTAGAAGAAAAAAACCTAAAGTTATCCTTTGTCCCATGATAATCAAGCAGTTGTCATTTAGCTCCTTTCAAGGTAACAAGGGATTTCATAGAATATTATACTTCAATAGCACTTCATCAAAATTTCATTTACAGTAAATCTAATTATCTCATTTCTTTTTTTTTGAGACAGAGTCTCGCTCTTTCACCCAGGCCGGAATGCAGTGGCGCGATCTCCGCTCACTGCAAGCTCCGCCTCCTGGGTTCACACCATTCTCCTGCCTCAGCCCCCCGAGTAGCTGGGACTACAGGATTATCTCATTTCTTACAAAAGTTACCCATGGTGCTGAGAAAACTAGAAACTGGACTTTAGATGATGCTTGGTATTGTTCCTATTTATTTTTAAAACTTGATATTTCTTCAGAGAGTAAACTTTGACTGTTATATTATGACAACATGTCGGGTATCATCAATTTGAATTTTGTTAGATTCATTTTTTTTTTTTTAGAACCCCAAGATAAATTGCTCAGTTTTTATGCTTAGTTTAAATTTGAGAGCCTTAATATAACTTGTACAATTTAGTTTCACTGTATGTTTTGTTATTATTTGGGAGGTGAGGAGAGTTCATTTGCAGTACAATTTTAGCATATTTTATAATATAGTCAGTCAAAAAAACGCTTCACATGTATATATTTCTTCTTTATTTTAGACTGTAGGTTATGTATTTTAAAACCAATTGTTAGATGTCCTGTTATACAGATTTACTTCTTCCTATTTGGTGATTTTTTGATGCATTAAAAAGAGAAAATTGTATAAACCTAATGACTATTGACAAGTGTTCAGAGAGATAAAAAAGATCTATAATTAGCACAATGGAAAGACTTCCAAATCCACACTCTTTTGACGTTTTCTCACCTGAAAAGTATTTATTGCAGTTTTACTGGTTGATTGGTTTTCATTTTCCTTTCAGTTGTGTTTCTATGCAGAAATTGCATGGAACTGAACAGGAACTGCATTACAATTGAAACTGTTTCTAATATTATTCACTAATGGGCAAATCCATTACTTTAGGTCCATTTCTTATACAAGGAAATGCAGTTACTCCGAGGACAATTCAGGTAAATAACTACCGCAGCATGGACCCAAGGGTAGCAGTAGAAAGTGGTGCTGCTCTAAGTTTCTCCTCTAGTGGATGCCAAAAGAAAACATTCTTATCACTGTGTACGTGCTAGGCATAATTGTTTTGGTATGTGTTCAGCACAGGCTTAGACAAAAGTCTTTCTATGTAAATCCAAACAGTAACTGTTGAATTACTCATTTAAACGTACGTGTTTCACAGCACAAGTTGTTAGTGAAAGGTTTCAACTTCTTATTTTAGACATTAAACAGATACCTCAAATGTTTGGGAATTCTTCCTTTACATCTCAGCAATGGAAATATTTAGCTTTTTTTTTTTTTTTTTTTTTTTTTTTAGCTAGCCAAGAGTCCCTGTACAGTGAGCAATCTTTTGGGGTCTTATCTTCTCATCACTGAAGAATTTATATGTGGACACTAAAGTAATATTAAAACCACTCACTCTTACTGGTAATTTACAGAATACAGTTTTAATTAACAGCAATATCGACAACAATAGCAATGATGAAACCTCTGAGGTGAAAGAGAATGTTAATTTTAGCAAAGAGTGTCTTGTCATCTGGACAAGGCTTACCAGTTCCTAGCCTCTAGTTTGTATACACTTATGCAATCATTTTGAATATTTACTCCCTGTATGCTGGTAGAAAAATAAGTGTCAGGACATTACATGTGAAGGAATAATTCAACATTTAAGTTTTTAAGAGTATATTCTTTTCAGATCTTGTTCCCCAAAGTTAAACATTGTGGTAGATTGAGACTTTCATTATTAAATATCTTACAGAAAACAAAGGAAATCATAACGTCTTATTTACCATCATTAAGAGAAACCTGAAGGCCAATTACTTATTGAGTGGCAGGCAACTCAATTACATTATTGTATAGAATCCTCAGGACTGTATTAAAAAATTATGACAAGGAGTTTACACAGGTCAGCCTATAAAACTACTGCATAATTTCTATCTGTAAATTAAAATAGAAAAGAAATAAGATTGAAGTAAATATGATAATAGTAAATTTCATGTCTAAGTGTGCTAAACTACCTGGCCTTTCCTATTCTTGAATAAAATTATTCTGGTTGCCATAATGCATCCCGAAGCTTACCTAGATGAGGAGAAATTCGAAGTATTCCAATGTCTGCACTCATGAATAGATCAAGACTTGGGGGAAACCAGTGATCTCTTGGCAACAGGACCAGAAGGTACGTAATCTCTTGTTTTGATTATATTTCATCTGCTGAAAAATTGCTTATCTCTCTGAGATTTATCTTAGAGATAACTGAAAGTAATTTTGTGACCTTCACATTGTCCGTATTTAAGTTAGATAATTGAAAATTTAGTGAGGATCCCAAAACCTCAAGTATGTATGGAGATTAAGATTTCCAACTCTGAAGAAAAACTGTCAGGTTCAAATCTTGGTCCTGTTCACCTCTGATGACTAACTCTGTGGTTACAAAACCCTCTTGCCTCCCTTTATCCATCTGAGAAAAAAATTGGTATGACTACATAGTTTGGCAAGTGGGGGCTAACTGAGCTACTAGACAACTTACACAGTAAGTCGACACAAAGCACATGCACAATAAGCATAATTAATATTACATTATTTTATTTTGTATGAGGTGGCAACAAATAGTTATCACATGCTTAATTTTAAATAAGCATTAATAGTGGTAGAAATTAAGGAAATTTATATATTAGAGAAAACTCTTAGAAATATGAAGGCTATCTAGTTATATTTGTTTCTTATGTATCACATCCTCAATTTTAAATAAAAAGCATTAATAATAGTAGAAATTAAGAAAATACATTTATTAGAGAAGTCTATTAGAAATATCAAGGCCTAATCTAATTATATTTGTTAACTGAACTTGAGACATATGAATATTCACATACTTTAAGATATTTTATCACTTATTTGAAGAGGGACTCTGGTCACTATAAGAACAACTCGCACATAGCAAAAACTAGTGATTGAATACATTCTAAAGAGTAACATACATTTTGAAAGTGAGCTGTTGTTGGCTGGGCACGGTGGCTCACACCTATAATCCCAGCACTTTGGGAGGCTGAGGCGGGTGGATCACGAGGTCAGGAGATTGAGACCATCCTGGCTAACATGATGAAACCCCGTCTCTACTAAAAAAAATACAAAAAATTAGCCAGGCATGGTGGCGGACGCCTGTAGTCCCAGCTACTCGGGAGGCTGAGGCAGGAGAATGGTGTGAACCCGGAAGGTGGAGCTTGCAGTGAGCTGAGATCTCGCCAGTGCACTCCAGCCTGGGGGACAGAGCGAGACTCTGTCTCAAAAAAGAAAAAAAAAAAATGAGCTGTAGTTATTGAACTTTTTATTATTACTTAATTACAAGAAAAAAACAAAGTAAACAACCAAAAAAATTATAGTGTTGAGAAAATGCCAAGGCTGCTCACCCACTTCTTTAACCATTCTTCAAAAAAGTGAGCTGTTGTTATTGAACTTTTTATTATTACTTAATTACAAGAAAAAACAAAGTAAACAACCAAAAAAAATATAGTGTTGAGAAAATGCCAAGGCTGTTCACCCACTTCTTTAACCATTCTTCAAATTTACCATATATATATTTTTTTGACTAAGTGAGATAAATCACATTGAAATGCATGAAATAATGTCTGGCATCCAGTAGATGCTCAGTGACATTTGTCCCCTTTAATGGTTTCAACTGGTTAGGATTTCCCACGAAGAACAGTAGCATTTTGGTATCACTAGGCTAATGTCCATTTTCTGTATTGGAGAGTAGAGAAACCCCTTGGGTGATAGCTTATTTTACCTACTATGGAATTTTTACAGAACAAAGTTAAGGGTCATCTGCTGTGTGGATTCCCACTGGTTATGTGAGACGTGGCAGAACATAATGGTGAGAAGAAGGATTCAGGAGCTGAACCATCTGGGTTCTTCAGGCTGTATCACCTACTGCCAATGAGAGGTTTAGCCAGTTAGTTACCTTTGTGAGCTTCCTCTGGTGAGGATCAGAAGAGTTAATACATAAGGCACCAATTATAATACTAACCCTGGGATGTAAAAAGGCTCAATTATTATTACTGGTTACCATTATTATTAAGAGTGTTAATAATAATTACTACAGCAATCTTTTCTAGACAAGGGAAAGTGAAGCAACTAATTAACCCTCAATGAAAAAAAGGTTTTTTTCACTGCTAAAGACTATTAACTCTGACATGAGTTTTAGAATAGTTTTGCTTTCTCTCTCTTTGCCTGTATTTTCTTTATTTTTTATTCTAATGTTTTTGATTTACCCAAGGATTTTGGTGCTAGATTGTGGTTCTGGTAGGCTGATCAAAGTTCATACCACAGGCAGTTAATTTTACCCAGATGACTCCTGGTTTCTTTCTTTTTTAAATAAATCATATCCACTGCCGAGGTTGATATGAGGACTTCTCTCCATTGGCAAGTAGCATTGTAGCCACAATCTCTTATTAAAGCTTGAAACAAAATGGTGATTACTAGTGTTTATGGCCAAATTTTGTTCATGCCTGACCACTGAATTTGTTTGGATACCAGGAAATTATGGACTGTGTGATTCGAATTAGGATAAGAGATTAAACCCTGGTAGCCATTCTTTAGCAAAGACTGTGCTGTTAAAAAAAATGGAAAATATCTTTTTAACCAAGTCAGTGAAATTAGCTTAGTCATGAGGATTGCAAGTGAGCTTTCTGTACTTGAGATGTAAACACAGTGCCAAAAAGTTTCACCAGGAGACTGGGGAGAGATGCTGATTCTTATTATGTGAGAGATTTGTAATGCTAACTTAATCTTCTGACTAAACCCCTTAATTTCCCATTTTTAACTATTCTAGATGCTTGTCTCAGGAAATGGAAGAAATCTCTTCAATAATGTTACCAGAGACATGCCATGTCATTTCTATCTTCTCAATACAACTACTTAGTTTCTTTTTTCTTTCATTTTTGCATAATTTCCATAGCAACATGTACATGGTGACTACATTACATCAATCAGCACCTCCACTCCTGGTCCCAGTTTTTTCTTTGCTAATCCTCACTGCTGACTTTTGTTGTGGTGTCATTATCATTTCACAAGGTAACTACTGTCACCTTGGAAATGAAATGCATGGTCAAAGCCCTTTAATACACAAAATATGTAAAATCTCCTCTTATGCATATTATACATGAAAGAAGGATAAGACCATCAGTTAGTTGTGTCTCCTCTGTAGAAATAGCCAGAGCATCAGGACAGCTGCATCCTCTTTCACAGAAGTAGGAGAGCAGATGCTGAGGCAGGACACAATAGTTCTTCAGCCTGTGTTGCCTCCACTTGCATCCTAGAGCACTTGTTGAACTCTCTCTTAGGTAAATGGTAATATTTTCTGAAGGCACTAAGAGAATTTTTACCATGAGGGTAAATACCAATTAGCTATTATCTCCTTTTAGTAGGAGTGTAGCACAAAGAACTTCTGATTGACTGCTTTTCAGGGGCAGGGATAATTTGTTTGTTTGCTTGTTTATGTATTTATTTATGATTTTAGTCAGATTGCATTCTAAGACTTCAGCAAGATTTCAACGAACATTTTCCTATTTTTTCTTTTTCTTTCTTTCTTTTTTTTTTGAGACAGAGTCTGGCTCTGTCGCCCAGGCTGGAGTGCAGTGGTGCGACCTCGGCTCACTGCAAGCTCCACCTCCCAGGTTCACGCCATTCTCCTGCCTCAGCCTCCCGAGTAGCTGGGACTACAGGTGCCCGCCACCACGCCTGGCTAATTTTTTGTATTTTTTTTTTTTTTTAAGTAGAGATGGGGTTTCACCTTGTTGGCCAGGATGGTCTCAATCTCCTGACCTTGTGATCTGCCCACCTCGGCCTCCCAAACATTTTCCTATTTAAGCCTTGCCACTGAAAATTTTCTGTCTTTAAGTCCCACATAACAACTGCAGCCTGTAACATCTTGTTGACTGGCTTGACAGAGGATGGCCAATTTTTGTGTTTAGGCTCAGATGTGCAGTGCTGGGTTCTCAAATTGTGTCCCAGCCTGGGACACTGTGGCTTTAATGACATCCTCATTATCCATCCTTTATATAAAAAACCTTATATCTGTATGCAAAGCCATGGACTCTTAAGATTTTGAGTGCATCATACATGCTACAGGCAGCAGAAGCTATATGAAGGATGTGCTTTCAGGCCAATCCCTGCCTAGTGTAGGCCCAGGTGGTATAATGCCTCATAACAGACCCCATTCCCTGGGCAAAGACATTGTGAATGGTGGGATCAGTATCCTCCTGTGACATGTGACATCCTCCTGTGACCTACTCACTATGATTTGGATGGCTCCCCTCAAGTTTGGGCTAGAGTGTCAGTGAGTGGATTAACTCAGGACAATTCCAGTTCTTTCTATGTACCTTCCTTTCATCATGAGGGATATGAAGAAAACATTAGATCATGTTGGATGCTGTTTGTCTGTTGGTTGGTTGGTTGGTTGGGTTTAACAATAAGAGCACGTATCTAGTCTTCTAGTTTTGTAAGGCTGCCATAATAATTTACATCCAAGCTGGTGACTTAAAACAACAGATATTTATTCTCTCATAGTTGTAGAAACCAGAAATTTGGAATCAAAGTGTCAGAGGACCATGTTCCTTCCAAAAGCCCTAGGGAAAAATTTTAATTCTTCCTTGCCTCTTCTAGCTTTTGGTGGCCCCAGGCATTCCTTGGCTGATGGCAGCATAACTCCAGTCTCTACTTTTGTCTTCATATGTCATTATTCCCTATATTTCTTTGTATTCTCCTTTTGTGTCTCTTATAAGGACACTCATTGGTGGATTTCATGCTTATCTCAATCCAGCATGACCTCAAATTGAGATGCTAACCTTAATTACATCTACAAAGATTCTTATGCCAAATAAAGTTACATTCTGAGCTTCCAGTTGAACATATCTTTGGAGATCCACTGTTGAACCTACTATGCCTAAAAACTCAGGCCTGTCCCAAGGGCAGATTTAAAAAGAAAGAGAAATTCATTTTGCTTTCTGATTTTGAGATTGTTCCTCTTACCCCTACTCCATTTTCAACACCTGAACTTTATCAAGAAAACTCAAAGACAAAATGTGGCCAAGGTTGGCAATAAATACATTTTTGCCAATAATCTGATGGGAAACTTATGTTACTTCTTGTAAATCAAAATAAATTGGATCTGCTGGCAATCTGGTTAACCTGCAATTTAGATTATGACAATGGTGTTCTTATTTTATGCATTTTCACATGCTCCAAATCTCCTTCTGTATCTCTTTCTAAAATTTTGCTGAGAGTCCATCCTTTCTGACCAAAGGTTATTTCATTCTCCACTGAAGTAGTTATTAAAAATATCTTCTGGTAGATAAGGAAAAAGTGGCTCATGTATACCACTGGAATTCTACACAGCCATAAAAAAGAACCAAATTAGGTTATTTGCAGCAAAATGGATGCATATGGAGGCCATTATCCTAAGCAAGATAACATGGAAACAGAACCAAATACTGCATGTTCTCACTTATAAGCAGGAGCTAACTATTGTGTATTCATGGTCATAATGGTGGAAAGGATAGTCACTGGGGACTACTAGAGGATGGAAAGAGGGTGAGAGGCAAGGGCCAAAAAACTATTTTTTGGATCTTATGCCCACTACCTCGGTGAAAGATTGATTCATACTCTAAACCTCAACATCACTCAATATACCTTTGCAGCTAACCTGCATGCATACCCCCAATTCTAAAATAAAAGTTGAAAAAAAAAGCTTAGAAAAGAATTGAAGGAAATACAAAAATAAGTTACCACGACCACCTCTTGATGGTGAGTATGGGTAATTTTTGTTGGTTTATATTGACCCCCTATTTAGCAAAATTCCTGAAATGATCACATTAATGGGAAAATATAGTTTTCAGTTCCTAGAAAGGTTTGCTTGGTTTATGTTTAAAAACAAATGATTCAACGGCTCTTTTCACAGACTTGATGGTGATTTGGGAGAAAATCCAGAAATTGGTGACCTATTATGAGTTCATAATTAGGCCCATTATTTCTGATAAAATATTTCAGTAGCATTAAAATGCTAAGCTGAACTAAGATGTTCATGAAATGTATTCAAATAAACAAACCCAATTTAAAGATGATTGTATAAAAATATCTTACTTGATAATATAAATGCAAAATTTGTGAATGTTTATTTATAGTTCCTGTAATTTGGGGAAATTAAAGTCACTTGGGAACAATATTTACTTCACTAGCAACCAAAGGAGTACAATTGAAAAATAATGACTTGAAAATAAAATAAAAGTAAAAAAGGACTTCATTTCTTTTCACACAGTCTGAAAGAGTGAGTGCACAAGCTTTTCTCTGCCCAACTCCTCTTTGTCCACAAGGAATTTTCAGAATTCCTCCGTGTCTGTCTTATAATTTCATTCCTTGCTCATATAAGCAAGTTGGTTCAGAAACCCTAAGACTGTTATACCGTCAGTTGGGTTAGTTTAAAATAACCCCTATGAGCAGTTCAACACTGAATTGGCAATGCTTTGGAAAGCAGAGACCCTGTCAGCTAACCAGCCATCCTTTAAAATCAATTCATATTTTCACAGTCCCTGGGGATTGTTTCACAGGGCTAAAATTTCCCTGTTGGAACAGGGTTACTTGAAGATAACAGGGACACTTGAAGGTAAGGATGTCAATATTTTGCTGTTTCTGAATGTCATTCATTCAGAGATGGCTTAAGACATTTGTAATTCCTTCAAAGATGGCATAAGAAATTTGGATTTTCAAACTTTAGTTTTCTCATCTTAGAGTTTGAGGTAATTTTATTTGTCAGCTGCCAGAAAATAAAAAGAACACATAAGGTAGCAGACTAATATCTACATTGACCTATTGTAGAGCCAGAAGGACCCATTTATTTAGCAAGAGACTTCTTTACTGTGTCTAGTTCAGGTTCCCGGAAAGATGGGACAATTTGTAGTAACACTCATTCCTTCTGCTAAGGGTCATAAGATAGGTTTAGACATATGGTCCCATTTTGATGATGTTTTAAACTTTGTTTATTTTACATACCCTGTGATAGAGCCAATCAATGTAGGGGCCTAAACGTCGGTATAGCCTGTAATTTTGACAGATGCCCAGATTGTGGTATTGACAAATAGGACAGATGTCCCGAGGGGCATATGTGTAGAAATAGATGACATTTCACAGAGAATTTACTAATTCAATATAATGCTGAAACAACATGTGGTAGTAGTTGAACCCATATATAGAATACATTTGGGGAAATATTTCTCACATATTTGACGTGGTGCCCAGAACTATATGATGTGAAGAGTAATTGTGTGTTTTGTATGGGAACACATTAGTAAAACCTCATGCAAATCAAAATCAATCCAGATGAAAAATAATTAATAACGGTGTTTACAAACTCAAATAATACCTGCACAAGGCAATGGCATAAACAAAGTTTACAATGCCTCCAGATGGCAATATTTGAAAGATGATTTCGAGTTTTACACACAAATCGAGAATTTATTCATATAACATATGGAGCTAACTAAAATCCATATAATTCAAATTCGCTTACATTGTAACTAAATGGAATGGAAAAGGAGTTCCTGTTCATTTTACCACTTTCAGAATAGAAAATTCTGGATCTGGTGAAAATTGATCATTTTCCTTTTGTTTTAATTCAAGGTATAGACTCGTGTCTAAAGACATGGTTAACTGTTTAAGGAGAATAGAGGATGAAGAAGGGTTAAATGACAAGCAAGTTTTAAAAGTCTGATATCAACTAATTTTTAGGCAAGGAAGATTTAAAAATTTCACTGTGATTTGAGTGAGAGGCCCCTTACTTTTTATATCACATTGTAAGTTTAAAGAAGAAGAGAATAAAAACATCATGGCTAAATCACCTGAAATGACTTCAAATTTTCTACAAATGATAAACATATCCAATGTGATAATTATAATTCAAGGCCCATTTTAATCTGACCCTAAATTTTCTTTCCCATTCTAATAATCAATAAGCTAATCAATAAGCTCATAACATCCTACAGATTCTGCACACACACATGCACACACACACAGAGAAACACAGTCACTTCTTCAAACACATTGTTTTTTCATTTTTCTTTGCCTTTCATCTATTTATTTATTAGAGTGCCCACCTCCAAGGTAAGAGGGTTATTGAGATAATTTTATAAATGTCACGGGGCTTGCCCTCATAAAGTCTATATTACAGAAAGGAAGTTGAGAAGAAACAACCAATGGTTCAATTACTTATTAAAATTAGTTTGGATCATTATCTCTCCATCCACTGTTAATCTACTTATAATCTTCTTTGCTCTTTACCATGTTTAATGAACTCTTAGACTTTTAACTTTTATTTTAAGTTCACGAGTACAAGTGCAGGTTTGATACATTGGTAAATTTGTGTCTTGGGGGTTTATTGTACAGATTATTTCATCACCCTGGTATTAAGCCTAATACCCATTAGTTATTTTTCCTGATCCTCTCCCTCTACCCTCTAGCCTGTGAAAAGCCCCATGGATGTTGTTACCCTCTGTGTCCATATGTGCTCATCATTTAGCTCCCACTTATAAGTGAGAACATGTGGTATTTGGTTTTCTGTCTCTGCATTTGTTGGCTAAGGATAATGGCCTCCAGCTCCATAATGTCCCTAAAAAGGACATGATCTCATTCTTTTTACGGCTGCATAGTATTCCATGATGAATATGTACCATATTTTCTTTATCCAGTCTATCACTGATGGGCATTTAGATTGATTCCATGTCTTTGCTTTGTGAATAGTACTGCAATGAAGATATGAATGCATGTGTCTTTATAATAGAGTAATTTATATTCCTTTGGGTATTGATAAGGTTTGGCTGTTACCCCACCCAAACCTCATCTTGAATTATAGCTCCCGTAATTCCCGTGTGTCATGAGAGGGACCCAGTGGGAGATAATTGAATCATGGGGGCAGGTCTTTCCCATGCTGTTCTCCTGATAGTGAATAGATCTCATGAGATCCGATGGTTTTATAAATGGGAGTTGCCCTGCACAAGTTAACAAGTTCTCTCTTGCCTGCCTCCATGTAAGATGTGACTTTGATCCTCATTCTCTTTCTGCCATGATTGTGAGGCCTCCCCAGCCATGTGGAACTGTGAGTCCATTAAACCTCTTTTCTTTATAATTTACCCAGTCTCAGATACATCTTTATTAACAGCATAAGAACAGACTAGTACAGGTAATGGGATTACTGGGTTGAGTGGTATTCCTTTCTTTAGGTCTTTGAAGAATCACCACCCTGTCTTCCACAATGGATGAACTAATTTACACTCCCATCAACTGTGTATAAGCATCCCTTTTTCTCTACAACTTTGCCAGCGTCTTTCATTTTTTTATTTTTGATAATAGCCATTCTGACTGGTGTTAGTATCTCATTGTGGTTTTGATTTGCATTTCTCAGAGTCTAAAATCTAGAATTAAAACTTTTAACTTGGTGAGCCTATGTTGAATGACTACAGAGAACCTAGATAAGCAATTTTCGTTTGCATTTTATCCAAAACAGGTGGCAAGAAGAAAAGTTTAAGAATTTCAAGTGGCTTGATTGGACTCTTCTTCATGGTCGCTGAGTCAAGGACCTTCTCTTCTAGTGAATTTAAGGGTTTTGTGGAACACTAGTCTTTCTTTATGAACTCTGTCCTCTTTTCTCATACAATTTATCTTTTCCACATATGGATGGAATAAAACTGCAGAAAATATAATGAAATGGATAACCATATATTTTTTAAAATAGAAATTTTTGAGTATTGACATTCAAGGTTTTAATTCTAGATTTAAAAATACATTTTATTTACACACTCATCAGTTAATGGATGCTTGAATTATTTTCACTTTTGGTCTATTATGAATAATGCTACTATGAACATTAATGTATAAGTATTTGTGTGAACAAATAGAACAGACATGGTCAGTTCTCTTGGGTATATTCCTACAAGTAGAATTTCTGGGTCATATGGCAGCTCTATGTTTGATTTTATGCAGAATTTCTAAACTGTTTTTCAAAGAAACTGTTTTACATTCTGAGAAGCAATGTATGAGAGTTCTAATTCTTTTACATCCTCAGCAACACTTGTTATTATCTGTCTTTTTTATTATAGTTATTCTGGTATTTGTGAAGTTTCATCTCATTATGATTGTGATTTGCATTTCCCTAATGGCTAATAACAGTCAGCATATTTTCATGTGCCTATTGGCCATTTGTATATCTTCCTTGGCATAAAGTCTTTCAAATTACTTGCTCATTTTTTAATTGAGTTATTTGTCTTTTGATTTTTTAGTTGCAACAGTTCTTTATATATTATGCATAAGTCCTTGTCAGACATACAATATGAAAATATTTTGGTTCCTGCTATACATTGGTTTTCCCCTTTATAAGTGGTGTATTTTGTAGATCAAAAGCCTTTAATTTTAATGAAGTCCAATTTAACAATATTTTTCTCGTGTTGCTTGTGTTTTAAGTGTCATATTTTTTGTTAAGTGTCATAGGTTTTTTAATATGAATGAGTGTTGGATTTTCTCCAAAGATTTTCCTACAACTATTGTCATGATAATCCTTTTTGATCCTTTATTTTATTAATATACATATTTTATTAATTGATTTTCCATTGTTGAAGCATATTTGTGTATCTGGGATAAATCCTACTTGGTCATGTTGTGTAATCCTATTTAAAGTTATTGGGTTTAGTTTGCTAGTATTTGATTGAGGATTTTTTTTCTTTGCTTTGTATTTATAAGGAATATCAGAATTTTTTTCAATATTTATTTTAGATTCATGGGGCATATGTGCTGCTTTGTTACTTGGATATATTGTCTGATGCTAAGGTTTGGGGTATAAGTGATCCCATTTACCAAGGTACTAAACATAGTACACAAAAGCAGGTTTTTCAACCCTTGCCTCTACTCCTCCTTCACTCCACCTGCTAGCTGTACCCAGTGTCTATTGTTGCCATCTTTATGTTTATGAGTACCTAATATTTAGCTCCAATTTATAATTGAGAAAAGACTGTATTTAGTTTTCTGTTACTGCATTAATCTGCTTAGGATAATGGCCTCCAGCTACATCTGTGTTGCTGCAAAGGACATGATTTTGTTCTTTTTATGGCTGTGTAGTGTTCCATCATGTATATTTGCCATGTTTTCTTTATCCATTCCACCATTAATGGGCACCTAGGTTGATTTCATGGCTGCTATTGTGAATAGGACTGCGAGGCACATATGAGAGCCTATGTATTCTTGCTAAAACAATTTGTTTTCTTTTAGATACATAACCAGTAATGGGATTGCTGGGTCAAATTGTAGTTCCCTTTTAAAGTCTTTAAAAAATCTCCAAACTACTTTCCATAGTGGCTGAACTAATTTAGATTTCCACTGAAAGTGTTCAAGCATTCCCTTTTCTCCATAGCCTTGCCAGCATCTGTTATTTTTTGATGTTTTAATAATATCCATTCTGACTGATGTGAGATGGAACCTCATTGCAGTGATTTGCATTTCTCTGATGATTAGTGATGTGGATAATTTTTTATATGTTTGCAAACCACTTTTATGTCTTCTTCTGAGAGGTGTCTATTCATGTCTTTTGTTCACTTGTATTCATGTTATTTGTCTTATGCTTATTAATTTGTTTAATTTTCTTATAGATTTGGGGTATTGGGACCTTTATTGGAAGTGTAGTTTGTGAGTATTTTATCTCATTCTGTAGGTTGCCTGTTTTCTCTGTTGATAATTTCTTTTGCTGTGTAGAGCTCTTTAATTTAATTAGATCCCACTTGTCAATTTTTGTTTTGGTTGCAATTGCTTTTGAGGACTTAGTCATAAATTATTTCCCAAGGCCAATGTCCAGAATGGCGTTTCCTAGGATTCTTGTAGTTTGAGGTCTTGTGTTTAAATCTTTAATCCAACCTCAGTTAATTTTTTTATATGGTGAAAGGTGGGGTTGAGTTTCATTCTTCTACATATGGCTACCCAACTAGCCCACACTGTTTATTGAATACGGAGTAGTCTTTTCCCTGTTGGTTATTTTTCTTAACTTTGTTAAAGATCAGATATCTGTAGGTGTGCAGCTTTATTTCTGGGTTCTCTGTTCTGTTCCATTGGTCTATGTGTCTGTTTTTGTACCAGTACCATGCTGTTCTGGCACCAGTACCATGCTATTTTGGTTACCGTCACCTGATAGTATATTTGGAAGTCAGCAAACATGATGCCTCTGGCTTTGTTCTTTGTGATTAAGATTACTTTGGCTATTTTGGCTGTTTGGAGTTTCATATGAATTATTAAATAGTTTTTTTCTGGTTTTATAGAAAAAAAACAACATGGTAGTTTGGAACTTCCTAGAGACTTATTGAATGGCTCTGACCAAAATACTGATAGTGATATGGACAATAAAGTCCAGGCTGAAGTGGTCTCAGATGGAGATGAGGAACTTGTTGGGAACTGAAGCAAAGGTGACTCTTGTTATACTTTAGCAAAGAGACTGGCAGCATTTTTCCCCTGCCCTAAAGATTTGTGGAACTTTGAACTTGAGAGAGATGATTTAGGGCATCTGGTGCAATAAATTTCTAAGGAGCAAAGCATTCAAGAAGTGACTTGGGTACTGTTAAAAACATTCAGTTTCATTTATTCAGAAAGGTATGGTTTGGAGTTGAAATTTATGTTTAAAAGGGAAGCAGATCATACAAGTTTGGTAAATTTGTAGCCTGATGATGTGATAGAAAAGAAAAACCCATTTTCTGAGGAGAAATTCAAGCTGGCTGCAGAAATTTGCATAAACAATAAGGAGTCAAATGTTAATCATGAAGACAATGGGGAAAATATCTCCAGGGCATGTCAGAGGTCTTTATGGCAGCCCCTCCCATCACAGGCCCAGAGGCCTAGGAGGAAAAATGGCTTCATAGGTTGGGTCCAGGGCCTTGCTGCTTTGAGCACTCTCCAAACTTGCTCCCCTGCATCCCAGCTGTGGCTAAGAGGAGCCAGTGTATAGATCAGGTCATTGCTTCAGAGGGTGAAAGTCTCAAGTCTTGGCAGCTTACATGTGGCATTGGGCCTCCAGGTACACAGAAATCAAGAATTGAGGTATGAGAACCTCCACATAGATTTCAGAGAATTTGTGGAAATGTCTGGATGTCCAGGCAGAGGTGTGCTGCAAGGGGCAGAGTCCTCATGGAAAACTTCTGTTAGCACAGAGTGGAAGGGAATTGTGGAGTCAAGCACCCTCTGGGGCACTGCCTGGTGGAGCTGTGAGAAGAGGGCCACCATCGTCCAGACTCCAGAATGGTAGATCCACTGACAACATGCACCATGCACCTGGAAAAGCTGCAGACACTCAATGCCAGCTCATGAAAGCAGCCAGAAAGGGAGCTGTACCCTGTAAAGACACAGAGGCAGAGCTGCCCAAGGTCATGGGCGCCTACTTCTTGCATCAGTGAGACCTCGATGTGAGACATGAAGACAAAGGGGATCATTTTGGAGCTTTAAGATTTGACTGCTCTGCTGGATTTTGGATTTCTATGGGGCCTGTAGCCTCTTCATTTTGCCAATTTTTCCCATCTGGAATGGCTGTATTTACGCAATGCCTGTATCTCCATTGTATCTAGGAAGTAACTAACTTGCTTTTGATTTTACAGGCTCATAGGCAGAAGGGACTTGCCTTGTCTTAGATGAGACTTTGGACTGTGGACTTTTGAGTTAATGCTGAAATGAGTTAAGATTTTGGAGGACTGTTGGGAAAGCATGATTGGTTTTGAAATGTGAGGATATGAGATTTGGGAGGGGCCATGGGTGGAATGATATGATTTGCCTGTGTCCCCACTCAGATCTCATCCAGAATTTTAGCTCTCACAATCCCCATGTGTTGTGGGAGGAACCCAGTGGGAGGTAATTGAATCATGGAGGTGGGTCTTTCCCATGCTGTTCTTGTGATAGTAAATAAGTCTCATGACTCATGAGGTCTGATGGTTTGATAAAGGGGAGTTCCCCTGCACACACTCTTTCTTGCCTGCTGCCACGTAAGACGTGTTTGCTTCTCCTTTGCTTTCCACCATGATTGTGAGGCCTCCCCAGCCATGTGGATCTGTGAGTCAATTAAACCTCTTACCTTTATAAATTACCCAGTCCCAAGTATGTCTTTATTAGCAGCCTGAGAACAGACTAATACAACAGGATTGTGGGAAGTTCTCCAGGCATTCAGAGCACCCACCTTCCTGAATTAGGAGTAGGGAAACCAACTGCACCAAGATCTCTGCACAGAAGAGGTGGGGTGATTCAGGCTGCTGAACCAGGCAAGCAGAAGCTTGGAATGCCTGGAGATCTACCTGAGCATGTAGCAGCAAAGGCCCCTGCACCAAGACCTCTACCCAGGAAGAGTGGGGCATATCAAGCTGCTGATCCAGGCAAGTTGGTGCTCTGAATGTCTGGAGGTCTGCCTGAGTGTGGAGTAGAGAGGGCCATTCTGTACCATCATCTACGTCCAGGAAGGTTGGGTGGCTCCGGCTGCTGAACCAGAAGAACAGGTGCTTTAACTGCCTGGAGATCTGCCCAGGCATGAAGTAGAGAAGGCCTCCCTGCACCAGTAGCTCAACAGAAAGAATAGTGGTGAGTCAGGCTGCTGATTCAAGTGAGTAAATGTCTGGAGGCCTGCCTGGGTATGGAGCAGAGAAAGCCCTACTGCACCAGGATCTCTGTACAGGAAGGGTGGAGCAGGTTAAGCTCTGAACCCAGTGAACAGATGCTCCTAATGCCTGGAGATCTGCCTTGGCATAAAGTGTAGGGGGCTGCTCTGCACCACAATCTATGTTCATGAAGAGTTGAGTGACTAAGGCTGCTAGTCCAGGAAAGCGGCTGCGCCAAATGCCTGAATTTTTGCCTGGGGTTTGAGCAGAAGACCTCACTGCACTATTATCTTGGTAGAGCAGATGGAGACATCTAGAAATGGCACACACAGACCAATTCCAGGTCACTAGGCTGGCCTTGGCTGCAAATCTCACCACCCAGAAGAAACTGCAGCTGTAGCAGCACTCCTCCTGCCCCAGGCTTGTGACAAGGGAAAGCACAATTTCAGTGTCTGCTCTGGATGTGCTTTCCATAGCTCTCGTTGTGGAGGCCCTTATCCCACTCTAGAGCAGGCCCCCCCAATCTCTGCCTCAAGAATAAAATTCCTGAGTGGTCATGCTGCCAAGTTGCCAAAGAATGCCTGACTTTGTATGCCTGGATTAAAAATGGTATGCTGTTCTTTGTCCCAGGTCTGGGAAAATGTCTGCAGCTTTTCCCAGTGTCTTTCCCTCACAACATCTCCAAGCCTCTCTCCATGCTGGCTCTAGGGCTTGGGAGAAAGACAGTGCTGTTTCTCGACCTGGATCCCTTGAGTTCCCACTGGAAAAATGAGTCACATAGGGAGGCTCTCTGCTTCTCTCATATCCTCCTGGAGCTTCAGTCATGTTTACCAGACAGATACCATCATACGGACTGTCTGTCAGTGTTCTTTCTCCTCCACAGGATCTGGAGTGCCCTTCACAATTCTGATGGTTTCCCAGTTTCTTCTTGAACTAAAGCTCACAGAGTTGAACTTTATGCACTATCTTACTACTTCCAAGTGGCTGAGGCATCATAAAAGCTTCTAATCTGCCACCTTGGGAAAAACAAATAGGGATTCTTAATTTGTTTTACTTGTGACATATTTGTCTGGTTTTACTAGTCTTATAAAAAGACTTGGAAAATAATCCCTCCTTTTCTATTTTTTGAGTGTGTTTGTGAAGAATTAGTGTAAACTCTTCTAAACATTTGGTAGAATGTATCAGTAAAGCCATCTATTCTAGGGATTATGTGTGTATTGGTGGAGGGAAATTTTATATTGCCTACTTTATTTCTTCCTTCATGTATTTTGGGATTCTCTTGACAGGTGCATATGTGCTTATTGTTATGTTTTCTTGATGTATTAATCCTTTCTATCATTGTAAAATGCTCTTTCTCGCTAATCACAATTTATCTCTTGAAGTTTGTTTTGTGTGTTATTATGACCAGGTCTCTCTTGATTACTGTTTGAATGATTTATCTTAATTCAGTCATTTGTATTCAAACTGTTTGTGTCTTTGAATATAAAGTGTGTCTGCTGACTAAAACAGATAGTTGGATTATGTTTTTTTCTAAACCCATCTGCAAACTCTATTTTAAATGGAGTTTTTAATCTACGTACATTTAATGTAATTACTGATATATAGAATTTATGTTTGCCAGTTTACCAGTTGTTTTCTATATGTCTTCTGCTTTTTTATTTCTCTATTTTTCTAAGATTGCCTTTTCTTTAGTGAATAGATATTTTTAATGCACTGTATTAATCCCCTTATCACTGGTTTTATTATATTTTGTAAGTTATTTTCTTAGGGTTGCCTGATGGGCTACAAGTAGTATCTTAATTTTTGAAAATCTAGTTAGATTTACTATCAACTTAATTTTAATAGCATACAAAAATTTTGATTCTAAATAGCATTGTTCTCTCCTTCTTCCTTTGTTGTATTACCATACATATTACATCTTCATTCATTGTATGCCAATCAGTACATTACTTATAACCATTGCTTTATGCAGTTTATTTTTGAATCAGGTAGGAGAAAAGAAAATAGTTACAAAAAATACATTTACATTCTCTTTCATATGTTTCTAATTTTTGCTTTTTCTATTGTTCTGCATTTGTTTATATGGACTCTAGATATTGTCAAGTGTAATTTTATTTCATATTGAAATACCTCTTTTAATATTTCTTGCATGGAAACTTTGCTAGTAAGAGATTCTGTCAGTTTTGGTTTCAGAGAATAAGTGAGAATATTTTCACTTCTTTTTCATTTTTGAAGTATAGTTTTGTTGGTTATGAAATTATTCGTTGATAATCATTTACTTTCAAAACTTTAAAAATGTCATCTCACTGCCTCTGGTTTCCATGGTTTCTAATGAAAATTCAGTGAAAAATTATTCAGACTCTTTTGCACATGATGAGTTGCTCCTCTCTTGTTGTTTTCAAGATTCTTTCTTTGTCATTTTCTTTTGATTGTTTAATTATAATTTTTTAAAAATGTGAATCTCTTTGAGTTTATGCTACTTGGGAGTCATAGATCTTCTTGGATGTGCAAGTTAATATTCTTTGTCAAGTTTTGGAAGTTTTTAAGTATGTTTTGTATTGTTCTTCACTTATTTTTATGCCCCATTTCTCTTCTGTTCCCTCTCCTTTTGGGACTTCCATTATACATATTTTGCTATGCTTGATGGTATCTCTGAGTCTGTTTGTCTTTATTTCTTTTTCCTTCTGTTTCTTGCATTAGATAATCTCATTGATCTATATTTAAGTTAGCTAACTCTTTTCCCTGCTTTCTAAAATCTGCTGTTAAGTCAGATTTATATTTATACAATTGCTTATTAGTATTATTTATTTGGTGAGACATTTATTCTCAAATGTTCCTTTAGCTTTTTGGAAATAGCTTATTTTAGTTATTAAACAAATTTTTATCATGGTGAATTTAAAAACCTTTGTCTACTAAGCCAAACACCTGAGCTTTCTCATGGACAGTTTTATTGATTGTGTGTTTTTCCTGTGTGTGAGCCATATTGTCTTACTTTTTGTATGCCTTATAAGTTTTTGTTGAAAACTGAACATTTTAAATAATAAAAATGTGACAACTCTGGAAATTATATTTTACTCCCTTCAAATTTTGTTGATTTTGCTGTTTGTTTTTGTTGTCATTTGTTTCTTTAGTGACTTTTCTGAACTAATTGTTTAAAGTTTTTGTTTTTTATCGTGTTTGAACACTGAAGTCTCTGTTTGCTTAACTTAGTAGTCAGTGAAAGAATAGACAGAAATTTCATTGAAGACCTGGAACCCGTAACTCTTCCGGTCTCTGCTGAGTGGCTCTGTGTGCATTTCAGGGCACACTTTTAACACCCAGCCGGTTGGTTGACAACTCTGCCTTAGTCTTCACATTCTGCTTTCCCATAGCTTCATGGTCATCTGGAGGTGAAAGCTTAGGGCCTTCTCATATTTTCCTTGAGAATAAGCATTGTGCTTAGAATGTGCACAATCATACGTGTGTGACCTTTTATAGTGCCAGTAATATGTCAGAAGTCTTCAAAACTCCTATTTATATTTCCTAGCTTTTTAAGTTTTCCAGCTACCATATTATTTGCCCTAACTGTTATCTACCACTTTAGTCTACCATGATTTAAAAAAGTTGCCTTTCAATGTTTTCAATAAGTATGCTAGTTAAAAAGACTTTCATGGGCCAGTTACAAATGAGGTCAAATAAAGACAGTTTTATAAGTGGTATCTTGCAGTAAGCCACGTTCCAGGTCAAACAATAATTCTCAGGGAACTAAGCTGAAAGCTGCCAGATTGCTTGTAGTCAGCGATTGAGGGATATTTATTTTCAAGGTAACTGTATAACTTGAGAGCGGGTGATGAGAATAAGCAGCCTAAAATAACACAAAGCTTACAGTTCTTACCATAATTTAACCTTTCTTTCTCTTTTGGTTTTTTGTTTATTAAATAAATTATTTTTAGATCCCTCAAAGCATTTGGCTAATTTCCAGAGTTTTAAAAGAGCTGATTCTGATTATTTTTGCACATTTTTAATTGTTTATATGGAGGAGATAATTTGCATATGCCCTCACATCATCATTTGCATTGCTATCACTCTTCTTCTTCATATTATGGTCAAATGTAATATCACTAGAAATAAAAATATTTTCATGAGCACTTGCTAAGATCAAGATTCAGTCTTAAACTTGACCTTTTCAGAAATGCTTTTCAATATTCAGAAGGTAGTGGTTCCTTCCTAAATAACACAACATAGCTGTAAACAATTGGATCTATTTCCTTTCCTCACCCATTTCATTCAACAAATGTCTTTTCCCTCAACTCCCTTATGTTTTAGAATTATCTGACTCCTGTGGTCATCTTCTTTCTGAGGGTTAGCAATCATTCAATAACTTCTAAGCATATAAGTTTTTAGAAATTCATTTACATGATGTATAGTAGGCACACCATTTTTCATGGAATTGAAACAGGATTCCTTTTTATCTCAAACCTACAGGTTGTTGGTAAGCATGTAAGTGATACTTTTCACTTTGGCTACATCACACCATTCTAAATTCGTATCTTTTCAAGTGCTATTATTTCTGACATTTCAAGCTGTAAACCTAGAAAGGCAGTACTCAGATGTCCACTTTGTGGATTTTGTATTTTTCTACGTGATAGGCCTATGTAATAATATAGTTTTCCCTTTCAGACACTTCGAATAATTTAAAGCAAATTATTTTCATGGAAAACTGGTCCATGTTTGAGTCCTGAAGTGCTTACACTAGGAGGGAAGTAACCTTTTCAGATGAGTGTCTGTTTTACTACATTTCCGCAAGAAACATCAAATTTCATATTTCACTATTTTTAAACTAGAGAAGCCTAGGAAATTGTTATTTTCCAAGAACAATATGATGCTGAATTTCCCCTTCTCCCTTCGCCAAACAGTGTGATAGAATTTTCAGTCATTCTCACAAGAATTAATAATTAATTATTCTATTACTGTTTCAAAGTAAAAATTCTCTGCCACTATCTCCACAAAATTTGTCACTTTGCCACCACCAGCACTATGATGACTGAGAATAATCAGGGCAAAATTTGATTCCTATAATGTTAATAGAAGCCGACTAAATGGACATCATTTATTTGGTAAGTGTTAGAGTGTAAGCTCCACGTAGACAGTTTTTTATCTGTTTTTTTTCAGTGTCAGATACCAAGATTTGAGCACAGTTTCTGATGTATACTCAGTGCTAAATAGCATGTTGAATGAAGGGATGAATGACTTCTGTGCTCAAATTCTATTTGATTAATTCAAACATAATCTGCCTCTTGTGCACAGGATGAAATTATCCTGACTCTGTATTTTTAATTATAATAATAGCAATATGAAATATATCTGTATAATTTTATAAAATTCACAAAATCATTTACAAACCACATTTTCTCACCTAAGACTCTAAACAGAGCAAGGCTTTATTAACATAATTTTATTGATAATCACATTTAGACTAGGAGAAATTGAGTGTGATTTATCCAAGAGTCACAGAGTGAGAAAATATCAAGAGGTTTCAAACTCAGGGCTTATGACTTCTGAGTCTCTATGTATTTCACTACATCCATGCATTGTATATAGTATTTTTCAAAGTTTGCAAAACAATGCCCCTTATTTACCTTATGTGATTCTTTTATTTCTCCCCTTCCCCAACTTTGGAGATAAGCAGGGTTTTGTTTATCTAATGCTACACAAAAGGTCACCCCCAAACTTGGAAACCAAAATAATTATTTATGGTAATTTGTGTTGACTGAGCTCAACTGGTTATTTCTCACTTGAGATATCTCCTGGAGTGTCGGTCAGATAGTAGCAAAATCTAGAGTCATCTGAAAGTTCAACTAGACTGGACAACCAAGAAAGTATCTTCATTCACATGTCTGACACCTCAGGTGGGATTGCTAAAAGAGCAGACACTATAGCTCTTTTTCTTTTTGTGGACTCTTCATTTGGCTATCTTGGGCTTCCTCAAACTTAGAGTCCTCAGAGTGCTTGAACTTCATGTTCAAAAAGTTGGCTTCCTACAGACTACACATTCCTAGAGAAAAAGAAACACGCCACATTCTATCATTTACACAGGGCAAGCCCTCATTTATTTTGGTTAAAAACTATACAAAAAAGTGAATACTGGACAGCATGTTTCACTAAGGGCCATTTTTCAAAAGACAGCCACACTCTACAATGGTGAACATACATATTGTAGTACTGAGTGGCCAATTTCTTTACCTATAGCCTGGGTTTGACTCACTTATTGGATTACCTTGGAAATCCAAGGTAAATCTTACTTAATTTCTCTTAGTTTCCATTCCTTATTAAAGTATAGCAATTGTTACCTCATAAGGTTGTGTCACTTTTGAATTAGATAATCAAAATAAATGAACTTTGCACACTCTAAAGTGTTATCTATTTTATTAATGGTGTCATGGGACATTGGCTGCTTCTCTTTGAAAATCAAACCTTTCTTCACTGGTACCTTCTTAATCCTCAGAGACTAGAAATTTGAAGTCAAAATGTATCATATGAAGTGATCTTTCACCTCCACCACCATTTTATTCCACTGTTATATGTACTCAACAGACTTCTTACAGTTAAATTCATTTTCCAAAGCAGCCATTCTGACTAACCACTCCCTAATATTCTCTGTACCAAATATGTCTCAAGCCTGGTAAAAAATGGACCCTATAATTTTCCTGGACAACATTTCCTTATAAATTCAAATTTTACCTAAAATTATCTCCTCCATAATTATTCCTTAAGCTTCTTTGAGATCAGTAGCTTCAAAGTAGGTGAAGTCTCAGTAACTCGAGCAGAAGATGTTACCTATTAAGCATCTAGCACTATCGCAGGAATTGGTTTCCACTCAATTGTTTAATTATCATCACTGTTCTCTCTCAATTAGGAAAAAATAAGGATACAAGAGAATAGAAAGTAGGGCAGTATCAGGTATTGTGTTGGAGAAAGGCAGAAAAATTGAGGAGCAATGAAGTGCATGTACGGAGGGTTACGCTGTGAAGATAGTACTTCAATAGTTTCCAACACGGTGCAAAAAGAACTTTTATGTTCTGAACCAATCTTAATGTTAAATGTAATCTTTATCTCTCACTCATTGCACTAAAAGAAATACTTGAATTATAATTCTTCATTTGAAACAAATGATAACTGGAATGATTCAGTATAGGGGAAAACATAAGGGGGAATGCAGAAATGGTCATTTTCAGGAAAATGCTCTCTGGTAAGAGGATAGGATGTGGTGTGGTCTTTGCTAGAATTACTGACAGACCAGCCACTCTCAAAGGAAGGAAAGCAAAGAATGTGATTTCAGATGCAGGCATGCTGATGGATTTGATGGTGGGAGCATCAGGAAATTCTCTTTTGGCTGCTTTCATTTTCCCTGTAAAATGAAAAACAAGAATATTAGCTGAGAGAGGAAGGGCAGAAAAATTTGGAGGTTTAAGAAGAGAGGTCAAAGTATACCTCAGAAAGGTACATGTCCCAGCTAGGACCCAAAAACTCTTTTAAGGGATTAGTATGAATGGTGGAAAAGAAAGAATTTTGCTTTTCTCAGATCTGGAATTGCATGCTATATTGGCCTGGAGCTGCTAACAGCCATCTTTCCAAATGTGTAGAAAAGTCAGACTGAAAACAAAGTCAACACAGAAAATAATAGAACAAATATGGAATGAGAGAGGCAAAATTCTTACATTACCATTGCAGGGCATGACAGCAGCCAGGCTTGTACAGAAAGCACCCCCTGAGGTTTTCTACTACATGAGTGAATACATTTCTTTGTTGATTAAGCTTGTTTGAATGTGTGTGTTTTTGTCAATTATAATCAAAAGAGTACTCTATACATCAGATAGTTAAGGAGTAGTGTTTTAAGTTTCAAATAATAAATTCTTAAAATGACCAGAAAAATAGTGTAACAAATTGATAGATTATCAAGATTGTTTTTAGAATTAGAAAACTGAGTTTGAATTTTGACTGATCCATGTAATGAGATGTGTGAACTTTGGGCTTACTTAATCTCCCTGAGCTTCGTATCATCTATAAATTGAGTATAATGATAACATCTCCCATGTAAGTCCTGGGCAATATATCAATATTTTATACATATTATCTTCCCAATATTCCAATTCTCCAGTAGAGCAGGTATTATTATCTTGCATTTACAAATGAGAAGAGTGAGACTTAGCAAGGTTAATAATCAGCCCAACATTCCACAACTAGTAAGGTGGTATTGAACCCATCTTTCTATTACCTGAAACCTGGAGTGACCACAAAATCTCAATTCACCTGGGACTATTGTAGTCTGTGCTTATTGCACCTGCATTCCATCCAATTAGCACATTCTTTCACTTACAAAAAAAAAAAATCTTGGATTTGACAATAGATTAGATGGTCACCGTTGAAGGTTGGGTTTTACAAGAAGCTGACTCTGAAGTCACAGATGAGCTTGCCGGAAGTTAATTGGGGAATACTTTCTGGATCTACACCTTAGGGGGTAAAAAAAAGATCAAGATTGGCCAGGGGAAGAACAAAAGCCTCAGCAAACCGCACAGGGACCTTGGAAGCTGGAATGACACTTTGGAGTTGTTCCATTTGGAACAAGAGTCTCTGAGCCATGATATCACTGTATCATCCCACTCACCATATGAGGTCCTGCCCTAAGAAAGGGAGTGCTCTTCAACAAGGTAGCACTCTTCAGCTGAGGACAATTTCTGGAGAAAGCTGACAGCTGAGAGTTTTATGCTGGCAGCACTCCCAGTAGCTGGAGAAAGAAGTTCTTCAGAAGGACTGGGCCACGTACATCTCTACCACAGCTGTAAACTTTCATTTCTTATGATTGACTTACTGCCTCTGGACAATAGTTTCTTTACAAAGTTGCTCTGAGTATTTTTTTTTTTTGAGATGGAGTCTCACTCTGTCGCCCAGGGCTGGAGTGCAGTGGCACGATCTTGGCTCACTGCAAGCTCCGCCTCCCGGGTTCACACCATTCTCCTGCCTCAGCCTCCCAAGTAGCTGGGACTACAGGCATCCGCCGCCACCTCGCCTGGCTAATTTTTTGTGTATTTAGTAGAGATGGAATTTCACCGTGTTAGCCAGGATGGTCTCGATCTCCTGACCTCATGATCCGCCTGCCTCAGCCTCCCAAAGTGCTAGGATTACAGGCGTGAGCACCGCGCCCGGCCGCTCTGAGTATTAATAAAAGCATGCCTATACTATGTTTAATAGTACCTGGTATATATTAATATACACTTACATATTTATACACACACCACACCTATTCCTATACATACAGATTCAATAAATGGCAACAATTATTTTGTTAAATGTTATTATGTATTACGTGTGATATATATTATAATAACATAAATATTATTGTAAAGTTACCACTTCAAAACGAGGAGTCTGAAATCATTGAAAAATAAGATTTATAAAATTTTCTTTGGAGTTTGTCTAACTTGAAAGATCGCCAAGAGCAGCCCAGCACAATGTCCTGATACATAAACTGTTAAAAATCCTGAAGCTTCCTGAGAGCCACATAGGCAGAAAGAATCTAGGTATAGGTCAGTGAAAGGAATCCCATATGAGAAGTGGTGGTGGAGGAAGTGTGGGTTGGTGGAAGAGATGTATGGCTATTAACGTGCTATTGAAATCCACTAATTCTCATACTCAAAAGCCTTTGGGAAGAATAGAGGAAAATGTTTTTCCCCTATTTGCAATCTTCTTTAAGTACTAAGCCCATAATTGGGGTGGTTGTGGAAAAGGTGGATCTAGAACTCCATCAAACAACTTCCCTCTGGCCATTTCTGCATCCTCACTGTATTATTTGTTAATTCTACTCCTAAAATTGTGTGGAGGTTAACCAGGGCTTCAAACTAAACATATTAGTAGTAAAAGAGAGATTCCCTATTGAATTAATCTGACGTGATTACAGAAAAGGCAACTCATTCCTCCAGGACTTGGAGACTTTGAAGTGTGCACATGCATAGAAAATGTGGTGGTTAATTTTTCTAAGGTCAGCTTGGCTGGGCTAAGGAATGCCCAAATAGCGGGTAAAACATTATTTCTAGATGCGTCTGTGAAGGTGTCATTTTGATAGACTGAGTAAAGATTGCCCTCACCAATGTGGGTGGAGCTTATGCAATGCATTGAGGACCCAAACAGAACAAAAAGGCAGAGGAAGGGAGAACTGGCTGTCTCTGCTTGAGTTGGAACATCATATTTTTCTGTCTTTGGACATCAGATATTTGGTTCTCTGGACTTTGGACTCAAAATGGAATTTCTGCCATTGATTCCCCTGGTTCTCAGACCTTGAGGTTTGGACTGGCACTACACTACTTGCCTTCCTGGGCCTCTGGCTTGCAAACAGCAGTTGATAGGATTTCTCAGCCTCCAAAATCACATGACCCAATCCTTCATAATAATTATCTTTCTATATATTTTTATATAGTTATTGATTCTGTTTCTCTGGAGAACTCTGTCTAAAATAGATATTTGGAAATAGCAAGCAAAAATTTTGGAAACTCTTCCTAGTCAAAATATAAAGTAGACAATTAATTACCCTCATGGAGTAGTAGCATCCTGGGCAATATATTTTGCTAATGCAGCAAAATACAATTGTTAGTTGACTCACTCTAGCTCTAAGTCTATCTATCTATCTATCTATCTATATAATATATATTTTTTTGTCTCTTTCAATTTTCTTATGCTGATCAAGACGATCAGAAGACTGGTTTTTAGACTATTGGTAACTACTACAAGTTTGAAATATTTAATTTGAGTTAATTCATATACATTATGAGAAAGTTTGAGAGAAACCTAATGCTCAATTAACAAATAATTTAAATATTATTTCCATTTTATTACTTGATTCCCCAAGTCTTTCAGTGGCTGCCTTGGATAATAGGTATGCTTTGGAATGTACATGTGAGATTTCAAAAGCAAAACAAAATGAATTATGACATTCTTTTATGAAGTAGAATTTCTGAGAGTAATTCAGTGTAAGTAAAATCAATATAAACATCTATATTATCCCTGATTGATGGGAAAAGGATAATATACTATCAAAACTACCTTGAAAGTAATCGTAAAGTGGATTTTCCACTCAGGATACCTTTTCACAGTTTTATTCCCTAGGAGAGAATGTCATGTGCTATTAACCCTCATGAACCCTTGACCTTGGTTCACATAAAGACAGTGAGAACTGGTCCTAGTTATTAAAGAAATTAGGCATAGACACATTCTTGCTTTTATAGTAAGAAATAATAAGGTTTTCTTTCACCCTGGGGAGAGGTTATTAAAGCTAAATATTACAATGTTTTTTAAGGGAGAGAGTTCGTTTTGACAATCCAAGAGAAGTGTATGTTTTGCATAAATACATAATGTAGATTTGTGATTTTATAAAGATGACAAAAAGTAAAAACAAAGTAAGTCTGTTAAGAACATATAGAAGAATAAGAAACATTCCTGTTAGACCAGCTTGTAAAAACAATTTAAATTATTAGACGGAGACTACATTCCATTTTATAAAGAGCAAAAATTAGATAGGTAATTGTCCTGTTACGAGTTATTCGAGAATGTTTTATATATTTAAATAATTCGCTACCAATGATGGCATGAACAGAAATACAGATTACATTTACTGTCAATCTCTATTTGAGGAGGTTTAATTTTGTGATTGTGTCCAGAATTGGTGGGTTCTTGGTCTCGCTGACTTCAAGAATGACGCCGCGGACCTTAGCAGTGAGTGTTACAGTTCTTAAAGATGGTGTGTCTGGAGTCTGTTCCTTCATATTTTCAGATGTGTCCGGGGTTTCTTCTTTCTGGTGGGTTCATGGTCTGGCTGACTTCAGGAGTGAAGCTGCAGGCCTTAACAGTGAGTGTTAACAGCTCTTAAAGGCGGCACATCTGGAGTTGTTCGTTCCTTCCGGTGGGTTCCTGGTCTCACTGGCCTCAGGAGTGAAACTGCAGACCTTCCACGTGAGTGTTACAGTTCACAAAGGTGGTGTCCAGAGTTGTTCCTTCCTCCCATCCAGAGTTGTTCGACCCTCCCCGTGGGTTCATGGTCTCGCTGGCTTCAGGAGTGAAGCTGCAGACCTTCACTGTGACGGTTACAGCTCATAAAGGCGGCACAGACCCAAAGAGCCAGCAACATTAAGATTGATTGCAAAGAGCAAAAGAACAAAGCCACCACAGCATAGAAGGGCACCTGAGAAGGTTACCGCTGCTGGCTCAGGTGGCCTGCTTTTATTCCCTTATCTGGCCCCACTCACATCCTGCTGATTGGTCCATTTTGCAGAGAGCTGATTGGTGTGTTTACAAACCTTCAGCTAGACACAGAGTGCTGATTGGTGCATTTACAATCTTTTAGCTAGATGGAAAAGTTCTCCAAGTCCCTACCCGGCCCAGAAGCCCAGCCGGCTTCACCTCTCACTGGCGCTGGCTGCAGGACTTTGCTGCCGCACCTAACCCGGGCACTCTGGCAGCCTAGAGAAAGCTCCTCCCAGACAATCAAGAGGAAAAGAGGGGAAGAGAGAAAGAGACGGAGAGCTGCCATCATGGCCAAAGACCCCGCGAAGAGGGACGGCGGTCTACGCACGGGACCCAGCCTCCGATCAAGCCCAGCAGGTGCCGAGATCGCGCCCACCCGGACCCCACGCTGGCTGGCCAGCGCTGCGGGCAGCCCCAGCTTCTGCCCGCGCCTCTCTCTTCACACTTCCCCGAGAGCAGAGGGAGCCGGCTCAGGCCTCAGCCAGCCCCAGAGAAGGGCCCTCACAGCGCAGGGGGGCGCTGAAGGGCTCCTGGAGCGTGGCCAGAGCGGACATGGAGGCCGAGGAGGCGCCAAGAGCGAGCGAGGGCTGCTAGCACGTTGTCATCTCTCATGATGTTGTAAAATAAGAAAGAGTAAATGTTATTTTAGAATTCCTTCCTGGCCGGGCACGATGGCTCACGCCTGTAATCCCAGCACTTTCGGAGGCTGAGGCGGGCGGATCATGAGGTCAAACGATCCAGACAGGAGATCGAGACCATCCTGGCTAACACGGTGAAACCCTGTCTCTACTAAAACTCCAAAAAATTAGCCAGGCGTGGTGGCGGGCGCCTGTAGTCCCAGCTACTCCAGAGGCAGAGGCAGGAGAATGGCGTGAACACCGGAGGCGGAGCTTGCAGTGAGCCGAGATGGCGCCACTGCACTCCAGACTGGGCGACAGAGTGGGACTCTGTCTCAAAAAAAAAAAAAAAGAAAAGAAAAGAATTCCTTCCTTGTTTCCTGCTGTAGTTATTTGTCAAAAGATACAAAAACATCTATAAGAGTTAAGCAAAGCTATATTTATTTTGCTGCAACACTGCTATGCACAGTGACATGGTCAAGTTGCTTTTTATAATGATTTATAGTGATATTAATTTGCATCAGTCGTTTTCATGACCCCAAAGCCAACTCAATAATACCAGAAAATATTTGTTTGCTTGCCTACATTTTGTAATAATCCAATGTCCTGAAATAAAAATGAATATTTTCTTCCTGGAAATAAAGTGAGATAATTTTCTTCTTCCGAGAGAGTCATGAAACAAGAACAGAATGACATTATACTAAACTATTTCACAAATATTGGTCAACAGTGGAGGCTTTTTTGTTCATTTATGTAAATTTGATTTGGCTCTATTTTCCTAAGTTGCATTTTATGCTTCTTTCACCTGCCTTGCCAAATGAAAAGAAAAATCATTTATTTATTAAAACATACACTAATAGAAGAAAATAATTTCACTCTTCACAAACTTTGGCATTATGAAGTCACTGGTTACTGGAGATTTAATTTCTGTAACATATCTGAAGTGCTTATTTTTTTCTTTCCATGAAGGAAACCTTTTGGAATTAAGATATGGTACATTGAACTAAACGGGGATTGCATTTGCTGTTTCTGTGATAACATTTTACATCTGAAATTCCAATAAATATTTCTCTTCTTGCTTTGAGGTGGTTTAGTTAATCATTCAGGTGGTTGGCTTTCATAAGAAGTAAAGGCATGCCAGCATTTATAGTTTCCCAGAGTTCGTTTTTTGCCTCAAGCTTGTATTTATTCTTATTACACTCACTAGCTTAGATACCAGGTGAATACCTGGGAGAAAGAAACAATTAATTTCAAAAGTAATAAAAATAAAAGAACAAAAAAACACAAAACTATTCAACATGCCAGCAATCCTGTTCTCTTAAGAAACCTACCTGTTTTTTTCAATGTGTGTAAGTTTTAGCATTTTATAGCAATTAGATGAGTCTGTATATCACTAGAACTTCTGTCGCTGGAATTAGGACAAAACTATTTTCTGCAATAAATATTTGGCTCTAAAAATCTATTTTGACCTGTACTATAATGCATAGCAGCAGAATTAAAATATTGTGTGTTATCATCAAAAGTTTCAGCCTTATTTTTTCACATTTGAATATAAATATTAAAATGATGAAGGCCCATTTCTTTTAGTCTTTTTATTCTTAGAGAATGCTGAATAAATGTTATAAAACAAGAAAAAGACTGTAAAATAATAATTGCTAATTATAAAAAAAATTTAAAAATATGTCATCAAGCCACAATAGCGGTTCTTTATTTCTTTTTTTAATTTAAAATGGACATGAACAAACTTTCATAATACCTTTGTGGAATCTAGTTAGAGCTTTACTCCATTACAGAATAGAAACTTTTCACTGTGAAGAGATCAAAAGCACTGCTTTCC
Organism: Homo sapiens; assembly: GCF_000001405.40. Classification (NCBI taxonomy): domain Eukaryota; kingdom Metazoa; phylum Chordata; class Mammalia; order Primates; family Hominidae; genus Homo; species Homo sapiens. Next base: position 13,198,397 of record NC_000021.9, read on the forward strand.
TTTGTGGCAAATGAATATTTTATTATCTAATGCTAAATAAAATTTGCTGGCAAAAGAAATGATATGCTAGTAAAAAAACAACAAAAGACTTTTTCTGACAGTATGATTTACATAGCTACATTTTCATTACTTTTATTTTTCTACATAACTAGTGTCTTTTCAGTTGCAAATGTTTGACATTCTGACAAGTAGTGTGGCAGAGTCTTAGATTATAGGTTGCATTTAGCCAAAAGAAAGACTTCGAATGGAATTTTTTTCTATTGACACACTTTCTAACAACATACTTATTTTCTAAAAAGGTTTTTATAACTTAGTGTTGATAATATCAAATATCTAAGCAATTTTGCTTAAAAAGCATAGAACACCAATATTTAATGAAGATTAATTAAATAGCACACATTGACTACTTGTTTAAAAATATTCGGAAAATTTTGACACATGCTAAAGTGCTGAAGTATGGTTTTGGCCTTCCATAAAAATAATATATTGTGCATAAATGGACGCAGAATGAAGAAAGCAATGAGAAAACATCTAGAAAATTGCTAGTGTGGTAAACATATTAAAATAATTTGGCATGGGAAATGTTTTTTCTCTTTTAAATTTAATTATGGTAAGAAAGAAGAGCATTTTAAAGAAAATGTTAATTTCCATCAACAATATGCAAGAGAAAATAATGTAGAGTATGTATATTAGAGAAACACATAACTGCATATATGTGTGGTTAAAACTTAATGCCTTCTGGCTTTGTCATTTATAAGAATTATTACCTACACAAGGAGTACTGTGCTGAACCCTTTACATTTCCTTAGTTTTTTCACATAAAAGCAAACACGTCTCCATTTTCTTTCTTTTTTTTTTTTTGGATGTTCACCTGGTATTTACCTCTAAATTTCTAAATAACTGTGGAAAGGAGGGTTAACCCAATAGATGAGATTGCTCAAACCTTCCACATTCCCAAGAAATATCTATTTTCCGGACTAGTCCCTGGCTGGCTCATGGAAGCTTAAGCACTGGGCTTCTCAGAGTCATGAAAATAAGGTCACTCCACTTTTTACTCTTTGGTTCTTGGACTCATACAGTCTATCTTAATGGTTAAATGACTGTCGGGTCAACACACATTCTGCATCTCAAAGGACAACACTACAATCCCATGCATATTATTTCCAAGTTTATGCTTAGCTTCACTTTAAATTTTCTCAGGCCTCACCTTTTTGGGTGATATGGGGTTTAGTATGCAATCGTCTTGTGTCCATTAACACACCTCTTTCACCATAAAACAGGTTTCTTTGCCTGTGAGTATATAATACAGGGTCCCATGTCAATATATCTGTGAACAATACTATCCTTAACTAGTAGTGTGGTCCTAGCCATTGTTAGCAAGAAAAGCAAATTTTACATGAGCCTTACTCAAAACCAACTGCTCCCCTTTTTGGAATGATCCTAAATGCTCAACTTGCAACCAAGTGGCTGGTTGGCCTCCCCATAGAACAGTGTCCTGTTGAGGTCATAGTTTCTGATGATGACAGGATGGATATTCTGCAGCCACAATAGAAACCTGGATGAGAGGGAGCCTATGCTGTTGGCTTGCCAGCAGCCACCTTGGCTACATCCACTATGAGTGCCTCCACTATGAGCAGCTAAGGAGAGATACTAGCTGGCATTTGCTGGATAAAAGACATCCCATCCACTTTGTTGTTTAGTGTCTGCTCTTCAGTGGGTGTTCTCTGATGGGCATTGATGTAAGATAACAATACATCTTCTTTCTACCTGATTCCATGTGTTCATCTACACTACTTTTTCCCAAATCGAGGTCAGTGTTAGGGCTCTGAACACAATACCCTAAAGTTTGGTACCTGGTGTGCTGAGTACTTTGAACTACAGGAGATTGGAAGGACCTCAGAAGCAAGGTCTTTCTGACTTCTTATCCTCCTGTTTCCTTCTTCTCCTTCTTTGCTGAAGTCAGTCATGGAACTCAGACTTCCTCTTCTCCAAGGCGGATCATAGAAAGTAAAATTCTTCTTCCCCAAGGCACGTCATGGAAACAAAAATTCTTCTCCAAAGCAAGCCATAAAACCTAGAAGGCTCATTCTAACTTCTTTCCCTTCTCCCTTGAAGACACTTATTCTAGGAAGGTCCTGCCCATACCTAGGAGGAAGAAACCCTACATAAAGAGGCTAATAAATATTTGAATAGAAAGGCATTATTGTGTTTCCCCCTTCAGTCTGTTACCAATGGATTATACACTTTTGTCCAGTCAACTTTCTACGTGGATACCCATTCTTCATGAGCCTAAGCATCAAAATAGACAGTTCCCCCTGGGTCATTGGGTCTTCATTTCTGAAGGCTCCTGTGTCATGTAAAAAATTGATTAAATAAATTGCTATCCTTTTCTCTTGTTAATCTCTGTCTTTTGTTACAGGAATGTCAGCCATGACCTATGATGTGTGAAGAAAGATATCTCACACCTTTCTACCCCTTCACCACTGTCTATTCCACTCTTAATCTGCACTCAACTACTGTGACTCTCCCCTTGGTCTCTTATCCCAGAGTACTGTGACTCTACCTCTAAGCCTTGCTTCCTGCTCTTGTGCCATTTTTTACATCTTTCTCTAATCTTACGGATTAAATTATATCCATTTGAACGTCTGGGATGAAATCTGTTTTCTGATGCATCCCTTACAAATATAAGGACATTTAAACAAATATTTAAGGGAGGATATCTCAGAGGAGACTGTTTTGGACAGAAGTAACACCAAGATCTAATAAAGAAATCATACTTTGCCTGGATCTTTGAAAAACAGTACGACCAGTGTGAATGAATGGAGTAACCAAGAGGTTAGGCAGTAGGAGATGAGGCCAGAGAAGAAAGAGGGTGTGGTAGCCCCCAATCCTGGCACTTACTTCCACTGGATCTAAAATCGAGCATGGAATTATGCTGACCACATCAGTCTAACTAATATTGATCTAAGTTATCATATGACTAGTAACATTTATGTTGTAGCACCTAAATCAGGAGTCTGCAAAGGATAGCCCACTGCCAAAATCTGGCCCACTCTCCAGTTTTTGTAACTAAAATGTTATCAGAACTCAGCTAAGTCCATTCATTTACAAACTGTCTATGGTGGCAGAGACAATATGGCTCACAAAATCTAAAATATTTACTCTCTGGCTCTTTATAGAAGAAATTTGCTGACCCCTTGTCTAAATTATAGCAAGTATGAAATCCTCTGTCATCAGCAATGGCATAGAAGGCAGCATAGGAATTTTTAAATTTGCCCTTGAATTATATCATAAGCCTTATGTTTGAGGTCGTATTTTTGCAAAGTGCTGAGCACCCCTGTCCTACAATGAGGAGGGCCCACTTTCCTTTCTCAATTGGTCTGTCTTATAACATTTAGGAAGAGACTCACAGTCTCTCTGTGGCCTTGTATTCTTGGCTAATATCCTGTTTTTTTCTTCCTAGAGTACTCTCTACTCTGTCTTAGAGTTTCCAACTGTTTATCTGAAGTAGTGGTGTCAGCCTCTGCAATGCTTTCTGTTCTACAGGGTGTAGGGTCTTTCTTTTTTTTTTGAGACAGGGTTTCACTTCCTTGCCCATGCTGGAACACAGTGGCATGATAATGGCTCACTGCAGCCTTGACCTCCTAGTCCCAAACTAATCATCCCAACAGCCTCCCAAGTAGCTGGGACTACAGGTACACACCATCATGCCTGGCTAACTTTTGAACTGTTTTGTAGAAAAGGTTTCCCCATTTTGCCTAGGCTGGTCATGAACTCCTGGCCTCAAGCCATCCAACCCACCTCAGCCTTCCAAAGCACTGAGATCACGGGCATGAGCCACAGTGCCCAGTCGAGTGTAGGGTCTTGATCCTCTGGTCTGTCCCACCTTGTCTTCTTTTGCTACAAGTAATTAGACAAAGTTCTAAGGTACAACAGGGATGCTGAGTCTAGTTTGTTTAAAGATATTATTCAGTTCCTATGAAAAGATCCATGAGTGTGTACGTTGGTTTTTAGTACAGCCTTGACAAGTTAATCCAGTAGAGAAACCTGCATGCAAATGTGATTTCTGATTATAGCCTTGGCTACTTATGCAGTTTTTGGTGTTACTGAGTTTTTTTAAACAACTTTCCAATTTCACAGGCTTACCCAAGGGTATGATCAATGAAAACCACAGCTTCTTTGTTAGTTGTAAAGGACTCAGAAGTCAGTGACGGCTGTTATTGACTCACTCATAAACAGCACATTAAGGAAAAGGAAGTTGAACAGTCATCTACAGTTGTAAAAGGAGCACAAATAGTCTCTGTTTAACTTTTTTTTCTTTTTATATGTGGCCCGTCTAACAATTCTATCATGATCATCATCAATCATTATCATCCTCCTCAACAAAGCTCTAATTTTATTTAGTTTCAGAAAAATTTAAGCTGATGGCAGTTCAATCCCTTTGAATATCTGTGATTGAGATATTGTTCTTTAATTGTGAAGCCTCCTTTAGATTAATATTAATAAAATATTTATATAAATTTTGATGATTTTATAAATGTAGTCTTGACAGAATGATATGATCTCAATCACAGAATAGTATTTGTGAGAAACCAATGCTACCTCATTCGGTAACTTGAACTTATATAGTTATTGGCTGTTTAGTTTTTCTTCTTCATGATAAAACAAAACATAGTAATCAGATTTACAAACCTAGTAATCAGATTACGAGATTATTCAACTCAAATATATACAATATAATTGTACTACAAGAGCTGTTTGTACAAACATTTTCACTAACATCACCAGAATTGAGAAATATGTATAGTAATGTATATTTTTTATTAGATAGTTTAATTCCAGCCAAGTATCAAGCCATTTCCATAATCTGACATACTAGCTAAGGAAAAATAATGAGGCCACTCAAAAGTCTCTTTTTCTAGTTGTCTCAGTAGCTTCGATGTGATAAGCATGAAAAAACATGAATTGCTAAACCAAATTTTAAAAAAATTTCTGAAACTATATAACACTTCTGAGAGGGCTGCAGATTTGTTAGTAGGTTGTTTTTCAGTCTGAAAAAAATGATTAAATATTTCTGCTGGAATGGAACATTTCAGTCATAACAAAATATAAACTCTAAGGAAGCTAATACTAGTATTGTTTGTTAAATCCTTTTGTATTCTTTGCTTTTCATGGAGGGAGAGAGTTAAGTTACAAGGGAATGGTGAACCACAACAAATGAAAAGTTGTGAGTAGTGTACCTTTGCATTGCTGTATTTCAAAAGGTTTGCCAAAAAAAAAAAAAAACGAAAAAGAATGTCAATTATTTTTCTCTAAAATTGTGCCTAATTATGTTATATGATATTAAATTAACTGTTTAAAGAGAATACATAGTATGCAAAATACTTCACACTTCACACATATCATTTTTAATTGAATTGTTAAAAAAATAAGCACAATTGCCTCTGTTTCACCAATGATTAAATTAAGATGACCATAATCTATGGAAGCTGCCCAAAGAAAAACAGTAATGGAGTCAGATATAAATGAATCAGACTCCAAATCCCAATCACTTTTTCATAAAGTGTTTAGTAAGTATTTTTATCTAAAATATAAGTGTGTGGCTATAAAAACACCAATTATATAATAATTTGATTCTTGTTTCTATTTATTTGAAGCCTAATTAGTGTATTTCCACAATATATAACATAATGCTAAAAAAGAAATTTGGTATTTTCAGTTTCCTTTAAATTTTCTGAACTGATTTTATTTTATAAATGATTTGCATTTACCAGAATGTTATAAACTCAGTAATTATGTTTTGGTTCAGTGTTTTTTACCTGCCATCTACATTACATAAAAATCATTTCTGTAAAAGGAAGCAGATTTTAATGAGCAAGCTACACAGAAATTTTCATCTCACACTTAACAATGGATATTATTGTTCTTATAATTTGCACTTCTCAGTCATAAGACATCCCTCTGTGGTTGTCATAATTGGTCTAATGAATTTCTTAAAATAAATGAAAGTCTAATTTGATCCGGTGCCCATGAACAATCCACTCATTCAAATCTAAATCACTGACCTGATTTGAAGACGAATCATGCCAAAATGAAGTCATGCTTTCCTATTAAGTGTGTTGCCTCAGTGCAAGCTTTTGAATGGCTTGTTCTTAAGGTTTGAAGTGGGGATTTCCAGTGACAAAGAAACACAATTTGATCTCATAACCCTAGACACCCAGACTTATTTTAAATGATAGAGACTTAAGATTGAGAGAAAATCTGAGTCATCATCCAGTTCAGTATTTTTCACTTAGTGGGAAATGTACTGGTCACCTTGGGTTTGAACAGTTTAGCAACATTGCAGGATCTTCTACAGATGCATACATAAGCATTTGAACAAATTCTGTAGGTAGGCAAAGATCATTGCAGCCGAATGTCTAATGATCTTTATCGCAGAGTTATCTATCCAATGTTCCAGGGTAAATGTTCTATTATTAACATTCCTGAGGAAATACATTCATGGATATATATGTTTATTATATTATTTAACTACTATTTCAAATCTATATCAAGACTGGTCTTAACATTTCTAAAATAGGTAACTATATCAACATCATAAAAAATGCTGCCACATTTTTTTCGAGAAAGAAATACTCTCTATACATATTGTTAAACCTTTCTGCATTAGAACTAAAGACCGTGAAAAGAAGAACAGTTTTTATTGTGTTAAGACACTGATTGCTGGTTAGGAAAGAATGCGTGTGTGTGTGTGTGTGTGTGTGTGTGTGTGTGTCAGAGAGACAGAGAGAGAGAAAAGCAGGGGAAGCTTGTAATGCATAATCAAATACTAAGGTTATGAGAGATTTATCCCAGATTATCTATAATTTTCATTGGTCCCTGAATGGTGGAGGAAAGGTAAAAATATCTTTAATTCCAGATTTCATCTTTGGCCACCAACAAAGGGGCATCACTTAATCCTATTGGTTTTAAATACCAATGAACTAGTGTAAAAGATAAGGATTCGTAAATTATTTCACTCATTCATTGAACTAGAAAATGAACTAGAAAAGAAAATTGAAAAGAGAATGCAGAATGGCACTTACTCAAATAGTTTTGATGATTTCTGCTTCACTGGCTGATTTTGTAGTGGGTGGCTGGAAATTACAGTGGGATCTTTAAATAAGTTTAGAGTCATATCTCTGACTTACCCTGAGTAATTTTTGACCCAGTAAAGCTGTTTTTTTTTGGTAGGCTTAAAAATTCCACTGAGATTCTTCAGTCACCCACTCAACCACTTCCAAATGAATCTGAAAAACAGAAATCATCAAAACTAGTAGAATAAATGCTGCTCTGTTTTAAATTTTCTTTTCCAGTTCTCATTCACTGAGATGAGAGTAAACATTGAATAAAACTTCATGTTAAAATGTCCATACTATCTAAAACAGGGTATAGATTCAATAACATCCCTATGAAAATCCCAATGGCAAGTTTTTACAAAAATTGAAAACAATTATAAAATTCATATGGAACCACAAATGACCCTGAGTAACCATAGCAATCTTGTGAAAGAAGAACAAAGATGAAGGCATAACACTAGCGGGTTTCAAAATACATTACAAAGCTACAATAATTAAAACAGCATAATAGTAGCATAAAGCAGACAGATACACCAATGAAATAGAATAGAGAGTACATAAATAAATCCATACATATATTGTCATGTACTGTCACATGTACTTGAATTTTGACAAGTGGAACAAAAATACAAAATGGGAAACAGATAATCTCTTCAACACATGGTATTGGAAAAACTGAATAACCTCATGCAAACAATGAAATTGGATCCTTATCTTACACTATACAAAAAACATCAACTCCACATGGATTAAATTTTGTAATGTAAGACCTGAAACTGTAAAACTCCTAGAAAAAATATAGAAAAAACGCTTTATGATATTGGTGTTGGCAATGATTTCTTGAATGTAATAGCAAAAGCACAGGCAACCAAAACAAACATAGACAAGCAGAACTACATTAAAATAAAAAGCTTGTGCACAGCAAAGGAATCAATCAACAGAGTGACAAGGCAACATATGAACTCAGGGAAAATGTATGTTTTTCCAAACCATGTATCTGTTAGATGTTAATATGTAAAATATATGAACTACAATGCAATAATTTAAAAAAAGCAGATTAAGCCATAGGCAAAGGACTTGAATAGACATTTAGCCAAAAAAAAACCATACAAATAGCCAACAGGTATATGAAAAATATGATAATCATCATCACTAATCAGCAGGGCAATGAAAATCAAAACCACAATATTTTCACCTCAAAACTGTTGAGATGGCTATTATTTTTAAAAAATGCATTGATAAGGATATAGAGAAGTTGGAACATTTCTGTACTGTTGGTGGGAATATAAAATGGTGCAACTGCTGCAGAAAACATTAAGAAGGTCTCTCAAAAAAATAAAAATAGAACTACCATGTGATCCAGCATTCCCAGTTTGGGGTATATATAATAATTAAAACCAAGATCTTGAATAAGTATCTCCACTCCCCTGTTCACTGTAGCATTATTCACATGAGCCAAGATATAAAAACAACCTAAATCTCCATCAATAGATAAATGGATAAAGAAAATGTGTCTGTATGTGCAATGGAATATTATACAGACTTACAAAAAAAGAAATCCTGTTATAGGTGACAAAATGGATTAACCTGAAGGACATTATGCTAAGTGAAACAAGCCAGTCACAGAAGGACAAATGCTGCTTGACTCCATTTATACGAAATATCTAAAATCATCAAACTCAGAAACAGAGCAGAATAGTGGTTATCAAGGACTGTGGAGAAAGGAAATGAGAGGTTGCTACTTAATGTGTACCAAGTTTCAATTATGCAAGATAAATAAGACCTAGAGATCTACTGCATAACATCGTGCCTATAGTTAACAATACTATACTATGCATTCGAAAAGTTGACAGTATGTCTTAACACAATATAGACAAACAAAATATTTTCTTTGGCAGATTCACATTTTATTATTTGATTTTAATTGAAATATCTTAATTTCAAATATTTTATTAAGTGCTTTGTTTGTGTCAAAAAACTTTCTTTCTTTTTTTTTTTTTTTTTTTTTTTTGAGATGGAGTCTGGCTCTGTTGCCCAGGCTGGAGTGCTGTGGCGCGATCTCAGCTCACTGCAAGCTCTGCCTCCCGGGTTCATGCCATTCTCCTGCCTCAGCCTCCCGGGTAGCTGGGACTACAGGCGCCCACCACCACGCCTGGCTAATTTTTTTGTATTTTTAGTAGAGATGGGTTTTCACAGTGTTAGCTAGGATGGTCTCAATCTTCTGACCTTGTGATCCGCCCGCCTCGGCCTCCCAAAGTGCTGGGATTACAGGCGTGAGCCACCGCACCAGGCTAAAATCTTTCTTAATAGAGACAGAAAGATGCTGTGTAACATCCATTGATTATTCCTAATAGGTAAATTAATGACTTTTAAAAATGATTTACACTATTTAAGCAGTAAAAATACTGGCCAAAATTTTTATAATTTTGCATACTTTTTTCTTTTTAATTCAATAAGTATTTAAAATTAGCTTCTGCATGTAGAAACAAAACACAATTATTCTTAAAAACAATCATCTAACAAGCAAATCTCCATTTTTATTTAAATTAAGGCTTCTTATTTAATAACAAAAAAAAGAGTGCACTGTGGTTGAAAAGTATACAATTCTTTTTTTTTTTTTTTTTTTTTTTTTTGAGACGGAAGTCTCGCTCTGTCGCCCAGGCTGGAGTGCAGTGGAGCGATCTCGGCTCACTGCAAGCTCCGCCTCCCGGGTTCACGCCATTCTCCTGCCTCAGCCTCCCAAGTAGCTGGGACTACAGGCGCCCGCCACTACGCCCGGCTAATTTTTTGTATTTTTAGTAGAGACGGGGTTTCACCGTTTTAGCCGGGATGGTCTCAATCTCCTGACCTCGTGATCCGCCCGCCTCGGCCTCCCAAAGTGCTGGGATTACAGGCGTGAGCCACCGCGCCCGGCCTACAATTCTTTAGCCATATAGTGAAACCTTAATAAATGTTCAGGTTTCTTTCCAACAAATCAACAAATACAAGTATAAAGGCATTCAAGAAATATAGCTCATCATGTACATTGACTTCAATCACTTCATTTTTATGAAGCAAAGTTAACCTAGCTAACTAGTCTTTTATATACCATGAATACTTAATATTAATTATTCAAAGATATTTCATTTAAATCACTGTTAACAAATTGAGATTAAGTCAGGCTGTCCATTTTAAAAACAGTAACTGCTGTAATAAAATATTAATCTGAGTTGGAGACTCCAAGAGGACAAAGAACATTAGAATATATACAAGTGATTTAAAAGTAACAAGCATGCATTTGTTCCTCAGCACATCTGTACTTTGAAGCTTCTACTCAGTATTGTGTGGAACTAAAACATGCTTTCCACTTATAAATGGAATAGGAGACCTGACACAATCCTTATACACGTTTTAGCCTGGAAATGTGCTAGTTTCATGTTTTCCATTTCCTCTGACCTTTTCCCTTCCATCAGAACTATAAATGGTGAACAGTATGCTTATTTGTATTTGTTTTACTGTTTGAGGCTTTTTGATTTTCAAGGAAACTCATTTTGTGCATAACTTTTTAAGGCAAAATTAAGGAATATGTTTTGATGAGACAAGGAAGGTATAATTAAATAAATGAGTTTAATTAAGGGATTTTAGGATTTCAAAATCAAGAAGAGAAGAAAGTAGGAGAACATAAAAATAATAAATAAATCAGCAAATAAAAATTCCCAGACACTTCTTTGAGAGTGTTTACATATTTCAGTGAAAGTAGGTAAAATATAAATATAGTATTTAGAAAAATTAATATATTTATGCAAGTAAATAAAAACCAATTTATTTTTAAACATTTCAAGATAAGGAAAGCACAATATACAGAATTTCAAGTTATTTAGCGACAATAACTGCAATTATTTAGAGACAATAACAATGCAAGTTATTTAGAGAGATTTTCAACCCAATAGCAAGACATTATGTTAATATCTGTTTGGGAAGTACATTTTCAGAAGACTATTAAAATAATATTACTAGAATTTTGCTATAAATGACAACACTAAATAAGAAAATTGAAAGTAATTTGTGTTAATTAGCTCTATAATATCCATTCAATGATATGTATAATTTCAAATAATAATGAAATAACATTATACTATAGTGTTATATAAAAACATAAGGTTTTCTAATATATAGCATTCAACTCATGGGGGTGTGGGGAGGTGAGGTGAAGCAAATTTCAGAACAATGTGTGCTAAGTGCAAACATTTGTGTAAAAAGCTTCTGTTACATGTATAGAGTTTCTCTGGAAGAATTTATAAGTGCATATAACACATATTCAAACCTACAAACACAGAGCTGTTTCTATTGGTTGATTCCTTGGTTGGCTGGAGGAGAAAGGTAAAAGAATTTTGATTTTTACTTTGTATTCTCTTATGGTCTTTTACTTTTCTTCTCAATGCACATATTACCATTTAAAAAAATAGATTAAATTTTAATAATGTTGCTACCAACATACTTGTGTTTATTTCACTGTCAAAATTGTGAATAAATTTTCAAAAACTTAGCTTATATTTTATAATTATAGCAAACTACATATTATTAATAGTTTTACAGAACAAAAATTTCAAAAATATATTAATTTCTATAAATTATATCCTCTAATATTAATTAGAAGAGCTATCTGATCAAAACACATCAGGTGATTTGTGGGGAGACAAATATATTTGCAAAATACAGCATCCTCATTAAACTGTGTATTAGGCCATTCTTCCATGCTGTAAAGAAACATCTGAGAATGGGTAGTTTATAAGAAAGGAGGTTGTATTGACTCACAGTTCTGCAGGTTGTACAGGCAGCATACTGGCATCTGCTTCTGGGAAGGCCTCAGGAAGCTTCCAAACATGGCGGAAGGTAAAGGGAGAGCTGGCACATCACATGGTAAAAGCAGGAGCAAGAAAGAGAGTGAGCAGAGGAGGTGCCACACACTTTTGAAGGACTAGATCCCATGAGAACTCACTATCATGAAGTAAGTACCAAGTCATGAGAGATCTGCCTCCATGATCCAAACACCTCCCACAAGACCTCACCCCAGCATTGGGGATTACAATTCAACATGATATTTGGGGGATATCATTCTGAAAAGTACATCATTCTGCTCTGGCCCTCGCAAATCTCATGCCCTTTTGACATTTCAAAATGGTATCATGCCTTCCCAACAGTCCCCTAAATTCTTAACTGTTTCCAGCATTGACTCAAAAGTCCCAAGTCCTGTCTGAGACAAGGCAAGTCCCTTCCATCTATGATCCTGTAAAATAAAAAACAGGTTATTTACTTCCAAGATACAATGGAGGTATAGGAATTGGGTAAGCATTCCTGTTCAAAAAGGGAGAAATTGATCAAAAGAAAGAAGATACAGGCCCCAAGCAAGTTTGAATCCCAGCAAGGCAGTCATTAAAACTTAAAGCTCCAAAATAATCTCTTTTGATTTCGTGTCCGACATCCAAGGCATACTGGTACAAGGAGTGGACTCCCAAGGCCTTGGGCAACGTGATTTCTTAGTTATAGTTAAAAATGGATTATGGATATTTACAAAGCTAACTCACATCTCCTTGTCTGACTCACTCTTTCTTCTTTCCTTCCCTCCCTCCCTCCCCCTTCCTTCCTTCCTTCCTTTCTTTTCTTTCTTTTCCTTTTTCTTTCTTTCTCTTTCTTCTTTCTTTCTTTCCTTTATTTATTTATTTCTTCTTTCCTTCCTTCCTTCCTTTTTTTCTTCCTTTCTTGCTTGCTTGCTTGCTTTCTCTTTCTTTTCTTTCTTATAATGGCTGATCAGTAATTCATTTTTAGAGAAATATGAGTTGATGTATGGATTTTTAAAATTCATTGATCAGTCAATAAGCAAATACTTTGCTATCAACTGTGACATGCTAAGCATATTAGGTGAATAGTACAAAATGTTGAGCAAGATGCCCTTGGTCCCTTCCTTCGAGAGATTACATTCCCATAGGAGGGTGGTAAATTCAGAAATACATCAATATAAATAGAGTATATAGGTAGGAATCTAGATAGTGTGATACATGTTCTCATAGTTTACAGAAACACAAAAAAAATATCTGTAACCTGGATATAAGTGACAAAGAAAGGAAGACTGCCTATGCCGAAGGATTCTTGTATACCATTCTAGGCCTGCTTCACGGCTTTTTTCTGTCCACCCTTCACAAGGCCAGGGAAACTTTGTTCACCATCATGGGATATGGTTGAGGTATCAAGTGCCTCTAAGAAGGACCACATTATCCCCAAATTTTAGAAGGGTCTTCTGTTGAAAAGACTTCTTTCTCCAGTACATTGTCTGGGCAAACTTTTTTATATATATATATATATTATATATATATATATATATATAATCTATCTTTGTGCCAATCCTACAATGCCTTGATTAATGTAGTTTTACAGTAAATTTCAAATCAGGAAGTCAGGGTCTTCCAACTTCAATCTTTTTCAAGATGATTTTGGCCATTCTTGGTCCCTTACATTCCTTTTGAATTTAAATATCACCTTGTCAATTTTGAAAAAGGAAACTTGGATTTTGACAGAGAATGTACTGAATCTGTAGATTATTTTGAAAATTTTACCATTTTAATAATATTAATTTTCTTACACATAACCATCAGGTGGCTTATCTTTTATTTAGTTTCTTTCAACAACAGTTTTTAGTTTTTAGTGTACATGACTTTGATTCTTTTGTTAAATTTATTCCTAAGTGATTTTAAATTGTAGATGTTATTTTAAATGGAGTTGTTTTCTTAATTTTTGAATTTTTCATTGAAAGTGTATAGAAATACAGCTGCTTTTGGGGTAGTCATCTCATATCTGGCAGTCTTACTGAATTCATTTCTTAGATTTAAGAGGTTTTTATGCAGATTCATTAGAATTTTCCATGTCCAAGATTATGTCATCTGCTAATAGAGATAGTTGTATTTTTTCTTTTCCAATCTGGATGACTTTTATTTCTTTTCCTTGCCAAATTGTCTGGGCCAGATCCTTCAGTACAATGTTGCGCAGTCACTGTGAGAATATCCATCTGTCCTGAACTTGGGGGTAAATCATTCAGTCTTCACTATTAAGTATAATGTTGGCTTGGGGCTTTTGTAAATAACATTTGTTTGGTTGAGCTAGTTTCCTTCTATAACTAGCTTCCTGGGTCTTTTTTTTTTACTTTTTTGTTTTAAATAGTGTGTGATTTTGTCAAATGCTTTTTCTGTATCTATCATGTATTCTTTTGTCCTTTATTGTATCGAGATGGTATTTTACCCTGACTTATTTTTGAATGTTAAAACAAGCTTGTATTCCCGGGACAGATCCTTGTTCATGGAAAATAATCAGTTCTTTTCTATATATTGCTGGATGTAGTTTGCTAATATTTTGTTTAGAAATCTTGCATTTATATTCATAAGGTATTTTAGTGTGTAGTTTATTTTCCTATGATGGCTTTGTTTGGTTTTGGTATTAAGGTAATTTTGGCCTCACAGAATAAGTTGTGAAGTGCTTGTTCTACCTTTTAATTTAATTTTATTTTTGAACAGTTTGTGAAGGATTGATATTACAATTTCATAGACATTTGGTAGAACTCACCAATGAAGCCTTCTGGGCTTGGACTACCCTTTGTGAAAATAATTTTATTACAAATACAATTTCTTTAATTGTTATTGGTTTATTTAGATTTTGTATTTATTCTTGAGTCATTTAAATTAGATTATGTCTTTGAGGAGTTAATTTCATCTAGGTTATATAATTTGTGGACATACACCATTTTTAGGTACCTGAAAATTCGTTAGTGCTGCTATTCCTCTTCATTCTGATTTTGGCAATTTGAGTCTTTGTTCTTTGTTTTCCTATTTCATCTATCTAAAGTTTTGTCATTATTTGTTGACCTACTTAAAGAATTACACATCTTTTATTTCACTGGTTTTCTCTATAACTTTTCTAATCTTTATTTTATTTATTTCTACTCTAATTTTTATTATCTCCTTCCTTCTGCTTTTTTGACTAGAATTTGCTCTTTTTCTAGTTTCTGAAGATAGTCATATTATTGATTTGGATTTTTAAAAATATGGACATTGGCAGTTATACTTTTTCCTCTAAGTACTATTTTATCTTTATCCTCTAAGTTTTGGTATGTTTTGTTTCTATTTTTTTAATCTCACAATATTTTCCCATTTTTCTTTAACTTATTCTTCGATTCATTTGTTATTTAGGGAGTTTATTAATTTTCACATATTTGGGATTTTTCCAAATTTCCTTCTGTAATTGATTTCAAATTTCATCCCATTTGGGCCAAAGAACATACATTGTATGATCTCAGTCATTTACATTTATTGTGCCTTGTTTTGTAAGCCAATGGATAGTCTAAGAATGTTCCAGGTATGGTTGTTCCATGGGTGTCTTTTAGTTATTGTTTGTTTTTAAGATTGATCCTTGTAATCTTCTGCTTAGTTGTTCCATCTACAACTGAGAGTGAGGTACTGAAACCTCCAACTATTGTTGTCAAATTGTTTATTTCTCTATCATTTCTGTGTATTTTTGCTTTATGTTTTTTAACTTATTTTTTATTTTTTGATTTTTTTGATACACAATAGGGTATTTATACACATTTAGAGTAAACAATAGTCACTCTCCTTATCTCTCAAAGAGTAGATCTTATTTCTTCTACCAAACTAAGTATTTGTACCCACTAATCAACCTCTCTTTGTTACTCTTCACCCTCTATCTTTCCTGGCCTCTGGTAAACCACCAATCTACTCTCTATCTTCATGAGATCCACTTTTTTAGCTCCCATTTATGAGTGCGAACATATGACATTTGTCTCTGTGTCTGGCTGATTTCACTTAACGTAATGACCTCCATTTCTGTCCATGTTGCTGCAAATGGCAGGATTTTATTCTTTTTTAAGATTGAATAATATTTTATTGAGTGTATATACCACATTGTCTTTATTCTTTCATCTTTTTATGGGTGATTAGATTGATTCCCTATCTTGGCTATTGCAAATAGTACTGCAATAGACATGAGAGCACAGATATGTCTCTGATGTATTGATTTCCTTTATTTTAGATACATAGTCAGCAGTGAAATTGCTGGTTCTTGACCCTAACTTGGATTTAAATAATGTAAAAGAAATCTTATTTTTATCTTATAATTGGCACTTATTATCAAGTGCTGATGAAAATATTTTCATTTCAGGTGATATTAAATTCTACTCCAATGCAAAAGATAAAGGAATGGTATCAATGAAAATGGTGGAGTGAGGGCATCAGCAAATTACTTCCTCCATAAAGGCAATTTTAAAAACTGGCAAAAATAATCAGGGTCAACATTTTTAGAACTTGAAAAATTAGCCAAATGCTTTGAGGAATCCACAAAGTGTTTATTCAAAAAACAAACAAAAAAGGTGGAAGTTTGGTAAGAACTGTAAGTGGCTGTACTAATTTATAGTCCCACGAACAGTAAATGAGCATCCTTCTTTATCTACATCCTCAGCAGTATCTCTTATTTTTTCTCTTTGAAAAAAAAATTCTCTAACTAGGGTTAGAGAATATCTCATTGTTTTGATCTGCATTTTTCTGATGATCAGTCATGTTAAACCTTTTTCATACACCTATTTGCCATTTGCATGTTTCCTGGTGAGAAATGTCTATTTAATCTTTTGCCCAGTTCTTAATCAGATTTCTTTTCTATTGGACTGTTTAAGCATCTCATATACTCTGGTTACTAATTCCTTGTCAGACTGACAGTTTGCAAATACATTATTCAACTCCATGGCCTGTATCTTCAGTTTGGTGATGGTCTTGTTTGCTAGACAGAAGCTTTTTAGCTTAATGTAATCCCATTTATCTGCTTTTGCTTTTGCCTGGATTTTGAGGTCTTAAAAATAATCTTTGCCCAGACCAATGTCCTGGAGGGCTTCCCAAAAGTATACTTCTAGTGTCATAGTTTTATATCTTAGATTTAAGTCTTTAAGTCATTTTGATTTGATTTTTGTATATGGTAAGAAACAAGGGGTTAGTTTCATTCTTCTGCATATGGTTATCTGGTTTCCTAGCACCATTTATTATAGAGACTGTCCTTTTCCCATTGTGTATTTCTAGCATCCTTGTCAAAAATGAATTGGCTCATTTGCGTAAATGTTGTAAATGCGTGATTTACATCTGGGTTCTCTATGATCTTTCATTAGTCTATGTTTCTGGTTTTGTTTGTTTGTTTGTTTGTTTTTGAGATGGAGTCTCGCCCTGTCACCCAGGTTGGAGTGCAATGGTGTGATCTCAGCTCACTGCAACCTCCACCTCCCAGGTTCAAGAGATTCTCCTGCCTCAGACTCCCTAGTAGCTGGGATTACAGGTGTGCACCACCACACTAATTTTTGTTATCTTTAGTAGAGACAGGGTTTCACCATGTTGGCCAGGCTAGTCTCAAACTCCTGACCTCGTGATCCACCCACTTCAGCCTCCCAAAGTGCTGGGATTACAGGCATGAGCCACCGCACCCAGCCAATGTTTCTGTTTTTATGCCAGGTTCATGTTGATTTGGTTACTATAGCGTTGTAGTAAATTTGGAAGTCATATAGTGTGATGTCTCCAAGCTTTGTTCATTTTGCTCAGGATTGCTTTGGCTACTGGGTTTTTTGTGGTTCTATATCAATTTCAGGATTTGCTTTCTATTTATGTGAGAAACATGAGTATTTTGATAGGGAGTGAAATGGATTTATAAATTGTTTTGGGTAATATTGTTATGTGAATCAAATTAATTTTTCTAATTAATGAGTATGAAATAGTTTTCCTTTTTTCTGTCCTCTTCAATTTCTTTCATCAATGTTTTACAGTTTTTCTTGTATACATCTTTTACTTCTTTGGTTACATTGATTCCTAGGTGTTTCATATTCTCTGTAGCTGTTGTAAATGGTAATTTTTTTATTTCTTTTTCAGATCATTCTCTGTTGGCATATATAAATGCTACTGATTTTTGTATGTTTATTTTCCATCTTGCAACTTTACTGCATTCATTTATCTGTTCTAAGAGTTTTTTCATGGCATCTTCAGGGTCTTTTTCAAGTATAACATTATGTCATCTGCAAACAATGATAATTCAGCTTCTTCCTTTCCAATTTGGAATACTCTTTAATTCTCTTGCTTAATTGCTCTTGCTAAGACTTTCAGTACTATGTTGAATAAAAGTGGTGAAAGTAGGCATCCTAGTCTTGCTCCAGATCCCAGAGGAAAGGCTTTCCATTTTTCTCCCTTGAGTAAGACGCTAGTTGTCGTTTGCCATATATGGCTCTTATTATTCTTAAGTATGCTCATTCTATACCCAGTTTGTGGAGGGATTTTATCTTAAAGAGATGTGGAATTTCATAGAATTTTTTTTAGCATTTATTTAAATGATCATATGTTTTTTGTTCTCGCTTACTTATGTAATTATTGATTTGTATATGTTGAGCCATCCTTGCATCCCTGAAATGAATCCCAGTTGATTATGGTGTAAGATCTTTTTAATGTGTTGTTGAAATTTGTTTGCTAGTATTTCGTTGAAGATTTTTGCATCTATGTTTATCAGTGATACTGCTCTGTAGTATTCTCTTTTTGTGTGTCCTTGTCTGGTTTGGGTATCAAAATAATGTTGGCCTGGTAGAAGGAGTTGGGAAATACTCACTCTACTTCAATTTTTTAAAAGAGTTTGAGAAGAATTGGTATAATCTCTTTTTTAAATATTTGGTAGAATTCAACAATAAAGCCATAAGGTCTTCCTTTGATGGGAAAATTTTTATTATGACTTCAATCATAATAAAGGTACTCATAATAATATTATTCGCTATTGGTTTGTTGAGGTTTTCTATTTCTTCATGGTTCAAACTTGTAGGTTGCATGAGCTCAGGAATTTATTCATTTCTTCTAAGTTTTCAATTTACTAATTTATAGATGTTTGTAATAGTCTCTAATGATTATTTGTATTTCTGTGGTCTCAGTTTTTATGACTCCTTTTTTGGTTTCTGATTTTATTTAGGTCTTCTCTCTTTCTTATTCTGGCTAAAGGTTTGTTGAATTTGTCTTTTCAAAAAACAACTTTTTTAAATTGATCTTCTGTGTTATTTTTAGTCTAATTTTTATTCATTTCTGCTAAGATTTTTGTCATTTGTTTTCATTTACTCACTTTGGGTTTTGTTTATTCTTGCTTTTCTAGTTCCTTAAGGTGCATTGTTAGATTGTTTATTTTGTTTCTGATTTCTGTAGCTGGGCATATATACATTTATAATTGTTATAACTTCCTGATGAGTTGAATCACTCATCATTTTATAATGTCTTTGACTTCAGTAACAAATTTGGCTTAAAATATATGTGTCTGTATTAGTATATCTAGCTCTATTTTGGCTACTCATGGCATATCCCCTTCCTTCACTTTAATTTCAACGTATTGTGTCTTTGAATATAAAGTATCTCTTTTAGAGAGCATGTAGTTAACCTACTTTTATCCATTCTGCCAATCTCTAAATTTTTAATTTTTGTAATATTTTTATTAAATGTAATTATGATGATATAATTAAAAATAACCAGGATAAATTCAACAGGATAAAATCAAAACTACTTGGAATGGCATATTGATCAATTAAAATCTATATTTCATACATTCTGTTTTATTTCCTTTTTATTTTTTTTCCTTGGGTTATAATGCACATAAAATAAAATTTGATCTCTTAATTATTTTACATATATCATTTAGTGGTGTCGATTACATTTGCAATGCTATGCAACCATCATCATTATTTGCAAAACTTTTTATCATCCCAGGGAGAAATTCTCAACTCAGATAGAAACTCATTAAGCAAGGTGAGTGCTCTTGTTAAAAATCGATTTTCCATAGATGTAGAGGTTTATTTCTGAACTCTCAATTTTATTCCATTGGCCTGTATGTTTATCCATGTGCCAGGATCATACTGATTTGATTACCTGGCTTTGTAGTAATTGGGTAGTGTGAGTTCTTTCAATTTGTTCTTTTATTTTTCAACGTTTCCCTTCATTTGCTTTCACCCCAGTCTATGGTAGCCTCTCCTCTATTTTATGTCCCTATAATATATATTTTATATAGGTGGAATCATACAATATTAATACTTTTATGTCTGGCTCATTTCACTCAGCATAATGTTTTCAAGGTTAATCCATGTTTTAGCATGCATCAGAACATTTATTTCTATTGCTGAATAATATTTTATTGCAGTTATATAGAATATATTGTTTATCCATTCATCTGTGGATAGTTACTTGGGTTGCTTTCACCATTTGACAATTATGAATAATAAATATTGGTATACAAGTACCTGCGTGAGATTTTGTTTTCCATTCTTTTGGTCATATGCCTAAGAGAGAAGTTGCTGGGTCATATGGGAGTTCTATTATTAACATCTTGGAAAACTGCCAAACTTTTCTACAGCATCTGCCCTATTTTACATTCCCATCATCAATGTCTGAGGGTTACAATATCTCCACATTCTCACCAAGATTTATTATTTTTCTTTTTTTAAAAAATTATATAATTATCCTGGTAGATAGAAGTAACAACTCACTGTGGCTTTTATTTGAATTTCCCTAATGGCTAAAAATGTTGGACGTCTTTTTTGTGTGCTTATTAGTCATTTGTATAACTTATTTGAGAAACACCTATTCAGACGGAGTTTCGCTCTTGTCGCCCAGGCTGGAGTGCAATAGTGCGATCTTGGCTCACTGTAACCTCCGCCTTCCAGGTTTAAGCGATTCTCCTGCCTCAGCCTCCCAAGTAGCTGGGATTACAGATACCCACCACTTCGCCCGACAAATTTTTGTACTTTTAGTAGAGACGGAGTTTCACCACGTTTGCCAGGCTCATCTCAATCTCCCGACCTCAAGTGATTCACCCGCCTCGGCCTCTCGAAGTGCTGGGATTCCAGGCTTGAGCCACCGCGCCCGGATGGTTGTATGCATTTCTGTTGCTAAGTTGTAGGTCTTCCTTGTAGATTCTGATTATTAAACCCCTATTAGATATATAGTTTGCAAATATTTTATCCACTTCTATACGTTATTTCACTTTATAATGTCCTTTGATAAACAATATATTTAAATTTTGATGAATTTCAATTTGTCTAACTTTTCTTTTGTTGCTCATTATTTTAGTTTTACACAAAAATAGATTAAATGCCAAATTTAAAAATCATGTAGATTTACTCATGTTTTCTTCTAAGCATGCTATAAGTTTAGCTCTTATATTGGGTCAATGAATCATGTTGAAGTAATTTGTTATATGGCATAAAACGCAGACCCAATTTTATTCTTTTAAATGTAGAAATACAGTTGTCCCACACCATTGTTGATAAGACTGTTCTTTTCCCCATAGAATACACCTGGTGCTCTTATTAAAAATCAGTGTTCCATAGATGTACGGGTTTATTTCTGGACTCTATTTAATTCTATTGGCTTGTATGTTTATCCATTTGCCAGGGCCATACTGATTTGACCATCTAGCTTTGCAGTAATTGGGAAGTGTGAGTCCTTTCATTTTGTTATTTTCTTTTTCAGCATTGTTTGGAGTATTCAGATCCCTTTGCAACTCCATATGAGTTTGAGGACTGGCTTTTTCATTTCTGCAAAGGGGCTGTTGGAATTTTGATAAGAATTGCTTTGAACTTGTAGATCACTTTGGGTAGAATTAGAAACATAACAATACTAAGTCTCCCAATATTTTCATTTATGTAGGTCTTCTTTAACTTTTTTAGCAATGTTTTGTAGTTTTCAGTGTACAAGTCTTTCACTTCCTTGTTCAAATTTGTTCCTAGGTATTTTATTCTTTGAGATAATATTATACATTGGAATGCTTTATTAATTACTTTTTTCTATTTGTATTCATAGGAAATATTGGTCTGTAACTTTCTGTTCTTTGGATTTCTCCATCTGACTTTGGTATAAGGATAATGCTTGTCTCATGTAATGACTTAAGAAATGCTCCTTCTTCTATTTTTTGGAAGAATTTAAGATGAATTGGTGTTTATTCTTTTTTACATGTTTGACAGAATTCACCAGTGAAACATCTGATACTGGGCTTTTGTTGTTGTTGAGGAGGAGTTTTGATTGCCGGTCTATTCTCCGTACTTGTTATAGGTCTGTTAAGAATTTCTTCTTCTTCTTGAATCACATTAGGTAATTTTTGCGTGGCTAAAAATTTGTCCATTTCATCTAGGTTATCTAATTTTGAGGTGTACAGTCCATTTCACCTAGGCTGTCTAACTTTGGGGTGTTCATAGTATTTCTTCACATTTCTTTCTGTCGTTAGAGACAAGTATAATTAATACGTATAAAATATGGTATTCTCCTATTTCCACAATGATCAAGAACAAATTCTTCAATTTTATGTTTTTATTATGTCCTCTCTCCCGAACTTCACTCCTATCATTTTCCTTTCTTGGGAATCTTGGTGAAGGAATTTTGCAAACAACATCAAATTTCAGAATCTGATTTTGGAAATTGTTGACAAGATTCTGGCTAGTTTCAGACATCTGAAAGCTTTGTTGAAAACTAGAAAAGAACTAGAAAATGAATTCACTTCATTCATTGAAGTAAAGAATAAGCATTGAATATGACTTTGTGTGATTTTATGGTTCTTAAGTTGTGTCCAATTTCAGAAAAGAAAAAATAAGTCTCTTTCCTGATGTACTTCATGCTGCTTTGATGACCACTGCCTTGGTTTATGCATTTTTCTTCATATGAATTTCAGCAGTGACCTTTTTATGGATATGTTGTTATTATTAGTAGTAGTAGTATCATCACTTAAGACGGAGTTTTGATCTTGTTTCCCAGGCTGGAGTGCAATGGTGTGATCTTGGCTCACTGCAACCTCCACCTGCCGGGTTCAAGTGATTCTCCTGCTGCAGCCTCCCTAGCAGTTGGGATTACAGGTGCCCACCACCACGCCCAGCTAAATTTTTGTAGTTTTAATAGAGACTGGGTTTCACTATGTTGACCAGGCTGGTCTCAAACTCCTAACCTCAGGTGATCCACCCACCTCATCCTCCCAAAGTGCTGGGATTACAGGCGTAGGCCACCACCCAGGGCTTATGGGTCCATTATTAACAGTTGCTTTATATTTCCATTTTTCAGTCAAATAAGGACTTACTATTCGACAAGCATTGTTTACATATGTAAACATATATATATAAATTAAAATTCTAAGCAATGTTCACACACATGCATACACACATAAACATACACATACACACACATATACACACTGAGAACGTACTATCCACCAGGAATGGTCCTAATTGACATACCAAAGATATATAAAAATTAAGTTGATCTTCACAACAATCAAATGGGTGGGTACCATTATTATCCTATTATGTGGATGAGTAAAGAAACTGGACTCAGAGAGATAACTTGCTCAAGTTTGCACAGCTATTGAAAGAGATTTGCCTGATTTCAAACCCAGTTAGGCTTATTCTTCATCTTAGGCACTACATAGGTAAGTTGTGTGTACAAATATTGGCATTGTTTTAAATTGCAAATAATTAGCGAATTGATCTGAAATTAGCCAAACGGTTTGAAAATTAATATAGGATAAGTATCCTTCATCTGAAATGCTAAGGAACGGAAGTGTTTTGGATTTTAGGGTTTTTTGGATTTTGAAATATTTGCATTATTCTGTTTGAGCATCCCAAATCTGAAATACTTTAAGCATTTTACTCAGCATTTTGTTTGAGCATCACTTCAATACTCAAAAGTTTTAAACTGAGCATTCAGAATTACCAATTTTCAAATCTAGGATGTTCAACCTGTATCTCAGTATGATATATTCAAATTTTACAATATTTGCTGGCTACAAATACAATACAAAACATTATGTTCAATCCAAAACATTCTGTGTTGAAAAATATTTAATATTCTAGAGAGTATTAAAAATAATGTTATAACAATCGGTAAAAGAATTACACTATATGTGAATGCTGAATGAGTCTAAAATACCAATGATAAAACAAAATATTTAAATTGGTTAACTCCCATTAAAACTGTGGTTGTGGCTGGGCACAGTGGCTCTCGCCTGTAATCCTAGAACTTTGGGAGGCCAAGTCGGGTGGATCACCTGAGGTCAGGAGTTTATGACCATCCTGGCCAACATGGCAAAACCCCGTCTCTACTAAAAATATAAAAATTAGTCAGGCATGGTAGCATGCAGCTGTAGTCCCACCTACCCAGGAGGCTGAGGCAGGAGGATCACTTGATCCTGGGAAGTGGAGGTTGCAGTGAGCTGAGACCACACCACTGCATTCCACATTCCAGCCTGAGCAACAAGGTGAGACTCCATCTAAAAAAAAAACAAAAACAAACAAACAAACAAAAAAACTGTGGGTGATTTATTTTTTCACTTTCCTTTTGGATAGGACACACTAGAAATACTGAGGTTGGTAATGAAAAGATAAACTTTTTTACAGCGTTTTTTCTTGGGAAGACAGCTCAGAGTAGGGAACTCTGAGCAACACATATGTAAAACCATAGACTTGATGAAATTTTCATCATGGTCTTCACCATTTCACCTGTCATCCACCTAATATTGTTCTAGAAGGAATATGTAATGAATGATTGAACTTTCCTTTGCATATTTGTACCCGCCATTGTTTCTAAGAAATAAAGCCACATTGCAGCACTAACTAATTAAAGAGAATGAATGACAAGGATTTCTAGAAAAGAATGTTGCCAAATCTCTGCATATAAGTGAAGTGCCTGCCTAGGTTTCTTTGTGATTCTCTTGGTATACATGAATTCAGAAGGTGGTAAGTCTTTTATTATCTAGTTATATCATAAAAATGATAAAATACTTCATAAGATTTAAATGTCTAAATGCACAGAATATGCTTTTAAATTAATTATCCTCACATGACCGTTGGAGGAATATCCAGTAAAATTATCGGAAACCAAAATTCTTACACAGCAGTTCGAGAAATGAAATAGAAAAGTGTTGTGAAAGAGAGTAGCAAATGGAACATGTGCCAAGTGGGCAAAATGAGGGTCTAAGTCAACATATTTTACGCCAGAATTTTCTCCTCACCACATTTCTTCTCATTCTGGTCATTGGCAGTCTGTGACAACAATACTTCCTGAAAATGTGTTGCAGCTGTAGAGTAATTCCATAGCAGATTTATTTTCCTTTGGCACTTTTTGTAATTGGCATTGAGGAAACATACAAGAATTATTCCTTATCTTTTTTATGTTGGCAAGTTTCATATTGTTTAAACAATTTTTTTAGTTGTGTAAAATATCATTTGGTAGAATATTAGAAGATGTTTGGGCTTTCAAGTTTGTTGATTTGAGTCAGAGGTATATTGACCAGTTTTAGCACAAGATAGAATTTAATTATCTTGGCTACTTAGGAAAAAATACACACAGAGATGCATACACACAGACAAGCAAATATCTTCAATAGTATAATATCTAATGTATATGTTTTCCTTAGAGCCTTAACTGAAACATACATGCTAAATTTTATACAGATATTTTATCTCAATATACACAAGTTACATATGTGGATATAATATGAAGTTGAAAATCCTGAAGATAATCATATGTGATGAGTTTACTGTTAAGATCAGAAAATATGAATGTTCTGAACTCCACAAAAACTTGGCAAATATAATTATAAAAAACGCAAAAATATTCAAAAGTGTATTTACTAAACCTGTATTACTGTTGTTTTTATTCTTTTTATTGATATATATCATAGTTGTATATATTTTGGGGCTACATGGGATAGTTTGATACATGTATGTAATATGAAATGATCAAATCAGGGTTACTGGGTAATCTATTTTTTCCTTGTATTGGGAACACTATAGTTCTTTTCTAGCTATTTTGAAATATACAATAAAATATTAACAATAAATTAGAACTTACTATTTCTGTCCAACTGTGTTATTTACCATTAACTAATTCTTTTTCATCCTCCCTACCCCTCTCACACTTTGATAACCACCATTCTATTCTCTACCTCAAGGAAATCCACTTTCTTTGCTCCCCCATATGAGTGAGAACATGGAATGTTTGTCTTTCTGTGCCTGGGTTATTTCACTTAACATAATGACCTCCAGTTCTGTTTATGTTGCTGCAAATGACAAGATTTCATTTTTTTATGGCTAAATAGTGGCCAGCAAGAATACAAAAATAGTGCTCACTATTACTATTCATCAGGGAAATGCGAATCAAAACCACAATGAGATATCAACTCATCCCAGTTAGAATGGCTATTGTTAAAAAGAAATAAATAGAAAATGTTAGCTAGGTTGCAAAGAAAGGGGAACGTTCATACACTGTTATGGGAATGTAAAGTAGTACAGCCATATGGAAGACAGTACAGAAATTCCTCAAAAACAAAACAAAACAAGACAAAACAAAACAAGACAAAACAAAACAAAAAAGCCTGTAATCCCAGCACTTTGGGAGATGAAGGCTGGCAGATCACTTGAGGTTAGGAATTCAAGACCAGCCTGGTCAACATGATGAAACACTATCTCTACTAAAAATACAAAAATTAGCTTGGCGTGGTAGTGCATGCCTGTAATCCCAGCTACTTGGAAAGCTGAGGCAGGAGAATTGCTTGAAACCGGGAGGTGGAGGTTACAGTGAGCCGAAATCATGCTAATGCTCTCCAGCCTGAGTGACAGAGCAAGACTCTGTCTCAAAAAAAAAAAAAAAAAAAAAGAGCTACGATGTAATCCATCAATCCCATTACTGGCTATATATCCAAAAAGGGGAAATTAGTATATTAAAGAGATATCTGCACTCCCATGTTCATTGCAGCAATATTCACAATAGTGAAGCTATGGAATCAACCTAAGTGCCCATCAACAGATAAATGGATAAAGAGTATCTATATGTATATGAGTACATATATGAAAAAATATATATGCATACTAAACTTTGTAAGGAATTAGTATAGTTTTAGGCTTACAGAAAAACTGTGAGGGTGACAAAGTTTTCATGTGCACCACACCGAGTTTTTATTGTTGCAAACATTATACATTAGTATGGTAACATTTTTTACAATTAATAAACAAATACAAGTATATTATTTTAACAGCAGTCTACACTTTATTCAGGTTTCCTTGGCTTTCGATTTCTGTCCCAGGATCCCATCAAGAATAAAATTACATTTTTCTGTCATGTCTCCTTAGGCTACTGTGGGCCATGACAATTTCTTAGAGGTTTCCTGTTTTTGATGATTGATATGGTTTGACTGTGTCCCCACCCAAATCGCAACTTGAATTGTATCAGTAGAGTGGAGTGTTGCTGAAAAGATACCCAAAATATGTAAGCGACTTTGGAACTGCATAACAGGCAGAGGTTGGAACAGTTTGGAGGGCTCAGAAGAAGACAGGAAAATGTGGGAAAGTTTGGAAAGGCATGATTGGTTCTGAAATGTGAGGACATGAGATTTCTAGGTGTCGGGGTGGAATGATATGGTTTGGCTGTGTTCCCATCCAAATCACTTGTTGAATGGCTTTGATAAAATGCTGATAGTGATATGAACAATAAGGTCCAGGCTGAGGTGGCCTAAGATGGAGATGAAGAACTTGTAGGGAACTGGAGCAAAGGTGATTCTTGTTATGTTTTAGCAAAGAGACTAGTAGCACTTTGTCCCTGCTCTAGAGATCTGTGGAACATTGAACTTGAGATCATTTAAGATACCTGGCAGAAGAAATTTCTAAGCAGCAAAGCATTCAAAAGGTGACTTGGGTTGCTGTTAAAAGCATTTTGTTTGGAAAGGGAAACAGCATTAAAGTTCAGAAAGTTTGCAGCCTGATGATGCAGTAGAAAAGAAAAACCCATTTTTTTTTGTGGAGAAATTCAAGCCAGCTGCAGAAATTTGCGTAAGTAGCAAGGAAGCTAATGTTAATCCCCAAGACCATGGGGAAGATGTCTCCAGGCCATGTCAGAGACTCAGAGACCTTCAGGGCAGCCCCTCCCTTCATAAGCCCAGAGGCCCAGGAGGAAAAAGTGTCTTTGTGGGCCAGGCCCAGGGTCTGCATGCTCTGTGAAGCCTAGGGACTTGGTACCTTGTGTCCCAGCTGCTTCAGACATGGCTCCAAAGGGCCAATGTAGAGCTTGGGCTGTGACTTCAGAGGGTGGAAGCCCTAAGCCTTTGCAGTTTGCACGTGGTGTTGAGCCTGTAGGTGCACAGAAGTCAAGAATTGAGGTTTGGGAACCTCCATCTAGATTTCAGAAGATGTATGGAAACTCCTGGATGCCCAGGCAAGTTTGCTGCAGGGGTGGGGCCCTCAGGGAGAACCTCTGCTAGGGCACTGTGGAAGGGAAATGTGGGGCTGGAGCCCCCACACAGAGTCCCTACTTGGGCACTGCCTAGTGGAGCTGTGAGAAGAGGGCTACCGTCCTCCAGACCCCAGAATGGTATATCCACCGACAGCTTGAACCATGCTCCTGGAAAAGCCACAGACACTCAACGCCAGCCCATGAAAGTAGCTGGGAGGGAGGCTGTACCCTGCAAAGCCACAAAGGTGGAACTGCCCAAGACCATGAGAATCCACCTCTTGCATCAGCAAAACCTGGATGTGAGAACTAGAGTCAAAGGAGATCATTTTGAAGCTTTAAAATTTGACTTCCCCACTGGATTTTGGACTTGCATGGGGCCTGTAACCCCTTTGTTTTGGCCAATTTCTCCTATTTAAACAGCTATATTTACCCAATACCTGTACCCCCATTGTATCTAGGAAGTAACTAGCTTGATTTTGATTTTACAGGCTCATAGGTGGAAGGGACTTGCCTTGTCTCAGATGAGACTTTGGACTGTGCACTTTTGAGTTCATGCTGGAATGAGTTAAGACTTTGAAGGACTGTTGGGAAGGCATGGTTGGTTTGAAATGTGAGGACACGAGATTTTGAGGGGTCGGGGTGGAATGATATGGTTTGGCTGTGTCCCCATCCAAATCACAACTTGAATTGTATCTCTCAGAATTCCCACATGTTGTGGAGGGGGACTCAGGGGGAGGTAATTGAATCATGGGAGAACAGTCGTTTCCATGCTATTCTCATGATAGTGAATAAGTCTCACACTATCCAATGGTTTTATCAGGGGTTTCCCCTTTGCTTGCTCCTCATTTTCTCTTGCTGCTGCCATGTAAGAAGTGCCTTTTGCCTCCTGCCATGATTCTGAGGCCTCCCTAGCCATGTGGAGTTGTAAGTTCAATTAAACCTCTTTTTCTTCCTTGGTGTATGTCTTTATCAGCAGTGAGTAAACAGACTAATGCAACGACCTGAGAATTTTGAGGGGGTACTCATCATGTACTTTGCAGAATCAATCAGGTTTTCTCTAATGCTTTTCTCATCATAAGACATAGGTTATTGGTTTTTAAAAGGAAGACCACAAGGTAAAGTGCAATTCTCATCACATTATGTTAAAAGTAGATACTATAAGCATAATCTACCACTGATTTTATTGTGTATGTTTAAACTGTACAACATGTCTTGATATACTTATACATAGTGAAATAATTAGCATAATGAAGCAAATTAATGTATCTATCACTTTACATTGTTTTTGCGTGTGAGATAAGAGCACCTAAAATGTATTACTGTTGATGTTAATCTTGATCACGTAGCTGATAGAGTTTGTCATTTTCCTTGACCATAAACTTACTTTTTTCCCCCTTTCTACACTGTAGTCTTTGGGAGGAAGTCACTGCACAGCCTACATTTAAAGAATGAGGGCTTATTCTCTACCTCCTTGAGAGCAGAGTGTAATGTAGATACTCATCTATGTTACTTTTACTCTTTATGTAAATTACTTCGAAATTTTCTGCATCAGAGATTTGTCTCTTCTCTCCTATTTGTTTATTCATTTATTTATATTGCAACATATTTGTATGGACTCACAAATATATTTTTTAAGCTGGGGTTTATATTCAGTATTTAACACTATTTTGTTTTTCAAAGTGTTCTAGCTTTTGCCATTGGGAGCTATTTTAGTTGGCTCCTGTGTCTTTTGTGTGTCTTTGACACAATTCTATCTTTGTGAGTATTTTTGTTTGTTTGTTTTGGTTTTTTGCACTTGCTTGCCTTCTGCCCCTATAAGGTATTCCAAGCACATCTCCTATATTTCTTGACTCACTCCTAGAACCAGCCATTTCGCCAAAGATTCATGGTTCCTTTTAACAGAGAATAATATTAGGAACCAAGATCTAAGTGCTAAGTGGGCTTATTGCTACTTCAGTGTTGATGCTTCCAGACTATCTCAACTGACAGAGAAAAAAAATGTGTGAGTATATTAACCCATGTATATACACATATTTATAAATGTTATCTATATTTCTATATCCAGAAATATCTATATTAAGCAAAATGTAAGTTCATACTGGTGTATTGAAGTCTTCTGTAATAACACATGGATAATTCTAGCCGCATCTCCTTGGTCACTGCAATCTCTCATTCCAAAAGTAAGAAAACTGCCTGTCAGCCACTGTCAGCCAATCATTTATATACTTGTTCAAATCCATTATGTTTGTATAGTGGTATGAGGATTGTTAATCCATACCCCTAGGTAAACAGGTTTTTCAACTAGAATATAGTGCTTATGTACAGTTTCTTTTGCCTTTACTATTACAGACTCATCTCCATTTATTTTCGAAGTTACTTATGTCACCACTGTTATTGTCCACTCCCTTCAGATAAGATTTTTCATACATTCTTAATACAGTTAGATATTTTTTGTCTCAGCCTGAATTCCGTCTTGGAGTCTCCTGACCTCTAAATGACTTTTGTTTGCTTTGTTGAAGATCAGTTGGCTGTAAGTTTTGGGGTTTATTTCTGGCTTCTCTCTTCTGTTCCATTGGTCTATATGCCTGTTTTTGAACAAGTACCATGCTGTTTTGGTGACTATGGCCTTATAGTACAGTTTGAAATCAGGTAGTGCATGCCTCCAGATTTGCTCTTTTTGCTTAGTCTTGCTTTCGCTATGTGGATCTTTTTTGGCTCCATATGATTGTAGAATTGTTTTTTCAAATTCTGTGAAGAACAATGGTGGTATTTTGATGGGGATTGCATTGAATTTGTAGATAGCTTTTGGCAGTATGGTCATTTTCACAATATTGATTCTACCTATCCATGAGCATGAGATGTGTTTCCATTTGTTTGTGTCATCTATGATTTCTTTCAGCCATGTTTTGTAGTTTTCCTTGTAGAGGTCTTTTGGCACCTGGTTATGTATATTCCTAAGTTTTTCGTTTGTTTGTTTTTTGCAGCTATTGTGAAAGGGGTTGAGTTCTTGATTTCAACCTCCACTTGGTCACTGTTGGTATACAGAAGAGCTACTGACGTGTGTACATTAATCTTTTATCTAGAAACTTTGCTGAATTCTTTCATCAGTTCTAGGAGCTTTCTGGAGGAGTCCTTAGGGTTTTCAAGGTAAACGATCATATCATCAGCAAAGAGTGACAGTTTGACTTCCTCTTTACTGATTTGGATGAACTTTATTTCTTTCTCTTGCGTGACTGCTGTGGTTAGGACTTCCAGTACTATGTTGAAAAGGAGTGGTGACAGTAGTCATCCTTGTCTTGTTCCATTTCTCAGAGGGAATGCTTTCAAATTTTCCCCATTCAGTATTACACTGGCTGTGGGTTTGTCATAGTTGGCTTTTATTACATTAAGGTATGTCCCTTGTATGCCGATTTTGCTGAGAGTTTTAATCATAAAGTGATGCTAGATTTTGTCGAAGGCTTTTTCTGTGTCTATTGAGATGATCATAGTGATTTTTGTTTTAAATTCTGTTTATGTGTTGTATCATATGTTAAACCATCCCTGGTATGAAACTCACTTGATCATGGATTACTTTTTTGATATGTTGTTGGATTCAGTTAGCTAGTATTTTGTTAAGGATTTTAGCATCTGTGTTCATTGAGGATATTGGTCTGTAGTTTTCTTTTCTGGTTATGTCCTTTCCTGGTTTTGGTATTAGGGTGATGCTGGCTTCATAGAATGAATTAGGGAGGGTTCCTTCTTTCTCTGTCTTGTGGAATAGTGTCAAAAGGATTGGTACCAATTCTTCTTTGAATGTCTGGTAGAATTTTGTTGTGAATCTGTCTGGTCCTGGACATTTTTTGTTAGTAATTTTTAGATTACCATTTCAATATTGCTGCTTGTTATTGGTCAGTTCAGGGTATCTAATTCTTCCTCATTTAAGCTAGGAAGCTTGTTTTTTCCAGGAATTTATCCATCTCTTCTAGGTTTTCTAGTTTACATGCATAAAGGTGTTAATAGTAGCCCTGACTTATCTTTTCTATTTCAGTGGTGTCAGTTCTGATATCTCCTGTTTCATTTCTTAGTGAGGTTTTTTGGATTTTCTCTCTTCTTTTCTTGGTTAATCTTGCTAATAGTTTGTCAACTTTATTTATCTTTTCAAAGAACCAGCTTTTTATTTTGTTTATCTTTTGTATATTTTTTGTTTCAGTTTCATTTAGTTGTGCTCTGATCTTGGTTATTTCCTTTCTTCTACTTGCTTTGGGTTTGGTTTGTTCTTGTTTCTCTAGTTCTTTGAGATGTGACCTTAGATTGTCTGTTTGTGCTCTTTCAAACTTTTTGATGTAGATGTTTATGGCTATGAGCTTTCTTCTTAGCATTACCTTTGCTGTATCCCAGAGGTTTTGATAAATTGTGTCATTCTTGTCATTCAGTTGGAAGAATTTTTTAATTTCCATCCTGAGTTTGTGTTTGACCCGATGCTCATTCAGGAGCAGGTTATTTAATTTTCATTTATTTGCATGGTTTTGAAGGTTCCTTTTGGAGTTGATTTCCAGTTTTATTCCACTGTGGTCTGACAGAGTGCTTAATATATTATCACTTTTCTTAAATGTAATGAGGCTCGTTTTATGGCCTATAATATAGTCAATACGGGAGAAAGTTCCACACGCTGTTTAATAGAATGTGTATTCTGTGGTTGTTGGATGAAATGTTCTGTGTATATCTGTTAAGTCCATTTGTTCCGAGGTATAGTTTAAACCTGTTGTTTCTTTGTTGACTTTCTGTCTTGATGACCTACCTAGTGCTGTCAGTGGAGTATTGACATCCCCTACTATTGTTGTGTTGCTATATATCTCATCTCATTTCTTAGGTCTATTAGTAATTGTTTTATTAATTTCAGAGCTCCAGTGTTAGGTGCATATGTTTAGGATTGTGATATTTTCCTGTTGGACAAGGCCTTTTAGCATTCTTTTTTTTTTTTTTTTTTTTTTAGACCGAGTCTCGCTCTGTCACCCAGGCTGGCGTGCAGTGGCGTGATCTCGGCTCACTGCAAGCTCCGCCTCCTGGGTTCACGCCATTCTCCTGCCTCAGCCTCCTAAGTAGCTGGGACTACAGGTGCCCACAACCATGCCCGGCATGCTCCCCTTCCCTTAAGGGTTTGAGTATCTGTGGTGGCCAAACAGACAAGCCAATCCCTGTCACATGTCCTGCAAGGGAGGTCAGGGAACTCTCCCATTTCACTACCAGAAGAATTTACTGCTTGTTCCAGTCAATACCTAACTATAGGGCGCTGACCTCCCTTATTTATTTTTGACAGCTTACAATTGTCAATTATTTCTCTGACCCTTTAAAAGGTAGTCTTCCCTTAAGAGAAGGGGAGCATGCAGACGGACAGGTGCAGGAGCCAGAATGAGTGCCCCTGGTCTCCAGCCCCACAGCAGCGTCCAGGAGTGGGTGCCTGCAGCTCCGAAATCACAATGGGGTGAATGTTACAGTGCACTCTCTTAGATTTACCATCTACGGATGGCTTAAGTGTTAACCAGCTCAATGCCCTCTTGGTATCCAGGTCCTTGTCTGACATCCAGGAAGAATCAGGTCACACAAGGACTTGAAGGATGAATGCAGGAATGCAGGGGTTTTATTAAGTGGTGGAGGTGGCTCTCAGCAGGATGAATGGGGAACTGAAAAAGGGATGGAGTGGGAAGATGATATTCCCCTGGAGTTGACAGTCCAGCAGCTGATCTCCTCTCTGACTGCCCCCAGCCGATTCCTATTGGCATTCAGGTGCTCCTTCTCTTCTCTCTGCCCCATTTTCCTGCCATCCTTCTGCTCTTCTGTTAGCCCTCTCGTCTGCTTGTCTGCTTCTGGAGCCTGGGGTCTGAGATTTATATGGGTACAGAATAGGGGGTTGTGGCAGGCCAAAAGACAACTTTTGGGTGCCAAAACTGGAATGTCTGTTCCCATTTGGGGTCACAGGTTTCCAGGCTTGAGGGCAGGGTCTTTGCCAGGGAACCACCCTCTTCTACCCAGTATTTCCCTGTCTCCTATCCATATCAGTAGCACTGAGATTTCTAAGGCTGGTATTTTAAAGAGGTTGAGGTAACCCTAGGGACATGGTCCAGGATTACCATGGCTAGAGTGTGATCAAGTTTTGGTGTGCTGGGTTGAACAGAGACTTTTTCAGTTCTCACCCAGTTCCCATTATACTAAAGTTTACTGTACTTATCTACCAACTTGTTGACTTTCTTGTCCAACTTAACACTTGGAGTGTTAAGTTTGCAGAAGCATCTGGAACTCCAAATAGTCTTTGAGGAATTTTCTTTCTACTGATACAGTCTGTATATCTGGTGTACCCACCTACTATAGGTTGTGTTTCACAGGGATCATGTGGGTTTTTAGGGGCATAGAGCTGAAAGTGGGCTCAAGTACAGAGAGTCACTATTTATAGCCTCAAACCATTGTTTCCTTGTTAGATGTAAGATTTTTCCTTATGTGTTTATTTACAGACTCCTTCCTCATTTTTTTTTCCTTAGGAAATTTCTAACTTTTTTTACCTTCCATGCTTTCTATTGGATGCATTCCTTTGTTTATTTTTTTTAATATTATTTTAGTTTTTTGAGACGGGGTCTCACTCTGTTGCCCAGGCTGGGGGGCATTGGCGCAATTTTGTCTCACTGCAAGCTCTACCTCCCAGTTCATGCCATTCTCCTGTCTCAGCCTCCTGAGTAGCTGGGACTACAGGCACCCACCACTATGCTTAATTTTCTGTATTTTTAGTAGAGGTGGGGTTTCACCATCTTGGCCAGGATGGTTTCAATCTCCTGACCTCGTGATCCACCCGCCTGGGCCTCCCAAAGTGCAAGGATTACAGGCATAAGCCACCGGGCCCAGCCACATTCCTTTATTTCTATCAGACAGACCACTGTATGTTAGAAAGAACCTTAATTTTGGATAAGATTTTTACCTTTCATGGGCTAAAAGTCTCCATTAAAGAAAATTAATAGATAAATATATTAACATCTTGGTATTAGTTTATTTGAACCTGAGCTCATACTTGATCAGTGTTTTCAGCAATATTTAATTCTGCTTTTGTAGGTTTCACATTCTACTTGCAAAATAATGGATGATTATTACCTTATTATTATGATGATGTTTGTGAGTGAATTTTCAGGCATTTTTATTGGAATTTGTGATCACATTGAGAGCCATAAAACATTTTACATTTTTCAGATAGAAATAATAGTACAGGGCTGGGTGCCATGGCTCATGCTTGTAATCCCAGCTCTTTGGGAGGCCAAGATGGGCGGATCACCTGAGGTCAGGAGTTCAAGACCAGCCTCCCCAACATGGTGAAGCCCTATCTCTACTAAAAATACAAAAATTAACCAGGCATGGTGGCGCACACTTGTAGTCCCAGCTACTAGCAAGGCTGAAGCTGGATGATATCTTGAACCCGGGAGGCAGAGGATACAGTAAGCCGAGACTGTGCCACTGCGCTCCAGCCTAGGAGACAGATGGAGACCCTGTATCAAAAAAGAAAAAAAAAACAGTGAAGTGATAGTGGAACCCACTTCTGAAAGAGATCCTGTTGCATCCTTATCCCTCTCTTAGTTCTCTCATATATGCAATGGGGAGTCTCTGTTAAGTTTTTTGATTTATGAAATGATACACAATGCCAGGAATGACACTAATTAAAATCTGTATATTTACTCATTTGAATCTTGACAATCATTCTTATTTAGATGAACCTCAGTCAAATAGTTAATATTTAACATGTTTTCTTCAGGAATTTTTATTAGCAATGAGAATGTTAATTGAGGATGGCTGGGCTGATATTCTGTAAGAATTGTACCCTTTTATTGAATATTTAAACTAAGTTTAAGTATATATAAAAGATCAGATATTGCAACATGTTTCTGGTATTAATTTCCAAAAAACTTTTTATACGTGAAATTATGAAATGGTACTTCCTATAGTCTAGTACTAAAAATTTAAAAAAGTCTTTTATCATTCTTACTGCATAAAAATGCTTTAGTGAGTATTGTTAAGAAGAATAAACCAATCCACTTTAGTTTTCTTATCCCCGTGACTCATTTATGAACTTGATATTTCTCAGTGTAGCCCTACAACAATGTCTTTAAATTATGTAATTTTCTATGAATTCAACAAAAGAAACCTAAAAGTTGACTCTGAGCATTTTCTTGGCCTTCCTCATTTTGCGGTTGATTGTGGCCTACATAATTTCCCTGAAATGAGTCAGCTTCCAAACAGTTTAGGATTCCAAGCCCTCTATATAGGCTGCTGCTCAATACCTGTTCTTTGCTCATTTCTACTGCCAATATATTTTGTTATAAAAATGAACCACATTTTTTGGCCAATAATAATATGTTTGCTATAAAGGTTATATTGCAAATTTCACTAGGTTCCATAAAGAACCTTATCATCACCATTGCTGTTTCTCTAAATAAATATATGCATGAAAATTGTGTAGAGGGAGAAAGTTTTAAAACATTAATTATGTATATAGAAAGTTCCAACTGATATCTAGCAGAAACATGAATAATTTTTCAGTTTCATTCACCTAGTGTGCAAACTAGGATCAATCATAATGAAAAAAAAACCCTCCCCCAAAACAGCTACAGCTTCATTTTTCTCTTCTTCTCTGTAATGAAGGCTCCAAGTTGACATAGATGGTAATAACAAAGAGGCCAGTTCTGAGAGCTGCCATCTGCATCATCCTGACCCCTTTCAACACACCTCATCTGAAACGATAACTATAATTCCTGTCCTACATTACACTCTGCTGTAGTGCCACACATCTTTTAAAAGTATTAAGGAAACCATTCAGAGAGCATTATTGGAAAATAAGAGAGGGCAACTATTCTGGTCAACCAAGTAATGAGTTTTAATACTTCCCAGCAGTTACCTAAAATCCCAGCTGATTTCAAAGACTAAGAGGTAAAAGGGAAAAGGCTCAATGGCAGAGTGGGGAAGAGCTGGGGAGAAATCCTTTAGAGCTAATATGTTATCTGGCAGTGTTATCTTCCTCCACTTTTATCTGCAGTATTTCAACATACATAAATCTATTATAGTGTTGGAGAAAGGGCCCACTGTCTGAACTTTTATTCTTTTAGGAGAAACATCCATGTAAAGCTCTTTTGTAGATTAAGCAATTCAATTTTATGCATAGAGAATACCTAAATGGCCAAAAAAATTCTATTCTACTTAAAACTATACCATAATTAAAAAATAGTAAATAGCAATAGCACTTTAAAATAAATTTAATCAATGAATATTCCTTGTCCATTTGTATAAAATACTTAAATAAAAAGTTTTGTAAAATGTTATGATATTTATCTGCTTTAAAATATTTTACTATTAACTCAAACTTTTACCCTAGGACTGATTCATAGTTACACAACTTCAATGTTGAAGTAAAATCCTACGGCCTATCATGTGAATTTATACAAATCATGTATGTAGTATGTAGGTTTTTTTTCTTTTTCAAATTAAGAATATCAGAAAATACAAAACAAAATTTTATTTATTATTCATTATTTCAGATCTGCAGTAAACAGAATCCTGCTCAGATAATTTGAGAAATTTTTCAAGTAAGAGTATGAATGAACGAATGTCGAGACATCTAGAGATTAGCAGCTGTGGGAAGTCATTGCCAGCTCTAAGCTGAAGAGCAAAGGAGGTAATAGCACTACAGGATCTGAAGAGTAATAGAGCCTTAAGGTAGTGGTCTTCCTCATTGGAACTGCAGTCATTGAAGGTATCAACCACTGACAGACAATGCTGCCAAATATGATAGGGAGTGGGGAACAAATACCCCAACCTTCCCTCTTGCCTTGTGATTGGCATGCCATTGCTCCCCATTTCCTGAACCCAGCAATCTGAAGCCAAATGGAAAGAAAGTCAGTAACACAATCCAAGGGAGTCAGCCTCTCAGAACAGAAAAAAGAACATGAAAAGACAAAGACTTGATTGAGGTCAGAAGGCAAAATAAGAAACCCAACACATCCATATTCCCAACACAAAGGCTTGACCACAAAGAATTAATAGCTGGTAAATTTTGCCTACAGCTATTTAACAAAAAATAAATATCACTCTATTTCTATATGCATGGTAAATTCCTGCATATACCATGCATATGGATTTTCAAAGATGTAAAAAATGCATAAAATCACAAATAGGAAGAAACAATTATTCCAAATATTTACACATGAAAGTAAGCATCACTGTGATGGTTAATATTGAGTGTCAACTTGATTGGATTGAAGGATACGAAGTATTATTCCTGGGTGTGTCTGTGAGGGGGTTACCAAAGGAGATTAACACTTGAGTCAATGGACTAGGAGAGACAGACCCACCCTCAATCTGGGTGGGCACCGTCTAACCAGCTGCCAGCACAGCTAGGATAAAAGCAGGCACAGAACATGAAAGGACTAGTCTGGCTAAGTTATCTGGGCTCCATCTTTCTCCTGTGCTGGAGGCTTCCTGCCCTTGAACATCAGATCCCAAGTTATTCAGCTTTTGGACTCGTGCACATACCTCAGCGATTTGCCAGGTGTTCTCAGGCCTTCAGCCACAGACTGAAGGCTGCACTGCCGGCTTCTCTACTTTTGAGGTTTTGGGACTTTGACTTGCTTCCTGGCTCCTCAACTTGCAGATGGCCTATTATGGGACCTCACCTTGTGATTGTGTGGGTCAATTTCCCTTTAAAACTCCCCTTCATATATTCATCTATCCTATTAGTTTCGTTTCTTTAGAGAACCCTGACTAATGTAATCATTAACTATGAGTGAACCTCATTTCAGATATTTTTCTATGGATATACACATATGGAAAAACAGACAAAGATAAACTTTTTGTTAATAAAAATGAGACTGTACTATATAAAGCTATTATAGTAAAATCAATGGATGGATTTATTTTACTTTAATTTATAAGAATAAAATATCTGAAATAAAACAAAATAAAGGAGTTCAAATAAATGTTTCCTTACCACAGTGCTGTTTTATATTTTTAAATAACCTAAAGTTTAGAAAATGTTTTACGCAGATTAAAAGACATGCATTGTTAATGTAATCATAGTTTTCCATTTAAAAAATCTATTAACTTTTTGCTACAAACAAGGAAGATATTAGAATGTAGCATATTTCCATCTGTCTTCTGCTTATATCCCAACGTTTGTAAAATATATTATTCTATTTACATTATTCGGGTTTACTTTTTATATTGTTACATTCTGCAAAAATGTTTAGTTCTATTTTCAAGGAGAATAGGTTTTTATCAGTGTAGGTGTTATAAGACTGTCTTTACTTGAATTCTTTGAGTCTTACATTCCATAAATTATTAGGGTCTTTCATGTTTTCAAATGTCTCCATGCCTTGTTGATACTTGAACCCTAACTTAGCTGGCTATACAATGATTGGGTCACATTTCTTTACCTTTTGAACTTTTAGAAGTTGCTTCATTGTCTTTAGCCACAACATACTGATGGCTGTGGAGAAAATATGGGACTCATCTGATTTGTCTTCTCTGTTTGTATTTTCTTTCTCTGCTCTAGATGCCTGATGAATGATACCTTTACCTTGAAATTTAATAGCCTGAAAAGGTTGTCTTGATGTTAGGTAACATGAATTAAAATTTTATGGTACACCATCTGCAGTTTAAGTTTTTTACATTATTTCTTTTTACATCTCAATTTTAAGAGGTGTTGCAAAGAAATCACTGTAAATACAGAAGTAGCCCTCATGTTCCACCAAAGTCAATTAGAGTGTTTCATGGATGTGCATGAACCGGTAAATGTCAAGAAAGTTAAAAAACTGAACCCAGGCCGGGCACAGTGGCTCACGCCTGTAATCCCAGCACTTTGGGAGGCCGAGGCCGGCAGATCATGAGGTCAGGAGATCGAGACCATCCTGGCTAACACGGTGAAACCCCGTCTCTACTAAAAATACAAAAAATTAGCCGGGCGTGGTGGCGGGCGCCTGTAGTCCCAGCTACTCGGGAGGCTGAGGCAGGAGAATGGCATGAACCCGGGAGGCAGAGCTTGCAGTGAGCCGAGATCGCACCACTGCACTCTAGCCTGGGTGACTAAGAGTCTGTCAAAAACAAACAAACAAACAAACAAAAAACAAAAAACCTGACCCCAACAAAGGAGTCTTACAAAAAACAAGGAACAAACAAACAAAAATGTTACAACCAAACATCAGACTTTTGAGTCATGTTTCAGGCCAAGAGGTGATGAGTTACCGTAGTTGCCTGAGCTGGGTGGTGAACTATTACCTGGCAACAAAACTGAAATAGAAGGTGGCTTAGTAAAATACAGATTCAGAATGAGTGCCTTGAGGTTAAGGCATATACGACCAAACTGATTTTCTTTTTCACAAGGTCTTCAGGTAAGGCCATTGTAGAAGATACTTTGGGAACTTCAGTAAGTTGCTTCACTTGTCTCATATTTTCATCTTCAGGATGGAGACTTGAGATTGAATTGTTGTGCAATTAGGTAAATTTTTACCCATTTTAAATATAATATTAAAATATTAATTACAAATTACCTTATTTGAATCTGGAATAATATTTATTGCAGGGCATATAATCTAAGCTATAAATGTCCTGTTAGAAGAGAACATATTCATCTTGCTAAGGTATATGCTATATGACTGGCACTGTGCTCAACTCAGAGTCACTGAATGAACAGTATTTATTTAATATATGAATGAGAGCACTTCAAGTATATAGAAAGATATCTCAAAAGCTTCAGCCTTACATTGCTCATAACTTCATTTCAGTGACTTAGATGAAAACCTCCTGAACATTTTTATCAATTTTATGGATACCCCAAATCATAAGGGAATGTATATATCAATTAGATGATGAAATGGGGATGCAACTACGTCATGGCAGGCTAAAGAAATAGAATGACTTTGACAAGAGGAAATTACATAGAGGCACCTGAGTCTCCCAAACCAATTTCAAAGGTATGAGAGGGGGGTGATATAAATAAATAGTTGATAGATGAAAAAACTCAGAAGTTATAGTTGACAACAATTTTAATATAATATGAAAAATGTGGTTGGACTTCTGGGAAAAAAAACTAATAAAATCTAATGGAAATTGGTGGTCCACTCATTTCTCCACCTATGATGTTAAAAATATTTCTTCTGGGTATGACATCCCAAAAGAGGTGTAGGCCTTCGAAATCATGCTCAGAAGGAAGATATCAGAGGGGTTAAAGGAAATTTGATGCCAGGTGTAAAATGTATTTCAAAGAACTGAACATGTGACACTAAGTAAAATTCTACTGGGTAAAGGCCAAATATCTCCAAACATATGAAGAGGTGTCATGTAAAAAGATATTACATGTGATCTCTGTAGCCCCAGGGGTTCCTGCTGATCTAGGACATATGTACTGAAGTTATGAACAGAAATTTAAAAATCAGAGAATCCTAAACATGAGAAGCATCACGTGGATGGCTCTGATGTGTAAATCGTCATCACTGGAAGTGTTCGAACGGGGCAGAATAACCCCCTTAAAAGGCTTTTAATAAAGTTATCAAAAATTGTATAAATAATACAATTATTTTGAAGTCCTTTCTAAACTAAAATTATATAACTATTAATACATCATTTCTTCCATTTTTTTAAGAATGTGAAAAATAATTTAACCTAGGCTACCTAGGTGTAAATCACGTTTCTACCAGTCCTTAGTTGTACAATATTGGACAAAGTATGTAAATTGTTAGCGTTTATGTTTCTTCACCTGTAAAATGACAATAAATGGGTTATTGAGGCTATCACATGAATTAATACCTGGAAGGTACAGTGACTGTCAGAGTAAAAATGCACATGCAACAAAACTAGTTTTTAATATTTTGTGGAAAACATTGAAAAATTTGACTCAGCACTACTGTTCAATCCCTGCAGAAAACTAGATTGCCAGTGGAAGAGTCTTGAGAGGGACAAAATGCCGAAGGACAAAGATGAGCAAACTCAGTCACCTGACAATAACCACAGCACCTCAATTTGAGCTATGCCTGTTATATAGTGTCTCATAGTCACTGGTCCATAGTAAGTATAAAAAAATTGCGATCAAGTGAATATATACATTAATTAATATCAGGCTTCTCTATAAAATTTAATTCTTATGAAATGTGTCTGGTGCTGAAATACATTATAAAAATATCCCACTAATCTTAGTTCAATAGTTTGTTCATCAGAAATATCATTAAGATATCCGTTGGTAATAATTAGTAATAAGACTTGATGCAGACTTAGTGCAGAACCAGGGCCATGAACCCTTATGATGAATGAAGAAAGGTATCATATCTTTCCACCCCTACATCCCATTGATGACAGTTGACAAAGTAAAGAGTAAAACTGAATATACGGTGGTCCTCTAGCTAGTGTCCCTGGGGTCAGGTCCCTGGAGTATGTGGATCCTTCTCGATTTCACCCCTGATTTTACACTTCTCACCATTTTGCATTCGTTGAAATTCTTGTCTTTTAGTGTTGATGTCAAAGATCTCTCTCTCTCTCTTTGTGTTTATGTCAAAGATCTTTCTCTCTGTCCATCTCTCTCTCACACACACACAGAAACACCCACACCACTCTTACTTTTCATTCTTATATTTAACTTTTATTTTCATCAAAATATGTACATAGTTTTGAGTTAGATTTAGATTTTTTCCATAAAACAGGATTATCCCAATTCAATCCCATCTTTTTTTTTCCCCACTTTCAATCATGTTAACTATTTTGATATTTACCTTCAGAAGTCAAACAACATAACTTAGCATCATATGTTTCCTCCCATTTTGGAAAGTGAAGATTTATCTCTCAACTCTCTATTCAGTTCTCATTTTGGGATTTTCTGTAAGCATAATTCTAGCATTATTTTAATGTATGTTTAAACAAGGTAGAATCTTTTTGTGTTTGTTCACTGATGTATCTAAAGCATTCCCAGCAGTAAAGATAGGTATAAGAAAGATATTTAATAAATAATTTTTGAACTGATGAATGAATCCTGACTTTTCTTGTCTTTTACTTCTTTTATTTGACTATCTTGTTCATTTAGCCTATGTCTTCCTCTTCCTTGTTTTATTCCCTTCATTGGCCGAACACAACCCCCAAAAGCTTTAAAAGAAAGAGTGTATACATGGTTTTTAATTTTGTTTTTGTGTTTAAAACATTAAATGTATCAAAATTCTTTTATTCTATATTTAAACTTGAATAATTCTTTATCTAGGTATAGGATTCTAGGTTGGAAATCATATTCCCTTAGAATTTTGTAGTTATTGATCTATTGTTTTTAAATAT
Source organism: Homo sapiens (assembly GCF_000001405.40). Taxonomy (NCBI): domain Eukaryota; kingdom Metazoa; phylum Chordata; class Mammalia; order Primates; family Hominidae; genus Homo; species Homo sapiens. The sequence goes on from NC_000021.9 coordinate 13,242,111, forward strand.
CTTCACTGTACTTTCACTTTTGGTGAGAGCTTGGCAGGGTTTGGAAATATAGATTGAAAGTAAATTTCCCCTATGATAGGAGTATTTGCTTTATTGTATTCTAGTTTTAGCATTTAGGTAAAAATGCCAATGGCAGTCATCATTGACCTTGTATGTGTTTGTTCTTTTTCTCTGGAAGCTATGGACTCTTCTATTTTCTCTAGTGTTCCAAGGCCTTAAAAACCTTTGTCTTAGTCTGCATTTATTTTTTAACCATTGTACTGGTTAAAATGGACCCTTTTAATCTGAACAGTTCTATGTGCCCAATTCTCAGAAAGTTTCTTCAATTGACTGGATGATTTTCTCTCTTCATTTTTCTCTACCAAATTATTTGGATATTGAATCTACTACACTGAGTCATTCCAAAATTACAATTCTTTACCTTTGATTTTTAAGTCCTTCCAGTTTGTACTGTATGTTGTATGAGGTTTTCTCAAGTTTACCTTCCAATCTTTGTATTAATTGTTTTATTTCTACCTGTCCAATTCTCAGGAACTTTCTTCAATTGACTGAATGATTTCCTCTCTTCATTTTTCTCTATCAAATTACTTGGATATTGAATCTACTGGATTGATTGATTCTAACATTATAATTCTTTACCTTTGATTTTTAAATCCTTCCAGTTTATACTGTATGTTGTTTATCTTCTAATCTTTTTATTGATTGTTTCCTTTCTATTATAGATGCCATTTCTGAGACCTTTTCTATTCTCTGGTGTTTGTATCATCCTCTTCTTGTTTTATGGATGCATTATCTTCTCTTCTCTCTCTGAGGTGATTAAATGGCTAAAACGCAAAACTTTGGGGAAGACTTGCACGAGTCTTTCAGGTAGATTAGTTGCTTTCTCTGATGGGTATCCAAAGATATGTGATTATATCTATCTGTTTTATGTATGTTCTATTATAATTTTCCCATTATTTAATGTTATCTATAAATTCCCAAGCTGTAAATCTTAGTAGAACTCACATTATATTTATATGTGTTCCTCACCATACTCTAAAATGCTCAAGTCATAAGCTTTCTTAATCTTTTTTGAATAAGGAATGGAAAAATTCACACAAAATACATACTTGCTTTTACCTTGTTTATAATTCTATCTTTAGCAGTCAGCAAAGTGCATGTTATGCTTTATATTCTCAGGATACAACTTACCAACAAATTGATGGAATTTGAAAGATTTTTTTTTTGCTTATAAAACATTTTGGTGGCCCTAAATTTTCAAGCATGTGCTTTGTACTTAGGAAGCAATTCACCCATTTATTTGGCAACAGTATTTCTTTCGTATCTACTTGGTGCTATGGAGAAGTAAATTAAAACAAAGTTTAAAAAATCTTCTCAATTTAATTATCCAATTACTTAGTTCATTATGAATATGTGCAAATCCGAATTGAATAAATAAACAATTCCATGAGGACAGAGGCTCTGCTATTTTACTTGTAATTACACTTATAGCTCTCATGGCATCTATTTATTGTCAGACATTGTTTTTCTATGTAGATACAGTCTAGAGTAGATAATTATTAGATGCAGCCAAAATTTAAAAAGAAATTAAAGAAACCTTGTTTTAAGCTGAAGATTGCACAAATTACTTCTTCTCTAAATACTGTCTGATACCCACCATTCTACATAAATAATTTTTACATAGTTGCTCATTGCCTAAAAAAAAATGTTTGCCCCTGTGAGACATCGATGCATCAATAGTGCTTCATTATAATGACAGCTTCAAGCCACAGTATTTTTCCGCACTTTTTTAGTTCTACGCTCTCTTAAAACTAGTCTACCTAGGCCAGGTGTGGTGGCTCACACCTGTAATCCCAGCACTTTAGGAAGCCAAGGGCAGGCAGATCACAAGGTCGGGAGATCGAGACCATCCTGGCTAACACTGTGAAACCCTGTCTCTACCAAAAATACAAAAAATTAGCCGGGCATGGTGGGGGGGCGCCTGTAGTCCCAGCTACTCGGGAGGCTGAGCTGGGAGAATGGCCTGAACCCAGGAGGCAGAGCTTGCAGTGAGCTGAGATCGCACCATTGCACTCCAGCCTGGGTGACAGAGCAAGACTATGTCTCAAAACAAAACAAAACAAAAAAATCTAGTCTACCTCTTCCCTTAGAAACTTTGCATCATTTAACAACTTGTGTTAGAGAGAATAATAGCCTCCCAAAAATGCCTATGATTTAGTCACCAGAATCTATTCATCTGTTACCTTACATGGAAAGCAGTACTTTGTGGGTGCTATTAAATTCTTGAGATGGAACAATTATTCTGGATTATCTAGATAGATACAACCTAATGATATAATCTCTTTAGAGCAGGAAATCTTTCCTAGCTGGGCCAGAGAGCAAGATGAGACAGGAAAAAGAAAAGAGTTTCAAAGAGTGAGAGGGACAAGCTTTGATGTTGCTAGCTTTGCAGATGGACGAATAGGGTGAAAGGTGAGGAATATAGGTGGTTCCAGGAGGTGGAAATGGCCCTCACTTGAGAGACAGCCAAAAGATGGGAGCCTCTACCCTACACCACTAAGGATATGTACTCAGCCAACAGCCTAAATGAGGAAACAGGTTTTTTCTAGAGCCTTCTGAGAAGAATACAGCCTGCTTGAAACCTTTGCTGGATTTTGGATAATACATTTATGTTGTTCAAGTCATTAAATTGACTGTAATTTGTTATTGCACAATAGAAACCTAATAAACAGTCTGGGCGCAGTACCTCATGCCTGTAATCCCAGCACTTTGGGAGGCCGAAACGGGTGGATCACCTGAGGTCAGGAGTTTGAGACCAGCCTGGCCAACGTGGTGAAACGCCGTCTCTGCTAAAAATACAAAAATTAGCTGGGCATGGTGGCGGGTGCCTGTAATCCCAACTACTCAGGAGGCTGAGGCTGGAGATTGGTGTGAACCTGGGAGGTGGAGGTTGCAGTGAGCCGAGGTCACGCCATTGTACTACAGCCTGAGTGACAGGAGAAAAACTCCATCTCAAAAAAAAGAAAGAAAGAGGAAGAAAGAAAGAAAGAAAGAAAGAAAGAAAGAAAGAAAGAAAGAAAGAAAGAAAGAAAGAAAGAAAGAAAGAAAAAAGAAAGAAAGAGAGAAAGAGAGAAAGAGAAAGAAAGAAAGAAAGCTAATAAACACCATAACAATGTTTCTTTCTCTGAATTCTTTTAGAACTTGCTAAGCATCCTAATGTAGTTATCAATGAGGAATCGTATACTGCATTGTAAGAAGATGTGCGAATGTTTTAAAAAATATATTTTTACAAGTCTCTAGTGTTTGAGTTTATTCGGGTCTATTGGTTCAAGGGTTCTAGTATTAAAGTCACAAGTGATTAAGCGCCACACTACACAATTATGTATCCATTATTTAGCACAGAAATTTGGAACAGAGGAGGCAAGTCAGTAGAAAATTCCATAAATTTGAGTACTTTTTATGATTTCCTTAAAAAACAGAAAAGAAATGAAAATAAAATATGCATTAACTTTAAGTAAAAGAGGTATAAATGTAATGTTACTATATATTTCATTTCTTGAATAACATATGAAAGATTTTTTTAAAGTCACATTTAAGCTAAGACAATTGTCTTTAAAATAGCTCTGTTAAATTTTGGACAAAGTGTCTTTGGCTTTCCCTCATTCTTCATTTTCTCTTTCATTTTCTTTTTTCATCTATCCTAAGTACAGAAGTCACAAAATAGATAGCATAAAATATTTATTGAGCTCTTCAAATATCCATTCAAAAATTCTCTGATAAAGACATTTTTCAAAGCACCACCAAACAGAGATAACTCAAAGGACCAGCAAGCAATTTAAATATCTCATGTAATACTTAATTTTAAGTATCTCTATGCATATCTATTGGTCTCATTATTTTCTGAAAGTCTGACCCCGGAGCTCTGATACCCAAGCTCATTTGAATCTTTGTGAATGTATGGATTTTTCCTTCCTCATTAGAGTAGAATGTACAGATTTTTCTTTCCTCATGATGGTTCAGCTCACTTATACCTATTAAATAACTGGTGAGAATGTTTTTGACTTCATCTTTACCCTTAAATTTAACATTTAAATATAAATATCAGTTGCACTTTAAAAATTCTCTTATCCACTAAGCATTCAGTTTAGAAAGTGTTGTGTACATCATGAGAAATAGAACTGCATGATGTAAGATTTGTGCTTTATTTAGCATGGGGGATAAACGTATTTATATTACAGCGTATATGTTTGATTTTCACAATTTTTGTTTTGTCCAAATTTTCACAATAAGGCCCAAAATATTCACTTTTTATGTTCTCTTCAATCCTCTATCTTGATTCTACTTTGCATCCAAGTATCTGGGATGAAAAGAAAATTAGTTGAAAGTTTTAGGACTTTAAGTGAGTAGATTTTTATTACTGCCCTGAAAAAAAAATTAAAAAGGACATGTCATGAAAACAATGGGTTCTAGAAAAAAAACAAAGCTGATATTTCTAATACAGTAAGAAAATAGATATAATTATCAACTCCAAAAGAGGTCATTGTACTAGCACATCCTATGGAGTGGCTGGGCTGTTAGCAGCAGAAGGCAACCCTAATGACAAACATACAACCAAAAGCCCCAGACAAGCAAACTGTTGCACACAGGGCAATGTGTGTGTGTGTGTGTGTGTGTGTGTGTGTGTGTATGCTTGCATATATGTTTCAACTGAAATCCACTTGTGTTTGAGCCTTTGATAATATTCGGACTGGACTTTGTGTTATTAAAATCTTGATTTCAAAGTGTGATTTCAGAAACAGGGAACCCTGAGATGCTCCCTGGCTAGACGCTCTTTTGATGGATTCATGACTGCTGAGCTAGCCTTTCAATGGGCCACAATAACTTTACTTCCAGGAAACAGCATCAGGTCAACAAATTACTTGTTTGTGGTCTGTTTGTTTTCTCAGGTCTGGATTTTCTTTGATCTTGGGTAAGCTCAAACTAATTTGGAATAAAATGAAAACAGTTCTCTGCTTCCCCACCTTTAATCAGTAATGCCCCTGACTGTTTTAATTAGAAGCAAAAGAACAGTTCTCTGTCAACTCAAGGCAAAGGACATGCAGTCCTGCCGTGGCAGAGGGAGTTGGATCCCAGGGTGGAAAGCAAGGCAATATGAAATAATGTTTGGCCCTATTTTCTTAGGGAAAAAGAGGAAGGTTTTGCTTCTCTCTAGTTTAAGTTACAGCACACCCTTTCCTCTTTATTTTTTGTAACTTCTCTTCTACCGTCCAGTAATTCTTCCAACCCTGCCTCTGTTCCCAATTGGTACTGTAAGGCACTGGCATTTTCCACAGGAGAATCTTGATTATAATCCTTCAATCAACTTGCTGAGTTAAGCATATGCTTTCATCAAAAACTATATAAAACCTGTGTGGCAAAGACTGATACCTTTTGTTCTTTGGTTGGAATCAAAGTGTATACAACTTTAAACCATCTTTTATGAAACCAGCACTTTTATTTCTCCTTATCATTTCTCTTCAGTAGGACTGCTATAAATTAGACATAGCAGCTCTTGTTTTTATTAAACAGCACATTACTGAGACAATTTATTCAAAATGCAAGATTTCATAAGCTGGACCAGTAGCTTCAAAAGGGTGAATACAGGCTTTAGAATTTGGTACCCTTACACAACACAAATCTATAATGTTTTCATGTAACTATATAGAAGTGCGTTTTTGTTAATATCATTTCTTCATTTTGGTTAGTGTTTCTTCTTCACTTCCTTATGAATTATGCATAAGTGAGAAAACAAGCCTTTTTTCATGTACAATGATCCTATTTTCCTGAACAGAACCCTGGCTGAACAGTATTAAAATTCAGGTTCCAAAATGAGCCAGTGGTAGAGAAGAAATAGAGTGGAAATTTAACACATCCATTTATTATACACTTTAAAATGCAACAGGGACAGATGCCTCATGATGTTTCTCCTCAGCTGTGATCACTTTCTCTACAATGTTGAACTAGTGGCTCTCGCTCTAGGGACTATCTGGACAATTACCTGCAGCTTGGAGTCATTACGGAGATGATCGTCAAGGAACTGGCTCATGGGTTACACTCACTGCTCTGTTCCTAACTTCCTGTGTAAACAACTCTGGAGCTTAAATTTTTCTTATCTATATTATAAAAATATGTAAATAATTTCTAAAATTTAGAAAAGTTATATAATTTTAATTCTAAATGTAACTGACAGATGGTGGAATTTCTCCCTTTTTTGGCAACAATTTATTTAAAGTTTGGAATAGAGATTTTGGTCATCTCAATCACTGCATCTCTCTATCCCTGGTATCAGCATGTTTAAGTCATCCGAACACTGTATACACCATGAAATTCTACAAGATATTATGTAAATGAGCCAAATTTACAACTTTGGATAGAGAAACTGATTTTAAAAATATAGTTAATAATCCATAAATGATGAAGAGGTATGTTTTCTGCTAGCTTATAGTTATGGTGGTGGAGTGAGGGGCAGATGTTCTTCTCCTCTTTGTATTTCCTCTGGACAGTAATGTACTTATTCTCTAATGCAGCACCTTTTAATAAATGTTTAGTTTCTAACCTCTTGTGATTTTGTTAGTCTCAGCATTTTCTTATTTTTCAGCAGAACTGGCTGTGAATTAGAATCTTTTCTATAAAGTTGCTATAAAATTGCCACCAACAACCAAAACACAGCCAGCTGACACACTACCAAAAGTGGTGTGATTATTACAAAGTGCCCCCACATATTTTTGTGTGACCCTACATGAACAACAACAACAAAATTTGGAATGCTCTCCTTTCAATTTTAAGCAGAGGAATTAGTTCAACTAAGCAAATAGTCAAGGATAATAAGATTCCTGAGAGAGTAGAGAAAAACAGGGACAATCGTATTTATCTTTTGTAAAATCAAGTTTATAAGAATATGTCTCAGGGCCACAGTTAATAAAATATCTATTTGTTTTCTTGAGAACCACAACGAAGATATTTGTGTAAAAGGTCATCCATAGATGCCCTACGGAGTTAACAGCACAATTGAGGTCTTGCTGCTTCTGTTACAAGAGTGCTTCAAACGTACCATTCAACTGATAGAATCTATTGGACCTTGTTAGAGTCCCTCACCCCATTCTTGCAACAGTTCCCAGAAAAGAAGAGGAATGTGCTTTTCAGAGACTTATGTCTCTACTGGAGCCCCCTTGATGGCAGGGTAAGGTGGGAGAGCATGGAGGAAGCCTCTCAAGAAGTGAGACACATGCACTTTCTAGATTATTGTTATTACTATTATTTTTGATGGAGTCTTGCTCTGTTGCCCAGGCTGGACTGCAGCTGGTTGATCTTTCAGCTCACTGCAACCTCCACCTCTTGGGTTCAAGCGATTCTCCTGCCTCAGCCTCCCGAGTAGCTGGGACTACAGGCATCTGTCATCATGCCCAGCTAATTTTTGTATTTTTTTGGAGACAGGTTTTCACCACGTTGGCCAGGCTGGTCTTGAACTTCTGACCTCAGGTGATCTGCCCATCTCAGCCTCCCAAAGTGCTGGGGTTATAGGCGTGAGCCACCACACCCGGCCGACACATACAATTTCTAGATTGTTATTTATTTATTTGTTTGTTTGTTTTTGAGACAGAGTCTGGCTCTGTCGCCCAGGCTGGAGTGCAGTGGCGCAATCTTGGCTCACTGCAACCTCTGCCGCCTGGGTTCAAGTAATTCTCCCACCTCAGCCACTTTCTAGATCTTGTAGGACAAGAAGTTGCCACATGGTGAGAAGGAAAAAGGACAGATTATGAGCAGGAACTGAGTAATTTTTACCTATGACCCTGGGACTCATTTAACCTCTAATCAAACAGAGAAAACTACAGTAACCATAATTATTCTTAAGACAGATTATGCATGAATATATCATTGATTTTATTGCCTAATTCAGCAGAGGAATTACTAATAGATATTTTGCTAGTTCTACAGGAAGATAGTGTAGAAACATAAGCTAATCAATGCCTCATTTCTGATATTTCTTACCTAGTATGGTGATTAGCTTCAGTGTTTTTAAATCATTCTCTAAAAAGTACATCCCTGCCTGATTTTCTTTCCATGTGTTCTGTTGATTACTGAGAAAGAAATGTCAAAGTCTTCAACTGTAATAGTGGATCTATGTGTTTGTTTTATTTATTTATTTTTAAATATTTTATTTCCATAGGCTTTGGGGAACAGGTGGTATTTTGGTTACATGAGTAAGTTCTTTCGTGGTGATTTGTGAGGTTTTGGTGCACCCATCATCCAAGCAGTATACACTGAACTCAATTTGTAGTCTTCTATCCCTCATTCCCCTCACACCCTTTCCCCTAGTCCCCAAAGTCCCTCCTATCATTCTTACGCCTTTGCAACCTCACAGCTTAGCTCCCACTTATGAGTGAGAATATACGATGTTTGGTTTTTCCATCCCTGAGTTACTTCTCTTAGAATAATAATCTCCAGTTCCATCCAACTTGCTGCAAATGCCATTCATTCATTCCTTATGACTGAGTTTGTTTTAATTTTCCTTTCAGTTTATCCAGTTTTGGCTTTATTATTTTATTTTTGTTTGTTTTTGTTATTGTAGTAAAATACACTTAATATAAAATTTATCATTTTAACTATTTTAAATGTAACGTTCAATAGTATTAAATACATCCAGTATGTCATGCATCCATCACCACCATAACACTTTTTGTCTTATAAAATGGAACTCCCCATTCCTCCCTCTCTCCAGCTCCTGGCACCAACCATTCTATTTCGTATCTCTATGATTTTTGACCACTCTAATTACCTCATATAAGTAGAATCACAGGGTATTTGCCTTTTTATGACTGGCTTATTTCACTTAGCATAATGTCCTTAAGCTTCATCCATGTTGTAGCATTTATCATAATTTTCTTTCTTTTTAAGGCTAAATAATATTCTATCATATATATATATACACACACACACACACACACACACACACACATATATATATATATATATACACCACACTTTGCTTATCCATTTATCTGTTGGTGGAAACGGCTTGCTTCCACATTTTGCTATCATGAGTAATGCTGAAATAAATTTGGTAAATATCTCTTCAAGACCCTGATTTTAGTTATTTTGGATATATACTGAGACACGTAAATGCTGTATTATATGGTAACTGTATTTTTAATTTCTTGAGACACCACCATACTTTCTTCCAGCTGTACAATCTTATACTCCTATCAATACTACACAAGGGATCTAATTTCTCCACATGCTTGCTAACATTTGTTATTTTCTGTTTTTTGTTTTTTAATAGTAGTCATCCTAATGGGTATTGAGTGCTATGTTCTTGTTTTGATTTGAAGTTATCTGATGATTAATGAACATGGAATAGAATAGAGAGCTCATAAGCAAATCCTCACCTGTATGGCCAAATGTTTTTTGACAAGGGTGCCATGATTATTAAATGAGAAAAGAACAATCTTTTCAATAAATGATACTGAAAACTGTATATCCACATGCAAAATAAAGATTTTGGAACTTTACCTAACTCCATATACAAAAATTAACCCCAAATGGGTTAAAGACCTAAATATGAGACTTAAAATTATAAAACTCTTAGAAGGGAACACAGGGCAAAAGTTTCCCAAGGTTAGATTTGGCAGTAACTTCTGGGATATAACCAAAGGCATAGGCAACACAACAAAAAATACAAAGAAAAATTGGGCATCATATTTTTTTTGTGTGTGTGTGACAGAGTCTTGTCATCCAGGCTAGAGTACAGTGGCAGGATCTTGGCTCACTGCAACCTCCACCTCCCAGGTTCAAGAGATTCTCCTCCCTCAGCCTCCTGACCTCCTGAGTAGCTGTGATTACAGGCACGCACCACCATGCCTGGCTAATTTTTGTATTTTTTAGTAAAGATAGGGTTTCACCATGTTGACCAGGATAAGTCTTGATCTCTTGACCTCGTGATCCGCCTGCCTCAGCCTCCCAAAGTGCTGGGATTACAGGTGTGATCCACTGCTCCTAGTCTTTTTTTTTTTTTTTTTTTTTTTTTTTTGTGACAGAGTCTTGCCCTGTCGCTCAGGCTGGAGTGCAGTGGTGCAATGTCGGCTCACTGCAACCTCCGCCTCCTGGATTCCAGTGATTCTCATCCCTCAGCCTCCCAAGTAGCTGGGATTACAGGCATGTGACACCATGCCCGGCTAATTTTCATATTTTTAGTAGAGACAGGGGGGTCTCACCATGTTAGGCAGGCTGGTCTCGAACTCCTGATTTCAAGTAATCCACCTGCCTCGGCCTCTTGAAGTGCTGGGATTACAAACATGAGCCACTGCACCCAGCCACCATAAAAAAATTTTTTAAAATTATTTATCAAAATCACAAACAAAAGGCAATCCACAGGAGAAAATATTTGCAAATGAAATATCTGATAAGAGATTAATAACCAAAATACACACAGACCTCCTAAAACTCAGCAAAAACAAAAACAAACAAGTCTATTTTAAAATGGGCAAGAGAATAAATATACATTTCTCCAAAGAATATACAACTGGCTTTAGTATTGGCTTCAAAATAGTATTTTGAAGCTCTACTATTAGATACATATACAATTAGGATTTTTATCTCTTCTTGGCAACTTGACCCTTTGATTTTTATGTAATATCTCTCATTGTTCCTTTTAAATTTCTCTGCTCTGAAATATGCTTTGATAATCATTTAGTCACTTCAGCTTTCTCTTCATTAGTGTTTCCATGGTATCCTTTTCCCTATCCTTTTATTTTTAACTTATTTATATCATTACATAAAGTAACACTTTATGGAAAGGATATATTTGATTTTTTTATTTATTTGGTCCATTCTGACAATGTCTGTTTTTTTTTTTTTTTTTTTTTTTTTGAGCCAGAATCTCGCTCTGTCGCCCAGGCTGGAGTGCAGTGGCGCGATCTCGGCTCACTGCAAGATCCACCTCCCGGGTTCACGCCATTCTCCTGCCTCTGCCTCCGGAGTAGCTGGGACCACAGGCGCCCGCCACCACACCCGGGTAATTTTTTGTATTTTTAGTAGAGACAGGGTTTCACTGTGTTAGCCAGGATGGTCTCGATCTCCTGACCTCGTGATCCGCCTGCCTCTGCCTCCCAAAGTGCTGGGATTACAGGCATGAGCCACCGCGCCGGGCCGATAATGTCAGTATTTTACTTGGTTTGTGTAGCCATTTACATTTAATGTCAATATTGGTATTTCGAATTATGCCTACCACTCTATCATGTATGTTTACTTTTTCTTCCCTTTGCTTTATTTTTCTGTTTCCCCTTCCCTGCCTTCTTTTGTTATTTGAACATTTTCAGTTTAACCAAGTTTGAGTTTTGCTGCTGCTACTTCTTTTATTTACTGCAGGCTTTGTATTGTTTTACAGGACTGTTGCCTTGTGCTCAAAGGGGTGGCTGAAGTGCCAGAGATTTTTGGTTTTCTGTTCTTTGTTTTTTTGTTTTTTTTCTTAGTGTTTGTGATGTACCTTCAACTTTCATAATCTCTGCAAACTGCACTACAGCAGGGGTCTCACTCCATACTACTGTCCTCCTCCCATACTGGTAGCCTGCTCTTACCTTTTGGATTCTGGGCTAGCGGTGGTGGCTGGCAAGGATTCACTCTTGTCCACATTCAGCCTCAGCTTAGACAGACCTTGCGTGCCAGGCTTCCTGGGGAGGAGGGAACTTTCTCAGCATTCTTACTCCTTCACCTCATGTCAGCCAGCTATGTCCTTGATCTGTGGTTGGTTCTTACAAGGTATTCTCTGATCCTACCCCATGATAGCAGACCTCGAATTGGTAATAGATAATAGATTCTGGGCCCAGGATAGTTTTTACAGGAATTTTTCTTCTGCTTTTTCCACAGTGAAAATGGGTCTTTGCCAGTGTCCTTAAAGTGTGGGTTGTTGTCCCTCCTCCAAGTGCTGTAGGTTTTTGATTCATAGGAGAAAAGACTCTAAATATAATTGTAGGAATTTGTATCTCCCAGGCCCCAGTAGCTACAGATCATTTTCTACAGTCTTGCGTCAGCAAGAAGAGCTCTCTTTGGTCTGTTCTGTTCCAGACTATCTCATAAATTACTGCAGGAGGTACTTTTAAAAGAGCTTGCAAGAGAGTATCTGGGCCCTCAATTATTTCATCCATACCTGAAAGCTAGCTCACCCTTGGCATTTAATAATTTTATAAAATTTCAGCTGATTTTTAAATTTTCTTTCATGGAAGCTGTTGAGTAGCCCCTTATTTCCCTAATTCTTTGACTCAGATAAGACTATTCTTCTGTTTTATCTCTTATTATAGGGGTATGTTCCTCTTTGGAATTTAAGTATTTTGGTTGCACTGCAACCTCAGGTATCTAATGTGCTCAAAAAAGTTATAATTTTATGGGTTTTTTTTTTTGCCTTTATCTCATTGTTAGAATGGGAACAATGTTCTTTCCAGCTTTCTACATCTTAGCCAGAAACAGAAATATCTTCCCTTTGGTATGGCTCCACCTATTTGATATCAAGATAATTTAATAGTATGTAGCCACAGTGCACTAGGAAAATTAATTGGCTTTTACCAGCTTTCTGCTATAATGCCTTAACTTGAAGAAGTTAAATAATTTTGGAAAAGTCAGATATTGGGAACAATCAAATTTCGAATATACACATCCAATATAATCAGATAAGTAGAAAATAGTTAACATCAGCAATTAAATAAAGTCAGAAAATAGATCCAAGCTCTCATACATTTGTCTATCAAGATAAAAGCTTCAGGGGAATAGACAGCTTTTATCATAATAAACCATAAAGGTAAATCCCTCCTCCCTCATACACATTCTTTTTTTTTTTGGTATTGTGAGATTCTATTAGAAACGTTTTTCTGCCTGGCGCTGTGGCTCACGCCTGTAATCCCAGCACTTTGGGAGGCCGAGGCAGGCAGATCATGAAGTCAGGAGATCGAGACCATCCTGGCTAACACGGTGAAATCCCGTCTCTACTAAAAATACAAAAAAATTAGCCAGGCGTGGTGGCGGGCGACTGTAGCCCCAGCTACTCCGGAGGCTGAGGGAGGAGAATGGCGTGAACCCGGGAGGTGGAGTTTGCAGTGAGCCGAGATCACGCCAGTGCACCCCAGCCTGGGCGACAGAGCGAGACTCCGTCTCAAAAAAAAAAAAAAAGAAACGTTTTTCTTCATGTACCATTGGATTTCTTCAAGTTTTACAGTACTCTCTGAAATTCTACCATGAGCTTCTGTGCGGGGATCTTTCCCGCAGACCCTGACCCAACGATAGATGAATAACATACGCTGATACAGATATTCTGCTTGTCAGTCTAGCTAAGGATCTGCGCCGCTCACAGACACCAAGGAAGGTGCTGTGAAGAGTTGGCAGCCGCAACCTTGACTAGCTGGCCTGGCTGGCATTTATTCAGCACACATTAAATGACAAAGGCTTTGAGTCAACACGCCTGTGGGTAATTAACCTGGTCACACCCACTCTGGAGAGGGCCATCTTGCCTGCCAATGATGAAAGGTTAGTCTTAGGACCACATGAGTAAACAAGCTATTTAGATAAACTATTCTACATTCTTTTGTACCCCCACCCTAAGCTCTCTGGCTCCTGAAAACAGACTCTGGCTGCCTTCAGCCAAACTACCGGAAGTTATGCAAAACTTCCCGGCTTTCCAAGAAGGTTTGCTTTTTTCTATTCCTGTCATTTCTTCTGCCATCCTGACTGAACCCCTACACTTCTATTACAACTACTTTTAAGGTAATATATAACAATCAAACTAGAATCCAAACAACTATAATCTTAAACTAATGTACAAAGAGAGGGGACATTTACAATCTTTTTCATGGATAGCCAATCAATAAATCATCTGAACTCATGTCAATGGAGGCTTAGTTCAATTTTCCACACCTCATAGATACTCGAAACATAATATCATCAAGTTGCAAATATTCATATAGAGGGTTGTTTATGCTCACTGGACTATGTTTAGGCAAGAAAAAATGTCTTGAGAAATTTTATAAACCATTTAAGCAATGTGTACAGGAATAAAATGACATTATCCACTAATGTTTAGTTTAACATAAAATTAGATTAACTAGAACATCCTATTCCCAAAGAAATTCAGTCAGTAATGGTTTTATAATAACAAGAATTAGAAATATTTATGAAAATTTCTTCTGAGAACGTCACTGAATTTTCATCTGTGTAACTTAAGTTATTCCTCCAAGATCCCTATGAAGTAGGAAAATGTTTTATCATCACCATGTGACAAAGTACATGAGTAGTTAAGTATCTTACCACAGGATATTTTGGTAGAAAACAACATAATTCTATTTGTTCAGACATTTACATTTGAATTAATTTACAAATGCATGTAATAAACCAGCTAAGTCATTTTTATAACTCTGAAAATCCCAAGACTACAGTGCATTTATACTGCTGGAGATTAGCTAACAGTTAAAGATCAGAAACAATCAATAAAAGAATCATTGTATAGAAAATACTATTGTGTAACTGTGCACACTTATCAGGGATTAACTCTTTCCTTAATCTTTAATAAACTTCATCTTAGAAAATACCTAGCCCGCATCTTTCTTCTTTCAACTGCATCCTTAACTTTATTTTCAGATATAAGTGCCTTATGAACAAACACTTGATTGTCCATTAAAACTGTCCTGCTCTTTTAAAATCCAGTTTAAACTCTTTTCTGAGTACCAAACTGATATCTTTGCCTGTTTTTATTTTGTTTTGTTTTTAAATGGAACAGAACACAATATCTTTTGGACAGCTACAATGCTTATTCAAAAGTAGTGTTGAGATGAGAAGTAATCCTTTTTAATGTTTTACCAAAGAACTGTATTAATGTTATGCAGTGCTAATAACTGCTTTAATCCTTTAGATTTCTTTTAGCCAAAAACAGAGTGATGAGTTCCTCTATACTTAGTCTATAACTTTGTTTAATATTCTTTCAATAAACTTTTAAGAAATAATCTTAATTTTGAGAGTGTTGGTTGTTTTCTAACTGAAATACATTGAATAAGTTATGAACAAATACCAGCCCTTTAGCTAAATAGTAGACATCTTTCTGGAAAGTGACACTGTTTCCTTCCTCTAAAGATAAAGCAAAATAATGCATCGAATGTTACACCAAATACCTTACTAAAGAGTTTTACAGAGATATTTCCTGATGTCATAGGGAGGGCTTCAGCTTTTATAATAAAGAAGAATTTGGTTAAAATTCTAAGTTTACTTAGTCAAATGTGTGACCTGGATCCATGAGTCTCTTTCCGCATCTATAGGGTAGGGATTATAATGTATCATTTTAAAGGTAGTTGTCAAGAACCAATGTTTTAAATATTTAAATAGCCCTATAGAGAACGTGGAGCTTCATGAAAGAGAAAATATTTCTTTCTTTGTTTTCTATGCCTATAGACTACTCAGACATTGAGTTTATGTATATTTTGTACTTACTATTGAATCACACACTGGCTCATTGCGATATCATTATATCTGAAAGAAGAGACACTAGGAGATAGGGGTAGAGAGAAAAAAAGGAATTTTTTTTTTTTGGAAGTGGAGTCTCGCTCTGTCACCCAGGCTGGAGTGCACTGGCACGATCTCAGCTCACTGCAAGCTCCGCCTCCCAGGTTCACGCCATTCTCCTGCCTCAGCCTCCTGAGTAGCTGGGACTACAGGCGCCTGCCACCAGGCCTGGCTAATTTTTTGTATTTTTAGTAGAGACGGGATTTCACCATGTTAGCCAGGATGGTCTTGATCTCCTGACCTCGTGATCCACCCGCCTTGGCCTCCCAAAGTGCTGGGATTACAGGCATGAGCCACCATGCCCAGCCAAAAGGAATTTTTAATGTTCAATAAAATAAAAAAAATACCCTGTTTCCAAGCCCTGTTTTCTAATAGATCACCCCTACACTTTTAGAAATAGATTTCTAGCCTCCCAACCATTGTAATAGATGCAGAAGTTTCTATAAAATATTTAGACAATTATTTTAATCTTTGCTGAAACATTTCTAGTGATAGGTATAGAACCTCCAATCTTATTTATAGATTTAAATAATTTAGTCAATGTCTAAATCTCTATAATTGCCCAGTTTAAGTCTTATGGACCTTCATAAACAAATTCTAATTCTCCTTTGTTGTGAGAATCTTTTAAGGACCATGTTCATGACCTATAGTGAATATGTTGTTCTTCTCTGCCCACATTCCCTTCTTGAACTGTTTTTCCTTCCTTCACTCCTTGCAGCCTTGGTGAGACTCTCTTGGTGGCCTGTGATTGGAGTGACCAGAAGTTAACACTCTGTCCCTTGTATAGTCATGATTCCAGGGGCTGGCACAAGAACAAAGCAAAATAATTCTTGGCCTTCATGGCTAAATAAGTAATGATCTCCCCTTTTTGCTTAAGATAATCTGAGTGGTATTCAGTTGCTTCATTAGCAATTAATGACTTATGAATATATTTTGTCTATATCTATACTTTGTCTCCTGCAGTACCTCAGGCTTATTAGGGTGGGGAAAAAACTCCGCCCTGGTAAATTTGTGGTCAGAATGGTTCTCTGTTCTTTAACCCTGTTTTCTGTTGTTTAAGATGTTTATCAAGACAATACGTGCACAGCTGAACATAGACCTTTATCAGTAGTTCTGCTTTGTCTTTGTCCTGTTCCCTCAGAAGCATGTGATCTTTGTTCTGCTTTTTGCCCTTTGAAGCATGTGATCTTTGTACCTACTCCCTGTTTTACACCCCTTCCCCTTTTGAAACCGTCAATAAGAAACTTTCTGGTTTGAGCCTCAGGTGAGCATCATGGTCCTACCGATATGTGATGTCACCCCCAGCAGCCCAGCTGTAAAATCCCTCTTTTGTACTCTTTCTCTTTATTTCTCAGCTGGCTGACACTTATGGAAAATAGAAAGAACCTACATTGAAATATTGGGGTTGGGTTCCCCTGATATGCTAGTACCATTTATTAAATAGGGAGTTCATTCCCCATTGCTCATTTTTGTCAACTTTCTTGAAAATCAGATAGATAGTTATAGGTGTATGGCTTATTTCTGGGCTCTCTAGTCTGTTCCATTGATCTGTGTGACTGCTTTTGTATCATGAGGTCCATGTTGTACCAACAGTACCAAGCTGTTTTAGTAACTACAGCCCTGTAGTATAGTTTGAAGTCCGGGAAAATGATGCCTCCTGCTTTGTTGATTTTATTTAGGATTGCCTTGGATATTTAAGTTCTTTTCTGGTTCCATACAAACTTTAAAATAGTTTTTTTCTAGTTCTGTAAAAAATCTCATTGGTAGTTGGATACGAATAGTATTGATTTTGTAAATTGCTTTGGACAGTATGACCATTTTAACCATATTAATTTCTTCCTATCCATGAGCATGAAATGTTTTTCCATTTGTTTGTTTCATCTCTGATTTTTTAAGCAATGTCTGGTAATTCTCATTGTACTGATTTTTCAACTCCCTGGTTAGCTGTTCCTAAGAATTTTATTATTTTTGTGAGTATTGTGAATTGAATTGTATTTTTGACTTTGCTCTCAGCTTGGCTGTTTTTGGTGTATAGGAATGCTAGTAATTTTTTTTTTTTGAGACAAGATCTTGCTCTGTTTCCCAGGCTGGAGTACAGTGGCAAGATCATGGCTCACTACAGCCTCTGCCTCCCAAGTTCAAGCAATCCTTCCACCTTGGCCACCCCAGTAGGTGGTAACACAGGTGCATGCCACCACACCCACCTAATTTTTTATTTTTTGTAGAGACAAGGTATCACCATGTTTTTCAGGGTGGTCTTGGGCTCCTGGGCTGAAGCAATCCACCCACCTCAGCCTCCCAAAGTGCTGGGATTACAGGCATCAGACACTACACCTGGCTGGAATGCTAGTGATTTTTGTACATTGATGTATCCTGAAACTTTGCTGAAGTTGTTTATCAGCTGAGGGAGCTTTTGGGCTGTGACTATGGGGTTTTCTAGGTATAGAATCATATCTTCTGCAAATAGGGATAGTTTGACTTCCTTTCTTCCTATTTGGGTGTCGTTTATTTCTTTCTCTTGCCTGATTACACTGGCCAGGACCTCCAATACTTTGTTGAATAGGAGTGATGGAGAGGGTATTTTTGTCTCATGCCAGTTTTCCAGAGAAATGTTTCAAGCTTTTGCCCATTCAGTAAGATGTTGGCTATGGATTTGTCATAGATGGATCTTACTATTTTAAGGTCTGTTCCTTCAATAGCTAGTTTATTGAGAGTTTTTAACATGAATGAATGTTGAGTTTTATCAGAAGCTTTCTCTGCATCTACTGAGATAATCATGTTGTTTTTGTATTTTAGTTCTGTTTATGTGATGAATCACATTTATTTTTATTTTTATTTATTTATATGTTTTGAGACAGAGTCTTGCTCTGTCACCAGTCTGGAGTACAGTGGTGCAATCTCAGCTCACTGCAACCTCCACCTCCCAGGTTCAAGCAATTCCAATGCCTCAGCCTCCCAAGTAGCTTGGACTTCAGGCACGCACCAACACGCCTGGCTAATTTTTTGTATTTTAGTAGAGATGGGGTTTCACCATGTTGGACAAGATGGTCTCTATCTCCTGACCTTGTGATCTGCCCATCTCAGCCTCCCAAAGTGTTGGGATTACAGGCGTGAGCCACCGCGCTCTGCCAAATCACATTTATTAATTTGCATATGTTGAACCAACTTTGCATCTCAGGGATAAAGCTAACTTGATCATGATGGACTAACTTTTGTTGTGCTGCTGGATGTGTTTCACTAGTGTTTTTTTGTTGAAGATTTTTTCATCAATGTCCATCAAAGATATTGGCCTGAAGTTTTCTTTTACTGCTGTGTTTCTGTCAGACTTTAATATCAGGATGATGCTGGCCTCAAAGAATAAGTTGGGGAGGAGTCCTTCCTTCTCATTTTTTTCAAATAGTTTCAGTAGAAATATTACCAGCTCTTCTTTGTACGGCTGGTAGAATTTGTCTATGAATCTATCTGGTCCTGGGCTTTTATTTGGTTGGTAAGCTATTTATTACTGATTCAGTTTTAGAGATCATTGTAGGTGTGTTCAGGAATTTAGTTTCTTTCTGGTTCAGTCTTGGGAGGGTGTATGTGTCCTTTATCAGGACTTTTCATTAAGACTTCACTCACATGCCTGGTCTCTTAATGGGGCAGTTGAAGGCTGGCCTCTGATGAATGGGCTTCTGTCTCTCTAAATGTAGTCTTACAGCCTTTCCATAAAGTCCCCTTAGCAGAGAAGTCAGACTACCCTTTGAGTGCATAGAGACTGCATTGCAGCTTAGGTCTTCTATATATCAAAGCAGAAACTGCAAATCCTCTTTGAAACTAGATCTGAAACTGGCATAACATCATTTTCTCTACATTCAACTGATTAAAGGCATCACAGGTCAGTCTAGTTCAAGAAGAGGAAATAGTTCAAATCTCTTACTGGAAGATTGTAAAGGAATTTACAGATTTTTTTTTTTTTTTGAGACGGAGTCTCACTCCATCATCCAGGCTGGAGGGCAGTGGTGCAATCTCAGCTCATTGCAAGCTCCGCCTCCCGGGTTCATGCCATTCTCCTGCCTCAGCCTCCCAAGTAGCTGGGACTACAGGCGCCTGCCACCACGCCTGGCCAATTGTTTGTATTTTTAGTAGAGACAGGGTTTCACCATGTTAGCCAGGATGGTCTCGATCTCCTGACCTCATGATCCACCCGCCTCGGCCTCCCAAAGTGCTGGGATTACAGGCGTGAGCCACCGCACCCAGCCAGAATTTACAGATATTTTTAAGCCACAGAATGTTCATAACAGTCTTGTTCATAACAATAACATGAGAACAACTTAAATGTCCATCTGTGAAAAAAATATCATAGCTCACAAAATGCAACACTATATAACAGTGAAAATTCACTTGAAGGCATTATATGCTGTCAAACAGATGAATCCTAGGAACAATTTTGTTGTTGTATTTAATGTAAAAAGTTTTTTCCAATAATACAATACATTCTTATTAACTATAGTCACCATGTTGTACAATAGATCTCTTGAATGAATTCCTCATATGTAACTGAAATTTTGTATCCTTTGACTAATATCGCCCCAACCCCTTTTCCACAAGCCCCTGATAGCCGTCATTCTAGTCTCTACTTTTATGAGTTCAACTTTTTAAAATTTGACATGTAAATAAGACTATGCAGTATTTGTCTTTCTTTCTTTGGCTTATTTCACTTAGCCTGATGTAGTCCAGGTTCATCTATATTGTTTCAAATGAAAGATTTCCCTTTCCTTTCATGGGAAAATAGTATTCCCTTGTGTATATACACCACAATTTCTTTATCCATTCATCTGTTGATGGACACTTACTTAGATTGGTTTCTTATCTTGGCTGTTGTGAATAATGCTGCAATAAACAATGATGTGAAGATATCTTTCTGATACGTTGATTTCACTTCCTTTAGATATACACTTAGTAAGTAAATAGCTGCAACATACAGTAATTCTATTTTTAATTTTTTGAGGATCCTCTATATTGTTTTTCATAGTGGGTGCACTAATTTACATTCCTACCAACAATGTGCAAAGATTACCTTTTCTCCACAGCCGCACCTATTGTTATCATTCATCTTGATAATAGCCATTTTAGCAGGTGCAATTTCTCATCAAGAATTGTTTCCTAATATCTGAGACTTAGAAATTTGCATTTATCTGATGATTAGTGATGTTGCACACTTATTTACATACCTGTTAACCATTTGTATATCTCCTTTTGAGTGATGTCTGTCCAGATCTTTTACCTATTTATTTATTTATTTTGAGATGGAATTTCTCTTGTTACCCAGGCTGGAGTGCAATAGCGTGATTTCGGCTCAGTGCAACCTCCTCCTTCCAGGTTCAAGTGATTCTCCTTCCTCAACCTCCCAAGTAGCTGGGATTGTAGGCATGTGCCACCATGTCCAGCTAATTTTGCATTTTTAGTAGAGACGGGGTTTCGTCATATTGACCAGGATGGTTTTGAACCCCTGACCTCAGGTGATCCACCCACCTCGGCCTCCCAAAATGCTGGGATTACAGGGGTGAGCCACTGTGTGCGGCCTTTTACCCATTTTTAATTGTTTGTTTACTATTGAGTTGTTTGAGTCCCTTATGTATTTTGGATAGTGGCTCCTTATCAGATAGGTGGTTTGCAAATATTTTCTGCCATTCCATAGGTTTTCTCTTCACTCTGCCGATTGTTTCTTTGGCTGTGCAAAAGCTTTCTATTTGATGTGATCCTATTTGTCTATTTTTGCTTTCGTTGCCTAGGAATGTTATAAGTCCTTCAATTAATCTTCAAGTTTTAGACTCTTTAAAAAAAAACATTCTTTTTGAGCCGTTAAGATATGCTTTGCAGAAGACTGGTACCAGCTGCTTGGAAATTTCCTCCTATATTCCTTCAGTCTTTGGTCATTTCTGCTCAGCTTCATTTATGTTCATGGTCTTATCATCCACCTCTAGAATGTTTTTAAAATCCTTCATACATTGATGATATTTCTTATTTCTCTTCTCATCTGCATTTTATTTCACAGGGCTCTGTGATGATTGTGTGTGTATAGCTAATTGTCCTGTGCAATAGGTTTTATGTATGCATTTTCTGAATTACAACCATGAGAATACTGGAGCCAAGATAATGGGATCCAAAATTGAGAAATCTCAATTCACATTGTTTTGGATTCCTTAAAAGGAAAGGACTTACTAAATGTTAGTAGTCTGTACACAATATTTATGCACGATTTGCTAGTTTTGAATTACAGAGAATGGCAGTCAAAAAAGAGGAACATAATCTGTTTGCTATTTTGGTTTCTTCAAATATATGTTAAAAATTTTAAATGAACATTCTAATGATAAAATATTTTAATTTTAGAAGAGTGTTTTCTTGGGACTTTTAGGCCCTATAATGTCTCTTGGAATTCAAAAGCTTTTGCATAACAATGTTTTGATGAGTTTAAGTATAAATGTAAATAAAAAAATAAGGATTAAATTTTCTTTGACACACGTGAAAAGTTTGAGAAAAAACATGTTTGGCACATATGGTCTAGAGTCAGCAAAACAGGAACTATCAGCAACTTATCCCAAAGTAGTTCACAAAACACAAAATCCACAATAAAAGGTTATCCAATTCCCCCCACAAAAAAGAGGCCAAACATGTGTATTGTTAAATTAACAGAGGTAGATCCATATATTTTATTTGTTTCCTTGGGAATATAGAATGTCTTAAAAGTTGAATCTCAATAAATCAGTTTTATGCAGTGTTCTGATATGTTATATTCATTTTGCTTCTAAAACCTTCTAGAATCCTGTATAAGACTAGTTAACCAATTGGGAACAATGTTAGCAAATATTTCCACACACACACACACACACACACACACATGCACACACACACAGAGATGACCAGAATTTTGCTTAAACATCTTTCTATTGCAGTCAAAACTATTCCTTCGTAGAGAAACTAATGTGTATATTTTTAATAACAGGTTTATATTATTGAAATGACTGTCACACATGCTGACCCAGATGCTGTGGGGACAATAGCAGTCCTACAGTTGTACAGAAATTAGAAAGGAATGAAATATTTGATATCAAATATGAACTTGGTTGTACTTGTTGTTGCAATAGATGAACTTAATTTGAAGCCAAAAGTGTATTTCAATTCCCTTATTTCCTAACACAAAGTAAAAGAGGCAGATAGATACTGTCATATAAGAACAAGATTGACCAAAATGGTCTTAACCAGAAGGGTTATGATAGTAAATTAAATTAAATGTAAACAACCAAATGAAACTGAATGTTCTGCCAGAAGCAGCAAAAATATATCTCAGAGTAATAAACCATAACATCTTCAGGAAAGTTCCCAGGGCAATAGTTTTAATTCTCCCAGCAGGTACTACCTATATTATAATAAAGGGTTATTTTCTAGCATGAAGTTTATAATTTGTAACTGCTAATGAATCAGGTTATATTTGCCAGTTTCATCCAGTAAGTTGCTGTTGTTGTTGCTGTTGCTGTTCTTGTTATTTTATGAACATAGCATTGGAGAGAGAAGTTAGAAAATGGGTGCTTATGACTAAAACACATTTTAAGGTCAGTTCACTTCAAGACAGCAAAATGGATTCAAGATCTTCTTTAAAATGAAGAATTGTTTTAGTCTGCTTTGCTGTTGCTATGACAGAATACCTGAGACTGAAAAGAAGAGAAATTTATTTGAGTTCTAAAAAAAAAAAAAAAATAGTCGAAGTTCCAGGGGCTCATATCTGGTGAGGGCCTTCTTGCTGCATCATCCAAGAAGGCAGAAGGGAAAGAAAGGATATAAGAGCGAAAATGCAAAAGAGGGCCAAGCTTGCTTTTATAACAAGCCCACTCTTGCAATGATTAACCCATTCCTGTGAGACCAACATTAATCCATTGATGAGGTCTCTGCCCTCATGACCTAATCACTTCTTACTAGACCCTACTTTCCAATACCGTTGCATTAGGGGTTAAGCTTCTAACACATGAATTATGGGAGAGACATTCAAACCATAGCAGGAGTCTCTTTTTCTAATTATTGCCGATTTTCAAAAGTGAGGGCTATCTACCTTCTCTACAAACAGGAATTATAGACTTTAGACTGAACACGGTGTCACAAAATGTGCTGATCAAATGCTGTTCATATTAAAATCACTTGAGAGAAATGTTAAATATACAGATTCCTGAGCATCAGTCCAGGTTCAGCCAGATACTGAATCAGAATCTGCTGTGTTGGGGCTCAGGAATCATTAATTTGTAGAGCCACGTTTGGAAGCTACTGCCTTCAAAGACATAGGAAGGAGGGACTTATCTCTTACTATTCCTCAGGATCTTTTCTGAATTTGCAGATATTTGGGGTAGGACAAACATCACATATCTTCAACGGAGAATTGTAGTATAAACATCAGGAACAGGTGCCTGCCCAAGATTGTCCTCTCCTGCCTAAATTTACTTGATGCTACTTATAATCCAGATGCTTATGCAAAGATGCTTGTGGGTTTAGGAACCATTTATAGAGAACAAAGAGAAAGAACTAATATATAGAGAATACATTATGCATCAGATACTTATTACTTTTATGTACCTTATATAAGTAAAACCTCCATCACACATACTACAATGCACCATTAGTATTACTCACATTGTACAAATGAGGATTTCAACGGAGAGAATGAGACATTCAAACTAGGCCATGAGGCATGCAAATGGCACAGCTGGGATTCAAACTTAGCTCCAACTCTTCCAAAAATAGCAGGAGAGACAGAATCTGTTTGATTTCTTTTACCTTTCAATATCTACAATATGAATATACTGGTCAAATATAATGAAACTTCATTTATTAGATACAGTTGGGGGAGAGACAGGCAGATCTTTTCTAATACACTGGGAAATCTGAAATATGTGTTCACCGGAATAAGAGATCTGCATGATACCACAGTCTCCATCTGATGTAGTTTAATTTTAGGAAATGTATGATCAATGTGTCAATGTTCTGATTCTCTCTTATTATGAATTTATCATAGTATTAATAGTTGAATCATTAAAATCCTAAGCCTTGATTTAGCATCTTGTATTTATTAATCGCTTATAGCTTATTTCAAGAAAGCAAAGTGCTTCATTTATTGAAGAAAATCTACAAAACAGTTATTTTTTAAAATTGAAGATTGCAAAATTGTTAAATATATAATATAGTTGTTGCCTTTATTTGCTTCTTCCATAAATGTGATTTTTATGAGATGTTTCATAAAAATATTCTGGAATTTGAAGCAAAGCCCTATATGTAGTTACAAGCAAGTGGAAGGCAAGATGTTTCAATAGTTTTGTACTCAGCCATTTATGACCAACTCCAACGGTCATTGCAATCTTGGCATTTCAGAGAAAAGGAAAATGTTTCTGTCCATACTGGCCCTTTACTTTTTCTAGTCATTTATTCAACAACATTGAACAAGTTGTTCAATGTTGATGAACATTGTTAATTAAACATTGAACAAGTAGCTATTGGCTTACTTGGAAAAAGCCTGGAGGTCAACTTTACACACTGGACTTCTATAAATTCTGTGAAAAGAAAAATCAGATCTCATTTATTTTAAGCTCAATTTCATCAATCACAGGGTCTGGCATGAAACTAAGGCTTTTCTAACACTCGGTAAATAAATGAGCAAGTGTGCTGGTGGGTCCTTCTGTGAATGGTATTTTTTTTCTGTTCATTCTATATATTCCACTCTTCACAATTCCCAAACAAGAGACGTTACTTCCCCCTTTTGAATGAGTCAATGCAATGAGATATCACTTCATAAAATAACCTTGAAGACAAATTTAAATGTTCTTTCTTTTAAAATGTAGATATCGGCCAGGCACGGTGGCTCACGCCTGTAATCCCAGCACTTTGGGAGGCTGAGGTGGGCGGATCACGAGGTCAGGAGATCGAGACCATCCTGGCTAACACGATGAAACCTCGTCTCTACTAAAAATACAAAAAATTAGCCGGGCATAGTGGCGGGCGCCTGTAGTCCCAGCTACTCGGGAGGCTGGGTCAGGAGAATTGCGTGAACCCTGGAGGCGGAGCTTGCAGTGAGCCGAGATTGCGCCACTGCACTCCAGCCTGGGCGACACAGTGAGACTCCATCTCAAATAAATAAATAAATAAATAAATAAATAAATAAATAAATAAATAAAAACTAAAAAATTAAAATGTAGATATCACAGGGGGAAAAAGGGCAGTATGAAAAGTCCTAGGCCCTTCGGATGAAAATGAGGATAAGATAATATGAAATACCTGAACAACTTGCTTTTTCAATGGGGACATAATCACATCATAAGATGCAGATGTGTTTTCAGTTGTTGTTTTGGTTTTTGACATGTGCAAAGAACACACAGGCACCAGGTAAAATAACCATAACTGCTACTTAATATAAACAAATCCATTTTCTGTCTCTTCTTCCTTTAATTACATTATTATCCATTGGTCAAAGCAATATGAACCAATTCTAGTAGAAATTACATTGAAAGCTCCAATGAAATGGGATTTTCTTGGGAGTCACCCAATAAATAGATTTTCTGAGCAGAGGTTTACACTTATGTATGGTACTAATAAAGATTATCTGCAATAAGATTGGCAATGACAAATTGCCTACTATAGTAATAGTTTCATTATATAGAATTATTACTTGGAAAATTAATTTTAATTGAAAACAATTTATCTGAGTTGTAGAAGTAAAAAGATTCTCCCAGCAGAATTTATACCTGCTGTGTCTACTTAACAGTGATTATTTCCCTAACTTTCTATTGACTCAAGGCTTTCTGTGCTCTATATTTTCCTCATGCATATAAAATTATTTCCACAGATAGGAACACAGCATTTCTTTGCATTTAATCTTCTTTCATAACCAAATTACCATATGAAACTTCTATATCTGCATCTCACTTGGGAAAAAACTGGTACTTGCAAGAAAGTTTATTGGCAATAAAAAGAATGTATTTAAATTTACACACACACACACACACACACACACGCAAAAATTCAGAATAAAGTCATCTCCTGATAGCTTCTCCTATTTACAATATTTGTTCAAGGAATGAAAACTACATATTCCTTATTAAAAATATTTTTCCTCCATTATGATTTGAAATTGTCAAATAAGAGGAGTGGTCAAATCCCAAATCAAAAATTCTTTTTGAACTGCACCATTTCTCCCTGATTAAGTATTTAATCCTCACCTAAAGGTCTCTCTGAAGTTGAGGTCTTGAAAAATTCCTTCTTGGTGTATCTTCCAAATGGAAATGCACTGGTAAAGCTTTCATGCAAAAAGAACACATTTGGAATTACATATCTGATTCATTGCTACAGTTTACAACTAGAGCCTAGGAGTTTCCACTGAAAACTGAGATAATCACTCATGGTAATTTAAGAATCGTAACTTTTCTGGATGTTTCCTACTACCATCATATTTGTAGAAAATAGGAAATACCTGTTTTAAGAAGATTCCACAGAAATGTGTTTAATATATATCACTATGCACAAATAGATGCACAAATTTATACTGTCTTTTGTCATTGATGTTTTTTTTTATTTTTAGATGGAGCCTGGCTCTGTCACCCAAGCTGGAGTGCAGTGGTGTAATCTCAGCTCACTGCAACCTCCACCTCCTGGGTTCAAGCGATTCTCCCGCCTCAGCCTCCTGAGTAGCTGGGATTACAGGGGCCCACCATCGCGCCCGGCTAATTTTTGTAGTTTTGTAGAGATGGGGTTTCACCATGTTGGCCAGGCTGGTTTTGAACTCCTGATCTCAGGTGATTTTTTTTTTTTATATACTTTAAGTTCTGGGATACATGTTCAGAACGTGCAGGTTTGTTACATAGGTATACATGTGCCATGGTAGTTTGCTGCACCCATCACCCCATCATCTAGGTTTTAAGCCCTGCATGTATTAGGTATTTGTCCTAATGCTCTCCCTTCTCTTGCCCCACAACACCTGTTAGGCCTCAGTGTGTGATGTTCCCCTCCCTGTGTCCATGTGTTCTCATTGTTCACCTCCCACTTATGAGTGAGAATGTGCGGTGTTTGGTTTTCTGTTCTTGTGTTATTTGCTGAGAATGATGGTTTCCAGCTTCATTCCTGCCCTGGCAAAGGACATGAACTCATTCTTTTTTATGGCTGCATAGTATTCCATGGTGTTTTTGTGCCACATTTCTTTATCCAGTCTATCATTGATGGGCATTTGGTTTGGTTTGGCTTTGAAACTGCAATCCCTCTTCCCAAAAATCCCCACTTTTCCCACTTTCTGAATGAAGCTCACACAGCAGGTTGGCATTTAAGACATGCTACTATCTGGAAAAAAACCCTCAATTTTACCACATATCTATAGCCTATAGATTAACTGGATTATTATTATTAATCAATTTTTAAGCCCACCTCATTGAATATATGAGACTCTCAAGATTAGAAGATAGGATGGCATTCTCTAGGAAAACTGTCCTCTGTTTCAAATAACACACCAATTTCAAGATCTTCCTGATTCCATCAGTTACCTCCTTTTTCCATCAACTGTCTGTGTGTTTCTTCTTTCCTTGGATTGAAGATATTTACATTTCTGATTTTCATCAATATGTTATAATCATTTTTTTTTTCCGAGACAGGGTCTAACTCTGTTGCCCAGGCTGGAGTGCAGTGGTAAGATCTCAGCTCACTGCTACCTCCACCTCCTGGGTTCAAGCAATTCTCCTAGCCTCAGCCTCCCGAGTAGTGAGGACTATGGAGCATGCCACCATTTCTGGTCTGATATATGTATTTTAGTAGAGACACAGAGAGATGGGGTTTTGCCATTTAGGCTAGGCTGGTCTCGAACTCCTGACCTCAGGTGATCCGCCTGCCTCAGCCTCCCAAAGTGCTGGGATTACAGGTGTGAGCCACCAAGGCTGCCCTCTTATAATCATTTTGATATGCATATTTCCTTCAAAATTTATGTTAATGGAACTGAATTGCTTGTAAATCATGAATGAATGGCTTGTAAAATCATCCCACAGTGAAATATTCATTGGAATTTTTTTTCTGTACTGACTCACATCTGGGTAAGAGAAGTAGAAACAGTCAATTACATGGATATTTTATATGCATATTATCAAATAAAATTATATTTAAAAAAATAGCATATTTGATATCACATATACATATATTAAGCCAGGATAACTTTAAGAAACCTTTATTTCAGTTTCTTTAGATACCAATTATCGTTACTCTTTATCTCATTTATCTGAAGAAAATGCACATGAGGCAGAGGAATCTCTCCTCCCTATTACAGGGGAAGCAAGCAAGAAACACATTTTGTTCTTGTGAAAGACTTAATGGGAGAAAAAAACAGAGGATGGAAAGCCCTAATCTGACCTGCAAACAAAAAAGTCCTTTGAAAATAATGAAGTAAGCCCTGTTACAGGGGAAGCAAGCAAGAAACACATTTTGTTCTTGTGAAAGACTTAATGGGAGGAAAAAACAGAGGATAGAAAGCCCTAATCTGACCTGCAAACAAAAAAGTCCTTTGAAAATAATGAAGTAAGTAATTTCCTCCCCTCTATTGGCAATGCCATCTCAATCTCTAAGAATTTCCTATTCACTCCTTGACCTTTCCAAAGAGGTCATCACCAAAGGAAATGTCTTACTTCAAGAGTAACAACAGACTTTAAAGATCTTAAACAATTTCAGAGTATAGACCTTGTTAGATCCTGTTCTCTTGAAGGGGAAGAGTAAGCAAGGGTTTTTTGCCAAAGAAATAACTTTTCAATGAATTTCAAAGCACTTGTGTGTGTTCTGAAAGTATAGAGCTGGACTCTATATAAATTCTAACATGTCAATATATTTTACATTGCCTGTATCTTGAAATAATACTTTAGCTACTGAGGATTGTCATTTATTGATAAGGCTATATCTGATTTAGGAATTTAGACTATTAAAAAAATAGAAGAAATGTTGAGCTGAAAAAACTATAAACTTTTCTCAAATAAAATATGTCCATTTGATTGACTACCTGGTTTCACTTTATTCAAAAGACAATTATTTTCTATAAATCTATATATGTTTGTAATTTATATGAAAGCTTTAGAAAATAATTTATACTGATTATATATAAGTAGCTACAGTGTTAAAATTTCTATTATATTATTTTACTTTTTAAAATAATTTGTATCTGATTTATGGTGTCCAAGACTTAAGATGAGAATTTAGTGAATTATATTTATGTCATACAGAAAAGCAAAAAAGATAAATATATAAATAAATGATAAGATATAAGATATTCTAGTCATGGCTGGGCATGGTGGCTCATGCCTATAATACCAGCACTTCGGGAGGCCAAGGCGGTTGGATCACCTGAGGTCGGGAGTTCGAGACCAGCCTGACCAACATGGTGAAACTCCGTCTCTACTAAAAATACAAAAATTAGCCAGGCAGGGTGGTAGAGCCTGTAATCCCAGCTACTCAGGAGGCTGAGACAGGAGAATCGCTTGAACCCAGGAGGTGGAGGTTGCAGTGAGCTGAGATCATGCCAATGCACCCCAGCCTGGACGACAAGGGCAAAACTCCATTTCAAAAAAAAAAAAAAAGATATTCCAGTCATGAAAAATAACAGTTATGAAAGTTTAAATTAAGAAACTGAGGAAATGATAATTTTTTAAATTGTATCAGCTTTCTTTGTGCTGATATTAAATCAGAACTGTTCTAAACATGATTCTTATGTAATTGGTTACTATTTTAAAATGACAGATATTGAATGTGTTAATAAACCTTTCTGAAGCCATCTTAGTTAATGGCCATTCAGAAGTAGAATCTGAACACAAGATTTGAGAGCAAGTGATGCAATAAAGAAGTTCTGCCAAAAGAAACCACTCAGAAAGTGTAGGAAACACAACTGGAAAAAACAAGTCAAGCAAGGCTATGATTTCAGGTGAGGCACCAGCCTCAGTCTGACTGGATGGGGAGCTCTGGAGGGTAAATTGCACTTTATAGTTGGTCCTATGGGGAATCAGGTGTGCTGAGCTGTTGTATTCCACTAACCATTCATTAGCTATGGGCCATAAGCTGTCCACAGACAACTCAGCTCTAAAAAGATAATCTGTCCTCTAAACTTTCCATGCTAGTCTTTAGCAGCAAAGCACAGAGAGCCTAAGGAGTGGTCACACAGTTCCTACGGGGAATCCACGGTTTTTACATGAGGCACTAACACTGTCTACTGTAGGAAGCATGTTGAATTTTAATTAGCAATTCTAAGAATTGCTCATAATATTGTTGCAGATATTGCCAGCCACCTACCCCAGAACCATTCACCACTGCTACAACCACCATTACTGACACCACCACCTGTAGCTCTCTTACCCTTTGCTGATTTAGCCTGATATTATTAAAGCATTTACCTTTACACTATGCACTTTTAACTATTAGAATGATTGGTTTTAGCCAGCCATATAAATGGCATTTTCCTTCACAGTGGTTAGTTTAGAAGTTAGCAAGAAACTTAATCTTCTTGATTTTTCAAGGAAAATGTATCCATATTTTCCACCCTAATAAAAAAAAACTGCACAGAAGAAAATATTCTTCATGACAACATCACTATGCCTGCATGCATTGACAGAAATTACTAAGGTCATGTTGCCATCATAAGTGGCAACAAAATAGACAGTCTATAGATAGCAAAGTAAATCATGGAAAGCCACAAAGGTTTGGGTGAGACTTCTGGGCCACTGTAACCTCCACAGAGCTGGATTTTTATTAAGCAAATAAAAAAACTAAATAGTTGTCAGTTGGGTCTTCTGTGTTAGAAAATGCATTTTTATTAATATAATAATAGCTCTCAAGCTATTGGCCTTTATAAAGAGCTTACAATGTGCCAGCTATATTTATAAGTACTTTACATATATCAATTCATTCTGGTGAAAGAGAACACATCCCACAGCTACTAATAAATATCATAATTGTCACATATAATCAAGTTATTTGGCTCGTATTGAAGACGTTAAAATTATGTTGTGTTGCTCACTGAAGTTACTATACATTATCACTACTACTTCCAGCAAAAACTATAGGGAGGAAACAGCAGATTATGTTTAAGTAATGTAAATAGCCATCTTAGTAAAATACTTACATAATATGTGTTTTTGATTTTCTTAATAATAGTCTTGTGCAGAAAAACATTTTATAATTTATAAGAATACTAAATTAACTATTGAAAACATTTGTATGTCTTTTTTTATCTCCTATATTTTTCCAGGCAATATTAGCAGAATACTACCCACAAAGTTTTCTAAGCCATATCAAACATATCAATATGTTTGTGAAATCAAAGCACAAAAATTCAAATTTCTGATATTTAATATATAAAGTGTATCTATACAATTTATAATTTGATAAATTTTACATGCTTATTCTTTCTCTGAATGTATTACATAATTACATGAGATAAATTAACTCATATGCTATAATACTTCATTTAAGGATAGTGTCCTCTTCAAAATTGATTTGGGGATACTTACAGCTTGATTTAGCTCAACTGAATAAATGAAAATCTTAGCAGTTTCATTGTTGCTACATCCAATGAGAAAAACTATCCAGTATGGTACCTTTGCCTGCTATTATTCTTCTCTATTTATCTTTATTAGTATTCTAGAGTTATTAAGAATAGATTATAATTGAAATACGAGAAGTCCTGGGAAAACTTCATGGGCAGCCACCTAACCACTTTTTTTATATTCTACCGGAACTGGCTTTAAGGAAGAACAATCAAAGTACATACTTTAATTACAAGCAGAAGAACAGAGTAACTTTAGGATATTCAATTTTTTTAAATTCTAGTCTTTATGTGACCCTGCAAATTTGAATTCAGGCTGGGTGTGGTGGCTCACGCCTGTAATCCCAGCACTTTAGGAAGCCCAGGTGGGTGGATCCCCTGAGGTCAGGAATTCAAGACCAACCTGGTCAACATGGCGAAACCCTGTCTCTATTAAAAATGCAAAAATTAGCTGGGCACAGTGGCACGTGCCTGTAATCCCAGCTACTTGGGAGGCTGAGGCAGGAGGATCACTTGAACATGGGAGGCAGAGATTGCAGTGAGCTCAGATCATGCCACTGCACTCCAGCCTGGGAAACAGAGCAAGACTCCATCTCAAAAAAAAAAAGTAAGATAAAATAAATAAATAAATAAAGTAAATTCATCTTTCTGAGAGTTAAAGCTAATGTCTATAAATTTTTATTGATAATTAATAATATTTATCTGTGACTTCATAAAGAGTTAAAGGATGAATATAAAAGAATATGATTGCCTTAGTGTGTGAATCTCATGTGGTAAGCACACTTGACAAATGTTAGATCCTCTCAGTTATTTTTTTCTTTGTGACTCAGAGCCCACAGTAGGTGGAAATACCAATACCAAATTACCCTATGGAGACTAAAAACAGGACTAAAGGAGTTAAAGACATGAACTTCAGTATCTTGAGGGAGCTAAGATTTTAATTTATGCTGAGATGTAAAAAACTGACCTGATGTATTTTATTCCACAAGGGTATTTGAATTTTAAAAGATAAACGTTTAAATAAATGTTATTATATATGTTTATCCAAAATATTCAAGGACAGAGTAGAACTTTCATAGAGGAGAAATTTTCCCAAGGTGGTGAAGGGCAGTGTGCCATGCAAAGGGCTGCAGGTTCAGTAGCATAGAAGGGCTAAACAGTGGTGAGAGTGTTGAACATTCTCGTGTAGCTGACACATAAATTGTAAATGGGATGTGAGACAATAAAAGCAAAGGGTAGGCTTTGAAAGTGAGGGCCAAACTTCAAAAATCTTGTATGAAATAAGATAATAATTAATAATAATGGTTGACATACAGATTTCAAATGGCACTCCAAGGCACTATGTCTTGGAGTATCAAATTTAGTTTAAGACTGAGAGTAGGATTATACGAGTAGGAGATGCATCATATTCACATGAAAATAAAGAGATACATTGAGGAATAGAATGAGAAATTAACTTGAATAGTATGAAACTTCAGAGAGTGGTAAGTACCACAGTTATAGAAGGTAATCATCACCCTTACTGATAAATGAAAAAACTAAATTTCGATGGTCAAGATAATTTTCCCAGGATTATGTAACAGACAAGTCAGAGAATGGGAAATTTACCTATCTAAGCTTTGTTTTTTCCAAAACGCTGCACTGAATGTTAAGAAAATAAATTTTTAGACAAAAGTAGCAAGTCATTTGAGCATTTAAAATAGCTAAAAGCTACAATCACACAGACACACATACACACACACACACATCCAACAACAAGGAAGGTAGAGGTATTTTGGCATTTGAAATTATTCTAGTAAGAAATGATAAAGGTCTGAAATAGTGTAGATTTCCCTTTACTGTCAGAGGCTAAATTGATCTTGGAAACATTACTTTCTTTGATAATAAAGTATTGTCATTATTAAGTGTTTATAAGGTATATGTGAATAAATCACATAGTTACTTTTAAAGGTAACTCATGCTGGTGAAAAGATATGGAGAGGCAAAAAAGCCAATGTTTTAAAGTTTTAACATATTTTTAAGTGTATGAAGCAACCAATTTATTTTGATATAATCATTGGTGAAAGTAATGCCATCAAGCATTCGCGGAGGCTTTTAATTAGAATCATGTGCTATGTAAAGCTGTTGGACAGAGTTTAAAGGTTCAGAATGTTGGAGGATATAAAAAAAATGGCAAATGCCCCGTTGCTTTTGTAAGGGATTTTAAATTAAAGCAGCAAACCTTTTAAAGCATCACACAGTGGGAAGAATGAAAATGAAAGCTAATTAACCGGAATTATTTTTCAGTTGTACAATTTTGCAATAATCTTCCATGGAGTTCATGACCAGAGGATGACTAGACCTTGAGAAGTATTTGAAGAAGGGGTCAATGTGGGAGCCAAGGCAACCATCTGAAACAGCTGGCCTGCCTGGGCATGTCTGAGCCAGATGTCCACTTCTGGTCCAGGGTTAGAATTATGTATCAAATCAGGTACTGGGAACAATTTATCTATGTTAAAAAGATGTGTGTGTGTGAATGGATGTGTGTGTGTGAATGGATGTTCCGCTGTAAGAACAGAAAATAGTATCTTAATTGTAATAGAAGATACTTTGACAGCATGTTTCAAAAGCCTTAAAATTCATATCATTTTACGCATTATTTCAATTCTTACTAATTTATATTAAAGATATCATTAGAGTGAATATGAGTATTTATTACCATACTGTTTATTGACATTTTATTTATAATAATAAAACATTCCAATAATTTTAATTGTTAGTAGTAAGGGAATGGTGAAACTCATGGAATATTCATGAAATAAAATGTGTGCAGCCATGAAAAGTCATGCAATAGAAGAATATTTAATGACACAGGTGTAGAGTAAAACCAAAAATTATTATAAATAATCACATCTATGAATTGTTAGTTTAAAAGTATATTTAAGGAATTTATATCCAAATTATATATGTATTTATAAAAAGACAAGTAAGAAATACACAAAATATTTTAGATTATATTATCCAAATGGAGTTACATGTACTTTTTTTGTTTACATTATGCTATTAGAAATTTACTCATTTTTATAAAATAAAATTGTTTTTTATTTTACTAAAAATACTGTTCTGAGATATCAACAGTTGGGGAAAATGTGTTAGCAATGAACTCAAAGAAAAGTAGTATAAGCATAAGAAATATATTTTTACTTCAGCCTAAAACTAAGCCCTTAACATTCCTTAATTGTGGAATGTCAACCATCTCACTACATTTCCTTAGGCTGCAAAATATGTAAGTATACCTCTCTTTTCCTATTGTGCTTTTATGAAAATATTCTCTTTGGTATTCTTTTATGACATATCAATTTTAAAAAATAAAGTTGTGTTTACACCAACACATTTTCATACATTGGCACATGGTATTTATAACTCTAAAGCCAAAGTGGGCACAGACTAGGACCTGCTGAAGTGGGCACAGACTAGGACCTGCTGAAGCAGGGAATCTGAGTCTCACAGGGCGGCTTCACCCTCTATGACCATCTAAGAATCTTTTGGAATGATCCCCATCAGCAATGTATAATTCTACACATTTTACCATGCCCACTCTAACACCAGAAATTATCTTTAATAATATTTTTAATGCATAAAAATACTTATTAAAATAATTTTGAAGAATAAAAATATATTTTATATAATAAATATTCTATAATAGAAAGATACACCCTGCAATTGTGTTGTGGAAGAAAAATACAATAGGGAAAGAAACCTGAAATGGTGGCAATTTTGTTTTTAAGAGTGAATGAGTATATATGTGAAGGAAAAAAGAAGTGAGAGAGAGAGACAGAGAGAGAGAGAGAGAGAGAGCATGCACAGGTAGGAAGAGGAAGAGAAGGAACACAGAAGAAAGAATTAGATCTCCCTTTTGTCGGTTGATAATTTAATTAACTACCTTTCTTAGGAATATATTATACATTCAGTTGAATAAATAGAATGACAGACACTGAAAAATATTCAGTGTAACATAATGTCCAATATAGTCTAATTCCAGTTTTCTAGCTGATAGTCCTGGGAGTCCTAGAGAGAGAAGACTGAGGGAAAGAGAAACCCCTCCTTGTGACTGGTTTCCAGTGGCTTATGAGTGAAGGTATTAAAGCCAAATAGGGTCTTTCTGTGTTTTCCGTGTTCCACCTCTTTTCAAGCATTTGTGTGAGAACCAGGGACACCTTAAGGGAGAAGGGAATAGTGACATTGCCCTTCTGCTTTTTCCTCTGAAATTTCTGATTGTAGTAAATGGCTTCATTCAAAGTTAACCTTGCATTAAATATATTTTAAAATATATCAACTTGGTAATGCAAATATATATGAAAAGAAAACAGTTCACTCATGTAGTTTATGGCATAGTGATGCTAAAATGAGTTAATATTTATTTTATGAAAGAATAATTGTACATATAGAATTTATTATTAATTGATACTAAACATTTACTGATTAGTAATTCGGATGGTTTTGATTTAATGAAGTGTTTCATACATGTGTATACGTGTGTGTGTGTCTGTGTATATACATATACACACATATAATTTATAGTTATGTACACACCTGTACCAATACCTATGAAGGATACTTATATCATGACTTTGCACATAAAATAATAATCAAGCTGCTATTTCAATTTAAATATACAAGATAAACATTTCATTGAATGTTACAAAATTAGCCAGGCGTGGTGGCGCATGCCTGTAATCCCAGCTCCTCGGGAGGCTGAGGCAGCAGAATCGCTTGAACCCGGGAGGTGGAAGTTGTGATGAGCCGAGATCGCCACATTGCGCTCCAGCCTGGGCAACAAGAGCGAAACTCCGCCTACAATAATAATTAATTAATTAATTAATGATTCCTATACTTCTTTTTTTTTTTTTCACTCTTACTGCCCAGGCTGGAGTGTAATGGCGTGACCTCAGCTCACGGCAACCTCTACCTCACGGGTTCAAGTGATTCTCCTGCATCAGTCTCCCGAGTAGCTGGGATTACAGGCATGCGCCACCACGCCCGGCTAATTTTGTAGTTTTAGTAGAGACGGGGTTTCTCCATGTTGGTCAGGCTGGTCTCGAACTCCTGACCTCAGGTGATCCACCTGCCTTGGTCTCCCAAAATGCTGGGATTACAGGCATAAGCCATGGCGCCCGGCCTACTCATACGTCTATATTTGTTGCAGAAAATGATAAAGTGTTCAATAAAATAATTCTATGCAGTAGAATAAATTTTTTGTGGAAGTGAAATAGAACTATATGCTCAAAGAAAAAAAAGAACAGTCAAAGATTTCCAGATGCTACGAATGAACATGTTCATGAATATTTCTATATGGATGATGGCAGGGATCAAATTGCCAATATATTTTCAATTTCATCAAATATGTTGTTAAAATTGATAGATTTTATTTCAAAATATTTCTGTTTATAATGTACCAAAGATTATACACCATTTACAACTATTACAATGAAAACATTTTAAATGTCAACCTAAAACATTTACAAGTGAGTTCCTAGTTTTTGAAAATTATATAAAAGGCAATTAAAAAAAGAAAAAAAACACTGTCTTGGAACACACATACCCCTGTAACCATCCACCTAGAATTTGGTGAGTCCGATGGGAAAGGCTTTCCAGTATTCATATTTGTGGACCCATGTTTTAGCTGAGTGGTAGGAATACAGTTATTTCATTTCTGAGTGTTGAATAAATATAGTGTCATATTTGAGTGAAGATTATAGGACTTAGAAGATCTAGATATCATAACATCCAAAACAAGCTATAGGCAGGGTTTTCACTTCTATAATTCTTGGTCTTCATTCATAAAAATCGAGACCACATTAATGCTTACTTCAGAGGAGCTGAATGTCAGCAGAGGCTAAAAAATGTAGAGTTTACTGGATCATATTAAGAATTACAAGTTTTATTTGAAATAATATTTCCATCTAAATTATCTTTCTAAACATCTAAAGAATGGGTCAAGCATAAAGACTAGTCTATCTAGTTGAAGTACGGAGAAGGAATTGTAGAGAGTAGAGGTTAGTGAGGTGGCTAATTAATAGGTTGTCATGTCAGTAGAAGTGAGAGGATAAGTCTAGCTTGCACTAGGATGCTGACATCAGAGAAGGAGAGAAATAGACTCAAGAGGAATTGGCAGATAAGTGTCTCAGAATATATTGATGAATGCAAATGAGGACAATTTATGGACAGCCAGAATTCTGGTCTGAACAGCTGGATAGGTGGTGGTGCCACATAACAGGAGGGATCATTGAGGGATACAGGAGAATCAGGTTTAAGGGTGAAGATCATGATTACAATATTGGTTAGGTTGAGTTGAACCAGTCTTCGGGACATGGAAGTGAATGTGTGAAGGCAATTGGATGTATCAAGTTGGAGATCAGGCAGGATGTTCTGATGCTATAGATGCTGATGAGAAAGTCACTGTTAGTAGAATGCTCTCCTGCTTTCTACTAACAAAGATAAGAACTGAAGTCATTTGCATGGAGTCGGTGGAGGGAGAGAACTTCAGGTGTAGACTCTGAGGATCATTAAGTTGAAAATACTTATTGTGTAGTGTGGATGAACACATTATCTAGAGTAACAGTGTGCTGAGAGTAATTGCAAATCCTCAACCTCAATCCAGAGGTTGAATGAACCTGAAAATAGTTTGTTGGAGGCTGGCCTCCATTACCAGGGAACATAGAGAGCTCACATTAATTAGTGTGCATTTTTGAAATTCTAATAGTCTTTTTTTTGTTGAGCTGTTAAAACAAATCAAAGCAAAACAAAAAACCTCATTATTCACTGAAAGTTGCTAATAGAAGATATGGGCTTATATCTGAATAATCGTCATATGGATTTATACCTGAATTGCACCTTTCCTAAAAAATATAATGACCTTTGTGTTTGTGTGTGAAAGTAATGTATAAATTCCTGGAGTTAAAAGAAACTAACAAAAAAGAAGTAATTCAATCTGGGAAATCAAAAGCTGATGTATATGTGTGTGGATAAGTGTGGAGTGACAGGAGTTAGAAGTAGGGGAGGCATATCCGCATCTGTGGAAAGGGACTTCCAGTCATATCAATTGAAGGAAAGTTTGGAGGAAAGCTTTGGAGCTCTATTCCTGTCTTTTGATATTAACTTAAGAGGATTATTGCCCTTCCATTCATTACGGAAATCCTAAGCAAGAGGCCAGGTTGCTCAATGATACTGAGTAAAACTAGGACAGCATAGTAACATTAATGTATTAATGTAGTAAGGAGCTGATACCAACCACACCAGAATAATAAGTTTTCCTTCTGTGAGTTTTCCTTTCCATCCCATTATCCTTTCAATCTCAAAGATAATGGAGTGGAAGGGGGGAAGCTAAGAAGATATTCTCCTCTCTCAGTCTGGTCCCAGGGAGGAAAAACTTTTGATATTTGTATGTATGGGGTCTTCTCTGATACAGTATATAGAAAAGAGCAAGAAAAGCTGAGGTAGGTATAAAGATTAAATGAACAGCATTGCAGTTGCCACAGTAATGTCAGCCACTCCCATAAGGAATTCTAGAGCCCTTTAGAGATATCACTAATTGAGGCCAGGGAGCCAGGCCTTTGAATGCTGCAATGACCAATTATTGTACACCAATCACTGGACACAGAGAAAGAGATGGGATAGTTCCCTTAGGTTGAGATCAATTTCTGACAAGGGATGCAGGCAACACTGCCAGTAGATAAGAAAATAAGGGCCCCCATCCTGAAGGATGACATAAACAGCACCTCATTATAACCAATACATTTTCTTTCAGGTTACTCTTTTCTTTCAAAGAAATGTAAGGTGAGTATTGTCCACTCTACCCAAAAGAATCTACACATTCAATGCAATCCCTGTCAAAATACAAATGACATTCCTCAAAGAAATATTTTTAAAAATCGTAAAATCTGTGTGGAACTACAAAAGGGCCCAAGTAGTCAAAGAAAGAAATTTTGAGCAAAACAGACAAAGAAACAAACAAAAAGCTGCAGACATCATGCCACCTGATTTCAAAATATACTGCAAAGTTATAGTAACCAAAATAAAATGGCATTGGTATAAAAATCAGACACATAGATCAATGGAACAGAAGAGATAATCCAGAAATAAATCCACGGATTTAGAGACAATTGATTTTTGAGAAAGACATCAAGAACATACATTGAGGAAAAGACAGTATCTTCAATAAATGGTGCTGGGATATTTGGATATCAATATTCAGAACAGCTAAATGAGGCCCTTTAAACAAAATTTAACTTAAAATTATTAAAGACTTAAATGTAAGATGCAAAACTATAAAAGTAATAGAAAACAAGTTAGGGAAAATTCATCAGGACATTGCTCTAGGAAAAGATTTCATTGATGAGACCTCAAATGCACAGGCAACAAAAGTTAAAACAGACAAACAAGAATATATCAAACTAAAACTCCCTGCATAAATAACAAAGGAAACAACAGCGTGAGGAAACTATCTGTAGATTAGGAGAAAATATTTGCAAACTATGCATCTGACAAGGGACTAATACCCAGAATATATGAGGAACTCAAACAACTCCATAACAACAACAACAAAAAACAATCCATTAAAACACAGGCATTTCTGAGTAGACATTTCTCAAAAGAAAGACATACAAATGATCAACAAGTATATAAAAAATCCATCACAAATCATCAGGGAAATGCAGATTAAAGCCACAATGAGATAATATCTCACCCCAGTTAGAATGGCTACTATCAAAAAGACCCCCCAAAAAATTTGTGCAGAGAAAAGGGAATTCTTATATACTGTTAATGGGATATAAATTCATACAGCCATAATGGAAAATAGTAGAGTTTTCTCAAAACACTATGTATAAATTTTCCATATTATCCAGCAATCTTACTATTGAATATTTATCCAAAGAAAAGAAAATCAGCTTATCAAAGATATATCTGAACTCCCATGTTTATTGAAGTGCTATTCACAATGACCAAGATACAGAATCAACCTAAATGTCTATCAACAGATGAATGAATAAAGAAAATGTGGTATATATATATACACAATGGAATACTATTCAGCCATAAAAAGAATGAAATACTTTCATTTGTGGCAACAGGGATAAGCCTAAAGGACATTATGTTGAGTAAAGTAACTCAGGCACAGAAAGATTTATACTGAATGTTCTCACTCATATGTAAGAACTGAAAGAAGTTGAACACATAGAAGTGGAGAGAATTGTGGTTATTAGAGGCTTGGAAGTATGGGTGGGTAGGGAGAAGTTGGCTAAGTCATACAAAATTACAGCTAGATATGAGGAATAAGTTCTAGTGCTCTATAGCACTGTAGGGAGAATATAGTTAAAAGTAGTTTATTATATATTTTTAAAAGCTAGAAGAGAGAATTTCGAATGTTCCCCAAACTGTTATGAGTATGCTAATTATCTTTATTTATCTTGATTACCTTAATTGGATCATTACACATTGTACCCGTGTATTGAAATATCACTAGATGCCAGAAATATTATTTAGGTTGGTGCAAAAGTAATTGTGGTTTTGGGCTGTGAATTTTAAATCATTATAACTAGGCTCAAACACATCTTTATTAATCAAAATAGGAGTCATTATAATCAACACATTTTTGCCAACAAAAAATTAGTTTGCTTATTCCTGTAGCATAAAAATATGTGCTTCGGAATTCGACAAACTCTTGGAAAGCATTTTCTGCATCCTGCTGGTTGTGGGAGAATTTTCCCTGCAAAAAGTTGTCGACATGCTTGAAGAAGTGGTAGTTGGTTGGAGGGAGGTAAGGTGAATATGGCAGAAAAGGCAAAGCTTTGTAGCCCAATTCGTTCAACTTTTGAAGCATTGGTTGTGCAACATGTGGTCAGGCATTGTTGTGGAGAAGAACCAGGCCCTT
This sequence comes from Homo sapiens, assembly GCF_000001405.40. Classification (NCBI taxonomy): domain Eukaryota; kingdom Metazoa; phylum Chordata; class Mammalia; order Primates; family Hominidae; genus Homo; species Homo sapiens. The sequence continues at coordinate 13,284,155 of NC_000021.9, forward strand.
TATGTTGACCAGTGCCGACTGCAGGCTTTGCAGTTTTTGGTGTATCTCACTGATTTGCTGTGCATACTTCTCAGGTATAATGGTTTCACCAGGATTCAGACAGTTGTGGTAAATTAGACCAGCAGCAGACCACCAAAAAGTGAACATGACCTTTTTTTTGGTGCAAATTTGGCCATGGGAAGGGCTTTGGAACTTCTCAGTCCAACCACTGAGCTGGTCATCACCGGTTGTCATATAAAATCCACTTTTCATTGGACATCACAATCTGATCGAGAAATGGTTTATTATTGTTGTGTAGAATAAGAGAAGATGACACTACAAAAAGTCAAATTTTTGGATTTTCACTCAGCTCATGAGGCACCCACTTATCAAGCTTTTTTGCCTTTCCTATTTGCTTCAAATACTGAACCACCATAGAATGGTTGACATTGAGTTCCTTGACAACTTCTCATGTAGTTGTAAAAGGATCAGCTTCAATGATTGCTCTGAATTGGTCATTGTCAATTTCCAATGGCCAGCCACTGTGATCCTCATCAAGGCTCTTGTCTCCTTTGCAAAATGTCTTGAACCACCACTGCACTGTATGTTCGTTAGCAGTTTCTGGGCCAAATGCATTGTTGAGTTTGCAAGTTGTCTCTGCTGCTTTATGACCCACTTTGAACTCGAATAAGAAAACTACTGGAATTTGCTTTTTGTCTAACATCATTTCCACAGTCTAAAATAAATATCAAACAAACAGCAAGTAATAAGTCATTAGCAAGAAAACATGAAGCAAAAAATGCCCATTAAAACACTATATAACATAAGCACATTAATTTAAGAATGTATTCCAATATCAAATGGCAAATTCCAACAGTGAAAAAGCCGCAATTACGTTTGCACCAACATAATAAAATTATTACATGTCAACTAAAAATAAGTGAAAAAATATGAATAGAATTAACAAGAGTTATCCTTTGCAGAAACCAATTCTATTCTATGAACTGTCAAATATGATCAACATATCCTTCACATCTACGTTCAAATCAAAGGTAGAGAACAGTTCATTGATGTGTTATGATAAGAATAAGACTTATAGGTGGATTTGCAAACTTTGGGGAGTCATTCATGATGAGTGTAAACAAAATTTATTATCTTTGATGAGCATTCAAACCAAGATACACACAATTCATAAAACATGACTAGCTTTTAAAATTCCCTTATTGGCTGCAATGGTTGTTTCTTTTAAATACACAAAAGGGGCCTGGTGAGATCTGAAACACCTGGGTGACAGTGGCATCAATCAAATGTCTCTTTCATCCATTTCTTTACCCTGATGTAAGAAATCTAGACGCTTGCAAAACGTTCCCTTTAACAAGATGAACCACATTTGTCTGTAACTACAGTAATAGTTTATTCAGAAATTCATGCCCCTAACATCTGTGGGGCTCGGGACAGGAAATCAAATGTAAGTCTGCATACCATATGTCTAAATACTTAAAAGTTAATAAATCAACCTAAAAACCCATTAAATATATTCTATTCTTCTACATTGACCAATATAGCTTTATAATGATCATGTGCAGATATGTGTAAAGCTACCATTTTCAATCTAAGAACATCTGCAAAATATCAAATACCACTGAATTTTATTATTGTTGTTCATGTCAAGCATCTTGGAGAAGGCCATGTTGTCTGGATTCAGCAAGTTGTTTTCTGATTAAAAGGCAAATGTGCTTTTGCCATTTACAAAGAATTGTATTACAGCCTATGGAAATACATATTGTTTTAACATTTACCCAAACTGTGACTTTCAAGTTTTGGAAATTACTAGGAAATGCACCAGCTAAAAGTCAAAGGGATTATTGTTAGTTTTATCTCCACTATTTTTACTTCAGTATCAATGATGAAGTCATTGCAAAAGCAAGAAAAGGATAATGTCAACCAGGGCAAACACAAAATGAGCAGGTATATAATATGTTAAAACCCTCCATGGTTTACTTTGTTTCAATACCTGTAATAAAAATGTTTGATTTTTCCTAGAAGAGTCTCTATCCAGTTTAAAACTAATTTCTGTGTACCTGTTTTTGAGTTTTATTATCACCATCAAATAAGCAGTTTAAAATAATAAGCCCAGATCTTATTTATTAAAATTTATGGGCCATTTTTCACCAGGAAAAGGGAAGAATCTTCTGAACAGCCTTGTATACATCAGACAAAATATGCATAATGAGGGCAGTAGGTACATTTAAAATTATAGGGTGACACACTGACTTCCTTTAAAAGTAAACGAAGAGGGAGGAAAATATGAGTTTTTAAATATTAAATTCCATCAAAATTCCTGATATCTGATTAAGTACGCTCCACTTTTCTTACAGGCAGATACCAATACAATAGCTTTCAAGTAATGTTTAAAATGCTTTTTTTCTCTTTGGACAATCACATTGTACCTACCTCTCCTAAAGAATTTCCCACTTTAAGACCCAGTATTCCAACACAAAGGGTACACAGATGTAAGGCCATGTAGAGAAAAGTTAAAAATAAAAACTACAGAATCTGGTACAGCTGGGGATAATTAGTGAAAAACAAGTTTTTGCCAGAAATAAAAGGAAGTTGGGTAGACAAATTTTTCTTTAGCCAGGTTTTGGAAGATTCATGGAAAGAGAACATATTTACAACCCCACCCCTTCTCTTCTATTCCATAGAATCTAGCAAAATAAACCTCCATCATATAACACTTCTTTTTAATAAAACTTGGTTGATTCTAATAACATTTGAAAAATCAATCAATTTTGAGGTTCTCTATATCTTTTTAAACCAATCCTGAAGCTTGAACATGCTGTTTGAAGACTAGAGCAATCCCTTCCAAATGTCCATATCATTTTATTTTCTGTACTTGAATGCTAGTGTCTGATAGTGCAAGATTACTATTTTACAAATACTACTTCACGTATTTTCCTTCAGAAGCAAATCTTCTTCTGGGTTATGAATTTAATGACATGATGTTGTTTTCATAAAACCAAATTTTCTATCAAGATTTCATTCAATTTAATACACAGTAATCAGCATCTGCTCTGTCAGATAGTTATGTGGGGATACACGTCTTTCCACATAAGACTCAGTTTCTACCCTCAAGTCCCTTGCAGTCTAGCTAAGTAAGAAGACACAGGCTGTGTTTCCCCTTGATGATTAAAATGTTCCATGGGCTGGGAATTCTGTGCCCTAGATGTTGTCAGCACTTGATTTCTATCATTCAACAAGATTCATTCAACTTTTTTTAAATTGGTGAACTGAAAATACTTCCAATTGTATATTTCCTTTCTGTTCTCATTGCAAAAGTATTCAATCAATGAGGAAATTAATCATAATGAGGAAACTGATTGAATATAATGGCATAGCTATAAATTTATATAAAAATATATTTTTTAATATTTAGGTGCTTCAAATGAAGTTACACCCAGTCGTTCTATGAATGAGAGAAAACTGGATTTGTTCCTGTGATGCCAATTTAGACTTAGATTGGCTTAAATTTACTTTTTATTTAATCCATGTGCTACTCCTTAAATTATCAACATATAGCAACTCAAAAGGATAAGTTTGCATTAATTTATGATGCCTTGGTAAAGAGTTTGGTCTTTGCTTTTCTTTCAAGCTGGAGCCATCGCATGAATATTTACACTTTAAAATTCACAAAAGGACATTCTCACAGGTTCGCTGGAGTTTAATGAGTAGTTAATATATCTGCACCAAAGTGACAGGTAAGGAAGTGTAAGTTTTATGTAATGTTTCCATTTTGGATTTTGCTTTCTTTCTTGACATCCTTCCCTTCCATTATACTGTTACCTCTCTTACTTCTAAATATTTCCTTTTATTTCTTCCTGCAACTTTTTAATGTTGACATTAAGCCTAGGCCTGATGTGTGTTCTTTGCTTAATCTTTAAGAATCAGGTGAAGAATAAACAAGGATTTATAAAATGTTGAATTAGTGAACTGATTTGATATGACTTCAAGGCAGTTAAACTTTCTATCTACTGAAGTAATTTAACAAAGGAGCTGAAACAATTCTCTAAATCTGTACCTACCATATTGCAGAATATTTGCAACAAGTATTTTAATATCCAACATAATTTTTATAATTTTCTAAAGACCTTTTGTATAGAACACTCTTGATAATAGGTTTAATAAAGTTGCCTTACAGAAAAAAAACATTATTATTTTTACTCCAGCAGTGATAATGGAAACAGACTCCATTACATTTTACTTTCTTGAAAATGTTAAAAAAAGAAACACTGCATATCATTAATATTCCCTAAATAAGATATTTGAATCTAATTACAAGGGTCTTCAAAAATCATATAACAATTAGTTTAGAACAATTGATTTTCTCTTCAACGAGCATCTTGAAAGCATTTTCTTTGTGTGAAGAAACTTAGAAGTTTCAAAACCAACATGGTAAAATCTAAATACGCTTTTATTTCTGTAAATTAAAATTATGATTTAAGAATATTTATTCCTTGACATGCCTCTATTGTATTCTGTAATCAAAACTCTAGAACAAAAATAAAGTGTCTCTCATTCTAGTTTCCAAACAGAATAACAATTGACACTTAACATTTATTTTATTTAAAGTCCTGTTGTAGAACATTCCACTATGGAACACTGCTTATGATTGGGAAAATTCTTTCTTCTTTAATGCAGGAAGTGTTCAACCCTGACACATGCATGGCAAAGACATCCAGGTTGCACAATTGTCTAAACTCCCCGCCAATTACTTGGACCAGGACTCCCAAAAACTTTACGTGCTTTTGGCTTCTGCTATGCTCTTTAAAACAACATAGTCCTAACAAACTGCATTCCACTGCTAAAGAACAACCCTGACTCCAGATAATCAGTCACTGAGGTCCTTGCCTTATAACCACCATTTGTTCAAAACAGAGACCCTGTGTCCTTTTAGCTCCTCTTTTTGTCAGAGGCACATTCCAGATAAACACCACTCTTGCCCTTCCTCTCATGGGTCTTTAACTTTTCTGCATGTTTCTCTCTCTGCCTAGGATGGCTATTTCTACCAATCACGTTAAAGTGACTAACAGAATATTTAAATTTCTTCAACATAAATGATAGTTTATGGATAGCAACTATTAATGGGGGTTTTTTTTTTGGTTTGTTTCTGGGTTTTTGTTGTTGTTTTTAATTAATTAATTTTATTTTATCTTATTTCTTTTTAGCAGCACCATCTCACTTGCCACACAAGCTGGAGAGCAGTGGCATGATCATAGATTACTGCAATCTAGACCTCCTGGCCTCAAGCTATTCCTCCACTTCAGCCTCCCAAAGTGCTAGGATTACAGGCATGAGCCACCACACCTGGCCAAATATTTAGCTTTTTAAAAGAAAGGAGTTGGTCATTATTTGTAAAGAAATCTGCCCATTCCCTTAGTAAAATCAGCCAGGTCAGTTACCGGTTCAGGGATTAAAATAAATAATTTGTAGTTGTGTTATAATAGACACTATTTTCCAGGGTCGGCAATGGTAAACAATGCCCTTTAAGGGGAAATGATTAGAAATAGAAACTTCGAGCACCCTGCCATAGTGAAATGTGGCCCTCTATGGTAAATTAAAGATGGCCACAAATATTTTCCTATGTTATATTGAGAGGTGAAGTCCATTTCCCCTCTCCTTGAATTTGTGCTGGCCTTAATGATTTGTCCAATAGAAGGCACGAGGGATAACATTCTTAGACTTCTCAGGCTAGCTCAGAAGAAGTCTCATAGCTTCCACTAGATTTATTAGAATGTTGGTTCTCAGATCATTGAGATGCCATGTAAGAAGTTAGACTATCCTAAGAAACTACAGGAAGACCCTGAGATGACCTGAAGCAAGAGAGAGACATAGCCATCCAACAAGCCTCAGCTGTTTCAGGCCCTAAAGATTTGAGTCATCCTAGCTGAGGTTCCAAATGTTGGGATCAGGTACGTGTTATCTTTACTGAGCTCTGCCCACATTGTAGATTCATAAGCAAAATAAATGATTGTTGTTATTTTAATCCATTAAGGTTTTATTTCTTAGGGGAGAAGTGTTACTCAGCAATGGCTAACTGGAACATTTTCCATTATTATTGATTATATGAGTTTGAAATTATGAAAATTGTTGGAGAGTTTCCTTATCAAATCTTTCCTATGTAGTAATATAGTTGGAGCCATCACAAAGCCGAATTTTGAAGTGGGTAAAACTTGTCTTTTATGCCTTCTATTTTAAATCTCTCTCTCTCTCTTTCTCTCTGTATGTATGTATATATATACATACATATATGTACATTCTCCACTTATGGCATTTCCTACCAACTGAGCAGTTTAACAGAGACCCAAAGCTCCCCATGGACTGCTTCTCACTGCTTTTTCCAAATAAACCCTATTAGAAAGTATAATTTTAAATGTATCTAATTTCATCCATTTTTAGTTGTGACTGGTCATTCCTACTTGGTTATTTATTTCTTCTTCTTCCTTCTGCAAATATCATTACTTCTTCCTTCTGCAAATATCATTACTTCTTCCTTCTGCAAATATCATTTTCTGTTCTCACTATCTCTACATCAGTTCTGAAACAGATAATTACTAGATCACATCTGTTTATCCTAAATTCACCCAGGCCATTCTCTACATTGCATCCAGGAGTCTTCCCTGAAATATAACTATTAACACTGATCTGCTTTGTAACCCTCCCCTTCACACATCATGTATAACACATACACACACGCGTGCACACACACACACACACTTCTTTAGAAAAGAGACTAAATTCTTTAAAATATTTTACATAGTCCTTAAAATTTGTTTTCGATTTTCGCTTCACTCTTATTACTCTCTCACCATTACCCTAAACTCAATTGGAGTTCTAATTCCAAGAAACATTCATAGCTCCTTGATGTGTGCACTCTCATTTCCAAGTCTCTGAAAATGTTTCTTTCACGAGTTTCTCTGCTCTATGGAACTCACTGAATCTCTCTGCCTTTTCTTGTACCCTTCAACCTTCCAGGTTTCCCACTGTCCCTCAGTCAAAACAACTATTGTGATAAAGACTTCCTGGACTCATCTCTCTTAATATTATATAATCTTTCTATTTAATCCCATAGAAGTGATAGATATCTCTACAATATCCCTAATATTATTATTTGGTTTTCAGTATATCATAAATATCTAAGTGCCAGTAGAGTGACTTATTCACAATCCTTTGTAATCCTAGTGACCTGGATAGAAGAGGAAACAAGTCTGTTAGATGGATAAATATATAAGTGAATGATTATTTTTGTTTGCCCATGTTGAGCTATGTACTTAATATACAAGAAATATAATTTTAATATCAAAACTATTATTATTATATTAATATTACTATAGCTACTTTTAATCTTAAATTGAAAGATTTCAAAATGCATTTTTGTAGGATTACTTCCTAATTCTTTCTCTTTGGGTAAAAGCACACAAAAATTTTCCAGTTTTACCATGAGCTGACATGTTTTTATAACATTTCTGTAAAATATCACTCTAACTAGACTACTTGTTTATGTAGTAGTATAGTAGTTTCCCTTTAAGGAATGTATAAGAATTATATATTGCTGTTAACAAATTAATAAGATTTTTGTTGTTCCTAGCATTTATAGAGCCCTAGATGGCCACTGGGAAATTCCTTCAAATAGTAATCTAAAATATACTTCAGTAAAGTGACTCTTGTCAGTGGCAATAAAGTAGGTCATTGTTTATGATTATTACCAAATTTTTTACATTTCATTGAATTATTTTACCATCAGAAACAACTTATCAAAACACAGCAATACCTGCTGAAATACACTTTTTTAATCTATTAATTCGTAAGTTGTATAAAATGGTGCATCTATTTTATAATTTTAGATTAATACAACCATAATCATTGGTTTATTTCTAAAAATAAAAAAATGCTTATTATTTTTAAGAACAATAATATTTATTATTTCTTAAAATAGCAGTTATCTTTTAATGTAGTCTGTTAAGCATGTTTCATGTTTAAAATATTAGATTCTAAAAGAGATATTGAGCTAAGTGAAACTATTGCTTGGAGGAAAATGGGGAGAGAAAGTGGAAAAGCAAGTAGTGGTACTAACATGAACCAGCAAAAGCTGAATCACGTCTACCAGCAAATGACCTGAGTATCACAAGTGTTCCTCAGTTAGAAAACAGGTTATTGATAGGGTATCCTATCAAGGTGGAAAAGGAGAGCATCTAAACCACAAGTTTCTGACATAGCTGTTGACAAAGGCTTGAGCAATACAGCTTTATTCCAGAACAAGATGGCCTCAGCCTTCATGAATGGCCCCCAAAATTAAAATAAGCATATAAATCAGCATAGAAGATTAGGTGTTAAAGCCAAGTTTCGCCAAAGTTAATGATTCCATTTAAATGTGGCTATTGAATGTGTTCTTGACAAATGAAAAAGAATATTCCAAATTTTTTAAAATGAGTATAAATAGATGCTTTTCCTAAGAGCTAGTCTGTATCTAGAGAGGAGACAGAATCAGAACGTGGCAGAAACAGAAATCTCTCTAAAGTCCAAATAAGTGAATTTTATTTAAAAAAATTTTTTTTAATTTTTTTTTTGGGGGGGACAGAGTTTCGCTCTGTTACCCAGGCTGGAGTGCAGTGGCATGGTCTCAGCACACTGCAACCTCTGCCTCCTGGATTCAAGTGATTCTCCTGCCTCAGCCTCCTGAGTAGCTGGGATTATGGGAGCCTACCATACCACCCAGCTAATTTTTGTATTTTTAGTAGAGACTGGGTTTCTCACTGTTGGCCAAGCTGGTCTCAAACTCCTGACCTCAGGTGATCTGCCTGCCTTCACCTCCCAAAGTGCTGGGATTATAGGCATGAGCCACCGTGCCTGGCCCAAATAAATAAATTTTAAATCACTCTTAAGCAACCTACTGGAATGACATTATCAAACATCCATCAGGTACACTTAGGATGAGAGATAGGAAGACAAACATGCTTATAACTCATCAGCTCTCAATATAATTAGATTTTGGTTAAACTGTAATAAGAACATTGTACTGCATTAATTCAGTTTTGTTTTCTTTTTTCTTATGTCTTCAGTAGGAATTTATTTTGAAAAAGCTGTACACGACTTGCTTGTGTTAGAGAATCATTGTGGTCAAAGGTTATAGGAGGCAAAGAAATTCCCATTCTAGATGCAGAAGAGCCTGCAAGCTGAGCAAGATATATGTAAATGCAAGATATCAGAAACAGGTCTAGGAGTGGATGGTGACCCCTTTCTACATGTTATTCAGCTACTGCAATATATGTTAATCAAGTTGAATAATATATGTCATTCAAACCTACTAAACATCAAGCTACAATGAATGACACTGTGAATATATTTTCATTGCTCCTCTAATTATGTCTTTGATATTGATTTTGATGAATGGAACTAGAGAAGGCGTAAAAGTATCTGTATTGCTCTTGAGACATACCCAGTGCCAACCATGGTGTCACTCACGTAATAAACTTTTAACAAATATCTGTTGAATGAGTAACAGAGTGGTACAAATCAGCTGCAATGTTGTGGCAATTACACATCAATCAACAGCATATTCACTTTCATAAATGCTGGTAGACTAATAATAGGTATTTCAAATTTCACATGTCCAAAACTGATTTCCATTTTTTCCCAACCATAATATTATCCTGCTGCAGACTTTCCCATTTCAATCATCAACATCTCTATCCTCTGTTTCTCAGGTTCTACCTTCAAAATAGATATTTATGGAACCAGTTCCTTCTCACCACCTGCACTGTTGTTACCATTGTGATCCAAGTCTCCATCACCTCTCACTTAGATTATTTCCATAGCTTCTTGGCTGGCCTTTACTTCCATCCTGTGCCATCTACTTTTGGCATAGCCACCCAGTGTGATCCTCAAAAAACCTTATTCAGATCATGGCTTTCCTCTCTTCTAAGCCTCCATTGGCTGCCTTACAATGGCCTTCAATGCCATAGATGATTTACTCTTGAGCTAGATGACTAAGTAACATTATCAAACATCCATCAAGCAAAGTTAAGATGAGAGAAATGAAAAGAGGCAGGATACTCTGTAACTCAACTGCTCTCAATATAATTAGATTTTGATTGAGATACAAAGAGAAAATTGTATTCTGTTAACTTGGATTTCCTTTTTCTTCTGCTCAGCCTACCTCTTACTACTCCTCCCTTTGCTCATTCTTCTAGAAACACACTGGCTTGTGAGCCATTTCTTAACCATGCCAGGTTTGCTTCTAACCCAGGCTTTTGAATTGCTGTTTTCTTTTGCCTGGAACCATTCTTCCCATAATTATTTCCATGGCTCATTTCCTCATTTCTTTCAGGACTGGACTCAAATGTCACCTGCTTAGAGAAGACTTATTTGACTTACTACTTAAGTTTTCCCATTTTCTAGCATTCCTTATCTTCTTTTCCTGCTTTATTTTTTTCTATAGCACTTACAACCATCTAGTGGATTTTAATATACATCTCCCCTAGCCCATGACAAGAAGAAAACTACAGGAAGACAAGTATGTTTGTGAATTTCGTTTACTACTATACCTCCAGAACCTAGAACAATGCCTAACACGTAAGAGACACTCAATGAGGGTGGGTGCAGTGGCTCACACCTGTAATCCTTGCACTTTGGGAGGCTGAGGTGGGTGGATCACAAGGTCAAGAGATCGAGACCATCCTGGTCAACATGGTGAAACCCCGTCTCTACTAAAAATACAAAAATTAGCTGGGCGTGGTGGCATGCGCCTGTAGTCTCAGCTACTTAGGGGGCTGAGGCAGGAGAATCGCTTGAACCTGGGAGTCTGAGGTTGCAGTGAGCTGAGTCATGCCACTGTGCTCCAGCCTGGTGACAGAGCGAGACTTCATCTCCAAAAAACAAAAAAGGATACTCAGTGAGTACTTGTTAGATGAATGCATGAATGTCAGGAAAGCCTAATTGCCATTACTCATTCTATTGCTATATATAAGGCAATGATAATTTATTTGGCTCATCCAGAAAGCTTTAGCAAGACTGATAACAACCCCCAGGGAAGAACTCATGAACTCCATACTGCCCAACAAAATCTTTTTCTTGGCTTCTCCTTTTTTGTCACTCCTCCTCTTTTGCTTTCCTCCACCCTATGCTACCTCCTAATAAAATTCCTTGCTTGAATTCTGTCCAATGCAAGGCTCACAAAAATAAGTTAAACAGATCTTTCCAGACAACGAGTGTTTTCTACTATCCTGGAATTTCACTGCAATACAGTACATTTCGATCACACTACCTTTTAATGAAATCTTTACCCTGAATACTCAAAAAGTCATCTTCTGTATGAGCATGTCTGCTTTTAGTAGACATAAATGGCTAGCCTCTGTGACTGTTTTCTTTTTAACAATGAAAGAAGAAACAAACACAATGGACAATTATTAAACAATGGACAATTGATTAGAAAAAGCTCGCTTGCTAACTGAGTAATTCTTTGACACACAGTTTTCATCTCATTTTATTATGTTAAAAAATAGAATAACAATAATACAGTAAAACCCTGTTTTGAGGCACCATTATAGTATAATTATGGATTTAGTTATACAGCCCACCACCTCATATCCCTGATGTATCATATAGCTCAGCATATTACACAATTCATCAAGGGTAAAAATTATTTTTCCCAATCTAGGCTTAATTATATATTGAGTATGCTGCTGAAAAGTTTCCCCTACCATTATCTCTTCTCAGCATAAGGGGGACAGTGTCTGTACATTGAGAAGTTATTGGTATTGCTATTATTTTTAGCAACCTATCATCATGCACCCTCGGGGGTGAAAACATAAGTTAACAGAGATGATAAGGGACCCTTACACGTACAGAAGAAGCAGAGTGTCTGGAGCTATATATACTCAAGAGCTATGAATTACTTCAAGAGAATCCAATATGTACTAAGCAAAATTTAAAATTAAACTGCTCACTGCAATTTCAACAGTTGTAAAGTAATGTCCCCTGTATTCGTCAATTTTCATGCTGCTGATAAAGACATACCCGAGACTAGGCAACTTACAAAAGAAAAAGGTTTAATTGGACTTACAGTTCCACATGGCTGGGGAAGCCTCACAATCATGGTGGAAGGCAAGGAGGATCAAGTCACATCTTACGTGGATGGCAGCAAGCAAAAAAGAGAGCTTGTGCAAGGAAACTCCCATTTTTAAAAACCATCAGATTTTGTGAGACTCATTTACTATCAGGAGAACAGTGCGGGAAAGACCCACCCCCAAAAGTCAATCACCTCCCACCGGGTTCCTTCCAGGACATGTGGGAATTGTGGGTGTTACAAGTCAAGATGAGATTTGGGAGGGAACACAACCAAAGCATATCATCCTCTAAAGAATAATAATGTCAGTAATAATAGCAAAAATACATAGTAATGATAGCAAATAGTAATAGATGACATTAAATGGGCACTACTATGGCCACTGATCTAATTATTTTACTTGCAATAATTCATTACAGAAATAATTCTTTGCAGGATCTGAATTTTAGGGGAATACATGTCATGAAATCTGAGGATTTCTTAAAGATTATCATGCTCCCATTAGGCAAGGGAACACTCATGGTTGTTCTTGTCTTTGCCTTCACCTAAGAAAATAATGAAGGGTGGTAAATAAGGATAAGAAGGAATTCATTTATTTATTCATTTTCCTGAAATACAAATGAAGGATCGACAATAGAAATTAGGAAAAAAAAAAGAGGGGAAGTGTAGATATTTCAAGGACATAGATAACTAATGAGCTAATGAGCATTGAATCACTACTATATGTCAGGCACAGTATTAAGCATTCTACAGGTATTTCATTCAATCATTATAATGCCAAGTGAAGTAGGGATCCATTATCCTCTTCATAGTGAAGAGAAAAAGAAGCAGTTAAATATCTTGACTAAGGTCATAGTGAAGAGAAAAAGAAGCAGTTAAATATCTTGACTAAGCTAATAATAAGTGGTGAAACCGAAACAATAATCTTGTCAATCTGACTTAGCTCTCAGACATATACTACGAGCATGTTTAACCTTATTTAAAATATTTTTATTTTTTATGTGTTTCCCCATGATATTGAGCAGTAAAACCTTACAATAAAAAGAGACTAGGTGGTTTTCCTTTAGGGCAACTAGGAAGTAGGGAATAGGGAAACAGCATTCCATTCCACAGTCTACTTTGTAGAGAGAGACCAGACAGCAGGCAACAGTAGAAAAGAAGAAAATAAAACAGGATGTTTTAAAGACCTATTATAAGCAGATAAACAAAGGAAAAAGCAAGAAAAAAGGATAAAATTTTCCTACTTTGGTTTTTTTATTTTATTTGTTTTGTTGAAATTCCAAAACTTATTCTGAGTATTATTTATTACTTGCCCTTGAAAACATTAAATCGATGATCTGTTGGAAGATTAAGCCGTGAGTGTACAGTATATCCACTTAAGATGAATTAAATCCGTTATTTGTAACCATGAAAGAAACTATATGTTTTTATTTTCTTTTTTTGTCACCAACTCAAAATGCAAATACACACACTCATACACTTAAATTTAGTAAAGAGAAAACAATGATAACAATGGATTGCAGCTCAAATATCTACACATTTCTCATGAGCCTAAATAATTTGCGAGCACAAAATTATACTAGTACTTGGTTACATTTCAGGAAATATTTTAAAAAATTGATTAACAGTGATTTATTAATATTTTAGAATAGAAGATTATTGAATGTGTTGTAGATAATAATCATTTGTGAGCACAAAAGTATACTATTACTTGGTTACACTTCAGGAAATATTAAAAAATATTGATTAACAGTGATTTATTAATATTTTAGAACAGAAGATTATTGAAGATCGTGTTGTAGATTCTATTTATTTTCTATTAAATCCAAATAAGATGTATTTTCCATGAAAACTAGGTCTTACACTGTATTTGAATTTAAATCCTGGGATCATATTAATGCAGAAATTACAAGTGTGTCATTTAGCACATAATTTTCCCAGATGGAGACATTTTGCTGAATAGCAAACTGCCAAATTGAATGTACAGCATATGATAAAAGCAGTTTGAGCCCAATTTTCCCCAATGAAATCAAACAACAAATTGTGTTGATTTAATTGTGAACTTATACTTATGGATTATAACATGAAGGAATGAATTTTTCACTTTCCTGTTACACCATTGCCTTTATTTCCCATCCAGAATTACAGAGGAGTTGTAAGGCAATTAAGGGTGTTACACAGGGCTTTTGGGTGCAGCACTGGAATTTTAAAACAGGTTTAATGGCAATTTTTGATAAGTAATATACTGTAATATACCTTTTAAACTCTACATGGACTTTAAAATCTTTTATGGAAAATTCTCAAGTTTCCATAATAAAAAAACGCTCTGCTTTCTTTGGGGAATATTTTTGGGAAAAATAACTTAGTTCAATTTTCATGGAAAAAATACCTAAATAGTAGTATTGCTGTTCAAATTTTGTCACATTTCTTTTTGTGGGTCTTTTGAAGTAAATCAACAGGTTTATGTAAACATTATGATTTGGCTTCTCCTAGATGTTAGAAAGAAGCAGTGTGTAAGTAGTGACGTACTTGGGCTTTACGTAAAGAAATTGTGCCATTATTTCAAGCCAGATATAGCTTCTGTATCAACAAATGGAACACAAATCTTTAGTCTAGGACTTAAGAGTGGGGGAAAAAGGGAAAAAACAACTATAACACTTAAATGAAGTCTTTGTATCTTAGGTTTGTTGACCAGGGTATTATACATATCTAATGCTACTAAAATTATGATGTTATTGAATACTCAAGTTAATTCAATAAGTGGTGGTTATCTGTAGTAATCATAGAGAAAGGAACTATTACTATGAGGCACCTGCGGGTACAGCACCCTAGTAGTAAGTTAGAGTAGAGGTAAGTATCTGAGCAGCCCATTCTGCTTTCCTGTGAAAAAGCAGGTATGCTTTCCTGTGAAAAGCAGGTATTTGCTAAGCACACCAAGGTCTAAGAATGATACACATTGAGAAGTTTGAACATTATTACATCTTGATAGCAGTTATGAAAATTGTTAAATGAAGGTTCTTACGGTGCACTTAGAAATCACTCTTTAATCCAAGATGTGATTTTCATTTCCATTAAGCTTCCACCCACACATACTAATGTCTTCTTAACTTTCTGTATAATTCCTTGGCCTTTTCATATAGTATCTTAGGTTATGTTAGTCTTTAATTTCTATCTGTTTACTTATAGGACACATTCAGCTACCTGTTAGTCACACCACAAATCTTTGTGCAGACACTTGGAATCTATTCCTAATTGCCTTCACAGTTGATTATCGTGGAGTCAGCTACATAAGAAAGAGCCACTCTAATTAGTGCAGCTGATTCCTATGTTGAGCTGCTAACATCGATCTGTTTGAAAGTCACTTTTTGTGCATTTACACTCAAGTTCTTAAGCAATGATGACAGCAGTACCCTAAATATTAAAAAAGAAAGAAAGATAGAAAAGAAAAAAGAAAAGAAAATAGCGTAGAAAAGTTGGGTAGAGTTTATTCCATGGCATAGTCATTTTAAAGCAGGTAGTTTTTGAGAAGGTGTTTTTTGTTGTTGTTGTTGTTTGTTTGTTTTTGTTGTTGTTGTTATTGTTGATTTGTTTGCTTGTTTGGAGAAACCAGCAAAGTAGAACTCCAAAGTCCATCTTTTAGCATTGTACCTCAGGATTTTCAATTCAGACACAATGTATATGGGTTGTGTCTGATCATTGAATGCAAATCATTAAAAATAACTATATGGAGCCAGGAAATAAGAAAACATTTTATGGCTCTCTAGAAGACAGACTGGGTGTCTGCTTCTGCATGCCCTTTTCTTTTCTTTCTTTTTTTCTTTTTTTTTTCTTAGTCTCTAGGATAATGCTGACATCATTGCTTAAAGTTCTGAATGTGACTGAGAATAATCATTTCACAGAAAATATCCCCAACGGGTCTGTCATCTGGCAAACAGCTAGGAATATCTTTTGACGTCTTGCTTTGCAGAACAACAATAATCTCTCACCACCTGTCAATTCCACATGTCTCATCCCCTGCCCCTGGTGATTCTTGGCAATCAGCAGCCAGTGCCTGTCTAATAGCACTTCTGCCTGCTTCTAGTGTAGTGCTTCAAACTGTCCTGTTTCTCAGAGAGCAGACACATTGCCTAAAATGAAATCTTAGAGGTACTGTCCACACTCTGTCAGTAGACAAAGGAATCAGAACTACTCAGACTGAAAATAAGGTGCAAGGGGGTGTAATATGGATGTAATATGGACTTGCATACATGCTCCTTTGGCATATGTTTCCCTCCATAAAAAAATTAAGTTGTAAAATATGTTAATGACATCATTGAGGTAGATAAAAAGGAGCAAAGAAAGCCAAGAAGTTTCACATGATACATTTTGAATTTAGCAAAATGTGGTTTTACTAGGAAACAATCAAATGTAGATGAAAATCAAATTCATTCCATATTTCTCCCCAGGAAATAATGATTAATAAGTGAGTGAGCTCTGAATTCAAACAAACTTTGGTTAATGAGGAAAATACAAGCTTTGACTGTAGGCAATGGTCTTGACATATATTTTTTTTCCTCCTTTCTGGAATAACTCTTGCCTCATGATTCATTGGTGGGATACCTATGAATGAATAGTTGCATAATGGTGAAGAGATTGTGTATGTATTTTGTAGCCTTTCATTTTCTTCTGTCTTCCCTGATTAGTCATGTCCATTACCCAGCTAGCTCTAAAATTCACATCCTAATTGCTCATTAGTTTAGTTTAGTGAAAAATGATTTAAAAATTATTATTCTACCTTTAAAAAATCTAATAGCCATTATGGTCGAAGGATAAAACCACTAAACATTACATTTAAGAAACATAAAAATCATATTTAATATAGTGGGAAATATTTCCAACTAGAAATGGCATAGATGAGAGATTTGTTTAAAACTTATATATACTATGAAAGTACAAATGCCAAGCAGCAAAACTTGTTTAAAAGTCAGTATTATTATATTTGAATAAAAATTCTTTGATAATTACTAAGCAAATTTCATCAAATGGGTTTTTAGCAATTTAAAAAAAGGAATGCAATTTGAAAATTCTCACTACATTTTAAATGTAGACATTTATGGGCAAGCATTAATCATAAATATCAACAAGTTACAAAAAAAAGCCGCACAATTTTATTGCATGAAAATTTGTTTTATGCACATATCTCTTATGATATATATTCAGAGCACAAATAAGGATAAGTATCTAGATGACTTATTCATAAGCAAGTGATATGTATGCGTCACAAGATAAATTTTATAGCTGGTAATGTTTGCTGAGGTTTCTCAAATGGCATTGAAGTTAGTCAAGGTCAAACTTCAAATCTAAACTTTAATCTTACATCCATTTCAAAGATTCTACATGCACACACACACGCATTCTAGATACCCACACACATACACACATAAACACACACACACACAGGCAGAAATGCACTTACAAGTTCCAGCCTTAGCCACTACTTGGGTCAGCCTGCCTGGGCTGTTTGTGTGTGTGTGTGTGTGTGTGTGTGTGTGTGTGTGTTTGCAAGTTTGTTACTTTTTTTTTCCTCATTACTTTTCTATTTCTTACCCACTCAAAGAGCTGCAGGAGAGGTGGGCTGTGTGGGAAAGGGGCACATCCTACCTCACTTGTACATTGACACTGGAGCAGTCAAATGTCACTGCTCTTGGGGGTCAGTTCCTCCAGCTGACTATCTCCTGTTGGTGCCTCCCAGGCTCCTTGGCAACCTCTCCTCTGAGCATCACCGTTCTGCAGTTTTCTGAGGCATTCCCTCCACAGCAAACATCCTGCCACTCAGCCTCTGCTCCATGTGCATATCAACATGCAGCCCCCGACTTGGACTTGCTTAGTCCTACCTGGTGGCCACCTTTAGTTGGGTTCATAGTGAAGGATCTGCCTTTTCTTCTATGTACTCCCGAGCCTATATCCTGCCAGAATTGTAAGTTCTATTCAGACACCTGAATAGATTGACACTGGTTTCTATCTCCTGGACCCCAGGGACCCACACTCAGTTCTCCAAAGCATCCTCTCACTGTGGTCCCCAAAGCATTCTCTGACATCATCCTTCTACCAGGGGTGGGTTAGGAAGTAGAAAGCATCCACTTCTTTCCACCTCCTGTTAGGCAGACAACTATCTTCACGGAAAACAGTACTTACAAATTCAGCAAATCTAGCAGACGATATTCTAGTACTTCTGTATAAAATATATGCATAAAATCTAGTTTTTGCCTGAGAGTGAAAATAATGGATAATATCCATTGTAACCACCCATTAGACAGAAAAATAGGTAGATATAGCAATCTGCACATATAGATAGATACATAGATATGTAGATATATAGATTATAGGTACATATGCACAGATATATTCCAAAGACTTTTGCCAACTGATATGACTTGGATCTGCCCAAATCTCATATCTAATTTTAGTCCCCATTGTTGGAGGTGGAGCCTGGTTGGAGGTGTTTGGATCATGGGGATGGATTTCTCATAAATGTTTTATCACCATCCCCTTGGTGGTGTCCTTGTGATAGTGAGTGAGTTCTTGTGAGATGTGGTTGTTTAGAAGTATGTGGCACCTCTCCCCCGCCCCCACCCCCACTCTCTTTCTCTCTTGCTCCTGTTCTCACCATGTAATGTGCTTGCTCCCTATTTGCCTTCCATTGTGATTGGAAGCTTCCTGAGGCTTCCCCAGAAACAGAGGTCATTGTGCTTCCTATACAGCCTGCAGAACTATGAACCTATTCAATCTCTTTTCTTTATAAATTACTCAGTCTCAGTTACGTATTTATAGCAATGCAAGAACAGCCTAATACACCAACTAAAGATATGTTTTGTCATTAATGACTTGAACATTCTCAACTATTCATGGCATTTAACAATGCTTCATTACAAAAAATGGATTTTTTACATTTTATGTGTTTTATTCATGATAAATGAAATGTGCTTTATTCATGATAAATTTATGTGCTTTATTCATTACAAATGAAAACTTGTTCTTTTCGTTTGTTCTTTTTATCATGAATAAAGCACATAAAATGTACCTTTCACGTTTACATTGCAGGCCCTTTTATTCCTCTCCTGCCCTTAACCTCCCCAAACATATACATCAATAAAGAAAAGAGAAAGAGAAATGAATTAGCAGTGAGCAGTAAGTGGAAAAGATACAAGTTTTTTCATGGCCAAGTCTAAAGTCATTTTGAGTTAATTAAACACAAGCTACTACTAAGCCAATAGAGGACATATTAAGTCTTTAAAAATATTAATTGTGATTTTTCTACACTAGATTTCTGTTGCTTGATTTCTCATTCATGACTAAAATTGTTAAACCTGTTAAAATATAGAAACACTTGGGAAAAGAATCTCAAAACAATCACTCCTGAAAAGTTGGCATCTTCCCTGGAAGTTTCCAGTGAGCTGAGTTATTCTCATTGCAGCATGAAGGACACATAGACCCATAGTATCATTCCTTCTGTTTGTCTTTGCATTATCATTTTCCAGTCTATGGCATACAGCAACTATTCAAATGTTTTTTGGATACCTTCATTAGCTATGGCTTCCAAACTTTTGGTTAAAATAGTAAGCTAAGCTGAGCAAGCAACATTTTGGCCTTTTCATCTTATTGGGCACACTGGTCATTTATTGCCCCTCCCCCACTCTATTCCTCTGGCACCAGCGCCAAGCATTCCCTGGATGGGGATTTGGCTGTCTGGCTAGTGGCCACTTCACTGCATGCCACACATCTGTGCCCTTGGAATCTGAGGCCTTGTCTTCATTTTAGGGCACTAGAAATATTTCTGCCAAAACTCCAAAAGTTGTTTCTTTCTTTTCTATTCTTCTCTTTTTTTCCTCCTTTTTCTTTTCTCTTTTCCTTCTTTTTTAAAAAATTTCTGAGAACAATATAAGCTACACATACATTTGATGGTCAACAGCTGACACTACTAGGAAACATATGTGTAAGAGTAGATTTCAAAGGCCTTAATGCATCTCCCAGCTCCATCTCTGACTCTGTAATGTTGTAGAAGTCACTTAAATCTCTCATCCCCTGTCGACTTAACTACAAAATGAGACCAGTTATAGAATTGTGTGAGAGGAGAAAATAGTTGATATAGATGGAAGAGCTTTGAAGATTCTGCACTCTCGCATATGCATTGTATTAGTATTACTATTAGGTCAGATGGACCCTCATCTATGACTGACCAAGATGTTGGGTACACGAGCTAAAGGAATCCAATTCACTATCCCAGGGTTGCATCGCAGTGGATTTCATACAGGCTAAGAAAAAACAAAAACGTTTTTAAGCCTCCATCCTCAGATCAAAACAATAAACAAAAAATTATGATATCCTTAACAATGTCCTGGGTTAATATTTTATTCCACAAATCAAGATTTCAGAACTCTTTACCCTCTAAGAGATAGAGATTGAACATGCCTTTATAGGCTTTGAATTTCATAACTTCTAATCTATGCTCATAACCTGGAAAATGTCATCATACTGAATGCGCTCATGAAAAGGTACTTTTAGGACCTGCCAGTGACAGTTTATACACACATCAGTCCCTTTTCAAATGTCATTTCCATTAGTATCTTACATCAGAATCACAAGTGAAATGAACATGCTGTAACCTAGTATTTTAAAAGGTTATGTTGAAGGAGTAGAGAGGCTTAAATTAATTTTCCCTTTTCTAATCCAGTAAGCCTTTACTCAATAGGATTTCCTATAATTCTATCTTAATCCATGTCTCTGTGGATGAATCAAACAGACCACAACATAGAAGAGCCTGCCAAAGTGGCTTCCTGCCAGCAGCCCTCTCTCCTCTTTAAGATAGACTTCAGATTAATGATTGTACAGTGATCCAAATCAATGAAGAAAGCAAAGAACAGACAGGTATCTCATTATCTTCTGCAAAGATCTATTTGTTTAGCCATGTTCAAATATTGCCCTAAAATGGTAAGTTGGTTAGCACATATTAATCATTTACTAGATCTATTCAATTCCTAAAATTAACGTGAATTTAATATGCAGGGGGAGTTGCATGGCTGTTTTTGTTGCTGTAGACTTGATATAGGCAGAGAACAAGCAGAAAATTATTTAGAATATCCAGTGGAATCCATCATTATATTTTTGAGACTATTAATTAGCCAAAGATTGTAAAATTATTTTCTAGCAATACCAGTTAAATGAAGTAGAAAAGTTAAATGAAGGCTAAAAGCCCACACAATGCTATCATGCTCTAAGTATTGTTCTCAATTATTGGAAGTACATATATTATAGAAGCTCAGTATGTATTTCCTAATGAACTGCTTCATGTGAATTATTTCATGCCATAATCTTATCCTTTCCTATACTTTGGCAACTGTTGAGAGGCTAGAAAAGACTGTATTATTTATTCTGAGGCCAAAATATAATCATACTTGGGTAAAAGATACTAGATGTTCATCCACTGAACATTTATTACAGCAAATTTTCATAATCCATAACACTTAGGATGTTTACATCTAATTTTTATCTTGATTGAATTCAGCATTAATAAATATGAATTTTTTTCACTAAAATATTATTTGGGCTATGAATATCCTGGCAAAAATCACCCACATAAGACTAGGTTTTTATCAATTTATAAACGAATAGGTTGATTTTGAAAAAGTTATCTTTTTAAGTATCTACAAGGAATTTAGAAAATGCAAAATATCTTATAAATTTGCATTTATAAGATATATGCCTTTGAAATTTATTGAGCTCTGAAATGTCTTGTTCACTAAATGGCCTAGAGATAATTCTCCATGATTAAAAAGTTTCTTTCTACAGGAAACTTTTTCAGAATATGAATCAATAAAATAAATAAAAAGTGTTTATTTCTGTATCTTATGTAGAAATTATTACTAAGGTAGGAATGAATCCTCTCTTAACAGTCTATACAATCACTTTATTCAATCACTTATATATTTACCAAGAAAACTACAAATCTTATACTTTGTATATAGGAAAGACTGTTAAAGTATGAGATATACCCATATTGTAATTTATTTAAGAAAACATAACTAAATTATGAAAAAATAATCAACTTTGTGATATTGCCCTATGTAAAATTTCTTCTACTTCACAGTCTATATACTACAGCTTCTCTATAAAAAATTCTCTCAGCTCTTCAAGATCTTACCTACAAATAAAAATATCTCTACATTCATCATTATTTTTTTCCTATTACCTAAAATGAAATTATTCTCTGGAAATTTTGCTCTTAATACGCCTTCCTTACTAATACAAGAAGGAATGTATCTTCTTGTAATTCCAGCCCAGCCTTTTGAGAGGCTGATAAAGGAGGATCGCTTGAGCCCAGGAGTTCAAGACCAGCCTGGGCAACATAGTGAGACTCCATCTCTACACAAATTTAAAAATTTAACCAGGCATGGTGGTGCATTCCTGCTGTCCCAGCTACTCAGGAGGCTGAAGTGGGAGAATTTCCTGGGCCTGGGAGATTGAGGCTGCAGTGAGCCATGATGGTACAACTGCAGTCCAGCCTGCACAATAAAGTGAGACCCTGTGTCAAAAGGAAAACAGAAAAAGAATATCCACCAGGAAGGCTGCAACCCTTTATAAGAAATAAGTCTCTCCTTTCCAAATTTATGAACCTCATCATTCTTCAATTGACAGAATCCTCTCAATTTACATGCTGCACATATTTTAAAAATTCATGGAAATTGACATTTCTTTTTCATTCCCTGGTATCTATCCCCATAACTTAGAAATCAGTCATGTGTGTCTATTATGCAATTTTCTGTATTTCATCATGTTTTATAGGTATTTGTGAATTTATATTGCCTTACTAAAAAATAGTACCTTCTTGAAAGCTGTCTCTTGCTATATATTGGGTTTGTATCTCACATAGTGTCACACATAGAATCCTTCACATAGTGGAAATTTGCCAGAAACAGGAAGGCATGAAGACCCATTCATTCATACCACCCATTCAGGATCATCTTTTCATGGAGAATTATCTCTAGGCCATTTAGTGAACAAGACATTTCAGAGCTCAATAAATTTCAAAGGCATATACATTCAACAACTGGATCAGTATTAGCTGAAGACAGTTTTCCAGAGATAGTTTAGAGGTACCAGTGCTCAGAGATTCTAAACCAGTATTTCTGAGGTAGAGTCCAGTAGACTACACTTTTAAAGAACTCTACATACTTTTTTAAAGCCTGTTTCACAGCAAGATTTTAGAACTAATGAATATTTTACATGACAAATTTTCTTAAAGTCTTGGGGCCTTAATATTAGCATGAAACATGAGTAAACTATGACTTGGAGTAAATAATAAAACTTGCCTAAGTTTATTGAATTATAACTCACATCTGGAGTTTGGGGTCAATACTACCTTTTACTATACCACAATTGCCTTCCATGGAAATACTTTTTTGTTTAATTATGTTTATCACTTTCTCAGGAGATATTATTCTAGATTCAAGCCTATCTAACACTCCCCCTTTCTCCTAAAGTTTTGGTCAAGGTTTTATTTGCTTGTTGGTTTAATTCTCCACTGTGGCTTACTTGAGCACACAGGGAATCTGTCTTCTTTTCTTCCCATCCCTAATCCTAACCTGATCCTAATCTATTACCTGAGAAAAACATTCATATGAGATCCTCTTTCTCCTAAGGAATCATTTTGTATATCCAGCTTTTTCTAACCACTTGTAGTAATTTAACCAATTCTCCTGGCCAACACTTGAATTAAAGTGATAGGACAAATTAATTCACACTAACCTGCTAATGAATATAAAGAAAATATAGCAGCATTCTCCCAAAATATATAAGAATTCAGTGTGCTTATACAAAAATTGAAGAAAGTACAATCATTGAGTGATAATAATTTTGCCTAGAAGAGGTATTTAGAACCATTTATATTTATAATGCAGCTAACATTTTGACTGGTGTATTAATATCATCCAGAGAAACAGAAACATATATACACACACACATATATATATACAGATGTGTATGTGTATGTATATACACGTGTTTATATATACACAGATGTATATATACATATGTGTATGTATATGTATATATATAGGCACATATAGCCTATTGATAATTCTGGAGAGAGAAAGAGAGAGAGAGATTTTAAGGAATTAGGTTACAAAATTGTGGGAGCTAGCAATTCCAAAATCTGAAGGATAGGCTAGCAGGCTGAAGACCCAGGTAAGAGTTGATGCTGCAGTTTGAGTTTGAAGGTAGTTTTCTATTAAGGCCTTCAACTAATTGGATGAGGCCTACCAACATAATGGAATGTAATCTGCTTTGGAATTTAATGGAATGTAATTGCTCAAACTCAGCTGTTTTAAATGTTAATCTTACCTAAAAAATACCTTCATAATACATGCAGGATCATGTTTGACCAAATATCTGGGTACTGATGTCTAGCCAAATGCACACATAAAATTAACCATAATACCTGGTAATACATAAAGAAAATTCATCTTACAAATCAAAATAATCTGACATTAAAATTAAGGCAATGTATCCTTACGGAGTGTTATTGTACCTCATCAGACAGCTTAACATGAAATGAGACTACTAGGACAGTACTGATGAGAAAACCGTAGTATAGAGAAATAAGATTTCATAATAACATTTCACAAACAGAAGTTCAGGGGCCTGCAGGATCAGAAACTCAATTATGTAATCATGTTTTTTTGTGAGATTTGAAAAGCAGCTTTGTAATTTATTCCAGGGTAACCATAAATCTGAATTTCATAGACAAACTTCTAGCAGCAGCAAACACGTGCATTTGAATGTATTCTAGACAAAACAGCAGAGTAAAATATAATAAAAATTTCAAATAAACTGATATCTAGTTCTTTGAAAAATGCCGTAATGCTTCTAACCCTCTCTTTTCTCTATATCTTGTGTATATACGCAAGATACCTAAAGGAACATTAGTGTGCTCTTTCTTCAATCACCTTACACAATTTTATTCTTGTCTTATTTTTCTTTTTCACACACAAACACACACACGCACACACAAAGTGTTTTCGAAGCTCAGTATGTATTTCCTAATGAACTGCTTCATGTGAATTATTTCATGCCATAATCTTATCCTTTCCTGCACTTTGGCAACTGTTGAGAGGTTGGAAAAGACTGTATTATTTATTCTGAGGCCAAATATAATCACACTTGGGTAAAAGGTACTAGATGTTCATCCACTGAACATTTATTACAGCAAATTTTCATAATCCATAACACTTAGGATGAACTTCAAAGCATGTATGGGTGTCTTGATATAGCTTGTTTGCTTAAGTAAAAGCTATGATAAACTTAATTTATCTTGAGGATACTGGAATCTGTGAGAGAGTGAGAGATGTTCCTAGATATTATTTTTGGCTTAATTTTTCAGTTTGTAAAACAATCAGAACCACTCAGCGGCTCTAGGACTGATAGAATAGAGGTATGAAGTCTTCAGGAAACGTACGCCTTCTAACATAGCTGGACCTGAGGTCCAGGTCCAGCACTATTACAGATGGAGGACGTGTGTCTAGTCTCAAGTAGGGGGATTGGCCAAGGAAAACTGCGTCAGACAACCAAGTCAGGATTTCAGGCACAATGGTGTTATGGGATCCTTGGGGGTGTAGATTTTCTGGCCTAAAACCTCTGTCCAGTGGTGCCTTTTCCTGAGTTTTGCTCAGCTCGCTGGGCTAGTTCCACCCACTCAGCCTGGCAGGCTGTGCTTGGCTCAAGCTACTAGCCTGTATCCCATGCCTCCCAAGGGTGAGTTAGGCATGGAGTGGTGAGGGGTGTGTCAGCAAGCGTGAGGTCCAGCCTCTATGCAGTCAGACCCTTCAGCTACTGCAATGCAGGCAGCACCAGGTGCGGGCATGGGTGCCAGCTCTCTGCAAGGCTGCAGCTGGACAGGCACCCCACAAGCAGCTGACACTGGAGAATGTGGTGGCACCCAGAAGCTCTGAGATGCCAGGAACCACAGGGCCTCAAAGAGGGACTAACAGCCCTGGTTCGGAGAGCTCCCAGGTCTGGGCTCCTACAAGGGCTGTAGCTCTTCTCTCCCTCTCCGCCCACAACGAGGTGAGCAAAGGGCATGTTTCAGTCCTGTTTGTGGGTTTGTGGTACAGCTCTTCTAGACTTGCCATTTGGCAGGCCCCAAGTTCTCGTCCTGCAACCAGAAAGATGAGGCACACAGACAAGTGGAGGATGAGCAAGAGGAAGAAGAGCTTTATTGAGCAGTAGAATAGCTCAGAGACCTGCTGTAGATAGCTCTTTTCTGTAGCCAGGGTGTCTGGACGAGTGTTCAGCTCTCAGCAGAGTGTAGAAAGCCCTGGGTTAGGTTGCTCCTCTCTGCAGACAGGTCTCCCTGGAGTGGAAGCTCCTCTCTGCCGCTGGTTGTCCCTACATTCTCCAGCTATCAGCAAAGTAGCTCCTAGCTCCTCTCTGCAGCTGGTTATCTGCTTCTCTGCTCTGCTGTGGCTGAGCCCAGGGCTTCTGTGGGCCTCAGAGCGGGGAAGGGCATGCTGATTGTTACATGGGCAGCCATGGGCAGGCCCACGTAAAAGCACCACAAGATCCCCCTCAGACTGGCAGCCTGCCCCCAGGCTTCAGACCTTCCCCGGCCTAAAGGCGGGGCTTCACGGGGACCTGCCCCCTTCTGCCCATGAACCTGCCATCTTTCTACTGCTGTTCAAGGCAACCAGGCTGCCTGACTTTGCTCCTATCTCCTGGCACAAAAAAAGAGAGAAACCAGACATCAAGAACAGGCACCTCCGAGCCTGCAAGGACAGGGGCCTTCCTGAGCGAGAGTGCAGGGAGGTTTTCCCAGGCCTCCAAGAGTGTAAGGATGCCTGAGTCTGTAGCCGCTGTTTGGGCAGCTGCAGCTGCACCCGGGAGTGGGGCAGGACTCCTGCCTGCTCCACGGAGCGAGGCTGGGTATGCAGCCCTGGTTTGGGCAGCTGCAGCAGCACCCGGGGAGCTACCACCCCAACTCAGAAGGGGTGGGGCTCCAGCTTGTCCACAGTCCCCTGGCTCCACACAGTAGGCAGCCCCAACCGCGCCTCCCTGCTCCAGCCGGGTGATGGCAGTGGCAGGTTGTCTGGAGGGCTGCTACCATCACGGGAACCAAATGAAAGTAAAAGTAAGCCACAGTGCTTAGAACGGTTTCAGACAGGACAGAAGCCAAATTACAAAAAGATGGAGGCATAAGGTCAAAGATAGACTGTCATATCTTGATTTAACTAATTATTGTATGAATTGAAGAAATGAATGCCCTAGAAGATAGCAGCTGAGCCTGAAGATCTGAGTAAAATAAATCAGTAAGTGGGAGAGAAGAAACAAGACAGTAGGAAACAAGGGGCCAAGACGTAAGTTAGGTGTGGAGTACCCAGTAGCTCTGTCAAAGTGGGTCAGTAACTGTGCAGGTCACTGTAGAAAATGTTGACTTCAACTTCCTCTTTAAAATCCTTCTGGAATCTGTATTTAAAAATGAAACAACACTATCCTAAACATTTTATGTGGATAGAAATTTGTTTTCTTCCCCAGATATGTTTGATTTGTGTCTTAAGTTTTAATCCTTTAGATATTTTGGTACCATAAACAGGAATGCAGTTAGTACAGTGTATTTTGTAGACAATAGAAAACAGCAAGTATATTTTTCAACCCTAAGAAACTGTACTGTAAAGTTTGGTGGGACTTCTGTATCCACCACATTTAAATAAACTTAATAAAGATATAATCTGACACTACAAATGCTACGTAACATATATAGTTCTTTTTTTTTTTTTTTGAGACAGAGTCTCGCTCTGTTGCCCAGCCTGGAGTGCAGTGGCGCGATCTCGGCTCACTGCAAGCTCCGCCTCCCAGGTTCACACCATTCTCCTGCCTCAGCCTCCCAAGTAGCTGGGACTACAGGTGCCCGCCACCACGCCCGGCTAATTTCTTATGTATTTTTTAGTAGAGATGGGGTTTCACTGTGTTAACCAGGATGGTCTCGATCTCCTGACCTCGTGAGCTGCCTGCCTTGGCCTCCCAAAGTGCTGGGATTACCGGCGTGAGCCACCACACCTGGCCACATATATAGTTCTAAACACACACACAGAGACACACACAGACACACACACACACACACAGAGACACGCAGACACACACACACACAGATGCAGTCATAGTGCACTACAGCTTCAGACTCCTGGACTCAAGTTAACACACTGTTTTCTCATGGTGCCTTCTTTTCACTGCCCATCCCCCTTTGCAAAATGTTCAGCAATATACTCTCAGTGACATATTTTTTCTATAATTTCAATTCCATTCAAGATTAAATATATCGGCCAGGCACAGTGGCTCACGCCTGTAATCCCTGCACTTTGGGAGGCCAAGGTGGATGGATCACCTGAGGTCAGGAGTTTGAGACCGGCCTGGCCAACGTGATGAAATCCAGTCTCTACTAAAAATACAAAAAATTAGCTGGGCATGGTGGCAGGCGCCTGTAATCCCAGCTACTGGGGAGGGTGAGGCAGCAGAATGACTTGAACCCAGTAGGCAGAGGTTGTAGTGAGCCGAGATCGCACCACTGCACCACAGCCTGGCCAACAAGAGCAAAACTCCATCCCTGCCTCCCCCCAAAAAAGATTAAATATATTGCTATTCATAAAATTACCTCAAATATCAAAACCTGTAATACAGTAGGCTTTGGGCATTCAGAAGGAATCCTGAGACCTCTATAAAATCTTAAATTCACAAAGCATGTAATTTTCTCCCTAAAATATGGACAAGACATAACAAAGTGCCACAAAATCAGGTCAAGATGTAGAAGCTTGGCAGATTGTGTGCATAGGCCTTGAGTTAATTCCCAGAAGCTCTTACAAGAGTATCACAATTTCTCAAATTAGTGTCTTAGTAAAATTAAAATGAGATTCTAGGGTCTTTAATCACTAATTATGAAGAATGTTATATGTCTGACCTATAGACGTTTTAGGAATTTGAATTTTATACAATTTTTGCTAATAGATCCCTCCATTCTTTTCGAGTAAAGCCCACTATCTTCATCCGAAAAAAAAAGAAAGATTTTCTCAGAAAACCCTTGTGTATTGTTGGTAGGAATGTAAATTGGTACAGCCATAATGGAAAGAAGTATGGAGGTTTCTCGAAAAATTAAAAATAGAGGGCCGGGCGCAGTGGCTCATGCCTGTAATCCCCAAACTCTGGGTGGCCAAGGTGGGGGAATCACTTGAGCCCAGGAGTTCAAGACCCACCTGGCCAACATGGTGAAACCCCATCTCTATTAAAAATACAAAAATTGGCTGGGCATGGTGGTGTTTGTCTGTAATCCCAGCTACTTGGGAGGCTGAGGCATGAAAATCACTTGAACCCAGGAGGCGGGGGTTGTAGTGAGCCAAGATCACGCCAGGGTACTCCAGCCAGGGCGAGGGCAAAACTCCATCTCAAAATAAGAAATTAATTTTTTTAATTAAAAATAGAACTACTATATGACCCAGCAATCCTTCTTCTGGGCATATACCAAAAGGAAATGAAATCGGTACTTCATAAAGATATCTGCACTCCAATGTTCATTGCAGCCAAGATATAGAAACAACGTATCTGTATATGAATGGCCAGAGAAAGATATCATGATACATATACATATGCACATCATGTAATGGAATATTATTCATCCTTTAAACAAAAGAAGGTGATCCTACCATTTGAGACAACATAGATAACCTGGAGAACATTATGCTATGTGAAATAAACCAGGCACATACAAAAAATACTGTGTGATCTCTCTCATGTGGAATCTAAAAATATGTTCAATAAACAGATGTAGAGAGTAGGAACAGCAGTTACCAGAGACAAAGTGGGTTGGAGATAAGAAGATACAGGACAAAGGGTATAAAATTGCAATTACTTAGGATAACTGTATTTAGGATCTAATATACAGCATGAGGACTCTACCTGGTAATAGTGTATGCCACAAAAAAGTTAACAACATGAGATGAACGATATGTTAATTGTCTTGACAGTAGTAGTTTTAACTATGCATATGTATATCAAAACACTATGTTACACACTTTAATATATAAAATTTGCAGGACAAAAAAGTCCTGCAAATGTTCCTCATGCTCTTTCTACTTCTAGTTCACAGGTTCCAGGATAACCAGATGACTGAGGAATGTTGAAGATTGCAGTGATGGAAGTGCCTCAGTCAGCCTGGAAGACTGTATGGATGGAGGTTGCCTGGTCACACTGTCATGTCCCTCTCTCCCTGAAAAAGAGACACATTTGCCTTTGTGCAAGGCAATACATACATTTGATCTATGTATACACTTTGGTCTATGCATTCTGTTATTTAACATTCTAATAATGTTGATGACCTTAAAATATGCTTGACAATGATCCTTGTAAATCATTATTATTCTGCCTTCTGCAAGATAAGAATTATGGGCCAGGTATGGCACTTAACGCCTATAATACAAACATTTTGGAAGGCCAAGGCAGGAGGATTGCTTGAGCTCAGGAGTTAGAGACCAGCTGGGGCAACATAGTGAGACCTCATCTCTACTAAAAATAAAACAAAAAAAGTTATGAGAGTGACACTGCACTCCAGCTTGGGTGACAGAGCGAGATCCTGTATCCAAATAAATAAATATCTAATATAGGAATTATCAAATTCAACACATATTAATTATTTTCATATCCATTAATGGAAAATAATAATGTGGGGATGATTCTTAAAAGGGATTCTGGAAGTGGCTTCTTCAATTAAATATATTCAAAACTCATTCCCGCTTACTACACAAGTCAAAGAGGAATTGAAAATGTGTGTGATTCCCACTAAATTATTTTCCTTTCATATGGCTTGATGTTACTGTCTTTGTGGAGTGGCTGAGAAATGTCTCCTTCTTGCCTTTATCTTCAAAGCCTCTGCCAATGTGAAGTACAGGAGAGAGAGGCAAGAGCAGGGCCCACTAGTGGATTCAGCTCAGCCTTATTCCCCAGGGGAAAACACATTCTTTTTCACTTTCCTGAGCTGCCTTATCTGATAAAAATGATTCTTACATCTCCCAGCAATGCCTTCTGATTGTAATGTAGTTTATGCCACTGGTTTGCCTATTTCTCAAATATAAACCTACACACACGTACACACATTTGGCCTTAGCCTTTCTAATTCCACTCTCATCAGGACAGATTGCACACCTGTAAACATTCTTAGATCAACTCCAGTAATCAATCCACATTCATGTAACCCCTGCAGAATAAAGATCATTGGAGACCCTCAAGATTGACTTCCCATTTAAACCGTAAGAAAACAAGACCCCAATGTGTCAGCTGCAGAACCACAATAAGGACCCGAGTCCCATGTCTTATTGTTCAGTGGTTTTTCTAAGTTTCAAGTCTTCTTCTCAGTAATGGTAAATACTCTCTACGGCCATATCATCCTGAACATGCACAATCTCATTAACGATGGCAAATACTTTCTTCCAGATGCTGATGTGGAAAACCTAATGTTCATCCTTGATTAATATTTTTCTCTTACATCACATATCTCACCCACCCCTGTACCACCTGTTTCAAGCCATCATCACTTTACACCTGCATTATTGCAATATCCTCCTAAGAAGCTGCTCTTTTTTTTCACCACCTCCAACATCAGCTCTTAACACAGCAGCCAAAATGACCATTTTAAAATAAAAGTTAGATCATCTCTCTCTCTCAGTATAAACCCTCTTTCTCAGAGTAAAAGCCAGGTCTAACAATGACACCTCATAATTGTCCATCTTATCTCCTGACCTCATTTCTTACCTCTCTCCTTCTCTATCTCTTTTCCTTATACCCTGGAATCCTTGAACTTGATCCAGACTCAGGACCTCTGCCTGGAACATTCTACTCTCTGATAGCTCTAGAACTAGAATATAAGGTAAATAACACTTGCTGATTTGAAAAATATACTACAAACCTAAGTGGTTTAATACAATGTCTTTTTTTTTTTGGCTAATATTACAGTCCAGTGAGAATATGACAGCACCTCTGGTTAGCTCTCTTCTAAGCAGAGATTACGTCCTTGATTTTGGTCCCAAAGAGAGAAAGAAAAAGCAAGGAGAAGAGTACAGTGAGTTTTAAGAGTCTGACCTGTAAATGGCCTATATTTTTCCTTCCCACATTTCAACAACTACTGCTCAGTCTCATGACTAATCTATCTGCAAAGAGATAAATTCAGAAGCACAAAGCTAGCCTAAATATTAGAATGCCCCCCTCTAGATCTCTGCCACATTAGTCCCCTGCTTTCCTTAGGAAGACAAGGAAAACTTTTTCTGGCTACCCTGCTTAAAAGAGCAGCACTTCCTAAATTAAACGTTGCTCAGTGATCTCCAATCCTGCTTGTTTGTTTGCTTGTTTGAGACAGAGTCATGCTGTCACCCAGGCTGGAGTTCAGTGGTGTGATCTTGGCTCACTCTAAGCTCCACCTCATGGGTTCAAGTGATTCTCCTGCCTCAGCCTCCCAAGTAGCTGGGATTACAGGTGCCCAGCACTATGCCTGGCTAATTTTTGTATTTTTAGTAGAGACGGGGTTTCACCATGTTGGCCAGGCTAGTCTCAAACTCCTGACCTCAAGTGATCCATCTGCCTCGGCCTCCCAAAGTGCTGGGATTACAGGTGTGAGCCACTGCGCCCGGCCCAATCCTGTTTTTTTTAATGTCCCTGGACACCCAGCTCAATTGCATGTTTTGCTTTTCTTAAAGTTAGGTGAAGTCAGGCAATGGAGCTTTTAGACAAGAAAATGCATATAAACTGAGTGGAATTGATCAAACCTTGTCATCCTGCTTCCTTAAAATGCCTGTGTGCTGTTCTCTACACCCTTTCTTCAACCACCAACTGAACACAGGGTTCTAGAGTTCTCAGGAGGGCAGATACAAGAGAGCAGGAGGGTGGGTTCCTGAATGACCACATGGAAGGCTTCCCACTAATAAGAAATCTTAGTATTGGACTTCACATAAACACTGAGAAAATGGCTCTTTGGGAAGCCACTAAAATTTTTTGATTTATCTATTATAGCAGTTAGTTATAGCCTTCCCATTTCAATGTCCTATTTCTCTGAATGTGCTTTATTTAAAACCACATCACTTATCACCATCTGACATATTCTGTATTTGCCTGTCACTTTTTCTCCTGTATCTTCTGTCCAGAGAAAGTGTTGGCCAACTATAACCCAAGAGCCAAATCTAGCTTGCTTCCTGTTTTCATATGTAATTATTTTTTGGAATATAGCCACAGCTATTAATTTCTGTATTCAGAGAGGAGGAGCTGTGTCTATGCTACAACAGGAGAGTTCAGTAGTTGCAACAGAGAAACTGTATGATCTACAAACAATATTTACTATCTGGCCCTTTACAGAAACAGTTTGCCAATGTTTGTACTAGAATGTAAACTCCAAGAATGTAAAACCTTTGTCTCTTTAGTTTGCTGTTATATACCCAGCATTAGAACAGTCTCTGGTCCATTGCA
This sequence comes from Homo sapiens, assembly GCF_000001405.40. Classification (NCBI taxonomy): domain Eukaryota; kingdom Metazoa; phylum Chordata; class Mammalia; order Primates; family Hominidae; genus Homo; species Homo sapiens. The sequence continues at coordinate 13,317,774 of NC_000021.9, forward strand.
GGTATTCATATAATATTTGTTAAATGCATAAATGAATAAGTGAATGAGTGTGCAGTAGGCCAAAAATGTTCCAGAAAAAAAATTCATATCTAAATTTCTTGAACCTCTGAATATTACCTTACATGAAAAATCAGACAAACAAAAATCAATCATTGCATGTGATTAAGTTAAAGATCTTGACCTAAAAGATTATCCAGTATTAGCCAGATGGACTCGAAATACAATCACATGTATCTGTATAAGAGGGAAGCAGAAAGAAATTTGACCACACAGACAGAAAAGGAGAGGGGATGTGATCACACAGGCAGAGGTTAGACTGATGTACCACAAGCCAATGAATGTTGGTGGCCACTAGAAATATTATCTAAAGGATTAGGAATTATCTGTTTAGAACTTTCCTGATGGCCACACCCTCTAAACCCCCTGATACTGATTTCAGATTTATGACATCCACAACTGTAAAAGAATAAATTTCTCCTGTTTAAGCCACCAAGTTTCCAGTAATTTGTTACAGAGGCAGCAGGAAACCAATACAGAGGGGAAAGTGACTTAAAACTACTTCTAATTCCAAGATAATGCTCAAAATGCTCATGCAAAAACTACTTCTTGTGTCAACATTCAGTCTATATAAGTGCTCTTGAAATTAATTATCACTATAATTCAGTCTCATGAGGAAAAATATTTTGGCTTTTTTTGTGAACCAAAAATTTATAGCAATTCATAAGTTATAGTTTATGGATGAAATTAAACATATTTGAGATTATTTTTATATTAGCACTTTATAAATCAGTTGCTGAAATAGTCTGTTTTGAAATATTAGATATAACTGCCAGGAATAATTCTGATATTTTCTTTAACATATTTTAGTCATTTCTTGAATTGCATTGTTTTATGATCATAAATTCTCAAACTAATAAAATTAATTGCTGTTGAAAAATAAGAATTGTGAATGTCTTCTGGGTGAAGGCTGAGCATGTAAAAAGTTTTTTTTTTTCCTTAATAAAATGAGACTCAGGGGAGGAAGTTCCCTTCTTCTCCTTCAGAGAATGTGGTCATGATCATTTCTCCCTGCAAAGATCTGGAAAGGCTGCAGCCGTTTTGGAAATATGGACTTACACTTGGCTGATAGGCTGAGTCTGGGAGAGTGCAAAGATGAAAAAACACCTAGCACATGGATCGTGTCACTGAGCTACTGAATCAATCATGGAACCACGCTCCATCTGTACTTTGTGTTCTCTCATAGAATAAATATTCACTTTGGGTTGTGTATCCGTTACTTGAAGCTAAAAATCTCCCCATGTAGGCAATGATCACTACAATGGGTTACTTACGTTTCTGAGTAATGTATTCATTTAATGAAAAAAAGATAGAGCAAAGTCCTCAATCATATTTATCAATTAACAAGGGTCTGACTAAATCTACTTGAGGTTCCAGGGAAATAACATGGGAACCAAGATATTTAATTGTCCATCTGCCATTTGAGGATTTTTTTCCCCCACATAAGGAATCAATTTGTGTAGCCATGATGGTGACTTCAGCTGATGCCACTATTGAGCACTGGCTGTACTGTTTAAATGATATACTAAAATGGACAAATGGGCAGAAGCTTCTTCACACAGAGCAAATCTATCTCTGGTTTGCATGGTAACTTTCATGCCTGTAGTAGAATAAACTTCAATATATCCTTTTTATAAAATTGCTCTGAAAATGGAAGACATCTTAAAATGTTGGCATGCACTCAATAAGGTGGTATTCTCTCCAAATTTAATATAAAATTAATGTTTTAAAATTGACAACATCTTTTAATCTACAAAATACATGTGCCCCACTCCAGACCTACTGCCACATTGACCCTATACCTACTAATCTAACAAATAGTGAGCTTGTTTGGATTTTGCCAAAAGCAAATATTTAAACATGAGAACAGTTAATATTCCCAATTGCTGCTTCATATAAAACTAAGCTAGCATTAATTTTATCTCCCTGTCTTGTTCCTTGTGCACTGTTCTGGCTCTGTAGGAATACTAGACTTTGCATGAGAAAGCTAAGGATTCAACTGAAGATCATTTATTAAGTTGGTGATTTATTTAAGTACATTTATTGTCATTGTTTTGCAACACATAATACAATTTCCAAAATAACTAGGAATTGTTTTCTTCTATTTTATATTGTTTTTTGAATTTCCTCTATGAAGGAATCATTTAACCTTCCAGTTTACGCACTATATTTTTTACCTCATTTTGCAACAGAAATGTTTTGAAAGTTGTAGTCTGAAACCCAGAATTCAGTCTTAGCTCCACAACTTAGTAGTTACTTAGCTCTTCCAATCTGTGCATTTGCATATGTTTGGGGATAACCGTAATTAAGATACCTTACCTTAAGTGGTAAGATTTGGGGATTAAATGACAAAATCAGAAAAGTCTTTGTTTGTGTTTACGTTCTGTATACAGATGTTCCTAGGTTTTGTTACAATTGTAATAAAAATAACAAAATCAATGTGGTGATAATAATGTCTTATGTATAGCAAGAAACTGAGTAATTAAATTTTGTCTTCTAATATCCAAACAATGACCAAATTGGGTGTGCCCCAAATTTTTTATTGAGACTGAATAGACAATGTAATAATATTAAGAGATGGGGTATTTAGAAGGTGATGAAGGGATTCGGGCCCTTATAAATGGGTTTGAGGGTGTGGGTTTGTTCCCTTCTGTACCTTCTACATGTGAGGACATGGTGTTCCTTCCCTTCTGAGGAAGCAGCAACAAGGCTACATTCAGTTCTTTTACAATGGTTTCTTCTTTTATCTCTTACATAGTTTCATTCTAAGACAGAATAAGGAATGACATATTCTGTGAGTTTTTGCATGATTAAGTATGCCAGTACTGCCATTTTGTACTTGGATAACAACTTGCCTGGTTATAATATTCTTGAGACACACTTGTTCCCTTAGAATTTTGTAAATATTGTTCTATTATCTTCTGGCACTTTATTTTTCCATGGAGGCATTTGTGCCCAGCCAGATTTATCCCCTTTGTAAGCTCTTGGATACCTGATGAATTCTTTCTTTATCCTTGAAATTCAATCACTTTACCAGAGTGTCATAAAATTGGTTCTTCTAATGAATTTCTTGAGAACAGTATACCTCTTTAAGTCTATGAGTATTATTTTACATTTTAGAAATATTTTCTTCTATTACATAATTATTCTTTTTAATTTCACTTGTTGGGCTTTTTTGCTGGTGAATCATTTACCTTTATTTTGGATCCACATTTCCTGTATACCATTAGCGTTAACTTCTTTCTGATTACTTTTTTTTACCCCTTTATTTCACTGAGACTACTTCATGGCTTTTTCTGTTACTAATTTTGTCATCCACACTGTCTAATCTGTTTTCTATGGTTTCCATTTAATTATCTCTGTAATGTTGTCATTTTGGTTCTCTGCTCAATTAACTTTACAATTGTCTGTTGAGTTTATTCACATTGCTTATATATTTGATGTCTTTTTAAATTAAAGATTACATTCTCTTTCATTTTTCTTTTGTGAAAATGTTCTTCTGTTTTTTTCTCAGTTTTGTAAGAATAACTTAGGCTCTTTTTGTGCTTTACATCTGTCTTCATTTTTAATGTAGTATTTTGCATGCTTGCATGACTTGCATGCTAGCATGACAACCAAAGAAAAATTACCAATATTAGAAATGAAAGTTGGAACATCACTAACTAGTCTATAGACATTAAAAGCACATTAAAGGGATAATATTAATAACTCTATGATAAAAAATATTATAACTTAGATAAAATAAAACAATTTCTCAAAATACACAAGCTTCTGAAATGCAAACAAGAGTCATTAGATCATCTAAATAGGTCTATATCTATTAAGTACATTGAATCAATTTATTAGTCACAATACACTAGAGAAACAGAATCAAAACAAAAATCAAAAGAATAATCCACCTATCTATCTGATGGTTTGGCTCTGTGTCCCTACCCAAATCTCACCTTGAATTGTAATAATCTCCCTATGTCAAGGGTGGGACCAGGTAGAGGTATTTGGATCATGGGGGCTATTTCCCCCATGCTGTTCTCATGAAAATCAGTGAGTCTCACAAGGTCTATAAAGGTTTATAAACACCTGGTATTTCCCTTGCTTGAACTCATTTTTCTCTCCCACCACCCTGCAAAGAGGTGTCTTCCTCCATGATTGTAAGTTTCCTGAGACCTCCAAGCCATGCAGAACTGTGAGTCAATTAAACCTCTTTTCTTTATAAGTCATCCAGCCTCAGGTATTTCTTCACAGGAGCATGAGAACAAACTAATGTAGTAAGTTGGTATCAGGAGTGGGGTGCTTCTGTAAAGATAAGCAAAAAAGTGGAAGCAACTTTGGAACTAGGTAACAGGCAGAGGTTGGAACAGTTTAGAGGGCTCAGAAAAACACAGGAAACTATGGTAAAGTTTGAGACTTCTTAGGGACTTGAAGGGTTCATAAGACAGAAAGATGTGGGAAAGTTTCAAACTTCCTATAGACTTGGTGAATGGCTTTTATCAAAATGCTGTTAGTGATTTGGACAATGAAGTCCAGGCTGAGGTGGTCTCAGATGGAGATGAGGAACTTCTTGGGAACTGTAGTAAAGGTCACTCTTGCTATGCTTAACAAAGAGATTGGTGGAATTTTGCCCCTGCCCTAGAGATCTGTGGAGCTTTGAATTTGAGAAAGATGATTTAGGGTATCTGGCAGAAGAAATTTCCTAGGGGCTAAACATTCAAGAAGAAGCAGAGAACAAAAGCTTGGAAAGTTTGCAGCCTGGTAATGTGATAGGAAAAAAAATATATATATATATATTTTCTGGGGATAAATTCAAGCCTGTTGCAGAAATTTACATAAGTAACAAGGAGCTGAATGTTAATCACCAATACAATGTGGAAAATGTCTCCAGGTCATGTCAGAGACCTTCATGGTAGCCCCCACCATCACAGGCTTGGAGGCCTAAGAGAGAAAAAGAATTGTTTTATGGGCCATCAGGGCCCTCTTGCTGTGTGCAGCCTAGGGTCTTGGTACCCTGTATCCCAGCTGCTTCAGCCACGGCTAAAAGGAGCCAAGGTACAGCTCAGGCCATGATTTCAAAGCATGCAAGCCCCAAGTCTTTGTCAGCTTCTATGTGTGTTGACCCTGTGGATGCCCAGAAGTCAAGAACTGAGGTTTGGGAACCTTTGCCTAGATTTCAGAGGATGTATGGAAACACCTGGATGTCCAGGCAGAAGTTTGCTGCAGGGATGGGGCCCTCATGGAGAACCTCTGCTAGGGCAGTATGGAAGGGAATTGTGGGGTCAGAGTTCTCACACAGAGTCCTCACCAGGGCACTGCCTAATGGAGATGTGAGAAGAGGGCCACCATCTTCCAGACCCCAGAATGGTAGATATACCTTCAGCTTTCACTGTATGCCTGGAAAAGAGACAGACACTTAATGCCAGCCTGTGATAGAGACAGGGAAGGGGGATGTACCCTGCAAAGGCAGTGGGGCAAAGCTGCCCAAGGTCATGGGCACCCACCTCTGGCATTAGCATGACCTGGATGTGAGACATGGAGTCAAAGGAGATAATTTTGGAAATTTAAGGTTTAATGTCTGCCCTATTAGATTTCAGACTTGCATAGAGCCTGTATGTATTAGTCAGGGTTCTCCAGAGGAACAGAACTAATAGGAGATATATATATATATATATATATATCACTAAGCCAGTCCAAGTCTCAAAGCTAAAGAACTTGGAGTCTGATGTTCAAAGGAAGGAAGCATCCAGAACAGGAGAAAGATGTAGGTTGGAGGCTAAGCCCATCTAGACTTTTCATGTTTTTCTGCCTGTTTCATATCCTGACCACACGGGCAGCTGACTAGATGGTGCCCACCCAGATTAAGGGTGGGTCTGCCTTTCCCAGCCCACTGACTCAAATGTTAATCTCCTTTGGCAACACCCTCACAAACATACCCAGGATCAATACTTTGCATCCTTCAATCCAATCAAGTTGACACTCAGTATTAACCATCACAAGTCCACCTTTGTCAACTTGAACCCATCCACATCACCTGAGATCAAACATAATCTTCAAATAAAGACAATAATAAGATCATAATTACACCTAACATAATACAACTATCATTGGTACAACCAGAACTACATCAATTCCCAACCCAAATGCTATTACATAAAGTTAACAATACTTAAATGCTAGCATGAAGTCAATAAATCCTATGTAACCTGATAAAGGAAAAAAGGAATAAAATGGAGATATTTTCTTAGTACAAGTGCACACATGCACAAATAGTTTTTAACAAAAGGAGGAAATACTTATAACAATTACAGTCCTTGTTTCTGCAACTGGTCACGTGGTCATAGCCGGTATTGATGACTACCTTCTACTACCCATTCTGTATTCCCTTTGCCTTCAGCAAGCACCTCAGCAGGTTGTGGGTTTTTTCCTGGTGGAGTGACATAAAACTCCATTCCTGAAGGGTCTGGGCCATTTGTAGTCCTGCCTGGGTTGGGCTTTTACAGTTTCTCATTGACCTTAATCACAGAGCATGGTAATACTAAGAGATGCCCTAATGGATCTCCTGTATTCCATGCATACTCTTCTTTACCTCTGTTGTAAAGTAGTAGGTAGATTTCATCTTGATAGTCCAGTTCAGTCACCCCAGCCAACACTGTAACTCCCTTCTTACCCTCTTGGCTGAAAGGTAGGAGGAGCCCAAAGTGTCCAAGTGGCATTCTTAACTTACAATTTAATGAAATCATTGTTGTGTCTCCTGGTAGCAGCATTCCTCCCTCTGAAATTAAGAGATCTAGGCCAGCAGAATGTAATGTCATGGTAACAGGAAGCAAAAAATTTGCTAGTGGACCACTAGGGGTGATGGCAAGTGATGCCACTTCCACATCCACCCCTTGATTCCTGGACCCATGAATTCTGGCTATGAGAGAAATAGTACCATATGTTGGATGCTGATTCAGAGCATACACAGCCTTCTGGAGAACTTTGCCTCAGCCCTGCAAAGTATGGTCATCTAGTTGGCATTGTAATTGTGACTTCAAAAGGCCGTTCCACCATTCTGTCAATCCAGCTGCTTCAGGATAATGGGCAACATGGTAAGACCAGTGAATTTCATGAGCATTTGCCCACTGTCGCAAGTGAGTGCCTTGGTCAGAGGCAATGCTGTGTGGAATACCACAACGGTGGATAAGGCATTCTGTGAGTCCATGGATGGTAGTTTTGGCAGAAGCACTGGGTGCGGGATAAGCAAACCTATATCTGGAATAAGTGTCTATTCCAGTGAGGACAAACCTCTGCTCTTTCCATGAGGGAAGAGATCCAATATAATCAACCTGCCACCAGGTAGCTTGTTGATCACCCCGAGAAATATTGCCATATTGAGGGCTCAGTGTTGATCTCTGCTGCTGGTAAACTGGGCACTCAGCAGTGGCCATAGCCAGGTCAGCTTGGGGCAGTGGAAGTCCGTGTTGCTGAGCTCATGCATAACCTCCTTTGCTGCCACCATGGCCACTTTGTTCATGGGCCCATGGGGCAATGACAGGTGTGGCTGTGGAAAGAGACTGAGTAGTGTCCACAGAAAAGGTCATCCTATCCAATTGATCATTAAAATTCTCTTCTGCTGAGATCACACGTTGGTGAGCACTCACTTTGGATACAAATATCTTCACAGTTTTTGGCCACTCTGAGAGGTATATACACATACCTCTTCCCCAAATTCCCTTGTCATCAATTTTCCAATTATGCTTCTTCCAAGTGCCTGACCATCCAGCCAAACCATTAGCTACAGCCTATGAATCAGTATACAATGGCACTACTGGCTATTTCTCTTTCCATGCAAAGTGCACAACCAGGTATACTCTTCAAAGTTCTGCCCACTGGGAAGATTTGCCTTCACCACTGTCCTTCAGGGATAGGGGCTATAGAGCTGCAGCTGTCCACTTTCAGGTGGTGCCTGCATATCGTGCATAACCATCTGTGAACCAAGCCCTAGTCTTCTCTTCCTCTGTCAACTGATCATAGGGAACTCCCCATGAGGCCATCAGTGCAGGCTAAGGGAAAGAAGGCAAGGTGGCAGGAGTGGAGACCATGGGCATTTGAGCTACTTTCTCAGGTAATTTACTTGTGTCTTCAGGACCTGCTTAAGCCAGATCACATATACACCACTTTAATTTGATGACTGGATGCTGAATGCTGCTGTGCATGGTCCCCTTGATGGGATGATGGCTCAGAAAGCACCCAGTTCATAATAAGCAATTCAGGTCACATGGTTGACTTGATGAGCCATAGTCAAAAGTTCAGTTTCCACCAAAGCCCAGTAACAGGCCAAGAGCTGTCTCTCAAAAGGAGAGTAGTTATCTGCAGAAGATGGCAGGGCCTTGCTAGAAAATCCTAGAGGCCCCTGCTGTGATTGACCTATGGGGGCCTGCCAAAGGCTCCAAACAGCATTCCTATCTGCCACTGGCACCTCAAGCACCTTTGTATCTGCTGGGCCATATGGCCCAAGTGGCAGAGCAGCTTGCATAGCAGCCTGGACCTGTTGCAGAGCCTTCTTGTGTTCTGGTTCCCACTCAAAACTGGAAACCTTTTGGGTCAGTCAGTAAATGGGCAAGAATAACACAACCAAATGAGGAATGTGTTGCCTCCAAAATCCAAATAGGCACAAAACCACTAAGCGTTGTGCCTTTTTCTTGCTTGTAGAAAGGGCCAAGTGCAGCAACTTATCCTTTACCATAGAAGGAATGTCTCAATATGTCCAACACCACTAGACAACTAGACCCCTAGAAATTTTACTGAGGTAGAAGGTCCCTGAATTTTAGTCAGATTTATTTCCCATCCTCTGGTATGCAAATGTCTTACCAATAAGTCCAGGATGTTTGCTACTTCTTGCTCACTGGGTCCAATCAGCATAATGTCATTAATGTAACAAACCAGTGTGATATGTTTGTGGAAGTGAAAAGTGATCAAAGTCTCTTTGAATAAGATTATGATCCAAAGTCAGAGAGTTCATATACCCCTGAGGTAGAACAGTAAAGGTATATTTCCTGTAAAGGTATATTTACATTGCCAGCTGAAGGCAAATTGCTTCCAATGGACAAGAATGGAGAAAAAGGCATTTGCCAAGTTAATGGCTGCATGCAAGATACCAGCAGACGTGTTAATTTGCTCAAGTAATAAAACCACATCTGGTAGAGCTGCTGCAATTGGAGTCACCATTTGGTTAAGCTTACAATAATCCACTGTCATTCTCCTAGATCCATCTGTCTTCCCCACAGGCCAAATAGGACAGTTGAACAGGGATGTAGTGGGAATCACCACTCCTGCATCTTTCAAGTCCTTAAGGGTGTCACTAATCTCTGTAATCTTTCCACGGATGCAATATTGTTTTTGATTTATGATTTTTCTAGGTAGAGGCAGGTCTAATGGCTTCCATTTGGCCCTTCTCACCATAATAGCCCTCACCCTGCCAGTCAGAAAGCCAATGCGGGGGTTCTGCCAGCTGTGAAGTATGTCTATGCCAATTATGCATTCTGGCACTGAAGAAATGACCACAGGATGACTCTGGGAAACTCCTGGAGTTGTGTAAGTAGGGCCTGAGCTAAAACTGTATCAATTACTGCCTCCATAAGTCCCTACTTTAACTGGAGGACCACAGTGACATTTTGGGCCCCCTGGAATCAACGTCAGCTTAGAGTCAATGTCTAGTAGTCCCTGAAACGTCTAATCATTTCCCTTTCATCAATGCACAGTTACCCTGGTAACAGGTCAGAAGTCTCCTTGGGGAAGAATGGGAGAAAGAATAACAGCATAAATTGTCAGTAGTATAGTGGGGTTCTTGATCAAAGGGACCTGGCCTCCCCTTTATTCAAGGGGTTCTGGTTCTGGCTTCAATCTGGAAATTCATTGAGGGGCCATGGTTCTCTGTTTTTATCATTCAAGTTAGTCTTTTGTCCATTTGACCTGGGCGTTTTCTGCCTATATAAATTAAGCAGGAATTCAGTTGGCTTCCTATCAATTTCATTTCTAGGAACATCATGATTAGCCAATACCAGAGTTCTACACGAGTTTGCACTATTTAATTGCTGCGTTGCCTCTGCTGTCCATTATAATAGCTATGCCCACCTTGCCTGCGATGGTTTAGTGCTGCCACTTGGCCCCTGCCACCTCAGGATCCAATTATTCCCATTGTATTTCAATTTTGTAGTTGGGTGACTGCAGCTCCCACTGTTAGATCTGTTATACAGAGAAGAGCAATTACAGCACTCTTCAAAGATGCAGGTGCTGCCTCACAAGTCTATTTCACAAAACATTGGTCAAGGGTATATCTTCTGGACCCACCCAGCTCGGATAAGTAGGTGTAAAGTGACTAATCTCCTCCATCATCCCAATCTTTCTAAGCCTTTTGATTCTTTCCTCTACATTAACCCAAGGGAGGAAATTAGGCATTTCCAGCTCGCTCACAGTAGGCTATCTTTTAATCCATATTTCAGCCAACCAAGCAAATAAACTATCAGAACCTTTTTTTAACTCCCCAAGCTGTAACATTAAATGCAGAGTCCCTACCTAGTGGGCTTAAATCGATACATTCAGCCTGATCCAACTGTATGTTCCTTCCACTATTATCCCATACCCTTAATATCCATTCCCATTCCTGTTCACCATATTTTTGCTTATATAAATAGAAAGCTCAAGCAGTTCTTTTGAGTGTAGTGCACCTCCTCATAGGTCACACTCTCAATCTCCCCTTAGGGGTCCACTGGGACTTTAGTCTAGTTATAGGCCTAGAAGCAAACAGGGGTGTTGGGGGTGGCTCCTGAGGAGAATCAACATTATCTTGCCTGACGACTGCCTCAGGGGAGGTCATCACTGTTGCCTCAGGCAGCGCAGGGTTTATCTCCTCAGACAAAGGTGGAAAGGCTGATGGCAGCATGGACTGGGGAGGGGATGTTGCCACTATTGGACATGGAGAAGCTGTTTCTTCTGGCAAAAAGGGTTCATCAGAGTTGACAAGCTCAGTGTGCCCACCTTCATCAGAGTCCTCCCACACATTCCCCTTCCAAGTTGCAGGGTCTTATTCTTTTCCAATTAATGCCCTCACTTTAACAGTAGACACCTGGTGAGGCTGCGCATGCACTTTCATCACAGTTCTGCCACTCGCATGATAAGAGCTTGTATCTGTTTTTCCACAATTTCAGCTCTGTCTCTACAGGAGATAAGACTCCCACTCAGGGTAATCTTAGCAGATTTGATACTTAGTATCTGCTTCTGAACCTGGGAGTTAGAATCCCTGAGTTCATCATTTTCTTTCATCCTTTTGTCAAGTGAACTTAGGAGCACCCAACCGACTTCATTTTGTTCCTTCATTCTCCATATATAGTCAAAGGTATTACGTATAGAGTCACTAAACTCCTTGACTGTCATGAGCAGTGAATCAGGAGTGTCAAATGGGTTTATTTTTCATAACTATCTAAACAGTTCATGCCAAGGACTATCAGTGTTCTCCATACTATTAGAGTAGAGTCCTTAGCATTTTGGGGTCTAATCATATTAAACAGCCATTCTAGAAATGCTAAAAACAACAGAAGAACTCCATTATTAATATTCTGTTCCTCTAGAACCACTCCTGATACCAAACTCTGTGTTAGTCAAGGTTCTCTAGAGAGACAGAACTAATAGGATCTATATATAGAAAGGGAGGGAGTTTATTATGTTGCAGTAACTCACATGATCACAAGGTCCCACAATAGGCCATCTACAAGCTGAGGAGAAAGGAAGCCAGTCCAAGTCCCAAAGCTGAAGAACTTGGAGTTCGATGTTCCAGGGCAGGAAGCATCCAGCACAGGGGAAAGATGTACGCTAGGAGGCTAAGCCAGTCTAGGCTTTTTACGTTTTTCTGCCTGCTTCATATCCTGGCCACACTGGCAGTTGATCAGACTGTGTCCACCCAGATTAAGGGTGGGCTTGCCTTTCCCAGCCCACTGACTCAAATGTTAATCTCCTTTGGCAAGACCCTTACAGACCCACCCAAGATCAATACTTTGCATCCTTCAATCCAATCAAGTTGACACTTAATATTAACCGTTACACTGTAGCTTCTTTGTTTTGGCCAGTATCTTCCACTTAGAATGTGTATATTTACCCAATGACTATACTCCATTGTATCTGGGAGGTAACTAACTTGCTTTTGATTTTACAGGTTCATAGGCAGAAGGGACTGCCTTTTCTCAGATGAGACTTTGTACTTGGACTTTTGAGTTAATGCTGGAATGAGTTAAAACTTTGTGGGACTGTTGGAAGGGAATAATTGTGTTTTGAAATGTGAGGACATTAGAATTGAGAGGGCCATGGGTGAAATTATATGGTTTGGCTCTGTGTCTCTAACCAAATCTCTCTCACCTTGAATTGTAATAATCCCATGTGTCAAGGGCAGAACCAAGTAGAGGTAATTGTAGCATGGAGGCAGTTCCCTCATGTTGTTCTCATGATAATGAGTGAGTCTCATGGGATCTGATGGTCTTATAATAATTTGACATTTCCCCTGCTTGCACTCATTCTGTTTCCCGCAACCCTGTGAAGAGGTGCCTTTTGCCATGTTTGTAAATTTCCTGAGGACTTTCCAGCCATGTGGAACTGTGAGTCAATTAAACCTCTTTTCTTTATAAATTACCTAGCCTCAGGTATTTCTCTACAGCAGCCTAAGAACAAACTAATTATCTATCTATCTATCTATCTATCTATCTATCTATCTATGATCTGGCTAGAGCTATATATATATATTATATATATAATATATATTATATATATAATATATATATATAATATATATTATATATATATATAATATATATTATATATATAATATACATAATATATATTATATATAATATATATTATGATTTATATATATATATGATTTATTATGAGGTATAGGCTTATGGAATTATAAAGTCTGAGAAATCCCATCTGTGCAAGATGGAGACACTGGACAGTCAGTGGTGTAGTTCAAAAGCCTGAAAGCCAGAGAGCCAATGGTATAGATTTCTGTCTGAGTTTGAAAGCTTGAGAAACAGAAGGACCAAGGGCAAGAAAAGATTGATGTCTCAGTTCAAGTAGGCAGAAAGAGAATGAATCCTCTCTCTTTCATCTTTTTTTTTCTTTATTCAATTATCAAGGGACTAAATGTTACCCACCCACAATGGGGAAGCCAACTCAGTTTATTCAGTCTACTGATTAAAATGCCAATCTCTTCTATAAACACTCTCATGGACACACACAGAAATAACGTTTAATCAGCTATCTGGGCATCCTGTGATCCAGTCAAGTTAACAAAATTAACTTTCACAAATACACTAATTGTCAATGTGGCATTATATTCATCTCCTTACATATTTAAATACTATGATATAAAGCCAATATATCTTATGTTACATGATAAGAGAATAGGAGAAAGAAGAAAACAATGGTATTATATACACAATATATACACAATCAAAAATGCATTTATAACAAAATGGGGAGATCATATTTATGACAATCAAAATTATCATTGCTGTAACTGGTCATGTAGTCATAGCTAGTATTTATAACTACTTTATTCAACTAACCATTCTGTATTCCCTTTGTCTTCAGGAAGCACCTCAGCTGGTAGTGGTTTTTTGTCTTTTGTGGTTACCCAATTTTTTATTCCTGAAGGGCTGTGATCACTAACAACCTTGTCCTCATTGGGCTGTTGTTTCCTATTAACCTTAATCACAGGGCATGGTAATATTAAGGAAAACTATAAGGGATCACCCACACTCTAGATGTATTTTACCTTACCTACATTATGAACTAGCAGTCCAATTTCCCCTTGGTAGTCAGGATCACCCCAGATAGTACTTTAACTCCCTTATTTGCCTATTGATTGAGAAGCATGAGGAGTTCAAAGTGCCCAGGTGAGTCTTAGCTTCCATTTAAATGGAATCATTATTGTGTCTCCTAATGGAAGGACTCCTCCCTTTGCAACTAAGACCTCCAGCCCAGCACAGCACAGGGTTTGGGAAAAGAAAATAAATATTTTGCTAGTGAGTTGTTAGTGGTAGTAGTGAGGGTTTTCACTCCCATTTCTACTCCTTAATTCCTAGACCCATGAATGCTGGCTGTAGGAGAAACAGGATCATATATCATATGTTGATACAGAACATACACAGCCTTCTGGAAACCCTTTCCCCATTCTATCTCAACAAATGTTCTTGCTTTAACAAGAACATGCTGAAAGACTTGGAGTTTAATTTCCGTTACAATTCAGCCATTCACAGGATGAGATTCTGCATTTCACTTTCTGCAATCTCAACTCTGTGGACACCAAAAATAAGAGTTATCTTCAGATGACAATAAGTCCTCAGGTCACTTATGCTTGTGGGACTTTAAATCCTAAGCTCATCCTTTTCTTTCACCACTTTGTCCAGTGACATTAGGAGCAAACGGCCAACCTTGTTATATTTGTTAGTTTTCCAAAACTGTTCAAAAGCATCATCTACACAGTAATTCAGTTCCTTGCTTTTTATAAGTGGTATCCAAGGCAGATGTTTTGTATATCTCTATTACCAGATTATGTCATGGATGTTAGTGCTCTTTACTACTGGAAATAGAGTCATCCAAACCTTTACATATAATCAGATTAGACAATTTATTCCAAAATCTACAGCATCAATTTGGGAAAGTTATTTATAAAATTCTGTTTCTGTAAAACCACTCCCAGTACCAATATATGTCTTAGTCAGGGTTATCCAGAGAAATAAAATCAATAAAATCTGTCCTCTGAAACCTGGAGACCCAGCTGGTGTAGTCTGAAGGCCTGAAAGTCAAAGATTCAATGGTGTAATTTTAGTCCCAGTTTGTAGGCCTGGCATTTCAAAGAAAGGAGAGGAATAGATATTCCAGCTCAATCAATCAGGCAGAGAAAGAGTGAATTCTCCTGTGCTTCACCGTTTTCTTCTATTCAGACGCTCACTGAATTAGTTGATATCACACATAGAGAAGGGCAATCAAGTTTACTATGTCTATTGATAAAAATGCTAATTTCTCCCATAAATACCATGACAGAGACACTGAGAAATGTTGTCTAAACAGATGTCTGGATCCCATGATCCAGGAAAGTTAACACATAAAACAAAATATGACAATCAATAACTAATAACTTTTCAAATAAGAAACCACAATATTTGAATGGTTGCACTGCTGAAATACACCAATTGTTTAAGAAGAAATTGTACAAATTTTCCACAACCTCTGTCAGGAAGTAGAAAAAAACAAGAATATTTCCTAACATTTTTTATAAGACAGTGTTACTCTAATACTAAATATAGATAAAACCCTTACAGAAAAGAAAACTAAAGATTATGAACACAGGTGAAAATTTTACATGAATACAGATTCAAAATTTTTCAATAAAATATTGACAAATCAAACAACAACATATAAAAATAATTCTACACCATGATGAAGAAGGAATTATTCCAGGGACGCAAGGCTGTTCTACATCCAGAAGTCAGTGTTATCTACCACATTAAAGACAAATGAAGAAAATTGAATAATTATATCAATAGATACAGAAAAAGCATTTGAAAATACATGACACCTATTCATAATAAAAAGTATTAACAAATTAGAAGTAGAGAGGATAGGAACTCCCTGTATTTGATGAAGACACCTACAAAAATCCTACAGGTGGAATCATATTTAATGTTGAGAGATTGGAAGCTTTTCTCCTAAGACTGGGAACAAGGCAAAGATAACTTCTCTCATCATTTCTACTCAACATCATACTAAAAGTCTTAACTAGTGCAATAAGACAAGAAAAGAAATAAAAAAGATAGAAAAGGAAGAATTAGAACTATCTGTGCTGAGTTTATATTATTATCTATATAACAAATCTCAAGGAATTTGCAAAAACAAGAAGTTTTTAAAATCTAATTTAAGTATAAGATCTCAGAAAACAAGGTCAATATACAAAAGTTAGTTACTTACTATGAAATTCATCCTTTGCAGTGAGCAATGAGAAACAATATTAGTTTCTAAAAATGCCATTTACAATTGCACAGACATGAAAATAAATACTGATATAAATCAGACAAAAAATTTTAATAATCTCCATGTCTTTTACTACATGTGAAAAACTACACATTCTGATGAAAGAAATTACAGAAGATCTAAATAAAGTGTGATAAGTTCAACATTACTTCACTAAATATTGTTAAGATGTTAATTCTCTCCTATTTGATGAATATATTTTTAGAAAAATACTTTTTTTAGATATCAACAAACAGATATATAAAGTTTATATGAAAAGTCAAAAAACCTGAAATACTCAATGCAAACTGAAAAACCATAAAGTTGGAGGATGCATACTACCCGATTTTAATACTTACTATAAAGGCACAGTGTCAAGACAGTGTGGTATTGACTAAAGAATTCACACATAGTTCAATGGAACTAGTGGGTCCAGAAATAGGCCTCATACAAATGTAATCAACTGATCTTTGATAAAGAAGCAAAATGCAATTCAATAGCAAAGGAATAGTCTTTGCAATAAATGCAGTAAGTGGTGCTGCAACAATGGGATATCCTTCTGCACACACATAAAAAAATGAACCTGGACACATGAATCTCAGAGCGTCATAAAATATCAACTTAAAATAGGACATAGATTTAAATGCAAAACTACAAATATAGGAGCAAATTTAGGTGACCTTGAATTTGGCCATAAGATTTCAGATACAACCACAAAAAGATTCTGTGAAAGCTTAGATGTTACTAAAATTAAAAACTTCAGCCCTGTGAAAGTCACTGTTAGGATAATTTTTAAAAAGTAATAGACTGGGGAAAAATTTGCAAGACATGCATCTGATAAAAGGCTTGTATCCAAAATATACAATAAACACTTAAGACTCAACAATAAGAAAACAATCACATTTGAAAGTTGGCAAAAGATTTAAATATACACCTCATCAAAGAAGATACACAGATAGAAAATAAAGATGGTCAACATCATTTGTTACTAGAACATTGCAAATTAAAACAATTAGGAACCACTACTTATTTATTAGAATTGCTAAAATCTAAAAATCTGATAATACTTAATACTGAGAAGAATGCAGAGTAACAGGAACTTTCATTCTTTTCTGGTGGAAATGAAAAACTGTACAGATTACTTGGAAGGCAACTTTTCAATTTCTTTCTTTCTTTCTTTCTTTTTTTCTGGGACAGAGTCTCACTCTGTCACCCAGTCTGGAGTGCAGTGGCACAATCTTGGCTCACTGCAAGCTCTGCCTCCCAGGTTCTTGCCATTCTCCTGCCTCAGCCTCCCAAGCTTTTCAATTTCTTATCAAGCTAAACATATAATTCAGCAATCATGCTCCTAGATTTTTACTAAACTGATTTGTTAATTTTTGCCCACAAAAATTCTATTTATATTTTTATAGATGCTTTATTCATAATTACCCCAAACTGGTAGCAATCAAGACGTTCCCCAAGAGGTGAACAGATAGTCTGTGATACATCCATACGGTGAGATAATATTCAATGATAAAAAGATATGAGCAATCAAACCATGAAAAAAATGAAAGAATCTTAAATGCAAATTTCTAAGTGAAATAAGCCAATCTGAAAAGGATACAGACTAATGATTCTGATTATGTGATATTCCACAAGAAAGAAACCTATCAGGGGTTGCCAGATGTTTGTGGGGAGTAAAGGAGGATGGAAGAATAATTGATGCACAAATGATTCTTCTGTCAATAAAACTATGCTGTATGATACTGTAATAGTGGATACATGGCATTATATATTTGTCAAAACCAACAGAACTTTACAGAAGAAATAGTAAACCTTAATGTATGCAAATTTAAAAAGAAACATATAGTATGTCTGGAGATCCCTGACACCAACTAAGCAAAAAAAATCTAACTGTATTTCACATGTGTGACACAACCTCACTGAAGTCAGTAGAGGAAGAAAATGTGCTAACCTAAGTTACTTTATATATGATATAAATGAATTTTATTTGTCTCATGAACACTGTACTTTAGTTGACAAAAATGTTTTTGTTAAGAGGTAACTTAGGTTACAAGTGCTCTGCTGAATGAATTGATTAATGCCATTATCTTGAGAGTAGGTTAGCTACCTAGGAAGTGAGTTCTTGATAAAAGGATTAGTTCAGCACTATTCCTATTTCTCTGTCACGTGCATACATGCTGTCTTGCTCTTCTGCCTTCCACCATGGGATAACACAGGAGGAAGGTCCTTGTTACATGTAGGTTCCTCAACCTTGGATTTCCCAGTCTCAAGAACTGTAAGAAATAAGTCTCTGTTCTTTATAAATCACCCAGTCTAAGGTATGCTACATTAGCACAAAATGGACTAAGACGCTATCTATCCATCTACCTATATGTCTATATATCTATCTAATCTATCTGGCTATCTATCTATCTATCCATCTATCATCTATCTGTTCCCACCTAAGCAGGTGAAAGTAAGCTACCTCATAAAGCAGAAGATAATATACACATCAAAACACTCTCTTACCTAATAAAGACTGGTACATTAAAGGTAGTGGTATACTGCTTTTACATCTCAATGTTTATTTGCTCATTTGTTTTTCCCAACTGTGAACAAAATGTTATGCAAAAGCTATTATAATAGCAACTAGTATGCAGCTCCACCATCTTTAACTTAATTGGAGAGAGACATAAAGAAAAACCTTTGTTCTTAACATTCTTGCAAGAAGAAACAATATGCAGAGAATGTTTTTTTCTCTCTCTCTCTTTCTCTGTGTTTATGTATACGTTCATTAATCTATACTTATATACATTAAAATTCAGTTTTTTAAAATGAGTAGGAAAATGGGTGTTTCAGTCAACTAAATATTCTAATTAATTCAATATTTTATCCTGTGAGATGTTCAAAAGATCAAATATTTTTAAAAGTCATAATAATCCCATAAAATTACTGAGATAGTCCCTCTTTCTTCCTCATGTTTTGTCTAGGTCACTCCTACCAGACTGAACATGAATTTGATAATTTTTTTATCTTATTCATGCACAAGCTTAGATTTGATTCCTTATTTTATATTTATAAACTATTTTTGTCTTGCCTCTGACTTTTTTGTATCAGATTGAATTTTATTCTACTGTTTTATTTAAGCCCTTTCTTGCAATTACCATCATCCTGAACCAATATAGAAATTTCAGTGTGTTTACTTCTTCCTTGAGCTCACAATGAGATCTCCTGTTATAGGCTAATGGCTACAGGCATATTTTAGTGTCATAATTTTCACAGAACCCATATATAAATAATCCAAACTAACCCTAAAATTATACCAAAAAATTAATGTGATTAGGATGATAATTCACAGTCACATAGTGTTTTGGAATCTTTGTGGTGAAAATAAATTGTTTGTTTAAAACTATTGACTTAGAAGTTGGACTCTATTATTGTGTAATGACTGAAACAAGAAGTAACATTTTTCAATATATCTTTATATAAGGAATATTCTCTGATATGGTTTGGCTGTGTCCCCATCCAATTCTCATCTTAAATTGTAACTCCCACAATTCCCACATGTCCTGGGAGGAACCGGGTGGGAGGTGATTGAATTATGGGGGTGGATCTTTCCTACGCTGTTCTCAAGACAGTGAATGAGTCTCATGATATTTGATAGTTTTAAAAATGTAAGTTTCTCTGCACAAGCTCTCTTTTTGCCTGCTGCCATCCACGTAAGATGTGACTTGCACCTCCTTGTCTTCTGCCATGATTGTGAGGCTTCCCCAGCCATGTGGAACTGTGAGTTCTCCATTATACCTCTTTCCTTTGTATATTGCCCAGTCTTCAGTATGTCTTTATCAACAGCATGAGACTACACTAACACATTCTCATTTTGTGTGTTTCAGAGAAAAAATAATAAGGCAAGAAATTCCATTTTTGAAAATTATTATTGCTTGAACTTTAGACAAATGGGAATTGACTGTGTTTGTTTACCCTAACATGGACTGGGTGCTGGCAAATTACAACTGCAGTTTTGTTTCTGCAGCCTCAAATTTAATCTTTTATTTTGTCAGATGTGGCTAAGTGAACAATTTCCCACCCCCCCCCCAAAAAAAAGACTAAAATAGTGAGCCTTTAAAAATCCTATTTCTCTTCTAGACTTGGATCCCTAAGTACCAGTCAAGGAAAATATCTAATTTCTTCAAGGAAAAAGAGTTCATATTTCTTTTGAAACATATCATGTTGCCATAGTTACCAAATGCTCTCATTTTATTTCCTAACAATAATATCACCATCTAGATACACATAGCTTACAAAAGTAAATGTTTTATTGTGGAATTTTATAAGGACACAGGATCTGCTTCCAATGACTTTTAAAAAATTAAAATGGAAGGATTCTTGCTAATAAATACACCTGAGTTGAAATTAAATGTTTTCTGAGCAAGAGCATAGGAGAAAAGGAGGAGCAGAGAGAAATTGAAAAAGACACATACAGTTTTAACATTTCAAAGGTGAAGGTGATTTAAATTAGGATTTGGGCATGGTTGTTCTTCTCCACCCCAGTGTATATAAACATTCTCATATGGGTTGCCATGTCTCCAGGAGTGATACCATCATCTGGACAGGCCATTAGAAATTAAAACATACTTACACATATACACATGCACATCTTAGAATAAGAAAAATTATAAACCAGCTTATTTCTATTTGTCTTGCCAAATATAAACTTTAGAGCCAAAATTTTAAACAAAGCAGCAACTATGAAAATAAATAATGAGATCCCTGTGTACAGAATTACGTAGTTGGGGTTTACATATTGGGAAATCAAGCTCCAAGTAGAAAGGAATCAGTTTTCTCCGTCTTTCCTTTCTCTTACTTTTTAAGAAGCTATCACAAGAATTTTATTTACAGGAATTTAAGGTGGAAACATATACCTTTTGGGGAGTAAATCGTTACTAAAAACATAATTAATGTGGTCATTTTGAACAATATTATCAAATAGTTACCTCAATGAATCATAAAAATCATCAAATATGTACATGATTTGAAAAATCTTGAAAACTAAGAAAGTTGAAATATGTAAAAAGTAAATTAATTTCATAGTCTACCTTTATAGATAAAACATCAATAGCTAATATTAAACTATAAGCATTATTATTAAAATATAAACATTAATTGAAAATTTAAAATTAAATTTAAAAATTAATTAATTTCTTTATATCTTCCTATTTCATACTTAAAAGGTTTCTTATTCTAGCCTAAATGGTGTATCACAAACTGCAAATTACAATATTTGATGTTTTAATGCACTATGTCGGGGGGTGGGGGGCAAGGGGAGAGAGGAAGAGCATTAGGACAAATACCTAATGCATGAGAGGCTTAAAACCTACATGACAGTTTGTTAGGTTCAGCAAACCACCACGGCACATGTATACCTATGTAACAAACCTGCATGTTCTGCACGCATATCCCAGAACTTAAAGTAAAACTTAAAATAAGAAAATAATAATAATAAAGAATGTGTTATTTAAATGTAATCTTTAGCATTTCAGTTTTGTTTACTGGAGTCATAATCTCAATATTATTTTTAAATATAGAGAATTCAAAATTATTTAACATAAAGTATACTTCATTTTATTTGTAAAGTTTTACCCATCATTTTTAAAATGAATGATTTAGGCAGAGCATTATGGCATTTGAGAAGAACTGGCCTTCATTGTAAGTTGACTGTAGGATTTATTGATACAAGCAAAAATGCATAAAAAAGAAAAATTTTTCATAATTTTGTTTTTCAAAAACTTATATATGCGTATGTGTATGTGTGTATGTATATGTGTATATTTAAATATGTATCATGTACTTTAGAGAGATTTTTACATCCAGTATGGCTCTTAAGATAAAGGCCATGATTCCCATTTTATAAGTTTTCTCTTGATTAGAAAACTAGTTTTGTGTGGTGGTGGGTGAGATGTTATATTGTTTACTTCCTCAAACTCTGTTAGCCTTCCTTAAACTTATTTTGGTTTATTATTGTTTGTATTTTTAATTGTATGCTTGGAGGGATCCTTTATCTTTCCAATCAGCCTTGTCCAGGTCTGAATCCCATCTCCTTTCACCTCCTTGAGAATTTTTATTCTCAAGAGGTCAATTTTTTTTCTGTCTTCTTACTCTCATTTCCCACTAGTGGAGGCTTATCTAATTATAAACAATAAAGAAATGATTTTGAAATTATCTTTTTACTTATACACCCAAACTGGTATCTGTAGATTCTTTCTTATCTTTTGCTTACCCATTTCTGAAATGTTCCTATGCCTAAAGCCAGATGCTCTTTTTTTTTTTTTAATCTGCTGCAGTCTTTTTGGACAACTTAGTCCTCTTCCAGTTGCTTCACCTCTCACTCATAACTTGCTGACTCCAGAATCTATAACTCTTTAATTCTTTTCTGAGGTCCTGAGATACATATATACATATATATAAAATATAAAATATATATATATACACAATGTTTTATTGAAACTTCCCAATTATTGCATGTCAGGTATTCTCATTTCACAGACCAGGAAACAGATACTTACAGAAGTTAAGTATTACAGCAGGTTTACTCAATTAGCACATGTCCAAGCTAGTATTTAATCCAAAACTTTTGATTTTTTTTCTATTATATACGCTTTCTTTCCATTTTCTTGAATTCCAGTTTTGTCTACCAGGGTAAAGTACATGATTGCTAAAGAAGGGAGGCTTTAGAATTTCTCTCTCTCTATCTTTTTTATTTTTTATTTTTTTGGAACCCACTGCATGAATTTTTCAGATTCCAGAAATAATGCTTTGCAATGAATGAGGTAGTACTTTTAATTCTATATATTTTTGCCATAATGTCTATGCACCCAGCCTGTGAAATAAATTGCACTGACCTGTGTCTTTAGTGCCTGTCACTTAAAATTTTTCCAAACCACCTTAAATGTTGAAGTTAATAAAATTGGTAATGCTCGACGTGGGGGAAAAAAAAAACAACGAAAACCACTAAGATGTTCTACTTTATGGTCTCTGCATGACATCTAGTGGTTGGAACTGGAAAATTTGAGGAAATTATGATTAGTATCAGGGAAAATACAATCTGTGTTAGTCTGGAGTCCTCATTCCTAACATCAAAGGAAACATGATGTAGATATCCTCTACTTCCAAAGAGGTTGGCCACTGGCAGGTAGGCCAGTGGCCTTTCTGTTCATTTCTTAATGAATTGAACAGAATTCATTAAGAATTCTTAATCTTCACACAGAAGATTAATCTTTCTTAATCATTTCTGTTTCTCAGTCTGTGTATCAGGGAATAACAGTTTCTCTCTGTGTTAAGCAATCTGTGCTCACTGGGGCTTGTGAAACATTGGTCTGTAATCAGTACCTACTTTTGATAGATATGAGTTGGATAATTATAAGATGCAAAAGTAAATAAACCCTTTGGTTTTCTTTCTTTATACGCAAGTATTAATGATAGTAAATCTATGACCCTATTATTCAAAATTGTATTTAGAAAAGCTTTTTATATACTCCAGTTTTGATTATTCTAAAGAGGTTATAAAATCGAGTAACTGCTTAGCTTTGAGTCTTAGGGATGATATTGGGTGTAGGTCCTTGATAATCCAAGATTTAGGATCTGCCTACCAGAAATTTTAGTCAGCTTAGATAACTGACAATGGAAAACGGTACATGATATGTTCTAAATAAATGACACAGCCAATGTTGTAGGGATGCCGCAGAGGATTTGGAGTCCAAGAGGTCAGAGAAGGGATCATGAAGGAGGATGGATTTGAACTGAGCTGCAGTTGATAGATGGGCAGCTTAAGGTATTGTTAAGCAAACAGGCAACAGAGTGAGATTCCTGGGTGTTGGCTTTCCTTCAGTGTGACCTTGGACAAACTATCTAGTTGCTCCACATTTTACTTTCTTCGTTTGCATCACAGTATGTACACACATAGATACATAGCATCTATTTCTTGTGGTGAAGATCAGCATAATGTCTCAGTTGGCAAATTATCAGTTCTTTTTATTATAAATAAATTAAAAATGCAAATGTTTAGGTCAAGTGTTATTCTCTGAAAATGCACAAAGAGAAATGAGCCAAGAGAAAAATAATAATAAATAAATATTATATTTCTGACACCAAGACAAGTCCAAGAGAATTTAAAAAATAATTATAAATATTTTATGGTAATGTATTTCAAATATACATGCTTCAGATTCCAGGATTTATGTCATGGGGATGGATCAGGAGTCCTTGAAACCTGGCACTTATTAATAAATGTTGTTTCTAATTTTCTATCACTGCAAGGTACTCTTATAGACACCATGTGAACATAGTACTTTTATCTCTCTAGCCTTGCACATAGTACTTTTATCTCTCGATTAGCATGTTTCCATCTTTTCTACCTATGTCAACTCTATTCATCCATCAAGATCTAATTCAAGCTCTATCTATTCCTCACATCCTTCCTTGGCCACTTCTTTCTTCTGAATTCCTATTTATTTTCCTGGTTTTTTTTTTTTTTTTTTTTTTTTTTTTGCAATTGGCATATACTGCTAGGTATCACTCATTTTTTCTGTGGAAAGAAAAAATACTAACTGAATTTTTGTATATATTTATTAATATCCAGATAGGATATCATAATTAAAGTAATCAGATCAAGTTTCTAAAATATTACTGGCTCTTGTTTTCCATTCCCAAACACCTGAGAGATACTGTCCACTTAACAAGTGAAACAGTGGTCTGTATATCCAGCATTTGTAGCCTACAATCTCCAAAGTGTGTTTTTATTATGACCTTACTCCTCCTTACTGTCCATATTTCACAAAAAGAAGTTATCCATTGGGGAAGAAGATCTTAATCCATTACCAAAGACATTTTTAATAGTAATTAATAACAAATCCCATATGTTCTATATATTTGGGACATAAATAAATAATGTAAAATGTCGGTACAAATAGTTTCTCTACACTCAATGATATTATATTATTAAAGTCAGCTGCATTTAAAAATTAGTAGAATTTGTATTTTAGAACACTTTTAGATTTAAAAAAATAATTGAGCAGATAGGCTGGGCATGGTGGCTCACCCCTGTAATCCCAGCACTTTGGGAGGCCGAGGTGGACAGATCACAAGGTCAGGAGATCAAGACCATCCTGGTTAACACGGTGAAACCTCGTCTCTACTAAAAATACAAAAAAGTAGCCGGGCGTGGTGGCGGGTGCCTGTAGTCCCAGCTATTCGGGAGGCTGAGGCAGGGAAATGGCGCAAACCTGGGAGGCGGAGCTTGCAGTGAGCCGAGATCACACCACTGCACTCCAACCTCGGCGACAGAGTGAGAGTGCCTCAAAAAAAAAAAAAAAAAAAAGAGCAGATAATAGAGTCCCATAAACAATCTCCATTTCCCCCCACATTCCTCCATTATAAATATCTAGCATTAATGTGGCACATTTATCACAATAGATGAGCCAATATTTATTTATACCATCAGTTTATACTAAGGTCCACAGTTTGCTTTGTATAGTTCTATGAGTTCTGACAAATGTATATCGTGTATCCACTATTACAGTATTAAGCAGAATAGTTTCACTGATTTAAAAATCCCCTGTGATTCAGCTTTTCATCCTTTTTCTCCTCTCCTCAAGGCCCTTGCAACCACTGATCTTACTATCTCTAAAGTTTTGCCTTTGCCAGAATGTCATATGGCTGGAATCATACAGTATGTGGCTTTTTCAGGCTGGTTTCTTTCACTTAGCAATATGTACTTAAGGTTCCCCTTGTCTTTTTGTGGCTTCACAGCTCAATACCTTTTCATTGCTAAATAATATTCCAATGTATACGTGTACCATAGTTTGTTTATCCATTTACCTATTGGATATATTGGTTGCATCTGGTTTTTGATGATACGAATAAAGCTTCTATAAATAGTCATGTTCAGGTTTTTGTGTGGACATAAGTTTTCAATTCAATTGGGCAAATACCTGGGGGCATGACTGCTGGATTATATAGCATATTCAGTTTTTAAGAAGCTGCCAAATTGTCTTCCCATGTGACTGCACCATTTTGCATTCCCACTAGTAATGAAAGAATTTTGGTTGCTTTGCATCCTTGCCAGCATACAGCACTGTCAGTTTTTTGGAGTTTAGTCATGCTAATAGTTGTATAGAGGTATCTCATTGTTGTTTTAATTTGCGATTCCTTTTTAAATAATTTCAACTTTTATTTTAGATTCAGGGGGTACATGTGCAGGTCTTTACCTGGGTATATTGTGTGATACTGAGGTTTGAGGTATGATTGCTCCCATCACCCAGGTACTGAGCATAGTACCTAATGGTTTTTCAACCCTTCCCTCATCTACTCCCCGCCAGTAGTCCCCAGTGTCAGTTGTTGCCATCTTTATGTCCCTAAGTACCCAGTGTTTAGCTCCCACTTATAAGTGAAAACATGCAGTAGTCAGTTTTCTGTTCCTGTGTTAATTTGCTTAGGATAATGGCCTCCGGCTGCATCCATGTTGCAATTCCTTGATGATCTATGATATTGAGCATCTTTTCATCTGCTTATTTGCCCTTTGTGTATCTTTAGTGAGGTGTCCAGATTTTGCCCACTTTTTAACTAGGTTTTTTTTCTTATTGTTGTGTTTTCAGTGTTTTTTGTATATGTTGGATATATTGATATATTTTTTGCATATATGTATATGTCGGTGTATTTTAGTGACGTAAAATGAATGGAATCTATAGCCTTAAACATAATATAAATATATAATGGTTAAGATTTCCCACTCAACAATCCAGGCTTGACAGAAAATCATAAAATGTATTTAAATTTAAATGTTTTTTTCTTTGTTGATACTAGTTCTTAGTTTTAACATGCCGAAGAGGGTATACTTGATCAAGGACAAGATTAAATGTTCTGATTGGCTAACTATCAAACCGCTGCCTCCACTTTTTTTTGCAACTTGAAAATAATATTTAGTTATCATGCTAGCACAGCCATATTAATATATACCCCTTCAAAACTTTAAATATAAAGCTTTAACAGTTTCACGAAAAAGAAATATTAATGATGCTGAGATTGGTGGGCATGGATTCTGTGTAGTGAGACACTGAAAAGTAATTTTTAAAACAGGAAAGTTAAAGCACTTTAAAATCACAAACCTATTGGTAATTAAAAAAGAATTAGTATCAATTTCTGAAATACAAGATTAGAGGGACACCTAAAATTCTGAAAGATTTTAGAGAATTTTTTTAAAAAGTAATTGCAATTTAGATCAAAGTTCCCCACTTTTCATTCCAAGTGTGATACAGGTTTAAATAATAAACAGAAAAAAAAGTTTAGATAAATTCACGAATTATTGAACCAGATGATAAACAATAGGGAAGCTATTTAGGGCATAGTCTCTAGTGTGTAAGGGTGACATCCTAAGTAATAAATTTATGCTATTGTTGACAATATTGCTGGCAAGGCTAAATGGTCAATGTGCTTGACATATTGCCTGGTTTTTCATGTTCTATTGCAAGAGCTGATTCTCTCTCTCTCTTTTATTTATATTTTTGAACTCTACCATTATGCTATCATGGACATTATGTTAACAATTTGATGCATCTATGTAATATGCTTTAAATCTTTGGGAATAAATTTACTGAGTGCTACTTATGTGAACAAACTTCTCTTAAGCACAAATGGAAATCCACAAAGAAAGACAGCCTCTTCTATTTGTTTTATGTGAGGCAACGGATACACTGTAGACAAAAAGACCAAGTATAATTAACTTATATTGTTAACTAACTTAATATCTGCATATTACATATTTTTCTATTATGCTTTCTGAGCAACTTCGTGGCTTCTGTTTTGGAGGGTAGGATTTCATAGTTAATACTTTTTTTTTTTTTTTTGTGAGATGGAGTCTAGCTCTTGTTGTCCAGGCTGGAGTGCAATGGTAAAATCTTGGCTCACTGCAACCTCCGCATCCCAGGTTCAAATGATTCTCCTGACTCAGCCTCCCGAGTAACTGGGATTACAGACACCCACCATCATGCCTGGCTAATTTTTGTATTTTTAGTAGAGATGAGGTTTCACCATATTTGCCAGGCTGGTCTTGAACTCCTGACCTCAGGTGATCCGCCCGCGTTGGCCTCCCAAAGTGCTGGGATTACAGGCGTGAGCCACTGCGCCCGGCCCATAGTTAACACTTCTATAAATATTTGTGCCTATTGAAAGGAACATCGCTCCCTACACTGCAACTGAACAAAAGAGTGATAATGTTAATTTCTTTATTCTTGGGCTTTTCTTGAATAAAAGAGGGTCATAGGATATGGAACAAAATAGACTAGAAAATAGGGTTGATAAGGTACTGATTCTGCCAACACTGCTTAATGCTCTCCCCAAGCAATTGTCTTTTAGATATGTTATTTCCCAGTGTGAATGGTATTTTTTAAATATGTCAAGCAATTAAGAATATAAGTATATTCTCATCTCAGCTAAACGTAGAATCTTTACAAAGAATTTTTGGTATCCTTAACCCTAATATGTGGAGGGATAAGATTAAAAATGTTCACCACCTTATTTTTATTTATTTATTTATCTATTATTTTGAGACAGAGCCTCACTCCACCCTGACTGGAGTGCTGTGGTGTGACCTCGGCTCATTGCAACCTCTGCCTCCCAAGTTCAAGTGATTCTCCTGCCTCAGCCTTTCAAGTAGCTAGAATTATAGGAATTCACCACCATGCCCAACTAATTTTTTTTATTTATTATTTTTTTTTTTTTTTGGTGAGATGGAGTCTCACTCTGTTGCCTAGGCTAGAGGGCAGTGGCACTGTTTTGGCTCACTGCAGCCTCCACCTTCTGGGTTCAAGCAAGTCTCCTGCCTCAGCCTCCTGAGTATCTGGGATTACAGGCACCCACCACCACACCCGGATAATTTTTTGTATTTTTAGTAGAAACGGGGTTTCACCATGTTGGCCAGGTTAGTATTGAACTCCTGACCTCAAGTGATCTGCCTGACTCGGCCTCCCAAAGTGCTGGGATTACAGGTGTGAGCTACCACATCCAGCCATCACCTCCTGTAAAGTGCAGTAAAGAAATAGTGGGCAATAGACAGGCAGGGGATAGAGGAAAATGTTTTGGGAGTGGGACAATATGAACTTATTGTCATGACAGGACCAAAAAGGGAAGATGTCTGCCTATCATAATTAATAATAACTCTGTCAGTCAACATTTATGTTTTACAATTGTTCTGTAAAAGCCAGCAAATATTACAGATTCCAGTCCCTAATAACTGATCATGAAAGACACTCTAAGCTTGTGCATCAGCATTCTCTTTTTATCTAAAAGAAAATATATTAAATAAAGGGAGGAATGGCAGGAGTAAAGAGACTTGAAGGAAAAGAAAATATTGACTTATTAATGATATTTTACAATGCTAAGACCTTTAGAAACCAACTACTCCATATGTCTTTTAAATATTAGTTTGGTGCAAAGGTAATTACAGTTTTTGTCATAAAAGTAATGGCAAAAGCCACAATTACTTTTGCACCAACCTAACTGATACATTTATTCCATTTTGGAGGTATTGCAAATATGCTGAATCAATGAATTTCTTCAGTATTTTTCATTGTATTAGTACAAATTTAACCTAATAGTATTCTTCTGCATGTTATTTCCCTTTGTGCTTCCTTTAATGCAATGAAGTTGTAGTTACCAAATAGAGTGCTCTAAAAGGGCAAGGCTTGTCTGTGAATTGAGCCTAGCATAGAATTGGCTCTCAGTGAAGATCTGTTGAACATTTCATGAATGCATCAACATCATAATCCTTCATGTGCTTGTAAGCAATTATTAAAATTTTCTCTAGCCTATTCAGGCCTGTGTTCTTCAAAATTCTCCAAAATATATGGACGTGTTTGCTGTTTCTATTAGGTTTTAACTTCTGGTGTCAGAAACCAGGGCTGTTTTTCTTAATTTGTGTCCTAAAACCACAGTAGGGTTGTATGCATTGTGATAATGCTTAATAAATATATAAAAAGATTAATATCCATTCATTTACATTTTCTTAAACCCAATTTCTGGATGAGTAGCTGTGAAACTCTCAACTGGATGAGCTCTGACTAGTGTTAAGTATAGTATATTGGGAACAGGGCTTTATATGCAACATATATGTGAGGCAAATGAGAAATATTAGCTGGGCTACATTAAATCCCAATGACATGAATAGAAATTTTATTATCCAGGTAGCAAAAATGAAGTCAAAAAAATAAATAAGAGAATGAAGTGAAGGTATGGGGCAAAACAATTAGTTTTTTATTTAAGTCAATATTTTAGAAAATAGCTTCTGAAGGCCCAATCACACAGATAATTGACACTACGACTTTTCTTTGCACTGTGTTAGACATAGGTAAAAGAATGTCTCAGCACTGTACCTTCATGTAGAAAATGTAATTAATAGCAAATTGCATAAAAGTACACTAAAATTTTAATTCTTACATCATTTTAATAAATTTCTTGAGATTTTACTTTATTTAGTGTGTCATTAAAACACAGGATTTAAGGACGATATATGTAATAAAGGAAAATAGTAAGTTACCATTCTTGTGTAAACACGTTTTGTAAATACTATTTCAACAAAGATTTAAAAGTTAATTACAAAGGTATAAAGTTATGAAGTATTATATAAACCGGATTCATAATTTTGTTTTAAATGGTCTTTTCATGTATCAAAATACTATCAGTTTAAAACAATCTCTTTTTTTAAGGCAGTAGGCTCTGTTTACCATCATTTACAATTGCTTTAATTAGAATTTTCTTCACTTTCAGTATATTCAAGAGCTATTCTGTTAGCCATAATTTTTAAGATAAAGTTTATCCAAATAGAAAAGTAATTATATAATGATTAAGAGCCAGAATGTCTGGGTTCAAATTACAGTTCTGCTACTTCTCAGGTATAAGAATTTGGGCAAATTTCTTAGTTTCTCTGTGCTTCAGTTCCCTGATCTGTAAAACTGGGATAACAAGACTACCTGCCTCAATCTGTGGTTATGAGTAAATGAGTTAATACATAAGAGCAATGCAATAATCCTTGGAATGTGGTATGAGTTAAATAAACATTAGCTATTATTATTATAGTAAATTAGAAATTTAATTCTAGAGAATAAAAAGCTGAACTCAAATATGTAACTATTTATTTGATACAGACACATTTTCTACAAAATAAAAAACCGTCAGTTTGCACTTCCCTTATATAATGACTATTCTGGTGTTTGTGTGTATCTGTTGTGGGTCAGAGTTTTGGGCTGCGTAAATAATCACTAAAAATTTTAAAAACTTCCGATTAAAACAGAAATAAGAACAAATGGCCATTCATGGATCACTGGCAAAGCTGAACGAATACCTGACATGTCTTTCTGTGATTCCTTGCAGATATCATGGAAATCAGGACAGTGGCAGTTGGGATTGTGGCAATCAAAGGGGTGGAAAGTGAATTCTATCTTGCAATGAATGAGGAAGGAAAACTCTATGCAAAGGTATTGATAATTGATCGCTTAGGCTTAATTTTTAAAACTCATTTTTGTCAAAATATCTCACCATTCTGAAAAGGAAAAATGGACTTAATTTATCTCCAACTGTGTAATTTAATGATTTTATTAAAACACTTTATACTCAAACGTTAAGAAAAAATGTTTTCTGTGTGACTTTGGACAAATGGCTTGTTCTTTGGATTTTGGTTTCTTCATCTGTAAAATGATTTGAATTAGCTGACCTCTAAGGATCCTTCCAGCTCTAAAATTCCATGTGCATTTTAGATATTTAAAATCCAAAATTTCCATTTGCCAGTATTAAAGCTCTTTTTGTTAAAGTTCACCCAATTTGCACATTGCTGACATGAAAATTCTTGGGAAAAAATCTTGAAATGTTTAGTTCATTCATCAACATCAATCTCACAATCATGGGCTTTGAACTGTAATTATTCACATTGTTCCCACTTCACTACAATGCAAAATATGTAACAGTTCATCCCACTGTAATAAAATATGATTGGCTTTCCTTTGTATTCCCAGAGCTCAGTATAATGCCTGGAGCAGGCTAATTATATAATGATACAGGTTTAATTGAATGAACAAATGGTTGCGTGCATGAACAAACAAATTAACCTTTTATCTTCCATTACCATTGAAGACAATGTAGAAGTAAATAAAGAAAAGTTATGAAACAAGTCTCTCACCGAGGGAGGCAGATGTTCTGCTAGTTATACCAAATTTCCAGTGGTTAAAGAATGAGTGATATGGGAATAGTAATATGAGGCCTGTTACTTAGGGGGAAATAGGTCCTAATTTTAAAGAATAGTTGACATGAACTTCCAAAAAGCTACACATATTTCATAACTAGCTGTGTATTATGTGGTGTTTTTATTTCAAATTTAAGATACCTTTTTATGCAAATATACTACATAAGTATAGCTAATAAACCACATTAGGCCTGCTCAATCTGAGGGTTAAAAAAAGTTGTGTATGTTTCAATTCTAACAAATATTACCTGCTTACTCTTCGTTTAATTGAGCCTCTCTAAAAATCATTTGGATCATGTTTGTTTGTTTGTTTGTTTGTTTTAACAGAAAGAATGCAATGAAGATTGTAACTTCAAAGGACTAATTCTGGAAAACCATTACAACACATATGCCTCAGCTAAATGGACACACAATGGAGGGGAAATGTTTGTTGCCTTAAATCAAAAGGGGATTCCTGTAAGGAAAAAAAATGAAGAAAGAACAAAAACAGCCCACTTTGTTCCTATGGCAATAACTTAATTGCATATGGTATATAAAGAACCAGTTCCAGCAGGGAGATTTCTTTAAGTGGACTGTTTTCTTTCTTCTCAAAATTTTCTTTCCTTTTATTTTTTAGTAATCAAGAAAGGCTGGAAAACTACTGAAAAACTGATCAAGCTGGACTTGTGCATTTATGTTTGTTTTAAGACACTGCATTAAAGAAAGATTTGAAAAGTATACACAAAAATCAGATTTAGTAACTAAAGGTTGTACAAAATTGTAAAACTGGTTGTACAATCATGATGTTAGTAATGGTAATTTTTTTAAATTAATTTACCCTTAAGAGTATGTTAGATTTGATTACCTGATAATGATTATTTAAATATTCCTATCTGCTTATAAAATGGCTGCTATAATAATAATAATGCAGATGATGTTATATAAGGTATATCAGACCTACAGGCTGCTGGCAGGATTTGTCAGATAATCAAGCCACACTAACTTTGGAAAATGAGCAGCCTTTTAAATGCTTTCTAGTGAAAAATTATAATCTACTTAAACTCTAATCAGAAAAAAAGAATATTCTCAAAAAAATCTATTATGAAAGTCAATAAAATAGATAATTTAACAAAAGTACAGGATTAGAACATGCTTATACCTATTAACAAGAACAAAATTTCTAATGCTGCTCAAGTGGAAAGGGTATTGCTAAAAGGATGTTTCCAAAAATCTTGTATATAAGATAGCAACAGTGATTGATGATAATACTGTACTTCATCTTATTTGCCACAAAATAACATTTTATAATTCCTCAAAGTAAAATTGAGAAATCTTTAAGTTTTTTTCAAGTAACATAATCTATCTTTGTATAATTCATATTTGGGAATATGGCCTTTAATAATGTTCTTCCCACAAATAATCATGCTTTTTTCCTACGGTTACAGCATTAAACTCTATTTTAAGTTGTTTTTGAATTTTATTGTTTTGTTATTTAAGTTTATTTTATTTATTAAAAACCTTAATAAGCTGTATCTGTTTCATATGCTTTTAATTTTAAAGGAATAACAAAACTGTCTGGCTCAACTGCAAGTTTCCCTCCCCTTTGTGACTGACACTAAGTCTAGCACACAGCACTTGAGCCAGCAAATCCTGGAAGGCAGACAAAAATGAGAGCCTGAAGCAATGCTTACAATAGATGTCTCACACAGAACAATACAAATATGTAAAAAATCTTTCACCACATATTCTTGCCAATTAATTGGATCATATAAGTAAAATCATTACAAATATAAGTATTTACAGGATTTTAAAGTTAGAATATATTTGAATGCATGGGTAGAAAAGTATCATATTTTAAAACTATGTATATTTAAATTTAGTAATTTTCTAATCTTTAGAAATCTCTGCTGTTCAAAAGGTGGCAACACTGAAAGTTGTTTTCCTGTTAGATGCAAGAGCACAATGCCCAACATAGAAGATACAGTTAGGAATAAGGGGCCCTGAATGTCATGAAGGCTTGAGGTCAGCCTACAGATAACAGGATTATTACAAAGATGAATTTCCACTTCCAAAGTCTTTCATTGGCAGATCTTGGTAGCACTTTATATGTTCACCAATGGGAGGTCAACATTTATCTAATTTAAAAGGTTTGTAACCATTGTGGTTTTAATTTCAAAATATTTGTCATTCAAGTCCCTTTACATAAATAGTATTTGGTAATACATTTATAGATGAGAGTTATATGAAAAGGCTAGGTCAACAAAACAATAGATTCATTTAATTTTCCTGTGGTTGACCTATACGACCAGGATGCAGAAAACTAGAAAGAACTGTCCTTCCTCAGATATACTCCTGGGAGAGAGCATGAATGGTATTCTGAACTATCACCTGTTTCAAGGACTTTGCTAGCTAGGTTTTGAAATCAGGCTTCAGTAACTGTAGTCTTGTGAGCATATTGAGGGCAGAGGAGGACTTAGTCTTTCATATGTGTTTCCTTAGTGCCTACCAGACTATCTGTTCATAATCAGTTTTCAGTGTGAATTCATTGAATGTTTATAGACAAAAGAAAATACATAATAAAACTAATCTTCATTTTGAAAGGGTAAAACATGACTACACAGAAATTTAAATAGAAATAGTGTATATACATATAAAATACAAGCTATGTTAGGACCAAATGCTCTTTGTCTATGGAGTTATACTTCCATCCAATTACATAGCAATGCTGAATTAGGCAAAACCAATATTTAGTAGTAAATCCATTCCTGGTAGTGTAAATCACCTAAAAAAGACTTCTAGAAATATGTACTTTAATTATTTGTTTTTCTCCTATTTTTAAATTATGCAAATTTTAGAAAATAAAATTTGCTCCAGTTACACACACTTAGAATTCTAGAATCTTAAAACTGTAAGGGGCCTCCATCCCTCTTACTCATTTGTAGTCTAGGAGATCGAGATTTTGATAAACCTAAGGTCATGCAGCTGGGTAGATATACAACTGTCACAAGAGTCTAGATCAGTTGGCACATGCTTTCTACACTAGATCATTAGTATTATTAGCTAATGGTCTTCTGCATTTTTTTGTTTTTGATTTCTATTGAGATATAGCCTTTACATTTGTACACAAATGTGACTATGTCTTGGCAATGCACTTCATACAGAATGACTAATCTATACTGTGATGATTTGACAAAAAGGAGAAAAGAAATTATGTAGTTTTCAATTCAGATTCCTATTCACCTTTTGTTTATGAATGGAAAGCTTTGTGCAAAATATACATATAAACAGAGTAAGCCTTTTAAAAATGTTATTTGAAAGATAAAATCAAATACATGAGTTTCTAACAATTAGAAAGGAAAAAATTAAAATATGAAATGATAACAAAAGTAAACAGAAGATACTTTCAAAGCAGTGAACAAAACATTTTGACATAAACCATAATATAAATTATAATATAAAAATATAAAAACCATAGTATAAATTGTCAGCCTTTGAGTTGGCTACAAATTCAATTTAATGACAGAAGAGAAGGGATGCTGGAGGTAAATTCTTAGGGTTTCTATCTCATAGAGTTTGCTCTTCTGGTTCTCTAGACTGCCAAAGAACATAAAGATGTACGAGGGGACCTAGCTGTGGTAAAAGCATTCCTATAACAACAAAAACTCTAAAACGGTGCCCCTCACGATTTTCTACTGAAATTTCTCTAATAGTAGAGGTATAAAATATGAAGTTAGAGAATAATGCAAAGGGGGCCCACCACAGACAGCACATTTCTTTTCTCTTAAGACTCATGTGATTTTTGCATCTTACTCCATAATGTATTAGTGGTTGCGTTAATATGACAATGACTGCAATTAAACACCAGTAAGCAAAATTGATACCTCAGAATGACTTGCAGGGCTTATCATGCAGTTTCATTTACATCCCTACCCCACTGCCATTTACTTGAGCATGAATGATACATGAGAGAGTCTTTGCCTCCCATAATCCAACTTTACACATAAATAACACAAGGCTAAAGAAAACCAGAACTCAAATTCACCATGCATAGGAGTGATAACTAAAATATTTAACAGTCGGTATAGGTGATTACTGGCCAATCAGAATACATCACTGATATATCGAAATGGATGCAGGCCACTGTGACTAACTTGTGGGTATCATTTCTATGATCACCTTAAAGCAGAGTTGGGAAAATGTCTATTAACTGGTCTCTCTGGTTTGAATTCTCAATATGTATCTTAATATGAAATAGCTCATTAAAACTTCATGTGTAACTATTTCAGCACTGTTGTCAGCTACTCTTTATTCCACTTCTGTACAGTATTTATTCAACCAAGCTGCTGCTTTCAGTGAAGGTCACTTGTTCCTTCAGGGACACATATACTCCCACCTATCCTTTAATTTTGAATGGTTTGTCAAGAAAATTTACTTTCTCTTGAGTTGAAAAGACTTGACAGGAAGCAAGAAATAATACAGTCCTAGCCTCTTTCCAGTAACATCTGATTTCTCCATTCTCAAACTACACTTCTCAGGGAACCAGATATTTACTCTCATCTGGGAAGATGTCGCTTATGTTTTCCTTTTACTTCCTGGTTTTCATGTGGTTGCATTTTCCAAATTCTTATCATTGAATTTATGAGAGCCTATCCAAATTTATTTTCTTTCATTTATATTCTAATAATTGAAATGTGAGATGAAAATAACATTTCACTTATGAAAAACCCTTCTCTTATTGAATCCTTCCATGTGGTAGTTATCTATTGCTGTGTAACAAATTAAAACTTAATGGCTTGAAACAAATATTTGTTTTCTCATAGTTTATGTGGCTCAGGAGCCTGGACATGGTTCAGCACAGTGTTTTTGGTCAGAATTCCTCATGAGGTGCAATCAAGGTGTAGCCCAGAGCTGTAGTCATCTATCTCAATATTCAACTCAGAAAGGGATCCACCTTAGATCCTCACTGGCTGTTATCAGGACCTATCACTTCCTTACCACATGGACCTCTCCATAGCACTGCTTACAATATTACAGTCTGTTTCCCACGGAGCAAGAAATCAGAGTGTGAGATAAAGTACCCAAAATGGAAGCCACAGGTTTGTTTGTTTGTTTTAATATATATAACCTAGTTTCAAAAGTGATGTTACCTCTGCCTACACTCATGAGGAGGGTATTATACAAAGGCATACATACCAGAAAGCAGGGATCACTGGAAGCCATTTTACAGGCTGCCTAATCCAAGTCATAAACTAGATGTTTTTAATGTCACTGCCATAAACTGGGATTCTACAGGGTCTAATGAGAGTAATTC
Organism: Homo sapiens; assembly: GCF_000001405.40. NCBI lineage: Eukaryota > Metazoa > Chordata > Mammalia > Primates > Hominidae > Homo > Homo sapiens. The sequence goes on from NC_000021.9 coordinate 13,355,420, forward strand.
ATGGCTTTCAGTGGGGATCCATTCAGCAGAGAAAGAGATGAAATATGTATATTCTCTGTGGAAACATTCTTGATTCTTCCTTGAAGGATACTGCGTGGTCCATTCCTACACAGGATAATTAAGAAAAGGTTTGAACCAATCTGGACTTCCTATTAGCCTGAGATGTGGCTACTTAGAACTTCCAATGAAGCTGGAAAACTAACAATATGCCTTTGCCTCCACATGAAGCAAATTACCCTGCCATCAGACTCAACATGAAGATAATCCTCCCTTTGGCTGCCCTACCTCAAGAGAATAAGATCATAGATTCCAGCTGGAATTCCTCTGGGCCATAGAGTGTTTTGTTCTAGATGCTGAAGGCAATCAGCCACCATTTACCCAAGACCGTCTGAGAATAAGACCTAAAAAGACTTGAAAACAATTGATTTCAATGGTAGGTACACACTGGTATCCCCTGTTCCGTATATATCTATAGATATATAGATATAAACAGAACAGGAGATATACATATATATATATATATATATATATAGAGAGAGAGAGAGAGAGAGAGAGACAGAGAGAGAGAAAGAGAGAGAGAGAGAGAGAGAGAGAGACACCTAGGCCCCAACTCAGGCCAATTACATCAGTGTATATGACAGGTGGCCCATGCAGTGGTATTTTAAAAATTCCCCAGAAGATTCTAATGTGCCTCTGCAGTTGAGAACTAATTAGGTAAATGCAAACAACAACAAAAACCAAAAAACCTCTTCAGAAACTATGCCTGCTTCTTCATCTTTGTCTCTTCTTTAAACACCTTGAAAGGCCTTATTCCCTCCCAGCCCTTCCTGCCCCTAGGTTTTCCTAGATGCCTCCATATTTTCTGCTATGCACAACTGGGGCTCACAGGAAATGTAGGCACTAGAAAGAGAGTTACAATTGTTTTTGCATCAGAATGATTATGGAACAGAAAAGGGCATTTCATGCAAATGGACACCAAAAGCCAGCAGCAGTAGCTATTCTCATATGAGACAAAACAAACTTTAAAGCAACAGTAGCTAAAAGAGACAAAGACAGGCAGTATATAATGGTAAAGGTCTCATCCAACAGAAAAATATGACAATCCTAAACATACATGAACCTAACACTGGAGCTCCCAAATTTATAAAACAATTACTAGTAGACATAAGAAATGAGATAGACAGCAACACAATGATAGTGGGGGACTTCAATACTCCACTGACAGCACTAGACAGGTCATCAAGACAGAAAGTCAACAAAGAAACACTGGATTTAAACTATACTTTGGAACAAATGGACTTAACAGATATATACAGAACATTTCATCCAACAACCACAGAATACACATTCTATTCAACAGCACATGGAATTTTCTCTAAGATAGACCATATGATAGGCCATAAAATGAGTCTCAGTAAATTGAAGAAAATTGAAATTGTATCACGCACTCTCTCAGATCACAGTGGAACAAAACTGAAAATCAACTCCAAAAGGAATCTTCAAAACCATGCAAATACATGGAATTTAAATAACCTACTCCTGAATGAGCATTGGGTGAAAAACGAAATCATGATGGAAATGTAAAAAATTTCTTCGAACTGGATGACACAACCTATCAAGACCTCTGGGATACAGCAAAGGCAGTGCTAAGAGGAAAGTTTGTAGCCCTAAACACCGACGTCAAAAAGTCTGAAAGAGCACAAACAGACAATCTAAGTTCACATCTCAGGGAACCAGAGAAGCAGGAACAAGCCAAACCCAATCCCAGCAAACAAAGGAAATAACCAAGATCAGAGCAGAACTAAATGAAATTGACACAAGAACAACAACAACAAATACAAAACATAAATAAAACAAAAAGTTGGTTATTTGAAAAGATAAATAAAATTGATAGACTATTAGCAAGATTAACCAAGAAAAGAAGAGAGAAAATCCAAATAACCTCACTAAGAAATGAAACAGGGGATATTACAACTGACACCACTGAAATATTAAAGGTTATTCAAGGGTACTATTAACACCTTTTGGCACATAAACTAGAAAACCTAGAAGAGTTGGATAAACTGCTGGAAAAATACAACCCTCCTAACTTAAATCAGGAAGAATTAGATACCCCAAGCAGACCAATAAATCAAGCAGCAAGATTGAAATGGTAATTTTAAAATTTCCAAAAAAAAAAGCCGAAGACCAGACAGATTCAGAGCAGAATTCTACCAGACATTCAAAGAATGTCTTCTTTCATTCAGAGAAGAAATGATACCAATCCTTTCACACTATTCCACAAGACAGAGAAAGAAGAAACCCTCCCTGATTCATTCTATGAAGCCAGCATCACCCTAATACCAAAACCATGAAAGAACATAACCAAAAAAGAAAACTACAGACCAATATCCTTGATGAACACAGAATCCAAAATCCCTAACAAAATACTATCTAACTGAATCCAACAACATATCAAAAACATAATCCACCATGATCAAGTGTGTTTCATACCAATGATACAGGAATGGTTTAACATATGCAAGTCAATAAATGTGATACACCAAATAAACAGAATTAAAAAAACTCACACGATTATATCAACAGATGCAGAAAAAGCATTTGACAAAATCTAGCATTGCTTTATGATTAAAGCTCTCAGCAAAATAGGCATACAAGGGACATACCTTAATGTAATAAAAGCCATCTAGGACAAACCCACAGCCACCATAATACTGAATGGGGAAAAGGTGAAAGCATTCCCTTTGAGAACTGAAGCAAGATGAGGAGCCTACTCTCACCACTCCTCTTCAACATAGTACTGGAAGTCCTAGCCAGAGCAATCAGACAAAAGAAGGAAATAGAGGAAATCCAAATCAGTAAAGAGGAAGTCAAACTGTCACTGGTTGCTGATGATATGACCTTTCTCCTTGAGAACCCTATGGACTCCTCTAGAAAGCTCCTAGAACTGATGAAAGAATTCAGCAAAGTTTCCAGATACAAGATTAATGGACACAAATCAGTAGCTCTTCTATACATCAACAGCTACCAAGCAGAGAATCACATCAAGAACTCAACCCCTTTTACAATAGCTGCAAAAAACGAACAAAAATAAAACAACAAAACTTAGGAATATACCTAGCAAAGGAATCAAAAGACCTCTACAGTGAAAATTACAAAACAATGCTGAAAGAAATCATAGAGGGAGCCAAGCATGGTGGTGCATGCCTATAATCCCAGCTACTCGGGAAGCTGAGGCAGGAGAATCACTTGAACCCGGTAGGCAGAAGTTGTAGTGAGCCAAAATCACACCATTGCACTCCCACCTCAGCGACAAGAGCGAAACTCCCTCTGAAAAAAAAAAAAAAAAAAACAAGAAAGAAAAGAAATCATAGATGACACAAACAAATGGAAACGCATCCCCATGCTCATGGATGGGTAGAACCAATATTGTGAAAATTACCATTCTGTTAAAGGCAATCTACAAATTCAATGCAATCCCCATCTGAATACCACCGTCATTCTTCACAGAATTACAAAAACAATTCTAAAATTAATATGGAACCAAAAGAAAGCCATGTAGTCAGACCAAGGCTAAGCAAAAAGAACAAACCTGGAGGCATCACATTACTTGATTTCAAACTGTACAATAAGGCCATAGTTACCAAAGCAGCATGGTACTGGTTTAAAAATAGGCACATAGACCAATGGAACAGAAGAGAGAACCCAGAAATTAACCCAAATACTTACAGCCAACTGATCTTCGACAAAGTAAACAAAAACATAAAGTGGGGAAAGGACACCCTTTTCAACACATGATGTTGGGATAATTGGCGAGCCACATGTAGGGGAATAAAACTGGATTCTCATCTCTCACCTTATACAAAAATCTACTCAAGATGGATTAAGAACTTAAACCTAATTCCTGAACCATAAAAATTCTACAAGATAACACTGGATAAACCCTTCTAGACATTGGTATAGGCAAGGATTTCATGACCAAGAACCCAAATGCAAATGCAATAAAAACAAAGATAAATAGCTGGGACTTAATTAAACTAAAGAGCTTCTGCATTGCAAAGGAAACAGTCAGCAGAGTAGACAACCCACAGAGTAGGACCCCTGACCCTGACCCGTGACCCTGACCCTTAACCCCTGACCCTGACCCCTATCCCCTGACCCTGACCCCTATCCCCTGACCCTAACCCCTAACCCCTAACCCCGGACCCTTAACCCTAACCCCTAACCCCAACCCTCACTCTCACCCTAACCCCTAATCCCAAACCACTAACCTCTCTTAACCCCTAACTCTAAACGTTGACTCCTAACCCTTAACTCTGACCCTAACTCCTATCTCCAACCCCTAACCCTAAACTTAACCCCTAACCCCTAACCCTAACACCAACCTTAACCCTAGGTTCGTTACTACGTTTGTATTGACTATGTCAATGTTGATTGTTATGATCGCTGTCTCAGGACTGCACGGCAGCGAGGGGATTGCGGATCTTATATTAATATTTTTGTATTGAGGCAGTGCATTAGCATTACAGGTGCTTGTTACATGAGCAATGGGGGTGTCATATTTTGGGTGTCATGTCTGCATTAGGAATGTTGCATTTGTCTTCCGAGGCTGCGGTGTGGATCTTGCACTGTGGCCGCCTCGCCTTGGCTGGGGAGAACCTCGGTGGGCAGGATTCAGAGGGGCTTTTGGTTTCCCGTTTTCCACACTGAACCCTTCTAACTGGTCTCTGACCCTGATTATTCAGGGCTGCAAACAGGAAGGATTTTATTCACTGTCGATGTGGCCCCGAGTTGTCCCAAAGCGAGGCAGTGCCCGCAAGGTCTGTGCTGAGGAGAACACTGCTCTGCCTTCGCGGTGTCCCCCGGGTCTGTGCTGAGCAGAACGCAGCTGCACCCTCGCGGTGCCCCCGGCCTGCCTGCCCGCCCAGGTCTGTGCTGAGGAGAACACTGCTCTGCCTTTGCTATATCTCTGAAGTCTGTGCAGAGGAGAACTCAGCTCCGCCCTCGCTATATCTCCGAAGTCTGTGCAGAGGAGAACTCAGCTCCGCCCTCGCAAGAGGGTGACTGGGTAGCTGATGAATGGCAGCCCCTCCTGCCTGAATGCCCTCTATTGCTGGGCATTGCTGCACAGCACCTTTTTCCTGGCCTTAATACTTACTTAACAATCTTTTAGAGAGCTCCACGCCTAACACGGAATCTTAAAATGTGACATTCTTCCTATAAAATCAATAGTTAAACCACATTTTGTAAATTCATACCAAAATAGAAACCCAGGAAAAAAAGCACCCCTTTTGTCCTCTATTTTAATAATAAGAGGGAAAGGGGGCTGGGCTAAAGGGAGGGGCTGGGCTAAAGGGAACGGCTGCCCTTTCTGTGTGTGGAAAGCTATAATTTAAATATGCACACCAGATTTTCAAGCAGCACACTCTAAAGCATCAGCCCTGTTATTCGGATGATGGAGTTTGCAGACTTTCTGTTTGCCCTCCTCTTGCTTTTCCCACCTTTGGGGCTTTTCACTGTCCCCAGAAACCCAACCTTAGAATCGAGAAAGAAGGCAAAGACCGTATCTAATAGACTCATAAGCTCCTTATTAATAATAGTGCAGTAAAGTGTAAATGGGGTAGGTGCCTTTTTTTGCAAAACGAAGTTTCTAGATTCTCTGTGTTGCATTTAGCCAGGCCCTCATTTCTAACCACAGGGTAGAAAATCAAGTTAACAAAGACCGTGTTTTGTCCTTCTATTTCCATACGGACGTCATGTTTCACACCTGCACTCCTGTCTGCTCGGTTCCACAAAGGGAGAGTAACCACTGAGTGCATTTTAAATGTTCTTTGACTGCTTGCGTTTTCAAAAGCACAGCACACGAGCATCTCGGTCAAGATGAGCTGGTAGGACCTCTCCTGACACCCTATTCCCTCACAGTGGACCTCTCACTGGAAACCTCCACTTTTGCTGCTTAGCTCAGTGTGTCTCTGCAAATAGGCATGTTTAAGCAAAGAATAAATGCCTAAGGCGATGCAGGTGGGTAGCAGGGGAGAGTCAGGGAGACAAAAAGAACAGTAGCACTTACATGGAGCTCTGCCACCTTTTGGGCTAACATGGTCATGAACAGATCAGGAACCTGAGGCAATCAAAGGACTTCACCCCACAAAGCCAGGGCACTCTCAGGAGCTGGAAAACCCAGGAGAATTTCCACATATTCCTGAGAGTTCCTCGTGCATTACCTTTAGTGCCTCATTAGCAGGAATGGGTCCTTCTGTGGCTTCACCAGACTGTTTCGCAGTAGAAAGAGGACAGACCAAGGAGCCCCAGTCCCACCTGTGACCTCAGGCAGTCACCTGACACCTCTGAGCCTCAGTTTTCTCATCTGTTCAGTGGGGATGGTATATTTCTCCTTACAGGGCTGTGGAAAGGACAACATAATCTTACACAGAAAAAGTAGTACTAAGCTAACATTGGTTGAGTGCCTATTACATTCTACACAACGCGCTAAGTACTTTGCATATTTTGTCTCATTGAATTCTGATGACAACCCTGTGAAGTAGGAACTCTTACTATCCCCCATGCTATGGATGCAGAAACTGGGGCTCAGAGCAGTTAAGTACCTGGCCAAAGGCCAGAAAGTCAACTAGAATTGATGTGTCCATTTTCATTCATTCATTCATTCATTCATCATTTATTGAGTACCCGTTCCACGCCAGGCAATGAGAAGCAAATCACAAATACTCCCTGCCCCATGGCACTGACAGTCTTGTTACTGCAAAGTACAAGGTGCAGAGTAAATGGAAGTCAAATCAGATTCCAACTTCTACTCAACTCCCAGTAGGCCCCAGACTAAACTCTCCAGAACAATGGTACTGCTCCTGTGGTTTTGCCTGGTGCTCACGATTGAGACATACTCAAAGAAGAGACTGCTGGCTCTGCAGGTCCTCCAGGGACAGAAGCCAGGAATGTTGGCCAATACAGAAACATCATAAACATTTTCCTTGTATTTGATGCATTCCTGGACCCATAGATCTGAAAGCAACCTTGAGAATGCATTGAATTTATTTCTCTGAATCTGAGGAAGATTACATTTAAACTTTGCGTGACAGAGATCCAGCTAGGGAATCTTCACCTTAAAAACCTGGCTAAACAAAGCTCGTATTCATAAACAGGTGAACTTAAGGGCATCCCCATGCTTTTAAATAGTGAACACTCTGGTGCATTTTAAGCAGGACTGATTCAGTGTATTCTCTTAGCACACAGTTTTCAGGAACGCAAAATATACCTGTGCCCAGCATCTTAAGTCTTTTAAAAAGTAGATGATGCCTTTCTCTCTGTTCACTTACAAGCTCACGCCTTTCAAAGCATTTGTTTGGAAGTCCTTCCTTAAATCTAACCTGAATCCAACCTGCTGTGCTTAAGGTTACCTCAGTAATCTTTCTAATACAACCCAAGAGAGAAGGACTGGAGGGAAGAATTTAAGACCCCCATGAGATCAGGAGCAGACTCCTAAGTTAGTTGTATCACTTGTGGCTAAATGTTGGTATCATTTCCCTAATTTTTTCTAGCCACTCCCAGGCACTCCAACTGACTCTGAGAATTTTCTTCTTGAACACACTTAAAGAAGCATCTGAAATTTGTGCCATGCAGCTTAGCACTTACTCAACAAGGATGAATCTTAGAGACCATCAAGTTTTGCCCTTGCAGGAGAGAAGAGGAAACTGAGATTCAGAGAACTGTGACTTAATCAAGGACACATAGCAAGTCTGTGGCAAAGCTGGGAAGGTGACCCAAACTCCAGACCCCAAGCCCAGTGCTTTTTTTTTTTTTCAGATCTATGTCTCCCCCACATCTGACTCTGTTTTCCTGAGGTCCAGAGCCATGCCCTGTTCCTTTTTAGGAGTCTCACGACCCAGGCTTAGGCACATTAGTTGTCCAAAGCACACTTGGCTTGCTCTGACTTGAACAGTACAATGAGCTATGTCTTAGTTTCAGGCAAGACCACCTTGACCATGGGACATGAAAAGGCACTCTATGGGGCCTCTACTATGATGTAGCAGGGACTGTGTTAGCACATTGCTATAGCCCTGGGAAGCAAGAATTCTTAGCGCCCATTGCCCAGATGAAGAAACTCACTTTCAGAGAGGGTAAAGAATGTCTCTATGGTACCACAGCTATACAGTGGCCAGGCTGGAATTCAAAACCAGGTTTGCCTGCCTCCTTCTCCTGTATGATACTGCTTCATAAACAGTCCCCAGAACCTTAATGACCAGGTGGAACGAACCAACAAGGTCATGCTGAAATTGTGCACCAGTGCCCTAATGACCAAGAGAAAATACATTTCATTCAATTCAAAGGTATAAAGATGTAAGGTAGAAGCCACCAACTGTGGACATGGAGGAGCCTCAGAGTGACAGCACCTGCTGTCCAGGGGCTCCTCCTCCTCTCTTCCCTCGCAGTTTCTCTCTCCCTTCCTTTAACACTTATTGACTATGCCAGCCACACAGTAAGCGCTCAATAAGTGTTTGGGCCCATAACCTTCCTATGGGAAAGCCCCTTCACGTTCTGAACATGGCCTGGCACTGTCCAGATGCCCTTCTGTCCTGTGTGGTCCTGGGCAGGGGCATCTCCTTCTCTTCCAGGACCGCTCTGAACCCTAACTTGATGGCAGCTGCCTGGCAATCTCATCATCCTCCTGACATGGCCATGTAGCTTCTCAGCTTCCATCATTCCCGAAAGTCTGCAAGGTTATGGGGTTGCCTTGCTCCAGAGGACACAAAATCGCTTAGCTCTGCTTGGATTTGCTCTTGGCTAGTGGAGACCTGTGACTGCTCTTCCGCTCCCTTGAGCCTTCCTCATGGAGGTTTGCTGAGGCACAGTCTGCGATTGATTCCTCATGCTCCTGCTAGGTTTTAACAGCTGGTGAAAACGTCTGCTCATATTTCACTCACACTCCCCTGGCTGTGGGTTCAAGTCACTGTTGATTTGGTCATTGGGTTACACACATATGCAGCCTGGGGTGGACCTGTATGAGTCTTCCCAGAATCAGCGGCCTTGACCTCTCATGAGGTCACTCCCCTAGGCTTTGAGAACCACTCCTTGAATATCATCTTGGAACGCGTAAAACAAACAACAAGAGGTTTGAAAGGGCTCAGGACTCTGCATTTGAAGAATCAAACTATACTATCTTCTGGGCAAGTCACTCCCCTCCTTGTACATGAGTTATTCCATTCATAAAAGGGAAGAACAGGGATAGATAAGCTTATAGGTCCCTTCTGCACCCAGGCTCTGCCTGATTCTGCTGAACCACAACTTCGGGAGGGTGGCCAAGAGGTCTTTCTGGTCCCTACTAACCGCTTTCATCTATTCCCTTAACCTGAGGTCTGAAAACACTTTTTTTTTGGCTTCAAAATACAAAAAGAGAAAACTGAAAAATCGAAATAGATAAAACTTTAATTAAATGTCTACATAATGGAATGTTATGAAAACATCATTAATTGTTAAAGTTGATGTTCATACAAATTGTATTACACTTAAAAACAATTTGTTCCTTAGAATTACTCACTTTGAAAGGGTTTTCAAATAAGTCCAGCGATTGCTAAGGCCTCATAGCCATGAATTAGTCACAGCCAACCACAAGCAAAATCATTAAAACCTCTTTTAAACATACTACAGCAAATAATAATAATAATTAACGTGAAATGTGGGTGACTTTCAGTATGTTTGATAAAATGTGGGTTGAAATCTCCAAAAGGAAGAGCGTTCAGGGTCTTCGAAAGTCTTAGGATTACTGTAGAACCAGAGTATAGAATATGCACTCATATTTATAAATCACTTACTCTGTGCCAGGCTCTTCTGAAGCCCTTCCCATGCATTAACTCACTTAATTGGTGAGACAATTCTTGAGGTAGACACAATCACCATTCCTATTCTACAGGTGAGGAAACTGACTAAGCAAGTAAGTGGCACAGCTAGAATGGAAATCAATGGCACCAGGGCTCATGTTCTCAGCCACCTTACCACATACAAAGCTTGCCGTGCCGGGTGTTTCCCCGGGAGGAAACAATTGCTGGCAGGTTAAGAAGGGAGGGAGGTACATCTCCCTAATGAGGAGTGCACTTGACACCGAGTTAAATGGAACCCATTCCTCGCTCGGCTCTACTGCTACTTGCTAACTCCTCTGTGGTTCTCTTCTGCCCACAGAGGTCTCCTCTGTAGCTGACTCTCAGCCTCGCCTAATGCTATTAATAATAAAGAGCTGATGTTATTGAGAGCTCCATCAGCATTTTATACAGGACTTAATCTCATTCAATCCCCATGACCTCCATTTCATAAACAAGGGAATTAGGGGTTTAGAGAACTGAAACAATTTGCCCACAGTCACATAGCTCTCAGAAATAGCAGAAGCCAGGATTCACACTCCAATCTTATTCTAAAGCCCAAATTCTCTCTCTTTTTTTTTTTTTGAGACCGAGTCTTGCTCTGTCACCCAGGCTGGAGTGCAATGGCACCATCTCGGCTCACTGCAACCTCTGCCTCCCAGGTTCAAGTGATTCTCCTGCCTCAGCCTCCTGAGTAGCTGGGATTACAGGTGCCTGCCACCAGGCCCAGCTAATTTTTTGTATTTTTAGTAGAGATGGGGTTTCACCATGTTGGCCAGGCTGGTCTCAAAATTCTGACCTCGTGATCCACCCACCTCGGCCTCCCCAAGTGCTGGGATTACAGGTGTGAGCCACCACGCCCGGCCCCAAATTATCTTTTAATTATAAAGATATACATATTGTTTAAACAATTCAATAAATAAGTATACTGAATAACAAAGTGAAGTCTTCCCTTTACCACAATCAACCTACTGTTCTGTCTCTAGCTGAGGCTCTCTTCCTACGTTCCACTGTCCCAGACTTCTGCAAAGTATTTATGTATCTATTTAGGTATCTGTCCATCTTTCCATTCCTCTCTCAATTATATATTCTGGTGGTTTCACTCTCCATGTGGCAACTCTACATCCAGGATCAAAACGGCATCAAAGGAAGCTTGGAACAGTGACAACCCCTACCTGAGATGTCTCCATTCTAGGGGCAAGGCTGCCTGGTCTGGTGCCTGGTATCCATGAGATTAGGAAAAGTAGGTGGGGTCCTGTCCACCCCTTCTATTCCCGAACGCTTGTCAGGGTTTCTGTGGCTAACATGCCAGTTGTATCGACTCCTGCACAGTCTCATGTGAAGTGCCACACTACATTCTCAGCCTGGAAGGTTTCAGGGCTCAGCTGGCTCAGATTCCATGTGTGGGGAGCATTAAGAAAAATAGGTCACCTGTATAAGACTAGTGGCAAAAATCTGACTCAGTGCTAATTCTCTGTTTGTCCTTTACTTAAAAGGAGAACCATAATTAAAATGATCCAGAAAAGAGAACCAAGCAGGAGACTGAGTTGCTTGGGGAAAGGACCATGCTGCATTGATTTCTACATAACCAATGGCAGCAGTGCATTGGATACACAACAGGTTCTCAATAAATTGTTAAATGGATAAGTTGATAGAATAAAAAACAAGGTCTCTTCCCAGTGCTGCATGCAAAAAAGCTGAGAGTGAATTCTTATTTGCAAAGATGAGAGATTTTTAGTCTTCTGATGGCTGTTTCCTCCTCTCTGTTTCCTTTGCCACAGTTTAGGGGCAAAAAAAAGTTTCCATCTCTCAGAAATGGTAGGAGAAACCCTTGGGGCTTAGCTAACAAATCAGGCTCTCTCTTTCCAAAGTTGTGAGAATAGAAATATTTCACCATCAGCACCAACAATGTCATTTGCATAAGGAAGTGACTTCCTAGCTGAGAGATGGTCAGAATAACATAGAGCCTAGGAGTGAAGGCAGTGAAGTTTGTGAGCCTAGGGCTCTGGTTCTGGTGTCTGCTTCGTGGCTGTGTGATCTTGGGCAAGTTTCCTACATTTTCTGCTTCTCAGTTTTGTCATCCATAAAATAACAACAGTACCTGCCTCAAATAGTGTGTGGGAGAGGCTTAAACAAGCTAATGTAAGTCAAATCTTGAGCACAATCTCTGGTGTAGCTATACATGCTTGTGTATATATCAGAAGCTCAAAATTATACCATTAGTATTAACAACATACTCTGGACCCTCATTATAATGCCATTTTCAATATCCCAACACTTGATTTCTATTGACAACTCCTAGGCTCAACTGTTCCTCCCACCTCGGCTTCCCGAGTAGCTGGGAATATAGCCACCATGGCTGGCTAATTTTTAATATATTTTTTTGTAGGGACAGGGTCTTGCTATGTTACCCAGGCTGGTCTCAAACTCCTGGCCTCAAGAAATCCTCCCACCTGGGCCTCCCCAAGTGCTAGGATTTACAGGCATGAGCCACCATGCCAAGCTCCCTTCCTCCCCTTTGTTCTCCTAACCCCATCTCAGCATCTGCCCCTGAGGACCAATGCAACAGGGCAATCAGTACATCCATGGACTTCCCAACAGTCCTGTGGTGGACTAACCCAGGGGCAATGGTCACTGTCCCCTCTGGTGCATTCTTTGTCCCCATCAGCCTAGTAAGCTCCAGGGGCTGGCAGCTGGCACAGAGTACGAGGCTGCACTCCTTGACCTTTCTATGCTGCACACAGTCCTGTGCCCATTCTGTCCTCAGATCTGCCGGGACCATGACCAACCTGCCAAGAGCGTGGGAATTGGTATGTGACCCAGCTCTAGGAGGAGGTGGAGCAAGCGAATGTAGGGGAAGCTGCTCACCCAGTAGGTTTAGAGGGAGGGTGGGGTGGGGGCGCAGCAGGACCAGGCAGGTGAGGGTGTGTGGGTGAGGATGTGCCGGTGTGGGTAGGGGTGTGTGGGTGGGGGTGTGCAGGTGGGGGTGTGTGGGTGGGGGTGTGCAGGTGGGGGTGTGTGGGTGAGGGTGTGTGGGTAGGGGTGTGTGGGTGAGGGTGTGCGGGTGAGGGTGTGTGGGTGAGGGTGTGTGGGTGAGGGTGTGCGTGTGAGGGTGTGTGGGTGAGGGTGTGCGGGTGAGGGTGGGGGTCTGCGGCTGGGGGTGTGTGGGTGGGGGTGTGTGGGTGTGGGTGAGGGTGTGTGGGTAGGGGTGTGTGGGTAGGGGTGGGTGGGTTAGGGTGTGAGTGCTGTTTGGCTCTTCTGGGTGGGGCTGGATGAATGTTTGGGCACCGGCAGCAGCTGTCACATGGCCTGGCTGCAGGTTTGGGACAGAAGCCAGGCAGGTGGGCTGTGTCAGGCACAGCTAGAAACTGTGCCAAGGAAGCAGACCAGAGCAGGGGCCAAGGGAAACCTCTGCCTTAGCAGAAGATACTGGGGAGACAGGATCAATCAGGGAGGTCTTTCAAGGCACATGGTGCTTCATGGAGCCAGGGCCCGGGACAGGGAGGGCTGTAACCCTGGCTTGCCTGATTGGCTGAGCACAGACAGATAGAAGAGGGTGTGGGCAGCCCGCTAGGTGGATGCCTAAGTGAGGAAGGAATGGGTGGCCAGGTGACTGAGACCCCCAAGACCAGGACCCCACTGTCAGGTCTGTGGCTTCCAAACGCCTGTGGGAAGTGTTCCCCTTTGGACACTGAGACCATCAGCTTCAGCTTCACACACTTTTCCAGACAAAGTCCCGTAGGTAACCTCAAAAGTCACTTCTGGCCTTCCCCAGAGGGGAAAGGAGAGGGGTGCCTGTGGGGAGGTGACCCTCAGTGCTGGTGGAGGGCACAGCAGAGAGACTGCCTGCATATGGGAGGCCCCCAGCAAACCTTGCCCAGACGTCACCCCTCATTTGAGGCAAACTGTAAAATTATTACAATTTAGGCCAGGGGCAGTGGCCCATGCCTGTAATCCCAGCACTTTGGGAGGCCATGGCAGAAGGATTGTCTGAGCCTGCAGTGAGCTATGACTACACCCCTGCACTTCAACCTGGTCAACAGAGGAAGACACTGTATCTAAAATAAATAGGCTTGGCGTGGTGGCTCACTCCTGTAATCCCAACACTTTGGGAGGCCGAGGCAGGTGGATCACCTGAGGTGAGGAGTTTGAGACCGGCATGATCAATATGGTGAAACCTCATCTCTACTAAAAACACAAAAATTAGCAGGTCGTGGTGGCCCGTGCCTGTAATCCCAGCTACTCAGGAGGCTGAGGCAGGAGAAATAGCTTGAACCCAGGAGGCAGAGGTTGCGGTGAGCCAAGGTCAGGCCACTGCACTCCAGCCTGGGCGACAGAGTGAGACCCCACCTCAAGAAAATAAATAAGATGGGAAAGCTATGTTCCTAACATTTTTCAAATGATAGTTCATACTAAAGAATGTTACCAATACTAATGCACAAAGCATTTTATAACTTTTAGACTATTAATAAAAGGTAAGACATGAAAACTGAAGTATTTGTAATCATGCTTAATACTGGAAGTTCCTATACCTGCAATGTAGCAGCTAATTATACAAAAATTTAATAAATGACAAAATAAAATTTTGCAAACAGATTTGTAAAAACCAGAAAGATATTTGTATTGGCAATTAATGTAACATAATTAAAAATAATTTATTATGGTCATCTGCTAAATGCTAATTAATGTAAAATGTTAAAAGATTATTTTAATTATGACATCTTAACTTTTAATGGCTTTAAATATTATAAATATAAAAAACGGGTTTCTAAATTTAAAAGAAGAATGACTAAATTTTTCAGAATTATTTCATATTTCTTGTCATACAACATAAGAACACCATCCATGTTTCCTTTTAGATTAGGAACCCTCCCTTATTATCTCACTGAAAGGAGAATGCTGGAAGGTGCTAGTAAGATGACTGTCTAAGGACTCCAGAACTGAATAAATTGTTTTGTGGCAATGCATGTCACTTCCCTAACTCAACTGGAAAAGGAGACAAAAACCTAGTGTTTTCAACCCTCAAGCTAGCAAGAAAACACAGCCCAGGTAAGCTCATCTCTTCTCCAATGGAGCTGGAGTCTACTCAACAAGAGGCGACCATTTAGAATAGAATTGTTCAGAAATTTGCTAACAACAAGCAGCCAACATAGACACATTCTCCTTAAATCTAAAATTCCCTTTTCCCCCACTAGGGTGCCTGAGGGGCATGTAGCAAAAGTGATCCCAACCACACCACACAAACTAGCCAGGAAACCTTTTTGCCTTCACACATCTGAGAGTCCGTGAGAAGCCAGAGACAACACGGAGGCAGCAGAACACCAACAGAAGAGTCCCAGCATCACTTCCTGGCCATAGAAGCCCTCCTGAGCAGCAGGCAGAACAGAATCCGCTATAGCAATCAGCCTGCCGGAGAAGCCTCTGCCCCTGTGGCCTGAGGTTCCAGTTTCCCCAGGTGACACCATGGGCAGGTGGGCTGAAGAAGTGGGAAGGTCAAATCAACTGGCCCAGCCAGGATGCCTCTTTGATGATACAAGTGATACCGGTCTAAGCCTCGCCTCTTCCACAGGGGAAACTAGGTGGCCCAAAGGGTGCCCAGAGGCAGGGGACCTGCCACAGCAGCCACCCTCCTGAGAGGTTCCCTTTCTTCCCCTTGGTGAACTCCCTCCAACACACAGCTTGCCAGGAAAGCACCCTGTGTCTTACATGGCGGGATCCCACGACACCAAAACCCAGGAAAGAAGCCTTTTGTCCCTTAAGGGTTATCACAACCAAAAACAAAATGATACACAAATAGTAAGCCCCTAAATTCTGTTAAGAACAAAACAATGCTGCCACTCACACCTGGCTCAGATGCCAGCAGAAGGAGGGCACCCTCCAGAGACTGCAGGAGAAGGGGGAGGACTCCTCCTTGCCCTGGCTGCACCTCCACCGTCACTGAGGCCTGCAGTACAGAACCAGCAGCTTCTTACACACCCCAGGCTGGGCCGGGCCCCAAAGCTCTCCTACTTCCCCTTCCTGGCCCCTAGACTGCTGCTGCTGCCACCATTAGCACCGACGCCAAAGGAACCAGCGCTGCTGTCACCCTCCATGCACCTGCCCACCCTCCAAGGCTCCTACCACTTGGCCTCCACAGGTACCCTCCTACTGCTCCTGTTGAGCTGCCGTCTCCATCACCATGGCTGCCACAACCATAGGAGATGAATCACAGAGCTGTGCCATCTTCAGGCTCCAACCTCCAGCTCACCACAGGGGACACCTCCTTCATCAGCCTGGCTTGGAGCAGCTGGGCAGACAATGCCAGAAAAACCTACAACAGGATGCAGAAAGTGACAGTGTTAGAGCCTCACCTTGTCATGCTGGCCACTGGGTGGCTGGGGCCAGTTTTGGCGAAGGCACTCACACCCACCCTCCAAAGTCCAGCCTCTCCGCCTAGACCAAGCTGGCCTCCTGACCTGGGGTGGGGACTGGAGACACCACAGTGCCCGGGGCTCCCTGGGGAGCAAGAATAGCAGAAACTCAGACCCAGCCAGTCCTCCCCACCCAAGTACCAGTTCCCATTCCTGACTCCTCCACCCACAGGACCCTGAGCCCCCGTGGTGCCCACTACTCCATGCCTGGGGCTCCCAGATGGACTCCACAACACAGAGCAAGAGGGCAAGGGCCGGGTAACCATGGTGGGTGCGAGGGCTCTGTGGTGGTCAGAGGATTGCCGTGAAAACTCTGTGCACCCTCTGCACTCCAACACAAGCAGAAGTTGTTCACCCTCTAGAGCCTTGAGTCCAGGAAGAGGAGAAGGGCCCCTTCCTCAGAGGCCACCACTGTCATGGCCACCTCCACAACCTGCTGCTGGCAGCAGCAGTGCAGCCTCCCCCCATACCACCCCTAACCTGCCCCCCCCACCACAAGCTTAGCCCCCGGATTGTGCCCACAACACACCCAGAGACTGCTGCAGGCAGTGTAACCCTGAGCGCCCCCAAACCACCCCTGGTGGACACTTGATAGTGTCCATAACCCATCCCTGCCACGGGTGTTGCAGCACCAAATAGTGCCCCATCAAACCCGCCCCCAACCCGGACCAAAAGCAGCACAGCCCCAGATAGCACCCCAAATCTGCTCCTGTCGCGGGCAGTGAACGCCCGGGGTACTGCACCCAACCAACCCCCCGACCCCACCTTCCCCTTTCCCCCATGGACAATGCAACATTTGACAGCTCCCCTAAAGCACCCCCGACTGCCTGCCAGTTGGCATTGTTGCTGACATTGTAGCTCATGATAGCTAACCCAACCTGCCCCCTGCATCGGCCAGTGCAGCAGCTAATAATTCCCCTAACCCCCCACTACCCGCCGCTGGCAGTGCACGACAGCGCACACAACCTGCCTCCAACCGCCTGCCACCTTAGGCAGTGTAGACCCTGATAGCGCAGTGAACCTGCCCCACTGCCAGCAATTCAATGCCCGATAGCGCCACCCACTAGCCCCCTGCGGCAGGCAGTGCAGACCCAAAAGCACACCAAACCCACTCCCCCACCACCCCACAAGTGGGCAGTGCAGCTGCAGAGAGCGCACCTACCCTGCCATCTTTCTACTACTCTAACAGAGATGCAGTCTCCGTTGCCATCACCAACCGCAACCAGGCGAGCCGTGGTGGCCAAGGCTCCAGCTGCCAGCATTGGGCACGGTCCCCACCTTCTCCTAGACCTCTAGTTGGTCAAGAGCAACTCCAGCTGCCAGCCACCCTCCTACAGCTCAGGCTGCACTCCTACCGCCCCGGCTGCCATCTTACTGCTCCAGCCTCCCGCCTACCACTCCGGCCATGATCTTACTGCTCCAGCCCCCCTCCTACCGCTCAGGCCGCCCTCCTACCGCTCAGGCCACCCTCCTAACACTCCAGCCACACTGCCATCTCTGTTGCCACCACCATCCAGAGTGAGACGAGCCACAGTGTTACAGGCTCCAGCCTCCAGCTCCCCCTTCTCCTGGTCCTCTAAGCCAGGAACAGAGTAGCTTGGCTGGAGATACTGGAGAGCCTAAACTGGCATGAGGCCTCCTCAGCATGCACATGGGGTTACACACATGGTTTCTGTACTACATGTTCTGATTGGGTGGGAGAAAACCTCTAGGCCTTCTCTGATTGGACTTTATTTTCATACTCTGATTGGTTGTCCTAAGACTTTCTTTCATCCAATCAGAACATGATAACAAAGTCCAATCAGAGTAGGCCTCCGGGCTTTCTCTTATCCAATCCTGGAACGTGTAGTCCAGGAAAGGCATATTCATAACCTCAGTACATAAATGGTGCTGAAGAAGAGTCAGGCTATTCCAGGTTCTTCTGTATCTGCTCACCGAGCTGCTCCGAGCCCGGCTTAGAGGACCAGGACAGACTGGAGGCTGTAGCCTGTGGCACCATGGCTGGCCTCCCTGCAGTTGGTGGTGACAGAGACTGTAGTGTGGCTGGAGCGGTAGGAAGGGGAAAATAGTTTTGGGATAGATGAAAGGGTAAAGAGGGTGGTTAGTGCCAAAAGGAAAAAAGGATGGCGAGCTGGAGAAGGCATTGCATAAAGACGGTGAGGAAAAGATGTTGGGAAAAAAAAAATTGGGGGTAGATGGAGGGGGAAAAACAGTGTAGTGAACAGGAGGGACAGAAGGTTTCACAGAAAGATGGTAGGGAAAAAGTTTTTGGGTAGATGGAAGGGGGTAAGAGAGGGTCGTGAGTGGGGAACGGGGATGAGCAGGAAGGAGAGAAGGTTTGCAAAAATACGGTGGGGAGAGAAGAAAGGGAAAGAAGACTGTAAGTAAAAAGATTTTGAGTAGATGGAGGGGGGAAAAGGGTGACAAGTGGAAGGAGAAAAGAGGGTGCAGAGAGGGAGGGGGAAGAGAGAGTGGCGAGCAGGAGGGAGAGAAGGTTTTGTGAAAAGACAGTGAGGAGAGAAGCTTTTAGGTAGATGGAGAGGGAAAAGAGGGTGGCCAGTGGGAGAAGGATAAAGAGGGTGGCGAGGAGGAAAGTGAAAAGGTTTTGCGAAAAGACGATAGGCAGAAAAGAAAGTGTAGAAAGAAAAGACAGTGGGTAAAAAGTGTTTGGGTAGATGGAGGGAGAAAAGAGGGTGGCAAGTGGGAGGAGAATAGAAAGTGTGGCCAGAGGGAGTGGGGAAAGAGGACTGGGAAAAAGGCAATGGGGAAAATAGTTCGGGGTAGATGGAAGGCAAAAAGAGGGTGGCAAGCAGGACAGAGGAAAGAAGAGGGTGAGCGGGAAGCGGGGAAGGCTTTGTGAAAAGGTGGCAGGGAAAAATTGGGGAGGTAGATGGGTTAAAAGAGCATGGTGAGCAGGAGTAGAGAAGAGGCTTTGCAAAAAGACGGTGGGAAAATGTTTTTGGTAGATGGAGAAGGGAAAGGGTGGCAAGGAGGACGGGAGAAAAAGACGATAGGGAAACAGTTTTTGGGTAGATGGAAGGGGAAAGAGAGGGTGGCGAGCAGCAGGAGTGGGGAGAAGGCTTTGGGAAAAGATGAGGGAAATGTTTTTGGGGAGATGAAGGAGCAAAAGAGGATGATGAGAGCGGGAGATGGAAAAAAGGCTGGCCAGGGTGAGGGAGAAAAGACGGTGGGGAAAAGTTTTGGGGTAGATGGGTGGGGAAAACGGAAGTAAGCGGTAAAGTATAGAAGGCTTTGCAAAAAGGCAGTGGGGAAAAATGGTGGGGAAAAAGTTTTGAGGTAGATGGAGGAAGAAAAAGGGTGGTGAGAGAGGGAGCCAAAGATGGTCAGGGAAAATATTCCTGTTACTGATTTTTTAATACTCTTCCACTCTGCTCAGAAAAAATAACTGATATGATTTCAGGGTTTTTTTGTTTTGGTTTGGTTTGGTTTGGTTTTTTGAGACGGAGTCTTGCTCTGTTGCCCAGGCTGGAGTGCAGTGGTGTGATCTTGGCAAACTGCCACCTCCACCTCCCCGGTTCAAGCCATTCTTTTGACTCAGCCTCCTGAGTAGCTGGGATTACAGGCATGCACCACGACGCCCAGCTAATTTTGCATTTTTAGTTCTAAATGGGGTTTCTCCATGTTGGTCAGGCTGGTCCTGACCTCTGTTGATTGGCCCACCTCTGCCTTCCAAAGTGCTGGGATTACAGGTTTGAGCCACTGCACCTGGCAAGGATGTTGAATTTTATTGAATGTTTTTTTCTGCATCTATTGAGATAATCATATGATTTTTGTTTTAAATTCTGTTTATATGGTAAATCACATTTATTGATTTGCATATGTTAAATAGTCCTTGCATCCCAGGAATAAAACCCATGTAATCATGATGAATTACATCTTTGATATGCTGATGGATTTGGTTTGCTAGCATTTTGTTGAGGATATTTGCATCTATGTTCATCAGATATTGGCCTGTAGTTTGTTGTTGTTGTTTCCTTGCTAGATTTTAGTGTCAGGATGATACTGGTTTTGTAGAATGAGTTAGAGAGGAATTCCTTCTCCTCAATGTTTTAGAATGGTTGCAGTAAGATTGATACCATCTATTTTTTTGTATGCTTGGTAAAATTCAGCTGTGAATTCATCTAGTCCTGGGCTTCTCCTGCCTGATAAATATTTTTATTACAAGTTCAATTTCATAATTAACTACTGGTCTGTTCAGATTTTTTTAAATTTATAGAGAAAAAATATTTATTTGGTTTATAGTTGTGCAGGCAGTAGAAGCATGGGACCAGCACCTGCTCAGGTTTGGGTGAGACCTCAGAAAGCATCCAATCACAGAGGAAGGCAAAGTGAGGGCCAGTGTATCACGTGTCAAGAGAGAAATGAATAGCAAGAAGGGGAACATGGCAGGCTATTTTAAACAACCAGCTCTCGTGTGACACAACAGAGCAAGGACTCGCTCATCACCAAGGGGATGGAGCTAAGCAAATTATGAAGGGTCCACCCCCATGATTCAACACCTTCCACTAGGCCCACCACCAACGTTTAAGATCACATTCAGCAAGAGATTTGGAGGGTAAACACATCCAAACAATGTCATTTCACCCCTATGCCCCCCAAATCTCATGACCTTCTCATATTGCACAATACAATTATCCTCTCTCAGTAGTCCCCAAAAATCTCAAGCTGTTTCAGCATCAACTCAAAAGTCCGAAATCTCATCTGAGCTTCAAGGTACGTTCCTCCATCTGTGAGCCTATAAGATCAAAACCAAGTTATTTGCTTCCAATATTCAATGCAGTACAGGTGTTGGGTAAATATTCCAATTCCCAAATGGCAAAGTTGGGCAAAAGAAAGGGGCAACAGACCTCAGGCAAATCGGAAACCCAGTAGGGCAAATATTAAACCTTCAAGCTCCAAAATAATTCTTGAGTTCATGTCCCGCATCCAGGGCACACTTGTGCAAGGGGTGGGTTCCCAAGACCTTATGCAGCTCTGCCTCTGTGGCTTTGCAGTGTACAGTCACCATGGCTGCTGTCTTGGATCAGAGTTGAGTGCCTGTGGTATTTCTAGGCTCAGGATGAAAGCTTCCCGTGGCTCTACCATTCAGGGATCTTGACGTGGCGGCCCCATTCCCACAGCTCCTGTAGGTAGTGCCCCAGTGGGGACTCTGTGTGGAGGCTTCAATCCCATATTTCCTGTTGGCACTGCCCTAGTGGACTTTTGATTTCTTTCTGATTCAGTCTTGGAAGGTTGTGTGTTTCCAGGAATTTATCCATTTTCTCTAGGTTTTCTAGTTTATGCACACAAAGATATTCTGAGGATCTTTTTTTGTGTCAGTGGTATCCTTTGCAATGTCTCATTTGTAATTTTTGATTGTGCTTATTGGAATCTTCTTTTTTCTTGTATAATCTAACTAGCAATCTATCATTTTTATGTGTCCTTGCAAAGAACCAACTTTTTAATTTTGCTGATTCCTTGTATGGTTTTTTTGGTCCCAATTTCATTAACTTATTCTCTAACCTTTGTTATTTCCTTCTACTAGCTTTGGGTTTGGTTTGTTCTTTTCTAGTGTGTTTGGCTATTTTAGCTTGTTAATTTGAGATCTTTCTCTCTTTTTATGTAGGCATTTAGTGTTATAAACTCTCCTCTTAACATTGTTTTTTCTGTATCCCAGACGTTTTGGTATGTTATGTTTCTATTTTCATTTGTTTCAGGAATTTCTTTAAATTTCTGCCTTAATTCTGTTATTTACACAAAAGTCCTTCAGGAGCAGATTGTTTAGTTTCCATGTACCTCTGTGGTTCTGAGAGTTCTTGATATTGACTTCTAATTTTATTCCACAGTGGTCCGAGAAGATACTTAATATAGTTGTGATTTTTAAAAATTTACTGAGGCTTATTTTATGACTGAGCATGTGGTCAATTTTAGAGAATGTTCCATGTGCAAATGAGAAAAATGTACATTCTGTGGTTTCTGCATGGAGTATTCTGTAGATATCTATTAGGTCTGTTTGGTCAAGGGCCCAATTTGAGTCCACAGTTTCATTGTTAGTTTTCTGCCTAATAATCTGCCTAACTAATCTGCTTACTGCTGTCGGTGGGGTGTTGAAGTCCTCCATGATTATTGTACAGCTGTGTATCTCTTTTCTTAGGTCTAGTAATATTTATTCTAAAAATCTGGGTGCTCTAATGTTGGCTGCATATATATTTAAGACAGTTAAGTCTTCTCGTTGAATTGAACACTCCATCATTATATAATGTCATTCTTTGTATTTCTTTTTACTGTTGTTAGTTTAATGTCTGTTTTATCTGATACAAGAATAGCAATACCTCTCCTTTTTTGTTTTTCATTTATGTGATGAATATTTTTCCATCCATTTACTTTGAGCCTGTTGGTATCATTACACATGAGATGGGTCTCTCAAAGGCAGCAGAAGTGTCTTCTTTTTTTATCCAGTTTGCCACTTTGTGTCTATTCAGTGGAGCATTTCAGCCATTTACATTCAAGCTTAATATTGATGTGTTAGGTTTTCTTCCTTTTATAGCGTTAGCTAGTTACCTTGTAGTCTCAATTGTTTAATTGCTTTATAGGTTCTGTACATTTTGTATTCATGTATGCTTTTATGGTAGCAAGTATCATTCTTTTATTTTCACGAGCCAAACTCCTTTAAACATTTCTTTTAGAGTCAGTCTGGAGGTAACGACTTCCTTTGGCATTTTCTTGTCTGGAAATACCTTATTTTCCTTTCTTTATGAAGCTCAGTCTGGCAGGTTATGAAATTCTTGCATGGCTGGGTGCAGTGGCTCCCACCTGTAATCCTAGCACTTTGGGAGGCCAAGGCAGGCAGATCACCTGAGGTCAGGAGTTCAAGACCAGCCTGGCCAACATGAAGAAACTCCCTCTCTATTAAAAATACCAAAATTTGCCAGGTGTGGTGGCGCACACCTGCAATCCCAGCTACTGGTGAGGCTGAGGCAGGAGAATTGCTTGAATCCAGGAAGCAGAGGTTGCAGTGAGCTGACATCACACCACTGCACTCCAGCCGGGGTGGCAAAGTGAGACTCTGTCTCCAAAAACAAGAAATTATTGGATGGCATTTTTTTTTCTTTAAGAAGACTAACGCTAGGCCCCAATCTTTTCTAGGTTGCAGGGTTTCTGCTGATAAGTCAGTTGTTAATCTAATTTACTTTATAGGTAATTTGGCCCTTTGTTTGAGCCCATCGTCTGGGAGGTGAGGAACGCCTCTGCCCGGCCACCTTGTCTGGGAAGTGGGGAGCCCCTCTGCCCGGCCGCCCCATCTGGGAGGTGAGGAGTGCCTCTGCCCGGCCACCCAATGTCTGGGAGGTGAGGAGCGCCTCTTCCCAGCTGCCCCGTCTGGGAGGTGAGGAGCGCCTCTGCCCGGCCGCCCCATCTGGGTTGTGAGGAGTGCCTCTGCCCGGCCACTCTGCCCGGCCGCCCCGTCTGGGAAGTGGGGAGTGCCTCTGCCTGGCCACCCCATCCAGGATGTGAGGAACGCCCCTGTCCGGCCACCACCCCATCTGGGAAGTGTGGAGCACCTCTGCTGGGCCGCCCCATCTGGGAGGTGAGGAGCACCTCTGCCCAGCCGCCCCATCTGGGAGGTGAGGAGCGCCTCTGCCCGGCCACCCCGTCTGGGAGGTGAGGAGCACCTCTGCCCAGCCGCCCCATCTGGGAGGTGAGGAGCGCCTCTGCCCAGCCACCCCGTCTGGGAGGTGAGGAGCACCTCTGCCCAGCCGCCCCATCTGGGAGGTGAGGAGCGCCTCTGCCCGGCCACCCCGTCTGGGAGGTGAGGAGCGCCTCTGCCCGGCCACCCCATCTGGGAAGTGTGGAGCGCCTCTGCCTGGCCGCCCCATCTGGGAGGTGAGGAGCGCCTCTGCCCGGCCACCCCGTCTGGGAGGTGAGGAGCACCTCTGCCCAGCCGCCCCATCTGGGAGGTGAGGAGTGCCTCTGCCTGGCCGCCCATCATCTTGGAGGTGAGGAGTTCCTCTTGCCGGCCGCCCAGTCTGGCAGTTGAGGAGCGCCTCTGCCCGGCCACCCGCTCTGGGAAGTGAGGAGCGCCTCTGCCTGGCAGCCCCGTCTGGGAAGTGAGGAGCGCCACTGCCTGGCTGCCCCGTCTGGGTTGTGAGGAGCGCCTCTGCCCGACTGCCACCCCATCTGGGAAGTGGGGAGCACCTCTGCCCAGCTGCCCCGCCTGGGAAGTGAGGAGCACCTTTCTCCGGCTGCCCATCATCTGGGAGGTGAGGAGCACCTCTGCATGGATGACACACCATCTGGGAAGTGAGGAGTGCCTCTGCCTGGCCACCCATTGTCTGGGAGGTGAGGAGTGCCTCTGCCCGGCCACCCTGTCTGGGTTGTGAGGAGCACCTCTGCCCGGCTCCCACCCTGTCTGGGAAGTGGGGAGCGCCTCTTCCGGGTTGCCCCATCTGGGAGGTGAGGAGTGCCTCCTTCCAGCTGCCCATCATCTGGGAGGTGAGGAGTGCCTCTGAACAGACGACACACAATCTGGGAACTGAGGGGCGCCTCTGCCTGGCTGCGCCATCTGGGAAGTGAAGAGCGCCTCTGCCCAGCTGCCCCGTCTGGGAGGTGAGGAGCGCCTCTGCCTGACCTCCGCCCCATCTGGGAATTGGGGAGTGCCATTTCTCAGCCGCCCCATCTGGGAAGTGAGGAGCACCTTTCTCTGGCTGCCAATCATCTGGGAGGTGAGAAGCGCCTCTTCACGGATGACACACCATCTGGGAAGTGAGGAGCACCTCTGCCTGGCCGCCCCATCTGGGAAGTGAGGAGCACCTCTTCCTGGTCTCCCCATCTGGGAGGTGAGGAGCGCCTCTGCCCGGCCACCCCATCTGGGAGGCGAGGAGCGCCTCTGCCTGGCCGCCCAGTCTGGGAGGTGAGGAGCGCCTTTGCCCAGCTGCCCATCGTCTGGGAGGTGAGGAGCGCCTCTGCCAGGCTGCCCCATCTGGGAGGTGAGGAGTGCCTCTGCCCAGCTGCCCCGTCTGGGAAGTGGGGAGCACCTCTGCCTGGCCGCGATGTCTGGGAGGTGAGGAGTGCCTCTGCCTGGCCGCCCCACCTGGGAGGTGAGGAGTGCCTCTGCCCGGCCGCCCCCTCTGGGAAGTCAGGAGACCCTCTGCCCAGCCGCCCCGTCTGGGAAGTGAGGAGCACCTCTGCCCAGCTGCCCCATCTGGGAAGTGTGGAGCACCTCTGCCCGGCCGCCCATCGTCTGGGATGTGAGAGGAGTGCCTCTGCCTGGCTGCCCTTCGTCTGGTAGGTGAGGAGTGCCTCTTCCCAGCCGCCCCATCTGGGAAATGAGGAGCACCTCTTGCCTGGTTGCCCCATCTGGGAAGTGAGGAGTGCCTCTGCCCAGCTGCCCCATCTGGGAAGTGAGGAGCGCCTCTGCCTGGCCGTTGTGCAATCTTCCAAGTGTGAAGTGACAGCCTTTCTGCAGGTGTACCCAACAGCTTCGAAGAGACAGCCACCATCGGGAACGGACCATGATGACGATGGCGGTTTTGTCAAAAAGAAAAGAGGGAAATGTGGGGAAAAGAAAGAGAGATCAGATTGTTACTGTGTCTGTGTAGAAAGAAGTAGACATAGGAGACTCCATTTTCTTCTGTACTAAGAGAAATTCTTCTGCCTTGGGATGCTGTTAATCTATAACCTTACCCCCAACCCCGTGCTCTCTGAAACAAGTGCTGTGTCAACTCAGGGTTAAATGGATTAAGGGCGGTGCAAGATGGGCTTTGTTAAACAGATGCTTGAAGGCAGCATGCTCGTTAAGAGTCATCACCACTCCCTAATCTCAACTGCCCAGGGACACAAACACTATGGAAGGCTGCAGGGACCTCTGCCTAGGAAAACCAGAGACCTTTGTTCATGTGTTTATCTGCTGACCTTCTCTCCACTATTATCCTATGACCCTGCCACATCCCCCTCTCCAAGAAACACCCAAGAATGATCAATAAATAATAATAAAAGAAAGCATAGTGCATCACCCCAAGGGTAGAGCGTGTGTGTGTGTGTGTGTGTGTGTGTGTGTGTGTGTTCGTGGATAGTTTCTCCTAGCTAACCATAAGACAGGAACTTGGAGTCTTGGGACAGGAAGAGAGAAAAGAGGGGAGAAGTATCCTGAACCAAGTATAGAGTTGTCAATCTCTTAACTAGAAGGTTCAATAGTTGGGATTTATTTCCACAAAACAAGGAAATTTGTGTTTTTATAAGTACATAAAAGTGTTCCTGTCTGTCTAGGCTTGTACTTAAATGGGAGACTATAAACTCTATTGTCCAGTATTTTACTGAAAACTGTGTATGACACTCTACAGTCCATTGTGACATTCCTACAGCCAAGAAAAATAACTGAAAACACTGAACGTGTCAGGGATCCATGATAAGGATTCATTTCTGGAGCAAAGACTGGTCTTGTGAAGAAAGGACCTGTCCCCTTCTCATGCATGGGATTCTACCCCCATCCCACACACCAGAAGCACTGCCAGGACATCTCTGCACTATGCTGTGAAGTGGGTGGTTTAGGGTACCATTGTTATATGACTTTTATCATTTTAGTTCTGTACATCCTATCTTGGGAAGTAAATTTTTGGTTATTTCTTTTCATTTTGCCTTTTCTTCTTGTTTAACTTTAAAATGGAAAAAGAAGCAAATGTTCACAATAAACTTTACTGTTTAATCTGAAAAAAAAAGAAAAACATTGCAGAATGACAGCCACAGTTTTAAAAATAAGCACATTATAAAGATAATAAAATTGTAATAAAACTAATTATAATGAACATATAAAAGAAGTCTTCCCGTGGATAGTAGTATCATAAAACAATTTATATTATTTAACCAGTTATAGACTCACTGTTGGCATGTTACATTTAACACACACTTGACTTTTGATTTGAAATCATTTCCTCATTAAATCCTGTATCTCACCTTTGAGATTAATGTGATAATGTGATGTAGCCTCTATTGATGCCTCAGAGAGTGAGAACGTGATGTAACCTTTAGTGAAGCCTCACACTGTTTATTAAGATCAGCCAATTTTTTTTGAAGTTGTCTCACAATGACCTGACAAGACATTTTTTTGATTTTGTGAATCATCTTATCAAATTAACAATATTTACTTTCAAAAATATCCCCAAATATATTGATTCAGTTTATTTTCTTCATTTGTGCACATTGCTGCTTGTTAGTGAATTTACTTAAGGACACAAGAAGGTGCAATCTTTCTGCCAAATTGGTACTGTCTTACTAGACACAAGATTCATCTCACTAGTAATTTTTTCCCTTAATGAATCTGTAGTTCTTCACAACTTACTGAAGTCTCAAAAAAAAAAGGCAGGACTAGTGGTGGTAAATTCTACACAGTGGAATTCTTTCCTTCTTCTGTATTAGAAGCACAAATCAACATCAAAGTTCCTCACATATTCAATCACCTGCTGAAAATTTTCCAATAGATTTTTATCTCAGAATAAAAGTAATTTTATTTCAAACTTTACAGGCCCTTGGTAACCTGGTCTCCACATCCCTCCTGACCTCAGCTCCTATGTTTCTCTCCTCTACTCACTTCTTTTGTACTATACATGAACCCTGCCACCCCTTATGAATTGAAAAATGGGGATCCAATGCAAAGCTAATAAATCACAGATAGCTACAATCATCTTTCTGTGGGACAAAGTTCTATCCACATGATAGTTTTTGAGCCTTGAAATAGAAATTATGAGCAAATGATTTGTAACAATATTCAAAATAAATTATGAATACCAGTGGGGTGATTAAATCAAATTTGATATTGCTAAAATCCACTACATTTGTCCTAAGGTATTATTTAACAAAACACAGATGCCTTTAAAAAATTGAGGTTTTAACAATACATAATTTCAGATTCAAATATGTTCAGATTAAGTCAAATTGACATAAATGAAAATAAAATTCTACCAACTAAAATATATAAAAAGCTACTAAAAAAGTGTTATTACAAGATGCAGAAATGTACACTTCAAAATATACTTCAAATACACTTCTGTTCCTCTGGAAAATTTAGAATTAACTGTCAATGTAAATTGCTGAACTGAATCTTAATTTCAAAATACTAATTGCTGATATGGGCATTCCCATTTTTCTGCTTCATTGTAGTCAAAAAATGTGGCCACAAAGAGACATTAAAACCTTTATTTCAGCAGTATAAGCCAATGTCATTAATGTTAATCTATTAAAAATCTTTAACTTAAACTCTTATAATTTCATCAGTGACACAATGCCTTTACTCAAAGTAAAACGTCTCTTAGCTTTCAATTTGGTGGAAATGAGGCATGTTTCTAAGCTGATATAGTAAGTACATTTATCATCTATTTATACATATATATATACACACATATATATGTGTGTATATATATATACACACACATATATATATATATGTGTGTGTGTGTGTGTGTGTGTGTGTGTGTATATATATATATTCAACTAGATTCAGCATTTAGCCAAGGCCATTTTCTTTCAGGAAGGTTGAAAAGTATTTATATTTTTTGATACTTACTTCTCTTTCTGCTTTCTCTTTTTCATATTGATCTATACATTCTTTTAAATGGTTACCATAATTGAATACCTCCTCATTTTTCTCTTTTAGATGACGTTGCATTTTCGTCTCAGGAAACTGAATATTAATTGTTACCTTGCTTTTGTTAACTTTCTTATGTGCATAAACTAATTGCTGTCGAAGCCACCTATTTTTGCTTTCTAGTTTAAATAATTTCTGCTCCAGAGACTCCTGCTGTTCAGTGTGTTTGTCCACATTATCTTGTTCATTTTGATACATGTGTTCAGCTTTCTTCATTTGACACTGTGTTTCACATCGGTCTCTTTGTGCATGTTCCGAAACCAATGCATTTTCTCTTAGATCATCTCCTGCATAATTGAGATTAATTTTTGGGCTTTTGGATTTCCTTTGAGCTTCATAAAGTGGTTGATGGAGCACCTCATTGTTATATATTGTATTACTCACATCAACATTCATTATTCCTTGCAAATGAGCATCTCCTGCACTGTGGAAAGCAAGTTCTTGGTTTTTTCTTGATGTGACACTTTGATCATGGTCTTGTAAAGCAGAAGCCAGTCTAGGATGGTGTGATTCAATTTCTGTCTCCAGTATTTCTTTGTCTTGTTTTTCCTTCAATTTAGAAGTCAGCATCGTGTTCTCTGCTGTCAGAACTTTAAGCTGCTCTCTATACTGAGATGCCCTTTTTGTTAATGTTTTCTGTTTCAGTTTTAGGGTCATTTGAAGTTCAGCATTCTTTTCTTGTAAAATCTTAATGTCCTCAAAGTATTTATTTTCCTTCACCTGGTGTTGACGTTTCAGTGTGGCTACTTCCAGTTTTAGCATGGCAATTTCCTTTTTCAACATGCAATTTTCATGAAAGAGATCATTTTCACTTTCATGAGTGTGAGAAACCTAAATAAAACAAAATAAACATTTAACTAGCACTCAGTAAAATGGCATATCATAGTTCCTCTGAAATTAAAGAATAACTTGTACGTTTATACAATGAAAGGGTTTTTATAAGTAGGTATCAGTTGAAGAACCATTGAATCAAAACTTCAAATGCTATAGAGCATAAATTCCCCAAAGTTCAAACATTTATTTGGAGACAACGAATTCATGAAAGTAAAAGAGAAATGACTAGAGAATTTTTAAGAGCCTCAGAATTGAAAAAAAAACTTTCCCTGAATTACAACAAGCTCAAAAGCATAAAATAAAAGATTAATCAATTTGACTACATACGAAAATTGGGTTTACACTCTGATGTCTAACCTATACAAGATCCCATACTAAGAGCCTTAGTGCTACATATATTTAGACAGATAAAATTTCTGGAAGCTCTTTCAGTTCCTTTTTCCTGAGAATATTCTCTAGATATTCTGTTTTTCTAAAAAATATAGTTAATTGTGAGAATTATATTTATGAATGTTTGATAAGTTGAGACATTGTAACAAGCACTTTTAGTTATCACAATTCTGAAAGGAAAAGATTAAAAATATAATCAAGTTGTAGGATTTTCTCCAAGTCTTCTGAGTCTACATCCAGGACTTCTCCACCAAATCTCAGTTAATTCTACTGGGTAAATATGTAAATATAAAAGAAGTCTTCTATCTCAAAACAAAAGTGGTAAAGAAGATAAAATCTAGACAGCCCTACTTAGAAAACCATGAGCTTATTTACTACTACACTAACTTTTGCTTCCTCTTGATAATGTTTGAGTCAGTATTAAATGTTAACTAGGAAAAATACACTAAACTATGTTGCTAGGAATAAAATACTTACCAATAAATTATCACTAAGTATATGGTAGGGATTATCATTATTTTCAAAAGCTCTTTGTACTGAAATAAGATACTATTTGCATGCCATAATTTATAATAAATAACTGTAGCTACAAAAGTTATAGTTAATTTTAAGACAATACTTTTGTTTGATTTAGACCTGAATAACACATACTAAATCAAAGGGATGTTAAAAGTAATACTGATGAAATAAAGTCAGAAATATAAAATTTTTGCCAGAGATTGATTTACCTGATTCAAATTACTTGTTACACTTTTCAATTCTATATCTTGTATTCTGAGAGCCTGTTCAAGTTGTTGTTTCACTTCTAACTTTTTCCTAAGTTGCTCTTCAGGTCTAATTTTTTCTTTTAATATATCGACATCTCTTCTCTTCTTCTTGATTTAAAGTCAATCTGCCATTAAACATACTTATCTTAAAATTCATTTTGTTAGAAAATAGAATTCACTTTGAGATCTACTTCTTCCTATACTGGTTTATTATTCCAATAAAATTCCTATATTCCTGAATTTTTTTTTCTTTCTATTTCTCTGGTATTCATTACTCTGTAACCTCTTCCAAATGACATACATACTTGAAAAATAGTGAGAAAAAACTTCTTCTAGTTAGAAAGTTTCTGTTACTAGTAACTTTGACAACTGTTATGGAAAAGAATATTGGAAGCTATCTAGTAAATTTATAAGTTGAAAATTAGTTTTTAAAAAATCACACAGTCAAAATTACTCCTCAATGAGGACAAATCATTTAGAGTTAACTGATTAAAGTGACATTACTTTTTATGAAAAAGGTTTACAGATTTATTAGACATAAATATTTCTACTTATAAAATATGGCAAATATCCCTAAAAATAATTTGAATATTATAATCTCAGACTAGATTAAAGAGTCTAATATGTGTCATCCCATATGCCTTTTGTTTCTTTTTGAGTAAGACTTAAACATATCTTGTTGAGTATTATATATTTTTCAACAAATTTTAAATCTCCTTTAGAACAAGAGTGTAAACATTTAATTAAAGAATAAAAATAATATGTATTTTTAACCTAGAACTCTGAATTAATTTTATTTATGTAGGAGAGCGAGAGATGTTGAATAAACTAATCATAAATTATATTTTCTTTATATTCCATGCACATTAAGATTAAAAGTGTATAATTAAAGGAAATTGATTCTTGGAGAGAGAAGAATGGCCGTTTCACACTCTCTTTATTGAACTGTAAATGAATATAAATTTTCTTGAGAACAATTTAGAAGTAATGAACAAAGAACTTTTTAAAAACTTCCTATAATTTAACTAAATATTTCTATATTGAAGAATTTATTCCAAGTCAATAATTAGAAAGGTAAAAAAGATTTACATGCAGTTATGCGTTGTAGCATTTATAATACAAACAATTAAAAATCAAAAAAATTAATTTGTTAAGTAATGGTATTTCCAAATAATGGCCTTCTATATAGCCATTAAAATTGTGATTTAAATAAATATGCATTAATTATCAGTGGAAGTATTCACATTTAAGAACTTTTATTATTTAAAAGAATTTGACACTCTACAAGACAGATTTTTTTCTCCAGTTAAATCTCAGAATGTAAGTCAGCTTTTACAAAAAGTTTCCTACATACTTTTAGTATAAATAGTTGAAATATTTATTTAAAACTAGGATGTCATACCTCACACTGCAGAGCTCTTGTTCCCATTTAGCTTTTTGGTTCTCTAACTGTGATTTTATTTCTTTTGCTTCTGACAGTTCCTTTTGTAGTACACAAAACTTATTTTTTGTTTGTTCCATTTTTGCTGTAATTTGTTCACAGTGATCTTTTTTAAGTTCCCTTCCTCTTTCACAAGAAGGAACTGCATCCAAGATTTTTGATAGGGTAGTTGAATCTGTCTCAAGGAGGAGATAGAAATAAAATATATTAGTACTTTTGGGATATAAAGGGCTGCATATTTTAACAATCACTAACTCACACACTCAACAAATATATATTGATTGCCTACCATGTGGAAGGCATTATACTAAGCTCTGCAGATTAAACAGAAAAAAAAACTCTGCTCTTGTTTAGCTTAAAATATACTGAAAAGCAAAGCCCCAGAAAAGTTACAATTATAAATTCAGATAGATACTGTAAAAAAATAGATTGCTAAGAATAGGATCTGTACTAGGCCCACGGAAAATTCCCCCGAGGAATGTATGGCTACACTGAGGAACAAAGATTGAAAAGGAAGCAGTTGAGCAAGGGGGGAATAAAAGCATTTTAGCCAGTGTGTGGCATGTGCTGAAGCTCTAGTGTAGTCTGCCTCCAGCCAAGAGAGAACAACAGGTATTGATTTTTCTTCTTAGCTAAAATAACTAAAAATAAAATACACAAAATACACTAAACAATTTTTTAGACAGTGGACATTAGGCAAAGAAGATGATAGTCCCTGAAAAACAGAAAAAAAAAGTGGAAAGCAAACCTTAATGAATGTTTCAGCTTCTTGCCTTGACAGAGATTCCAAGACCTGACACAGGAAACAAAAACTGAGGTGGAACCTACCAGACTCTCTTGGTTACAGTGATAAAGCTTAGAGTCTGGTAAAACCAAAGGAGACAGACAATATAGAACAGAACACTGAGGAGGAGACAGAGATACAGAAACAAAAGCAAGAAACCCCTGGAAATTGCCTCCCAGTATTTAGCAAAATAATGAAGATTGCATGTAAGCCAGAAACTACCTAAGACCAAGCCAGGTCAGGGCGGAACTTATAAAATTAGAGAAAATCACACCTGGTGCTCACATAGTGCCAAGAAGAGTGTCTATTTTTATATATTTACCTGGGAAGACTCAGACTTCACAGGAAAATGAATAGTCTGAAAGGCCTTGCCTCAGGTGTGGGGAGTCAGCTCATAAAAAGCAAAAATGAAAAGGATCAAGCTGTTTATAAGTAACTCAACTCTATTCTACAATAAAAATCAAGAAGATAAGTAAAGCAATAGAAGATACTTTTAAAAACTAAATTGCACTTCTAGAGATACAAGTTACAATGCTGCAGATGAAAGCTACACTGAGTAGATATGAGCATAGATTGATTTGCCATCATGAAAGAAAAGATTCACAAATTTGAGATACTAGAGAACTATGAGCAAACTCCCAGCAGGTAATATGTAAGTCCACAAAGAGGTAGAAGGAGAGACAGAAAAAACATCTGAGGAAAAATTGGCTAAATATATTCTAAACTTAACAAATGCTACAATCCCACAGATCCAGGCTGGTATCTGGCTGGAAGTGAAGAAATGAAAATATATGATTGGAATTTCTTATACCATCTATGATATGATATAATATAACTTGAAGGTGAGTTGTGATGAGGTAAATCCATACACTATAAATCCTAAAACAACCACTAAGACAGCAAAGCAAAGTTATACCTAATAGCCAAATAAACTTATACCACAAAAAGATATGACTAAATCATGAAGAAATATACAACCAGATCAATAACTAAAAAACATTATACCTATATATATATATATATATATATATATATACATATAAAACTAAATTATAAAAATTACTAAACTAGTCTGAAGGAAGCAATAAAAGAACAAAACAAAGCAAAGAAGATCTGGGACTAACAGAAATCAAACAGCATGGTGACAGACAACTTTTATCACATCAATAATTACATTATAAATTAAACTGGTCTAAAAACCTCTGCTCAAAGGCAGATTGTCAGAACGGATATAAAAGTGAGATCTACCTGTATAACACCTATAAGAAATAAACTTTAAATATAAAGACAAAAATTGGTTAAAGATGAAACAAGATATACCACCCTAACGCTTGAAAAAAGAAGGCTGAGGAAGAC
Source organism: Homo sapiens (assembly GCF_000001405.40). NCBI lineage: Eukaryota > Metazoa > Chordata > Mammalia > Primates > Hominidae > Homo > Homo sapiens. The sequence goes on from NC_000021.9 coordinate 13,389,902, forward strand.
TGGTTGTATTAATATCAAAGTACATTTCATAGCAAAAACATTACCAGCAATAAACAAGGTGATTTTATAGTGACAAAGGGTTCACTTAATCAAGAAAACATAAGTCCTAAATATTTATGTAGATAATAACATAAATGCTTCAAAATACATGATACAAAAATAGATAGAACTGCAAAAGAAATGGACAAATGCCTAAGTATAGTCTAAAATTTCTAAACCCCTTGCTCAAGTGGTAGAATAAGGAGGCAGAAAATCAGCAAGAATATGGTAGACTTAACACCATTCTTCAGAAGTACTCAAGGACTATATTCTAGATTATATCTTAGTAAAAGGATTAAGAAGGATTTAAGTCATACAAAACATGTTACCTGACCCAAAAGCAATCAAATTAAAAATCAATAATAAAAATGTACCTGAAACAACTCAACTATTGGAAATTAAGTAACATAACATCCAAATAACCCTGGGTTGGTTCCAAAAATAGTAAAAAGAAAAATTAGAAAGTATTTTGAACTAACTTCAAATGAAAACACAGCACATTAGATATTGTAAAATGCATCTACAACAGCACTTAAATAAAACTTTCCAGCATTGAATGTCTACATTAGAAGACTCTCAAGTAAATAACTTCGACTTTTACCTGAAGAAACTAAAAAAAAAAAAAAAGAAAGTAAATTCAATGGAAGCAGAGGAAAGGATACATATTCGTATTGGTTTGAATGTCTTTGTCCTTGCAATTTTCATATGCCAAAATGAAATCACAGAGGTGATGTTATTAGGAGGTAGGAGTTTTTGGATGTAATTAGGTCATGAGGGCCACCCTTCATAAATGGATTAATGCTCTGACAGAAATAACCCCAGAGAGCCTCTTTACCCTTTCTGCCATGTGAGGGCACAGGGAAAAAGAATGCATCAATGAATCATGAAGTGGTACCTCTTCAGACATCAAATCTGATGATACCTTGATCTTGAACTGTGCAGCTTCCAAAATTGTGAGAATTCAATTTATGTTGTTGATAAGCTCCCAACTATAGATTTTTTAAATACTAGGCAAAGAGAACTAAAACATCAGAGATGGAACTAATAAAACACAAAAATGATGGAAGAGTTGAAAAATACCAAACACTTTGAGAGGATCAATAAAAGCAAAAGTCTATCTAGCCAAACTAGCTCTTGAAAAGAGAAAGCTACAATTACTAACTTTGGAAATGAGTTAATGTGACATTATTTTAGATTCTACAGATACTTAAAAATACAAGGTAATATTATAAAATTTATGTGAATAAACATGACAACTTAGACAAAATGGACAAATTCATTGAAATGTGAAAATTACCCTCTGATCTTTGACAAAACTGGAAAAAAAGCAATGTGAAAGAATTCCCTATTTAATAAATGATGTTGGGAAAACTGGCTGGCCATATGCAGAAAACTGAAAGTTGACCACTTCCTTACACCTTATACAAAAATTAACTCAAGATGGATTAAAGACTTAAATGTTAGACCTAAAACCATAAAAAGCCTAGAAGAAATCCTAGGCAATACCATTCAGGACATAGGCATGGGCAAATACTTCAGAACTAAAACATCAAAAGCAATGGCAACAAAAGCTAAAATTGACAAATGGGACCTAATTAAACTAAAGAGCTTCAGCATAGCAAAAGAAACTACCATCAGAGTGAACAAAATGAACAGGCAACCTACAGAATGGGAGAAAATTTCGGCAATCTATCCATCTGACAAAGGGCTAAATCCAGAATGTACAAGAACTTAAACAAGTTTTAAAAAAAAAATCGAACAACCCCATCAAAAAGTGGGTGAAGGATATGAACAGACACTTCTGAAAAGAAGACATTTATGCAGCCAACAGACACGTGAAAAAAATGCTCATCATCACTGGCCATCAGAGAAATGCAAATCAAAACCACAATGAGATACCATCTCACACCAGTTAGAATGGCGATCATTAAAAAGTCAGGAAACAACAGGTGCTGGAGAGGCTGTGGAGAAATAGGAACACTTTCACACTGCTGGTGGGAGTGTAAACTCGCTCAACCATTGTGGAAGACAGTGTGGCGATTCTTCAAGGATCTGGAACCAGAAATACCATTTGATCCAGCGATCCCATTACCGGATATATACCCAAAGGATTATAAATGATGCTACTATAAAGACACACGCACACATATGTTTATTGTGGCACTATTTACAATAGCAAAGGCTTGGAAGCAACCCAAATGCCCATCAATGATAGACTGGATTAAGAAAATGTGGCATATATGTACCATGAAGTTCATATGTACTATGAAGTCTATACTGCACTGTTTCAGGGAAATAATGTGTTACAACAGCATAGCTTTAATGGTCCATAGGTCACAGTTTTCACTTTTATTAAAGTAGATGATTGTACATAGTGATACTTGAAATATTTTAGTTTCAGTTTCTAATATATCAAAAATCAGTAGGTAAAAACCAACTTAAATGAAGACTGATATCTCATTTATTTTTATTTTCATATATTTGTTTTTTGCATAAACAAACTTTAATTAGTTGTGGTGCAGTTATATAATGGAATTCTATAAAGAACCTAATATAAACAAAACCAAAGTTAATTCTACACATTATGGATGGATCTAACAATATAATGCTGATCAAACAAAGAATGTTACAGAAAATTACACAATGTACAATTATTTACATATTAGCAGTTGAAAACAAATTCTACATATTATCTATGACCATGCACATATGTCGTATAATGTTTAAGCATGCATAGGAATAATATAAAAAACCAGTTTAGACAATTGTTTACCTCTAAACCATGAAAAGACACAAAGCCAAATGCTTCAGAATCACAGTTTTACCAAAATGATCATAAAGAAATGATTACTTCTCCCATTTATTATTATTATTATTATTTCTGTTTGTTTGTTTGTTTGTTTTTGAGACGGAGTCTCGCTCTGTCCCCTAGGCTGGAGTGCAGTGGCGCCATCTCGGCTCACTGCAAGCTCCGCCTCCAGGGTTCACGCCATTCTCCTGCCTCAGCCTCCCGAGTAGCTGGGACTTACTTCTCTCAGTTTTTAAAAATTAAGGGTACCACACACAAACACACATATGCATGCACACAGGCACAAACGTGCACACCACATACACATACACACACACACACACACACACACACACACACAGAAAGTAAGCTAATCAGAACAACAGATTTCCTTAGGATGCTTCAAATGACTACAGTCCCATGAGGTAACCAATGTTAAAACACAATTGGCATGTCAAAATTGAAGCTTTCCCTGCAGTAAAGGGTAGAATTTGAATCAATTTTTGAACAGAAAAAATATTAGAGTTTAAAAATACACCTTCTTGAATCTTTAAGTCATACAGACATTCCCAATACAAAACATTACAGTATGAGGACATGAAAGCAGAAACACCTGAAATTAAAGCTACTTTTTAAAAAAACTAATTAAAATTCGTGTTCTTGTAAGTAATCAGTTTTTCAAATGTGGATACCACTATTGACATTATTAACTCAAATATTTCCATAATATTTGAAAAATAAACATTGGGGAGATGAGACTATTAATATGTCAACTATTGAAATATTCATTTTAATATAGTTGAACTGTAAAATTAACCTGCTCTCAATGTTTGTTTATTCTTCCATTCTAAGCCTTTATTTGGAACAGAGTTTTGCATTTCAGTGGCAGGCTAAACGGGTTTGGAAGAAAAATGATTAATAACGAATGTGTACTTCACAAAATACATAGTTAATAAATAATGCAAGATAAAATTATAAAACTCAATACCTCAAAGTGAGAAGGCTTTTCAGGAGACTCTAAAAAGCAAAAGAGATTTATTATCGGTCATAAGTAAATATGACAAAATCAGCCACAAATGAATCCAGTGATAGTATCTAACTAAGTCCTTTTTCTCAGCTTTGAGAATGACTCCTTTAGGTTTAGGGGGTTTTCTTTCGGTATGTTTCTTTAGGACACTCACATGACAGAAATACACTGAAGAAACTAGGAATCTAGGCTTCATCAAACATGCACGTAAGACTTCAAAAGTGAGAATGTGTTGTGCATGCAAAATGTGTTGATATTAATATGTATATGCTGAGTGATGAAAAGAGAAATGATCTTTGATCAGAGGAGCAAATTATGACCCAGAAAAAATAAATGTCAAAGCTGAATATAGAATCCTACACCATATATTCAGTGAAATACACTGGAATAATTTATATCATTACATTAATCATGTTCTTTAATTTGTCCTACAATTGAGATGGTACACCGTTATGATGAGAGTTCAGCTGAATGCAGAACTGACATCTCATCACTGAACATGTTACAAATTGATCAGCTTGGATATTTACTTAATGGATAATACTAAATAAAATATTCATTGTTTCCCATATCCTTGCAGTGTAATCATATGCCTACATTGCTGTATCTTCTAGTTTATCCTCAGAAATTTTCTTGATTCACTCATGCAAAAAATACTATAAAACTCATTAAAAAAATTGTATAGTGAGCTTTCAATATTGATATGTTTATTTGAAAATTTATGGCAACATACTTATCACATATAAATAACATTTTATATTTTTAAATCAGACAATATTTATTTTAAAAAACAATTTTAGAATTCAAGTAATAAATTCTGTAATTTTTTGTTTCTAAAAATTAGTTGGCTTTGTTTATTATGGTAAGTGTCTAATAGATTTTTATAGAACAACAATTTTACCAAAACAATTTGCTTCATTAAACATAAAGCCAATGCTCTTAGATTCAAATATCTCTCATTTGAATAGCTAATATCAACAAAATATAAACATTTTATGCCTGATAGTAATAGAGAAAACTAATGAGTCACCATGGTTTACTCCAATTCTAGTAATCCTCCTGCTTCCGGTAGTCTCTGGAGTACCCACAATCTAATCTTCTGGAGTGCAAATATTGTAAATGCAACTGAAGTGAATTCACTCAAATTTCCTTTTCAGAAACTCCAAAGTTGGCTGGCTATATTCTTTCTTGCTGCGTTTCATGCCTCACAATCCCTCTTCCTTAGCCAAAATAATGTCTACATCTGTGGTCTTGATTCTTCCCATTCAACATCTTTTAAAATCAATTTTCCCAACACTTTCTTTCTCTTTGATTAGGGTAGTATCTGACATCTGTAATTACTATTTCTTTACCTCTTTTTTCCCCTCTGGTCAGAAACATACTCAGAAATAAAAGCAATATAATGCTTTCTCTTGACCCTGCTATGTCTTGAACTTCTATCCAACTGCCCTTCTTCCAGATTTTTCCAAAGGAAAGGCTGTTCCCTTGCTACTTAAGAGTGAGGTCCAAGGACCACCAGCAACAGCATCACTTGAGAATTTATTAAAAATGCCAGAATCCCAAGTCTGCTGAGTCACAGCGTGCATTGTTAACAAGGTATTCAGCTGATTTTCTAAAGTGTGAAAACTTCTCGTCTATACTGAGAGTATATAACAAATTATATACACGCATGGCTGTGCAAATATGCTTATATTCACATACTGCAGATAAAACACAACTCTCCATGGTCAGGTGCTTCCATCCCTAATGCCTTCCCACCGGTGAGAAAGATAAGACCGACAACATGTTTGCTGTAATTCTCTGCCAAATTTTGGTAATGGAAGGTCACTTTATATTCTTCCCAGCTTTCTAACCATGCTCTATCTTTCTCTAAAGAGTTATTTTATTTTACCATTCTCCATTATGTAAACCTGCTTTTTGTTCCCTCATGTACTCCCTGTACTCTCTGTCTTCCTCAGTCTTCATTCCTTGTTTTACTCCTTTCCTCAGGTCTTAGAGTATGTTGAATTTAAACTAATAATTCAGCTCTTTTTTGGCACTCTCAATATAATCTGTTGCCAACACCTGAGAAGACACATAACTTTCACTGCCTTTGTTCTTCCATGTTATGCATTTAAAAAATAATTTTCTCTGGCTGTCAGAGTATATCAGTCCTCATGCTTTGAGACAAACATTTGGACAAAAGATGTTTTAAATAAAAAATGGTTCTTACCTTCTATTTTGCCATTTGTTGTCTTTATTTCTTTTTGATATGTAGCCTAAGTAAACACTCATAATTCTGTGTATCACTCACAGAGATAATCTGTTAAAGATAATATTAATAATTTCTTTTTTTACTATTTTTTTATTTTGTTTTTCTGAGATGAAGCCTCGCAGTGTTGCCCAGTGGCATGATCTTGGCTCATTGCAACCTCCGGCTCCAAAGACCAAGTAATTATCCTGCCTCCGTGTCCCGAGTAGCTGGGACTACAGGCATGAGCTACCACACCTGGCTAAATTTTTGTATTTTTAATAGAGACAGGTTTCACCATGTTGGCTAGGCTGGTCTCAAACTCCTGACTTCAAGTGATCTGCCCACCTCGCCCTCCGAAAATACTGGGATTACAGGTGTGAGCCACCACAGCCTGCCTCAATAAATAATTTCAATTTAAAAATAATAATGACAAGCATCACATTTTTTATTAAAAATCTTTTTTAAAACACATTTTTTAACTTTAAAGGCAATTAGATTTAAGGCTGTTCACATACTGAAAACCAAAACATTTCAAGAGAAAACCTCAAATATGCTCTGTAGATTACGCTTATCTTTTATTTTCATGTGGCTATTGACTAGGTTACTGAGCAAGGAAAATAATCATATTCGCAAAAAAATTCACTCGTGCATATTTTAAAAGGAATTTACTTCAAAGTATCTGCCTTACACTGTAGTCCTCACCAAAAACAATAGGACATTTCAAACAAAATACAATATGATTCAACATTTGACATATGCATAATTATAGATTTTTTTGGTTAAAAACTATGCATGGCATGAAGAGAATTTTCAGAGTATGTCGTGCGAAGTAGGAATAGAACTCTGTTAAAAGCTGTTTCATTTAGGAAAACAAGGGCATAAAATAATGAAAATAATTTTACATCTTTTTTGCTGATACAGAACTGCTTGAATAAAAGGAAAGATTCTTAAGGAAAATTTATATTTATGTTATTTTTAAATGAAAACAAGCAATCATTAGATAAAGTATGCAATTCGTTCTTAAGGCATAACTTCAGAAAAGTAGAGCAAGCCTTCATATAAAGAGAAAAATAAAAACATGTATTCGTGAAACATCTAACATGTGACAGACACATATTTGCAGACTTTTCTTCACCTTAGAATAATGAGGATAACGATGACATTGGTGGTTACCCCACTTTCTGTATCCTAGTCATTCTAGGTTGTTAAGAACAAAATGATGAACAAATATGGTCCACTGCCCTCTCTGTTCAGAAGTCTTCCTCCTAGACTTTCATATGGCATACTCCTCATCTTTGAGACGGGAGATTAAATGGCAGTTGCAGAAAGATCTACTCTGACCATGGAATTCCACTGCCACTCCCATACGCGTGCTAATTATAAAGTTCTTCAATTTTCTCTTAAGGAACATTCTCTGTTTTGTTTTAAAGAAAAAGTTACAGTAATTTGTAAGTGTTTTTCATTTGTTATTCTCTTCCTACTACTGCAGCATAATCTTTCATCTTGGATATTCAGAGACTCACTGCCTAGTACACAGCTGGTACTCAGAAAGAAATTACTCCAGGTCAAAACATTGAAAATCTCATCAGGAAAGTCTCACTTTCCAAACTGCTATATTTCTATGGAAAATCTGCAGTAGTAGCCTGCTGAAAGTTACCATCCCCTTACCCAAAATTAGAAATCCACATGCCTGTTCTTACTTCCCATTCTTGTGCTAACAATACTGCTTTCACATAAATGCCACTTTGAACATTTTGTCTTACATTTGTATACAGACTTTCCAGTTTAAAAAATGTTTTCACATTTGTTACAACATTATTTCTTCACATGCACCTAAGAGGTAGATATGAGCGCTATTTTTATAAACAAAGTTACTGGTATTTGATTAGATTAATTGATTTTTTTTCCAAGTTCCCATAGCTAGTAAGTGACAGAACCAAATACAGACTTATCTTTTGACATCCACTCATTGCTGTTACCACTATGCAGCTGCTGCTTCTGCCTAACTGGTGAGGCCTTTGCTATCTCTTCCACATCCACAGTTGTGACCTTGGAATACATCATTATTATTTGATACCTATGTGGCTGCAAACATGGCTGCCATAAATGGACTCAAAGAGTTCTATTTGTGGAAAAAAGTCCACTTATTAAAATACTACTCAACCAAATTGTTGTTATTATAGTTTTACAGGTGTCCTATTTCTCATGTTTATCCAACTCCTGAAATGTTCCTTCAGATCTATACTGGATAATCAAAATATGCCAATACTTTCAGAGTCCCAGGAATTATCTTTTCAAGTTCCAAGTTGAGTAAGACTAAGACTACAGTTTAAACTCTTTCTCCTCGAATCCAGTTAGAGCTTTTGTACATCTAGATATACACAGAATCATACAGTTTTGCCCATAAATGAATGTGGAGACATCATTTAGTTTTTAGACAAACTTAACTTCAGAACTCAAGTAGATTCCTAATGCCTTCTAAGCCTTATTTTGTTTTGCACTACTCTACAATGGCTTCAAAATTAATCCTGCAAATTAGCAGAATTGCACTATGCAGCTGTTATCTACTTGGAACATGATTATAAAGTATGTTCTGATAAATGTCAGAAAATAATTTCTTTTTTTTTGGTTTGTTTTTTGAGATGGAGTCTCGCTCTGTTGCCCATGCTGGAATGCAGTGGCATGATCTGGGCTCACTGCAAGCTCCACCTTCTGGGTTCACGCCATTCTCCTGCCTCAGTCTCCTGAGTAGCTGGGACTACAGGTGCCTGCCACCATGCCTGGCTAATTTTTTTGTATTTTTAGTAGAGACGGGGTTTCACCATATTAGCCAGGATGGTCACAATCTCCTGACCTCGTGATCCACCTGCCTTATGGACATAATCAGAGGTGAGAGAATAAAGTCAAATCATCTTTTTATGTTTTAAGATTACTGAGTACTTAAGTTTTAAAATAACAACAACAACAACAATACACAGTACCTCAGAATCTGAAGTTGATTTTGTATCTTCTTTTCTTCCTAATTCTGATGTGGGCATCTTATCTACAAAATGTTATTCACAGACATGTATATGAGAATGTTTATTACTGTAAATCATAAAACTATATACAAATCTATTTCCATTTATGAGTATTTCAAAAATAAAAATAATAGCAAAAATAGAATTTCAGAATTGAAGCAGGTTCAGAAAAAAAAGAGTTGATAGTATGAAGAAAGATATCAAAATGTACTTTTTTAAGTAGACATTGTATTTTGGGCTAAAAAATTGTTTTCTATATAACAGCATTTAAACACAGAAAAATTTTCAGAGATATTCACTAACTTACCACTTCTATTATTTTGGTATAAAAAATAAAATTGTCATTACTTGTTTGATCTTGTGGAGCTCGTTCAATAATGCCAATATCACGTTCTCGTTGTCCAGTTACTGTCTTTGTTGCTGCCTCCTATTACAAACAAAACACAGAAAGCAAACACACACAAAAAAAACTTCAGAAAAAATTGTATTTATTCACTCAATCAATTTGTCAGAAAGACAACAACAACAACAAAAAACATACTTTGTATCTGTCAAATCATATGCACTATCCTGGGAGAAGCAGAAAATATACATGGAAGATACATTCTGGCTTATGTTCAAGAAATGGTAGAGATATGTGAAAACAAATAAGAACAAAAAGTAAAATTCACCAGTTCTACAATTTAAGTCAATAAAATACATAAGGGCACAAAGGAGAGAAAAATCAGTTTTACCTGAAAAGCTTAGAAAATGCTGCCATAATGGGGCCATATTGGGAAGGACAGACAAAGTGCAGAGTCAGGATACAAAGACTCTAGGTGCAATAGCATGTGCAAAATAATAAGGCATGAAACAACATGGCCACTGAGGGATGCCAGAGTGATGTGGTAAAACTGGAACACAGTCAGAGCAAATGAGTTAAAGAGATAAAATGAGACCAAACCATATAAGATATGTATCACGCTAGAATGTGAACTTACCCCTTCATGTAATGGGTATCCACTCAATATGCAGATGAGTTACATCATTACAAGTATATTTCAGAAAGGTGACCCTTCCAGTGATGTAAAGATGAACATGGGGAGATGGGGCAAAACTAGAAAGGAGTACTTCAAAATTATAGGTAGAGAGTTAATTATGGTAATAAGATATGGAAAATTATAAGAAGGCAGAAAATACAAAATTAGGTGTGTGACTGGATGGGTGACATGGAGAAGGGTTGAAGTGCAGGATGTAGGGGACGGTTGAAGTGCCGGTTGAAGTGCTTGAGCATTTCATGGCTACTTCCTAGGTGTTATTTACTAGGATGGGGAAACCAGATGACAGAGTAGATTACAAAGAGTCAGAAAAGAGTCAGAAAAAAATAAAATAATGTTTTCAGTTTGAGACCTATAAGATTTGAGGCATCCATGGGGCTTAGAAGAAAGATCTGGATAAAGACATTTGGAGTATGAGTAGATGACCTACATGAGGAAAATTACATAGTGATTAGAAAATAAATATTTGTAAGATAGACTAAATGGGTAGAATTAAGCAACACAAATCTATGCAGACTGCTGAAATTTTGAAAATGAAATCAAAGGAGAGAGAAAAACATGGGATTAAGTTTCTCAGTTATATATTTCCAAATTTATTTCAAGAATATAATTTTATTTATATAGGTAAATATTTATTTCTGAAATATTTTTTGCAATATGCATCTTTGAATTGAATGAAAACATTTAATTCTAAAACAACAAGATTCTGCAAAATGACCTTTATAAAAACCTTGAAATTTTTAACTGTACAAGAGAAATGCTTACCCATAGAATTATAAGGCATTTTTAAGTACTACTATAAAGTGAGATAGAAATGTGAAACTGTTTTAAAATTCACATGCTTTTCTTATGCTCCTGCAAACAAGATAATGCTAGCTCAAATTGCCTATTTACACCATATAGGATGGTAGTTTAAAACTGGAGAAAAGATCTCATATAAAGAAAATTAAGCAACAATTATTCAAGTTGATGATTTAATAGTTTTTACGTATATCTATGATTGTCAAGTAGAATTCAGTATTCACAGGAGAAGTGAAGAAAGAAACTAAAAAGTTCAAGTCAACAAGATTCCTGAGTTTTAGAAATAAACAAATATATGTGCAAGGTGTAATAGTTATGAAGACTAAAGTTAATAAGGCTTCCTGGAAAAAATATAAAATATCCCCATTGCAAGAGATATTTTTAAGTGTAAAAAGTATTCTTCCAATGATAAGTTTGTTTACTCTGTTAAATCTTCCCTTACGTATGATTCTATGATAATAGGTACTTTACTTTAAAACAATTGACAAATATTGATTACATTCATTTGATGTGTGCATGTAATACCATTACATACCTATATTATGAGCAAAAATGTCAGAATATTTCTAGAGATTAATAATTTCTACATTTCTTTGACAGTGTTGTAGCTTAAAAGTGATTCTTCTCTTTTAGGAGACACAGATTAAGAACCATGTTCATATGATCAGAAACTTTAATTTTAATAACAAGTTTAAATAAAATGTTTATTTATTTATACTCTATTATCAAAAATATTCAAAATGGCTACCAAGATTATATAAAAGAGTAAGATAAGTTAAATAACCTAAGAATATGTCAAATATTAAGTTAGAAATCTTAAACCAGAAACCAAAGAATCAAAAAGTAATAATTCACAATAAAGTTGGCAAGGCCTAAAACAGATTTCACTTTGCATTCTACAAAATTATAAGTACGACTAGATTAAATATAAGACATAAAGTTACTAAAAGAAGTAAGAATTAAATTTTTGTTCCTTGTTTATAATTTTTTTGTTGACACACTATAAATGTACGTTTTGGGGGTACATATCATCACTTAATACATTCACATAATCAAATCAGAATAATTGAGATATTAATCACCTTAAGTATTTATCTTTCCTTTATGCTAGAAACATTCAAATTATTCTCTACTAGGTATTTTAAAGAGTACAACAAATTGCTCCTACCTATACTCGTCCTTATATTTTCTGTCAGCTTTTTATTAAAATCAGCTATAAGTCACTCAAAAACACCTGAGCTATCTTTTATTAGCTGGCTATGTTTTCTTAATTTTTATTTTAAATAATTTACATCATATCTTTTATTCTAGAGAGTTCCTGCTCTCATTTAAACCACTATTTTTGCTGTGTTTTTATAAGAATCTGTCTCATCCTCTCTCATGTAGTCTCTGTGTTTATCTTACCCTTCTTCAACGAATTATTTCCTATTATCCCCTTCATCTAATTTATTATTATACAAATATGGTGGTATCCATTATTTTTTTAAACAAAATTACCTACGACAAAAATTTATTCTTACACAGTTTATAGTACTGTAGAAATAATTAAAATTTTAAAATTACATGTTATATTTTGAAATATCTCTTCACAATTTACAGTTGTATTAATTACCTCTTGTGTGGAAAAATGTGAGAGTTTAGTTTTTAATAGTACCTTATTTAACTGGGTTTGCATTGAAATGGTATAGGTTGTTTCTATTCTGTGTGGCAAAAAGCTAATAAATAATTGTATAAATTCTGCTTCTTCCAAGAAACAGAGAAAAAAAAGAATAAATCATGGGGGGGGGGCAATGATTGAGTAATGAAAATCATACATAGCAACTAAATAGAGACCTGTAAATAAATATGCTGACAATTGAGACAGAGATGCCCTCAAAAACAGACATTGAAGAAATGTATTCTGTGAGAAAAAAGTCTCGGGTAAATCATTTTTAAAAAGGTGAAGGAGACGGAAGAAACAAACAAGAGCCATGATCCGTCAATCATGAGCTTCAGTCGTGAAAGAAAAGGAGAAACAGCTACGCGAAGACATGTGATGAAATACAAAAAATACAGACTTTTGTTAATAATATTGCTGATCAGTATTTACACTACAATTAGTTATTTTGTTAATACTTGTGTAGTAAAGATTTTATTTTTAATATTATATAATAAGAAAATTAGTTAAACATGGTCTTCAGCCAATACCTAAAAGCGAGAATATTCTTACTACAGAGAGAGAAAATTTTAAAAAGGAATGTTTCATAAACTTTTCACCTGAAGAAAGTATTGGTAATCAGAATTTTAGAGTAATGTATTCCTTGAAAAGATATGTTCAATAGAACATGAGTTTCATCCTGGCTAACACGGTGAAACCCCGTCTCTACTAAAAATACAAAAAATTAGCCCGGCATGGTGGCGGGCACCTGTAGTCCCAGCTGCTCTGGAGGCTGAGGCAGGAGAATGGTGTGAACCCGGGAGGCGGGGCTTGCAAGTGAGCCCACATTGCGCCACTGCACTCCAACCTGGGCGACACAGCGAGACTCCGTCTCAAAAAAGAAAAAAAAAAGAACATGAGTTTCGGCTGGACATGGTGGTTCACGCCTGTAATCCCAGGACTTTGGAGGGCAGATCATGAGGTGAAGAGATTGACACCATCCTGGGCAACATGGTGACACCCTGTCTCTACTAAAAATACAAAAATCAGCTGGGCATGGTGGCATGCACCTGCTGTCCCAGCTACACAGGTGGCTGACGCAGGAGAATTACTTGAACCAAGAAGGCAGAGGTTGCAGTCAGCCGAGATCACGCCACTGCACTTCAACCTGGGCGACACAGCAAGACTCCATCTCAAAAAAAACAAAAAGCAAACAAACAAAACATGAGTTGAGACTAAAATATATTAAATTTTTTAAAATCTGAACTCCACTTGGAGGATACTAGAAAATATAGTGTAATCTTCTTTCCTATTTACTACATATCTCTGATTTATTGTCTTCTTATTTATGACATAATTTCTTAAGATAACACAAGTTAATTTATGCATTCTAAATATTAAAAGAAAATATAAATTTAAGCCATATTTTAGAAACGCATTAGATTTAATTATAAGGTATATTATGCATATTATCTTACTTGTAATATTCCATTACATAAAAATTCATTTGCTTATTTATTCACATTGAAAACCTCTTAAAATGCTTTTTACAGGCAAGACTGTATTCTGGGTACACTAGGATGCACACAAGTATGTTTTCTAACCTGCAGTATCTCATAGTGATGCAAGAGCTTCAAAACAATTATTTAAATAACTAAATAAAAAATCTTCTGAAATTTAAAATTTTCAAATGTGATCAAAGATCTTTGAACAATATGTTTAAAAAGTGCAATTTAAAAACTCTGAAATTAAAATCTTACCATATGCTTATTAAGAGTCTCTGCTTCCAGAACTGGTTGTTTACTTGGGGTGAAACCTGCATTCTTCATTTAGTTGAAGAATTTAAAGTATACTTTTAATGAAATAACTTAGAAAACATCCTCACATGCCTTAATAATACAGATTCTGAGAAAGAGAATTTACATTTCTAAATTTCTACAATTATATTCAAAATTAGAGATAAGTTCTCACTATGTGCCCACACTGGTCTCAAACTCTTGGGCTCAAGCAATCTTCCTGCATCACCCTCCTTGGTAGCTGGAACTACAGGCATGCACCACCATGCCCAAATAAATTTTCACAATTTCTAATATTATTTTGGTGTTTAATTAAAGAACCAAGAAGAGAAACTGATAAAAAGCTCTCTCCTAAAAACTACATGATATCAAAATAATATGTGCCAAAAAAACCTATATGCTATGTGGCACAGTTTCAGAACTGAACTTTATCAGACAGATTCCCTGATTACTGTAATAAGTAACTGGATCCATTAAAGATAATTTTAAGGATGAGGTTTTTTTAAAGTTACAATAGAATAATTTTAAAAGTCACAGTAAGTTTACTTATGCAAAGAAACCTTTACCAGATTTTATATATTCTCTATTGTGGACACGTTTTTTCTAATATAATGTTGCTGTCACTATGTATTCTACAGCCCGTTCCAGTTTTTGGCCCTCACACCCTCAAAGTATTTACCAATCATTTGTTATTTACTGAAGTAAAACAAACAAACAAAAACAAAAAACAAAAAAACTGTTTAAATCAACTACTCATATTTCTATAAAATGTTTTTATGTGACCAACTTTATATTACCAACATGAAATTATGATACATACACCACTGCTAAACATGAAAAGTAAATACTATACAGAATTAGATTCCAACTGAGAAAATCAATTTAACAAGAGACCATTTTACCTTGGTAGTACGATTAAAGTCTTCCTCAACTTTTGTAGACTGTGAATTTTCAGTAGTCGGTTTGCCAAAAAGACTAGAGAAAAAAGATAAAACAAAAATGAGCAAATTCATATATTTAAAAAGAAAATCTGCTAGTTCATATCTTGGTGCTCACTCCAAAAAATGAGAACAAAAAAAATCTGGGGAAAGATCAGTCCTCGATATATTAAATCATGTTTCTTGGCATAATTAAAATATGCCATCTGGTTTTTGTTGTTTTTTTTTTTGAGACGGAGTCTCGCTCTGTCGCCCAGACTGGAGTGAGATGGCGCGATCTGGGCTCACTGCAAGCTCTGCCTCCCGGGGTTCACGCCATTCTCCTGCCTCAGCCTCCCCAGTAGCTAGGGCTGGAGCCCACCACCGCGCCTGGCTAATTTTTTGTATTTTTAGTAGAGACGGGGTTTCACCGTGTTAGCCAGGATGGTCTCGATCTCCTGACCTCATGATCCGCCCGCCTCAGCCTCCCAAAGTGCTGGGATTACAGGCGTGAGCCACGGCGCCCGGCCCCTCTGTTTTTAAAAAAGATTGTATTTACCTATTTTCGACTCTATCTCTCCAACCTGTAACATCCAATGAACACTCACTCTTAGTTCCATAAAAAATAGTGACCGCCAATATAATTGGCATACCCTGAGTATAATTCGTCCTCACAAACTGTCCTCTATGGTGAACTGAAAATGTACTTAATGGCTGACATAACTTTTGATATCTAAACTGGAACAAACTTGATAACCTAAAATGAGGAAGAAAGGTACAGTTACCTTGTCCCTTATCCATTGTCTATCTCTGATTCAAAGACTAATCTGTGTCACTGGAAAATGACATTCTTTGTTTTTCGGCATAAAAACCACTTAAAAAGGCCTTGTTGCTTCCCTTCACCCTAAAACGCTACAAGAGAGTGCCCTGAAATATCTGAAATGTTGAAAAGCTGAACCTACAAATGTCAAAATACAAATCTATATTTGTTATTGGGAATAGTTTTCTCACAAAAATTGAAATATTAAAAGTAATAAAGTCTAACTACTTATTTTATAATTGTCCTTCCTTGTTCAGGTCTACATAAACTAGCAAAGCCTTAAAAATCTTCATAGGTACTTATA
This sequence comes from Homo sapiens, assembly GCF_000001405.40. Lineage (NCBI taxonomy): Eukaryota > Metazoa > Chordata > Mammalia > Primates > Hominidae > Homo > Homo sapiens. Next base: position 13,406,320 of record NC_000021.9, read on the forward strand.
CCCAAGGAGAGAGACTGCTAGAAAAACTGAGTCCTGATAGTTGAATTTCTCTAAGTACTATATATACAGAGAGAAAGATCAGGAAGTGGGAGCCACTATATATAGTGAAAGTGTCTCCCACTTCCAGATCTTTCTTCTGCAGAGCTTCATGGCAGTCTCCAACCTTTAAACATTTAGCTCATCTAAGCACAGATTACTGAAAAGATAAACTCAATGACCAACCAATAAGCTCTGTATTTACCTGTTCCTGAAAAACAACTAAATGGAGTCTCAGTCATGTTACCAAAAACCCAACTGAAGCTCCATGACTAATTTGACAGCCAATCTTCCCCCTGCTTTACATGTACATGGGTAGGACATCAGAGGCTTGGAAGAAGAGGCAAACGGGAGGGGACACCTGCCTTAGGCCACAGATCTATGTAATTCAGCAACCTTCAATCCCCTAGCACTCAAGGGGCTCTAAGCCACTCCTGTGAGATTTGGGGTGAAAGAACAGAATAGGACATTTCTATTCTGATTGTGGAGACTTTTCTGAGTTGGTCTTTTTTTCTAAATCTTTCAATAGAAATCTTGAAGTTTGCCCATTCCTCCAATTAAACAAGCAAAAAAAGCAGCAACCTATTCAGGACTTCTTTGAACCCTATTTTAGTATGCCTTTCTAGATAACTCCCAATGTCTTCTGTGTTTTTGGTCCTCTAATTTATCTTCATCAAACGTCATAAGATCCAATATTCTGATCTCTTTGGTAAATAAAACCCTTACTCCTACCAATCCTGGGATTGTTTCTCTTCAAACTTGGCCTTTCCCTGATAATTCCATTCTTATCTACTTCCACTGGGTTCTCCAGCTAATTCCATTCTTATCCCTTTCCATTTGTTTAATCAGATCCATCCCCTTTTCCTTTCTATTATTCAAACACTCACTTACATGATGATATAAAAACAAGAGTAATGGGCTTTGAAATGAGTTTAAATATTACTTCTGCTACCTCTTGTATTTAAATAAGTCACTTTGAGTTTCAGATTCTCCATGTGAACAACAATTTTTCCAGGATATTAAATAGAGTTTAAAATATGAAAGTATTTTGATTAGTCTCCAAGAGTCCTAAAAATCCTAAAATTCCATGTGCTTTAATTTTAGCTATAGAAAAACGGGGCTGGCAGAAAGAAATAAAATAATAGAAGAAAAGAATACCAAGGAAAGCAGAGAAGAAAGTAATCAGGAAAAGATTATAAATAAGTCATGAAAGAAGAGAAAAGACTCTAGAAAAGAAAATGAAGAGTGCATGCAACTAAGAGGGGAATGCTTTGAAGAAGAACTAAATTAAGAAGTCAGTAAATAGAGAATTCTATAAGAAATAGTCTCTAAATATGATTAACATATCTATATGTAGATATTCTCCACTAAAAGTGAAATAATCCATCTATAGGATTTACCTGGTATTGCATATGAAACAAAAGCCTATGTCTTGTGGCCACAGCTAAGTAAGATCTGCTCTAAAAACGGCGATAAAAACAAGGTACTGGTTACCACTTTAACAGTTAAACATGTTAGAACAAAGTCTTGAATTAATCAGTGTTCTATGGGAAATCTCTAAAAAGAGTTAACATATAACAAAATGTGACTTTGTGAATTGATCCCATCTGGACCTGTATCTTGATCCTAGTGATGCACAGGTCTCCATCCATCTATGCCGAGGGGGAAGTGAAGGGATTAGGGAGCAAGGTAAGCAGATGGCAAACTCAAGGGTCAGCTACTTTTTAGCTATGAAATCATAGGTCAATTAATCAACCTCTCTGAATCACATTTGCCTGATTAATACAAAGTAGGTGACAGTAGCACAGATGCTTTGCAAAGCTGTGTGATGACTATGTGAAATGATAAATATTAAGCACATAATACGTTGTATAGCCCAGAGTAGAATACTCAGCAGATAGTGATTTCTTTTCTCTATATTTTCTGAGTTAACATATACGTTTTAAAAAACCGCAAAGTCTTACCTGAATGTGGACTCTACAGAACTCACATCCACTATTAAAGAAAAGAGTAAAATACATTAAATCAACAAATACAAATAAAAAATACAGAATATTAAAAACATAAGAGGGCACGATGGCACATGCCTGTAATCCCAGCTACTTGGGAAGGTGAGGCAGGAGGATCATCTGAGGAGCCCAGGAGTCTGAAAGCAGCCTGGGAGACATTGCAAGACTTCAACTTAACTTAAAGGAATCCTGCACACTTTCATGCATGATTCAGGTCTTGGTTTAAAAAGCATAATACTCTGACACTTTGTTACAAAGACTCAGATGATTTGTTACAAAGCATTCTTTTGGGACCATACATTGAGACTATAGTAAAATTATTATTAAGTATACTATTGGTAGGAAATTAATGCATTAAGAATGCTTATTTCCCCTCCTTTGTAGTTCTCAAATGCAAGGAAAAATGGAATTTATCACAATTTGATCTCTGCAAGTGAACTACAGTGTACAATAGTCATAATCCAAACAGAACCCTATAAGACTGACAGAAAACTGTATTATTAGAAGAATTAGTATAAGTGGACAGTGTCAAACTTAGAAAGTATAATTTCTAGACAAATGGACTAGAAGCAGTTAGAACAGAGTATACAGTAGTCTCTTATCTGCTGTATGTGTAGAAAGAAACACACACAACATGATTTCCCTCTGCTCTCATACCAAAATCATTAAAACAGAAGACATCTGCGACCAAATGTGTGGAGGATTTTCTCCACCAACTAATAAGCAATGAATTCTGTAGCAAAAAACAGCTGACTGTCCTCTATTTAATTCCAACACTGTCTATCTAGAAATAGTCTCAGATCCCACAGACTGAGTGCTCAGTCTCACAAGACTTCCCTCACACACCAGTTGCAAATCTGGGTCTCTTTAATTTCTGTGATTTCAGTTACTCATAGTCAATGATAGTCCAAAAATATTAAATGTGGAATTCCAGAAATATACAAGTCATAAGTCCTAAATAATGTGTCATTCTAAGGAGTACAATGAAATATTAAGGCATCCTGTTCCATTTCATCCAGGTCATGAATCATCCCTTTGTATATGCTATCTGTCCATTAGTCATCAAAATGGTCTGTTCCTGAATCCCAACCATCAACATTATCATGGCTCAATGATCTAGGGTCACATGAAGCAGATGATCCTCCTTCTGATGTGTGGTCAGACAGCAAGAAATAATTAGTAGCCTAACACCACATGACAATTCCTACCTCATTCACCTGACTTCAACACATCACATAGGCATTATATCATCTCACAGCCATCACACAAAAAAGAAGGGCGAGTACAATACAAGACACTTTGAGGGACCATATTCACCTAACTTTGATTACAATATATTGTTATTGTTATATTTTATTATGAGTTCTTGTTAATCTCTCACTCTGCCTAATTTATGAATTAAACTTTATCATAAATATGCACTTATAGAAGAAAAAAAGCATGGATGTATAGGGTTCCATACTATCCACAGTTTCAGACATTCAATGGGTGTCTTAGAAAATATCCGCCTTGGATAAGGATGAATTACTGTACTTGTGTGTGTGTGTGTGTGTGTGTGTGTGTGTGTGTGAGAGAGAGAGAGAGAGGGGGAGAGAGAGAGAGAGAGAGAGAGAGAGAAACAATACAGATCTCCACTCTCCACAAGAAGCAGATAAAAAAGACAACACTTTTCCTCACACATGACCCTTAGGTTTTGACAATTCTGGAAAAATGCTGGCATGTGTACTCCCCAGTCTAGACAATTTCCTAGACCCTGTGTATATATGCTGCTTTAGTTGCAAAAAGTTAGGTAGGATCTTGGGAGATTTCCTCTTGGACGCCGAAATATTAACCACATCAACATTATACCTAACAACTCTAAAATAATTCTTTTGAACAGATTACCACTGAAGAACTTGTAAGTTAAATCCAATTGACTTTTCAGTTATAATCTTACTGCTGAAATTCTCATATTTAAAAGAAATTTGCAACATCACTTTCTCTGACTCCTCTCGTACTTTTCATTAGCCACTGCTCAGTCTCCTTTACCAAGTCCTGTGACTCTGTGAAATGTTGATACTCCCAGGATTTTGTCAATGGCTTTCTTCTTATTCTACATCTTCTGCATCATGGATAAGCTCAGTGAGATCTATGGCTTTGCTTAATAATTATAATAAAATTATTCTAAGCCTGCATCTCCAACCAGAGTTCTATCTCCAGCTAGAAATACGTATAAACCAATTACCTACTGAAAATATCCCACATGAATGTTTCATTGAACTCAATATGTAAAGAAAACGGTTGGTCTGTCCCATGACTGTTTGCACTTTTCTGTTGACCTGACAATTTCCTACTCCTTCCCCATGAGCATTCCCCATGTGGAAACTTATGAATGACCTGAAATTTCTTCTCTCCCGTAGCTTTTTCAACTCAATAATCACTAAATCATCTTAACTGTACCTCTTTTCTGCATTTGCTTTATCTTTCCATTGCAACTGGAAATACAAACTTATTTATTTTATATTTATATTTCCTAGTTAGACATGGCCCCTTAACTGATGGCTTTCACAGGAAAAAAGCAACCCTACCTGTAGGGGATCGGACAAAGTGGTTAAAAAAATTATAAAGATAGTTATAGGAAATAGACACAAACCTTCTTGGAAGGCCGGGGGGTTGCATAGCTTCAGTAAATGATTTGGCTGAAAACAGCCTAATCTTCTTTACTTTGAGTTGGTAGCAATAGAGCAAATATCTAGGGAATGTGGAGGAGTTTATCTAAATACCTTGTTTACTCACGTGGTCCTAAGACAAAAGTTTGATCATCCGAGGGTGCATGATTGCTTTGTACTGGGGGTTGGCAATCTTAATTACCCTCTAGTGATGTTTACTCAACAGCTTTGTCATTTAATCTGTATTAAATAAATGCGAACTTTGCAGGCTTATCGAGGCCAACAATGCAGACTCAGGCAGCAGAACCCCTTAGCTGCACTGACAGGCAAAATATCTGTTTCAGTATACGTCTCTCATCCATCACTTAGGTCAGTGTCCATAGGATGGACCCGGCAGGTGGCAAGACAAACGATGCAAAAGGATCGTGATGGACCCCTCAAAAATGAAGGTGAAAAGAACTGCGCAGGCAGCGAGTAAGTCATTGGTGCCTGCTCAGGATTTCCAAGTTTGGGGGAAATTGTTCAGGCAAGAGTTTCATCATGGGACAACAATTATCAGCACAAAAGAAACAGTATATAAAAGTATTGAAAAAGCTGCTTAAAGCTAGTGCAGCCTTGGTATCGCGGTCCCTCAATTAAGGGACACAGTGCAAACTGTTGTATTCCACCACCCATGGTTATGGAATTCCAAATTCACCTTACCAAATGGATTTTAGACAAAGTTTTATTGGAGTACAATCACGCCTATTTCTTCACATGTTATCTATGACTGCTTTCATGCTACAATGGTAGAGTTGAAAAGCTGTGATAGAGACCACATCACCTAACATATTTCCTGTTTGGCACTTTACAGGAAAAGTTTGCCAGTGCCTGGTTTATACCATGACCAGAATGCTCTGATACTTAAATCTAATCTTGGGACTCCCCTGCTCAAACAATTCCAATGAATCCGTGCAGAAAACATTGCTGGCTGCCAATGCATAGAAATTATTTTTTCTTTCTTACAGCAGAAACACAAGTTTATTTACATATTTATTATTCCTTTACTCCCATCTCATCTACAAAATGAGAAATCATTATTCTAAGCTAATCACAGTAAGAACATTTGCTTTTCTAGTGACTGGTTTACAAATGAGTATTTGTACTCAGAGGCTGATGGAGGAGAATCACTTGAGTCCAGGAGGCAGAGAGGGTAGTGAGGTAAGATCACACCGTTGCACTCCAGCCTGGGCAAAAGAGGGAAACTCCATCTCCAAAAACACAAATATTTAAAATGCATTCCAGTATTTTAAATATTTTCGTTTTAATTTCTAATATTAGTTGAAGCAGTAAATGCTCCCACTTCAATAAAAGCTCTCTGATATAAGCTATCATTTGATGTTGACTTTTAGTGGCTATGAAAGACAGCCTAATTAAATGTGTTTTAGAGTTAAAATCACAAACTATGAAGCCTGAAATCAAAGCGGAGCTAACTGTATTGAGTACACCTAAAATATAAGATAAGCAAAAAAAAAGGAAGTTCCAAAATAATATGTACAGTGTACAACTATTTATTGAAAATTTAAGACATGAAAACAAATTCTACACATAGTCTAGAACCACACACATATGTTGTGAATTTCTGGGGTTTTGTTTGTTTGTTTGTTTGCTTTTTGAGATGGAGTGTCACTCTGTTACCAAGGCTGGAGTGGCACGATCTTTGCTCACTGCAACTTCTGCCTCTTAGGTTCAAGCGATTCTCCTGCCTCAGCCTCCAGAGTAGCTGAGATTACAGGCACCCACCACCAAAACCAGCTATTGTTTGTTATTTTTAGTAGAGATAGGGTTTCACTATGTTGACCAGGCTGGTCTGGAACTCCTAACCTTCAGTTATCTGCCCACCTTGGTCTCCCAAAATGCTAGGATTACAGGCATGTGCCGCCGTGCACAGCCTGTTGTAACATGTTTTAAACATGCATGGGAATGACAACAAAAACTAATTCAGGCTGTTTTGTGCCTCTAGGAAATTAATTACAGTAGCATAAAAAGATACTAAGGCCAAATGCTTTAGAGTTACGCTTCTAAAACACCGTGTCTAGCAAAGAGTCATCAAGTAATGATTTTTAAAAATTATAAGTCACACACACACACACACTCAATCACCTAATCAGAAAAACAAGAAACCGATTTTCTTTAGATTCTCAGAGTGACAACACTCACAACTGTCATGTCAGCAAGTGAAACTTTCCTCAAAGTAAAGATCAGAATTCCAATCAGCATTTGAACCACTGCAAATATTTCACAGTGTCAAAATTCACCTGCCTCAAAACCGAGCATGTATAGAAATTGCAAATTGGAAACTTTATAGTATCAGGATATTAAAGAAGAACCACATGAGGTACAGTAGAATTTTTTTTAAATCTCTAAATCTTACGCTTGTAAATGGCATTTTCTCAAACATGAATACTAACATTGGTATTATTTGTGTCAAATTTCCCCATCCAATTTTGAAAAGAAAACAACATTGGGAATAAAAAGGCTCTTGGCACTTCAAATATTTTAATGTTCTTAATTCCACAGTAAAATTAAAATTACAAAATTTACCTGCTTTGAATGTTTCTCTGTCCTTCAATTCTAAGGCTTTATTTGGAAGAGAAATTTTCATTCCACAGGTAGGCTAAATGGGTTTGGAAACACAATAATTACTATATAATGTATACTTCATAAAATAAGTAGTTAATATTCAAGATAAAAATATAAAAGTTATTACCTTCAGAAGACCATCTTTATCAGGAGAGTCTAAAAGAAAAGGGACATATATAATTGATTATACGCAAGCCTGTCAAAGTCTACCAAACATTCATGCAGTGTGAATATGAAGATGAATCCTCACGCTTGGATTGAAAAGGGGTTACACTAGGTTTTGGGGTCTTTTGGGTTATTGTGTTTGTTAACATGCCAGCGTGACAGAAATATACCTAAGAAAATTTAAAAAATAAATTTCCTCAAACATGCTGTGAAGATTTCAACAGTCAAAATATATTTCAAGTGACATTAACTAAAGCAGAAAATCCTAATACCAGTAAGAGTAAGCTGTCACATAAGGAAAGAGGTTGAATTTAGTAAGATGACCAAGACATGACCCCTCCACCAAAAATAAATAAATAAATGTCCAAGCTAATGGTAGAATGCTATGACATATTATTAAAGAAACACATCAGAATCACTTATGTCAATATACTACAAGTAGCTATTATGTTCTTCAATTTGTCCTGTAATTTAAGAATTGCAAAGCTCCGATGAGAATTCAAAGGTACAATTTACTTATCATTGCAGAGAATGTTCTAAATTCATCAGCATAAATACTACTTATAGAATAAAAGTTTATAAATATATTTATTTTTGAACCTCTGTGAAATACGAGTATTTTTACATTTCTGGGGTTCTCTAGTTTAGTCTTCTTAAAATTTCGTGATCCACTTATACAGAAAAGTCAAAGCATACCCATCAACAAACTAATACAGTCCAGGTGCCATGGCTCATGCCTGTAACTCCAGAACCTTGGAAGCCTGAAGAGGGCGGATCTCTCGAGGCCAGGAGTTCCAAAGCAGCCTGGCCAAAATAGCGAAACCCTGTCTCCACAAAAAATACAAAAATCATCCAGGTATGGTGGCACATGCCTGTAACCCCAGCTACTTGGGAGCCGGAGCTGTGAGAATCACTTGAACCCAGGAGGCCCAGGTGGCAGTGAGTCAAGATCATGCCACTGCACTCCAGCCTGGATGACAGAGTGAGACTGTCTCAACAAAAGAAAAAACACCCTAACATCACAATTAAAAGAACTAGAAAAGCAAGAGCAAACACATTCAAAAGCTAGCAGAAGGCAAGAAATAACTAAAATCAGAGCAGAACTGAAGGAAATAGAGACACAAAAAACTGTTGAAAAAATTAATGAATCCAGGAGCTGGTTTTTTGAAAGGATCAACAAAATTGATAGACCGCTAGCAAGACTAATAAAGAAAAAAAGAGAGAAGAATCAAGTAGATGCAATAAAAAACGATAAAGGGGATATCACCACCGATCCCACAGAAATACAAACTACCATCAGAGAATACTACAAACACCTCTACGCAAATAAACTAGAAAATGTAGAAGAAATGGATAAATTCCTCGACACATACACTCTCCCAAGACTAAACCAGGAAGAAGTTGAATCTCTGAATAGACCAATAACAGGCTCTGAAATTGTGGCAATAATCAATAGCTTACCAACCAAAAAGAGTCCAGGACCAGATGGATTCACAGCCGAATTCTACCAGAGGTACAAGGAGGAACTGGTACCATTCCTTCTGAAACTATTCCAATCAATAGAAAAAGAGGGAATCCTCCCTAACTCATTTTATGAGGCCAGCATCATTCTGATAGCAAAGCCAGGTAGAGACACAACAAAAAAAGAGAATTTTAGACCAATATCCTTGATGAACATTGATGCAAAAATCCTCAATAAAATACTGGCAAAACGAATCCAGCAGCACATCAAAAAGCTTATCCACCATGATCAAGTGGGCTTCATCCCTGGGATGCAAGGCTGGTTCAATATACGCAAATCAATAAATGTAATCCAGCATATAAACAGAGCCAAAGACAAAAAACACATGATTATCTCAATAGATGCAGAAAAAGCCTTTGACAAAATTCAACAACCCTTCATGCTAAAATCTCTCAATAAATTAGGTATTGATGGGACATATCTCAAAATAATAAGAGCTATCTATGACAAACCCACAGCCAATATCATACTGAATGGGCAAAAACTGGAAGCATTCCCTTTGAAAACTGGCACAAGACAGGGATGCCCTCTCTCACCACTCCTGTTGAACATAGTGTTGGAAGTTCTGGCCAGGGCAATGAGGCAGGAGAAGGAAATAAAGGGTATTTAATTAGGAAAAGAGGAAGTCAAATTGTCCCTCTTTGCAGACGACATGATTGTGTATCTAGAAAACCCCGTTGTCTCAACCCAAAATCTCCTTAAGCTGATAAGCAACTTCAGCAAAGTCTCAGGATACAAAATCAATGTACAAAAATCACAAGCATTCTTATACACCAATAACAGACAAACAGAGAGCCAAATCATGAGTGAATTCCCATTCACAATTGCTTCAAAGAAAATAAAATAAATAGGAATCCAACTTACAAGGGATGTGAAGGACCTCTTCAAGGAGAACTACAAACCACTGCTCAATGAAATAAAAGAGGATAAAACAAATGGAAGAACATTCCATGCTCATGGGTAGGAAGAATCAATATCGTGAAAATGGCCATACTGCCCAAGGTTATTTACAGATTCAATGCCATCCCCATCAAGCTACCAATGACTTTCTTCACAGAATTGGAAAAAACTACTTTAAAGTTCATATGGGACCAAAAAAGAGCCCGTGTCGCCAAGTCAATCCTAAGCCAAAAGAACAAAGCTGGAGGCATCACAGTACCTGACTTCAAACTATACTACAAGGCTACAGTAACCAAAACAGCATGGTACTGGTACCAAAACAGAGATATAGATCAATGGAACAGAACACAGCCCTCAGAAATAATGCCACATATCTACAACTATCTGATCTTTGACAAACCTGAGAAAAACAAGCAATGGGGAAAGGATTCCCTATTTAATAAATGGTGCTGGGAAAACTGGCTAGCCACATGTAGAAAGCTGAAACTGGATCCCTTCCTTACACCTTATACAAAAATCAATTCAAGATGGATTAAAGACTTAAACGTTAGACCTAAAACCATAAAAACCCTAGAAGAAAACCTAGGCATTACCATTCAGGACATAGGCATGGGCAAGGACTTCATGTCTAAAACACCAAAAGCAATGGCAACCAAAGACAAAATTGACAAATGGGATCTCATTAAACTACAGAGCTTCCACACAGCAAAAGAAACTACCATCAGAGTGAACAGGAAACCTACAGAATGGGAGAAAATTTTCACAACTTACTCATCTGACAAAGGGCTAATATCCAGAATCTACAATGAACTCAAACAAATTTACAAGAAAAAAACAAACAACCCCATCAAAAAGTGGGCGAAGGACATGGACAGACACTTCTCAAAAGAAGACATTTATGCAGCCAAAAAACACATGAAAAAATGCTCATCATCACTGGCCATCAGAGAAATGCAAATCAAAACTACAATGAGATACCATCTCACACCAGTTAGAATGGCAATCATTAAAAAGTCAGGAAACAACAGGTGCTGGAGAGGATGTGGAGAAATAGGAACACTTTTACACTGTTGGTGGGACTGTAAACTAGTTCAACCATTGTGGAAGTCAGTGTGGCGATTCCTCAGGGATCTAGAACTAGAAATACCATTTGACCCAGCCAGCCCATTACTGGATATATACCCAAAGGACTATAAATCATGCTGCTATAAAGACACATGCACACGTATGTTTATTGCAGCATTATTCACAATAGCAAAGACTTGGAAGCAACCCAAATGTCGAACAATGATAGACTGGATTAAGAAAATGTGGCACATATACACCATGGAATTCTATGCAGCCATAAAAAATGATGAGTTCAAGTCCTTTGTAGGGACATGGATGAAATTGGAAATCATCATTCTCAGTAAACTATCGCAAGAACAAGAAACCAAACACCGCATATTCTCACTAATAGGTGGGAATTGAACAATGAGATCACATGGACACAGGAAGGGGAATATCACACTCTGGGGACTGTTGTGGGGTGGGGGGAGGGGGGAGGGATAGCATTAGGAGATATACCTAATGCTAGATGACGAGTTGGTGGGTGCAGCGCACCAGCATGGCACAGGTATACATATGTAACTAACCTGCACAATGTGCACATGTACCCTAAAACTTAAAGTATAATTAAAAAAAAGAAAAAACACCTAATATGAAAGTATCAAAAATTAGAAGTCAATTTCCAGAGAATTTTTATATATCATTAACCTGCATATTTCAATGTTGGAATAATGGTTACTGAAAATAACAGTTTTATTATTTTGTTGCTAAAACTAATTCTATTTGTTATACCATGCGAGTAGTTAAAACACTGTTATGAAAAAGCTCTTACAAAAAACTTAGCTTCAAGAAAAAACAGACATTTCTTTGACATAGAAATATATCTTCTTTCATCAAATAATATGAATAAAACATGCTTAATCTCTCATTTTTCTCTACTTTTTTATTTTTCAGTACAACATACTTTAATATATTTAGACATATCAAGTATATATGCTGTTTCCCTTGAGAGATGATTGATCAATAATGAAGACACTTCAGGGATATAAACTCTCTAAAACACAAAAAATGTATGTCCAAGCATTTTAAGGCTAAATACATGACCGTATTGCAGGTAGGTGTTTTAGAAAAAAAGTGCTTAAAAGTGTATTCAACACACTTTAAATAAAAACCTGCCTTAATTACGATGAGAAGGTCATTCTCGATTTATTAATATCTTTAAACTTTACTTCTGAAGCACTGAAGAAACCTCAGAATTTCATATATAAGAAATGATACCATTAATACATCTGTTTGTTTTAGGTAAAAATATGATAAATGTACATCCTCACTAAGTGCAAAGAAAGCAGAGTGTCATGTGATATGAAATGAATATGTAACCGAAATATTTTCCTTTATGAAGAAAATAGCTGGCTTTGACCTTTCTAAGACAAGATAAAAAAGCAAAACATGCAGAGATGAAACATTCAGAGCTATCTCATCATCAACGAACCGTTTATCACTTGGCATTTAGGAATCCTATGTATGGTTGAAAACTCTGGTTCTAAATTGTGATCTGATTACCCCTGAAGTTCAAAATCCATGCAGAGGAAGGAAGCAGGGGAATACTACCTTCGTTATTTTTTTATTACTTTTATTTTTATAAAGGTGTACACTGGAGTTTTTTAGAGTCAGGACAGGTCACATGGCATGGCTCTAAAGATTAGTGAGCCACATTTGTAATGGCTATTGAAATGTATGGCTGTGAATCCTTGCATTTTAAGTACTTCACTTTTAATTTCTAATGTAGCGTGAAGTAAGACATACACTTAAACAAAGCCTTGTTGACATCTGTAATTATATTTATGTTGCTTTTGAGTCATCATGAAGAGAGTCTAATTAAACGTAGTGCAAAGTAAAAATGCACAGTCAGAAATGTTTTCTTTATTTTTTTATTTTAATATTATTATACTTTAAGTTTGAGGGTACATGTGCACAATGTGCAGGTTTGTTACATATGTATACATGTGCCATGTTGGTGTGCTGCACCCATTAACTCGTCATTTAGCATTAGGTATATCTCCTAATGCTATCCCTCCTCCAACCCCACAACAGTCCCTGGAGTGTGATGTTCCGCTTCCTGTGTCCATGTGTTCTCATTGTTCAATTCACACCTATGAGTGAGAACGCGCAGTGTTTGGTTTTTTGTCCTTGTGATAGTTTGCTGAGAATGATGGTTTCCAGTTTCATCCATGTCCCTACAAAGGACATGAACTTATCATTTTTTATGGCTGCGTAGTGTTCCATGGTGTATATGTGCCATACTTTCTTAATCCAGTCTAGCGTTGTTGGACATTTGGTTTGGTTCCAAGTCTTTGCTATTGTGAATAGTGCCACAATAAATAAATTCTTTTTTTTTTTCACAGAGTCTGGCCCTGTCACCCAGGGTGGAGTGTAGGTGCACGATCTTGGCTCACTGCAATCTCTGCCTCATGGGTTCTCACATTCTCCTGCCTCAGCCTCCCGAGTAGCTAGGACTAGAGGCACCCACCACCATGCTTGGCTAATTTTTTGTATTTTTTCATAGAGACGCGGTTTCACCATGTTAGCCAGGATGGTTTCGATCTGCTGACCTCGTGATCTGCATGCCTCTGCCTCCCAAAGGGCTGGGATTACAGGCGTGAACCACAGCGCCCGGCCTGAAATCTTGAAATAAATGAAAAACGAGCTAATCGCTGAACAAAAAAATAAAAAATCGCTGTGGAATGACAAGAACATTCTACAAACATTTATATGTGGTTTTTGCAAAAAGTGTTAATGCCAATGTGTATATGCTGAGTGATGAGGAGATAAGTGATCTTGAATCAGAGGAGCAACTCGTGACACTGAGAAAATAAATGCAAAAGCTGAACGTAGAATGCTACACCATGTGTCTTTAATGCAACACATTATAATAATTTATATCATTACATTACAAACATTCATCATGTTCTTTAATACGTCCTGTCACTGAGAAGGTAAAAAGTTTGGAGGAGAGTTCAGCTGAATGTAGAACTGACATCTCAGCAGTGAAAGTGTTATGAATTGATCAGCTTGGATAAATACTTAGAGAATAATACTAAATATAAATATCCACTAATTTTCATACCCATATGGTATAACGGTATGCCAACATTTTTGTAATTTGTAGCTTAGCCATCTCAATATTCCTTGATCCACTCATGGAGAAAGATGTACAAAACTCATCAGGAATAGCAAATATAATAAGCTTTCAATATTGATATATTTGTTTTAAATTTAGTTGCAACAGACTTATTAAATATTAATAACATTTTCTATGTTAAAATCAGTACAATACCTATGAATAAGAACAATTTAGGTATTCAAGCAATAAATTCAGAATTTTTTTTCTTCTTCTCTGGCTAAAAACATACTCAAAAGTAAGAGCAACATAACGCTTTCTCCTAACCTTTTCTGTCTTGACCCGTTATCCAATTACTCTTCTTCCACATTTCTCCCATGAAAGGCCTCTCCTCTTGACCCTCTATCCAATTACTCTTTTTCCACATTTTTCCCATGAAAGGACTCTCCTCTTGCTACTCGGTCTGAGGTCCAAGGACCACCAGCATCAGCATCGCCTGACAACTTACTAAAAATGCAGAATCCCTAGTCGGCTGAATCACAGTGTGAATTATTAACAAGGTTTTCAGATGATTTTCTAAAGTTTGAAAACTTATGGTCTATACGGAGTGTATATGACGAATTATATACATGTGAGGCCGTGCATATATGCTTATTCTCAACTATTGCAAATAGAACACAGCTCTCCATGGTCAGCTGCTTCCATCCCTAATGGCTTCCCACCAGTGAGAAAGACAGGAAGAGTCAGAATATTTTTGCTGTAATTCTCTGGTATGTTTTGGCACTAGAAAGTCACTTTATATTCTTCCCAAATTTCTAACCATACCCGATCTTTTCCTAAAGAATCATTTCATTTTACCATCCTCCATTATATAAACCTGCCTCTTGTTCCTTCCCGTCCTCTCTGTACTCTCTGTCTTTCTCGATCTTCATTTCCTCTTTTACTACTTTCTCCTTTCTTATTTTCTCATTTTCCTCAGCTCTTGGAATACCTTGAATTCAAACTAATAATTCAGTTCCTTTCCAGCACTCTCAATGTAGTCTGCTGCCAACACATGATAAGACATGTAACTTATCACCATTTCACTTCTCTTTTTTTCCATGCTTTGCATTCAGGAGGTAATTTTCTTCAGCTATTAGGGGATATCCCTCCTCATCAGTTCAGAGAAACATTTGGTCAAATGACTTTTTAAATAAAATATGGTTCTTACCTTCTAATTTTCCACTTAAGGTATCAAATTCTTTTTGATGTGTAGCCTTGGGTAAACACACATCATTCTGTAAGAGAGTCTCAAGGAAACTCTGTTAAAAGTAGTATCAATAAATAATTTCAATGGAGAAATCCCAATAATGAAGAGTATCAAAAGTTCCTACTTAAAATCTTTTCTAAAAACACAGTTTCCTACTTTACAAACAATTCGACTTAAGAGCAGACATGTGTTGAAACCCAAAACATTCTGATAGAAAACCTCACATAACACTCTCCACATCAACTTACCTTTACGTTCATGAGGCTATTAACTTGGTTACTGAGCAGGAAAAACAAATCACACTCACGAAAGAATTCACTCGTGCATATTTCAGAAAGTAACTCTCTTAAAAATATCTAACTTGTGTTGTAGTCCTCATTAAAAGTAAATATGCCATTTCAAACAAAATACAATACACTTGCTACTAGCCATAACACATACTGCATTAAACATTTAAAATATTCATGATCATAGAATTGTTTAGTGTTAAAAATGATGCATGCCGTGAGGAGAACTTTTAGAGTCTGTCATGTAATGCATGCACGGAATGTTTAAAAAGCTGCTTTATTTTGGTAAACAGGGGCTTAAAACAAGCAACATGTTTTTGACAAAATTTATGCTGATAGAAAAAGTGCTTGAAGAGAATGTAAATGCAGTAAGAAAAGAAATTATGTCATGTCTAAATGAAAGCCAACAAATATTAAAGTCTTTTTGTCTGACGACAAATCAGATAAAATCTACTTGTCTACTGACTTCCACCCTTTGCTCTTACCACCAGGCAGCAGCTGCTTGTTTCTAAGAGGTCAGATATTTTCCATGTCTTTCCACAGTTGTGACCTTAAAATACATCACTATTATTTCACGCTCATGCTGCTGCAGCTTGACTGCCTGCCACAAAGGGACTCGAGGAGTTCTACTTGTGAAAATAATTTATATTTTTCAAAAGATTACTCAACCAATACTCTTGTTACTGTAGTCCCACAAGGTTTCCTAGTCCTCATGCTCCTCTTTCTCCTGAAATGTTCCCTCAGATCTATACTGAACAATACAGAAATGTCAATATATTCAAGTCCCAGGCATTAACTTTTCAGGTCCCAACTTTTACAATACTGCAGTTTAAACTGTCTCTCTATGAATCCAGTTAGAACTTTTGCACATCTAGATACACCACAGAATCATAAATTTGCCCACAGCTGGACTCAGTGTAATTCTTTCGCTTTTAGACAAACTTGCTTCAGATCCCATGTGAATTTCTAGTGACTTCTAAGCCTTATTTTTTACACTATACCACACCGGCTTCTTAAATTAAGCCTACAAATTAGCAGAATTTCACTATGAAGCAGTCATCTATTAAGCGTATTCTGAAAAATATCGAAAATAATTTGGGAGTGACATATGCAGAGGTGAGAAAATAAAGTCTAAGCCTCTGCTTTTATGTTTTTGTATCATGCAATACTAGTATTAAAGAAAATTAATAATACACAGTACCTCAAAATCCCAAGAATGTTCTTCATCGTCCTATTGCTTGGATTCTGATTGGAACATCTGAGCTATAAAAGGTTAATCACAGATACATTCATGAGAACATTTCTCTACTATAAACTTTAAAAACATATATAAATCTACTTTCATTCACGAATCTGCGGTTATTCCTCTGTAGCCCGTATATTCTTTTTGTTGATTACAATCACTACTTCTATAGTCAATCCGTTAGAATTGAAATCTAAAAAAATCGGAAAATTAACATTGTATCATTCGTTAGAATGCAGAAAAATAGAAATTTGACTAACTCCTAGAATTATTTCTTCACAAAGCAGTCATATCCTCTTCTCCCGTGAAACACAGTGTGTCCTATACTTGCTGTTCATTCAGAAAACTTTAATTACCTATCATCTCTCACTTCTTTGTAAATTTTTATTTTCTAGTATTACTTAGTTTGATTGACTCTGCAATCTCTATTACACAGTTCTTCAAAAAAGATGATTTATCAACGAACAAGATTTTTTAGGGATATTAACTTTCTGATGTTAGTAAACTATATGTCCAACACTTTTACATTTCAATATGCCATGACAGTATATTGGGTGTGTTTTGGGTGTCTATATGTTTTAGGAAGATAAGCTTAAAAAACTTTTATTGCATATAAATTAAGAAGTGCTTTAATTACAATGACATAGTTCTTCCCTAACTCAACAATGTCTTCAGAGTCAGCTTGTGACAACTAGGAGAAACATCAGAAATGTATAGGAAAAAATAATTGCCCTAAGTAATCTCACATCCCCACATGTTATAGGATAAAATCAAGGCCCACACAAGACTTGAGGAGCTCTCAGGCCAATGAGACAGAAAATGAACTTATACCAAAAATAACGTTCAGCTTTCTTTATCAACCAAAAGTACACATTACAACTATTTGAATCAGGTTAAAGAAAAAAGCAAACATGCACAACTAAAGCCTAAAAGACTGTATCATCGTTAAAGGTACGTTTATCATTTGACATCCATCAACTGTGTATCTGATTTTTAAAAGTAAATTTAACGTGTGATCTCAGCATCCCTAAAGTTCACATTTCATGCAGAGGAACCAAGAAACTAAAATCATACTTTGGTATGCCACCATTTTCACTCATGTTTAGAAGTGTACCCTGGATCGTTTCAGAGATCTAATGTGTTGCGGTACCATAGCTCTAATAATCTGTGGGTCGCAGTTCAAATTGTTAGTGGAATGTATGATTGCACAAGGAGATACTTTAAATATTTTAGTTTTACTTTCTCACAACTAAAAAGTCAGTACATATAACTAACTTAAAGACTCTGAAATTTTCATGTTTTCATTTTTATTCATTATTTATCAGCATAATAATTATGTACTTAATGGAATTTTATAAACAATCTGATATTTAAAAAGACAGTTAATTGTGTCCTTTATGGACGTCTCTAAAAATTATAATGCTGATCAAAACAGAATGTTGCCAAAAATTACACTGTACAACCATGTATGCATTAGAAGTTGAAAAAAATTTTACATATTAAATATGACCACGTACACATGTTGGAAAATGTTTAAACATGCATAAGAATACTTTAAAAAAGTAGTTTAGAATATCGGTTACTTCTAGGCAATAAATGGTACTAGTGTAAAAAGACTCTGGGCCGGGCGCGGTGGCTCACGCCTCTAATCCCAGCACTTTAGGAGGCCGAGGTGGGTGGATTACAAGGTCAGCAGGTCGAGACCATCCTGGCTAACATGGTGAAACCCCGTTTCTACTAAAAATACAAAGAATGAGCCAGGCGTTGTGGTGGGCGCCTGGATTCCCAGCTACTTGGGAGGCCCAGGCAGGAGAATGGCGTGAACCCGGGAGGTGGAGCTTGCAGTGAGCCAAGATCACACCACTGCTCTCCAGCCTGGGCAAGACAATGAGACGGGCGAGACAGCAAGACGCCATATCAAAATTTAAAAAAAAAAGAAAATTTAAGACGTGAAAACAAACTCTACACATAGTCAGAACCACACACATATCTTGTGAATTTATGGTTGTTTGTTTGCTTTTTGAGATGGAGTCTCACTCTGTCACTCAGGCTAAAGTGGCACAAGCTTGGCTCACTGCAACTTCTGCCTCATGGGTTCAAGCGATTCTCCTGCCTCAGCCTCCAGAGTAGCTGAGATTACGGGCACCCACCACCACAACCGGCTATTGTATGTTATTTTCAGTAGCGATGGGGTTTCACTGTGTTGACCAGGCTCGTCTGCGACTCCTGACCTTAAGTAATCTGCCCACCTTGGTCTCCTAAATTGCCAGGATTACAGGCATGTGCCGCCGTGCACAGCCTGTTGTAACATGATTTAAACATGCATGGGAATGACAACAAAAATTAATTCAGGCTGTTTTGTACCTCTAGGCAATTAATTACAGTAGCATAAAAAGACACCAAGGCCAAAAGCTTTAGAGTCACACTTCTAAAACAGTGTGTCTAGCAAAGAGTCATCAAGTAGTGATTTTTAAAAATTATATGTCACACACACACACACACACACACACACACACACACACACACTCTCAGTCACCTAATCAGAAAAACAAGAAACTGATTTTCTTTAGATTCTCAGAGTGACAACACTCACAACTGTCACGTCAGCAAGTGAAACTTTCCTCAAAGTAAAGATCAGAATTCCAATCAGCATTTGAACCACTGAAAATATTTCACAGTTTCAAAATTCACCTGCCTTAAAACCGAGCACGTACAGAAATTGCAAATTGGAAACTTTACACTATCGGGATATTAAAGAAGAACCACATGACGTAAAGCAGAATTTTTTTCTAAATCCCTAATTCTTATGCTTCTAAATGGCATTTTCTCAAACATAAATACTAACATTGGCATTATTTGTATCAAGTTTTCCCATCAAATTTTCTAAAGAAAACAACATTGGGAATAAAAGGCTCTCAGCATTTCAAATAGTTTAATATTCTTAATTCCAGAGTAAAATTTAAATTACAAAGTTTACCTGCTTTGAATGTTTCTCTGTCCTTTAATTCTAAGGCTTTATTTGGAAGAGAAACTTTCCTTCCACAGGTAGGCTAAATGGGTTTGGAAACACAAAAATTAATAGATAATGTATACTTCATAAAATATGTAGGTAATAATCAAGATAAAAATATAAAAGTTATTACCTTCAGAAGACCATCTTTATCAGGAGACTCTAAAAGAAAAGGGACATATATAATTGATTATATGCAAGCCTGACAAAGCCTACCAAACGTTCATACAGTGTGAATATGAAGATGAATCCTCATGCTTTGATTGAAAAGGGATTACACTAGGTTTTGGGGTCTTTTGGGTTATTTTATTTGTTAACATGTCAACTGTAGGATGACTCCCTGAAACTATTGCTATGGAATGAAAGATGCAATGCTCCTGATTATTGTAAATACAAAATTGCATGCAGGATTGTGTAAAGACAATGCCAGGTTGGACTGCCAGAATGAGCCAACAGCACATGATGTGTTTCCCCCTGCAGAGAGCCTGTGAATGGATGTGCAGTCAGGGAGGTTTTACATCACCAAGATTCCTATCCCAGAAACGCATATGTTCATAGCTCTGGGAATGGAATGCCACCCTTGTGGAGAGCCTATAAACAGATGCATGGGGGGCGCCTGTCCATATGGATAAGATAGTGCTGTGAACGCCCTCATCTTGCCACGGCTCTTCTAGGCCTCTTTAGGGTTAAGGCATACTCCTGAGAATTTCTGGTCTAACCAGTTGTCTAGCTTCACATCCTGTTTCTATGGATTGTTTCTAACCAGCTTTTGCTGCAACTGTTACTGCTGATTAATATCTTGCTAATCATAGGTTATAGAAAGACTGTTTCTTTTTTAAGGCTCTGTTAGAAATTACCGATGCACACACTATATTGTAAATTCTTATCCCTGTGTACTGTATTTAGCTAACATACAGATGTTAGCTAAAGAATTACTTCACCCCCATGTGACCATCTCACCTCATAATCAAATGATCCTAAATCCCTCATTAACCCACCCCCACCCTCACTAAACTTAATAGTAAATGCGGGTATATCCAGTGAATTGTTGGCACCACGGGAACACAAGGCTGTGATTCCCCTGGACCCAGCTTTCACTATCTTGTCTGTGTCTATTATTTCTCAACCTGCCGATCCACCTGGGAACAAAGACAAGGCCCCATTGCACTGCAGGCTGCTGGACAGATATCCACATGAGGCAAAGCTGAATTTTTTTTATCTCTAAATCTTATGCTTCTAAATGACATTTTCTCAAACATAAATACTAACATTTGCATTATTTGTATCAAATTTTCCCATCAAATTTTCTAAAGAAAACAACATTGGGAATAAAAGGCTCTCGGCATTTCAAATAGTTTAATATTCTTAATTCCAGATTAAAATTTAAATTACAAAATTTACCTGCTTTGAGTGTTTCTCTGTCCTTTAATTCTAAGGCTTTATTTGGAAGAGAAACTTTCCTTCCACAGGTAGGCTAAATGGGTTTGGAAACACAAAAATTAATAGATAATGTATACTTCAAATATATGTAGTTAATATTCAAGATAGAAATATAAAAGTAATTACCTTCAGAAGACCATCTTTATCAGGAGACTCTAAAAGAAAAGGGACATATATAATTGATTATATGCAAGCCTGACAAAGCCTACCAAGCATTCGTACAATGTGAATATGAAGATGAATCCTCATGCTTTGATTGAAAAGGGATTACACTAGGTTTTGGGGTCTTTTGGGTTTCTGTATTTGTTAACATGCCAACGGGACAGAAATATACTTAAGAAAATTTAAAAAATAAATTTCATCAAACTTGCTATGAAGATTTCAACAGTCAAAATATATTTCAACTGACAATAACTAAAGTAGAAAAATCCTAATACCAGTCAGATTAATCTGCCGTATAGGGAAAGAAGTTGAATTTATTAAGATGACCAAGTCATGACCCCCCGCCAAAAAAAAAAAAAAGTCCTAGGTAATGGTAGAATGCTATGGCATACTGTTAAGGAAACACATCAGAATCTCTTATGTCAATATACTGCAAGTAGCTATTATGTTCTTCAATTTGTCCTGTAATTTAAGAATTGCAAAGCTGCGATGAGAATTCAAAGGTACAACTTACTTATCATTGCAGAGGATGTTCTAAATTTATCAGCATAAATATCTACTTATAGAATAAAAGTTTATGAATATATTTATTTTTGATCCTCTGTGATATAGGAGTATTTTTACATTTATGGGGTTCTCCGGTTTAGTCCTCTCAAAATTTCCTGATCCACTTATACAGAAAAGTCAAAGCACACCCATCAACAAACTAATACAGTCCGGGTGCCATGGCTCATGCCTGTAACTCCGGAACCTTGGAAGCCCGAAGAGGGCGGATGTCTCAAGGCCAGGAGTTCCAAAGCAGCCTGGCCAAAATAGCGAAACCCTGTCTCCACAAAAAATACAAAAATCATCCAGGTATGGTGGCACATGCCTGTAACCCCAGCTACTTGGGAGCCGGAGCTGTGAGAATCACTTGAACCCAGGAGGCCCAGGTGGCAGTGAGTCAAGATCATGCCACTGCACTCCAGCCTGGATGACAGAGCGAGACTCTGTCTCAACAAAAGAAAAAACACCTGATATGAAAGTATCAAAAACTAGACGTCAATTTCCAGAGACTTTTTACATATCATTAACCTGCATATTTCAATGTTAGAATAATGGTTATTGAAAATAACAGTTTTATTGTTCAAGGAATGAATTCTACAATTGCTTTGCTTTGCTAAAACTAATTCTATTTGTTATACCATGCGAGTTGTTAAACCACTGTTATGAAAAAGCTTTTATAGAAAGCTTAGCTTCAAGAAAAAACAGACATTTCTTTGACATAGAAATATATCTCCTTTCATCAAATAATATGAATAAAACATGCTTAATCTCTCATTTTTCTCTACTTTGTTATTTTTCAGTAAGACACACTTTAATATATTTAGACATGTCAAGTATATATGTTGTTTCCTTTGGAGTTGATTGATCAGTAATGAAGACACTTCAGGGGATATAAACTCTCTAAAACACACAAAATTTATGTGCAAGCATCCTTATGTTATGCTATGATGCATTTGCCAATTGAAAGGGGCAGAAGAAGGCATCTAAAAATCTTGAAAGTCGAACTATCTATTCAACATTTTGGACCTGCAGTGCTAAAAAATGAACTCACATTAGATTGAAGGAAAGCATAGGGAGATGTGAATGATATGAGCTGCTGAACAAGCTGTGTCTTCAACACAATCTCCTATTAGGGCAACATTCAAATAAAATAAATATATTGAGATTATATAGAATTATGATGCTGACTGGCCATGAATTCCAGAGGACACAAAAAAAGATTTGCGGAGTCAGAGGAATTGGAAGATAAGTCTATCTGGATAGCCATATCAGGACAGACATGGCTGAGAACAAAGCATTGTCTGTAATAGAACATACAAATTCTTCCTTAGAATGTAGTAAAGGGACTCCTTTATTCATATGCAGTTCCTGCCACAACTCTGAATGCATAGATTCTTTTGACTTTACATAAATGCCACAGATTTGTTTTTATTTTAATGAAGCCCAATGACAGGAGATCCACCAATAAACTGGAGGTAGCAAGTAGCTATTGAAAGTTAAGAAGTTTATGAAATTATTAGAAAATGTCTTATTGAAACTTTCTGTTACCCATCTCCTAGCATTCAACATCTACCCTCATCAAATTCTATTAGTAAATTTAATAATCACTTTTTGCACAATCAAATTTTTATTATGCTGGTTAAGTGGGACATACACCATGGTTCCAAATTTTCTATACTTTAAAATTCATTTTCTTCATTTATACTTCATACCATTCTAATTTTCGTAATTGGTTGAATTCATTGCTTCAATTTCTGATTAATTTCTCATATTATATAATCCTTGAGAGAAAATATGTCCTTCAAACTCAAATTGTTTGTTTCCAGTGCCATATAGTTAAACATTTCTTTTATTCAGTATGTATTTCAACCTTCCTTGTCTCTCCATAAATCACTATCCTTTTTTCCCTTTACAATTGGTAAATATTTTATTCTGCAAAGAGGATGGTCTCATTAATTTACCAAATATAATAGTTTTGTATAGGAAAATACATTGAAATTCTAAATATCTATTCAAAATGACATATAACAAAACCAATTTTTTTCTTATCAATGGTATAACCAAACAATTTTGAAGAAAATGATGTTACTCAAAGACTTTCTGTATGTAATGTTGCTTAAAGTCACAGTTGCCAAGCATTTACCAACAACATCAAGCAAGGACTTCCTGTACTTAATATACAAATAGTTTTTTAAAAAAAACAAAATGTCTCTTTCCTCTGCTGAATGCTGATTGCAGGCATTAAATCTCCAGTTGCTTGATGAATGCATATTCTTTTAAAAAACAAGCTATCATAACCTATTTTGAGTATAGCAATATTAACAATATATTTTTATCTCCTTTGTGATAGATCAGTGAAGCAAGTTTTGAAATGAAGTTAGTAATTTTGAATTTAAATCTACAATTTAACTTTTTAAAAATGCTGAAATTTTATGTAACACTTTTCAAAGGTCTTTAGCATAACAAGTTGGTGAGATGAAATGGTAAAATGTGCCAATTAGCTTCCTATCATAGTTCACTTATATATCACTTGCATTTTAATAAGTATCGTTATAGATTTCTGAAAAGACCATTATCCTTAACAAACTAACACAAGAATAGAAAAGCAAATACCACATGTTCTCATTCTCATTTATAAGTGGGTGCTAAATGATGAGAATGTATAGACACACAGAGACCTAGGAGGGTGGGAGGAGAGAGAGGATCAGGAAAAAATAACTAATGGGTATCAGGCTTAATACCTGGGTGATGAAATAATCTGTACAATGAACCTCCATGACACAAGCTTGCCTATGTAACAAATCTGCACTTGTATCCCTGAACTTAAAATAAAATAAAATATACAACTAGCAGAGACCAGGCATGGTGACCCAGGCCTATAATCCCAGCAGTTTTGGAAGCCGAACCAGGAGGATCACTTGAGACCAGGAGTTGGAGACCAGGAGTTGGAGACCAGCCTGGGGAACATGGTGTGACCCTGTGTCTACTAAGAAAAGAAAAAAAAAAAAAAAACAGCCAGGAATGGTGGTGGTGCAGAACTGTAGTTCCAGCTACTTGGGAGTCTGGGATGGGAGGATCCCTTGAGCCTGGGAAGTCTAGGCTGCGGTGAGCCAAGATCATGCCACTGCACTCCAGCAGGGGTGACAGAGTGAGACCCTGTCTTAGAAAAAAAAAGAAAAGAAAGTGCTAATCTAATTTCCCTACTGGAATCCCCTCTTCACCTGCCCTTTCTGGAACCTCACTTGTCAGTTCTTCCTCCAACTTCCCTGTGTCTTTAACCTGTCCCCCACCAATCCTTTTGGTCACTGTGGTGGCCAAAGTAATGCCCCCTACCAATTGCTCACGTCCTAGGTTACACAGCACAGTTTCAGAGGAAGGGGGATATTAAGAGTGCAGATGGAATTAATGTTACTCATCAGCTGTCCTTGAAACAAGATTATCCTGGAGTACCTGGGTGAGCCCATGTAATTACAAGGGTTCTTTAAATATGGACGAGGGAGGCAGGAAGTTAAGAACCAGACAGAGTGAGCACAGTGGCTCATGCTTGTAATATCAATACTTTGAAAGCCCTAGGCAGGAAAATCCCTTGAGTGCAGCAGTTCAAGGCCAGCCCTGGCAACACAGCCGGGCCCCACCTCTACCGAAAAATTCAAAATTCACTGAGTGTCATGGTGCTCACCTGTAGTCACAGCTACTCGAAAGGCCGTGGTAGGATTGCTAGCTTGGGGGGTTGAGGCTACAATGAGCTGTGATTGCACCACTGAACTCCATCCAGGGTGACAGAGCAAGATCCTGTTTCTGAAGAAAAAAAAAAAGGACATTGGAATCAGGGCTTCCTCCATCCTAAGGTGCCTACAAGGCATCTCTCTCTGAAAATGAGTAAACATCCTCTAATTCTCCGCAGAGTGGAGCAGCAGGAAAACGCACTCACCTCATTTCTGTGCTGCTTGAGAGGCCTGGACATCCCAATAACCAGCTCATTCCTGATGAAGAAATCAGGAAATGGCTCGAGTTGAGCTACGGAGAATTTGGTTCCTTCTTTTGGTTCTCAAGAGGCAGGGTGGGGGCCAGGCATAGTGGCTCATACTTGTAATTCTTGCACTTTGGGAGGCCTAGGGGAGAGGATCACGTGAGGCCAAGAGTTCAAGACCAGCCTGGGAAACATAGCAAGACCCGGGTGGCATGCACCTGTGGTCCCCACTACTTGGTAGGATGTGGTGAGAGGATTGATCACTTGATCAACCCAGGAGTTTCAGGCTGCAGTGATCCATGATCACACCACTGAACTCTGGCCTGTGTGACAGAGCCAGACCATGCCTCAAAAAGTTAGAGAGAGAGAGAGAGAGAGAGAGAGAAACTATAGGCAGGCACCAGCACATTCAGCTAATTTTTAAATATTCTGTAGAGATGAGGTTTTGCTAGGTTGCCTAGGCTGGTCTAAAACTCCTGGCATCAACAGATCCTCCCACCTCAGCTTCCAATGCCCTGGGATTATATTTTTTGTTTACTATCATTGAAGACACTTGTTCTTATACTGCTTTAAGGTATAAAAGGAAAAAAAAACGCAGATAATAACAAATGTTGGTGAAGGCCAGGCACGGGGCCTCAGCTTGTTAATTCCAGAACTTTGGGAGGCTAAGGTGGCCAGATCATTGAGGCCAGGAGTATGAGACCAGACTGGGCAATATGGTCAAACCCCATCACTACAAAAAAAATATAAAAATTAGCCAGTCATGGTGCTGTGTACCTGTAATTCCCAGCTACTCAGGAGGCTGAGATGAGAGGATCACTTGTGCCTGGGAGTTCAAGGCTGCAGTGAACTGTAATGACATCACTGCCCTCCAGCCTGAGAGACACAGCAGGCCCCTGTCTAGAAAAAAAAATAATGTCAGTGAAGATGCAGAGGAATTGGACCCACACACATAACTGGTGGGAACATAAATTGCCATAACTACTTTAGGAATTTCTTTTCTTATCATTTTAATTGGATTTTTTTTGAAATCAAGACAGGGTCTCGCTATCTTGCCTAGGCTAGTCTTGAACTTGTGGGCTCAAGTCATCCTCCCAACTGAGCCTCCTAAGTAGCTGGGATTACAGGTGTGAACCATCACACCCAACTGATCTAATCACTTTAGAAAATGTCTGGCAGTTTCTCAAGAGCCTAAATGTGCAGTCATCACATAATGCAACAATTTAACTCCTAGGCGTATATCCCAGAGGAAAAAAAATATATATGTCCATACAAAATCTTGTATAGGAACCTTCATAGCAGCATTATTCATAATGGCCAATACATGAAAACAACCCAAATGTGCACCAACTGATGAATGGATAAAAAAAATGCAGTGTGTTTCTACCATGGAATATTATTCAGCCACAGAAGGAATGAAATACTGATACACGCTACAACATAAAGGAACTTTGAAAACATTGTACTAAGAAGGAAAGCAAGCCAGCCACAAAAGAACACATATTGTACAATTCTATTTGTCCAGATTAGGCAAATCTACAGTGACAGAAAAATCAATCAATGGTTGTCTGAGGCTGGGGGCAAAGGCAGGTGGGGGGAGTAGGAGGCAGTGGCTAAGGGGTGCGGATTTCTCTACAGGGTAAGGAAAGTTTCTAAGAGTGACTGTGGTGATCAGTGCACAGCTCTGTGAATATTCTAAAACCCACTGAACTGCAGATTTCAGCAAATAAATTGAATGATATGTGAATTACATTTTAATAAAGCTGTTATTTAAAATAATAATAATAAGGAGCTGGGCACAGGTAGTCATACCTGCCTGTAATCCCAGCACCATGGGAGGGTGAGGCAGGAGGATCACTTGAGGTCAGGAGTTTGAGACCAGCCTGAGCAACCTAGCAAAATCGTGCCTCTACAATAAAAAAAAAAAAAAATTTAGCTGGGCATGGTGGCACACGTCTGTATTCCCAGCTGTTTGGGAGACTGAGGTGGGAGGATTGCTTGAGACTAGGAGTTTGAGGCTGCAATAAGCCATGATCATGTCACTATACTGCAGCCTGGGCGACAGAGCAAGACTCTGTCTGTAAAAGGGACAGAAAAGGGCTGGGCGTGGTGGCTCATGCTTGTAATCTCAGCATTTTGGGAAGCCGAGGCAGGCGAATCATCTGAGGTCAGGAGTTTGAGAACAGCCTGGCCAACATGGTGAAACCCTTTCTCTACTAAAAATTAAAAAAATTAGCCGGGCATGGTGGCGGATTCTTGTAAATCTACTTGTAAATCCAGACTAGCCTGGCCAACATGGTAAAACCCCGTCTCTACCAAAAACACAAAGAAGTAGCCTGGAGTGGTGGCGTGTGCTTATAATCCCAGCTACTCAGGAGGCTGATGCAGGTCAATTGCATGAACCTGGCAGGTGGAGGTTGCAGTGAGCCGAGATTGTGCCACTGTACTCCAGCCTGGGTGACAAAGTGAGACTCTGTCTCAAACAAAAAAAAATTGATCAGATAAAAAAATTATGAAACGATGGCACAAATAAGATGTTAAAATTTGTTCCAAGGAGAATTCCAAAACCCACACATATCTGAGACCATCAAGTATGATGAAATATATTTGATTACTATATTTAAAAATAAACCGATTGTATAGTCAACAACAATTGGGCAGGGGTCTCCTCATCCACAGCCACACAAACCCGATCATGTGGCTATGCAGCTGAAAGGCCTGCATAGCCTAGATGGGACTGGTCCAACTTGAGATTTCATTTTATTTGGATTTGTATTTTGAGACGGGGTTCCACTCTGTCACCCAGGCTGGAGTACAGTGGTGTAATCATAGCTCACTGCAGCCTTGACCAACTGGCCTCAAGAGATCCTTCTGCCTCAGCCTCCCTAATACCTGGGAATGCAGGCAGGTTCCACCATGCCAGGCTATTTTTTTTTTTTAATTTTTGTTGAGAAAGAAGTCTTGCTATGTTGCCCAAGCTGGCCGCAAATTCCTAGCCTCAAGAGATCTGCCCACCTCAGCCTCCAGAGTAACTGGAACCACAGGAATACACAACCATGCCTGGCTATATTTATTTTCCTAAATTTCTTTCTTCTACTTTTGTAGAGAGGAGGTCTTGCTATTATTGCCCAGGCTGCTCTCTAACTCTTGGCCTTAAAAGGTACTCCCATCTCTGCCTCTCAAACTGTTAGAACTACAGGTGTGAGCCACTGCACCTGGCCTGACCTGAGATTTCTTTAATCTAGCATCCTTTACTTAGTAGGATTGGGAAAGGCAGCAGTGGTTTTTTTTAATTACTTAATAATTCAGTTTGAATCAAACTCAACCTTGACCCCTGCCTTCTCTCACACCCCATGTCCAGTCTGTCAGGATCCTGTTGACAGTCTTCAACATGTCTCCAGGCTCTGATCATCTCTCACCGCCACCATGACCCTGGTCAGGACCACTATCATCTCCCACCTGGATGTGGTGACAGCTCGGCCTCCCTGCTTCTACCAAAATCTTCCTATAGTCTTTCCCAACTCAGCAGCCAGGGGTGCTTTTAAATAGGGAGACAGATGATGTCACCTGTCTGCTCAGAACCTTCCCGCAGTTCCCATCTCAGTCAGAGTAAAAGTCAAAGCCCCAGCAATAACCTCCCAGGGCTTACACAATCTGTACTGATCTCAGCCCAGCTACTCCCTGGCCTCCTCCCCTGCTTCTCTTCCTCCCTCTCTCTGCTGCACCAGACTCCATCCTGAGCCTTAGACACACCAAGGAGTTCCCTCCTAACATCTTCACTCTGTTGCTTCTGCCTGCAATGCTCTTCCCTAAGCACCCTGGCCAGCTCCTTTCCCTCCTTGAAGCCTTTGCTCAATTTTCACTTATGAGGACAACCCTGAACACTCTATTTAATATTGCCATCTGTCCCCACTTCCACCATGCTCACTCATTTGTTCTTTCTTTTTTTTTTTTTTTTGAGACAAGACCTCCCTCTGTCACCCAGGCTAGAGTGCAGTGGCACAATCACAGCTCACTGCAACTTTGAACTCATATGCTCAAGCAATCCTCCTGCTTCAGTCTCCTTACTAGCTAAAACTACAGGTGTGTGCTACCAAGACTGGTTTTTTTGTAGACAGGGTCTCACTATGTTGTGCAGACTGGTTTTGAACTCCTGGGCTCAACTCATCCTCCCACCTCAGCCTCCTAAAATGCTGGGATCACAGGTATGAGCCACTGTGCCTGGCTTTGTGTTCATTTCTTCTTGCTTCTTTTACACAGTACCCTACATTGAGTGGCTTAAAACACCACAAGTCTACTATCTGACAGTTCTGAAGCTCAGAAATCCAAAATAGGCATATCAAGGCTAAAGTCAAGGGGTCAGTAGGGCTGCATTCTCCTGGAGGGCCTAGAGAGAATGTGTTCCCTTGCCTTTTCCAGCTTCATGAAGCCACCCACATTCCTTGGCTCATGGCTCCTAACTCCGTCTTCAAAGCAAGAAGTGGAGCATCTTCAAATATGCCTCTCTCACCTCTGCTTCCATCATCACATCTCGTCCAATTCTGACTCTTCTACCTCCCTCTTGCTATTATAAAGACCCTTGTGATTGCTTGGCATGGTAGCTCACACCTGTAGTCCCAACACCCTGGGATGCCAAGGTGGGAGGAATGCTTGAGGCCTGGGGTTCAAGACCAGCCTGGGCAACATAGTGAGACTCCACCTCTACAGACATAGTAGTAATAATGAATATTAGCCAGTCGTTGTGATGCACACCAGTAGTCCAAGCTACATGAGAGGCTGAGATAAAAGAATTGCTTTAGCCCAGGAGTTTGAGACCGGTCTAGGCAACATAAAAAGATGGCATTTTTATAAAAAATAAAAAAAATTATCTGGGCGTAGGTGGCATGCACCTGTAGTCCTGGCTACTCAGGAGGCTAAGGCGGGAGGATTGCTTGAGCCCAGGTTGAGGCTGCAGTGAGCTATGATCACATCACTGCACTCCAGCCTGGGTCACAGAGTGAGACACTGTCTCAAAAATAGAAAACAAAAGAAGAGAAAGACACATTTGGTCTCTGCCCCTGGTCCTGGCACAGAGCTTCTAAAGCTCTTATAAAGTCCTCAGTGATAGAGGTGATAGGAGCATCTTTTGTTTCAATATTTGGTCTTAGTCCTAGGTTTCTAGCACAAGATCCTCTTTGGATCACCCTACCCCCTACTTCCTACCCCATCCCCTACAAAACAACCCAATTCTTCTCCTTAATGGAGCTATATTACAAAAAGTTGTACTCATTTATATTTTGAATTTCATTCATTAAAATTTTGTGGAAATTTGTTTTCTCTCTTGTTATACCTACATGCCATTCTTGTTTTCTCTCTTGTTATACCTACATGCCATTCTTGGTTTTGTCTCTTAGTCTTTGAAGCCTAAAATATTTAGCATCTGTCCCTTTAATGTGTTGACCTTTGGACTAAAGGAACTGGGAGGACTTTGGACTGGAAGAAAGAAGACAATATGACAACCGCTCTCAAATATTTGCCGGACTCAACAGGGAGCTGGATCCATCCATCACCAGGGAATCTTTACTACGGAACACTCTCCTACCTATGAAGAAAGAGGTAGCTCTGTCTCTACAAAAACAAACAAACAAAATTAAGCCATGCAGGGTAGTGTGCGCCTGTAAGTCCAGTGACTCAGGAGGCTGAGATGGGAGGACTGTTTGAGCTCAGGAGCTTGAGATTACAGTAAGCTATGATTGTGCCACTGCACTTCCAACCTGAACAGCACAGCAAGAGTCTGTCTCTAAAAAGAAAGAGAACAGACACTCTGCAGAATGGGATAAAATATTTACAAATCATATAGCTGACCAGAGTTTATTGTTTAAACTTTTAAAGAGACAAAAGACTTGAATAGTAGGCCAGGCATGGTGGCTCACACCTGTAATCCCAGCACTTTGGGAGGCCGAGGTAGGCGGATCACAAAGTCAAGAGATCGAGGCCATCCTGGCCAACATGGGGAAACCCTGTCTCTATGAAAAATACAAAAATTAGCTGGGCATGGTGGCACGCACCTGTAGTCCCAGCTCCTCAGGAGGCTGAGCCATGAGAATCACTTGAACCCAGGAGGCGGAGGCTGCAGTGAGCAGAGATCACACCACTGCACTCCAGCCAGGTGGCAGAGCAAGACTCTGTCAAAAAAAAAAAAAAAAGACTTGAATAGTAATTCCACCAAAGATATAGAAATGGCCAATAAGCACATAAGATATTCAAAATCACTAGTTATTAAGGAAAGAAAATCAGTCCTAAAATGAGATATCACATCACACCTACTAGAATGGCTATAATAATAATGAAAAGATAACAAGCACTGGTGAAGAAGTGGAGAGATTAGAACCCTTGAATATTCTCTCTAGGAATGTAAAATGGTACAGTCACTGTGAAAAAGTCTGTAAGTTCCTCAAAAAGTTAAACACAGAATTGCCGTATGACTAAGCAATTCCACTCCCAGGTGTATAACCAAAAGAATTGAAAAAATGAACTCAGAAACATGCCGAGTGCTGATGTGCAAGTGTTGATGTTGGCTCGGGACAAGAGAAGAAAGGAAAGTCCAAGGACAGTATTTACTGCAGCGTTAATCACAATAACCAAAAGGTGGACAAACCCCAGGTGTCCATCCAGAGATGAAGGGATAAACAAAATGTGACATATACATGCAATGGAATATTATTCAACCACGAAAAAGAATGAAGTTCTGATCAATGCTATCAGATATATTGTTACAACCTGGCTGAACCTTGAAAACATTTGGCTAAGTGAAATAAGCCACACATAAAAGGGCAAGTATTGCATAATTCCTTTTATATGAGGTGCCCAAATAAGGAAATTCATAGAAACAAAAATTAGATTAAGAAGTTACCAGGGTATCAGGGAGGAGAGAATGGAAAGTTATTGCTTATTTGGTACAGAATTTGTTTGGGATGATGGAAAATTCTGGAAATACATAGTCATGATGGTTGTAAACCTTGTGAATGTAACTAAATGCCACTGAATTTTACACATTTTAAATCAATCCTTTCTAAAAACCAAAGAGAAATGGAATGGTATATATTACCTATCAAATGCTGTGCTGGATACATTATAGCCATTATCTGATTAAGCTTCATGAAAGTCTGTGAGTCATTCAAGGCCAAGTATCTTTCTCAAAGTCTCACAGCTAGGAACGGGCAGTAAATTTTTTCACTAGACAATGGGTACTTTTCTACATAAGGGTCAAGGATCATCTGCCAGGGTTATTTAATACAAAGGAGATTTTCACATTAGAAAGCAGATTATTAATACAACCAATAATAATAGTAACATGCCTTTTGCATACATTATCTCCTTAATCCTCACAAATAGGAAAGAAAGAACCTAAGACATCAGAGAGCCACTTAGGATTAAGAATGCAAGCTGCCCCCAATATGCATCCTCTGTCCTTAAAGACCTGAGCTATGAACATGGAAAAGATTGAAAAACACTGCCTTCAGGTATGAATAAACATACATTAGATCTGAGTAAGAATGCATCACTTAGGGGGAAGGGAAGCAGATGCTTATCTATTTTGTCTTATCTACTGATAACTAAATTCAGACATTGTAATAAAAGTAATACAAATGTTATAAATATATTTTCTCTTAATTTTTAAAGAGCAACGATTACAGTCTGAAAAACTGTCATTCAGCGACTAGTGCCATGCTGAGGCCAAATCTTTTGGTTTTCAATATCCAGCTTTATCATGTCACAATTACCTTCAGATTCTTTTCCACTTAGATTGTAAAAATGCACATGAACTCAAAACTCTAGGTAAATCTATAAACCTATACCTATGAATCAACCTTTAATTCAATAAAAAATACACTTTCTCTACACACACTTTCTTTCCCTTTTTTATGTGCATTATCTTATTTAATCCTCAAAGCAATTCTCTGAGTTAGGAGTTTTTTTTTTTTAAGGGATACATGTGCAGAACATGCAGGTTTCTTACACAGGTATACACGTGCCATGGTGGTTTGCTGCACCCATCAACCTGTCATCTACATTAGGTATTTCTCCTAATGTTATCCCTCCCGTAGCCTCCCACCTCACACAGGCCCCAGTGTGTGATGTTTCCCTCCCTGTGTCCATGTGTTCTCATTGTTCAACTCCCACCTATGTGTGAGAACATGCAGCGTTTGGTTTCCTGTTCTTGTGTTAATTTGCTGAGAATGATGGTTTCCAGCTTCATCCTGCAAAGGACATGAACTCATCCTTTTTATGGCTGCATAGTATTCCATGGTGTATATGTGCCACATTTTCTGGGAGTGTAAATTAGTTATTCCTCTTTTTTTAACCTTAAAATTTGAATTTATGGAGCATTAAGTGCTTGACTGTAAAATCAAAAAGCAAAAAGAGATGTGAGGTCAAAGAAAGGAGAGACAGTGAAAAATGGGCCAGGAGTTAAAAAGTAAAATTTTTCAGTAAAGAAGAACAGTTAAGATGGTTGTTCATGTTGTTATTGAAACAAAAGAGGTTTGGTCTAGGTCCTGCTGCTCACTGCATAGAAACCCAATGACAAGTATTGCTAAGGAAGAAGGCTGTAACCCGGTGCTGCAGCCAAGGAGAGGGAAGCTCAGTCTCAAATCCATCTCCTTCACTGACTAAAACTAGGAGTCTATTTGGCAGGAAGAAATGCAACAATGTATAAGAAAACAGGAATTAGGGAGGAGCAAGGAAGCATCTGGGTACTGTGATATGGTGAATTTCAGATCTTTGATACTTTCTGAAGATCTTTTTTTGAGGAGGGAAGGCAGATAAGTATAGTTTCAAGCTTTAACAGCAGGGTTAAATTTCTACGTTTATCGTCTATGGGACTACCAGGCTAGTTTCAAATTAAGCAATGATTCTATAGGTCCTTTTTGTTGTTTTAAAATCTGAAACAATTGAATGTATGTTATATGCTAGACCTAAAGAAAATCCATTTCATGTGCTAAAAACCAGAGTAGATCAAAGTAAAACCTGTTACAAATAGCCTATGAGTATCAAGTTTGGGAACACTATGAAAAATTCCAAAAAAGGTAATCAATTCATAAAACTTACAGATGAACAAATGAATATTTCAGAATTCTTATCAGTACTAAGTATGAACATGATTTTATCAATATTTTCATTACTAATTATACAATAAGAACCTGACTTCTGACTATTCTAAGGTATAAATGTGTACTTTACCTTAAATAGGAAAATGTGTTGTATATCCATTTTGAGATTCATTACAAGATTCACAGAAGAGAAAACTGATAGCCCTGTATCGATTAAAAGCATTTTTTTAAGACAGTTTTGCTCTTGTTGCCTGGGCTGGAGTGACATGACAAGATCTTGGCTCACTGTAACCTCCGCCTCCCAGGTTCAAGTGATTCTCCTGCCTCAGTCTCCCGAGTAGCTGGGATTACAGGTGTCTGCCACCATGCTGGGTTTTTTTTGTTTTTTTGTTTTTTTTTGTTTTGTTTTGTTTTTGCATTTTTAGTAGAGACGGGGTTTCACCATGTTGGCCAGGCTGGTCTTAACTCCTGACCTCAGATGATCCACCCCCCTCAGCCTCCCAAGAGATGGAATCTCACTATGTTGCCCAGGTTGGCCTAGAACTCCCAGGCTCAAGTGATTCTCCCACCTCAGGTTTGAGAGTGGCTGGGACAACAGGGTGCAAACCCAGATGAGGGTAATTTTTGTAACAAAGGGAGTTAGGAAACTTTCTATCAGAGAAACCTCAAGGCCCAGATGGTTTCACTGGCATATTTTACCAACTTACTAAAAAAAAGAATGTAACTAATTCCTAATGTCACAAGCAGACAATTACTGAAAACTGACTGCTAAAAACATGCAATTCACTTGGACACGGCCTAACGTGTATACACATATTCACATAATTACGGGCCAGAAGGTTTACTCAAAACACTTTCAGAGTTCTCTAGACCTGATAAAGCTATCCTCTGAGAGAAAATAAACCTGTTAGGCAATTGCAAATTAAAACCACAATGAGGAACCACTGCATATCAACTTAAGAGGGTAAAAATAAGATTGACCATACAAGTATTCACAAGAATGTCAACCAAAACTCTCATACCCTGCTGATGGAGATGTAAAATAATGCAGGTGCCTTGGAAAACAGTTTGGCATTTCCTTCAAAAGTTATAGATCCCAGCTATTCCATTCCCAGATATCTACTCAAGAGAAATGAAGGCCTATGTCCACACAAAAACTTGTACACAAACATTCATAGCAGCTCTACCTGCAGCAGCCCCAGCCCCAAACTGGAAGAACCCAAATGGCTATCAACAAACAAAGGGATGAGCAAATTTTGACCCATGTATACAACAGCGTATTAATCAACAACAAAACAGAATCTCCTACTGATACATGCAACATTGTGGATGAATTTCAAAACAATCATGTGAAGTAAAGAAGTCACAATAGTCCCTACCCCATGAAAATAGTCCACATTTAATCATATCATATGATATCATATATATGACTTTCTAGAAAATGCAAATTAAGCTAAAACGGAAAATCAGCATGTTGCCTGAATACTGGGCAGGGTCATGAATTACAAGGGGACATGAGAAAACTTTTGGGGGTATGGATATTTCATTATCTCGGTTGCAATGAAGATGGTTTATTAGGTATGTACATGTCAAAACTGGATTTTATACTTCAAATGTTTAATTTATTACAATTACACATAGATAAAAAAATTAAGCTGACTATATCTGCATTTGCCTAATAGGTTTATTTTGCAACACTAGAAACTGGGATTGAATTCTAAATTGTGCCACAACTTGTGCTTATACTTTTACAAACATGAATGACTATTTTACATATCCCCTGAATTGTGTGAGTTGACCTTATATCCACATTTTTAAAATGTTTTATCCCAGTGACTTATTTACAAATATAGATGTCCATCAAGAACTAATCAATAAAATACTATTTAAGAAGTTAAAGCAACTGATAAACTTTAATTTTAACCACAAATTTTTTTTATTAAAAAATTGCATTCACCCTTATTACCTTGAATGTGATATAATCATAATCAGGATCTTCTGATTCTTCCTTTACTGTCACAGCTGCCACTTCCAGGGAAATGACTATAAAAGCAAATGAAATTATATGATTGCATGTCAGGGCTTTCAGCTAAACTGTGTAGCGAAATCCTCTCCATGCTCCCTATAAATACAGCAATGAATACCCATTTTAAATAAAGACTTTAAAAGTCTTTGAAAGGACAAAAGTTCACCACGTGTAGCAGAGTGTAGGAATCACCTATAGTCCCAACCGAGAAAAAGTTTTAACCATTTATTAATATTCTGCAATTATTTGCTGCCAATTTTTTTCTCCAGCAAATTCTTATCTTTAGAATTAAAGAAAATTTAGTCACAATCCATGTTCACTGAATATTAAAACTACTATTATAAACCACTGTTATATACATCAGTTTTAATAACTCAATATTCCAGAGTAGAGATGGTATAATTTTTGGCAATTTCAATAATGAGATACATTGATTTTTTTTTCCTCCTCATAAATCTCTTCTATTAACAAGAGGACAAAGCACACCTTTCTGCATAAAGGTTTGCCCACAATTAGGACAGGTAATTTGAAGCCACCTTTGTGGCCAGATACAGAAGAGTGCATATTGGGTAATTCCTCTCATTTGAAGGTCAAAATAGGCAAATGAAATCTTTGTTATTGAATATGTAGGCTGGGTGTGGTGGCTCATGCCTTCAATTCTAGTACTTTGGGAGGCCAAGGCAAGCAAATCACCTGAGGTCAGGAGTTCAAGACCAGCATGGCCAACATGGTGAAACCCCGTCTCTACTAAAAATACAAAAATGTAGCTGTGTGTGGTGGTGGGCACCTGTAGTTCCAGCTACTCGGGAGGCTGAGGCAGGAGAATGGCGTGAACCCCTAAGGCAGAGCTTGCGGGTGAGCCGAGATTGTACCACTGCACTCCAGCCGGGGCGACACAGCAAGACTGTCTCAAACAACAACAACAACAACAAAAAAAAACTGAAAACATTAATGTAAGCGTAGTAAACTAAGGAATAAATTTTTGTGACAATTGACAGCAGATGAGAATGACTATAGTTAACAACAATGCATTGTACATTCCAAATTAGTTAGAAGAGAGGACTTGAAATCATAAATACTCAAGGTGATGGACACCCCAACTACTCTCACTTCATCATGACACAGATGATACATATAACAAATATCACAGTTACCCTATAAAAACCTACAAATGTATGAACTAAAAGGTTAAATCCAAAAAAAGTCTTGTAAGTTGCAGAAAAGTAGACTGTAGCAACTGTACGTATTTTCTTCCTTTCCTGCTATGAATGTGTTTGTATGCAGATTATGTATTTGCATATATTAACTATTCCCTTCTTCTATGCGCAGTATTTTACAGAAGTTTTATTGGAGGTTTCTTTTCCATTTGTCCATTAGACTAGAGATTACTCAAATAGGTTAGGATTGAATTAAGAGTAAGTGATACGCCTCATGACTAGATAGTCAGTCTCCCAGAGATGGGTGTGGCTGTTGGAACACTACGTCTCCTCATTTTGAGCAGATGGTAAAAACTGATTTCTTTGTAGGAAGTTGCACTCTGTTGGATGGAACAGTTGTGCTGTTGTACAGAAAGTCAAATGTGCAGGGAAGGGTGTGTATATTTCCTGAGTAGCCAGAGGGCAGCCAGGGCTAGCCATTAAAGCTGATGTCTCTTAGTTGCAAGCCCACCCTCTGGGTTTCTGGTGAAGCTTGAGCTCTGCACAGCAACTGGCTTTGCGTGAGTCTCTACCACAAGAACACACTATGCGGAGACAATAGGCTAGAGAAGGGGAAGGGATCTGTGCCTTCTTTTTGTCTCCTTGTCTGCACCCTAATCCCATCAAGGTCACTCCTTGGTACCGTCATTCAGCCTGGTGAATGAAGGCCCTCCAATAACAAGATATGTGTCTGGTTGACAATGTCTCTGACACTACCGACAGCTTCACTATGCCCCAAAGCCGCCAGTGCCAACCACACAGTATCCCACCTCCAAAGTCAAAATGAGAGTGGGTGCAGTGGCAGCCATGACCTAGATTTGTTCCTTAGACACCTTAGTGTTCTAATTTTTGGCGGAAGGCCAAGGCAGGTGGATCATTTGAGGTCAGAAGTACAAGACCAGCCTGGCCAACATGGTGAAACCCAGTCGCTACTAAAAATACAAAACTTATCTGGGCATGGTAATCCCAGCTACTCAGGAGGCTGAGGCAGGAGAATCACTTGAACCTGGGAGACGACGGTTGCAGTGAGCTGAGATCAAACCACTGCACTCTAGCCTGGGCAATAAAGTGAGACTTCATTTCAAAACAAAACAAAAAATAATAATACTTCTATGGTTTCTTGCAGCTCTCCCAAAATACATTTACATACATAAAAGCTCATTCACATACATGCACACACACACATTATCACAGCTCTTCCCCTCTCCCCAACAATTCATTCCAGATGCCATTAGATGGTGCTAAGTGTGGCAGGTGATTGCCCCGGGAAGCACAGCAAGATGAGAAGGTTTAGGAGGAGCAAGAGAAGTTGCCAAGGGCCTGGGCAGACAGAGGCAGATGAGGGGCAGGCAAGGTGGTAACAGCCTACCAAAGAGTGTCCCATGTGAGTAAAGGACATGGGCTGAGCAGCAGGAGGCTCAATGGTGGCACTAGTACACAAGATAAATACTGGGTAAATGATGAAATAAATCAGTAGGTTGAGAATATCTGGGTGGCATGGTTCTATGAAAGCATTGTAAATAGGAAAAGAAAGAAAGAAAGAAACAAACAAACAAACAAGCAAACAAACAAACCCAAGCCCTGGATGTTAAGAACAGAAGCGAAGATACAGGTACGAGCTTTTGGCCTTCAACATGTGTAAGTACACAGACAAATACAGATGTAAATGTGTGCATGCACACGATGATTTTCCTTATTGTGCTGACTGTATTGTGGTTACACAGGCCAATGTCCTTGTTTGTAAAAATTACACGTGGAAGTAGCTGAGAGATAGGGCATTGTGCTGGCAACTTACTGTCAAATAGTACAGGAAAAAGTTTATTGCACCATCTACATGGATGCTTTCTGGAGTCTTTCTGTTAGCTTGAAATTGCTTCAAACTGTAACTGATTTTATAACAAAAATTTTAAGGAATTACAGTATTATTTATCTCTCCTACATCAAGCTTTTCTCTTGTAGTCTATCTTACAGGTACTTCCATATGAATATAAACAGATCTATTACTTTGTGTTTACTGGCAACATGGATGGAATTTCCAGAATGGAACAGTAGGTTAATTATCTTTTTTATAAGGCAGCAATGGGTTAAAGAATACATGCATCTTAAAATAATAGATATTGTCAAAGTACCATGCACAAGATAGCTACAGTTTATATGCACATAAACAATGCCTCAACCTGCCTGTTTTTCCAAACCCTTTGCTAAGACTGAGCATAAGCAAAATTTACTGTCTGCCAACCTGCTAGGTGTCAAACATTTTCATTTTTAGATTGTTATCCCCACTTCTTTAATGAGATTGAGAGTTTCTTGAGTCTCTGCTCATTTATTTTGTGGTTTGCTTCTTTTAAAACAACATATAGATGGGGTCTTCCTTTGTTGCCTAGGCTGGATTCAAACTCCTGAGTGCAAGCAATCCTCCCATCTTGGCCCTTCAATGACTGGGATTACTGGTGTAAGCCACCATGCCCAGCCTGGATTTGTTCTTCGTAAATCAAACCCTTTGTCATTTCTTGCAAATAGCCTACCCTTTCTCTTACACGTCCTTTGACACATTTTAGATGGTTTAGCCATACAAAACATTTCAATTTTCAGTTAAATGTAGGCTTAGAAAACATTTCAAGAAACTGAAGTGTTTCTTTTTTCACCTGCTTTTAATCTAAAGTCTTATTATATCTGGATTTTAACATTTCTTAAAAGTAATGTCAGATTATAAATGTTTGGATTTTATTCATTTTCTAAATGATTCTGACTGGTTTCCTACATATATAATATGACCTGCAAAAGAAGATGTGTCCTTTACTTTCTAATTATTTGCAACTAATCTGTACTGGTTTATACATCTAGGAAACTGATGAGCAACTGGTGGGAGTGTGTATCTTTTTCATATGAAGCATGCTTCTAGTGGTTTACTATTAGACAATAATGGGTTGGCATTTGCAATAATATTCCAACCAATTATATTAAGGATTTCTGCTGCTTTTTCATGAGATACCTAGATGATACATTATTTCTAGTTAGTTCAATAATATGAGAAAATGAATTAAGATTTTTTATAAAATTATCCTGTGTTTCTGGATAAATCCTAAATCTGAAATTCACTGTAGAATATAAATTTTTATATTTTAGAGATAGAATCATGCTCTGTTGCCCAGGCTGGAGTGCAATGGTATAATCCTAGCTCACTTCAGCCTCCAATTCCTGGACCCAAGCGACCCTCTTGCTTCAGCCTCCTAAGTAGCTGAGACTACAGACATGCACCACCACACCTGTCTAATTTTTGTATTTTGATAGAGGTGGGGTTTTGCCATGTTGCCCAGGC
This sequence comes from Homo sapiens, assembly GCF_000001405.40. Taxonomy (NCBI): domain Eukaryota; kingdom Metazoa; phylum Chordata; class Mammalia; order Primates; family Hominidae; genus Homo; species Homo sapiens. Next base: position 13,447,930 of record NC_000021.9, read on the forward strand.
TGGTCTCTAACTCCTTGGTTCCAGCAATCCACATGCCACAGCCTGCCAAAGTGCTGAGACTATAGGCATGAGTCATCACACTGAGCCATAAGATATTTTTTCAACTCATGTGAAAGCATAGTTAAAAGCCCCACAATGGCAGGATCTACAACAGTGAAAATTCAGATATAACGCAACTGACAACTGGCTCCCACCCTCTGCAAGAGGTTAAGCCCAGAGACATTGACTATTTTTCAACAATGTAAAATTGTGTTTCATATGATTAAAATTTTGGACCCCACATATAACCTAAAGACAGGTTATATAGCTTAAAGGAACATATAAGCTATAAATCCCTTAATATACAAACTCGTACCAGGCACGGTGATGCATGCTTGTAATCTTAGCACTTTGGGAGGCCAAGTTGAGTGGACTACTTGAGCCCAAGAGTTGATTTTTGAAAAAGGTTTTATGGCAAGTAAGCAGAGAAGGAATGGTCTTTTCAACAGATGCTGCTGGTACATCACATGCAAAATGGTGACTTTAAACTCTTACCTCACAATATGTGCAAAAAATAACTCACAATGGATCTTACCCCTAAACATAAGAGCTAAAACTATAAATTTCAGGAAGAAGATCTAAGTCTAAACCTTTGTGACATTAGGTTGGACAAAGATTCTTTAGATGCAACACCAAGAGCATAGTAATAAAAGGAAAACTTGAAAAACTGAATTTCACCAAAACAAAAGCTTTTGAGCAATAAGGGACTCCACCAAGAAAATGAAACAACTAGCCAGACAGAAACAGTATGTGCAGAATCTTATTTCTGATAAAAGACTTGTATCCAGAGCATATCGAGAACTCCTGTAACTCGTAAAAGAAGAAAAACACAATTTTTAAATGGGCAGACACTTACATACACATGTCACCAAAAAAAAAAAAAAAAGTAAAACAAAATAAAATCTTCATACCTTTGGGTTAGGCAATGGTTTCTTAAATATGAAGTCAAGGCTGGATGCAGTGGCTCATGCCTGTAATTCCACCACTTTGGGAGGCTGAGGCGGGTGGATCACGATGTCAGGAGATAGAGACCATCCTGACTAATACAGTGAAATCCTGTCTCTACTAGAAATACAAAAACTTAGCCAGGTGTGGTGGCACACGCCTGTAGTCCCAGCTACTCAGGAGGCTGAGGCAGGAGAATCGCTTGAACCCAGGAGGTGGAGGTTGCGGCGAGCCGAGATCATGCCACTGCACTCCAGCCTGGGTGACAGAGCGAAACTGTCTCAAAAAAAAAAAAAAAAAAAAATGAAGTCAAAGGCACAAGTGCCAAGAGAATAATCTGGTTTCTATCAAAATTAAAAACTTTTCTGCCTCAAAACGATACTACCAAGCAAGGGAGAAGACAACTTATATATTAAGAATAATGTAGAATTATTAGAATTGGAGAAAAATATTTCCAAATCCTACACTACAGCCTGCATGAAAGTGTGACATCCTGTCTCACATGCAAAATTTTTTAAAATCATCAATCAGGGACTTATATTGAGGCTATGTAAAAAACTCTTATGACTCAACAAAAGACAAACCCAATTTTAAAATGGGAAGAGGATCTAAATAGACATTACTCCAAAAAACATTTGTAAATGACCAATAAGCACATTGAAAGATAACACAAACCTGTAATCCAAGCACTTTGGGAAGCCTAGGCAGGTGGATTGTTTGAGCCCAGGAGTTTGACACCAGTCTGGGCAATGTGAGGAAACCCCATCTCTACAAAAAAAAAAAAAAAAAAAATTCAGAAATTAGCCAGGTATGATGGTGCACACCTGTAGTCCTAGCTACTCAACACATGAGGCAGGAGGATCACCTGAGCCAGGAAGGTTGAGGCTGCACTCAGCCCAGATCATGCCACTGGACTCTAACCTGAGTGACAGAGTGAGACCCTGTCTCAAACAAAAAAAAAAAAGTAAAAGGTAACACAACATCAATAGTCACTAGAGAAATATAAAACAAAACAAAACAAAATACCAAAATGAGATACCACTTCACACCTATTATGATGGCTAACATCAAGAAGACAGTAAGTTGGCAGCAATGTGGAGAATGTGAACCCTCATAATGTGCTGCTGGAATATACAATGGTACAGCCACTTGGGAAAACAACTGGTCAGTTTCTTAAAAGTTCAGTGTAAATGTACCCTATTGCTAGTAATTATACTCCTAGGTATATATACAGTGCATGAAACATTAAGGTATATGTCCAGACAAAAACTTGCTCAAGTATGGTCACTGTAGCATTATTCATAACAGCAAAAAATGAAAACAACAGAATCATCAAGTGATGATTAAACAGGCGGTATGTTCATAGAATACTTAATGCTCAGCAATAAAAAGGAGCTACTGATCCACGCAACAAGCCCACTGAGCCTGAGGTGAATTATGCTCAGTGAAAAAAAACTAATTTCAATAGGAAACACACTATATACTCAATTTCTATATCATAATTCAGAGATAGGGGTAATAAAAGCATCCTAAAATTAGATTATGATGATTGTTGCAAAATCATTTAAAAAAATGTAAGACTGTAAATTTACTATCAGTGAATTAAATACTTCAGACAGGTGAATTTTATGGTGCATCAATTATACCTCAATAAAGCTGCTAAAAATTAATCTTTTCACCACAATGAGAATAAAACAAAGGTTAACAGAAAACAAAATGTGTGTGTTTATGTACATATTATTTTCCCTTTTATCCTTACATTGTGAAGAGTATTCCAATGATATTTGTTATTTCCTTTCAAAAGTCTAAAAAAAAATTGGCTCCAAAAGGTACCACTCTATCATTTTTTCTCTTCAAATGAAATGGCTAAACTTCCATAAAGGAAGCTGAAATCCTTCTCATTCTCCAAGGGCTCATGTAAATGCCCTCTTCCTCATGAAATTCTTCCTGAACTATAAAGGAATCCAACCCCTAATGAACATTCGCAGCACTTTCTCTGAACCAGTCTTACAGCAGGGATGTGAGGCTCTTGCCATGGCCATTTTACAAACTTTTCTCCCTTCCATGAGACTCTGAGCACTCCAAAGCCATAATGCTTATACACAGTTGTGCATCCCCTCCCCACCCAAAGCTGTGCCCAAAAATGCCATGCCTATTCAGTGACATTAGGTCAATTAATTCTACTCACGATGCTTGGAAGTGGGGGCAGATCTATGATCTTATGTAGAAAACAAGTAGCTGATCTGAAAACAAAAAACAAGTGTCTACCTTTTCAGCTCAATGAACTTTTCTTGGATTATATAAATATCGAAGCAGCCCATCTGAAAATGTCTTACATCATATTCTCAAAGAAAATAAAACAGAAACCATTAAAGTGTATTAAAATCTAGCAAAACGGGATAGGAAGCCAGCCAGCTATCAAGGAAGCAAAGCAATCCCTAATCTAGAGGCTTCTTTGGCTCTAAGAAAGATCTGCAATAAAACAAAACTAATAAAACTACACGTGAATACACAAAATTAATGACAGCATAAATTTAAATGAATTGTCTTAACCAAGAATGTTTAAACTATATTAACATAAGCTGAATATTCAAATTTGTATGAATAAACCATTGATGGGCATGGAGGGAGAAAGCACCTCACCTATTAATAATAAATGAAATCCCAGCTGTGTTCTCCAAAATCCATTTCAGGGTTGCAAGATCATAGTTCTCAGGGTGTTTAAAGGCAACACCTTCCGGAAGCCCCTGTACTATCAAAGCTGACTGGTCTTGTAGCATCTTCTCATATGGTACAGGTACCTCTGTGGGTTTTTGTAAAGCTTTCCCTGGGAGAGGCAAAAAGCAGATAAATGTCATTAAATTTTAAGATTAAAAAACAAAATCATCACTACCTTATTGTGGCTTAATAAAGGCATACATGATCTTTTGTAACATGTGGTTTTAAAATTACTTAACACTACAGCACCCTATTCACATGTAAGAAGTTCTAAACCTGACACTGATCCAAAGGGCCAAAATGTAAAGTATATTAAATATCTGACTTTAAAAACTACACAAAAGGAGAGAGAAATGTCTGATTTCTTGCATTATTGTCTTTAAGATGGTCCTACTCTGGCGTATTTCTTGGGTTCCTCCTAAAAGGAAGTGGAAAGTCATCCATTCAGCTTGTGAAAATGTTGTTATATGACTGTTAAGTCAACGACATAACATAGTCTACCCTTTAGAAAACTCTATCAGGTATCTTTTATAAAATATAAGTGTGTTGCTTTTAAGGCAGCAAAAGCAGAAATAGTCCTCAACTGTTTTTTTCCGAGTGTTGCCATTTCTACAACATCTACACTCATCTGATTCACCTGGGTTGTAGACTTTATTTTATGCATCTCTGCAACCTTTTCTTCTTCTTCAACACCTGTAAAAAATATTAAGGTGCATATCTATTTTCTTAATATTTATTTGGCTTTTAGTAAAAATAGTTTTTCCTGTATTCCAATATTTGTGATCTGTTATACAAACAAAAAATAGGTCAAGTGAAGTGGCTCACACTTATAATCCCACCACCTTGGGAGGCTGAGGCAGAATTGCTTGAGCCCAGGATTTCAAGACCAGCTTGAGCAACATAGAAACAACCTATCCCTATAAAAAAAGATGAATAAAATTAGGTGTGGTGGTGCATATCTGTAGTCCTAGCTACTCTGGAGGCTGAAGCAAGAGGATTGCTTGAGTCCAGGAATTTAAGGTTACGATGAGCTATAATTTTACCACTGCACTCCAGTCTGGGTCACAAAAAGAGACCCTGTGTTTAAAAAAAAAGTCAGGGGGAAGATCTTAAAGGGAGCTTTTAAGATACAAACCTAAAATAAGAGTAATTTATTGGCTATAAATTTAAATATGGGAAGATTATCATCAGGAAACAAATTCTAGGCTTACAAAGTCCAGCACAATAACCACTAGACACACGTGACACTTGAAATGTGGCCAGTCCAAATTCAGATGTGCTGTAAGTGAACAATACACATTGACTTTTGAAAACTCAGCACAAAAAGTATTCCAAATATCCCATTAATAATTTTTATATTGATCAAACATCGAAATATTTTAAAGTATTACCACTAAACGATTTTCACTTGTTTCCCTGTATTTTTTAATGTTATAAGTAGAAAGTTTTAAATCATGTGAATGACTCGCATTATATTTAGTTCTATTTAATAGCACTTCACTAAATCCCAGAAAAGGGCTCAGAATTCTCCTGAAGAATTTCTACAACTTCCTCATGAAACTATTGATTATGTTTCAGAAGAACACTATTGCAAACAAATAAAAGGTACTTGAGAATTAGGTACAAAAACCCTTCTCCATGGTATCAAATTAGTAGCAATGTAAACAAACTATAAATACCAATAGGCGGGGACTACAACTCGCAACGAGGACAACTCCCCTAATGCTTAGTTCCAATCAGTGGAGAACCATGTAAGCCACGGAGCACAGGGAGGGGAGAATAAACACAGCTGCCCACGAGATTGTGGTATTTGTGGGTCAGAGGGCAGGTGATACACACACAAATCAAAACAGCATTATTAGTATAAAGAAACACACAATCAAGGACTTAACATTTCTCAAAATTATAATATTGGCAAAATTTAAAAAATAGGTTACTACCATAAAGCTTGGAAGATTATAACACAGGTGGTGAGGGGAGGGATACGGTGGTGAGGGGAGGGACACAGTGGCGAGGATAGTTTTTTTAAGAAACTAAAAATACTACTGGGAATAGGAATTAGTGAATTAGCAAAATTTTTAACTCACTAGTAATCTGCTCAATTTAACATGAATTGAATCTAATCTGACAACGCAAATTTAAGTTTAAAGCTTAGTGGCATACAGACATCTGTGGGAGATACTGTAGGTTCAATTCCAGACCACCACAATCATGGAAGTATAAAGTGAAGTTACACAAATGTCTTCGTTTCCCAGTGCATTTAAAAGTTATGTTGAATCTTTCTTTCACAAAAGATCTCTGGGAGGTATGATGCTATTGGATAGCATTTTACACACAGTGGAACTTCTTTCCAAATCAGAATCAATCCTCTGAAAGCCTGCCATTGCTTTATGAAGTAAATTTATGGAATATTCTAAATCTTTTGTCATTTCAACAATATTCACGACATCTACACCAGGAGTAGATTCCATTTCAGAGACGACTTTCTTTGCTCATTGTAAGAAGCAACTCCTTATCTGTTCATGTTTGATCATGAAATTGCAGCAGTTCAGTCCCATCTGCAGGCTCCACTTCTTTTTTTTTTTTTTTTTGAGACAGAGTTTCACTCTTGTTGCCCAGGCTGGGGTGCAATGACAGGATCTCCACTCACTGCAACCTCTGCCCCCTGGGTTCAAGTAATTCTCCTGCCCCAGCCTCACAAGTAGCTGGGATTACATGCGTGCACCACCATGCCCGGCTAATTTTGTATTTTTAGTAGAGATGGGCTTTCTCCATGTTGGTCAGGCTGGTCTCAAACTCCTGACCTCAGGTGATCCCACCTCGACCTCCCAAAGTGCTGGGATTATAGGCATGAGCCACTGTGCCCAGCCAGCAGGCTCCACTTCTAATTCTAGTTCACATGCTATTTCCACCACATCTGCAGTTCCTTCATCCTCTAAAATCCCGAACCCCTTAAAGTCACCTATGAGAGATGGAATCAACTTCTTCCACAGTCTTGTTAATGTTAATTTTGTTCTCTTCCCATGAATCACAAATGTTCTTAATGGCACCTAGAACAGTAAATCTTTCCCAGAAGGTTTTTAATTTACTTTGCCCAGATCCATCAGAGGAATCACTATCTCTGGCAGCTATGGCCTTACAAAATGTAATTCTTTCTTTTTTTGAGATGGAGTCTTGCTCTGTTGCCAGGCTGGAGTGCAGTGGTGCGATCTCGGCTCACTGGAACCTCTGACTTCCTGGTTCAAGCGATTCTCCTGCCTCAGACACCTGAGTAGCTGGGATTACAGGCACACACCACCACACCCAGCTAATTTTTGTGTTTTTAGTAGAGATGGGGTTTCACCATGTTGATCAGGCTGGTCTCGATCTCCTGACTTTGTGATCTGCCTGCCTTGGCCTCCCAAATTGCTGGGATTACAGGCATGAGACACCACGCCTGGCCTACAAAATACATTTCTTAAAGAATAAAACTTGAAGGCTGAGTGCAGTGGCTCACACCTGTAATCCCAAGCTCTAAAGAAGGCCAAGGTGGGCAGATTGCTTGAACCCAGAAGTTTGAAACCAGCCTAGACAACATGGAAACAAAACATCTCTACAAAAAAATCCACAAAAATTAGCCGGGCATGCTGGTATACCACCTGTGGTCCCAGCTATTCAGCAGGCTGAAGTGGGATCACCTGAGCCTAAGAAGACTGAGGCTGCAGTGAGCTGTCATTGTGCTATTACACTCAAGCCTGAACAACAGTGAGATGACCTTCTCAAAAAAGAAAATAATAATAATCATAAGACTTGAAATTACTCCTAAATCCATGGGCTGCAGAATGGATGTTGCATTAGCAGGCATGAAAATGACATTCATCTCTTTGTACAACCTCCATCAGGGCTCTCAGAGGGACTGGGTGCAGTGTTAATGAGCAATAATATTTTGAAAGGAACTTTTTTTTCTGGGCAGTCAGTCTCAAAAGTAGGCTTAAAATATTCAGTGAACAATGCTATAAAGAGATATGCTGTCATCCAGGCTTTACTGTTCCACTGATAGAGCACATGCAGAGCACATTTAGCATAGCTCTTAAGGGTCCTAGAGTTTTTGGAATGGTAAATGAGCACTGGCTTCAGTTAAAGTCATCAGCTGCATTATCCCCTAACAAGAGTCTCAGCCTGTCCTTTGAAGCTTTGAAGCCAGTAATGGAATTCTCCCTAGCTAGCAAAGTCCCAGATGGCATCTTCCAATATAAAGCTGTTTTGTCTACATTAAAAATCTGTTTTTTGAGTGTAGCCATCTTCATTAATTATCTCAGCGAGATCTTCTGAAGAACTTGCAGCTCCTACATCAAGCACTTGCTGCTTCACTTCGCACTTTTGTATTATACAGACTGTGTCTTTCTTTAAACCTTATGAGCCAACCTCTGCTAGCTTTCAGCTTTTCTTTTGCAGCTTACTCACCTCCTCTCAGCCACGACAGAATTGAAGAGAGTTAGGGCTTTGTTCTGGATTAAGCTTTGACTTACAGGAATGTTGTGGCCAGTTTGACCTTCTATCCAGACCACTCAAAGTTTCTCCATATCAGCAATAAGGCTGTTTTGCTTTTTTATCATTTGTGGGTTCACTGGAGCAGCACTTCTCATTTCCTTCGATAACTTTTCCTGTGCATTCACCACCTGGCAAACTGTTCGGCCTAGCTTTCAGCTGCCAACATGTCTTCCTCACTAAGCTTCATCATTTTTAACTTGATTTAAAGTAAGCACACTGCAACTCTTTCTTTTACATGAACACTGAGAGGCCACTGGAGGGCTGTTAACTGGCCTCATTTCAATATTGTGTCTCAGGGACTAGGCTGGCGTTAGGAGAGGAAGTGATGGGAAACCACCTGATTGGTGGATCAGTGAGAGCACACAACATTTGCCAATGAGGTTTTCCATCTTATACAGGTGCGTTCATGGAGTCCAAAACAATTACAGCAGTAACATCAAAGCTCACTGATCGCAGGTCACCACAGCACATATAATAATCATGAAAAAGTTTGAAATATTCTAAGAGTAACCAAATGTGACACAGAGAACCAAAGAGAGCACACGCTGTTGGAAAAATGGCACAAAAGACTTGACAAAAGATTCCCACAAATCTTCAATTTATAAAAACTGCAGTATCTGCAGGGCTCAAAAAAATGAGTTATGCCTGTATGTATTCTGTGCCTATCGCCCTGCCTTTTTTAGTTCCCTTTCAGTGTTTCACTCAGTTAACGTGAAACCTATCGATAGTGTTAGGTTACACACAGATATGAAAACTGTCATACTGTGAAAGGCCATAAGTATTAACACCCTATAGTAAATTTTAATACTGTGTTCCAATGTCAAATAAGCTCATTGCTCTAAACAAGGATTACAAAACCCACTGAAGATTCAGATAAGGTGATTCCACTCAGCGAGTTGAGAACTGTTTAATTCTGCATCATACTTAAACAAACTCCTTTGCACAGTGAATTTCTTGTTTTCAGTTCACCACCTTTATCTAGAACTCCGTATCTGAGTAAGAACTTTTAATCTATTCAAAATTTCTCTCCCTTCATTACCTTCTCTCTAATGCATCTCATTAATCCAGAGTGAAGCCAAGCAAGGAGCCCCGTACAATCAACACTTGCCATTGTTCTTAACTCTTCAGTATCTACCCTGACATATCACCACTTCGGTGATTCCTTTTAAGCATTTTGAAATGTCTTCATAAACATTTCAGAAAATCATTCATAGTTTAGGCCGTGCACAGTGGCTCACACCTGTAATGCGAGCACTTTGAGAGGCTGAGGTGAGTGGATCATTTGAAGTCAGGAGTTCAGTACCAGCTTGACCAACATGGTAAAACCCCATCTCCACTAAAAATAGAAAAAAAAAATTAGCTGGGTGTGGTGCCACGTGCCTGTAATCCCAGCTACTCAGGAGGCTGAAGCAGGGGATTTGCTTGAACTCAGGAAGCAGAGGTTGCAGTGAGCCGAGACCTCACCACTGCACTCTGCCTAGACAACAGAATGAGACTCCATCTCAAAAAAAAAATTTTTTTTATAGTTTAAACCTCATTTTGCTTTAGAAGAAATTATGACTAGTGTTATCTATAAATATTTAGGTTTAAAAACAATGAAATAAAAATGATAACAATACAATGCTTACAATATTTCACAAAATCGGCTTGAAAATCCCTTCTGGTATTGAAAAAATTGTGTCCTCTGTCCTTCAGTTCTGAAGGCAAAGAGATCTGCTTTATACTCTGTGATGCAGGCCACTTTGGCCTTAAACTTGGCCAGTTCTTTAAACTATAATAATAACAGCAAATATTATGTTAAAGGCAGACATTTAAAAGCACCATTTCTGCTAGATGAATTAAAAAATCTAACACAAGCCTGGGCACAGCACCTCATGCCTGTAGTTCCAGCACTTTGGGAGGCCAAGGCGGGTGGATCACGAGGTCAGGAGTTTGAGAAAAGGCTGGCCAACACAGTGAAACCCCGTCTGTACTAAAAATGCACATAATAATAATAATAATAATAATAATGATAACAAATAAATAAATAAAAGGCCGGGTGTGGTGGCTCATGCCTGTAATCCTAGCTACTTGGGAGGCTGAGGCAGGAGAATCACTTGAACCTGGGAGGCAGAGGTTGCAGTGAGTCAAGATCGTGCCAATGCACTCCAGACTGGGCAACAGTGCAAGACTGTTAAAAAAAAAAAAAATCTAACACCATTTTTTAAAGTTACTACTCTTTCTAAATAGATTTTTGCCTGATTTTAAGCAAAAGACACCACAAGATTTATAAGAAAAAAATGCAGAAATCCCTTGTAATCTATTACAGGTCAGATTCTCCAAGAAAGAGACTGAGATTTCACAAAGGCTTGCTGGGGAGCACTGTCAATAACAGCACCCAGGAGGTGGGAGGCAGGCCTGGCTGAACAGGCAAAGTGCTGAACAGGGATGCAGCTGCACCAAGAGCTCAGAAGCCAGTGTGGCCCTCCCCAGGGAAAAGGTGGACAAGGTGACTCGAACACTCGCAGCAGCTGGGGAAATTACTGCCATCAGAATTGAAAGAAGGGACTGAAACCCACACTACAGTATTCAGTACATAATCCCCTCCTCCAGAAGTATTACCCCATCTACACATAGCCAGAATCACATTTAGGTGATTACTTACTGACTTTCACTAAGAATATTTCTATGAGAGTCAAATTATTTAAAAACATTATAGAGTACATAGTATTCCATTTTATGGATACACCATAATTCATTTAACATCATTTCAAAGGTCAGTGATTCCAATTTTCCCTCCTAAAAATAACATTACTGTAATAACCTGGGAAGCAAATATTTATGTACTTCTTCAATGACTTTCTCAAAAAAGACATGAGAGTCAAGAAAAACCATTAAGAGTCAATACTCCAAATACTCAAAATCTACTAAAATTTGCTTTCTAATAAGGTTCATAATATCCTAGCAAATGTTACCATGTGACTTTTCCAGAAACCTTGAAAAAGGGTATCTTAGTGTCATAAACATACTCCACTGATTGGTGTTAAAATTAAAGAGTATCGTAGCATAATTTTCTGCAAATTACCATTTCTTTTGTCTATTTATCAAATGTGTTAGTGTACCTCCAACTGACCCATAGAAGTACGTCACTTATTTTAGGCATAGAAAAGCCATTTATGGAATTAAATAATTATATAATAATTACATATATTTTGTTTTGGTTTTAAAATTTGTCTCAGTATAACTATTTTTGCTCATCTAGAATTTAACTCATCACATGATGAAGACTATACGTTGAAGCTTGTTTTTACCAAAATTTTTACTTTTTATCAAATAGCCTATTTTCTCAGTATCATTTGTTGAAAACTGTAAGCTTTCCAGTATTTGTTTTTGATTTGTACAATAAACGCCCTCTAATTTCTTAAATGGAGATCATTTCTGCATAATATTGCTTTAAAATGTTATCCTCAGTAACTAATTTAGCAGCTAGTGAGGTGATCAGAAATCTTTTGAGCCATAATAAAGCCATGGTAGAGAACTTCTGAGCTGGAGGTGGGCCAACAACTGCCCCAGCGTGAAGAATGATGAGCCTCGGTAATTTCCTTCCGTTGCACTTACATGACATGTGCTGTGGCTACTCTCCTGTAAGGAACTATTATTTACTTACCTTGCGGTAAATGAGGGTACATTCTTGCTTCAGTATCCACACTCTAAAACAATCCTGTCAACAAAGGCAATGTTTATGAAAGAGTAAGCAAGATTCATGTACTATCCATAGATTAGATAAAACAAGTCTACCAGCCAAGGAAGAGATAAAGTCAGCCTGGATCTGCTTAGCACTCTGACAAGCCAGTGAAAAACTCAGCAGTTTCTACAAACTTAATTATACCGTGTAATATACAACTAGGAATAGGAGGAGAAATGGTCTTACTAATAATGCTGGTGAGGAAGACATAAAGGCTGAGAATAGTGAAATGACTATGCCAAAGATGAGGGAACTGTTAAGAAACTCTAAGGAAGTGAATGGATCTTACGTGGCCTTATGGTATTCTTTGCAGAGATCAATATTTTAAAAAAATATTTTATTATCAACAGAACAGCATTTCATCTCTAAATTTTTATTTAACATTAAAGTCACAAATTTTGCCTGGTTTTATGATCACAAGGCAGAAACAAGTCATTCATAAAATAACAATATATAACCACCAACCACTCTAAAATTTCTTTAAGGAGATAATTTTATAAAGTTCTTAAAACATTTTTTTAATGCCCTAATAAGAAAACAAAACAGATGGCCAAGCACGGATGCTCAAGCCTGTAATCTGAGCACTATGGGAGGCTGAGGCAGGAAAGTCACTTGAACCCGAGGTCAAGGCTGCACTGAGCTATGATCATGCCACTGCCCTCCATCCTAAAAGAGTCAGATCCTGTCTCAAAAAAATGAAAAAAAGCATCCACAAACTTTGTCACACAGAGTTCTGTGAGGTTAAGCACCACCTAAATACTTTTCAACCACTTAAGAGGAGGAAAATGCATACTCCTGCTTAAAACATTTACATTTAATATGTCGGAAAACACCTAAGGCCATGCATGGTGGCTCATACCTGTAATCCCAACACTTTGGGAAGCCAAGACAGGACAATTGCTTGAACCTAGGAGTTTAAGACAAACCTGGGCAACATAAAGAAACCCTGTCTCTACAAAAAAGCTTAAAAATTAGCTAGGCCAGGAACAGTGGCTCATGCCTGTAATCTCAGGACTTTGAAAGGCAGAGGTGGAATTGATTGAGCTCCAGAGTTACAGACCAGCCTGGGCAATATATTAAGACCTCATCTCCACTAAAAAGCAAAACAAAGTAGCCAGATGTGGTAGCACATGCCTACAGTCCCAGCTACTCTGAGGCTGAGGTGGGAAGACCACTTGAACCCAGGATGTCCAGGCTGCAGTGAGCCATGAAAAAAAAAAAAAAGGTTAAAAAAAAAAAGAAAATACCTAAGTCTGATACTTTTTCTTTTTTTTTTGAGACAGAGTCTCACTCTGTCGCCCAGACTGGAGTGCAGTGGCACGATCTTGGCTCACTGCAAGCTCCACCTCCCAGGTTCATGCCATTCTCCTGCCTCAGCCTCCCGAGTAGCTGGGACTACAGGCATCCGCCACCACACCCAGCTAATTTTTTTTGTATTTTTAGTAGAGACGGGGTTTCACCGTGTTAGCCAGGATGGTCTCAATCTCCTGACCTCGTGATCCACCCGCCTTGGCCTCCCAAAGTGTTGTGATTACTGGCGTGAGCCACCGTGCCCAGCCACCTGATACTTTTTATAATAAATACTATTTCCAACTACATACCCATAAAAATATAAATTAATTGTATAACTACCATGATAGTAATATAAAAATACAAAACTACATAATCAGTACTCAATATTTCACTGTAATTATGCATATGATAGGCTTTTTTTTTTAAGTAAAGAGCTGGCCAGGTGTGGTGGCTCTCACCTGTAATCCCAGCAATTTGGGAGGCCAAGGCAGACAGATCACTTGAGCTCGGGAGTTTAAGACAAGCCTTGCCAACATTGTGAAACCCCATCATCAGCAAAAATACAAAAATTAGCTGAGTGTGGTGGCACACATTGCAGTCCCAGCTACTGGAAAGGCTGTCAGGAGAATCACTTGAGCCTGGGAGGCAGAGGTTGCAGTGAGCTAAGATCGCACCACTGCACTCCACCTTGGGTGACAGAGTGAGATTCCGGAAAAAAAAAAAAGAAAAAGAAACATAAACAGCTAACACTAAACAATTTAGAAAGAGGTGGTTAATGCAATAGTGAATGTGTAAGCAGAAGAAATATAGATACACAATAGTAAAGATGCCCTAATGACCCCAAATTCTGGGAATCTTCTACATATTGATACAATAAAACTCCAGCCCCATACTCTAGTATACAAACTCATTCTGAGTAACCACAAATATTATACATAATTTCAAAATTCACACTTACAAAACAAAGGATTGCCTAAAATAATGGTAGAAAATTATTTGAGATTCAAAGTAAAAATTAAACATTCTGAAGCATGGTAATAAAATGTCATTTGAAAGCCATAACTGCTATTCAAGAAAAAAAAACTACTCCTTAAAACTAAAAAGACATAAAATTATATCTTCTACAAAAACAAATCAACCTTATCTACAGCCCAGTTCTACCCAACTATGGAATGTCAGAATAGAAGGTCTCACCATGGACTCAAGAGCTGACATGAGGAATGTCACTACCATCCTGCTGAGGACTCCTCATCTTCAACGGCCAGGGTGGACACTGTTACTGGGGCCATGATCTTTGTGCAAGACAAGTAATAAGAAAATCAGTGGTAGAAATGTGGTGTTCCAAATCCACATTCAGAGCTCTGAGGATCTCCCACTGGCTGCCTAATTTACTGTTTTCTTACCTAAGAGAAAAAACAAGACTAAAAAACTAAGTATATGATTTGCCTGAAACTCTCATCAGATAGAGAATCTACCCCCTAACTTCCTATCTAGTGTTATTTCAATAACATTGGGTTAATATCACACCCAAAATAAATGCAGATGGCACTCAGAATCAGTGAAATTTCTCCCAAGAAGGAGGAGGAGGAGAGGTGCTTTACAACCCAGTGATGGACTACCACAGACCAATGCAGGACAGAGCCGCCAAGCTCCCTCTCTCCCCTGCACATCCTGACGCAGCAAAGGGTGGGTGCAGTGGACTGAGGATGGGTGGAGAGAAGTTTCTCTTCTTACTGTGAAAATAGATCACCGGCACCAAGAAACAAGTAAGACGATTTATATTACAGCATATTGCTCTATTTGAAAAACTTTTTATAATATTTTGGTAATAACAAAGACCCTCAAATGAATTTCAAACACTTTAAATATTCAACACATAAACAGAAAATATTAAATGTCAGCAAGGATATCGAAAAACTGGACCCTTTATGCACTACTTTTTGGAATGTAACTGGTGCAGCCCCTGTGGAAAATGGTTTGGCAGCTCCTTAAAATATTAAGCATAGAATTATCACATAATCCAACAACTCCCTTTCAGGGTATATACCCAAAAGAACTGAGAGCAAGGACTCAAACAGGTATTTGTACACTATGTTCATAGCAACATTATTCACAATGGCCAAAAGGTACAACCAACCCTAATGCCCATCAGTAGGTAAATAGATAAGCAAAATGTGATATACACACATACATGAAATATTATTCAGCTGTATAAAGAAAAAACAATTCTGGCCAGGTTCAGTGACTTACCCCTGTAATCTCAGCACTTTGGGAGGCCGAGGCAGGCAGATCACCTGAGCCCAGGAATTCCAGATCAGCCTGGGCAAAATAGCAAGACCTCATCTCTGTAAGTTTTTTTTAAAAAAATTCTGATACTGCTATAGATGAACCTTGATAGCACTACGCAATCTATGCATGTAACAAAATTGCACTTACACTCCACAAATGTATGTAAAGTTGTTTTAAAATGGGGAATTCATCAAGGAAGAAATGTGAACCACGGAGAACAGAGAGGAGTGAGACAGAAAAGCCACCCACCCAGAACTGGTGTGGATCCCAGGGGGGTTTCCCCACGGCAGGAAAATAGTGAGCAAGAGCCACTGGTGACTCACCCTTCTGCCATCGACTTTTAAAATCCTGGGCACAGAAAATCCCCCGACACCCTCCCCTCAGGGCTCCCCAGCTGACACAGAGAGCTGCATGGAGTCTGGGCAGAGCCTCCAGTCAGGCCCACATGGAACCCTAAGGGCCTTGGACCCCTGAGCACCACAGTGCCAGCTGCTATAGCTCTGCCACCAGAAGAGGCCAGACTCTCTCACATGCCCCCAGGATAGGGGCCATATCTACAGTGCTGAGGAGGAGACAGACTCACCTCCTGTCTCTACTCTACCTCCTGTAGCGGCCTCACCTCCACTACACCTCTCCTGGTAGTGCCCACTGGCCTGGGTCCCAGTGCAGCCACTTACCCTCTGCCTGAGCACTCAGGCTAATTGCAACTCTGCAGACTGACCTCCCAGAGGTAACTATCAGGCCTACTGTTTTTGGAACTGCCATGGTCCCTGCCTCTACCTCTCCTAGGCTAGGGAGGGACTGAAGAGCCCAAGAACTATCATAGGCTTCTTAGCACACCACAGCTACCTTACAGAAAGTGGGCAAACTGTATCCACGTGGGTCCCCCTCCCTGCTATGCCTCACTGGGTAGGGTCTCCTGATCTGGGCCCCCAGCACAGCCATCCTGCACCCCCACCCTGAAGGATTGCTCATTCAATGGCATCTCTGCATCTCTCTGAGATGGAGCTTTCAGGGGTAACCCACGGGCTCTCTGCCATTGCCACTGTAGCAGTACCACCACTGCTGCCCTTGGCCTGGGGAAAGAATAAAGACCCTGATTGCTTTGCCAGCTCCTCCAGTGTGCCACAGCCACCAGATGGAGAGAAGCCCAGTTTCTCTTCTCTGTGAGCTTCCGGCAACCTGCTCTTCACCAGAAGGAGGCCCAGGTTTAATCCCACAGTTCAGCCACCTCACCCTTGGCTGAACATTCTCATTGGCAGTGGCTCTGCGTCTCTCTGGGGTGGAGTTCCCAGAGGCAACTGAGAGCCCTTTTGCCATTACTGCTGCAGTGATACTGCCCTTGCTGCCCTCAGGCTGGGGAAGAAACAAAGTGCCTGAGTGCTTTGCTCACACTTCCAGCAGGCCACAGCCACCATATGGGGGGAAGCCCAGTCTCTCTTCCCTGTTGGCCCCAAATCCCCTGCTCTTCTCTAGGCAGGGGTCCCAGCTTGGGCCCACAATCCAGCTTCTCCATTTCTGACTGATCATTCTGATTGGCAGAGCTCTGCACATCTCTGATGTGGTACCCCAAGAGACAACTGAAAGGCTTTCTGCCATTGCCATTGCCAAGGTCCCCAACCCTGCTGCTCCCAAGCTGGGGAGAAAATGAAAAGCCTGAGTTCACCCCAGAGCTATGGTGCACAGGGCTATGGGATGGGAGTGCCAAGCCAAGACCTATGGCTAGTACTCAAGTGGAGGACCAGCATAAAATCACTGAAATGACAGACAGAGAATTCAGAACCTGGATGCCAATGAAGATCTTCAAGATTCAGGAGAAAGTTGAAACCCATTTCAAGGAATCTAAAAAATTCAGCAAAACTATTCAAGAGATGAGAGATGAAATAGCCTTCTTAAGAAGGAACAAAACTGATCTGATAAAGCTGAAAAACTCACAAAAAGAATTTTGTAATACAATCAGAAATATTAACACCAGACAAGACCAAGCTGAGGGAAGAATCTCAGAGCTCAAAGACCAGTTCTTTGAATTAATTCAGTCAGACAAAAATAACTGAAAAAGATTGTTTTTCATGAACAAAACCTTTGAGAAATATGGGATTATGTGAAGACGCCAAATCTACAACTCATTGGCATCTCTAAGGGAAAGGAAGACAGAACGAGTAACCTGGAAAACATTTTTTAGGATACTGTCCGTAAGAATTTTCTTAACTTTCCTAGAGAGGTTAAAATTCAAATTCAGAAAATTCAGGGGACCCCTGGGAGATAGTACACAAGATAACCATCCCCAAGACATGTAGTCATCAGATTCTCCAAGGTCTGTGTGAAAGAAAAAATATTAAAGGTAGCTGGAGACAAGGTGCAGGTCACTTATAAAGGGAACTCCATTAGGCTATCTGCAGACCTTCCAGCAGAAACTGTACAAGACAAAAGCAACTGGGGGGCCTATATTCAGCATTCTCAAAGAAAACAAACTCCAACCAAGAATCTAATCACACCAAACTAAAACTTCATAAACAAAAGATAAAACATATCCTTTCAGA
Source organism: Homo sapiens (assembly GCF_000001405.40). NCBI lineage: Eukaryota > Metazoa > Chordata > Mammalia > Primates > Hominidae > Homo > Homo sapiens. Next base: position 13,466,008 of record NC_000021.9, read on the forward strand.
CAAGCAAATGCTAAGGGAATTCATTACCACCAAACCTGCCTTAAAAGAGATTCTTAAGGGTATGTTAAACATGGAAAAGAAAGACTATTACTGGCCACCACAAAAAACACACTGAAGTATATGGGCTATTTATACTATCATGTAAATACACAATCAAGTTTACATAACAAACAGCTAACAACACAATGTCAGGATCAAATCTGCACATATCAATATTAACCTCAAAAAAGAATGTGCTGAATACCCCACTGAAAAGGCGCAGAGTGACAAGTTAAATAAAGAAGCAAGACCCAACTGCATGCTGTCTTCAAGAGACCGATCTCACATGCAAGGACATCCAGAGGCTCAAAGAAAACAGATGGAGAAAGACCTACCAAGCAAACAGAAAACAAAAAAGAGCAGAAGTTACTATTCTTTTTTCAGACAAAACAGACTTTAAATTAACAATGACCAAAAAAGACAAAGAAGGGCATTTCATGATAATCGGTTCAATTCAGTAAGAAGACTTAACTATCCTAAATGTTAATTATATGCACCCAACACTGGAGCACCCAGATTCATAAATCAAGTTCCTAGAGTCTTATGAAGAGACTTAGATAACCACACAATAATACTGGGAGACTTTAAAACCCCACTGAAAGTACTGGACAGATAACCAAGGCAGAATATATTTAGGACCTAAACTTGACACTTAACCAAATGGACCTAACAGTCATCTACAGAACACTCAAGCCAGCAAAACCAGAATGTACATTCTTCTCACCTGCACATGACACATACTCTACAACTGACCACCACACACTTGGCCATAAGGCAACTCACAACATATTCTAAAGAATCAAAATCATACCAACCACACTATTTATTGGACCACAGTGCAATAAAAATAGGTATCAATACCAAGAAGATCTCTCAAAACCATACAATTTAATAAAAAATTAAATAAGCAGCTGCTGGTGACTTTTGGGTAAAGAATAAAATTAAGGCTGGAATCAATAAATTATGTGAAACTAACAGAAACAAAGATGCAACATACCTATATCACTGAGAAACTGTTTAAAAAAAGTGTTAAAGGGAAAGTTTGTAGCACTAAACACCCACATAAAAAAGTTAGAAAGACACCAAATTGAGAACCTAACATTGTATCTTTTTTTTTATTTATTTATTTTTGAGACAGAGTCTTGCCCGGTCACACAGGCTGGAGTACAGTGGAGCAATCTCAGCTCACTGCAACCTCCATCTCCCTGGTTCAAGCAACTCTCCTGTCTCAGCCTAGCTGAGACTACAGGTGTGTGCCACCATGCCCAGCTAATTATTTTCTTTGTAGTAGAGACGGGGTTTCACCATATTGGTCAGGCTAGTCTCAAACTCCTGATCTCAGGTGATCCAACCACCTCGGCCTCTCAAAGTGCGGGGATTACAGGCATGAGCCACTGTGCCAGGTGATATCTAGAGGAAACAGAAATGTAACAGCAAATCAATCCCAAAGCTAGAAGACAAGAAATATCAAAGCTGAACTGAATGAAACAGAGATCAAAAAAAAAAACACTGTACAAAAATCCAGTGAAACTTATTTCTGAAAGAATAAATAAGATTGATAGACTGCTAGCTAAAGAAAAAAAGATGATCTACCTAAACATGATAAAAAGTGACAAAGGAAATATTATCACTGATGCCACAGAAATACATGAAACCATCAGAGACTGTTATGAACACCTTTATGCACACAAACTAGAAAACACAGAAGAAATGGATAAATACCTGGAAACATATAAACTCCCAAGACTGAATCAGGAAGAAATTAAAATCCTGAACAGACCAATACTGACTTCTGAAACTGAATCAATAATAAGAAGCTTACCAGAAAACTCTGGACCAGATGGATTCACAGCCAAATTCTACCACACATATAAAGAAGAGCTGGTACCAGTTTTACTGAAACTATTCCAAAAAAAGGAGGAGGAAAGACATCTTCCTAACTCATTCTATGAGGCCAGCATCATTCTGAAACCAAAACCTAGCAGATATGGGAAAAAAAAAAAAAAAGCAAATTGGGCTGGGCATGGTGGCTCACGCTTATAATCCCAGCACTTTGGGAGGCAGAGGCAAGCAGATCACCTGAGGTCAGGAGTTTGAGACCAGCCCAGCTAACATGGTGAAACTCTGTTTCTACTAAAAATAGAAAAAATTAGCTGGGCATGGTGGTACAGGGCTGTAGTCCCAGCTACATGGGAGGCTGAGACAGAAGAATCCCTTGAAAATGGGAGGTGGAGGTTACAGTGAGCCGAGATCACGCCACTGCACTCCAGCTTGGGCAACAAGAGTGAAACTCCATCTCAAAAAAAAAAAAATATATATATATATTTATATATTATATATATAACATATATTATATATAATGCATATATTATATATAATGTATATATTATATATAATGCATATATAATATATATAATTTATATATTATATATAATTTATATATTATATATAATTTATACATAATATATAAATTATATATAATTATAAATTATATATAATTTAAATATATATTATTTTCATTTATATAAATATAATATATATTTACATAAACATATATTTATATAAATATATTTATGTATTTATGTAAAGATAAACATAAATATTTACATGTAAATATAAATATATTTACCAAACTGAATCCAGCATCACATCAGAAAACCTAATCCAACATGATCAGGTAGGCTTTATTCCTGGGATGCATGGTTAAACACCCTAAAAAACTAGGCATCAAAGGTACATACCTCAAGATAATAACAGCCATCTATAACAAACCCACAGTCAAGATCATACTGAAAGGGCAAAAGCTTGAAACATTCCTTTTGAGAACCAGAACAAAACAAGGATACCCACGCTCACTATTCCCATTAAATAAAATACTGGAAGTCCCAGCCAAAGCAATCAGGCAGTGGAAATAAATAAAAGGCATCCAAATTGGAAGAGTGGAAGTCAAATGATTTCATTTCACAAATGATATAATTCTATACTTAGAAAAGCCCACAGTCTCTGCCCAAAGGCTCCTAGATCTGAAAAAAAACTTCAGTAAAGTTTCAGCATACAAAATAAATGTATGGAAATCAGTAACATTTCTGTACACCAATAACATCCAACTGAAAATAAAATTATATTCACAATAGCCACCAAAAGAATAAAACACCTGGAAACACAGCTAACCAGGAAGGCAAATGTTCTCTACAATGAGAATTATGAACCATTGTTAAAAAAAAATTAGAGATGACAAAAACAAACAGAAAAACATTCCTCGCTCATGGATAGGAAGAATCAATATTGCTAAAATGGCCCTGCTACTGAAATAAATTTACTTTTGAATTCAATGTTATTCCTATTAAACTACCAACAACATTTTTTGCAGAATTTTTTAAAAATGAAAAAACTTATTTGAAACAAAAAAAGAGCCTGAATACTCAAAGCTATTCTATGCAAAGGAACAAAGCTAGACTCATCATACTACCCAACTTCAAACTACACTACAATACTACAATACCTAAAAGAGCATGGATACTGGTACAAAATAGACACATAGACCAAAGGAACAGGCTAGAGAACCCAGAAATAATTACCATTCAGGACACAGGCATGGGCAAGGACTTCATGTCTAAAACACCAAAAGCAATGGCAACCAAAGACAAAATTGACAAATGGGATCTAACTAAACTAAAGAGCCTCTGCACAGCAAAGGAAACTACCATCACAGTGAACAGGCAACCTACAAAATGGGAGAAAATTTTTGCAACCTACTCATCTGACAAACGGCTAATATACAGACTCTACAATGAACTCAAACAAATTTACAAGAAAAAAACAAACAACCCCATCAGAAAGTGGGCAAAGGACATGAACAGACACTTCTCAAAAGAAGACATTTATGCAGCCAAAAAACACATGAAAAAATGCTCAACATCACTGGCCATCAGAGAAATGCAAATCAAAACCACAATGAGATACCATCTCACACCAGTTAGAATGGCAATCATTAAAAAGTCAGGAAACAACAGGTGCTGGAGAGGATGTGGAGAAATAGGAACACTTTTACACTGTTGGTGGGACTGTAAACTAGTTCAACCATTGTGGAAGTCAGTGTGGCGATTCCTCAGGGATCTAGAACTAGAAATACCATTTGACCCAGCCATCCCATTACTGGGTATATACCCAAAGGACTATAAATCATGCTGCTATAAAGACACATGCACATGTATGTTTACTGTGGCACTATTCACAATAGCAAAGACTTGGAAGCAACCCAAATGTCCAACAATGATAGACTGGATTAAGAAAATGTGGCACATATACACCATGGAATACTATGCAGCCATAAAAAATGATGAGTTCATGTCCTTTGTAGGCACAGGGATGAAATTGGAAATCATCATTCTCAGTAAACTATCGCAAGAACAAAAAACCAAACACTGCATATGCTCACTCATAGGTGGGAATTGAACAATGGGAACACATGGACACAGAAAGGGGAACATCACACTCTGGGGTCTGTTGTGGGTTGGGGGGAGGGGGGAGGGATAGCATTGGGAGATATACCTAATGCTAGATGACGAATTGGTGGGTGCAGCGCACCAGCATGGCACATGTATACATATGTAACTAACCTGCACAATGTGCACATGTACCCTAAAACTTAAAGTATAATAATAAATAAATAAGTAAATAAATAAATAAAAATAAAGCCACACATCTAAAACCATCTGATTTTTTCACAAAGCCAAGAATAACATACAATAAGGAAAGGACTCCCCCTCAGGCACGGTGGCTCATGCCTGGAATCCCACCACTTTCGGAGGCCAAGGCGGGTGGATCACCTGAGGTCAGGAGTTTGAGACCAGCCTGGCCAATATGGTAAAACCCCATCTATACTAAAATTACAGAAATTACCTGGGCGTGATGGAGGGTGCCTGTAATCTCAGCTACTCTGGAGGCTGAGGCAGGAGAATCACTTGAACCTGGGAGGCGGAGGTTGCAGTGAGCTGAGATCGTGGCACTGCACTCCAGCCTGGGCAATAACTCGAATCCATCTCAAAAAAAAAAAAAAAAAAGGAAGGAAGAAAAAGACTCCCTATTCAATAAATAGTGCTGGGATAACTGGCTAGTCATATGCAGAAGATTGAAGCTGGACCACTTCATTTATACCATAAACAAAAATTAACTCAAGATGGATTAAAGACTTAATATAAAACCTAAAAGTGTAAGAACCCTAGAAGAAAACCTAGGAAATACCATGCTGTACATTGGCCCTGGCAAAGACTTCAAGACTCTAAAAGCAACTGAAACACAAGAAGTTGACAAATGATACCGGATTAAGCTAAAGAGCTTCAGCACAGCAAGAGACACTATCAACAGAGTAAACACACAATCAACAGAATGAGAAAAAAAAAACTTGCAAACTATGTTTTTCATCAAAGGTTTAATATGTAGAATCTATTTAAAAAATTGTAATTCACCAAGCAAAAAACAAACCTTATTAAAAATGAAAAAAGAACATGAACATACACTTCTCAAAAGAAGACAGACATGCATCCAACAAGCATATTAAAATGCTCAATGTCACTAATCATTAGAAAAATGCAAATCAAAACCACCGGATACCATCTCACATCAGTCACAGTAGCCATATTAAAAAGGCAAAGAATAATAGATGCTGGTGGGTAGTGAAGAGAAAGCTTATACACTGCTAGATGGAATGTAAATTTTTCCAGCCACTTAGAAAGTACTCTGGAGACTTCTCGGAGAATTTAAAACCAAACTACCATTTGACCCACCAATTCCATTATTTGGTGCATACCCCAAAACAGAAATCATTCAACTGTAAAGACACATGCATGCTTATGTTCATCACAGTACTATTACAATACTATTTACAATCATACTAAGTACTAGTACTATTGTACTAGTACACGGTACTATTTACAATAGCAAAGACATGGAATCATCTGATGTCCTTTAATAAATAAATGGATTTTACAAATGTGTGTGCGGGTGTGTACAAAATGTAATATATTACACAATGTAATATAGATATATACTACACAATAATGTAAATACACAATCGTATTTCATTGTATATATATATCATTATATATATATACACACACACACACAATGAAATAGTATTCAGCCATAAAAAGATAAAATTCCTTTCTTTGCAGCAACAGGGATGAACCTGGAGGACACCGTGTTAAGTAAAATAAGCCAGGCATAAAAAAAAATACTGCACATTCTCACTAATATATACAATCTAATAAAGTTGATCTCATAGGAGTAGAGAGTAGAATGGTGGTTACTAGAAGCTAGGGTGTGCAACAGAGTGCAAAATGAGGAGAAAATGGTCAATTGGCAATAAGTTACAGTTAACAGGAGGAATATATTCTAGTGCACAGTAGGGTGACTATGGTGAACAATTTTGTATTGAATATTTCAAATGGCTAGAAAAGAGAGTTTTGAATGTTCTCACCACAAAGAAATAATAAATCAGATGTTGGATATGCTAAATCCCCTAATTTGATTATTACATATATAAACACGTATCTAAAGCTCACATTGTACCCCATCTATATGTAAAATTATTATATCAATTAAAAACAAAATTAAAGGCAAGGTGTGGTGGCTCATGCCTGTACAAATCCCAGCACTTTGGGAGGCTGAGGTGGGCTGATCACCTGAGGTCAGGAGTTCGATAACAGTCTTACCAACATGGTGAAACCCCGTCTCTACTAAAAATACAAAAATTAGCTGAGCATGGTGGCGGGTGCCTGCAATCCCAGTTACCAAGGAGGCTGAGGCATAAGAATTGCTTGAATCCTGCTCAATGAAATAAAAGAGGATACAAACAAATGGAAGAACATTCCATGCTCATGGGTAGGAAGAATGAATATCGTGAAAATGACCATACTGCTCAAGGTAATTGATAGATTCAATGCCATCCCCATCAAGCTACCAATGACTTTCTTCACAGAATTGGAAAAAACTACTTTAAACTTCATATGGCACCAAAAAAGAGCCCGCATCACCAAGTCAATCCTAAGCCAAAAGAACAAAGCTGGAGGCATCACACTACCTGACTTCAAACTATACTACAAGGCTACAGTAACCAAAAGAGCATGGTACTGGTACCAAAACAGAGATATGGATCAATGGAACAGAACAGAGCCCTCAGAAATAATGCCACATATCTACAACTATCTGATCTTTGACAAACCTGAGAAAAACAAGCAATGGGGAAAGGATTCCCTATTTAATAAATGGTGCTGGGAAAACTGGCTAGCCATATGTAGAAAGCTGAAACTGGATCCCTTCCTTACACCTTATACAAAAAGTAATTCAAGATGGATTAAAGACTTAAATGTTAGACCTAAAACCATAAAAACCCTAGAAGAAAACCTAGGCAATACCATTCAGGCATTACCATGCCCAAACCTAGGCATGGGCAAGGACTTCATGTCTAAAACACCAAAAGCAATGGCAACCAAAGACAAAATTGACAAATGGGATCTAATTAAACTAAAGAGCTTCTGCACAGCAAAAGAAACTACCATCAGAGTGAACAGGCAACCTACAAAATGGGAGAAAATTTTTGCAACCTACTCATCTGACAAAGGGCTAATATATCCAGAATCTACAATGAACTCAAACAAATTTACAAGAAAAAAACAAACAACCCCATCAAAAAGTGGGCGAAGGCCATGAACAGCCACTTCTCAAAAGAAGACATTTATGCAGCCAAAAAACACATGAAAAAATGCTCACCATTACTGGCTATCAGAGAAATGCAAATCAAAACCACAATGAGATACCATCTCACACCAGTTAGAATGGCAATCATTAAAAAGTCAGGAAACAACAGGTGCTGGAGAGGATGTGGAGAAATAGGAACACTTTTACACTGTTGGTGGGACTGTAAACTAGTTCAACCATTGTGGAAGTCAGTGTGGCGATTCCTCAGGGATCTAGAACTAGAAATACCATTTGACCCAGCCATCCCATTACTGGGTATATACCCAAAGGACTATAAATCATGCTGCTATAAAGACACATACACACGTATGTTTATTGTGGCACTATTCACAATAGCAAAGACTTGGAAGCAACCCAAATGTCCAACAATGATAGACTGGATTAAGAAAATGTGGCACATATACACCATGGAATACTATGTAGCCATAAAAAATGATGAGTTCATGTCCTTTGTAGGGACATGGATGAAATTGGAAATCATCATTCTCAGTAAACTATCGCAAGGACAAAAAACCAAATACAGCATGTTCTCACTCATAGGTGGGAATTGAACAATGAGAACACATGGACACAGGAAGGGGAACATCACACTCTGGGGACTGTTGTGGGGTGGGGGGAGGGGGGAAGGATAGCTTTAGGAGATATACCTAATGCTAAATGACGAGTTAATGGGTGCAGCACACCAGCATGGCACATGTATACATATGTAACTAACCTGCACATTATGCACATGTACCCTAAAACTTAAAGTACAAAAAAAAAAAAAAAGAACTGCTTGAATCCAGGAGGCGGAGGTTGCAGTGAGCTGTGATCACGCCGCTGCACCCCAATCTGGGCAACAGTGTGAGACTTTGTCTCAAAAAAAAGAATTAAAAAAGGAAAAATGAGGTCATGAGCTAAACATCTGCCCCCAAACTATATGGAAAGGTATATGAATAAAGATCATCACCACTCACCAGAAGAGAAACGTGTAAGAAAAAACTTCAGTAGCAATTAGTACTACGGTAGGAAACCTACACTGTAATTGAGGACTTGCTGAAGCCTGAGAGTGGACAAGCATGAGAGTGAAAATCTCCAGGGAGGCCAGTCTTAGTCCCTCCTTCTCACTTTTGAGGGTTTTATCGTCAGAAGCCCTACCAGATTCTTACACTAGAGGTAGAAAAATCTCATGTTTTTGGCATAGGGAAAGGAAATGTACCCATTCTAAAAGCCACCTAGAACATTCTATTCTTCTTACCAAGCTCTGCCATCAGAAAACTATTTGAGCAAAGCATAACCTACTGGGGTTTTGTCAGAGTTTATATGACCTAAGTTAAGGGAAATACCCATCATCAGAGTGTTGTAGTCTTCAGTGGGGAAGAAGAGAAATATTCAACTTCAGACCACTTGAGCCCTTCATGTGAGAGAAGAAACAATGCAACTCCCGTTCCCTCTAGCCTTCCTGTTAAACCTAAGGGGGTGGGAAAAGAAATGTGCAGCATTTTTTAAGATGACAAGACAGAGGCACAGACTCACTACAAGACACAAAACTCAGGGGCTGGAATGGAGATATCCTTCTATTCTCAATAAATGCATCAGGACAAACTGATGGGAGTGGAAGTAATAAGCAGCCTAGGTTTTCCTCCCTGTATCTCATGCTCTGTGTCACAGACGTGTCCTCTGGAGGACAGAGCACTTCTCCTATGTAACTCTGAAAGAAGTAACATTTTTCTGACTTCCAAAATACTTTTGCTCTAATTCAATTCAGAAAACTAAAATCCACTAAGGAACATATTTGAAGAACACTACAAATCACCTGTAGGGAACCCATAGAAACACATTAGGAAATGTGATATTGTGTTGTGCACATTTTGAAGGCTGGATTATTGGGAGGTATATTTTGTTGACAAGTTCTGAGAACATACAATCCATTAGGCAGAAGCTACATAGAAAAATGAGCTTTCGCATTAAAAAGTATGGAACCCAGATGGTACAATAAAAGTTTAGAAATTGTACACTCTGTGGCTGTGTTGATGTTTTATATTATTTGATGTGTAAATGAGTGAAGAGGCCAGATTATCCAGAATGTACCTGAGATAATCAGAGATAACCAAGGAGAAGGTAAAATTAAAATGATGGTGGTAATTATTTGGAGCACTAAAGAACAAACATTGATAATGTGAGATCTGTTTTTTCCCAGATACATGAAATACATTTCTTTGTCATTAAGATGAACATACTTTAAGCATAATGCTTCTGTTATGCTTAAAAATACCTTTTTTTCAGCCAGGTGCAGTGGCTCACGCCTGTAATCCCAGCACTTTGGGAGGCCCATGCGGGCGGATTACAAGGTCAGGAGATCGAGACCATCCTGGCTAACACGGTGAAACCTCATCTCTACTAAAAATACAAAAACTTAGCCGGGCATGGTGGCAGGTGCCTGTAATCCCAGCTACTCGGGAGGCTGAGGCAGGAGAATGGCATGACCCCAGGAGGCAGAGCTTGCAGTGAGGTGAGTTCACGCCACTGCTCTCCAGCCTGGGCAACGAAGCGAGACTCTCTCTCAAAACCAAAAAACAAAAAACCTTTTTTCCCAAGCTACCATTGGACTTTTAGCCAACACCTTATTCCTTTTCTTCAACATTTTCATATTCCTCCAGGATCAGAAATCAAAGCCCCATGACCTCATCAGCTGTAATTCGGCCTTCATTCATGTAGTGATGTTCCTCACTGTGGTGGATGCTTGGCCTCCAGATATGCTTGAATCACTGCACTTAGGGAATGAGTTCAAATTTAAGTCCTTGTCCTACATAAACAGAGTGAGGATGGACCTATGTATCTGTAACACCTGTCTCCTGAGTATACACCAGGCCAGCACCATCAGCCCCAGCAACTTCTGTTTGGCAAGGCCTAAACAGAAATTCACAAGTAACATTATCATGTCATCTTTTTTCTTTTTCTTTTTTTTTTTTGGTCCATCAATTTGTCTTTCAGTCATAACATAGTATTCTTTACTGTGGCTTCTTCTAATGCTAATGTGACCCAGACCAGTCTACCCAAGGGCAGCAAATACTGTTCACTTTCTCCCATGAAGTCCTTCATGAGAAAAGTATTTTTTACTCTGACATTATCCAGGGATGTCTTCATTATAGGAATTACACTGCATTCAATTGCACACATGGTGATCCTTGTGTCCAGGCATGAGAGGCAATCTCAGCACCTTCACAGCATCAGCATCTCTCCACAAGCCTTCCCAGAGAAAAGGGCTGCTCAGACCATCCCGCTGTTAGTGAGCTACTGTCTGGTCATGTGCTGGGTGGACCTCATCATCTCATCTTCTTCAACCCTGCTGTGGACGTGTAACCCAGTCTTCCTGAGTATGCAGAACCTTGTGGGCGATGTCTACGCCACTGTTGTTCCACTGGAACAAATCAGCTCTGATAAAAATATAGTTGACATTCTCCAAAATATGCAAAGTGCTATAAAGCTTTAACAAGTTGGCGACGGAAAACATTTCTAAAAAATAGTCTTCTCCTATATTTAAATTGTTCAAGTAGCCCTGGAGTTCTTTTTATCTTATTTAATAAAATGCATGGAATCATACTTTTATTATATTTATATGCTTTCAAAACTGATGCTTCTAAGGACCATGTAATTTCTTTAATTCTAGTGTCTACCATGGGTTGACATTTCTGTATCAAGTTTCTTACATTTTTATTTTCATTTTATTTTGGTAGTAGAAAATGTTTCTCTCAAAGTATACTCTTCCTTTTTTTTTTTTTTTTTTTTTTGGCCTGTAGCTGAGGCTGGAGGGCAGTGGTGAAATCTCAGCTACTGCAACCTCCACCTCTTGGGTTCAAGCAATTCTCATCCTCAGCTTCCTGAGCAGCTGGGATTACAGGCACGCACCCCCATGCCCAGCTAAGTTTTGTATTTTTAGTAGAGATGGGATTTCACCATGTTGGTCAGGCTGGTCTTGAACTCCTGACCTCTTGATCCACCCACCTCAGCCTCCCAAAGTGCTGGGATTACAGACGTGAGCCACTGCACCCTGCCTTGAAGTATACTCTTAACAATCTTCTCTTGGTAATCAAATTCCTCAATGTTTTTACTTTTGAATATATTTTAATTTACTCTTATTTATGAAAGGTACTTTAGCTAAATATCCAATTTTAGCTTTTATACTATGCTTGTTCATTAGAACCTCCCTGACTGGAAATATGTCAATTTGGATTTTACATTTAATTTAGAATTTATTTTAAAGGGTTTTAAATGAAATTTATATGTAATTAGATACTATATGGTTACACAATATTTTCCCACATGTGCTATAATTGACAAATAAAAATTGTATATATTTAAGGTATACAATGTGGTTTATGTATACGTAAATATATACAATAAAATCACTACAATCAAGCTAAATAACATACTCATCACTTCCCATAGTTACTGTTGGTGTAATAAGAATATTTGAGGTCTTCTTTATTAATAAAATTTACCTATACATTAACTGTAGCCTCCATGCTGTACATTAGGTCTCCAGTACTTATTCATCTTATAAAACAGGTTTGTACCATTTGACCAATATCTCATTCTCCCAAGCCACAGCCCTTGGTCACTACCATTCTACTCTCTGTAACTATAATTCAAGCCCTTTTTTAGATTCCACATATAATTGAGATAATGCAGTGTTCATCTTTCTGTGTCTGGCTTATTTCATTTAGCATAACGCCCTCAAGATGATCCATGTGGTTGCAAATGTCAAGATTTTTTTCAAGGCCTGAATTGTGTCTCTCTCTCACACACACACACACACACACACACACACACAATACGTATATGTAACATTTCCTTTTTCTTGTTGTTGTTAGATATAACAACAGGCTGGAGTGCAATGGCATGATTATAGCTCACTGTAACCTATAAATTTTGGGTATAAATTATTCTCTCACCTCAGCCTCCAAAGTAGCAAGGACCACAGCAATACACCACCATGCCTAGCTAATTTGTAGGGACATGGTCTTGCTATGTCACCCAGCCTATGGAGTTTCACTCTGTTGCCCAGGCTGGAGTGCAGTGGCACGTTGGAGGCTTACTGCCAACTCCACCTCCCAGGTTCAGGCAATTCTCCTGCCTCAGCCTCCCGAGTAGATGGGACTACAGGTGCCTGCTGTCACCCAGCAAATTTTTGTATTTTGAGTAGAGACGGGGTTTCACCATATTGGCCAGGCTGGTCTCAAACTCCTGACCTCGTGATCCACACACCTTGGCCTCCCAAAGTGCTGGGATTACAGGCGTGAGCCACTGCACCCGGCCCCTTATCTATAGTTAATAATGCTTCAATCAACATAGGAGTGAAAATATCTCTTCAAGATAGTGAATTTATATTCTTTGGATATTTACTTAGATGTGAGATTGCTGAATCACATGATAGTTTTATTTTTAATTATTTGATGAACCTCCATGCCATCTTCCATAACGGCTTTACCAATTTACATTCCTGGTGATAGTGTACAAGGTCCCTTTTCTCTATATTCTTGATAACACTTGCTTTCTTTTGAATTTTTGATAAATATCACCTTAATATGTGTTTGAATGCTAACTCACTGTGGTTTTGATTTGCATTTTCTCAGAATTACTAATGGCTTCTTTAAAAAAAACTAGTTTTTTGGCTACTTTTTAAAAGTATGTGTTACGTTTTGTCGTTATTTTTATTTTGGGGGCTTAAGTTTTATGAGTTTCTTGCAGATTTTGAACATTAATCCTTTATCTGATATTTGGCATACAGGTATTTTTCTCCAATTCTGTAGATAGCGTTTTAATGTCTATGATGGTCTTTTGCTATGCAGTAGAAACTTTTTAGTTTGATGTAGTCCTACTTTTTTTTCTTGTGCTTTTGGTGTCAAATACAAAAAAAAACTATTGCTAGGATCAATGCCAAAGAATTTTGCTCAGTGTTGTCTTCTAGAAGATTTATGGTTTCAAGTCCAATGTTTAAGTCTTTAATATATTTTAAATTAATTTTATGTATGTTGTAAAGGTTGGGTGCAATCTGTTTTTGCATATGGATATCCCATTTTCCCATCACCATTTATTGAAGAGTTTATTCTTTCACCATTATGTGTTTATATGCCTTTGTTGAAAATTTGTTGACCATACACAGATGGATATATTTTATACATATCTAAGCTCTCTATTCTGTTCCATTGGCTTATGTGTTTGTGTTTATGCCAATATTTTGCAGTTTTGATGACCACAGCTTTGCTATATAGCTTGAAATTAGGCAGCATACTGCTTCTAGCTTTGTCCCTCTTGCTCAAAATTGCTTTATTTGAGGTTTTTTGTAATTCCATACAAACCGTGGATTTTAATTTTTGTTGAAAATGCTATTGAAATTCCGATAGAAATTGCTTTAAATATATACACCAATTTCAGTAGTATGAATGTTTTTTTTTTCTGGTTTTGTTTTTTTTTGAGATGGAGTCTCACTTTACCACCAGGCTGGAGTGCAGTGGCGCAATCTCGGCTCACTGCAACCTCTGCCTCCTGGGCTCAAGCAATTCTCATGCCTCAGTCTCCCGAGTAGCTGGTATTACAGGCATGTGCCACCACACCCAGCTAATTCTTGTACTTTTAGCAGGGACAGGGTTTCACCATTTTGGCCAGGATGGTCTCGATCTCCTGACCTCATGATCCACCCGCCTCGGCCTCCCAAAGTGCTGGGATTACAGGCGTGAGCCACCATGCCTGGCCAGCATGAATGTTTTAATACTAATTTTTCTAATCCATTAACACTAAGTATTTTTAATTTCTCTTTTCTATAATTGCCTCCACTAATATTTTACGGTTTTTGTTGTACAAATCTTTTACCTTCTTTATTATATTTATTTCTAAGTATTAGATTGGTGCAAATGTAACTGTGATTTTTGCCATTACCAGCGTAATATTTTATTATTTTAGATGTTATAGTATATGTAACTGTCTTCTTGATTTTTCCCAGATATTTGTTGTTGGGGTATAAAAATGCAATTGATTTTTTGTACATTGATATAGTATCCTGCAAACCTACTGACTTTGTTTACTAGTTCTAAAATTTTTTCATGTAATGATGAGCACACTGGCCTGTGTTTACACATTAATTGATCATTTTTATTAACATATCACAGTGCCTAAAAGTGTGCTCTGTTGTATTTTTGCTGTGACAAATTCTATGGCATCTTTCACTCCTAATCTTTTTTTAAATGCTTTTGTTTGGTATTTGATAATAATGTGTCTATGGTTACTTTTCAACTGTGCAACACATTTATCTCCATGCCGAGTCAAACTTTCTAATGAAGTTAATAGTTTTATGTACATTTAGTTATTGTAAATCAAAACAGTAAATTTTTATGATAGTTTTAAAGTTACTAAGATTGAGAATATATCAATTTTTCACTGCTCATGAATCTGTGGGTTCCTTAAACAATTATACATAAGGTCTATAGATATGTGTCTGTGTCTGTGTGTGTGTGTGTGTGTGTGTGTGTAATGGCTCAGAATCTTGCCTAACATATTGTATGCACTAAGCAAGTACTAGTAAAATTATTCATCAAATTATCATCTTCATACCATTCTTCAAATGGCATATTGTTTGTTCTAATTAAAAACTATGTTTCTGTCTTATGTTAAGTAGCAACAAAAATTAGAAGGTCTACTTGTTCTGCCCTCTTGAGAAAATCCAAAGTTAAATGGTAGTTTTACTAATTTCCTTTAGATTCAGTACCTTATTTTCCTCACACAAAAATGTAAACATTAAGGACAACATCATATTTAAATGATTCATCCTACAATAGACAGACTTCGGGTCATTCATTGATTGGGCTGAAGTCTCACTCACTCTCTATTATTTCTAATTTTTTCACGTTAACAGCCTAGAAAATCTACTACACATGGAATGTTATAAATTAGAAATTAACACCTTGGATGTACAAATTATAAAAGTAAACTGAAAAGTATAATATAAAATAAATATTTATATATTATGGATTGTTATTCTAGTAAAGCAAAAGCATTCATTTAAAATATTTTCACAAAGAAAAGTCCAGGGCAAAATAACCTATATAAAACATTCTACCAATATTCAATAAATAATTAATACTAATTCTTCAGCAGAAAATACTTCCAAAAAATGAAGAAGAGGGAATATTTTCCAATTCATTCTAGAGGCCAGTATTACTGTAATACTAAGGCCAGACACAAGTATAAACAGAAGGTGTGTGGGCAAATATGCCATATTCATGTAGACACATACAGCCT
Source organism: Homo sapiens (assembly GCF_000001405.40). Classification (NCBI taxonomy): domain Eukaryota; kingdom Metazoa; phylum Chordata; class Mammalia; order Primates; family Hominidae; genus Homo; species Homo sapiens. Next base: position 13,482,082 of record NC_000021.9, read on the forward strand.
CAGAAAACTTTAGCACGCTAAATCCAGGCACATAAAATATGAATATACACCAAGAACAAATGTGATTGTTTTGTAAATGTCATTGTGACTTAGTATCTAAAATTCAATCAAGATAATACCCAATATTAGTAAAGAACAAAAAGTGATCCTTTAAATAGATACAGATAAAGTTACAAATATCAAGCATCATTCCTGACAAAACCCCCAGCAAACTACTAATAGAAAAGATTTTGAGACCCACTAAGAGGTATCTATAAAAAACCTACAGCTAACATCCATCATACTTAATGGCGACAGACTTGTGCTTCTTTACCTGAAAGTTTGAGAGACAAGAATTTCCACTTTAACCACTCTATTCAGCATTGTAGTATTAGCCAGGAAAATTCTACAACAGAAAAAAAATTGTCCAGATTGTAAAATAAAAGTAGAACTGTCATTATTGCAAATGAAGTAATTTTCTGCAAAAAAAAAAAAAAGGATTCACTAAAATATCACTAGAATAAATACACAATTTTATCAGGGGTTTTTAAGAACTATACAGGGTGGGACTCTAGGTGCATAGGTTCAGTGCATAAACATACATCTTTAGGAGGCTGAGGTGGGTGGATTACCTAAGGTGAGGAGTTCGAGACCAGCCTAGCCAACATGGTGAAACCCGGTCTCTACTAATAAAAAATAGAAAAAAAAAATTAGCCAGGCGAGGTGGTACACACCTGTAATCCCAGCTACTTGGGAGGCTGAGGAGGAGAATCACTTGAACCTGGGAGCCGGAGGTTGCAGTGATCTGAGATGGTGCCCCTGCACCTAAGCCTGGGCAACAGAGTAAGACTCTGTCTAAAAAAAAAAAAAAAAAAAAAAAGATCTAAAAGCAACTAGGGGTCACCTGTTCAAGTTTGTGCTGGTTGGAGATCTTATCTCCTTCTGATATCTGGTCGGGGTGGAGAAGCTCTGGTGCTATTGGGCCATCTGGTTTCTTTATGCAGCTGTGCCTACAAATAAAGAAACTAAAGAAACACAGTAAGAAAAAGAACTTTCCCAGTTATTTCATCAGGGTGGCCCTGGTAATATTTTTATTAATTTTTCATTTATTTATTTATTTATTTATTTATTGAAATGGTGTCTTGCTCTGTCACCCAGGCTGGAGTGCAGTGGCTCCATCTCAACTCACTGCAACCTCCACTTCCCCCCACGTTCAGGCGATTCTCCTGCCTCAGCCTCACACCTAGCTAATTTTTTGTATTTTTAGTAGAGACAAAGTTTTGCCGTGTTGGCCAGGCTGCTCTCAATCTACTGACCTCAAGTGATCCTTCTACCTGGGCCTCCCAAAGTGCTGGGATTACAGTCATGAGCCACTGAGCCCGACCTAATTTTTCTTAAATGTATGTAGAGCGCACATTTATTTCAGTGTTTAATATTGTAAGTGTTTTGGGGCTTTCCAAGTTTGGTGATGTTTTTGTGACCAGAAATATGCCATAGAAACTATTTCTATCAATTAGGCTATGGTAAAATTGGTTTAATTACAAGTCACAGTTTTCAAGAACATATTAAATCCTCACACTAAGTAAGAACTTACTGTATTCAGCAGGCAATGGAGAGTCAGAAAAGCTTAAGCAAAAATGAGCAGTTCTTTTACCAGAACATAGGTGATAAGACATAATTTTATGAAACATCAGGTTTATAACAAATTTATTACATTATGTAGATATTATTAGGGCTGTGAAGATAAAGGCCACATAGGCCCATTTATTTGCAAGTCAGCACATAAACATAGAAGGATGATTAACAATATAAGCTTCTAGAGCTTATGCTAAATGTTGGTGGGAACAGACAATCAATTATGGAGAACTTCAGAGGACACTAAGCTTGGATGGGATCTTGGAAGTTTTACAGGTGAATGTCATTCCATCTATTGGCTGGCTTTCACTAGATTAATAAATGAACAACAAAAATAACATACATCAGAAGTTATAATCATTTCATTGAGTATCTGTCACATCTATGCCATTGTAGTGTACTAGGTGACTTATAGCACTTATGAGTCCTCTACTTACAAAATGCTTTTCACAAAATATGAAACTCCAGGCAAAGATTCAGACATATAATGTTTGTTTTAAAATCTCTTTTTTTTTTTTTTTTTGAGACAGAGTCTCACTCTGTCACCCAGGCTGGAGTGCAGTGGCACGATCTCGGCTCACTGCAAGCTCTTCCTCTCAGGTTCAAGTGATTCTCCTGCCTCAGCCTCCTGAGTAGCTGGAACTACAGGTGCGTGCCACCACGCCCAGCTAATTTTTGTACTTTTAGTAGAGACAGGGTTTCACTATGTTAGCCAGGATGAGTCTTGATCTCCTGACCTCGTGATCCGCCCACCTCAGCCTCCCAAGATGTTGAAATTACAGGCATGAGCCACTGCACCCGGCCTGTTTTTAAAATCTTTATATAGCTTGGTATCCTTTCTCCTTTCCTTCCTTTTACTCTTTTATGAGTTTTATCTTAGACTAACCTCTGTAATGTTGCTATATGCCAGTATTCAGTTGCTGCGTTTGATGAATCATAAAATGGTGTAAAACTTCAATTAATGTTCTTTTTAAATAAAATATTTATGAATGCATCCAGAAAAATGCTTATGATTTGGGTATTCACAAAGTATTCAAGAATAGAATGTATTCTGACTTGGAATGTGCATAAAATCAGCTGAGTGCAGTGGCCTATGCCTGTAATTCCAGCACTTTGGGAGGCCAAGGTAGGTGGATTGCTTGAGGTCGGGAGTTTGAGACCAGCCTGGCCAACATGGTGAAACTCTGTCTCTAATAAAAATACAAAAGTTAGCCAGGCATAGTGGAGCATGCCTGTAATCCCAGCTACTCTGGAGGCTGAGACAGGATAATCACTTGAACCCGAGAGGCAGAGGTTGCAGTTAGCCGAGATTGTGCCACTGCACTCCAGCCTGGGTGACAGAGATTCCATATCAAAATAATAATAATAATAATAAGAAGAAGAAGAAGAAGCATTTCCTGTGACTCCCAAGATAAAATAGCATTACAGAATACTGAATAATCCTGAATTTGGTTTTCTTGGTTTTCTTTTGCTTTTTATTTAGTTTTGTTCACCTTGACCAGTGGGCTGGTGGTTCTTAAGTGCACCTGCGTTTTCATTGCTAGGGTCAAGATTTTCAAACTTTAATATGGTAATTTCTCTAATTTTTTTGACAGTTATTTCTCAGGTTGCAAGTTAAAATAAAATTTCCATTTTACTAAAGTCTTTGGTTTATTAATTATTTTATAATGAATTAATATATATTTAATGAGTAATGAGGGGTACTACAAAATTTCAGAACTCAAAACTAAAGAACTTATTCATGGAACCAAACACCACCTTTTTCCGAAACACCTATTAAATAAAAAATATTAAAAAAAAATTTTTAAAATAAAACTAAAAATAAAATGAAAATGAAAAAATATATATCCAGGTTAAAAAAAAAACTATTTCAGTTAAACAACAAATACTTTTTTGGGGGACTCTACTACAAAATTGTTTGTTATTATAATTAATAAGGCAGACAAAAAATCTAAGTTTTTTAAAATAAAAAACAGTAAGTAAAAAAAAAAGATAATAACAAATATTGGTATATTGGTGAAGGCCAGGCTCAGTGGCTGTTTTCCAAAGTGGTTACACCAGTCGGGTTTGATGGCACACACCTGTAATCCCAGCACTTCAGGAGGCTGAAGCAGGCAGATCACTTGAGCTCAGGAGTTTGACACAGACCTGGGCTACATGTGAAAACCCAATCTCTACCAAAAAAATGTAAAAATCAGCCACACATGATGGCATTCACCTGTAAGTCCCAGCTACTTGGGAGGCTGAGGTGAGAGGATCACTTGTGCCTGGGAGATCACGGCTGCACTGGCCATGTTCACGCCACTGCACTCTAGCCTGGGCAACAGAGCAAGGTTTTGTCTCAAAAAAAAAAAAAAAGTTGGTGACAACGTGGAAGAATTGGAACCCACATACATTACTGGTGGGAACATAAAATGGTGTAATCAATTTAGGTGTTTCTTTTCTTGTCATTTGATTTTTTTAAAAATCAAGATATTGTCTCCCTATGTTGCCCAGGCTGGTCCTGAACTCCTGGCCTAATGCAATCCTCCAAACTCAGCCTCTCAAATACCTGAGACTACAGGTGTGAGCCACTGTGCCTGACTGGTGTAACCACTTTGAAAAACAACATGGCCGTTATTCAAAGGCTGAATGTAAACTTACCACATAATGCAACAATTTCACTCCTGGGTGTAAATCCAAGAGAAATAAAAATATATGTTCACACTAAAACTTGCATATGATTGTTCATAGCAGCATTACTCATGATGGCCAATATGCAGAAACAACACAAATGTCCATCAACTGATGAATGGATAAACATAAGCTATTATTCAGCTACAAAAAGAAAAAAATACTGATATACACTATAACATGAAAGAAATTTGAAAACATTGTGCTAAGAGAAAAAAAAGCAAACTACAAAAGATCACATATTGTACAATTCTATTTCCATAAAAGGTCCATATTAGGCAAAACTACATTGACAGAAAATAAATCAGTGGTCGTCTATGAAGACACAGGAATATGGAGGAAGTAGGAGGTAGCAGTTAATAAGTGAGGGTTTCTCACTCATAAGTGGGTAACTCATAAGTGAGTAATCACTTCTAAAAGTGACTGTGGTGATGGATACACAGCTCTTTGAATATTCTAAAAACCACTGAATTGTATACTTTCTTTTTTTCTTTAGTTATTTAGAGACAAGGTCTCCTTCTGTCACCCAGGTTGTAGTGCAGTGGCGCCATCTGGTCTCACTGCAACCTATGCCTTCTGGGCTCAAGTGATCTTCCAGCCTCATGTCCCCAAGTAGTTGAGACTACAGGCATGAGCCACCACACCCAGCTAATTTTTGTATTTTTAAGAGAGATGCTGTTTTGCCTTGCTGCCCAGGCTAGTCTCAAACTCCTGAACTCAAGTGATCCACCTCCCTCAGCCTCCCAAAGTCTCAGCATGATAGGAATTAGCCACTGAGCCCAGCCTGAATTGCATACTTTCACAAATGAATTGTATGATATGTTAATCATATTTCAATAAAATCATTAAAGGGGCCGGGTGCTGTGGCTCATGCCTGTAATTCCAGCACTTTGGGAGGCTGAGGCGGGCAGATCACCTGAGGTCAGGAGTTCGAGACCAGCCTGGCCAACATGGCAAAACCCTGTCTCTATTAAAATACAAAAAATTAGCCAGGCATGGTGGCATGCACTTGTAATCCCAGCTATTCATGACGCTATGACAGGGGAATTGCTTGAACCAGGGAGGTGGAGTTTGCAGTGAGCCAAGATCATGCCACTACACTCCAGCCTGGGTGACAGAGCAAGACTCTGTCTCCAAAAGAAAAAAAAAAAAGAAAGAAAATAGGGGTTGAACACAGGTGGCTCCCACCTGCGTATAATCCCAGCACTTTGGGAAGCTGAGGCAGAAAAAACACTTGAGGCCAGGAGTTTGACACCATCCTGGGCAACATAGTAAGATCCCATCTGTACAATAAAAAACAAAGAAGTCAGCTGGGCATAGGGGCAAATGTCTGTAGTCCCAGCTACTTGGGAGGCTGAGGTGGGAGGATTGTTTGAGCCCAGGGGTTTCCAGCTGCAGTGAGCCATGATCGCACCACTGCACTGCAGCCTGGGTGACACAGCAAGACCCTGTCTCTAGGAAGAAAAAAGAAAAAGAAATGCAAGTTTTTATCACCTTCTGAGAGTAATGGACTTTCAGGAGGAATAGAGTAAAACAAAAGACCACTGAATGGTTGAGGGTGGTTTGCTGGTTAGGCTCAGTTCCCAGCTGAGTAGTATCTGAAAAATTAGTAAAATTATGGTTCTGGCATGAGTCATGCAGTCAAATGATGAATGCTAAATCCATTGCAAATGCCCATGGTCTTTCTTTACATGAATTCCAGTGAAAAATTCCTAAGTTCCTAAATAGCAAGTGAGTACCTAGAACTATAGGCACATGTCACCGTACCTGGCTAATTTTTACAAAAACTTTCTGTAGAGATGGGTTTTCACCATGTTGCCCAGGCTGGTCTTAAACTCCTGAACTTAAGCGATTCTCCCGCCTCAGTCTCCCAAAGTGCTGAGATTACAGACATAAGCCACTGTGCCCAGCATGTACATCTCTTTCACTCGCTGTTTCTGAGATACATCCTTTACAATGAACCAGTAATAATAAATTGGTGAGACACAGTGGCTCACGTCCATAATCCCAGCACGTTGTGGAAGTTGAGGTGGGAGGATCATGTGAGGTCAGAAATTTGAGACCAGCCTGGGCAACATAACAAGACCCCATCTCTACAAAAAATAAAAGAACATAGCCAGCTATGGTGGTGCAGTCCTATATTAGTCTCAGCTATTTGGGAGGCTGAGGTGGGAGGATCACTTAGGGCCAGGAGTTTGAGGCTACAGTGAGCTTTGATCACACCACTGCATTCCAGCTTGGCAACAGAGTGAGACCCTGAATCTCAGGAAAAAAAAGGAAAATAACCTGTTTTCTGAGTTCTACAAGGTGTTTAAGCAAATGATTCAACCCAAGAAGGGGGCCATGAGACCCTGGTTCTAACTGATTGGTCAAAAGAACATGTAACAACTCAGGGCTTGCAATTGGCGTTTGAAGTGAGGGTAGTCTTGTGGGACTGAGCCCTGACCTGTGCGGTCTGCACTAACTCCAGGGAGTGTCAGAACGGAATCATGGGATACCGGGTTGGTATCCAGATTGTCTGAAAACTGGTGTAGAAACTCTGCACGCACATTTGGTTGGAAGTGTTTGACCGTAACTACTATTCAAGAAGAAAAAAAAACTACTCATTAGAACTTAAAAACATAAAATTGTATGTTCTACAAAAACAAATCAACCATATTTACAACCAAGTCCTACTGAACTACTGAATGTTAGAACTGAAGGCCTCACCGTGGACTCAAGAGCTGACATGAGGAACGTCACCACCATCCTGCTCTCGTAGGAGTCCTCATCTTCAATGGACAGGGTAGACACTAAAACTTGGGCCATGATCCCTGCACAAGAGAAGTAGTAAGAAAGTGAGTGGTGGGCAGGGTGTGGTGGCTCACACCTGTAATCCTATCAGTTTGGGAGGGTGAGGTGGGTGGATCACAAGGTCAGGAGTTTGAGACCAGCCTGGCCAATATGGTGAAACCCCGTCTCTACTGAAAATACAAAAAAAATTAGCCGGGCGTAGCGGTGCACACCTGGAGTCCCAGCTACTCAGAAGGCTGGGGCAGAAGAATCACTTGAACCCAGGAGGCAGAGGTTGCAGTGAGTGGAGATCGCACCACTGCACTCCAGCCTGGGCAACAGAATGAGACTCCATCTCAAAAACAAACAAACAAAACACACACACACACACACAAAAAGAAAAGAAAGTAAGTGGTAAAAATCCAGTGCCCTAAACCCATATCCAGAGCTGTGAGAGTTTTTCACTGGCTAATTTACAGTTTTCTTGCATCAGAGAAAAAATAAGGCTCAGAAACTAGGTATTCGATTTGCCCAAAACTCTCATCAGATAGAAAATCCATTCCCTAACTTTCTAGCTAGTATTATTTCCATAAAGTTAGATCAGTATCACTCCGAAAATAAATACACGTCACCCAGTATATTTCTCCCAAATAAAAGAGGAAGCAAGGCGCTTTACAACCCAGTGATGGGCTACCACATCAACACAGGAAAGAGGTGCCAAGCTCCTTTACTCCCGTCCATAACCCTACACAGAAAAGAGTGGGTGCAGTGGAATGAGGCTGGGTGGAGAGAAGTTCCTCTTCTTACTGACAAAATAGATCACAGGGCATCACGTAATATGTAAAAGTCTTTATAATACAGCATATTATTTTCTTTGGAAAACCTTTTCTAATATTTTGGTATCAGTAAAAACCCTCAGATGAATTTCAAACACTATAAAAATACAATACATAAACAGAAAATATTAACTGTCAGTAAGCATATAGAGAAATTGGAAACTTTATGCATTGCTGTTTGGAATGTCAGCCCCCTGTGGGAAATGGTTTGGCATTTCCTCAAAATACTAAGCGTAGACTTATCATATGATCCAACAACACCCTTTAAGGGTATATGCCCAAAAAACTGACAGCAGAGACTCAAACAGGTATTTGTACACCTGTTTAATAGCAGCATTATTCACAGTGGCCAAAAGGTAAAACCAACCCAAATGCCCATCAGTAGGTGAATGAATAAAGAAAATGTAATATATACATACACAGAATATTATTCAGCCATAAAAAGAAAAAAAATCTGGCCAGGTTTGGTGGCTTACACTTGTAATCCCAGTGCTTTGGGAGGCTAATGTGGGCAGGTCACTTGAGCCCAGAATTTTGAGACCAGGCTGGACAACATGGCAAGACCTCATCTCTACAAATATATATATATATATATATATATATATATATATATATATATATATATATATATATATTTTTTTTTTTTAAAGGAAATTCTCTTAGTGTTATAAATGAGCCTTGATAACATTATGCTAAGTGAAATAAACCAGACACAAAAGGAAAAATATTGTACAAGTCCACTTATATAAGGTATCTAAAATTGGCCAGGCGTGATGGTTCACACCTGTAATCCCAGCACTTTGGGAGGCCAAGGCAGGGAGATCATGAGGTAAGGAGATCAAGACCATCCTGGCTAACACAGTGAAACCCCGTCTCCACTAAAAAATACAAAAAATTAGCCGGGCGTGGTGGCAGGCACCTGTAGTCCCAGCTACTCGGGAGGCTGAGACAGGAGAATGGCGAGAATCCAGGAGGCGGAGCTTGCAGTGAGCCGAGATCGCGCCATTGCACTACAGCCTGGGTGACAGAGCAAGACTCCATCTCAAAAAAAAAAAAAAGAATAATGTAATCTATAAAATAGAATAAGCATACAACAGGCCGGGTGCAGTGGCTCACACTTGTAATCCCAACACTTTGGGAGGCCGAGGTAGGCAGATCATGAGGTCAGGAGATCGAGACCATCCTGGCCAACATGGTGAAACCCCATCTCTACTAAAAATACAAAAATTATCTGAGTGTGGTGGCGTGTGCCTGTAATCCAAGCTTCTCAGGAGACTGAGGCAGAAGAATCGCTTGAACCAAGGAGTGGTAAATTGCAGTGAGCTGAGATCATGCCATTGTTCTCCAGCGTGGTGACAGAGTGAGACTCCGTCTCAAAATAAATAAATACAAAAAATACAGTAAAATATGAAATCTCTTTTTCTCCTATCCTTCTGCTGGTACTTCAATTTCTGCTGGTACTGTTCCATCATTGCCCTCTAAATAATAATGGCTTCATAAAATGAAAATAAACAACATACAATAAACCAGTAAAAATTCACATTGAAAGAGAAAAGAGAAGCTAGGTAACAATGCAAACACTTTTAAGACATAATAAACATATAAAAAATGATCCTTTTAACTCAATCCAAACAATGTTTCTAATTCAGAAAAAAATATAACACATATTTGGAAGCTGGAAAACATTATTTTAAAATATGAATACACAGTAGACTCAAGTAGGTTTAGGGATTTAATATTAGTGTATCTATGTGATAAAATTACTGGATATTGGAATCTGAAGAAGTACAATTATGGTTCAAGTACCATGCTCATCTGTCACTGACACACACACACAAACAAATTAGCATGAATGCTTGCTTTGCTCAGACAATTAACTCTCTATAAGTTCAGGGTTTGCTGTGGAATGCTCCCTGTTTTCCATTTTCACTATGGTGAAAGCTATGGAAACTCAATCCATGTAATTTAATCCAAGCTGTACATAAAGTAACTTATAAGTAAAAACTGAAGATACTACCTTTAGTGTCAAAAATATTTTAATCCCGGTAATATAATCTGCCTGCTTCTAAAAACTGGGATATAAAGCAATAGATTAATCAGGCAGTCACAAGGGAAACAAGCTCATCCTACTGGAGCAGAAGTTTTATTCACAAATAGGAAAGAAAGAATCTAAGATATCAGAGGGCCGGTAAGGATTAAGACCACAAGCTGCCCCCACAGGAACAAGATATATTATTTTGTTTTAAGCCATGAAAGTTTAACAGGGCAGTTTGTAATGAAGAAACAAATAATAACAAACGATCTATCAAGCTAGAGAAAGACCCCATGCTCATTTCATTTTGTCTTACTTCACTAGTATTGCAAAGGGAAAGTGAGAAAGAAAAAGACAGAGAAGGAGAGAAAGAGAAAATCGAGAGAAAAAGAGAGACTCTCCAAACAAAATGATTATGTCTCAAAAGAAAAAAAAATTTTTCATCTATTTGTCTAACACACACACACACACACACACACACACACACAGAGAGACACACACAACTCTACTGCTTGGTATCCCACCCTATTTTGTATCCCTGAGGATTTATTTGAGTCCTTGAGAAAGCCCCTTATGAACATTAGAGCTCCTCTTAGGGTTAGCGGGGAACGGGTATAACTGAGCTTTCCCTACAGACTAGAGTAAATGTGCTAAGCCAGAATGTCTTCTTCCTCCTCCTCCTCTTCGTCTTTCTCCTCTCCTCCTCCTCTTCTAAATTTAAATAGTCTATATATGATTTTTATTACTTATGTAATTGAGTTCCTAAATGTGCCCCAGGCTTAGTTTCTTCACACTCTTAAAAACCTATACTTTTAGAAATCCTTAGGTTCTGGAGTCCCCTAGTCTAGGTTGGATATCTTCGTGTGCTATTTGCTATTTTTATGGCATTTGTCATTTACTAGCTGAATTAGTTCATTTCCTCACTGCTATGAAGAAAAACCAAAAACTGGTAATTTATAAGGAAAATAGATTTAATTGACTCGTAATTCCATCAGCTGTTAAGGAAGCATGATGCTGACATCTGCTCAGCTTTTGGGGAGGCCTCAGGAAATTTACAATCATGGCAGAAGGCGAAGGGGGAACAGCCCTTCACCTGGCTGCAGGAAGAGCAAGAGAGAGAGATGGGAAAGGTGCCACAAACTTTTAAACAACCAAATGTCATGAAAACTCAATCACAAGACAGCACCAAAGGAGTGGTGCTATAGCATTCACGAGAACTCCGCCTCCATAATTTAATCACCTCCCACCAGGCCCCACTTCCAGCACTGGGGATTACAATTCAACATGAGATTTGATGGAGTTAAAGATCCAAACCATATCATTAACCTTTTCTATGAATCAGGTTTTAAAAAAAATCTGTTAATAATGGCACCTATAATTTGCTGTGAGGATTTGATAAATTAAAATTATTTGTCAATAACAACAATGTCCATGAAAAACTTGATTTAAAGTTAAATAAGAAAATCCTTCTAAAGCTTCCAGTAAGCATCAGTTAATAATTGGTAGTTTCTGTTTCTCTTATTGCTTTTGTTAAAAACAATTATCTTCTACATGTGAGTAATGGTAAAATGGGACAACAATGTGATTTGTTTCAAACAATTTATTTTTATGCTGGTATTTCCTACTTCAGAATAAATGAAAATATAGATTATTGAATCTGACAATAAATCATATTCTTTATAAATGAAAGCAGAATGGAAGATTAATTTGGATTCAGATATTAAGAAGACTGAATAACTGATATGAAATATTCCTACACACTAGTTTTAAAATTATGTTCTACAAGGCAACTTTGAGGGTTTTTTGAAATGACATGTTTATGGTAGACAAACATATCATATGCTCTTACGAATATTCAATATGTCAGCAAAAGATCCAACTCTAAATTTTCTTGTTACAGTCAGCTTCCTAAGACCGCTCTATGCATAACTGTGTTACACAGGTTTCCTGGAACAGACCTTGAAGTGGAGGACTGCAGGCAGAATCTTTGTTGTGGAGTGATCTTGAGATACACACCTGTAAAGAAGTGAGAAATGCAGGATTAGACAGAGGGGGAAGCTGCCAAACAATAAGGTGACAATGGAGGATTCTGCTGATTCTATAAACAGCTCTGGACTTAAAATGAGCCTTCACATTGCTCCAAATTGAGTTGTAAGAGTTCAACTTTGATATCCCCACCATAGGACAACAATGGACCTCAGGATGCATTCACACAATGGGCATACTCTTGACTATGCAGTTTCCTGTGGTTGAGAGCAATTCCTAATTGAGTGATGAAGCTGTAAATGGTTTTCTTCATAAACTGGGAAATGGTTTTCTTGGAGGCCCCGAAGAGGAAAACTGACAGAGTATCACAATAACAGCTACAATATCCCAGATTTAAAACAATTTAAAAATATTTATTAGGGTGATTCATTTCTTTATTTCTTTCAAAACATGTTTACGAAAACATGTTTTGAAAACATTAAATATCTTTGATATAGTTTAGTAGGAAAATACTCAAAATCAAAATTGTAAAAACAATGTGTTTCTTATACAATTAAACTGCATTTGAAGTAGATGGTAATGTAATACAAATCTTGAAAAGTTTTTCTTTTCTAAAACAAGGTGCCAATGATGTACTACACTGTAATTAACACTGAAATTCTGGGAACTACTTCATCATTTCCAGTCACTATAGTTGCAAAGCTGGGAAGTAAACACTGTACATCAGATGATTGCTTTCCCATGGAATACAACAGGCTGAAGTTCCCTTCATTATACAAATTAATAAAATTCAAACTATATAAAATATATATTAGTCATCGATGATTAATTCACCCATATCTGGGTACCAAAGGTCTGGACTACTTAAACCATGTAGATTCAAAATTCTAGATTGGGAAAAATTATAAGGAAAACCCGAAGCTTTCATACAGTGTGAAAATTATTCAGCACATATGGATAATTTTTGATGTTTGAAATAAGCAGAAAGATCTCTAATGGAGATGACTTTATGACTTTGTTTAGGAACAGCATAAAAATAAACATTTTAAAGTGCTGTTATATAAAAATAAAACAACAGTTATTTCTCTATGTTTTGAAAGCTAAAACTAAATAAATGATAGTAGGAGCAGAGGTGCTTTGTTACAAGTTCTTTTCAAGCACTTACAATTAATACCTTTAATGGCGGAAGGAAAAAATACTGCTTCAACAATATAAAGATATAGCAGTTCACAGTGGCAACCAGGCAAGATGTTACTTTGAAATGCCCTGCTTTAACAGTATACCTGGGGACTTTGCATTCTCCTCTAAACTGGGTTTAATATAAAGCAAATCCCACCACAGCTGTCTTCAAGCTTTCTAGTAAAATGGCCCTCCAGAAAGATGATCTTTGGTGTTAACCCCTGTCAAAATGACAGCTCGCCAAATGGAGAAGTCAAATCCCAGAAAAAAACAATAGAAAGTTTCGTAGAAGTTAGTGAGAAAAATAAAATTTTGAGTGTTAAATGATTCTCACATATTGAATACCATTTTACTTATTTTCTCTAACAAATCCATTCACCAGTATCATTATAATTTATGACTTTTATTGTGGTACAATGCTGTCCTTTCATAAATGTACTTCAGTGAAGTAGGATTACTCCTGTATATTATTACTATGGATGCTACAGTCATGCTTTCTTTGTGCACAAGTTGCCATGAGCTAAAGCCTCATTAAAAAAGGTAGATCTGTTTCTAGGTATGTCTACTCCTATATTTTATCAAGTACGTATGCATGTATGTATCACAATATCTAAATATGAGCAAGCTTATGAGACAGTGATATTGATAACAATATCTTCAGTAGAATTAAGATTTATCTTCTTTGAGATCAGAAAATAAAACCATGTTAGATTTAGCTTAGAACATGCGTACCTAAAAAAGATTGCTTAAATTAGCTTATAAGTGAGAACTGTGATAAGTATGTTAAGCAAACAGCTTACTGGAAGTTATTTCTTCCATTCTGTATACTCTTAACTACCACATATCATAAAGTCCTAAGAATCTAGTTTGGGAAAGTATAATAGAAGACTGAAGCAATTATTTAGATCATTTAATCTAAAAAAATCCCATCATTGTGCCAATTCTTTGGTATTTCAAGGATAGTAAGATCAATGTTTTCCACGATTATTGTTAGTATTATTTTATCATTAATTTTCATTAATTTATGATTTATTTAATACTTTCTTGACAATATCGGTATATCTTAAAATCCTGCTAAATTTTACACGTGTAAATTCTGGATATTACTAAGCTGACCTAAACTACATATCTCCGAAAAGAAAAACTAAGGTGACAATACAGTTAAAACCAAATTTTAGTTTCAGATTCTAAGGAAATAATGTATAAATTTGAAAAATAGCTATGTTCTTATATAATTATAAAATAAAAATGTTATTTCTATCTAAATTAAATAGACAATGTATTAATCTAGATTAATGAACATGCTCCAAATATTTTGAACCAAATTACTATTTCCCATCTATTACAACATACGATTCCCATCTATTACAACATACGATTTTTACTACTTTGTACATAAGTGTATTATTGAGATGTAACTATTATGTCTCCTTATATTTTCTTTGTAACATTTAAAACATTCTCATTATTTTAAAAAAATCCATATGCTAATACTTAGGAAAAGGCTTTTTTGTGCCTGAGATTTCTGTAACTGTGAAAAGCATAAGGGAGAATTTCTTTTCCAAAAACATAGACGTTAATGAAGTTGTTTTTTGAGGCCTGTTCTTCGTAACTGTTTTCTAGGTGATGGACTATTATCAACTTGCTCCATAATCCGTTTAGAGTTAAAGAGGACCACAGAAACTGCACCTCCAGGTGTCACAGGTTACTAAACTAATAACTAAAACAAATTAAAAGACTTATCTCAGATTCCCTCCTGGAGTCTACTGCCTTGTTTATACAGCTGGAGGACAAAGTCAGCCACTGCCTGAATTCATATTCTGCACTATGCGATTCAGGAAATAGTGAGTCCAAGCATTTCTTACTCTTAAAATTGTGTTCAATGTTTGCAGTCACTTTCCTATCCCTGATATTATCAGGAAGGGGGCTGCAATTTCCTTTCTGCTTCTCTGAGTCAACTGCAAAGTCTCAGATGTTTTCACAGTTGAGACAAGAGAACAAGAAGCACCAATGAAAACCACGGGGTTCTATGGAGGCATCATGGTGTAGTGAGCAGAAGCATGCTACTCTAGCTGTATCTCACTGGGTTCAAATCCTGACTATACGGCATATGGTGCATTAACAGCCCGCTGACCACAAGAATTTCTATGCTGGTAAAATAGGTTTATAATAATGCCAGTTAATCTAAAGATGCTTTAAGTGAAGACTATTTGGTGTTTTTCAAGGACTCAATAATCATTAACTGTGATCATGATCTTCCCCTTACCTACTTTCAATAAGTAAATAATTTACATTTATTAAACAAAAGAAATTTAATCTTGCTTTTCTGAAACAACACAATTCTATTTCAATTTTCTTTACATAGAGGGAGCATCTCACCGCAGATAAAGATGTATGTATATTTTTTCTCCACTTGAAATTATGCTGAGACTCAAAAACAGAAATATCTAGTACGATATCAATTCATATATCAGTTATGTTTAGAGGGAGTTGGGCTAAACATACAGCATTCATTTAAAATGAAGGCCTCCCGTCACACTTTGCTGATGGTATTTAAGTATTGAAAGCCAACTTTTTCTACCTGCTTACTATTATGTCATAGTAGCATGATTTCCCAGACAGCAGAAACTTTGTCTTTTTGTACATAGCTAGGCATTTGATGCTTGTAACAGTGACTTCTCGATAATTATTCATTGCCAGGAAAGATAATTACTTTAAAAATTTATTTAGGACATTATTTAGCAAATAGTAAATAAACAGTATTAGCTGGTTGCTATTATTTCTGAATATCAGTTTCCCTAAATTTTCTCATCTGAAAAATGGAGATATTTCACAGCAGCATTGTGAGAGACAATAGAGTCAATATAGATAAAATTCTCCAAAGACCAAAACTTTATCTAGCTCATATGTTCTGCATGAGTATTCATTTTTTTAATTACTGTATCTTTTTAACTCATTATGACTAAAATTAAGTATTTTTTTCTCTTTCAAGACCTTATGCTTCTCCTATGTTCCCAATATGCTGGAAATCAGGTGTGGGTAATAATAGCACCATGATTTTCCTTTGGAGAAATCAGTCCAAATGACTTTATTCCACCTATAACTCCATAGATGCCATGAAATCCAGACCTCAGTACAGACAGTGACTTCCATGAACTTAGCTAAAATTTTTGGACAAAGTTTACTCTCTCTGGATTCTAAACGGATAGGGTAATGTTGCTGTCTCATGAAGCACCTTCTGAGCCTACTGAAGCAGGAGCTGATGTTGAGGCAGAACTGAAAGATGCAGAGGCAGAGTCCGGATAACACTGTCTGAACACCTGAAAACACGTTGAACACTGACGAATTTTAATTTTCTATTTTAGCCCAAGGTCAGTAAGCATCTTCTGTAAAGGGCTAGATTGCAAATATTTTAGGTTTTATGGAACATAAGGTTTGGGTGCAACTATTAAGCTCCAGTGATGGATATGGCTGTGTTGCAGTTAAACTTGATTTACAAAAACAGATGGCAAGACCAATTTAGCCGTGGATCATAGTTTATTGACTCCCGCCTTTTCCTGACAAAGTAGAGTTTCTTTACCTGGCAACCAAAGCAGTTAGTCTTAACTAATACCCCCTGTATCAGGCACTGGATTAACACATTTTTAAGCCAAAAATTTGAAAAATAATCATTTATACCTTTTCTCTGTTCCCTTGCAGCATAAATACAACATCAGAAAGTATGTTTCTCTCAAATGTTTCCTTGGTCTATTTACTCTTTCCATTCCCACCTACAACCTGTTATTTCAAATCACAATCATTTCCTGCTTAACATTCTATAAAAACTTTTTACATATTTGCTGGAGTCTAGGATTCCTTTCAATTCTTTTTCACACGGAAGGTCTTATTGTGACATCCTGCCTTGTTTTAACCTGAATTGACTCTCCCTTAGCTGAGAGAGCCACACAAACTCCAGTTTGGCTCCTTCACTTGCAGCCCCTTGCAGCCTCTTACCCACCCCCCTTTCTCAAGGACTTAACTTGTGCAGGCTGACTCCCAGCACATCAAAGAACACGATTAACTGATAAGACACTGTGGCAAGCTATATCCGCAGTTCCCAGGAATTCACCCGGTTGATAGGACCCAAAGCCCCCGGGGTTTGTGTCCCGTTGATAGCACCCAAAGCCCCCAGGTCTATCACCTTGTGATGGATTTAAAGCCCCCGCACCTGGAACTGTTTGTTTTCCCGTAACCATTTGTCCTTTTAACTTTTTTGCCTTTTTTACTCAGCTGATTGCTTCAGCTAAGCTCCCCCTCCCCTTTCTAAACCAAAGTATAAAAGAAAATCTAGCCCCTTCTCTGGGGCCAAGAGAATTTTGAGCACTAAGGGTCTCTCGGTTGCCGGCTAATAAAGGACTCCTGAATTCGTCTCATAGTGTGGCATTTAACTACAACTCGCTCGGTTACAACATTATGATATTTCCACAATACATACATTGGCATGCCGTGGTCATATCCAGGGGACTGTTTATGAACCTTTGACATGGATAATGTCTCCTGTCATAAAGTGCATATTATCTGACTTGTTTATTAAATTGTATCTTTTGTTTCTAGAATATAAATTATGTGAGGATCAGAGCAATTTTTTTTTTTTGTTTACAGCTTTCTTCAATTGTCTATACATGTGGTTGATATAATGTGAATAACCCATATATATTTCTAAAAAGAAGGCCAAATGACTCAGCAGGGAAAGTAAATATAAAAATAATGCATTTTTTTCTGAATCAATACAGACTTAAACCATATAATAAACTTCTGCATTTAGACAACCATTAAGGTCTATAGCACATATTTACTATTCTATGGTAATCTCTTAGATTTATCTTGCGCCAACATACTAAAATTTTAACGGAATAAAAACAGAAAAGAGGTTTTCAAAAAATATTATTTTCATATACCTAATTTTCCAATTGTCTTTCTATTCCTGTTGGCTCTTAAAATTTACTTATTATTCAATGTCCAGTTCAAGTACAGATTCTCATTGTCTTTCTAATTTATTTCCTGCAGGGCTAGTTTGTTATTTTAGACACAGTTTCTGTATCACACATTTTTATAGTTCATATTGTATGTAAATTAAATTGTTGCAGATTCTTCCTATGTGCACGTCTTTGATGCACACGTACAATGAATGTTCCCAAAAAGTATTAATAAAGAACACATTTTAACTTCTTTTTAAATCACCAATTTCAGTACAAAGCAGTGTGCACAGAAGATATTCACTAAATTCTTACTAAATGAGTGAATTTCATAGGAAATTGGAAAATGGATGATCATAAAATTACATCTGGAAGGAAATCATGCCCAGAAAATTTATCTGATGACTGCACACACAATTTTTGCTAACATTATGCTGAAGGAAACAAGTGTATGACAGTAACATGAAACACAACAATGGTTGGTTTACACTTCACATCATTCACTTGGTATTCTGGTGTGGAGAAATAATATTTGATCAAAACTTAATAGCATTTAAAATTGTTTATTTGATCTTTATTCTAACTAGTGATATGGATCACACAAAAGGTGTTTAGGCTCTTTCTTCTATGGCATGAGAATATTTTTAAAAATATATTTAGCTACTCAAAAAGTACAATGATATAAACAGAATATGGAAAACTCAGGAGAAAAAACAGGAATTATAATTAGTGACATAATATAAACCAAAAATGAAGTGCCAATCTCAAATCATTTTTTAAAATGTGTGGTCTGAAATATTCAAAACTGACTCTAGAAGAAATCAATACTAAAATATTTGTCATACAAATAATTAATGAGAAGGTTATCAAAGAACTTCATCAAAGAATTCCTCTAATAAAGTCCCTGGGCCCAGAATTCATAGTTCAGAAAGGAAAAGAAAGAATGCATAATTTCCTTAGTATATAAATTGATTCAAAACAAAAACACAAAAAAACTAGAAATTACTCATACAAAGCTAGTATAAACTCAAAAATAAGTGTACCTGAGTATGCTTATGCACACATATGAGGGCATATGTGTGCATGTGTGTGTGCACACCTCACATGTGTATGCACTACACACACAAGGTGAATTCTATTTAAAAACATAAATGCAGTATGTCTAGTAACAGAAAATAGCAGAAATTAAATCAACAAGTAATTATCTCAGGGATGTAGGATTTTCACTATTATATACATATCATAGATGTATGTGATCTGTGATCATTTGACTGGGGGCACAAAAACAAATGCTTAAATATTTCAGCATAATACAGCATTTACATCTGTGTGGTATAAATAATATTGAATAATATCATTGATTTGAAAGACCAAATTTGGCTGGGCGCAGTGGCTCACAACTGTAATCCCAGCACTTTGGGAGGCCGAGATGGGTGGATCACGAGGTCAGGAGTTACCTGGCTAACACCGTGAAACCCCATCTCTACTAAAAATACAAAAAATTAGCCAGGCATGTGGCGGGCACCTGTAGTCCCAGCTGCTCAGGAGGCTGAGGCAAGAGAATGGCGTGAACCCGGGGGGTGGAGCTTGCACTGAGCCGAGATCGCGCCACTGCACCCTAGCCTGGGTGACAGAGCGAGACTCCATCTCAAAAAAAAAAAAAAAATGAAGAAAATCCAAATTTAACAAAATCTGACCTATAGTACATATATTTAGTCTTCCTCTTTCATTATTTAATTTTGCTATTCCATCATTATTGTCTGGTTTGAATTAACATAATTATCACGTTTAGATAAATATCGTATTTTATAAGTATAGGCAGGGATCCTTAAATTGGTAAAACATTTTACTCTTTTTAAATGTTTCTTTGTAATTCCCACTTCCACCCATCTAGTCTTCCATATAAACTTTAGAAAGAAATTATTAGGTTTCAAAAAGTATCCTAGATGGAACAGACTGATATTACTGTGAATTAATAGTAAAGGCCAGGCATGGAGGCTCATGCCTATGATCCCAGCAATTTGGGAGGCTGAGGCAGGTGGATCACTTGAGGTCAGAAGTTTGAAACAATCCTGGCCAAATGGTGGAACACTGTCTCTACTAAAAATACAAAAATTAGCTGGGTGTGGTGGCACGTGCCTGTAGTCTTAGCTGCTCGGGAGGATGAGGCAGGAGAATCGCTTGAACCCGGGAGGCGGAGGTTGCAGTGAGCTGAGATGGTGCCACTGCAGGCTAGCCTGGCGATAACAGCAAGACCCTGTCTCAAAAAAAAAAAAAAAAAAAAAAAAGAGAGACTGGAAAAAATTGAGGTCTTTAAATATTGACTTATGCCAAGCATTAAAAGCAATTCTCTAATTTTTTTCTTTTACATAGTTCAGTAAATTTTAATAGATTATATTCCATATTCCAATGTATTTATTGCTAATTTATTCCTAGGCAATCTGCATGTAGACATAAATTTCCTCTGTAAAATGAATTTCTTATATAATTTTCATTTTTCTTTTGATAATGTAAAAGAAAGATGTTATTTGTTTTATGCTGACCTTACAATTAACCATGTTCTATACAATCTTATTAGTTCTTTTTTTTTTTTTTTTTTTTTTTTTTTTTTGAGACAGAGCCTGGCTCTGTCGCCCCGGCTAGAGTGCAGTGGCGCGATCTCGGCTCACTGCAACCTCTGCCTCCCAGGTCCAAGCAGTTCTCTGCCTCAGCATCCAGAGTAGCTGGGATTACAAGCACCCACCATCATGCCTGGCTAATTTTTGTATTTTTAGTAAAGACGAGGTTTCACCATCTTGGCCAGGCTAGTCTTGAACTCATGACCTCATGACCCACCAGCCTTGGCCTCCCAAAGTGCTGGGATTACAGGTTTGAGCCACCATGCCTGGCCTAGTTATTTTTATCTTAACCATATCATTATGACTTCTGCAATACATAAGAATCTAGATTCTGCTTGATATTCACTCTTTCATGTATTTTCCAGTTTTATTCCTCTTATTTTATTGAAAATCATCTCAAATTTTGCATTTAAAATTAATTATAACAGGCATCCTAGTTTCCAAAATAAAAGATATCTTTCTAACGTTTTGCTTTAAACATAATATACAATATATTTCTCATAGATGTGCTCTATCCAAACAAGAACTTTCAATCTTACGGTTTGTAAGAATTATTATTAAAATTTGGAGTAAATATTTATTTTTTAGTGTATTTTTCTAAAACTGTAGAGATAACTGTATAATCCTCCTTCCTTAATCTTTTAATATGACATGTTTACATAAGTTTTTTAAAGCTGTATTATCCTTGAGTTCCTGATGTAAGTGTTTTTTAATAGAGTAAAAGCCTTACTTAATTTAAAATTTTCATTTTGGCATAATTGCCGACTTACAGAAAAGTTGACTTAATAATACCAATAATTACCATGTATCAAAAGTCCCCAACTGTAACATTGTACTATAATTGTTTATCATTGTCTTTTTCCTTAAAAGACGCAGACATTGTGTTCCTTCAAGGCATTCTCTTAGTTGTACTTGAATCAAAGAAAAAATTCACAGGGAAGTTGGAAAACCTTTCATACTGAAAAATAATGATACTACTATATATCACAATTTGTGGGATGCAAACATAGCAGTATTAAAAAATATTTATAGTCTTGTGTATTGATCCTAAAAAAGATAATGCAAAATCAATTTTCTAAACATCCACGATAAGCTACAAAAACAGATTACATTAAAACTAAAGGAGGAAGAACGGCAACAGCAAATATAAAAGTAGAAATTAAGGACAGAGAAAAATACAAGGAAAAATTTGTTCTGCGAAAGACTGATCTATTTGTTTGACATATGGTAAGTCTAATAACAAAACATACACACACACACTCCAATATAAGGAATTTTTAAAACATTAGTTACAGAATGTACAGAGGTTTATGGTTTATTTCCCAGATAGCTTGTGTTTTTCTAAGTATCTGATTTTTATTTATTTCTAACTTAATATGCTTGTGATCAGAGAATGTACTTTCTATGATATAAAAAGTTCAAATATATTGAGACAACGTATAACTCATCATATATTCTATCTTGTTAAATGTGTGGTAATATTTACCAATGGAAAAAAATATATATATATAGTTAATTGGTCATAAATGTCAAATATTTATTTCTGTTTTATTTTTTAACTTTTCTTTTTTCATACTGATATTCATTTGATCAAGTGGTGATGGAAAGGTGTTAAATTGTCTTTATTTTAATAGTTTTTAGGGGAAGAGGTGGTTTTTGGTTACATGATAAGTTATTTAGCAATGGTTTCTGAGATTTTGATGCACCCATCACCCAAGCAGTGTACACTGTACAGAATGTGTGGTCTCCTTCACCCTCCTACCACCCTTCCTTTCAAGTCCCCAAAGTCCATTATATCATTCTTAGGATTTTGTGTCCTCAAAGCTTAGCTCCCATTTATAACTAAGAACATGCAATGTTTGATTTTCCACTCCCGAGTTACTTCACTTAGAATAATAACCTCCAAGTCCATTCAGGTTGCTGCAAATGCCATTATTTCACATTTTTTTCTTTTCTTTTCTTTTCTTTTCTTTTTTGGAGCCAAAGTTTCACTCTTGTTGCCCAGGCTGGAGCACAATGGCACGATCTTGGCTCACTGCAACCTCTGCCTCCCAGGTTCAAGCAATTCTCCTGCCTCAGCCTCCCAAGTAGCTGGTATTACACGTGTCTTCCACCACACCCAGCTAATTTTTGTATATTTAGTAAAGATGGGGTTTCACCATGTTGACCGGGCTGGTCTTGAACTCCTGACCTTAGATGATCTGCCTGCTTCGGTCTCCCAAAGTGCTGGCATTACAGGCATAAGCTACCGTGCCTGGCCTATTATTTTATTTCTTTTTATGGCTGGGTAGTATTCCGTGCCACATTTTATCTATTCATTGGTTGATGGGTATTTAGACTGGTTCCATATTTTTACAATTGCAAACTGTGCTGCTATAAACATGCATGTGCATGTCTTCTTCATATAATGAAATATTTTCCTCTAGGTAGATACCCAGTAGTGGGATTGCTGAATCAAATGGAGGTTCTACTTTTAGTTGTCTAAGCAATCTCCATACTGTTTTCCACAGTGGTTATACTAGTTTACATTCCCACCATTAATGCAAAAGTGTTCCCTTTTCACCACATCCATGTCAGTATCTATTATATTTTGAAAGTATGGCCATTCTTGCAAGAATAAGGTGATATCTCAGTGTGTTTTTACTTTGCATTTCCCTGATAATTAGTGATGCTGAGCATTTTTTTCATATATTTGTTGGCCATTTGTATATCTTCTTTTAAGAATTTTCTATTCATGTCCTTAGCCCACTTTTTGATGGACTTTTTTTTTGTCTTGCTGATTTGTTTGAGTTCCTTGTGGATTCTGGATATGAGTTTTTGTCTGATGTATAGATTGCAAAGGTTTTCTCCTACTCTATGTGTTGTCTGTTTGCTGATTATTTCCTTTTGCTGTGTAGAAGCTTTTTAGTCTAATTATGTTCAATCTATTTATCTTTGTTTTTGTTGTGTTTGATTTTGGTTTCTTGGTCATGAAGAACCAAGCCGATGTTTTTAATGTTTTTTCCAATCTTATCTTGTAGAATTTTTATGGTTTATGATATTAAAGTCTTTGATCCATCTTGAGTTGATTTTTGCATAAGATGAGAGATGAGAATTCAGTTTCATTCTTCTTCATGTGGCTTTCCAAATATTCCATTCCCATTTGTTGAATAGGGTGTCTTTTCCAAACTTTATGTTTTTATTTGCTTTGATGAAGATCAGTTGGCTGCTAAGTGTTTGGTTTCATTTCTGGGTTCTCTATTCTGTTTCATTGGTCTATGTACCTTTTTTTATACCAGTACCATGTTGTTTCAGTAAGGATAGCCTTGTAATATAGTTTGAAGTTGGGTAATGTGATACATCCAAATTTATTATTTTTGTTTGGTCTTGCTTTGGCTAGGCAGGCTCTTGTTTTGGTTCTATATGAATTTTAGGATTGTTTTTTCTAGTTTTGTGAAGAATGATGATGGTATTTTGATGAGAATTGCATTGAATCTGTATATTGCTTTGCAGAGTATGGTCATTTTCACAATACTGATTCTACCCAGCCATTAGCATGAGATGTGTTATCTATTTGTTTCTGTGGTCAATGGTATCTTTCAGCAGTGTTTTGCCGTTTTCCTTGAAGAGATCTTTCACCTCCTTGGCTTTGGATGCTCCTAAGAGATACATATGTATATAATATGTATATATGTATTATACATATACATACTTACATATGTATAATACATATACATACGTACGTATGTATAACACATATACATATGTATATGTATTACATATGTATATTATATACATATCATATACATATGTATATGTATACATATGTATATTATATGTATATGATATGTATTACATATGTATATTATATACATATCATATACATATGTATATGTATTACATATGTATATTATATACATATCATATACATATGTATATGTATTACATATGTATATTATATACATATCATATACATATGTATATGTATTACATATGTATATTATATACATATCATATACATATGTATATGTATTACATATGTATATTATATACATATCATATACATATGTATATGCATTACATATGTATATTATATACATATTATAATACATATGTATATGCATTATAATATGTATATTATATACATATACATATGTATTATAATATGTATGTTATAATACATATACATATGTATTATAATATGTATATTATAATACATATACATGTATATATGTATAATACATATACATGTATATATGTATTATACATATACATGTATATATGTATAATACATATACATGTATATATGTATAATACATATACATGTATATATGTATAATACATATACATGTATATATGTATAATACATATACATGTATATATGTATAATACATATACATGTATATATGTATAATACATATACATGTATATGCATAATACATATACATATCCATATATGTATATTATATGCATAGACATACCCATATATGTATATTATATGCATAGACATATGTATATAATATGTATATTATATGCATAGACATATGTATATAATATGTATATTATATGCATAGACATATGTATATGTATTTTATATGCATAGACATATGTATATATTATATGCATAGACATATGTATATACATATATTTATGTGTGTGTTTATATACATATATATGTATATTGCAGTTGTTGTAAAAGGGATTAAGTTCTTGATTTGATTCTCAGCTTGATTGTTGTTGGTGTATAGCAGTGCTAATGATTTGTGTATATTGATGTTTTGTGTCCTGAAACTTAAGTGAATTTATCAGATCTAGGAGCTCTTTAGATGAGTCTTTAGAGTTATCTAGATACACAATTATATCATTGGAAATCAGTGACAGTTTGACCTCCTCTTTACTGACTTGGATGCCCTTTCTTTCTTTCATCTGATTGCTCTGGCTAGGACTTCCAGAACTAAGGTTAATAGATGTGGTGAGTGGGCATCATATTCCCGGGGGAATGCTCTTCAACTTTTCCCTGTTCAGTCTGATGTTGGCTGTGGGTTTGTTATAGATGGCTTGTATCATATGCCCCTTCTATGCCAATTTTGCTGAAGATTTTAACCATAAAGGGATTCTGAATTTTGCCAAATGCTTTTTCTGTGTCTATTGAGATGATCATATAATTTTTGTTTTTAATTATGTTTACATGATGTATCACATTTATGACTTGTATATGTTAACCCTTCCCTGCATACCTGGTATAAACCCCACTTGAAATCTTTAGATTATGAATTTGGCTGTTCATTTTTAGCTATGTAAAATTTTACTTTATATAATTTGAAGTTATATTATTAAGAGCATATGCATTTCAAATTGTTTTGTCTTTTAAATGAATCAGTTATTTTATCATTATAAAATGTTTCTCTTTCACTTTTGTACTGTTTTTCCTGTGAAGTCTACTTTGGCTGGTATTCACATTAGAATTCATATGTTTTTATAACACTGGAACTTATTCCAGACACATGGCATAATAAGGACTAGGTTTGTACTCTTGCCTTAAATAAACTAAGAAAATTTTGATAAAATATACATATCAATGGTCTTCAGACAGCGAACATCAGATAGTATAGGACAGTGACCTTGAGACAGGGAAAATGAAGGTATGAACTAAATCATCCATCCATCTTATTGCCTTTATTGAACACAGAATAATTTTTCTGAGATTGGATCAATAGAAGTATAATCGCAAATACAAGCAAATGGATATAGCACATTAAAGAGGTATTAAATTTTTTATGCACAAGAAACAGTATCAAAATGAGTTAAATTTACATTCAAGTCTTTAATTCATCCTGAGTCTTTTTTTTGTATATGATGTAAAGAAGGGGTCAGTTTCAATTTTCTATATGGCTAGCCTCTTATCCCAGCATCAATTACTTAATAGGGAGTCCTTTCCCCATTGCTTGATTTTGTCTGGTTTGTCAAAGATCAGACGTTTGTAGATGTATGGTCTTATTTCCGAGTTCTCTGTTCTGTTCCACTGGTTTATGTGTCTGTTCTTGTACAAATACCATGCTGTTTGGCTTACTGTAGTCCTGTAGTATAGTTTGAAGTTGGGTAGTGTGATACCTCCAGCTTTGCTCTTTTTGCTTAGGATTGCCTTGGCTATTTGGGCTCTTTTATGGTTCCATATGAATTTTAAAACTGATTTTTCTAGTTCTGCAAAGAATGTCAGTAGTAGTATAACGGGAATAGCATTGAGTCTATACATTGTTTTGGGCAGTACGGCCATTTTAACAATATTGATTCTTCTTATCCAGGAACAGGGAATGCTTTTCATATTTGTTTGTGTCATCTCTGATTTCCTTGGGCAGTGGTTTGTTGACTGTAAAAACATCGGAAGACCACCTAGGCTATACCATTCAGAACATAGGCACAGGCAAAGATTTCATGGTGAAGACACCAAAAGCAATTGCGACAAAAGCAAAAATTGACAAATGGGATCTAATCAAATTAAAGAGCTTCTGCACAGCAAAAAGAAAAAAATAAACTAACATGAGAACTAACAGACACCTACAGAATGGGATAAAATTTTGGAAAAATATGCATCTGACAAAAGTCTAACATCCAGCATCTACAAGGAACTTAACCAAATTTACAAGAAAAAAACAAGGCCATTAAAAAGCAGGCAAAGGACGTGAACAGACACTTCTCAAAAGATGACATACATGTGGTCAACAAGTATATTAAAAAAGTTCAACATCGCTGATCATTAGAGAAATGCAAATCAAAACCACAATAAGATACCAACTCATGCCAGTAAGAAGGACCATTACTAAAAAGTTAAAAAGCAGATGCTGGTGAGATTGTGGGGAAAAGGGAACACTTTACATGGTTGGTGGGAGTGTAAATTAGTTCAACCATTGTGGAAGACAGTGTGGTAATTCCTCAAAGACCTAAGGACAGAATTACCATTCGACACAGCAATCCCTTTAATGTGTATATGCCTAAAGGATTATAAATTGTTCCATTGCAAAAAGACATGCATGCATATGTTCCTTGCAGCACTATTCACAAGAACAAATACATGGAATTAATCCAAATGCCCATCAATGATAGACTGGATAAAGAAAATGTGGTACATATACACCATGGAATACCATGCAGCCACAAAAAAAATGAGATAATGTCCTTTGCAGGGACATGGATGCAGTTGGAGGTCATTATTCTAAGCAAACTAAAGCAGGAACAGAAAACCAAATACTGCATGTTCTCACTTTTAAGTGGAAGCTAAATGATGAGAACATGGACACATAGAGAGGAACAACACACACTGGGGCCTATCAGAGAGTGGAGGGTTGGGGGAGGGAGAGAAGCTGGAAACATAACTAACAGATACTAGGCTTAATACCTGCGTGATGCAATAATCTGTACAATCAGCCCCCATAATGCACGTTTACTTATGTAACAAACCTGCGTACCTTACACATGTACCCCAGTCAAAAAATAGAAGTTTAAAAAAGAACAAAATGAGTTAAATTATTGGAAAATTATTTCAAATCAAATTACACATAGCAACGTGTTAAGATCTACTCACTGTAAAGAGCTCTTTTACTCATCTGACAAGCATTTAGTGTAAGTGTTCTATTCGCTAGGCCATAGGAACTAGAGGCTGGAAAAACAATGGTGAAGAAAATGCCCATGCCACTAAGAAATTTGTGTGTGTGTATATATATATATATATATATATATATGTATGTATTTATTAGAACAAATTAAGACATTATTGAACAATGGTGCAAACAGCAATTAACAATAACAAAAGGCTAAGATACAAAATTATTAAAATAATAATAACCCAACAATTTTTAAATTGGGAGTCAACATAAAAAGATATTGAAGAGATCCAAATGTCAAAATGTGTGTGTGTGTTGGGGGGGATAGAGTTACAGGGTAATAAATGTTTATAGCTCTTTGTTTCTCTCCTTTTTGTTCTTTGCAATCAAACTTAAGTTTTCCTCAGTTTAAAACCACTGGTTACAATGATATTCTTTAGCCTCATGGTAACTAGAAAACAAAATTCAGTAACAGACACCCTAAAAATAATAGACACCTAAAAAGCAAAGAATTAAATCACACTCCCAGAGAAAATTACCTCACTATAAATACAGACAGGAAGAAAGGGAAGGAGGGAGGAAAGGAAAGGAAGAAAGAAGGAAGGAGAGAGAGAACAGAAAGAGGAAGAAATGAGGAGAGAAATAAAAGAAAAAAGAGAGTAGCAAAACGACCAGAAAACAAGTAAAAGTGGCAGTAGTATGTTTTTACTTGTTAGTAATAACCTTGAATATAAATGAATTAAATTCTCCAATTAAGACAGAGTGGCTGAATGGATTTAAAGACAAGATCCAACTATATACTGCCTACAAGAAACTCAGTTCACCTATAAAGACATACATAGACTGAAAATGAAGGGATGGTAAAAGATATCCCATACAAATGGAAACAAAAAAGCAAGAGTAGCTATACTTATATTAGATAAAATACAAAGATAATTATATAATGAGAAAGAAATCAATACAGCAGTATCACAATTATAAGTGCAAATGCAACCAACACTGAAGCACCTAAACACAGAAGCAAATATTAACAGACCTTAAAGAACAGATGGACTGCAATACAATAATAGAGTACCTCAACACTCAACTATAATCAACACCCCACTATCATCAATGAACAGATCACCCAAACGACAAAAAATCGTCAGTTAAACTGTAATCTCTACTGAATGGACCTAACATTTACACAGCTTTCCACTCTGCAACTGCACAATGCACATTCTACTGAGTAGCACATGGATTATTCTCCAGGACAGACTATGTGTTAGGCCAAATAACAAGTCACAGCCCATTTTTAAACACTGAATTCATATCAAGCATCTTTTCTGATCACAGTGGAATAGTATGAGAAATCAGTAACAGGAGGAACTTTAAAAACTGTACAAACATATGGAAATTAAAATACATGTTCATGAACAATGAATAAAGAAATAAAAAAATTAAAAATTTATTGAAATAAATAAAAATAGAAACACAACATAACAAAACCTGTGGGATGCAGCAAAAGCAGTTGTAAGAGGAAAAGTGCATAGCTATAAATGCCTACATCAGAAAAGTAAAAAGATCTCAAATAGCCAACTTAACAGTACACCTCAAGTAATGAGAAAAACAAAAATATCAAATGTTAAAATTAGTAGAAAGAATATCAGAAAGATTAGAACAGAAATTTTACAAATAGAAACAAAAAATATAAAATACAAAAAAATACAAAGAGCCAATGGAACAAAGAGCTAGAGGGGTTTGAAAAAAAAATCAAAATTGACAAGCTTTAACTAGACTAAGGGAAAGAGAAAGAAAGCCAAAATAAAATCATAGATAAGGCTAGGCATGGTGGCTCACACCTGGCATCCTAGCACTTTGGGAGGCCGAGGCTGTTTGGATCACTCGAGGTCAGGAGTTTGAAACGAGCCTGGCCAACATGGTGAACTCTCTCTACTAAAAACACAAAAAATTACCTGGGTGTAGTGGGAGGTACCTGTAATCCAGCTACTGAGGAGGCTGAGGGAAGAGAATGGCTTGAACCCGGGAGGTGGAGGTTGCAGTGAGTCAAGATCATGCCACCGCACTCCAACCTGGATGACAGAGGGAGACTCTCTTTGACATGCTTGAACTTTATGACTTGTCCTATCTTTCCCTATTTCCTAAATAATTAGTCATTCTACTTTAGGACAAGAATTTGCCATACCAGCTCCTCTCTCATGTAACATTTCTTCATAACATTTCTAACCATAAACACATCTTCATATCCACAATTTTCTTTGTATCTCTCCTCCCTACTAATTTCTTATGCCCACCCAAATCAAACAAGATCAGGTAATGCAAGGCAAAACAATAGAGCCTTAGATTTTGAGAGGGACCTGTCTGCCTACAGTTCTTGGGATTACATGAGGAAAAGAGAGGTTTCTCCTAAAAGGGGGTCTGTGGCACCTTCTGTTTTTCCCATGGATTCTCAGGCTGTCAGAAATTATCTCAGGTCCTCTCATGTGGGCACCGAGAGTGGCAACAAGACAGACTAGGAAAGTAATTCAGACAACTAAGAAGAAAAAGAAAAACTTAGTACTACTTTCATTGTAAAGACAGATAAACTGAGGCACCATGCAGTTTAAAATTTTATGTTCACATAGTGTTAGACTCCACAGCTCTCTCTTTTAACCATCCTGTAATTCTGCTAACTCTATGTCCGTCACTGATTCACTTGTATGGTAGCTCGTGGGCCCCTTAGAGCTTGGAACCTGGGTTTCATTTCCTGCTCTACAGCTATATAATTTAACAATTTTCCTCTGGATTTGTTGGCTTCTAACGCTATATATCCCAAATTTTATTAGTATTACTGAATATTAACGGAGGCTGTGATATCTTTAGTCTGTAGAAATATTAAACAACCTACGAAGGACTATATGAGGTTAAATAGTATTAATATTTCTTTATGCTTTAAAACATTGAGGCAATATATTGAGAAACACACCTAAGAAACAGCAACCAATCCATTCTGGACCAAAATTTAGACACTATCTCTTCAATATAAGCTATCTAGTGGCATTTTTACATATCCTTACACATATCAACAGTATTTTACATGCTCATAACCTTAAAAATAAAAAGTGTCAAAATTATAGACCTTACGCATTCCTGTGGGCTTGAAAAATGATACAATATAGATTGTTTCTTTAAAGTAGTCAATAAAATGCATAAACTTCTAGAGTACTCACTAAAAAAAAAGATTTCATACCAAAGGTAGTAATACCAGAAATAAAAAAGGGCTCAACACTGCAGGTTCTTGAAGGCAAAAGTTAATAAAGACTTTGTTTTGGTTGTGAATCTTGGCCTTAAAACATTATACACATGATCCTCCCTTCCTTTTCCTGTTGCAAAGATGTGATGAACCAGATTTGCTCATGCAGATGACAATACTCTTGAAAATGGTGGCAGAGAAATAAAATGAAAGGAATACAGTTCACTTAATGAGCTCATAAATTGGAACTAATTACCCCCCTGACTCTTGCATAGCTCTAGACTATGTGAGAGAGATGAAATGGCTGTTTGCTAGCAATATTTTATTTGATGCTTCATTTTTGATTCCTTGAATAACTACTTACAACACATTAACAGGATCATGAAAAGCATAGCTATTCAAGTAACCAAATAATTATGCAATCAATGTTTTTCCTCATCTCTAAAGCATAGTAATGGACTGATTATTTTAAGAATACAACTCGGTGACAAGTAGTTTATGTTTAACTCAGTTTTGGTTTGTTGTTTGTTAAGGCCATTGCTTAGGATAATGAAAACAAGAGGAGGAGAAACAAGAATATAAACAAGAAATAGAAGCAGCAGCATAAGAAAATGAAGAGGAACAAGAAGATGATGATTAGAAGAAGAAAAAACAGACTGAAAGAAAGGAAGAAGAACAGGTGTGGGAATTAGAAAGCCTATTATGATACCTTATTTCCCCTCCTGATTTATGAAATTTGAAAAAATTTCAAGACTTTTCACAACAAAACCAAGCTAAAAGATACACCAATAGTCATCCCCTAAATAAGAATAAGACAATGTTGCCACTCACACCTGGCCCAGGCACCAGCAGGAGGAGGGCACCTCCAGATTCTGCAAGAGAAGGAGGAGGACTCCTCCTTGCCATGGCTGGGCCTCCACTGCTGTCACCTCAGCCCGCGGTACAGCACCCACAGCTGCCTCCCCACTTCAGGCCAGGCTGGGCCCGGTGGGCTCCACAGCATTCCCACTCCCACTTCTCGGATCCCAGACTTGCTGCTGCTGCGACCACTAACACCAACACCAACATGACCACTGCTGCTGTTGCCCTCAATGCATGGGCCCACCCTACAAGCCTCCTACCACCTGGCCCCCGCAGACACTCTCCTACCACTCCACCACTCCGGTCAAGCTGCAGTCTCTGTCTCTGCCACCAACTGCAGCAAGGGGAGCCACAGAACCATGCCATCTGCAGGCTCCAGCCTCCAGCGTGCAACAGATGACTCCTCCAGCTCCTGGCTTGAAGCATCTGGGTGGTAAAAGCCAGATGTGCCTAGAACAGGATGGAAGGAGTGGTAGTGTTAGAGGTTCACCTTGTCATGCTGGTCACTGGGTGGCAGGAGCTGGTTTCGGCAAAGGCACAACTAGGACCTGGGGTGGGTGTGACTGCCTTTGCTGAAACCGGCCTCTGGCTAGGTCCAGCTGGCCAGGAACTGCTGGGCCCACCCTGGCTGCACTCCTTGGTGAGCAGGAGAAGCAGAAACTCAGACCCAGCCAGCTCTCTCCAACCAAGTGCCAGTTCCTGTTTCTGATGCCTCCACCCACAGGGCCCTGTTCCCCCGTGATACCCACTACTCCGTGCCCAGGAGTCCCAGATTGTCTCTGCAACACAGTGAGAGGGTGCAGGCCCGGGAACCATGGCGGGTGTGGGGGCCTTACCGTGCTCAGGATTCCCAAGGAAACATTGTGCACCTGCCACGCTCCAGCACGAGCAAACAGAGGCTGCCCTCTAGAATCCAGAGTCTGGGAAGAGGAGGACGGCCCCTTCCTTGGAGGCCACAGCTATCGCTGCCACCTCCGTAGCCCATTGCCAGAAGCAGCAGTGCAGTGCAAACCCCAATAGTGCCCCCCCACTGGCATGCCACAGGGCATGTAAACCTGATAGTGCCCCCAAACTGCCCCACTGCCTCCAGCAGTGCAGCCAGGGATAGTGCCCCCAACCAGCCCTTGCTGGGGGTAGTGACAGCCCAGATAGTGCCCCCAACCTGCCCCCCTGCCATGACAGTGCAGGAGCTGATAGCACCCCTAACCCTCCCCCCAGCTGCTGGTCAGCCCCCTGTAGCACACACAACCACCCTCACCACCAGGCAGTATAGCCCCCACCAACTCCGCCAACCATGCCCCTGATACCCTTACCGGCAATGTGACCTTGATATTGCTCCTATCCATGGTAGTGCATCCCTGGATAGCTCACCTACCCTGCCACCTTTCTACCATGCTGGCCAAGCTGCAACCTCCGTCACCTCCACCAACCGCAGTGAGGTGAGCCTAGATGCCACAGGATCAAGCCTCCAGCTCGGGGTACATGGCTCCCACTTCCTGTTCTCTAAGCTGAGCTCCCAGCTTCGATTCTGATTGGATGAGAGCAAGTCTTAGGACAACCAATCACAGCATGAAAATAAAGTCCAATCAGAATAGGCCTAGAAGTTTTCTCTCATCCAATCAGAATATGTAGTCCAGGAACCTCATTTGCATAACCTCACATCTAAAGGATGCAGAAGGGGCGTCAGGCCATTCCAGACTCGTGTGTGGCTGCTTGCGCAGCTGCTCCGTGCCAGGCTTGGAGGACCAGGAGAAGGGGTAGTCACTTGCCACAGCTGGAGGCTGGAGCGTGTGGCACCACGGCTCGCCTCGCTGTGGTGGGCGCTGGCGGCAGAGACGGCAGCTCGGCTGGACTGGTAGGAGGGGGTAAATAGTTTTTGGGTAGATGGAGGGATAAAGAGGGTGGTTAGCGGCAAAGGGAAAAGAGGATGGCAAACAGGAGAAGGCATTGCAAAAAGACGCTGGGGAAAAGATGGTTGAAAAAAGTTTTTGGGTAGCTGGGGGGTAAAAAAGGGTGGCATGTAGAAGGAGGAAAGAGAGGGTGGTGGGGGGGGGAAAACGGGGACAAGTAGGAAGGAGAGAAGGTTTACAAAAAGACGGTGGGGAGAAACACGGTGAAGACAACAGAAAGACATTGGGGAAAGAAAAGATGTGTAAAAAGATTTTGGGTAGATGGAGGTGGGAAAGGGTGGCACGCGGGAGGAAGAAAGAGGGTGCAGAGAGTGGGGGGAAGAGAGAGAAGGTGGTGAGCAGAAGGGAGAGAAGATTTTGTGAAAAGTCGATGGGGACAAGATGGTGGGGAAATATTTTTTTTCAGTAGAGAAAAAAAGGGTGGTGAGCAGGAGAAGAAAAAAGGGTGGCGAGTAGGAGGAAGGAGAAGGTTTTGCAAAAAGACGGTGGGAAGAAAAGACAGTGGGGAGAAAAAACTGTGGGAGAAGTTTTTGGGTAGATGGAGGAGAGAAAGGGTGGCAAGCGGGAGAGTGGAAGGACGATTGGGAAAACGACGATGGAAAAATAGTTTTGGGGTAAATGGAGGGCGACAGGAAGGTGGCATGTAAGAGGAGGGGCAGGAATGGGGAAAAGAGGGTGGTGAGCAGAAGGCTTTGCGAAGAGATGGTGAGGGGGGAAAGACAGTGAGGAAGAAAGTTTTTGGGTAGATGGAGGGGGTAAAGAGGGTGGTGAGCAGGAGGGACAAAAGAGGGTGGCAAGTAGAGGGAGACAAGGTTTTGCCAAAAGACCGTAAGGAAAAGACAGTGGGGAGAGAAAAGTTTTTCGGTACATGGAGGGGGAAAAGAGAGTGGCAAGCGGGAGAACGAAAAAGAGGATGGCGAGTGGGAGGGAGACAAGGTTTTGTGAAAAAGATGGGTAGAAAAGACAGATGATGGGGAAAGAAAAGATAGACGGTGGGTAAAATGTGGGTAGATGCAGCGGGAAAAGAGGGTGGCAATTGGGAGGATAAAAGAGGGTGGCGAGAGGGAGGAGGGAAAGAGTTGGGAAAAAGACGATGGGGAAAATAGTTTTGGGGTAGATGGAGGGCAAAAGGAGGATGGTAAGGATAGAGGAAAGAAGAGGGCGTTTTTGGGTAGATGGAGGTTGGAAAAGCGGGTGGCGAGCAGCAGGAATGGGGAGAAGGCTTTGGGAAAATATGAGGGAAAAGTTTTTGGGTAGATGGTTGGCGAAAAGGGTGGTGAGCAGGAGAGTAGAGAAGGCTTTGCGAAATGACAGTGGGGAAAAATAGTGGGAGAAATGTTTTGGGGTAGATGAAGAGAAAGGGTGGCGAGAGGGAGGGGGCCAAAGGTGGTTGAGAAAAGAAGGTGGGGGACAAAGTTTTTGGGTAGAACTTTTTCTGAGTTTTAAATCAAATTATTTGTATTTTTGCTTTGAGTAGTTTTAGTTTTTTATATATTTTTTGTTGTGTTAACCCCTTGCCTGATGCATAGTTTGCAAATACTTTCTTCGGTTCTCTGGATTGTTTCTTCATTCTATTGATTGTTTTCGCTACTTTGCAGAAGCGTTTAAGTTTAATGCAACTGCATTTTGTCTATTTTTGCTTTTTGTTGCTTGTGTTTTTGATGTGTATTTGAAAATCCCTTGTAACCAATTTCACGAGGCATTTTCCTATGTTTTCTTCTCTAGTAGTTTCATAGTTTCATGTCCTACATTTAAATCTTTATTTTCAGTAGATGATAAGATAACAGCCTACATGTATTGTGGGTGTTGGATTTTCCTAGCAGTTTATTGAAGAGATTGTCCTTCCCGAATGTGTGTTTTTGGTGCCTTTGTTAAAAGAGTTGACTGTAAAAGCTTGAATTTATTTTTGAGTTCTCTATTCTGTTTCATTTGTCTATGTCTGTCAGTCATTGGTCTGTGTATCTCTGTCTCTCTCTCGCTCTGTCTGTCCCCTACCTATTTTTTTTCTTTTGCCACTACCATGCTGTTTTGGTTACTAGGTTTGTGGTATATTTTGAAATCAGGTAGTGTGATGCCGCCAGCTTTTTTCTTTTTATTCAAGATTCTTTTGTCTATCTGAGGTATTTTGCATTTCCATGTGAATTTTAGGATTTTTTTTTTTTTTTTTTGAGACGGAGTCTCGTTCTGTCGCCCAGGCTGGAGTGCATTGGCGCGATCTAGGCTCACTGAAGGCACTGCTTCCTGAGTTCAGGCAATTCTCCTGCCTCAGCCTCCTGAGTAGCTGGGATTACAGGCGTGCGCCACCATGCCCAGCTAATTTTTGTGTGTGTAGTAGAGACAGGGTTACACCATGTTGTTCAGGCTGGTCTCAAATTCCTGACCACGTGATCCAGGCGCTTTGGCCTCCCAAAGTGCTGGGATTACAAGCATGAGCCACCATGCCTGGCCGTTTTTTTTTTTCCTATATCTATGAAGAATCTCTTTCCTAATTTAACATGGATTCCATTGATTCTGTAGATCACATAGGGTGATACAGATATTTTAACGATATTCTTCTAGTGCTTGGACATGGGATATCTTTACATTTACTTGTGTCTGCTTTAATATATTTCGTCTATGTTTTATAATTTTAATTGTGGGATCTTTCGCCTTTTTGTTAAGCTTATCTCTAGGTATCTTTTTTGGGGGGCATTGGGTAACTACTGCAATGAAATAGCTTTCTTGATTTCTTTCTTAGGTGTTTCACTATTGGTACATGGGTGTGCTACTCATTTTTATATATTGATATTGTATCTTGCAACTTTATGAAATGTGTTTATTATTTCTAGTAGGTTTTTTTGTGGAATCTTTAGGGTTCTGCATATGTGTATGATTATGTCACCTGCAAACAGAGACAATTTGACTCCCTTTATTTCCATTTTGGATGCCTTTTATTGCATTCTCCTATCTAATTCCTCTAGCTAGGACTTCTAGTACTGTGATGAATACAAGTGGTAAAAGTAGCCACACTTGTTCCAGATCTTAGAAGAAGAGCTTTTAACTTTTCCCCATTGATTATGATGTTAGCTGTGGATTTGTCATATATGAACTTTATTGTGCTGAGATTAGTTCTACTGTTGAGGCCCTCTCATGCATTTTTCAGTTCATCAGTTGCATTTTTCAGCTTTGAGGTTTCTGTCATCTTCTTAAATTACTTCTATCTCTTTGTTAAATTTCTTTGATAAGTTTCTGAATTACTTCTCTATATTTGATTTTCATTGAGTATCCTCAAAACAGCCATTTTTACTTCCCTGTCTGGAGAGTCTCACATCTTTTTTTTTTTTTTTTTTGTGAGATGGAGTCTTATTCCATCACCCAGCCTGGAGTACAGAGGCACAATCTTGGCTCACTGCAACCTCTGCCTCCCACGTTCAAGAAATTATCCTGTCTCAGCCTCCCAAATAGCTGGGACTACAGGCACCTGCCACCACACCCAGCTAATTTTTGTATTTTTAGTAAAGACAGGGTTTCACCTTGTTGGTCAGGCTGGTTTCGAACTCCTGACCTCAGGTAATCCACCCACCTCAGCCTCCCAAAGTTCTGGGATTACAGGTGTGAGCCACCACACCCAGTTGAGTCTCACATCTTTAGCTTTGGTCACTGGTGACTTATTTATTGTTGTTATTTATTTCCTTGAATGTTCTTAACGCTTTTGAGCATATGTTCATGCCTGGGAGTTGAATAAGTGTGTATTTATTCCACTTTTTGCAGTCTGTTCTTGTGTGTGCTTGTCCTTCTTCAGTCTTCCAGAAATTCCAAGAAATTCAAGACTGTTGAGTTCCCCAAGCCTGTGGTCACTGCAACTGTTACAGCACCAGAGGGCACCTTAAGCTCAGGTTCACCATGACTTTTGCAGACTGAGGTCCCTGGTGGCCGTGACACACTTGGAGAAGATAAGGGAGGGGTTCCCTGGGTTCCCAGACAAAGTTCTTCTTTCACGTCCATCTTCTTCCCCTTGCAAAGAATCTGGGCACCAGACTTTGTGAATCTGGGCACTCTCATGTGATTTGGGCACTCTCATGGCCACTGCAGCTGGCGCAACACACCTGAAGCCCACAGCCTCCCAGACCAGAGCAGCACTGGGGTTTATCTGAGTCCTGTGGCCACTATATTGCCTGACTGCTGCTGACTTATTTAGGTTTCTAAGCCAGGTTAGTCTGCTGGTGATGAAGCTGGCCTGGGTTTGGGTCCATCCCGCCAGGGTGGCAGAATCCCTTCTCCCTGCAGGGGGGTCTGTAGGTGTCTGGGAGCTCCTGCCTAGGATCAGGGCCACAGTATTCTGCCTGATGCTGTGTCCACTGTGGTAGGGCTGACACCGGGTTCTCCTCTTTCTTGCATAGAGAAGGAATTCTCTCTGCACTGCACTGCCTGGAGTTGGGATTGGGGTAACACAGGCAGCCCTGTGGCCACTGCAGCTGATGTCACATAGGAAGCCCACAGCCTCCCAGACCAGCACATCGTTGGTTGTTGGAGCTCACCCAAGGACCAAAGTGACTCTGGCCTGCCTGCCACTGAAATTTATCTGGGGCCTGAGGCCACTTGAATCAGCTGGTGGTGAAGCAAGTCAGGACTCAGGTTTGTCCCACCAGGGTAGTGGATTCCCTTTTAGACCAAGTTGTGTCTAAATGCTGTATCTATGGGCACTAGCCTGGAACGAAAGGCCATGGGGTTCTGCCCAGTGCTGTCCTTTACTATAGCAGAGCTGCCACTGGGCTCCAAGGCAAAGTCCCACAGACCCTTCCTTGTCCCTCCTGCAAGAGGTGGACACATTCTCTGCACTGCACTGCCTGGGGTTGAGGGAGGGGCAGTGCAGTCACTGCAAGACTGTCTTTTCACCCTCTTTAATGTGTGTTCTCTTGTTTTTAAGCTAAAACCAGGTTCTGTGATCTGTCACCTGCTTTCTTTAGCTCTTGTGAAGGTATTATCTTGTTTGGATTGTTGGACGGTGGTTCAATTTAATATTCCTGCAGAGACACAGTCACTGAGATTCTTTCCTCCATCTCGCTCCACCTCTTCTCATTTATTTAGTTCTTCTTCAGTTTATTTCAACAATGCTTTGGAGGTTTCAGAGTATTAGTTTTGAACTGCTCTTGTTAATTTCTAAATTTATTACTTGTTTTGTTGCTATTATAAATGGGATTGTTTCTTTTATATCATTTTAAGGCAGTTCATTGACAGTATATAGAAATAAAATTAATTTTTAGTATTACATTTATATCTGGAAACCATGCCAAATTTATTATTTTGAATACTGTTTTACTGAATTTCTTAGAATTACATATATACGAGATCATGCCATCTGTAAATATAAATAATTTTATTTTTTTTTCAATCAGGATGTTTTCAATTTTCTATTCTTTACTAAATACACCTCGCTAGAATCCACAGTATAATGTTGAGTAGAATTTGCAAGAGTGGACATTCTTGTAACTAACCCTGCCAGGAAAGGATTCACCCTTTCATTGCAGAGTGTAATGATAGCTGTGGGTTTCATAGGTAACTACCACTAGTTTCAGGAAGTTATCTTACTGTCCATAACTGGAGTGTTTTCATGATGAAAATGTGTAATATTTTCTCAAATGCTTTCTGTCTATTGAGATGCTCATATATTTTGGTCTTTTATTCTGTTAATATGGTGTTTGCATTCATTGATTTTTCAAATATTAAATCAATGGGGCATTCCTGGGGTCAATCACATCTGCACACAGTGCATAATCTATTTTATATGTTGGTGGGTTCAGCTTGGCAGTATTTTGTTGAAGATTTTTGATTTTATAAAACAATTAAAGACACTGGTCTATATTGTTTTGTTATTCAGTTTTGGTGTCAGAGTAATCCTGTTTGTAAAATGAATTGGGAAGTGTTCTCTGCCCTTTTATTTTCTGCAAGGGTTGATGAACAATTGATATTAATTTCTCAGAGTGTTTGATTCACCTGGGAAGCTAGCTGAGATGAGATTTTTATTGTAAGGTTTTAAAATTACAATCCAATGTTTTAACCTTCCATAGATCTACTTATATTTTTAATTTCTCCTTTAGACTGTTTTAGTTTCTGTCATTCTAGGACTTCATTCTGTCTAGGCTATCTTACTTTTTCGGCATAAGATTTTTCATTGCATTCTCTTTTAATCATATTTATTTTGTAATACTGCCAGTGATGTGTTCTCTTTTATTGCTGATTTTAATAATTTGAGTCTCTTCTCTTTTTTTCTTGCTTAGCCTAAGTAAACATTTGCCAATTTTTTTATCTTTCCAAACATTTCATTTTGGTTTATTGATTTTTTCTGTTTCGTATTCCTTATCTTTCTGTTATCCTAACTCTATTTTCCCCCCATCTTTATTTTTTTATTGTTTTTTTGAGACGGAGTCTGGCTCTGTCACCAGGCTGGAGTGCAGTGGCGTGATCTTGGCTCACTGCAACTTCCCACTACGTGGTTCAAGTGATTCTCCTGCCTCAGTCTCCCTAGTAGCTGGTATTACAGGCACACACCACTAGTTCCAGATAATTTTTCTATTTTTAGTAGAGACAGGGTTTCTCTGTGTTGGCAAGGTTGGTCTCAAACTCCTGACCTCAAGCAATCCGCCCGCCTCGACCTCCCAAAGTGGTGGGATTACAGGCATGAGCCACCTTGCCTGGCCAGCTTAACTCTAAGGAAATGTTTATCTTTAGGAACATTGTATTTGGTTAATTAAAATTTTAGATTCTGGAGCATCAACTGTTCTCCTACATGAAAATAAAAGCATGAATTGGGAAATAATGGGTTCCCCAATTTTTTTGTGGGGGGAACAAAACAACTATCCATGTACATACAGTTTTTGGTTCCCCAGATCATTGAGCCAACTTGGCCAAAATAAGTAATCCCTCATTCCTTATCTCAAGAAGGTGGTCTTGCCTTGCTTGGAGATGTTAAAATGAATTCACTGGATGTAGTCACTTTTAAGACTATTAGTTTACTTCATGTCCCATTTTCAGCCAGTTACTGTACCTGGAATAATAGAATCAAATTGTGTCATGCACAGGTAAATAAGTAAATTCTGTCATTTAATATCTAAATTATGTATATATATTTACATATACCTATATTTTACTTGTAATTCGATGAAGATAAGGCTTTGTATGTATGCTCTGTGTAAAATATGCTGTCTATATTCTCATGATTACAAAGAATAGTTTGAGTAATGGAATGTATTTGAATTTTACATATGTCTTTCATTTACTAGCAGAAATAAAATCTTAGCCTTGATTTAGTAAATTCCTCCATTTAAAATAAGATGTTACTTTAGCAGAAACAAAATTTATCTTAATGGGATAATAATTCACTAGTTTACCTCTGATGAGCATCAGCTAATATTTAATCTATTGTGAAATTACACAGCATCAAAATAAAATATAATACAGTTAGTTAAAATAGAAAAATTATCTTATTGATTAATTTAGACATCAGAAGTTAGATTATAAAATCAAGGTATTTTTTGTGTTTGTTTTGTTTTTAGTATATTAGCATATACTACCAAACGTGAACCATAGTAAAAGCTGTTCAGTAACACTTACCATTCCATTTTCAAATAACCCGAGTTTATGTGTCAGGTTGAAAAGCTTTTAGATGAGTGGTTTATGTTACTGTATGTATCCAAATATTTGTATATCATGTAGACAGCCCAAGAACATATGCACGTATGTTAGCTATTGCATAGAATGGTAAAGAATACATTCTTAAAAGAAAGAAGAGAGTAAGATACATTC
Source organism: Homo sapiens (assembly GCF_000001405.40). Taxonomy (NCBI): domain Eukaryota; kingdom Metazoa; phylum Chordata; class Mammalia; order Primates; family Hominidae; genus Homo; species Homo sapiens. The sequence goes on from NC_000021.9 coordinate 13,524,109, forward strand.
ACTTAATGTTCCAAATAGGTCTCTAGTATCTCAAATGTACTATTCACCCATTACTTTCAAACATTATATCAGGGCCAGGCACCATGGCTCATGCCTGTAATCTCAGCCCTTTGGGAAATTGACGTGGGTGGATCACTTGAGGCCAAGAGTTCCAGGCCAGCCTGGTCAACATGGCAAACACCTGTCTTGACTAAAAAAAAAAAAAAAAAAAACTAGGCACGGTGGCACCCCCCTGTAATACCAGTTACTTGGGATGTTGAGGCACCGGAATCATTTGAACCTGGGAGGCAGGGGTTGCAGTGAGCTGAGATCATATTACTGACTCCAGCCTGGGCAACAGAGCAAGACTCTGTCTCAAAAAAACAAAACCAAAAACATTATATCATGGTATGTGATTAATCTGAATTCAAAACATCTTAACATAAACTAAATGAAAATTATACAAAATTTTGCTTGTTTTATTGCATTCTCCTAATTCCTCTAGCATCTATTTAATTCTATTTGTTTTGAATTTACCAACAATTTCACATCTTGCTGAGAATATTTGCACTGATAAATATTTTTGTGATTATTGATTATATTCAAATGCACTCTCATTTTCAAAGCAACATGTATAAAATTATTATTAAAATTGTACATAGCTTGAAATAATGTAATTGTCATGGGATACATTTATATATCATAATTAAAAGCACATTACAATGCTTGTACCTGATCTTAATATTACTTAACCTTAGAAATATAGAATAAATGATAGGAATAATATGGGAGACAAAAGACTGTGTGAAAAGCCACATATTGTATATCTCTATTGTGTTTATTAAACTTTTTTTCCCACTGCACTTACAAGTAAATTTGTCATGGACCATGGTAATTTTTATTGTAATCTTACTGTAGGTACATTCTGTTAGCAGGTTAAATAAAATACATGATCAAAGTCAAAAATATATGCAAGGAAAATATAGAAAATTTAAGTTATAAAAAGCTACTGTTGGTCGCCGGTGGCCGGCAGGCTGGCAGCCCTAACACAGGCAGGGCTGCGAGTGCAGTCACCCAGGTCTGCAGGAGCAGCAGGCCGAGGCCAGCGGAGATGACCCCGATGAGCCCACTTCAGGTCGGGGCTGGGTGTGGGCACATGGTTCCCGGCAGCGTGTGACCCAGTCCTGGCCAGCCGCTGCCCTCTGCGGGCCCCAGGGCTGCGAAGAGGCCTTCTGCCTGGGGCAGTATCAAGGCTGCAGAGTTTTCCTCCAAAGCCACACCTCGACTGGAAGGGGCGAGTTCGAGGACTCTGTGGGTGGTAGCCATGGGCAAATGCAGAGCTGCTGCTGTTGCTTTGCAGTGCCTATAGGACTTAGAGGGCCTGGAGCATCAGTTCCCTGAACAGCACCCAGATCACCCTGTACTGGGGACACAGTTCATTCCCCCCTTCCCTAACTCTGCAGTAAAATCTTGAGGCTGTCATCTGGGGAAGCCACCTTGTCCGTTCAGCCATGAAGACAGAAACAGTGCCATCGTTCCAGGAGACTCCAGCTGGATCCAGCTGTCACCTCAATAACCTGTTGAGTAGGCGGAAGGTGATGGCTGTGGGGGTCTTGCTTGCTGGCTCCTGGTCATACACCTTCTGGTCAGCATGTGGCTGCTGTGCCTTCTGTCTGCATTGCTAGTGGTGCTGGGAGGATGGCTGGGCTCCAGTGTCTCTGGAGTGGCTTCGAGTCCACTGCTCCTGGAAGGCTTCATCCCATTGGCCACCTGTCCTCTATTCCCTGAGACAGAAAGACAACTGGAACAGGAGATCAACTGCACCATCCAGATGTGATTATTTGAGATTTTATATTATCCTGGTACCATTCTGAGAGCCAGGAGCCAGCCTTTGCAGAGGAAATGGAGGCAGCCATGAAAGAGTTGGTCCAGGAGCTTCAGAGGAGGATGAGCATGATGGACCATCATGCTCTTGCTCAGAGTGTTCTGACTCTCTGTCGTTTTTCACCTGCAGAGCTACATTCAGGCAAAGGAGACCACTACAGGGAAGAATGGTCCAGTTGAGCCTTCCCACCTCTGGGAGGCTTACTGCCGGGCTACTGCCCCACATCCTGCTGTGCACAGCCCCAGTGCTGAAGTCACCTATACATGTGGTATTGTGAATTTGTTGCTTCAAGGGCTGGTGCCCAAGTCCCACTTGGAGACTCATACTGGATGCCATGTAGTGGTTGAACTCATCATATGCAGTGTAGTCTTACCATTGATCAGCAGGCTGTCAGATCCTGACTGGATCCACCTTGTCCTCATGGTTATCTTTTCCAAGGCCAGAGATCCAACACCCTGCCCAGCCAGTGGCCCTGAACAGCCCTCAGTGCCCACGTCTCTGCCACTTATTGCTGAGGTACAGCAGCTTCCAGAAGGGAGGGCTCCTTCTCCAGTAGCAGCCCCAGGGTTCCTAAGTAAACAGTGAGCCAGAGATTCCTGCAGGCCCCTCCTCAGAGGTTGAAGGTGGCCACGAAGCTGTAGAGGGAGATTTGGGTGGAATGTCTGAAAAAAAAAAAAGTAGGAAACAACTCATCTCATTTCCTATAGCCAAATACTTGAGGCCCCCTGTTCTTATGTGGAGACTCAGAGCTGGAGTCTCCGCTGTCTGAAGTAGGCTAAGAAACCATCATGCTCATGACTCCAGGCCACTTTCTGTCTGACAGGATTCAGGATGCCCTGTGTGCCCTAGAGGGTTCCCAGGCTCTGGAACCCAAAGGTGGTGAGGGATCTGAAGGAGTAGAGGCTGAGGGTCCAGGGACAGAAACAGAGACAGTCCTGCCTGTCTCCACACTGAACTTCTGCCCAGAGATACAGATTGACATAGCAGACAAGGAGATAGAACAAGGAGAAGTTACCACCTCTGTTACAGCTTTGCTGGAGGGGCTGGAAAAGACCTGCTCCTCACGGCCCTCATGCTTAGAGAAGGATCTCACCAATGATGTGACCTACCTTGATCCTAGTCTGCTACCAGTTCAGTTCTGCTTTCCTCCTCTTCACCTGGTCCTCTCAGCTCAGCCATCTTCAGCTTTGAACCCCTAAGCAGTCCAGATGGCCCAGTTGTCATCCAGAACCTTCATATCACTGGCACCATTACAGCCCAAGAGCTCAGTGGCACCGGATTGCAACCATGCACACGCTATACTGTGAAGTGTGAGACATCCCTTGATGGTGAAAACAGCAGCCTGCAGCAGCTGGCCTACCACACTGTGAATCACCGCTATTGGGAGTTCTTGAATCTGCAGGCCATCAGGAGAAGAAACCAGATCTATGAAAGTTCATTAAAAATGTGAAGGGTTCTAAAAAGCTCTTTCCAGATCTTCCATTTGGAAAACATAGACAGTGACAGAGTAGAAGCCCGAAAGAGCCTCCTATAATAATTCCTGAAGCAATTGTGTGCCATTCCGGAGATCGCTAACAGTGAGGAGGTGCAGGAGTTTCTTGCTGTGAACACAGATGCTCACATTTCCTTTGTCAAGAAACCATTTATGGTCTCTAGAATAGAGAAGATGGTGGTGAGTGCCATTGTGGACAACTTGAAGACAGCATTTCCTTGCTCTGAATCCCAGGGCCCAACAGAGGAGCTGAGTGAGGCCGAGACTGAAAGCAAGTCCCAAACAGAAGGCAAGAAGGCTAGGAAGTCCAGGCTGAGGTTCTCATCCAGTAAAATTTCGCCAGCATTAAGTGTGACTGAAGCACAAGACACGATTCTTTATTGTCTCCAGGAAGGCAATGTGGAGTCCAAGACCCTATCCATGTCTGGGATGGAATCTTTTATTGAAAAACAGACAAAGTTACTGGAGGTGCAGCCAACAGAAGCCCCAGAAAAAGATCCTGAACAACTTCCCAAAGGACATGTGGACAGTTGCTTGTCAGATGCAGCTGTGCCAGCCCAAGATCCCAGCAACAGCGATTCAGGAACAGAGACAGAGTTAGCTGACACAGCCCTGAATCTGCTTCTCTTGCTACTAACAGAACAGTGGAAATGGCTGTGTATTGAAAACATGCAGAAGTTTCTTCGTCTTATCTTTGGTACCCTAGTTCAAAGGTGGCTAGAGGTGCAGGTAGCTAATTTAACAAGTCCACAGTGCTGGGTGCAGTACCTCTGGCTTCTTCAGGAGTCCATCTGGCCTGGTGGAGTTTTGCCTAAGTTTCCACGGCCTGTAAGGACCCAGGAGCAGAAACTGGCTGCTGAGAAACAGGCTTTGCAGAGCCTAATGGGAGTCTTCCCAGATCTCATAGTAGAAATTCTTGGGGTGAACAAATGCCAGCTGAATGTTTAGTCTTGGAGTCACTACAACAACCACTCATCAACAGGCATTTGATTTACTGCCTTGGGGACATTATCCTGGAATTCTTGGATCTCAGTGCCTCTGTTGAGGAGTCCGCTGCTACCACCTCTGCTTAAGATACCCCAGGCAGCCCTAAGAGGATGGGTGTCTCCTCATAGTTGGTTATTCCCGCATCCTTCCCAGGTCAGGGAAGTAGAGTTACTCAGCCACCCAGAGACCAGTGAGGAAGCCTGCATCCTCTGGAAGTAGGCTACAGCTCAGAAGGCCTAGGCTCCCAGTGGCTCAATTCTCTCCCACTTCTCCATTTGTAGCAGGTGACACAGGGTATGTGTCCCAGTTGCATGCACATTTATTTCCATGTCCCTTTTGTGGTGTTGGGATTGTTGTTGGTGAGTAGATTCTGTTTCCTTTGGGAAAAGAAGATGTGAGGTAGAGGAACAATCCCCTTTTGCTTCTCCTTTTGCCGTCCTCCCTGAGATTGTTTGCCAGAACCCTGGCCCTGTGCACAGATGTATTTAATCCACCAGCACACAAGCTCTGGATAGAACAGGAAAAAAGCAATGGCCAGATTTCCTTGGAGGAAAGAACAACCTTCTGAGCTCTCTGTTCCTACCCGGAAACTAAAAATTCATTCTGGGCCATTCTCAAAAACCAGACTCCTGGGTCTTACCTAGTTTCCCAACAGTTCCAGAAGAAGAAGGAGGGAAGAAAATTTTTCAAGGGACTTCTTGCTCATGTGTTGCTGTTTCCCAACACATCAGCCTTATGGAAGATGTCATCAGGCTGCTTCCCTGGAAGGCTACACTTTTCCTTTCCAGAAGACTTCAAAGCTGATTGCAAAAGCTTCTGGTAAATCCACCGCACCCTTCACACCCTTTCCTGAAAGGCATTTGTACCACACATTTTATTTATTGTCTCTCCTCCCAACCCCCTGCCCTAGAGCAACTGGGTTTTTGAATTTGTGACCCTCTCATTATCTTCAGCAAATTTGCATGACAACTTGCATATTCAGCCTCAGCTTTTCCCAGGAGAAGGTAAAGCACTTGCCTCCTGTCTTAAGAATGCAAAAAGAGTAGGAATAGCAAGCTGGGGGAGTGAAATCTCCCTTCATAAGTCTTTGATGGGGAACTTTTATTGCTCTGAACAGGTAAGATTAGCAAACTTACAAGGAATAGCTTCTTCTTTCCTGTTCCTTATGGTTATAATTAGCCTTTAAAGAACTCCAGCAAAGGTGTTCTGTTAGGCCACATCTATTAGAAAGGCAAAGAAATTAGGAATTGCTGGAGGAGAAGGATAAATCAGGAGGAATTGCTGGTAGAAGAGGATGCAGACAGTCACAGGGAAGTGGTATATATTAAGTACACATGAATAGCTGGCAAAAAGGTGTCAGAGATGTTACTCGGAGCCATTTGGCTTCACACTTGCCTGTTAGTGCCTTGCTTTCGCTGAATTACCAGAGCCTACCGCTTGGAGGAAGGTCTTGGAGTTAGACTAATGAGAAGGCAATGGGGTGCCAAAAACAGGTGTCAGAGTTCTCTTAGATTCTGAAGTAGGTGGTGAGCACACAATTAAAGTGGTTTGTGGAAGAAAAAAATGCTTCTCTTACTGAATCTCTTGATTATAGTTTATAATCAAAATTATTGTAAAACTTTTCTCCATTTGTAAGTAATTACACATATAAAGTATCTCCCTCATTCGGTAGATTTCATATTTCTTTCAGAAATGTATATCAAGTATAAAACATTTTGAATTCTAAATTGCACTTAAAATTATTCATTGTTGGTTATATAATTATAACCAAGTACATTAATGACTACATACTGTAAACTTTCTTTGCCATGTGGCACAAATAGTTAATTTACCTTTTCTTTCTCTGTTTATCTATCTTCTATGTCCTAGTCTATTTCAGTTTTCTCTCAAGTAGTGGTTTTCATTGAACTACCAAAAAGTTGCAGGTCAACCACACTTGAAGAAAAACGTGTTAATAACATATAGTTTAAAGCTTTTTTTATTTATAAAATTATATTCCAAATTGTTAAATTAATTTTATTATGCAGACTTGATGTCTGAAAACTTCTTAAAATAGAGAAGTTCACAATATTAGATACTGTGTCTTTCTTCATATAATGACAAAAGACTTCAGTTCTGAAATTTTAGGAAAAGTTTTGCTTTAAGATTAATTAAAACATAAGATTGCATAAGCAGAGAGCATGTAGGTACGGCTATTCTATGGAAAACTTATTTTGTTATTAGAACTGTTAGGAACATCTTTTGAGAATATTCAGGCTATATATGATGCTGCAAATTTATTTTCATAATTGCTATAACTGGCAGGGCAAGCAGATGATATGTTTGTAGCTATCTCGTTGTAAGCACATCTCCAGGAATAAAAAAGGGCCTTAAGAAGAGGGAGGCAGGTGGCACAGTAATCACATCATGAACACAGATGTGGTGGCCCCTGAGAAAGAGTCATGATGACAGCTGCATTCTTTGTTTCTATCTCATATGTAATCTAATTTCAAGGAAGTATCAAAGTGTCGGGGTGGAGAGAGGATAAGAATCACTAGCATGAAATCTAAAGTGCAGTCATCCAGTTGCCTGATGTCTTCTGAGGTGGTTCACCCAGATTCACAATACAGATAATTAAATTCAGAGCTGCAGAGATAGGGAAAATAAGATGTGGAAATAGGCTTCTTCTGAAGTATTATTCAGGTCTCCTCCTTTTCTTCCAAATGCCATCCCCATCAGTATACTCAAGGCATCTGATGGCATTGATGAGCAACTGAAAAATCATTTAATTAATCATCAGGTTCTTTATCCTTACTTAAAAATGTAGAGGCACAAAAGTCATGTGTCAAAATATGCTCTTTTTTAATAGAGTGTGGTCCACTACCCACTGTGTGTCCTCTTAACCTTTCCAGAGTAGGTGTCCTTACAGCATAAATTTAGCATAAAATTAGACACGTTCCAGTATAAAATATAATGAAGACATAATAAGCCAATACTGAATTCTTTAGTGAATCTAGAAAATTCACTTTAATTTTTTTTTCTAGAAAATGGATTTATTTTAGTGTATTTATTTGTTTTTGCATTTGCCTCATGGTTCTGCATGGCTAACTTGTTAAAGTCACAAGATATCGTATATTGGGTGGATTTGCAAGCGATGTTTAGTGTTTTCTTCCCTGATGAACCAACATAACCATCATTCTGCTATGAGTCTATGTTATGAAATATGTCTATGTCCTGCTATTCTCAGGCTTCATTTTTGCCTCTAAATCTTCCAGGTACTGTTGTTTTTGACAATGTAATGGATATTACTTCTTTCTGTGCCTTCAAAATTTCAGTAAGGAAATAAACTGGTTACCAAAAACACCTGTTTGTTAAAATTGGAGTCAAACTTTTTAAAGAAGAGATGTACTTTGTTTTCTTTCCTAAATATTTAAAAATTAATAGGATTTATCCATAGTATAACATGGTTTTAAAAAGTAATTTAACTTTAGTTTTATTGAATACCTATTTGTGTAGTATATTACATTTATTTTTGTTAATATTAAATTTTTTAAAATTTAGGTATAAATTGTGCATTTTATATGATATTTATACCATTATTTTACTTTGGGTTCTCTCATTTAAAATTATAACCAAAGTTACACTGTTATTCATGTTTTGTGCTATGCATTTAATATTTTCATGGATTCCTTTTTTTTCTATTTTCAGCTAGTATATATTGCATTATATTTAAAACCACCACAACAGGTAGGAAATGGGGAGTTGTTACTTGATGGCTATAGAGTTACAGTTTTGTGAGATGGAAAATTTCTGCAGCTCTGTTGCACAGAAATGTGAATATAGTTAATACTTATGATATCTACACTTAACATGATTAAGATAGTCAATTTTATGTGTATATTTTTGCTGTAATTAAAAAATACCATCACAAGTTTGAATGATAAATAACTTATTTTGTATAATATTGAGTGTGTTCACATCAATAAGAAAAGCCTAATATACCAATAAGAAAGAGTTAATCGGACCAGGCATGGTGGCACACACCTGTAATCCCAGCACTTTGGGAGGCCGGGGCAGGTGGATCAACTGAGGTCAACAGTTCAAGACCAGCCTGGGCAACATGATGAAATCCCATCTCTACTAAAAATACAAAAATTAGCTGGGCACTGTGGCCTGTGCCTGTAATCCCAGCTACTCTGGAGGCTGGGGCAGGAGAATCGCTTGAGCCTGGGATGCAGAGTTTGCAGTGTACAGAGATTGTGCCATTGCACTCCAGCCTGGGCAACAGAACGAGACTCTGTCTCAAATGCATACATACATACATACATAAACACATACATCTGTCCATTACAATATTTTAGAGATGTGAAAAAAAGTTGCATAACTGGTGACTTGAATATCTATGTTTTTTTGTAAGCTCTACTAATACATTGAGAGTAGTTATTCAAGGAATAAAACAATGAAGAGTTAATGCTAATTTTATGTTCACATAGAAAGTATTAGTAGCAGAAAGCGATTTCATCTCAGAGAAAAAGGAAATTCTTACATAACATAATGAATGATGCAACCAGGATACAAGAAATTATAACATTATTTTTGTATTTGTCCAAACGTTATTTGAAAATCCTCAGTGCACATACTTTAAGAATTAGGGTTAAGGCCGGGCTTAGTGGCTCACGCCTGTAATCCCAGCACTTTGAGAGACTGAGGTGGGTGGATCACTTTACTTTGAGCCTGTTGGTGTCATTACATGTATGATAGGTCTTTTGAAGGCAACAGAAGGTTGTATCTTGTTTTCTTTCCAATTTGCCACTCTATCTTTTAAATGGAGCAATTAAGCTGTTTACATTCAAGGTTAATATTTATATGTAAGAGTTTGTTCTGTTGTAGTGTCGTTAGGTAGTTTCTTTGTAATCTTGATTGTGTAGTTGCTTTATAGGGTCTGTTAGCTTTATATTTATGTGTGCTTTTATGATAACAAGTATCATTCTTTCGTTTCCATTTTTAGAACTCTTAAAAATTTTCGTAGGACTGATTTGGTGGTAACAAATTCCCTTAGCATTTGCTTGTCTAGAAAAGACATTAGTTCTTCTTTGTTTATAAAGCTTAGTTTGGTGGGATGTATAATTCTTTGTTGGCATTTATGTTTTCTTTCAAAATGCTAAAAATAGACCCCCAGTCTCTTCTGGCTTATAAGGTTTCTGCTGAGATGTCCACCATTAGTCTGATGGTATTCCCTTTATGGGTAATTTGGCCCTTTTCTCTAGCTTCCTTTGAGATTTTTTTTTATTTCACATTAATCATGAATAGTCTGATGACTATTTGCCTTGGGAATGGTCATATTGTTTAGTATCTCTCAGTAGTTTTCATAATTTCATATATCTGGATGGCAATGTCTCTAACAAAATTGGGGAAATTTTATTTAATTATTTCCTGAAATATGCTTTCCAATTTGCTTACTCTTTCTTCTTCTTTCTCAGGAATGCCAGTAAGTCATAGGTTTTTGTTGTTTAACATAATATCATATAATATTTCTTGAAGACTTTGTTCATTTTTTAAATTCTTTCCCTCTCTTTTTGTCTGACTGAGTTAATTTGAAACGTGGTCTTTGAGCTCTGGCATTCTCTATTCTGCTTGTCTAGTCTGCAATTAAGTCTTCTGATTGTATTTTGAAATTCCTGTAGTAAATTTTTCAATTTCAGAAGTTCTGTTTGGGTTTTCATTAATATACCTATGTCATCTTTCATATCCTGAATCATTTTCCTGTTTTTTTTTCTATTGGATTTCAACATCCTCTTGAATATTGAGTTTCCTTACAACCCATACTTAGAAATTTTTAATTTGTCATTTCAGACATTTCAATCTGGCTAGGTTTCAGTGCTAAAGAGCTAGTGCAATCCTTTGGAGATGTTGAAACACTGTGATTTTTTGTACTGCTGGAGTTCTTATGCTGATTTTTCTCATCTAAGGAAAGTGTTGTTTCTTATTTTTGAATTTGTATTGTTTGGATGGGGCTCTTTATTTTTTTTTCCCTTGAGGGTGTAACTGTGGTGGATGTTATGTATTTTGGCTTAGTTTCTGAATGCTTTTGGTGGGCGACAAGGCTCTACATGTTGGTTGTGGATATGTGGATACGTTTTGTGTGGTGGCTTTATCAGATATTGTTTGGTATAGCCATGTATTTTTTATTTGATGGTGCATTTCAGGCTGTAGTCCAGTATATAGCACTTAGGAGTATGATATGGCAGGTAAGCTGCTGCCCATTGGATGAATTTGCACTGATGAGCATGGTGGGAAGAGATCATGATGGAGTGCCCTGAAGCCTCCAGGAAAGAGATGGAGGGGTGCACCAGCTCTTCATCCTGAACTAGAAGAAATGCAGTCTGCTTCCCTATCATATCCCTGTCACAGGTCTCATGACCTTGTTTGTAAAATCTTCATCCTTTAGTTCCCAGCACAGTGCCTTTGTGGGCCATGGATCTGCCTCTCTGATGGCTACCACTATAACGAGGGTCAGGGTAGAACCTCTTCCTCCAGTACAGGACACACAACTTTGTAGTCTATCCTCTGTTGTCAGGGTGCTGCCACTCTGTGTTGGAAGGGGGAGTTGGACCCCACCCCTTGTGAAAGCCACAGCAGGCACAGTCTCATTTTCAGCAGGGATGGATCCACCACCCCTGCTGAAAGCACAAAGAATCACTTTCTTTCAGTGCACACTCACCAGCTCTTGCAGGAAGAACTGCTACTGCATTCATAACAGTGTACGGTGGATGAAAGGTGGGAGACGATCTTCTTCTTCATAATTATTCCTGGATATTGATGCTGTCTCACTCCTCATTTGGTGCCACATCTGTATTTCCTTTGTCCCAGGGAGTACTTTCGCAGGCTGTGCTCCCCAGCTCCTTAAAGGGGTGGCTCCATGCTGAGAGTAAGATCTCCAGAGAACCTACAATACCCCAGGCACCCACTGGTCCCCTGTGCTTGCCAAAGTCAGAGCAGGTTGTAGAGTATATTTGCAGGTGGTCTGGTGGTGCAATGACTTAAGGGCAGAGGATCCTTGGGAAGGAAAGTGACACACTGGTGCACAACCAGTATGGTGCCCACCATCTCAGTTCAGGTCCAAGGGGAGAGTGGGTATGGCTGTGCGAGCTGGCCACTGGTTCTGTGTTCTCAGGAAATTCTCTAATCATCACTGATTGTGTTGCCCTGGCTAGCAAGCGCAAAGGGGCTCCCCAACCGTTTAGCACTCGGCAGGTCGTCAGAGGGGTGTAGAAAGAAGCAACTTCTACCTACCATTTTGGCTGAGCTCTGAGTTGCTCAGAGGTTGATATCAGCCAGAGTCTTGCTGCATTCTTCTTCTGGGCTTCAACTTCTTCGCGTGGTTACTCCAACAGGTCCTCACTTCTCTATATTTTCCATTCAAAACTTGTTCATTCACTGGTAACTTTGATCTTTCTGAGAAGAGCTGGCATGTAATTTCCCCAGTCAGCTTGAAAAAAAAAAAAAACTTTTTGTTTTCAGAATGTATACATTTATCACTATAAATTTTCTCCTTAGTACTGCTTTTGCTGTATCCCATTAGTTTTGGTATGCTGTGTTGTCATTTTCATTAGTCTGTAAATATTTTCTAATTTCTACTGTGGTTTCTTCTTTAATCAACTGATGGTGTAAGAGTGTGTTTAATTTCCACGATTTTGTCAGTTTTCCAGTTTTACTTCTGTTATTGACTTCTCACTTTAATTCATTGTGTTCAGAAAAGATATTTTGTGTGATAGCTATCTTTTAATTCTCCTGAGACCTAATTTGGGCCTAACATATTTTCTGTCTTGGAAAATATCCCATATACACTTGAGAAGGATGTATATGCTGTTGTTGGGTAAATATTCTGTATATGTTAGAACAATTTGGTTTATTCTCAGTCCTCTATTTTCCTTACCTATCTTCTGTCTGGTTGTTTTATCCATATTGAAAGTAGGGTATTGAAGTCTTAAACTGTTATTGTAGAATTGCTTATTTCTCCCTTCCATTATGTCAGTTTTTGCTTCAAATATTTTGATGGTTTGTAAGCGTTTATGATTGTTATATCTTCTTACTATATTTAACCCTTCATCAGTATATAATGTCCTTTTATGTCTCTTGTAAACATTTTTATTTAAATCCTAATTTTTCTGATATTAGTATAGCCACCCCTGTTGTCTTTTGACACAACACCCTACTCTCTTGACTTACCTAGCCAGGTTTTAGTGAAAAATCCTGTTAAGTCAGTTTGGTAAGAATCCCTGCAACCTTGAAATCAAATTTGTTTTTTTACTGCCAACCTTTGATAGCTAAGTTCTTGGCCAGCCTTTAACAAGAATCCTTCTAAGCCAACCAGTGATCTCTGACTGCTGTTCAGAAGAAACGAGGGATGGATAATGTAAAAATCTGAATCAATATTTCTAATTCTGGGCACATATTAGAATTGGCTAGTAATCTCATATTAGCTTGGTTCCAACAACTGCCCAGCTCACGGAAAGCCTTCTAATTTAGTTTACTTCAGATATTTTTACTTATTTTGCTCTACTCTTGTGGATTATATCGCTGTTGTACTCTCTGTGTAGGAACATAGGATAAACTTATTCAATGTTTCCTTAAATTAAACACTTACTAATCTCCCAGATATCACCTTTTGTCAGAACTCAGAGTTAGGAATGGCCTTCACCATACTGATGCTTTCTGACTGAGCTCCTCTCTACCCCAAATACAGGGGACCCTAATAATTAGGCAGGAATATCATTACCCCTATTCAGCCTGAAGAAGTTTCAGAAGATGGATCTTCATCCCTTTGCAGCCCTTGGTATTAAGGATTCTCTTATAAAAGTGAGGGGGAAATGTCAGAGGTGTTTGAACCAGAGCAACTCCATCTTAAACAGGAGCTAGGTAAAATAAGGCTGAGATCTACTGGACTGCATTTCTAGAAGGTTAAGGCATTCTAAGTCACAGGATGAGATAGGAAGTCGGCACAAGATACAAGTCCCTGACGAAACAGGTTGCAGCAAAGAAGTCAGCCAAAACCCACCAAAATCAAGATGGTGACAAGAGTGACCTCTGGTTGTCCTCACTACTACACTTCTGCCAGCGCCATGACACTTTACAAATGCCATGGCAACATCAGGAGGTTACCTTTTATGGTCTAAAAAGGGGAGGCATGAATAATCCACTCCTTGTTTAGCATATACTCAAGAAATAACCATAAAAAATGGGCAACCAGCATCCGTAGGGATGACTCTGTCTATGGAGTAGCCATTCTTTTATTCCTCTACTTTATTAATAAACTTGCTTTCTCTTTACTCTGTGTACTCACTCTGAATTCTCTCTTGCATGAGATCCAAGAACCCTCTCTTGGAGTCTGGATCCAGACACCTTTCCTGTAATGACCATGTATGAATTGAAAAAATGATTAGACAGAGTGAAAAACAGATTAAAAAATTAGTTCTTAGTGTATGATTTCAATTTTCTAAAACTCTACAAAATTCAAACTAATCTAAAGTGACAAAAAGTAGGCCAGTGGTTCTCTGGGGGGAGGAGAGTGGACAGGATCTCCATAGTATTACAAGGGATCCCTTGGGAGTGATTTGTATGTTATAGGTAGTGATGTTTTCTTGTTAGTTTAGCACTTACTTATTGTTTGTTTGCTTGTTTACTTGCTTTCTGTGTCCCCTACTATAATTGATTATCTGTAGCCAGGGTTGGCAAATTATGGCTCCATGGGCCAAATCTCACTCATAGTCTGTTTATGTATGGCCCACAAGCTAAGAAGTGTTTTTATATTTTTGAAGGGATGTAAAAAAGAAAAAAATGCAACAGTAAGGAACAATATGCAACAGAGACTATATGCACCTCATAAAGTCTAAATATTTAATATCTGGCCTGTTACAGAAGAAATTTGCCAATCTCTGCTCTATATGATCAATTATCTCCTATTCTATTCACATATACGTGGTAGCCAGTATATTACAAAATAGCTAGAAGAGAGTGTTGGAAATAAATTTTTGGTGCCGCAAAAGAAATAGCACTCGAACATGAATTTTCTCAGCAAGGCAGTTTTACTTCTATAGAAGCGTGTGTCTCATGGATGGAGCAACGGTGAGAGCACACCCGAACAAGGGAGGGGAAGGGGTTCTTATCCCTCACCACCCCTACTGCTGTGTCATTCCCCTATTGGCTAGGGTCAGACCGCACATCTAAGCTAATTCAGATTGGCTATTTTAAAGAGAACAGAGGTACGAGCCAGAGTGGCAGGATGAGTAGTTTGGTGGGAAGGACAGTTACAGAAAAGGTGACTCAGGATGACTAAGAACAGAGCAGGTGACCAAGGATGACCAAGATCAGAGCAGGTGAACAAGAGTGACTAAGATCAGAGCAGGTGATAGAGGGTAGGAGGAGGTTGTTTACTGAAACTAGGGGCAAGGAGACATAAAGAACAAGGAAATTCAACTTTAAAATGAAGAGCAAAGAACGGGGAGCCGAACATACTGATACATTGGTTCTTTGGAGAGGATCTCAGAACTCATTGTATTTAACAATTTACAGGCTAAAACTTTTGAGGAGGAATTTATGATATCCTACAATTTTCTCCCTTTCAATTTTCATAGTATTTCCTCTTCAAACTTTTTTTAACATATCTTGGCTTTGCTGCTCAACTTAATCCTCTAAAAGAAAAAGCTGATCTGAATAAGGTGAAGGAGAGCTAAGGGAGGTTTTAGTAAACGCTGCATCTGTAAGTCTTTGCACTAGCCCATAGATGCATGGTATGACACAACACTGGACAAGAATGAGTACACCTACTACAGCTGCAAGAGAAATAAGAATTGAGGCTATGATTCCTTTCCATTTAATGAGCCGTTTTTCTAGCCACCCTGTGAAGGGGTCATTCACTCTTGAGTTTTTGGCTAACTCATTGAACAGGGCAGTTAGACCTTGCAATGCCTTTGTTGTACTTCCATCAGGGGGCGGTGTTGTTTGGGATGAAGGTACAACATTGAGTTTTAATCATGATGCAGACTCCTCCTCTTTCTGCTAATATTATGTCTAAGGCTATTCTATTTCCCCAAGCCATCTGGCTAGTAGGCCCTAATTGCTCAGCTATTCCTTTAACAGCATCTCTAGTGTAGTTAATAAACCGCTGTTGGTTGTAATAAATGCAATTTATCCAATCTATGTTTTTATTCATTGTCACCCACCAAAATATTGACTCAAATCCTGCAGCTATTTGATCTCTGGCTTTAAATTTATCTGGTAATCCTCATGGGACCCCAATTACATCTAAATAAATGCGAGAGTCAGAAGACACATAAAGGGCTTCCCTTGTTTTATGATGTTGTATTTTTCCTCTCTCTGGTTGGTGAAATGCCAGGGTGAAAGGGATAGCCTACTGGACTAGAGTACAAGTGCCACTCCAGTTACTTGGCAGAGAGTCCAGTAAAGGTCCACCACAATACCACCATACATCTGCTCAGGGATGAACAAGGGCTGACTGATTGGTAAGCTCTTGGAAAGTCTTAAGCTCATTGCATCCTTTCAGGTCTCCAAGAAACACCAAGTTTCCTCCCTGTCATGAGAGACAATAAGTGAAATTAATGTGGGGAGATGGAAGCTGGATGGCCTTCAGGGGCTGACCTGCAGAGTGTTGAACTTCGGGATATAGCAGAGAGAGAACTTGACATGACTTGTTACCCCAGGCTGTGTAATCCTGGAAAAGAGCTACCATGCAGCCCATGCCTGGTCGACTGGAGGACCACCCTAGTGGAAAGGGGTCAATCTGGGCCTCTGGCCTGCCATGCACTCAAGCATAACAATTGCTTTTGTTTCACCTGCAGACGGAATATTTGATCCATTCCAACCAGGCATTTGCATCTTGATATCCTGTCTCTATTGCTAAAGTTTGTTTTAAATCATTTACTTCTACAGCGTCTACTTTGGTCCTATCATTAGATGGAGGAGTAACAACTGTTTCATTGTGAGAGGTTTTGGAAGAAGGCTTAGGGGAAGGTGTAGGTGGTGGGGGATCAATGAAACATATTTCAAAGTATCTGATAGGGTCTGTTCCTGAAACCTCATCTCCCATACCATAAAAACCAGCTTAAAGAAGGGAACCAGCTTAGAGAAGGGGAAGATCTTTGAGGGTTTGGGGTAATAACCTGTATTGGATTGCACTGGTTTAGCTGACAGCTAGGTGAAGCTGTTCCTTTAGTAAAATGAATGTATGGCTTTAGGAAATTACAACTACTGGTTGAGGCAGTCCATCCTTGCTCTTTAGTGGTCCACAGAACGTTGGACCAACTGCAGCATAAAAGCTCTATGGGGGGCAAGACTCCCAGCTGATGCCAGGGTCCTCATTGAAATCTTCCCAGACTAAATGATCCCAATTCAATAATGTCCAGTCTGAGAAGAGCCAGGAAGGACAGAGGTACTTTTCTGAAGTGGAGAGCTGTCTTTGACTTAAAAAGTCTCCATAGGATGTAACAAGGCAAGCATCAAATTTAATAGTTTGAGGTGAAATTGACTTGGTTACATTAATAACTAGGTGGTCAGCAATAGAGTGAGGAAAGAAGGAGTAACAGAATAGATGAAAGGAAGTTAAATTTTTCTTAGCTTTAGTTTGGTAGGGTTTTCCCCTGGGACTATGGCCCATGACTCTGGAGGGGGTGGCGCTTTCTTGACTCAGGTGTAACGGGTCCATCCTTTTTCTGCTATTCGGACTGCGGTTTCAGTAGTTAGGAGCATTAGGTAAGGTCCTTCCCAGGCCAGTTCCAGCTTTTCCTTCTCTCCAAATTTTGATGGGGACGTGGTCCCCAGGCTGATGTTGGTGTACTGGGAACTCTAGAGGTGGCACCTGTGCTAAAAGACCTTTAGTTCTGAGGGAAGATAAAATGGAAGATAAACCAAGTATATAATTTCTGAGAAACTGATCTTTTGTTTCAAATGTAGGAAGATCAGTAGTAGAATGTAGATAAGGTGATCCATAAAGCATCTCTTAAGGGGATAGGCCTGTGTCTTTTGGGGGAGCAGTTCAGACTCTTAACAGGGTAATAGGCCTTTCTACTTTCCCTAATGAAGATGAGTGCCAGGGAGTATGATAATCCCATGCTACATCCAGTACCTGGGATAATTTCTTAATGACATGTGCCGTGAAATGAGTCCTATTATCTGAATTAATGTTTTCTATTAATCTAAACCTGGGTATAATATTTTCAACTAATGCCTTGACTACATTATTAGCAGTTGTACTTGAAAAGGGAATAGCTTCTACCCAATGAGTAAGGTGATCTACTATTACTAATAAATATTTCAGACGACCAATTGGAGGCATCTGTGTGTAATCAATCTGGATACTTTGGAATGGCCTTAAGCCTGGACTCCTTCCCCCAAAGGGTAATCTTTTACTAAGCAACTATCTGTAACCTGTTTGGCCAGGGTATAAATTCCTATGCACCCATAAACTCTGAGGACTGCATCACACATGGCTTGGGACCCACAATCGGTCCCTTGATGCAGTTGGAACAAGAACTCCCTTATAAGGGGCTTGGATAACATTTCTCTCTGGTCTAGCAATATCCATTTTCCTTCTAAATTCTCTTTAGCACCTATTTTTATTAGTTTTTAGACCAAAGAAAGCCAAACACCATTTTATATTTGACAATGCTTCCTGTATGATTTTATACCAGATAAGCTAAATTTCACCTTTATATTAGTGTGCCATTAATGTTAAACTCAATTTTAATAAAACCTTGTAGGCATATTTATCCAATTTTAATGTCTGACCATAAGGTAAGATTTTTATAGACTCTTTTTAAGCCTTTATAATTTTTGTTAAAGAACAGGTTAGTGCTTTAAGAAAAACCCGTCGTGCTTTTATTTTAATGTCCAGTTTACAGAAAAACTGTACCAGTCAGCCTGAGCTCCTGTTATCTGAGTAACTTTGCAAGGAACTTGGGTACCCTCTTTAGTGAAAAACATAATATTCGGAGACATTTTTGCATACTAGGAATAGGAAAAAGTGTGTGAGAGGATAAGCAGAGAATCATATTTTCTGGACAAGGCACACTGTACTCCAACTATAATACACAGTAAACGTACTACTGTAAGCAGTAATACATTTAAAAAGTGTGCCATCTGGGTCAAAGAAATCAAAAAAACAAAACACCACAAAACCTGCGTAGGAAATCCATTCTGCTATTTTCTAGCTTTATAATATTGCACCGTATTCTTAATGCTTCTTTATCTTATTTTTATCATATGTAAAATGAAAGGAATGAATATATCCTAGAGATATTTTAAAGCTTAAAAAGATGTAAAACTATTACTACATTTCTTGTTGTTCAATGTCAACTCAGTTGTAATTAGTACTAGTACCACAAAATATCATTTGTTTTATGCATAAAATTAGAATATGCAAAAATATTGTAAAATTTTGGAAGTGTTGTATTATTGTAAAATGTTTTACTACGTTTTTATACTTACTTTTTTTACTTATACTTTTTTGTATTTAATTTTTTTCTTAAATGCTAATGCACATTTGTTTTCTTTTTATTTTGTTATTTCTTAAATAACTCGGAATGCTTTGGCTCAGAAACATGTTTTTCCCTTCACTAATAGGAATTATTGAATCCCTTTAGGAGACTCTAAAGACTGAGTCTGGAAAACAATTGGTTAACATTATACCAGACTGTGACTAGAACCCAGTAAAAAAAGATAGGAATAGCCTTGAATGCTATAAAAGAGGAAAAGCCTAAAATAGCCTGTAGTGGTGAATCCCCAAAAGTCTTGGTCTTGTAAGTGATCAAGGAGGGGTAAATTTATGATGAAATCTAAGGTCTTGAAATAGGGTTCTGTCATTTTCAGAGCTTACTTGGGCAATTTAAAAATGAAACGTCAACTGAATTAAAAAGTCCACATAGAAAAAATTATAATATCTACCAAGTACTAATATAAAAATACTCTAAGAAGGTAAGATCATAAAAATCTAGGGGGAAAATATTTTATACTAAGATTCAGACTCCTACTATCATGAAGATAGGTGGTAGAGAATTATAACTCATCTCTGGTTCCCCAGATTATTTTATCAGTATTAAACAGAAGTTAACATAGGCCAATACATAACACACCAGTAAATAATTTGTTCAGGTGGTTGTTTTTCATGAACAACATATATTAAGCAGCCACTGTGACGAAGGGTTTGTGAAAGTGTTGAAAGTAAATGCCTTCTGCTGGTTAGTCATGCCCTTTTACATTTTACTGTATCTTTCACACCATTCATAGATGTGTCTTCATGTGCTGTCAGATATATAGTGCAGTATAAAATGCATTCGTATCTAGATCTATCACATGCTGTATATCACGTATCATATACTTATAAATAGATCTGTTATCTCTGTGGCTTGGAGATATGCACCTATCATTACTCCAAAGTTGGTGTGAGTGGTACTGTTTTCAAAGGGAGAGATAATAGTATATTAACCATTTATTTATAAGGCAATGTCATTTTCTCAATGTCATCAAAGTCTATATCTTAAGTTTTAAAATAAAGAATACAAAGTAGGAAATTTAAAAAATATACAATGGAGAAAGAATACTTAAAATCACTAAAGTTTATTTCATGAGTTTTTATTATCATTACAGTTTGCTTCGAATCAATCAACTGACCTTTCCCACAGGCCAAGTTGATTTGCTTTAAGATTACAGTGAATCCACTTGTAAGTGTATGGAGACAGGGCTAAAGTGGTAACAGTCTCATAAGTTTACTTTGTTTCTAGGAAAAGAACGTTTCTTATGACTACAGAAACCTGACCAAGCTTCTGATACCGACTCTTCAGTTTTGACATAGCTGCCTTCACTTCTTTGTTTCTTAGCATGTAGATTACAGGGTTTAAAATAGACGTGAAGATGGTGTAGAATACAGCAAGGACTTTGTCAACTGAGTAACTGCTGAAGGGCCACACATAGATGAAAATACACGGTCCAAAGAATAAAGTGACCACAGTGATGTGAGCAGTCAATGTGGAGCAGGCCTTCACCATGCTTACAGAGGAGCTATTCCTAACTGTAACAAGTATTACAGTGTAGGAGACAACCAAGAGGAGAAAGGAACTCAGAGAAAGAAAGCCACTATCTGCAACTATTAGTAGGCTGACAACATAAGTGTCTATGCAGGCTAACTTGGTCACTAGAGGAAGGTCACAGAAAAAAACTATCTACCTTATTAGGACCACAAAATGGCAGATTAACAGTGAATGCCAACTGGCTGGTGGTATGGATGAAGCCCACAAACCAGGAAATGAGGAAGAGCACAACACATACACAGCAGCTCATGATTGTCATGTAGTGGGGAGGTTTGCATATAGCAACATAACGGTCATAGGCCATGGAAACTAGGAGCACCATTTCACTGCCAGTGAAGAGATGAACAAAGAAAATCTGGGCCAGGCGGGCATCAAAAGAAATAGTCTTGTGCTCAACCAGAAAGTCTGCAATCATTTTAGGGGTAGCAGAAGAGGCAACACATACGTCTATAAATGACAGGTTGGCAAGCAGAAAGTACATGGGGGTGTGAAGGCGGGAATCTGAGGTCACAGTGAGGATGATGAGAAAGTTGCCCAACAGAATTGCTAGATAAAGTAGTGAAAATATAAGAAACAAGAAAGGTTGGAGCTCCCTTGAACTAGACAGTCCCAGCAACACAAATTCTGTCACCCAAGAATGATTTGTCTCATTCATTGAATTTTGGAAGGGACTTAATTTCAGCTACATGAATAGGAGAGAAACAGAGATCAGTTAATGAAGTGAGCATGGGTTTGGTTTTCTAATTACACTTAAACTTTTCAGAATTCCAATTCCTATTCCTATGTATGTGTCTGGGTTTTCATGAGTTATTACAAGTTATACAGCTAAGTGTGGAAGATTGGGTTAAAGGGGAGAGTTGTCAAGGAGATGTTCAACCAACTGGGATATCTAAATACATTAATTTAAGAAATAAAATCGACAATTTAAAAATGAATTTGAGCATCTGAAGTTTTTGTGACACTACAGAAATCCCGTCTAAAAGTCTACAGAGACAAAATCTAAACCAATTTTTCTAAAGTAAATGATAGTAAAAATTTTTTGAACATCTGCCACAGAGGAAGATAATTTCACAAACTTGATGACTAAAAAAGTTAGACACAAAAGAGTATACACTGTATTGGTCTATTTAAATGAAGTTCAAAAATGGCAAAACTAAGGTGTAGAAAAACCTCATAGCAGTTATCCTTAAGGGACAGGAAGTGGTCATGGGAGGGGTTTCTGAAGTGCTGGTAATATTCTTTCTTGATGTGGTTGATAGTTACATGGGAGTGTTTACTTTATGAAAACTTACTGAAATATGAACTTTTGCTTTTTTCTCTTTTGTATACATACGTTGCATAATTATGAAAATTAAAATAGAAAGAGAGACAGCATTAGATTTGTGTAAGAGAGCTCACAGGAGAAATCATTGCCTTAAGTGATTATATCTTATTTCTTCTCTACAGTTAAACATTATGTAAACGAAAGTACAGAACCCTGGCAAAATTGAAAGGCCCCAATATTATTGGAACTCTTTTATGATTCAGCTTTTCATGGAGTTCTACTTTATCATGAAATCTAGCACACTGGTTCCTTTCAATTAATCCCTGAAGGTATGAAGCGTCTTTAAACTTAGCCATTGGTGTTACTAACCATAGACAGTTTATTGAGCTATGATTGATATTTCATTTGATGTGACGTGGCTTAAAAACGTATAAGTTATATTGCTTACTATAAATACTAATATAACTAATAAGTTATATTACTTATTACTAAGGAAATCAGACCAGAAAAAAAAGATTTTTCTTTTCTACTCAGTTACTCTATATTCTATGTTATCAGAACTTTCTTCCTTTTATGTTATTTTTATTTGTAGAAGCTATTTAGAACTTAGAAAAGTTTTATGGTAAATAAGAAAAAATAAAATGTGAATTTTAAAGGAGCATTACATTATCTGATTTTGAAGAATCTTTCTCTACATCTTAATCAGGTCTTGGGAGAGGATGTCTTTTATTTTACTCATTTCTAACCACTTGCAATTTTTGATATTAATGTCTTCTTAGATCATAGCTGCAAATTGCTAAGTCTCTCTTTGGGTTAGACTGGAGGGTTTATTTATAAGAACAGAACGTGTGATAAATAATTTTAACTCCCAGAAACCAAATTTAGACTCACCTCTGTATTTCAAATCTCCAATTCTCCCAAAAAAATACAAATTTTCTCCCTTATTTGCAAATGATGTGTTCCAAGACCTCCAGTGGATGCTTGAAACCACTGATAGTACTGATTCCTATATAAGCTATATTTTTCCTATACATGCATACCTAAAATAAAGTTTAATTTATAAATTGGGCACAGTGAGAGATGAACAGTAATAACTAACAATAAAATAAAAAAGTATAACAAGATACTGAAATAGCATTTATGTGAATGTGTTTCTTTTTTTCCTCTCTCTCGCTCTCAAAATAGGTTAATATTTTTGGACCACAGTTGACCTGAGGTAACTGAAACTGCTGAAAACAAAACCATGGATAAGGGAGAACTCTTGTATTATCACAGATTATATCAAAACTATGGCTCTAGGCTTTTTAGAAGAGTTTAACAAGTGGAGCTTGAAGGTAAGGCAGGCTACCGAAAAAAATTATACAAATCTCTCTTTCTTCTCACTTCCCAGAAGTCCTGACCCTTCAATCCTGTGACGTAAATACTGCATTGAATCCCTAAGGCATGAATAGAAGTAAAATCTAACAAAATCAGTGAATAGGAGTTCATAGGTACTCCATCAGAAAGAGCAAAGCAATAAGCACAAGGAACGAGTGTCCTATGGAGACCCTCCAGTGCTGCATTAGAGAGGGGCATCAGGAGGCATTTCTGAGCACAGAAACTTCCTGGTGTCTTTAGGCTAAGACACATAATCCAACTATGTGAAAGACAGTCATAAGAATCATCCTCCTGATAGCTTTTCTGACTCTTCTGCAGAGCTGTATTGTTCCATTTTCATTGGCTTCTTCAGGTGCTCAGTAAAGGAAAATACCCTGTTTTTCATGGAGAAAACATTGGGCAAATTGATTCAATCAAGAAATTTCTTAGTATATAAGATTAAAGTGGTAGAACACATGAACTCTGAACCTGTTTCTTACCTAAATCCATTCTTTTTTAGTTCACTTACTTTATATAAATTTAAATGCCTGCTTTTCCCCAGGCACTGTGCTATGCACTGGTGATGAGGCAGTTAGGTTTATAACTTGTCTCCCTAAAAATTATTTGCTAATATTAATAACCCTTTCCTTATTTAGACAAGCTGATGAATTCACTTCCCTTTACCCCTAGTACATTCCCTATTAGATAAAATGGACTGTATTTTTGTTCCCAATAAAATCGCTGTACTGTAGTGAAAACAAAGCTATTATTTTAAAATGTTCTGTGTTGTATCACTGGGTAACTGTGTGATGCTGAGCAGTTCCTTTAGCCATTCAGGGATTATTATCATCAAATATTAAATCTTGAGACTATTAACCTCAAAGAGACACTAAAAATATTTCTTAAAAGATTATATAAATGAAAATTCTTTAACCAACTGTACTGACTAAGTATATGTATGCATTCTTAGTAATGTATTATTTTAGATCAGAAGAAGTATTTTCTCATAATTTTACATTATGTGGTCTGACTCACACAAGAATGAGTTTCCAATAAGTAGATGTTTTATGTAAAGACGTTTTTTAAAAAAAAATTCTTGAAAATTTGAAGATGGATTAATGCATGTATACAGGGCTGTGCTCAGCAAATCTCAGTTCCCTCCTATTTTAAATTCTGTCAAATGAATCTTGCCTCAATATTTCTATCTCAGATATTATGACTGATAGATGAAGTGAAATAAATAGGTATCGTTTACAGGGGCCACCAAACTCTACAAGTTCAAATAGGTATCTTTCACAAACTTGCCAATATTGCTGTTCCCCTGAACCCCTCTCCCACTCCAAATGCAGATCAGAGAAATAGCAGTCTCTCTATTATAGACTATATTGGAGACAAATGCTGGTGCATGGTCTTCAGAAGGATGCTGACAAAACACTTTTACTTACCTAAGATGAAATGGAAAGTGTGGAGCTATCCTATAATCTATAGTCATTAATGCTTGGGAAGAATTTCGTTGTTACTTCCACATCTCCTAAGAAAACAGAACAATCCCTCAGGAGATAAGTCATAAAGAATTTACTTCTAAAGACAGAAGTGGATTCAGGGTGTCTGTAGCTGAGTTGTCTTCAAGGAGGTGAGACAGGTCTGGATGCTGTATTTTAATCTAAGTCTTAGGCAACTAGAGGAGCATTTGGAGCAGTCAGAAATCTGAAAGGAGAAAAAGAGTAGACTGAAAAGAAGAAATGCTGAAAACAAAATCTTCTGCTTCACAATTTTGCAAAGGATTCAGCCTCACTGGATCTATAAAACTGGAGAATGTTTTAGGAAGTACCATCAATAATAGCGATTTTTATATGATTTGGGATCTGTAAAGACTCTGAAGTAGTAAGATACTGCATTATTTTATCAAAAATTTCATCAGGGAAGATTTAGGGTTTTCTTCCTTTCATCTGACTTTCCCTCGATTCAAAGTGTAGGTGACTTTTTACTTGCTTCTGACAGATATATATAATCATTATATAACTAAATCAAACATCTTGTGCAGTAGTGATATAATGAATTTACCATAATAGTAGTAATATTTTAAAATATATTTTAAGGAATTATACATGGGATATGCTTTTGTTCACAAATAGAATATATATCCAGCAAGAAATGTTAAATTTCATTAGTGGTTTATATGACTACTTTCTAGTCATAGATTAACAAGGAGCATTCTAAACTATAAGCTTTAAAAACCTGAAGTTCAAATCAATGGATGCTGGCCAAAGACATTATGGACTATCAAAAATGTATTAGCCATATTGAGTACAATGTACACTACTTGTGTTTGTGGGTGATAGGTGAACTAAAAATCTTATACTTCACTACTATATAATTTATCAATGTAACCAAAAACTGCTTGTTATCCTAAAAGTTATTGAGATAAAAGAATATATTAATTTTTAAAAATTAAATACATGTATTAGCCTAGGATATAGAAAATATATTTTCCAATTCTATCTTTCACTAAATAACTTTATAATTGTAAGCAAATTACATACCCTCCCAGGTGCTCTGTGTTTCCTCAAAAAAAGAGTAGAATTCCCTCTCCCAAATGCAGTCTCCGGTTTTTGAAAAACATGATCCAAACTGTGTAAGTCAATTCAAAGATAAGAATAATTATAAAATATTATATTGAAATTAAAGTATATCCAATCAAAAGCATAAAACAGCTGGTTTTAGTAAAGTGATGGCAGCAGTCACTCTTCAGAGTTAGGTATTGGGACAACGGTAAATAGGTAAAATGGGCATAGAATATTCAAAGATTAATTTAAAACAATACGGAGGAGAATTGACTGTCTCTGGTCTCTGTTCTGTTCTGACTCAATCTCTGTCCCTGGCCTTAAAATATCAGCACCTACCCAGGAAAACAATATTCACCAGGAGCCATTGGATGAGGGACAAAGATAGAGAACCCATGTCTTTTCCAGACTTCAGTCTTCACCTTTTACACTCTGCAGTATCAGTATACTCAGCACACTGATATAAGAAAAGCCATCACGATTATTACAAGCTAATTAGGAATTTGACGTCACTGGACGGTAGTGACCAAGAGACCCAGAGGAGAGTTGTGATAGCAGAAATACCTTAATCAGGGATAATTACGTGAGACAATTTGTTTGCCCACAATAATTATGGTGCATCACCTTGAGGATTTCACAAATGGAAGAAGCAGCAGGCCTAATGGAAATGCTTTGTTCTGTAAGAGATGTAACACTTTTTTTAAAAAGCAATGAGTAATTTTGTTAGCTAATTCTTTATGTTTCCGAAGAGCTTTAGAAAAGCACTATTGGGAGTGTCAAAAATTGATGGGGAGTCATCATGTGACTGTGCATATTACACGGCAAACACCTTGGCATTTTGACAGCTTCACAAAAGCCATGTGCTTGGTTTCTAGGGCAAGGATTTTAGAGTAAAAAAGTGAAAGCTGCTTTATTAATACAATAGAGATACTGTATCCTACAGAGTAGATTCTAGTAAAGAGACTCCAAATAATTTTGCAAACATTTATACTTCTGAGTTCAAATAAAGAATTTGAGCATTAATGGGACTCTAGGTTCATAATACAAAACTCAAGACTCTAGTACCATACAGTCTAGATGTGTCATGATCAAAACTCCCCTGTGCACCCCTTTACAGATAACCTCTTCCCCTCCTCAAACACCTGGAAACCATTCTTCTGTTTTCCATGCCTACAGATGTGTGTTTTCCAGAACATGAGACAAATGAAATTGTACAATGTGTAGCCTTTTCAACTGTCTTCTTTCATTTAGCAATATACATTCAAGATTCATTCTTGTTGTTGCATGGATTAATAGCTCTTTCTTTGTTACATGGAATAGTATCCCACTGTATTTCTACCACAGTTTGTGTATCCATTTGTATATTGAAGGACTTCTTGGTTGCTTTTTCTCTGTTTTTGGTGATTATGAATAAAACTGCTATAAACATTTTTTGTAAGTTTTTATGTTTATGTTATTTTTCAAGTCAGGTGGAGGATTTGATTTGATAAGAAGAAATATTTGATTCTATTTTAAACTCTGAAATTAGGTGCAAACAGATTAGGATTGGTATGTCTTCATGATTGATTAAGCCCCTTATATGACATGCTTCTCTTTACTTTTGATTATATTTTTTCTTCTGAAATCTACAGAGTCAGATATTGATGTGACTGCTTTAGCTCCTTTATAATTACTATTTGCATTGTATTGTATATCTTTGTTCATCTTTTTATGTTTAAGTAGTCTGTGTCTTTATATTTAAAGTGGATTCAAGGTAGGCAGCAAATAGTTGGCTTTTGCTTGTATTGTTCATTCTAGCAATGCCTGCCTTTTAGTAGACTTCTTATACTATTTACATATAATGTAAATGATATGTTGGGTTTATATCTACTACCTTGCTACTTTTTTTTAATTTGGGACTTCCTTTACTTTCCGTTTTTGTGGTAGAATTATATCAACCATGATATGTCTTGCTTTTGTTTGACTTACAAAGTCTTCATTTCACTTTCATTTTGAAGGATATTTTACATACTTAAATGATTGTGTTGACTGTTGTTTTCATTCTGTTTTTTTAACAATTCTAATCCTGTTTTATAATAAGTATTCAGTTATTCAAATCCTGGTTTTTCAGTATATGGTTGTTCTTTTATCCATGGCTACCGTAAGATATTTTCTGTATGACAAGTTTCCCATATGAATTGTGATATGTCTTCTTGTGATTTTCTTTTGATTTATCTTGCTTGAGGTTGGTAGAACTTCTTGACTTTTTTTATTATAACTTTCAATCAAATTGAGAACATTTTGGTCCCCATTTTATCCTTTCCTCTGGAACTCCAGTTACATACGTGTTAGGCCAGTTGGCATTCTCTTGCATATTGCTGTGACTCTGTTCAGTTTTTCCTTTCACATTTTTGTCTCTGTACTTTGGTTTAGAGATTTTCTATTGCTGTGTCTTCTAGTTTACTGATCATTTCCTTTGTGGTGTCTAACATTTTTCACCTCACGAAATCTTGATGTTGTTAATATATTCCATTCCTCTCTTCATTCTGTTTATATTTTTTATTTATATACTTGAGCATATTTATGACAGCTCTCTTAAAGTTATTTTATTCTAATTTCCACATCTTGGTAATTTCTGAGCTTATTTGAATCAGTTTCCAATTCTACTCATTATGATGTATATTTTTATGCTTTTTTACATTTATCAATGGTGGACGCTAAAAATATTTCTGAGTGCTGGATTCTTTCTTTTTTTATTCAAAAGTAGTAGTCTTTGTTCAGTCGCAAAGTTACTTGTGGGCTAGGCTAATTATGTCATTTTATTTTTAAATATTTTAGGGTGGGTTTAGAGTAGGCTTCTCTAAGCTACTTTAGCCTTAGTATTAAGGAATTATCTGGTATTTAAGGAATTGCCCAGGGTCGACTAAGGTCTTGGGTATTTTTATTTTATTTTATTTTATTTTATTTTATTTTATTTTTTAGTTTATTTTATATTTTATTTTATTTTATTTATTTATATGTTATGTTATGTTATGTTATGTTATGTTATGTTATGTTATGTTATTTTTTATTGAGATGGAGTTTTCACTCTTGTTGCCCAGGCTGGAGTGCAATGGCATGATCTCGGCTCACCGCAACCTCCACCTCCCAGGTTCAACCCATTCTCCTGCCTCAGCCTCCCAAGTAGCTGGGATTACAGGCATCTTCCACCAAGCCTGGATAATTTTGTATTTTTAGTAGAGATGGGGTTTCTTTATGTTGGTCATGCTGGTCTCGAACTCCCGATCTCAGGTAATCCATCCGCCTCGGCCTCCCAAAGTGCTAGGATTATAGGCATGAGCCACCGCACCCGGCCAGTCTTGGGTATTTTTAAAAGACTGTCTTCTCTGGCTGATCAGACATCATACGTCTCCTGAGTAAACTCACACAGTTCAGCTTATAGCTCTACAAAATTTTTTCTTGATTTTAGAAGATTTAGCCTTTGTGTATTCATCTTACTATTCAATAAACAACTCAAGTGGGCCCCATAGAAACTTCTGAAGAGTTTTTCTGTTTTGTTGTTGTTGTTGTTGTTGTTGTCGTCCTGGATGTAGATTTTGGCCATCGCCAGCTCTCTGAACTCCATTTTCTGTTTCTAACTCATCAGGTCAACTGTACTCTGCTTTGAATTGCCTTTGCTGCCCTGAAATGTAGAAAGTACCTCCAAGGAGGAAACTAGGTTGATCATAATATTAATCTTATATTTTATTCTCTCAAGGATCTTAGTCTTGTGTTGCATGTAGACTAATGCTTAAACACAATGTAGTGGTATATTTTATCCAGTTTTCTTGTTGATTATGAAGGGAAATTAAATCCAGTAGTACCTCATGGCTGGAAGTGGAAGTTCATACTGTTTTCTTTTTTTTTTTTTTTTTTTTTTTTTTTTTGAGACGAGTCTGGCTCTGTTGCCCAGGCTGGAGTGCAGTGGCGCAATCTCGGCTCACTGCAAGCTCCGCCTCCCGGGTTCACGCCATTCTCCTGCCTCAGCCTCCCGAGTAGCTGGGACTACAGGCGCCCGCCACTACGCCTGGCTAATTTTTTGTATTTTTAGTAGAGACAGGGTTTCACCATGTTAGACAGGATGGTCTCGATCTCCGGACCTCGTGATCCGCCCGCCTCGGCCTCCCAAAGTGCTGGGATTACAGGCGTGAGCCACCGCGCCCGGCCACTGTTTTCTTTTAAAGAAAAAAATCATGAATATTGTTTACTTCTCTTTTAAAATGATTTATAATTCATTTACCATGAAATTTATCCTTTTAAAGTGTACAATTCAGTAAATTTTATCATGTTAACAAGGTTATGCAGCTATCACTACTGTCTAACTCTAAAACATTTTCCACAACCCCAAAAGAAACCCTGCAACCATTAGCATTTACTTCCCATTCTCCCTAAATGCAGCCTTTGGATACCATTAAACTATTTTCTGACTCTTTGGAATTGCCTATTCTGGACATTTCTAATAAGTGACATGACATAATAATAATGTGTCTTTCCTTAACTTGGCATATTGTTTTTAAGTTTCATCCATGTTATGGCATGTATGAATGCTGTATTCCCTCTTATAGCTATGTAATATTCCATTGTAAGGATATAGAAATTTTGTTTATTCATTCATCAGTTGATGGGAATTTAGGTTGTTTTCAGTTTTGATTGTCGATAGTACTGCTGCTATGAATACTTGTATACAAGTTTTTGGATAAACATCTTATTTCTCTGAAATGGAATAAAAACCTATGAACCCTGACTAGAATTGGAATTTCTGGGGCATATGTTTCACTTTTTGGGGAACTACCAAACAGATTTCCAGAGTGGCTATACCAATTTACATTCTTACAAGCAATAGATGAGGAATTTAATTTCTTGACAATTTTGACAGCATTTGTTATCTTCCATTTTTTAAATTACTTACAGCTATCCTAATGGTTGTGAATTGGTATATCATTATAGTTTAAATTTCCATTTTATTAATGACTAATGGTGTTGAGCAATATTATGTGGTTAAGGTTATGTGCGTGTCTTGTTTGGAGAAAAGTCTATTCAAATCCATTGCCCATTTTTAAGTAGGTTATTTGTCTTTAGTTATTATTTTTGAGAGTTCTTTATATATTCTGGATACAAGACCCATGTCAGACATAACTTCACAATTTTTCATTTGGTGAGTTTTCTTTGAACTCTCTAGATTGTGTCATTTAAACCTCAACAGTTTTTAATTTTGATAAAATTAAATATCTATTTTTCTTTGATTACTTGTGTTTCAGGTGTCAAATCAGAGAAATTATTACCTAATCCAAAGTCACAAAGATTTACATATGTTTTGTTATGCTGTGTTTTCATTTTCATTTTAAAGCATTTTATAATTTGCCTTGTAATTCTTTCTTTGGTCCAATGCATATTAGGAATATGTTGTTGAACTTCCACTATTTGTTAATTTTTCAAGTTTTATTGTGTTACTGATCTCTAATTTGATTCCATTGTAATCAGAAAACATAGTTTGCATGATTCTAATCCTTTTAAATTTAGTGAGACTTGGTTTAGGGCCTAATACATGGTCTATCCTGGAGAATGTTCCATGTGCACTTGAGGAAACTGTATTCTACTGTTGTTTGGTGGAGTGTTTTATAAATACATTAAGTCTAGGTGACTTACAGAGTTTTTCAAGTCTTTTATTTCCTTGCTGATCTTCTTAGTGTTCTACTTAAAAGTATTAAAATTTTTGTCTATTATTGTGAAACTGTCTATTTCTCCCTTGAATTACGTAAGTTTTTGCTTTATGTATTTTAGGACTCTGTTGCCATTTAATGAAATAAATAAACACATACACACATGTGTACAAAATTGTTTAATCTTCTTGATGGGTTTATGCTTGTATCATTACACAATGTCCTTCTCTCTCTATTAAACTATCACAAGGACAAAAAACCAAACACCGCATGTTCTCACTCATAGGTGGGAATTGAACAATGAGAACACATGGACACAGGAAGGGGAACATCACACACCGGGGCCTGTTGTGGGGTGGGGGGAGGGGGGAGGGATAGCATTAGGAGATACACCTAATGTTAAATGATGAGTTAATGGGTGCAGCACACCAACATGGCACATGTATACATATTTAACCTGCACGTTGTGCACATGTACCCTAAAACTGAAAGTATTATATATATATATATATATATATATATATAAAAAGATGTTTTGTTATAAAGTCCATTTTATCTGATGTTGATATATCCACTCCAAGTCTCTTTTGCTTATGGCTGTTGGCATACTGTATATTTTTTTCATGAATCTTCTGTCAACCTATTTGTATGTTTGAATCAAAAGTGAATTTTTTATAGGCGTCATATAGATAAGTCATGTTTTCAATCCATTCTGCTTATATCTGCCTTTTAATTGAAGTATTTAATCTAGTCATTAATAATAAGGTAGGGCATCTGCTACTCTGTTATTTGTTTCTATATGTCTTGTATCTTTTCTGTTTCTCTTTCTTATTATAGTCTTCTTTCATGTTAAACGTATGTTTGCTAGTATATCATTTTAATTATCTTGTATTAGTGGTTTCCCTGGGGCTTAGAATTATCACCTTAACTTATAACAATCAAGTTTGGATTAATATCTATTTAATTTCAATAATATTTTTAAAACTTTGCTTCCATATAGCTCTGTTTTTACCCTTTCTCCGGGCTGTTATTGTCATACAAATTACATCTTTATACATGTTGTGCTGAACAACAAGTGGATTTGTAGGTGTTTCTTTGTGAAGTTATCTTCTAAATCAGGTAGGAGAAAAAAGTATTACAAATAGAATATATATTTATGTATTTTACATTTACATATGCATTTACCTTTATTAGTCCTCTTTATTTCTTCATATGTATTCAAGTTACTGTCTAGGACTTTTACTTCAACCTAACGGGCTCTTTTTAGTATTTACTGTTAAGAACCAAACTACTTTTCTTTAATAAATGTTCCCTGGGTTGCTGTAAGCCTTTCCTTAATCTCCGGGATATGGAAACAGTGGCCCTGTAAATTTTTGTCAATTTTTCATTTCTTTATGGAAGAGGGATTTTAGATTAGCTCCTTACTTTATCATTTTTGGTGGCATAACACTCTATTTTGTAGGGTGTTTTTTCTTTTACCATTTTTACTGGATATATATTCAGTGGAAAATAAATCATTCTACCAAAAACACACATGGACTTGTATGCTCATCACTGCACTATTCACAATAGCAAAGACATGGAATCAACCCAGATGTCCATCAGTGGTATAATAGTTTGGATTTATAAAAATGGTAAATATACACCATGGAATACTATGCAGCTATAAAAAAGAATAAAATCATGTTGTTTGCAGCAACATGGGTAGAGCTGAAGGCCATAATCCTAAGCAAATTAACTCAGGAACAGAAAACCAAGTACTGCATGTTCTTACTTATAACTACGAGTTAAACATTGAGCTCATACAAATATAAATATGGTAACAATAGACACTGTGGACTACTAGAGGGTGAAAAGGGAGCTTGGTTTAAAAACCACCAATCAGGTACTATGCTCACTACCTGTGAGATCCATACTCAGTATGTGAGGTTTGGAGTATGGATCCCATCGCATGTGTGAGCATCACACAAGATTCCCCTGTAACAAATCTACACATTTATCCCCTGTATCTAAAATAAAAGTTGAAAAGGAAAAAAAATTTCCAGGGATTTTGATGATCAGATGAATCTGATAACCACTCAGCTAGTTGGCCTCTAAAGTCCTTTTGAATTAGATGTGCTGTAAACCTCACCTCCTCACCTCATGTGCTGTGAACCTCACCTCCTTCTACTTTATGTTTACATTTTTGGCTTTTTTGTTAAAATTATTTTTGCCTTGAGCGTTGATATTTCAAATAAGTGGAGTAGATAACAGTGTCATTCCTAGATAGCATTGTGTGCTTATGGCTGATATTAAACTTTTCAGCCATATATACTTTTTATATTCTTTATGAAAGTTTTCTTTACAACAATAATTATTATTTTTAAACAGTTTTTGCACCTATTGAAGTAACTATATATATATTATATATACAGTTTTTCTTTTATTCTGTTAATACAGTGAATTGTATTAAATTATTATCAAATGTTCATTCAGTTCATCATCAACATTGCATTGCTGTGTGATCTCAAATGGATACTATTTTATTATTCTGTTTTCCTGAATTTGTATTGCTCTGTGTTTAAAGGAATTTTGTATTTTTGTTTTTGAGCGAGATTGGCCTATAATTTTTCCTTCTTGTATGACCCTTTTCAAGTTTTGAAGTCAGAATTATTCTAGCTCATTATGTGAGCGAAGCAACGTTTTCTCAGAACGAGGAAACAATGTCAGTCTGTTTCAGATGACACTTTATTAATTTTTTAATTTTCATTTTCAGTTTTTGTGGGTAGATAGTAGGTGTTCAGAAGACACTCTTGCACTGAGAAAATCAACAGTTTATTTTCTCCTTATGACTTGCTTTACCCATTTCTTCATGAGGCTATATTTTCTACAGTTCATCATTTCCAATGTACATATATATATATGCATTTAATTTTATGTTACAGAATTAGGGAAGAAATTATTCAAGATAGACTCCTAGAAATACAATTATCAGCTCGTGAGTACGGACATAATTTGATAAATACAGCAAATTGCTTTCTAAAAGTTGTTCAGTAATTTTTGACCAAATAGAGCTTCCATGTTTTCAAATTTTTTTGTCTTATTTAGTAATATCCTTTTGTTTTACTCTTTATTAATCTAATAGGGGTCCATTTTTATTATCTATTAGATCAATTTTTTTGCTACGTTTGTTTTCTATTTGTATATCTTTAGAAAATATTCTCATAATATTTGACTCACAAAACTTTATAGGTAATAAAATAAGTCTGACAGAGAGGGTTAAGTTCTAAAAACATGTATAATGGGTAAGAGAACATATGTGAATGTATGATGAGATTGATTTAGTTATCTTGCAGTGATATGTAACCAATAATTACCTTATTATCCTTACAATACTATAAAGTAGATATTATTATAATCCTAACTTTGTGTTAGAAGCAGCTACAATTTAGTGCTAAAGTTAGCGTCACAAGGCACACTGGTAGTCTGAAGGTTTGAATGCACAAAGAACATACGTTTAACTGCTATATATTGCTTAAATAAGGATCTGATTACGGAAAACCTCTATCTAAGGATGTCTACCTGGTCTTTAAAATAAATTTTTATTAGTATTATTATTATTTTAAGAGACAGGGTCTTGCTCTGTCACTCAGGCTGTAGTGCAACTATGTGATCATGGCTCACAGCAGCCTTGACCTCCTGGCCTCAAGTGATCCTCCTACCTCTAAAATAACAAAGTTGTGCCCAATTATATTCTCTGCTCTTTCTGAAGTATACATCAGCATGCTCACTTTTATCTTGCTACTTCAATCCCATGCTTGTGTTAGCAGTAACAATAATCAGTCATAATTCACTATTTTGTTTTATATTAGGCTCTCACACCCAAACCCCAAGTCCTCATGCTCAAAAACCCAGGTTGCCTTGATTTGGTAATAATTTTAGCCCAGAATCCCTTTATCTCTCTGAATGGCAACATGTATAGTAGCTTTTAAGCTTGATGCGATTAAATTCCACATACCAATTTTGAGATAAATCTCAGGAAAGTAATAAAGGGTGAAGAGGAGAAGCTTCCAAAACTTTTTAAAAAATAATTTAAAAAAGGGAATCACAGGAGTCTATAAAGGAACTATTTAAATATCATGATACTCCCCAAAGTCTCAGATAGCCAATCTCATGAATTGCAAAAGCCAATTAAAAAACGAACTTCGTTAAGTGAATTCATCTTGCTATGGTAGTTATTAACACTATTTTGGTTGCTTCTCCCCCATATCAAGATGGTAAGAACTTTTAAATTGTTTGCCCATAATTGCAAATGAGAACATATGTCATGAGACAGAAATGTGGTGACCCCAAGGTTTGCAACAACTACATTTACCCTCATTTAATGTTCTGCCTCTATGCTTTCTTTGTCCTTATCTAAAGTGACTGTGCCAGTAAGCACTAGCACACATGCACAGGGCCTGAAGAAAACTAGATCCAAAGAAATGTAAATCCAGCAATGGGTCTAAGAAAATTAGAATTTTGTTTTCTCTAATCTTATACTTCTTCCTTTTCTTGAAAATTTTTATGTCCAAGGTTTTCAAATTCCATACAACACAA
This sequence comes from Homo sapiens, assembly GCF_000001405.40. Classification (NCBI taxonomy): domain Eukaryota; kingdom Metazoa; phylum Chordata; class Mammalia; order Primates; family Hominidae; genus Homo; species Homo sapiens. The sequence continues at coordinate 13,559,971 of NC_000021.9, forward strand.
TATTTTGCCAAAATTATCCAATATTTTAATTATCACTACACAGTACTTGATCATACAACAGACATAAGTGGGTAAAACTGCCCAGATATAAAAATAGCTTGCTTTGGGATGTTATGGAAACATATCCCATTAGAGCTGCAGAAAGACTTAGGAAATCTACAGAGAAGAGCAGGCGACAAAGACAAAAGTAAATGTTGTGGCACAGAGTGAGTGCCCAGGAAATTTGATGAGCTTAATTGAGGAAAGGAGCCCAATCGTTAGCCCAGACTGATAGACCACATTTCTTCTTCACATCTTCTAATTTTCACAGGCATTTCAGTTCTTCTGTTTCCAAATCTAGTCCTCCTTTAGTCTCCCTTAACCAGGGTAACAGCATTTGTATTCCCGCAGTGGCTTCAGCCAGAAACTTCTCTCCTTCCATTTTCTTACTCCCACTTCCATCAAAGCTTTCTATTACAGTTTCCCTTGTCTAAACCTTCCCTTTCTTTCTCCTTAAACGTTTCGAAGGGCTTCTAATAATCTCCAACTCTCTGCACTGATTTTTTTCCAGTCAATTTCTCCTGAATGCTCAGAGCAGTCTTTAAAAATAAGATAAATCTTTAAAAATAAGATAAATAAGTCAAACAACTTTAAAATGATAAACATGCAGTCATTCCTCTGTATACATGGGTTCTGTGTCTATGGATTCAATCAATCACAGATCAAAAGTATTTAGAAAAAAACAATTCCACAAATCTTCAAAATCAAAACTGAAATTTGCAACACACCAAGTACTACATTGAATTCACTTAAACGAAGTGATATGTAGACATTGTATTAGATATTATAAGTAATTTAGAGATGATTTAAAAGTATATGGGAGAATGTGCATAGGTTATATGCAAATGCTACACCACTTTATACCAGGGACTGAAGCATCCATGGGTTTTGGTATCTGCGGGCATCTTGGAACCAATTCCCCATAGACACCAAGGGACCATCATAGTCCCCATTGCTCTAGAAATATAATCCAGTCTCCATAATGAGCCCTTGATATCCTGTATTTTACATATTAACCTTCAGCTTCATCTCTTCTCACTCATTGGTCATTCACTAAAGTCCTGCTTTCATTTTCTGAAACACATAATCCATTTCCACTTCAGGGAGTTTCCATTTCTCTCTTGTCTGCCTGAATATTGTTTCCTTCGGCTCTTCTATTGTATATCCTTCTCACTGGAACTAAATAAAAGATTATTCATTACACAGAGCAGAGAGAGGCTTTTTCTGAGCACCATTCCACCCTCTTCACTCCTTTGTTTTTTCTCATCTCACATTATTTACTACCTTCGTAACACTCATTAAACTTTTAATTTGCTCGTTTGATTTTCTTACATGTTTTTGTTTCTCTCTCCTTCCTGCATCTCCACTCCAAGACTGTGGGACTCGTGGGGAAAAACTGAGTGTCTTAGGATCACTATCATCACCCCAACACCTGGCCCAGAACCTAGCAAATAGTAGATGCCCACAGAATATTATTGATTCACTGAATAAATGAGTGTACAAGCGGCTGCGAGGTGGTTACTTTTTACCTTTCAAAAATACCATAAAACTCTTTTTTTTAAAAAATGAGAATGTTATAATGGGGTCATACATATGTTTTTATTGACACTGGCTTCTTTTACTCAACATAATGCCTTTGAGATTCACCCCAGTTACTCTGTGAATCAATCGTTGGTTCCTTTAAATTGATGAGTGGTATTCTGCACTGACTCTGGACTTGGCCATGTGTCTTGTTCTGCTGAAAGGAATAATAGCACAAGAGAGTTTTGCATTGGGACTGCCCTCTATTGTTACTATTGGAATACTGAGGCCACCATGGAATTGAGCCTAAGCCAGTCTTTTGGAAGACAAGAAGCAATGATGTCCTGGTAAATGTTTAGGAGCTGGTTCTTGGGGTAAGGGGGCAGAGAAGGCTCTGATTTGTAGTATTTTCCAATGTCTGTGGTACAAATACTCCCACTATGGCAGATTTCAAGCCACCAAGTGTATAATAACTACCTCACAAAACCCCTGATAATGTAAAACAAGCTCTCATTCAGGTATAAGTCACCTCCAGCTGATGACAGATGAGAGACCATGTAGAGAGAATTTGGGGCCTGGCTGACAGTAAACCAGCTCATGTTGCTAACCTGGAGGCTACCAGACATATGAGGGTTGTCAGTATAGATTTTCCAGCTCACCCAGACTTACCAGATATCCTAGTAGAGATCAAACATCTTGGCCCAGACCAGAAAAGGTACTCATCTGGTTTGTGAACAAATATAAAATGGTTCCTAGTTTAATTCAATACATTTTGAGGTGGCTTAATATGGAGCAAAATCTAATAAATACAATTGGCTATCATTTCATTCCATATCACCTATGGGTATCTTGAATATTATAAATAAACAAATGATAAGCAGTTTCTGAAAAAAAATGAGTCTGCAAGTCACCACGAAAAGTAGTAAAATTTTTGTTTTACTGAGATAAGTGGCTACGTTGTTGTCATATTGCTAGTGTACCGCTAGGTTCATGTGGAACTCGAATTATTTTTTTTAAACAGTGAAAATACAGGTTGTAATACCAGGAGTAAAAATAAACTGTCGATGCTAGCATCCCATCCTTGTTGATGTTGCATTTTTTTCTTTTCATTATATGTTGTTGTGACTATTGTTATAGAAAATTTCACACAACTGTCCTCTAATAAACTGTATGTTAATACTAGTGGTCAGTGTTGAGAACCAGACCCAAAACTGAAACCAAATATTTGAAATACAAAGATTTAGAGATGTTCTGCTCCTTTTCTTTTAAGAAAAAACAGAATTTAAATCATCCTGGTGGCACAATAGGAGCTGAGCTAATTTTTTAAATTGAATTTTAATGCCGGATAATTTGCATAGAAATGAACCGAAATAGACCACTCAGAATTAGGTCCCTTCTTGTACAGTTGGACAGTAAGGAGATTTCACCATTATGGACCTATGTAATGATAAGGGGAAGGAAGCACAGAAAACAGTCTTGATGATCATTCTCACACCCTAGAACAAGATATTTGGATTTTCTTCTTGACATGGGCTCTTAGGATATGTATATATGTACTGTATAAATTCATTTCTACTTTGTAAAACCAAACCCATTCCCATTAGTATGAATTCCTTCAACTTTCTCTCTGAAGTATCTAACTTTCTTAACACATCGTCTCCCAACTATAAATTCATCTCTTCCCATTTATACCCTAAACTCTTGAAATCAACTATTACATCATGTCAGTTGTCCCCAGGTCATCATTTCCCATTGATTTCTCTTGAAGTTTTCTTTAGTTGTTTGTTTCATTCTCCACCCTTTTCTATTCTAGGCCCCTGTTGGCTCATTATCATGGCTACATTATCTGGGCTTTTCTGCCTCTAGCCTTTATTGAGATTGGAGAATAAAAGGAGCTGGCAGGAGATTAGAGGGAAAAAGGAGAGAAAGGTCTGGATTTTACTCAGTTTCTCCTCCCTGCCACTTCACTAGAATTCTTCTAGTAATCTATCCTTGAGTATTTATACCTTGTAGGTCCCTTTATGGCTCTAGCTCTCAACAATTTCTGACCATCTACTTGTCTCTCCAGGCCAAGAGTAATAAAGCTTCCTGCTGGTTCTGGTGTTAGGATGCCTCATTTAATCCTGCCAAGATTTTTATAGATAGTTGATTCTCATATTATGTTGAAAACCTTTGCCAAATAGGTTTTATGTTTTCTTCTGTGGCCTTGACTAATACACTTCTTGACCCATTGTAATGGGTCTGCTTCTTGCTCAACACTTACAAAAATGTGACCCACCAAGCTATTTCACTAAATAAATGGCTTCTGGTTTTAGGGGGAATTTTGTCATTCTCCTGTGAGAAGGTGTTAAAGGTACTTTTTTTTTTAATAGCATGCTTTTTTTTTCTGTATATTTTTCTATATATTCAATTACCTACTGAGCATCTCCACTTGTTTTCATATGCACACTTCAAATTCATTATGGACAATATTCAACTTATCTTTCCCTTATGTAACAATTCATAAAGACATTTTTTAAATGAATGAACTCCTGGAGTTGTGTATTGTCTTGCTAGCTCCTCAAGCAAGAAAATTTTACACCAATTTTGTTTCTCCCTTACAGTCAAATGTAGTCAAGTAATAGGCATTATCTATATAATATTACCTATGTAACAAACCCGCACATGTACCTCTGAACTTAAAATAAAAGTTATTAAAAAAAAGAAATGCTGCTGATATTTTTGGTTGATGCTGTATCCTGCAACTTTACTGAATTTATTTATCACTTCTTAGAGCTTTTTGGTTGAACCTTTATATAAAATCTATGTATAAAATCATGAAATAGAAACAATTTGACTTCCTTCTTTCTGAATAGATCCTTTTTATTTATTTTTCTTGCCTAATTTCTCTGGCTAGGACTTTAGTACTACGTTGAATAAAAGTGGTGAAAATTGGCATCTATGTCTTGTTTCAGATCTTAGAGGAAAAGCTTTCAACTTTTCTCCAGTTAGCTGTAGTTTATCATTTTTGGCCTTTATTGTGTTGAGGTACATTTTGTTGAGAGTTTTAATCAAACAGCATTGTTGAATATTGTCAAATACTTTTTCTGTTTATCAAAGTGATAGATTAGCTTGTGTCCTTGATCCTGCTAATGTGCTATATCACATTTATTGTATTATGTAGGTTGTATTATCTAGAATGAATCCCATTTGATCATGGTGAATGATCTTTTTAATGTGCTGTTGAATTTGGTTTGCTAGTATTTTCTTAAGGATTTTTGCATCTATTTTTATCAGAGATATTGTCCTGTCATTTCATATTTTGTTGTGTCCTTGACTGGTTTTTGTATCAGTTATGCCAGCATTGTAGAATGAGTTTGGACGAATTCTCTCATCTTCAATTATTTTGAAATAGTTTGAAAAGTATCGATAACATCTTTTAAATGTTTGGTAGATTTCAGTAGTGAAGCCATCATATCTGGAGCTTTTCTTTGATGGGAGACTTTTTATTATAGATTCTATGTTGTTGCTCACTATTGGTCTCTTCAGATTTTCTACTTTTTCATAATTCAATTTTGGTAGGTTGTATATGTATATGTTGGCATGTAGTTGTTCATAATAGTCTCTTATAATCCTTTGTATTGCTGTTACATCAGTTGTAATGTATACTTTTTTATTTCTGATTGTATTTGAACCTTCCATCTACTTTTCTAAGTTAATCTAATTAAAGGTTTGTTTCTGTTCAAGGATTTCTGTATTGTTTTAGTCACTATTCCACTTATATCCACTCTCATTTATTTCTTTTTTCTACTAATTTTGTGTTTGTTCTTGTTGTTCTAGTTCCTTGAGGTATGAGGTTAGACTGTTTATTTGAGATTTTTTGTATTTTATGGTGTAGGTGTTTATTGCTGTAAACTTCCCTCTTGGAACTGCTTTTGCTGTATTCCATAAGTTTTCATATACTGTGTTTCCAATTTCATTTGTCTCATGAAGTGTTTGAATTTTCTTTTTAACTTATTCATTAATCCATTTGTTATAGAGGAGTATGTTGTTAAATTTACATGTATTTAAATGGTTTCTAAAGTTTTTACTGTTAGTGATTTCTAGTTTTATTCCATCATGGTCAAAAGAGATACTTGATTTTGATTTTTACAGATTTGCTGAGATTTGTTTTGTGGCCTAACATCTGATCTACCCTGAAGACACTTCCATGTGCTGATGAGGAGAATGCATACTCTTCAGCTGTTGAGTGGGATGTTCTGTGTATATCTGGTAGGTCCACATGATCTAGAGTGCGCTTTATATTTGTTGTTTTTTTTTTGCTGAATTTTTGTCTAGATGATCTGTCCTTTGCCAAAAGTGAGATATCGAAGTCCTCTGTTATTATTGCGTTAGAGTCTATCTCTCCCTTTACATCTAATAATATTTGCTTTATATGCCTGGGTGTTCTGGTTTGAGATTCATATATATTTGTAGTTGTTATATCCCCTTACTGAATTGACCCGTTCATCATATCATGACCATCTTTGTCTCTTTTCACAGTTTTTGACTTAAAGTCTATTTTATCTGATCTAAGTATAGCTACTTTTGCTCTCTTTTGATTTCCATTTGCATGGCATATAGTTTTCTCTTCTTTATTTTTAGTCAATATGTGTCCTTACAGGTGAAGTAAGTCTCCTGTAAGCAGTATATAGTTGTATGTTTTTAAAATGCATTCAGCCATCTTTTAATTACAGAATTTAATACACTTATATTGAAGGTTATTATTAATAGTTATGGATTTACTGTTGCGATTTTGTTCATTGTTTTCTGGTTATTTTGTAGGTCTTTGTTTCTTTCTTCCTCTCTTCTGTTTGCTTTTGTGGTTTCATGGTTTTATTCCATTCTCTTTTTCATTTGCATATATGCTGTAACTTTTTTCTTTTTTGTTACTCTGGGGCTTACATAACAAATCTTATAGTTCTAAAGGTTTATTTTAAGCTAATAACAATTTAACTGATTGCCTGCAAATATTCTAGACTTTTACCCTCCAACCCAATTTATAATTTTCTTGTCTTAATTCACATCTTTTATATGGTTTATTTCTAAAAAACTTATTGTAGCTATGGTTATTGTTGACCATTTTGACTTTTAACCTTCATACTGTATACCACCACTACAATACTGTAGCACTCTGAATTTAATTATGAGTTTACTTCTACCAGTGAGTTTAAATACTTTCATGGTAGTAATTAACATCCTTTCACCTCATGGTGGCAATTAACATCCTTTGAAACCGTCTTTTAAGCATTTCTTGTACAGCTGTTCTAGTGGTGATGAATTCCATCAGCTTTTGCTTGTCTGGGAAAGACTTTGCTTCTCCTTCATATTTAAAGAATAACTTTGATGAGTATACTGTTCTTGACTAGAAGTTTTTTTTTTTCTCTCAGCACTTTGAATATATTATCCCATTCTTTCCTGGCCTGCAAGGTTGAGAAATATTCTGAGAAATATGCTGATAGTCCAAGCAGCAAGATAACAGCCATGAAGTCCCATATAGGGGGATTTCCTCATAAGAAAATGTCTTAGGCTGCAGGAGTTTGTGAGGCTGCTGTGCTAGCTTGGGTACAGCCTCATCACTGGGCATGAGTGCCTGTTCCTTGGGGAACAGGGTGCCACATGGGCTCAGGTGCTAAGGTTACAGCTGTTGTGCTGGTCCTCGGCTCTGAGTAGATGGAGCCAAGATACCGCAGTCACTGGGATGGAAAGATGGAGTGCCTTCTTGGCAGTTTGTTTCCATGGGGTTAGAAGTTGTAGCTGCTCAGCTGCAGAATGGTGCGCTACCATGAGTAGGTGTGGTGTAGTGGCAGTGAAGCCTAGGATATGGGAAGATAGAGTGGCTACTGGCCCCCAAATGAGAAGGCACCCTAGCAGTGGCTTCAGTCTCAAGATGTCATTACACTGCAGCAGCTTCGATAATAGGGCAGGATGAGACATAATGTGAGCTCCTTGTTTGGAGTAACATAGACATGTGAACTCCAGGCAACTCCTCAGGCTGGGCCTAGGACCTGTAAGGACTACAGTGATCTCCAGGAGCAAAGATTGTGGGTGTCCACATTTTAATTTGTGTTGCTAAGGGCCTCCTGCATACCTTTTCTCTGTAAGGAGAGTCTGCCCTGGCTCTGACCTCATCCCACTAGGAGAGAAAAGATGGTAAAGGCAGAGTGTTCCATTCCCTTTTTTATATGGCCATCCTGAGTCTCCGTGATCCACATGGTCTCTGCCATTTCCTTGTTGTACTCCAGGGCTCTCTTTCATATATTTTAGTTGAAATGTGGTTATTTATTTGTTTCTTTGGTCCTTTTGTGTGGTGGCCGGGGAGGAGGTTGAGTGTTAGGAACTTCTAGTCAGCTATCTTATTGGTGTCACTTCCTCTTGCATCTTCTTGATTTAAGATTTATTTAGGATCCCAGAGTCTTCTGCATCCTCTTGGCAGACAAAGGACTAAAGAGTTAAGGCAGACTTCATTATTACTATGTTAGTCAAATTATTTCTTTTTGTTGATAAGAATATGATATTTTGTTGGTAAGAATAGGACATATGGCCTTGCTTAGAAGAAAGGTGACTAAGAATTGTAGTTCTGGAAGGGGAGCTATTTTCCAGTAACAGCTCTACACTCTAGAAGAAGATATAAGAAAATTGATGAATACTTAGTTCCCTGTAATTTACTCTGTCTCCTATAATCTGAGATTTTAATTTCTCCAGTGCAGTGTTTATCTGATTATCCTTTGTAGATAATTTCCTTTGTAAGTAAAGTTCTGTACTAGGGAGAACTTCACTTTTCTTCTTTGTCTACTAACATACTTCAGGCCTCAGATTTGTCTTACCTGCTCTTAAGTCTTTATCAAAGCAATTTAGACTCTATAGCTATTTGTTTAACCTACCTTTTCCACTAGGACTGGGAGATTTTTCATTTTTCTCATCATTAAATTCCCAGTAGTTAGCAGAAATTCTGGATAGAATAAAAACTTTATTAATATTTGTTGAAGAAATTCATACATCACTTAAGCCTGTTCTTTACGCATTTAATTTTTAGTAAACTCTTTACTGAGGTGTAACAGAAACATAAAAAATCACAAATCATAAGTGTATGTATAGTTTGATGAATGATGAATCACCATTGTATTAGTTTCCTACAGTAACAAATTACTGCACACTTGGTGGCTCATAAGAACAGAAACATATTTTCTCTTAGTTATGGAGGACAGAAATTCAAAATCAGTATCACTGGATCAAAATCAAGATGTTAACAGGGCCACACTTCTTTCAGAAACTCTGGAGAAAAATCTGTTTCTTGCCATTTCCAGCTTCTGGTGTCCGTGAGGATTCCTTGGCTATTGGCCACATCACTCTCACATCTTCAAATCTCTTTGCTCCAACTTTATATCAATCTACCACTTTATGTATAAGGTCTCTCTTAGCCTTCCTCTTACACAGATACATGTGATTGAATTTTAGGCCCAGCTAGATAATCCAGGATGATCTCCAGATTTCAAGATTCATAAATTAAGCACATCAACAAATACCCCTTTTTTCAAATATAAGGTAAAATTTATAAATTTCAGGAATGAAGACATGAATACCTTTTGGGAGACTACCATACCTTCACATGAACTCAGCCACATGACTATTTAATAGATTGATCTAAAGAACATTACCAGCCCCTAAGTTATTCTTCCTTTTAAACTTTCTATCAGTTTTTGACTTTGTTAACTGAAGAGTAATTAGTCCCCTGACTTCTAACAAAATGGATTACATTTGCCATTTTAGAATTTATATAAAGTAATACAGTTTGTTTTAACTATTGTCTGACTTTTTGCTCAGCATACATCTATGTTTTGGTGTACAATTATAGTTCTTTTATTCTCGTTGTTATATGGTAATCTATTTTATTAATATACCAATATTTAGTCTATTGTTGGGCATATGGCTTGTATTACAGTTCTGCTACTAATAGAACTGCTATGAATATTTCATACATGCCTTTTAGTATATATTGTATGTTGGACATACAACTAGGAGAAAATTAGTAGAATTAGTGTGTGGTAGAGTAGTATATGTGTGTTCACTTTTGGTATATTCTTCCAGCTTTCCAAAACGATTGTATAAATGCATGTTTCAGTAATAGTCTGTGAGAGTTTCTGTTGCTCCACATCCTAATTAACATCTAGGAGAGTATTACTTTTTCAGTTTAGCCATTCTGATGTATATAAATAAATATTGCATTAAAATTCAATACGTATATGAATAATTATTAATACAGTTAAGCAAACTTTCATATGCTTATTGAGCATTTGAATATCTCCTTTTGTAAAGGGCTTATCAAGTTTTTGCCCATTTATCCATTAGTCTGCTTTTTTCTTACTGATTTATGAGCAGACTTTTAGTATTTTCAATATAAAGTTTAAAAGGAGGAATATCTTGGGGGCTGCTTATATGCTTAGTAAATTTCTTTTTCCAAATTATGAGCTGCATTTTCACTCTCATAATGTCTTTAATGATGATTATGTATTTTAATGAAGTCTAGCTTGTCATTTTTTCTTTTAAGTTTAAAATAATTTGTCATATTTAAGAAATCCTTGCATATACAAAAGTCATGAAAACATTCTCCTATGTCTCCTATATCATCTTCTAAAAGCTTTATTTTTATTTATATAGAGATATATATTATTCTGAATTATTTTTGTGAATTTTGTGAATTTAGAGCCAAGCTTTTTTGTAGTTGTTTGTTCAAGGTAGGAGTATAATTGCCAAGCATCATATTTTTGTTTCTTCTCTTCATTATCCTATTTCTCATAGATCAGGTAACTATATACTTTCTTTTTGTTCCCAGAATCTCTAATGTGTTTCACTAGCATGTTTCTTTTTTCTTTACCAATACAAGATTTCAATATATAGTCTTTTGTTTAACTTTTATTTTTATTTCAGGGGTATACGTGCAGGTTTGTTTTATAGGTAAATTATATGTCACAGATGTTTGTTATACAGATTACTCTGTTACCCAGGTAATAAGCATAGTACTCAATAGGTGGTTTTTGGATTTTCCCCCTTCTGCCACCCTTCTCTCTGTAGTAAGCCCCAGTGTCTATTGTTTTCTTTTTCATGTCCATTCCTACTCAATGTTTAGCTCCCACTTACGAGTGACTACATGTGGTATTTGGTTTTTTTGTTTCTGTTTCTGTGTGTCTTTGCTTAGGATAATGGCCTTCAGCTTCATCTATGCTGCTGCAAAGGACATGATATCATTCTTTTTTATGGCTGCATTGTATTCCATGGTGTATATGTATCTTGTTTTCTTCATACAGTCTACTATTTATGGGCATCTAGGTTAATTCCATGTCTTTGGAAATGCAAAGAGGCAAGAATAGTCAAGAAAGTTTCAAAGGATGACATAGTCTACCATATATGAAGACTTCTTGTGTCTTTTTTCAAAATTTGAAGAAAGTCTTGATATATGCAGTGTATGCCTGCCTTCAGAATTTCTTTGGATATTCTTACCTCTTTGTATTTGCATATAAATTTTAGAATCAGCTTGTCAATTAGCTCAAATATATTATTAGAAATTTGATTGAGATTGCATTAAATCTATGGATCAATTTGGGAAAAATTAACCATTATCAAACAACATTGCTAAATGCACTAGTTAACCTTAATAGCTTAAAATATTTTCTACATATATACAGACATACAGAAATGTGTATTATATATATACAGAAAAAAATGTTTTTCTAAAATTATATTCAACTCTTTCAGTTATTTTTAAATACACAATGAATTATAGTTAACTATAGTCACCCTATTGTGTTACCGAATACTAGACTTTATTCCTTCTAACTGTATTTTTGTACCCATTAACCATATCCTCTTTATATCTCCCTCCCCACTACCCTTCCTAATCTCCAGTAGCCATCATTCTACTTTCTCTCTCTATGAGTTCAATTTTTTTTAGCTGAGATATGAGTGAGAAATATGAGTGAGAACATGTGATAGTTGTCTTTTCATGCCTGATTTACTTCACTTAACATGATGTCCTCCAGTTCCATCCATGCTTTGCAAATAACAGGATTTTATCATTTGTATAGCTGAAAAATATTTCACTGTGTATGTGCACCACAGTTTAATTATCCGTTCATCCATTGATAGACACTTTGGTTGATTCCATATTTGGCTATTGTGAATAGTGCTGAAATAAACATGAGAGAGCAGATATCTCTTCAATATACTGATTTCCTTTCTTTTGGATATAGACCCAGGAATGAGCCATCTCGGCTCACTGCAAGCTCTGCCTCCGGGGTTCACGCCACTCTCCTGCCTCAGCCTCCCGAGCAGCTGGGACTGCAAGCACCCGCCACCACGCCCGGCTAAGTTTTTGTATTTTTAGTAGAGACAGGGTTTCACCATGTTAGCCAGGATGGTCTCAATCTCCTGACCTCGTGATCCGCCTGTCTCGGCCTCCCAAAGTGCTGGGATTACAGGCGTGAGCCGGAAAAAAGATCTCGTATACACTATCGGTGGGAAAATAAACTAGCACAGCCACTATGAAGAACAATACAGAGTTGCCTTTAAAAACCAAACCAAAAGAAAACAAAAAAACTACAAATAGAACTACATATGATCCATCTATCCCACTACTGGGCATTTATCCAAAGGAAAGAAAATCAGTATATCAAAGAGACATTTGTAGCCTCATATTTATTGCAGCACTATTCACAATAACCAAGACGTGGAATGCACCCATGTCTGACAGCAGATGAAGAGATTTTTTTAATGCAGTACAAATATACAATGGAATATTACTCAGCTATAAAAATAACAATCATGTTATTTGCAACAACATGTATGAGACTGGGGTACGTTATGTTAAGTGAAATAAAGCAGGAACAAAAAGCTGTTCATCACATGTTCTCATTCTTATGTGGAAATTTTAAAAAGTTAATCTTGGCCAGGCGCGGTGGCTCACGCCTGTAATCCCAGCACTTTGGGAGGCCGAAGCAGGTGGATCACCTGTCAGGAGTTTGAGACCAGCCTGGCTGACATGGCGAAACTCTGTCTCTACTAAAAATACAAAAATTAGCCGGGCATGGTTGCAGGTGCCTGCGTTCCCAGCTATTCCGGGAGGCTGAGGCAGGAGAATCGCTTGAACCCTGGAGGCAGAGGTTGCAGTGAGCAGAGATCGTGCTATTGCACTCCAGCCTACACAACAGGGCGAGATTCCGTCTCAAAACAAAACAAAACAAAAACTTGATCTTACAGAAGGAAAAAGCAGAATAGAGATTACTAGAGGCTGAAAAATGTAGAGAAAAAAGGAGAAAGGAGACATTTGTTAAAGGACACAAAATCACAGCTAGATTAGAGACATAAGTTCTTATGTTTTATAGCACTGTAGGATGACTATAGCCAAAAATAATATTTTTTATATTTTCAAATAGCTAGAAGAAAAGATATCAAATATTCCCAACAAAAAATGATAAATGTTTGAAATGATGGGTATGCTAACTACCCTGATCTGATCTCTACATATTATATGTATCACATCACTATGTACCACATAAATATGTAGAATTATTGTCAATTAAAAATAAACTTAAGAATATAAGAACACAAAGAAAATCAATTATACTAAACTGTGGTATTCAAATATTTTTTCAATGGTGATATAGTAATACAAGTGCTTTCTGAACACACTGAATAAGATCTAGTGAGAATCTAATAGCTAAACCAATTTTAAAATAGTAATGTTCCATAAACAGAACTAAAAACAAAAACCACATGATTATCTCAATAGATGCAGAAAAGGCTTTCAATAAAAGTCAGCATTCCTTCATGATAAAAACACTGAACAGACTAGACTTTGAAGGAACATACCTCAAAATATTGAGCCATATATGACAAACCCACAGCCAACATTATACTGAGTTGGCAAAAGCTGGAAGCATTCCACTTGAAAACTGGCACAAGACAAGGATGCCCTCTCTCACCACTCCTATTCAACATAATATTGGAAGTTCTGGCCAGGGCAGTTAGGCAAGAGAAAGAAATACAGGGCATTCAGATAGGAAGAGTGGAAGTCAAACTATCCTTACTTGCAGATGACATGATCCGGTATCTGGAAAACCTCATAGTCTCAGCCCAAAAGACTCTTAAGCTGATAAACGACTTTAGCAAAGTCTTGGGATACAAAATCAATGTTCAGAAATCACTAGTATTCCTATACATGAACAACAGTCAGGCTGAGAGCCAAATCAGGAATGAAATTCCATTCGCAATTGTCACAAAAAGAATAAAATACCTAGGAATAAAGCTAACTAGGGAGGTGAAATATTTTTACAAGGAGAACTACAAAACACTGCTCAAAGAAACCAGAGATGACACAAACAAATGGAAAAATACTCCATGCTCATGGATAGGAAGAATCTATATCTTTAAAAGGGCCATACTGCCCAACGCAATTTATAGATACAGTGCTATTTCCATCAAACTACCATTGACATTCTTCACAGAACTAGAGAAAACTATTTTAAAATTCATATAGAACCATAAAAGAGACTGAATAATCAAGGCAATCCTAAGCAAAAGTAACAAAGATGATGGCATCATGCTCCCTGAATTCAAACTATATTACAGGGCTACAGTAACCAAAACAGTTTGGTAATGGCACAAAAATAGACACATAGACTAAGAAACAGAATAGAGAACCCAGAAATAAGACCACACACCTACAACTATCTGATATTTGACAAACCTGACAAAAACAAGCAATGGAAAATGAATTCTCCATTCAATAAATGGTGTTGGGATAACTAGCTAGCCATTGTCTTAGTAGCCTAGACAACTGCCTTGTCTAGGGAGATGGCAGCAGAGATGAAGAGACATAAATTAAGTCAGTATATATTTTTAAAATAGGAGGACTATTTAGTGGATTGTATGGAGTAGTGGATGAGAAAAAAGGGGGAATCAAAATTGTGAATTTATTAATAGCTAACTATTTATTTGACTGCATCCATTTTTCCTCTCATTCTACCTCCAATTTCTTCTCTTTGTACCTCAGACTCATCTTCCTTCTTTGATGACAAGGGCTCTAAAGTGAGTCACCTAAACTGCAGTCTGAGGAGGAGTCAAGGGTACTGCAAATGTGAGAGCCAGATTCAGATACTGGCATGTGGAACAAGTTGAAGAATGGCTAATCTGACGTTCTGTATTTATCCAGAAATTTTAACTAGGCTCCATGAGTAAGGCTTTGAGGGCACAGTTCAGGGCTTAGCTGATTCCCCCCAAATGAGCTCTACTACCAGAAATTCCCTGGTAGAGATTATTTATTCTCCAGCTTTAGGGCTTTTATTAGATGAAATGTCTTACTTCATGCTTTAATTTTATGGTTCTATTTTTAACAATTTCCTGAACAGTACATTCTACCATGTCTCAAAATAAACAATTTGTTATATTTTTATAAATCTGGACAAAGTCTGCCTTGTTTATTAACGTGTTTTTAAAAAATTCAATAGATAACTATTAAGTCATTTACTTCTCAGTTAATTTATAGAAGACAGCATTTCCATTAGTATCTTTTGAATAGGTAAGAGATGAAGGACAAAATACTTTAGACTTTTAAACTATGTTTATTTTATTTAAAATCATTGCTGTGAAAAAAAAACAAGACATTGACCTATTGAACATAGTGTATTATTTTTCCTTTTATGCAATCTTGGCATATTCTTCAATTCAAAATAAGAAACCCCAAAAGTATATAATACTTCTTTGGAAAAATATGCAAAGGCCAACACATACAAAGGACAATGCTAGCTACAGAAATGCGTCAAAGACTAATAATAATTGACAAAAATCCAGTATTTTAACAATAATTAATACCAGGTAAATTGATACATCCTATTACAGTATGAAATTCTGCCATTTAATTTCAAGTAAGAACCCTTATTTCCATTCTAGTACCTGCTGTCTTATGCATGTTTAACACAACAACAACAATAATATAAGTAGTTAGCATATATTAAAGCATTAACGAACACCAAGCATTGTTAAATATATTACATGTATTTTTGCTTAATTTTCACAACATTACTAATGGTTAAATATTATTACCACATTTTGTAGGGCAAAAAACTGAGGCTTAGAAACATTGAAAAAAACTTGCTCAACGTTGCAAAACAAGAAATTTGTGACACTGGAATTGACATCTACAAGGGACTGATGTAACTAATTGCTGGATACATGTCCCTCAAAGACACAGAAACAGATCTTGTATTCTAGTGGATCTCCGGCACCCAGTGAGGGCCTGAAACAGAGTACATGTCCAACAAATAATTATTGAAGTAAAGATTGACATTTCAGGAGCAGAGATTAATATTCAAAAACAAAGATGAGAATTTTGGCAGAAAAGTCAAAATGAGGTAAAAGTACATTTCCACCTTAACTTTTTTTAATTTGCTTAGCTGACATAAGGAAGAGTTTATAATTTGTTTGTTTTTTTTAATTTTATTATTATTATACTTTTAAGTTTTAGGGTACATGTGCACAATGTGCAGGTTTGTTACACATGTATACATGTGCCATGCTGGTGTGCTGCACCCATTAACTCCTCATTTAGCATTAGGTATATCTCCTAATGCTATCCCTCCCCCCTCCCCCCACCCCACAACAGTCCCCAGAGTGTGATGTTCCCCTTCCTGTGTCCATGTGTTCTCATTGTTCAGTTCTCACCTATGAGTGAGAATATGCAGTGTTTGGTTTTTTGTCCTTGCGATAGTTTACTGAGAATGATGATTTCCAATTTCATCCATGTCCCTACAAAGGACATGAACTCATCATTTTTATGGCTGCATAGTATTCCATGGTGTATATGTGCCACATTTTCTTAATCCAGTCTATCACTGTTGGACATTTGGGTTGGTTCCAAGTCTTTGCTATTGTGAATAGTGCCGCAATAAACATATGTGTGCATGTGTCTTTATAGCAGCATGATTTATAGTCCTTTGGGTATATACCCAGTAATGGGAAGGCTGGGTCAAATGGTATTTCTAGTTCTAGATCCCTGAGGAATCATCACACTGACTTCCACAATGGTTGAACTAGTTTACAGTCCCACCAACAGTGTAAAAGTGTTCCTATTTCTCCACATCCTCTCCAGCATCTGTTGTTTCCTGACTTTTTAATGATTGTCATTCTAACTGGTGTGACCTGGTATCTCATTGTGGTTTTGATTTGCATTTCTATGATGGCCAGCGATGGTGAGCATTTTTTCATGTGTTTTTTGGCTGCATAAATGTCTTCTTTTGAGAAGTGTCTGTTCATGTCCTCCGCCCACTTTTTGATGGGGTTGTTTGTTTTTTTCCTGTAAATTTGTTTGAGTTCATTGTAGATTCTGGATATTAGTCCTTTGTCAGGTGAGTAGGTTGCAAAAATTTTCGCCCATTTTGTAGGTTGCCTGTTCCCTCTGATGGTAGTTTCTTTTGCTGTGCAGAAGCTCTTTAGTTTAATTAGATCCCAGAAACCAACGAGAACAGAGACACAACATACCAGAATCTCTGGGACACATTCAAAGCAGTGTGTAGAGGGAAATTTATAGTACTAAATGCCCACAAGAGAAAGCAGGAAAGATCCAAAATTGACACCCTAACATCACAATTAAAAGAATTAGAAAAGCAAGAGCAAATACATTCAAAAGCTAGCAGAAGGCAAGAAATAACTAAAATCAGAGCAGAACTGAAGGAAATAGAGACACAAAAAGCCCTTCAAAAAATTAATGAATCCAGGAGCTGGTTTTTTGAAGGATCAACAAAATTGATAGACCACCAGCAAGACTAATAAGAAAAGAGAGAAGAATCAAATAGACGCAATACAAAATGGTGAAGGGAATATCACCACCGATCCCACAGACATACAAACTACCATCAGAGAATACTACAAACACGTCTATGCAAATAAACTAGAAAATCTAGAAGAAATGGATAAATTCCTCAACACATACATCACCCCCAAGACTAAACCAGGAAGACGATGAATCTCTGAATAGACCAATAACAGGCTCTGAAATTGTGGCAATAATCAATAGCTTACCAACCAAAAAGAGTCCAGGACCAGATGGATTCACAGCTGAATTCTACCAGAGGTACAAGGAGGAACTGGTACCATTCCTTCTGAAACTATTCCAATCAATAGAAAAAGAGGGAATCCTCCCTAACTCATTTTATGAGGCCAGCATCATCCTGATACCAAAGTCTGGCAGAGACACATCCAAAAAAGGGAATTTTAGATCAATATCCTTGATGAACATTGATGCAAAAATCCTCAATAAAATACTGGCAAATCGAATCCAGCAGCACATCAAAAAGCTTATCCACCATGATCAAGTGGGCTTCATCCCTGGGATGCAAGGCTGGTTCAATATACACAAATCAATAAATGTAATCCAGCATATAAACAGAACCAAAGACAAAAACCACATGATTACCTCAACAGATGCAGAAAAGGCCTTTGACAAAATTCAACAACGCTTCATGCTAAAAACTCTCAATAAATTAGGTATTGATGGGATGTATCTCAAAATAATAAGAGCTATCTATGACAAACCCACAGCCAATATCATACTGAATGGGCAAAAACTGGAAGCATTCCCTTTGAAAACTGGCACAAGACAGGGATGCCCTCTCTCACCACTCCTATTCAACATAGTGTTGGAAATTCTGGCCAGGGCAATTAGGCAGGAGAAGGAAATAAAGGGTATTCAATTAGGAAAAGAGGAAGTCAAATTGTCCCTGTTTGCAGATGACATGATGGTATATCTAGAAAACCCCATTGTCTCAGAACAAAATCTCCTTAAGCTGATAAGCAACTTCAGCAAAGTCTCAGGATACAAAATCAATGTACAAAAATCACAAGCATTCTTATACACCAATAACAGACAAACAGCCAAATCATGAGTGAACTCCCATTCACAATTGCTTCAAAGAGAATAAAATATCTGGGAATCCAACTTACAAGGGACGTGAAGGACCTCTTCGAGGAGAACTACAAACCACTGCTCAAGGAAATAAAGGAGGATACAAACAAATGGAAGAACATTCCATGCTCATGGCTAGGAAGAATCAATATCTTGAAAATGGCCATACTGCCCGAGGTAATTTATAGATTCAATGCCATCCCCATCAAGCTACCAATGACTTTCTTCACAGAATTGGAAAAAACTACTTTAAAGTTCATATGGAACCAAAAAAGAGCCCGCATCGCCCAGTCAATCCTAAGCCAAAAGAACAAAGCTGGAGGCATCACGCTACCTGACTTCAAACTATACTACAAGGCTACAGTAACCAAAACAGCATGGTAGTGGTACCAAAACAGAGATATAGATCAATGGAACAGAACCGAGCCCTCAGAAATAATGCCGCATATCTACAATATCTGATCTTTGACAAACCTGATTAAAATAAGCAATGGGGAAAGGATTCCCTATTTAATAAATGGTGCTGGGAAAACTGGCTAGCCATATGTAGAAAGCTGAAACTGGATCCCTTCCTTACACCTTATACAAAAATCAATTCAAGATGGATTAAAGACTTAAACGTTATACCTAAAACCATAAAAACCCTAGAAGAAAACCTAGACATTACCATTCAGGACCATGGGCAAGGACTTCATGTCTATAATTTGTTAAAATGAACTAGTGTTTCCAATTTAAAATGTGGTTTTCTATCTGGCTCCAACACTACATTTCTTCATAAGCTTCTGCACATTATTTAATGTTAAATATTTGGATTGGAGGTTGTGTTGAAGCATGTTTTACAATTATCTTGGACTTTTAAGTGGCAAAACTATTAATGCCATTTCTTTCTTTGCAAGGCAAAGTCATGTTTTTCTTATGCTACTCGCTGTTCAAATCTATGATGACTGATTGCTTCCGGAACTCTTCTTATATACATCAGTCATTTTAAGTAGACACATTTTTATCAGTATATCAAAATACCATGCAATCTAACCTAGTTTTGTCACCCCAACCATATTAGTGATGGAAAACTGGAAAACGTTCTATTCGTTTTTCTGTCATATGTCTTAACAAGCTGCAGTCTTAGAGACATGCTAAAACTAGAATATCGAATTTAACCTGCTAGTGACTTTTTTTGAAAGAAGTTATTCTTCAAAGGCATACTACTTTAATATAAGATGTATTTTGGGAAGAAGTTTTAGGAAAATAGAAATGACATTTTTAGAACCCATTCTGTATTACTTTCCATAAAGCAGTCATGACAAATATTTAATTTACCTTTTACAATATTTTTAGAGATGAAAAAGGGAGAGAGGTAAAGTGAATCCCCAGGGATAATACAACTAGGAAATGACAGAATCAAGATTTAATTCCAGGGTCCATGTTTGTCTACAGAAATGTCTTTGCCCCTTACAGTGGTTCAGCCTTAAATCTGTCCTGTGAATTCTCTGGACCTTCAATACTTCAGCTGTTAGAAAATTGGACTGGCTGGCTGATTTCCAAAGACTCTCTTGTAATAAAAAATCTGTTTAACATGATCAATAATATACCAAATTAGGGAGAATCATGCTAAGTATTTCTTAAATTCTTTTTTTCCTTTCCATAGGTTATATTATGTTGAAAATTAGACACAAAGCTTCTTCTAAGACTAATAATATGCTGCAATATTTATTTTGGAAATGAAAGCTTATGATTAATTTAATAGCTAATATTTTTCCCAAACATTGAGTCTTGGTAGTAAATAAATTCATCATACTTATAATTTTCAGCCCAATTTTGAAAGCCAGTCAGATTTGAGTAGTTTACTGTCTATGATTTAAACTTTACAAATTATTATTTGATTATTTACTATATTAATTATGAAGTGTGATAGTGGTATAAACACCTATTAAGAAACTGTATTGTTAAATTTCTGAATCTTTGAACTGTTCTCTTATTTTCAGAGTTGACACAGAACTCAAACAACTGAACCGCTTAAATCAAGATTGTTGAACATTAACTAAAAGAATCTCTTCACAGTATAAATTTTCCCATAAAACTATTTCCAGTGTTATACTTGTTTTGTCCTACACTGCTAATTATACTTCTAAATTAATCTAAACACCATCAGAGTACCACAAGGCTGTACAGAATGGGAGTATTCTGGATTAGAAAACAGGAGATTCATATTTTATCTCAGGCTTCTTTAATTAGTCTTAATCCGAGGTATGTTTGTAGGATCCAGAGGTCTATGAAGTCCTGAATTTATGTTCACAATTTTGATTATATGTTCATTTTTCTATGAAAATCACCTTTACATTTCACCAGATTATCAAATAGACCCATAACTCAAAAGGTTTGTAAACACTGCACTAACTTTTCGTCAAGATGTCGCACATTTCTTATCCCTGACTTCTTTTCATAATTTAAACTAAATGATTTGAAAGGTAAATTCTAAGTTTAATTTTTTGATTGCTCTAAGAACATAACTGTTGATATTATATCTCACAAAGGAGATCGCTATTCATTGCATGAAGTATCACGGAGCAGTTTTCCCAAGACTGAAATACTGAATATTCAGTTTCTTCTTCATTGCTGTCTTCACTTCCTGGTTTCTCAAAGTATAGATAAGTGGATTCAGAAAGGGAGTGAAGATGGTATAGAAAACAGAGAGAATTTTGTCTACCAGGAAGTTTGTGGAAGGCCACACATAAATGAAAATACAGGGCCCAAAGAACATTAACACAACAATAAAATGTGCTGTACAGGTAGAAAGAGCCTTGGAGGATCCTGTGGAGGAGTAGTCCCTGATAGTATTAAGAACAATGATGTAGGAGGTGAGCAAAAGCAGAAAACTTGTAAGAGCAGTCACACCACTGGTTGAAATCATGGAGGTCCCAAGAACATAAATATCTATACAAGCTAACTGGATGACCAAAGGAAGATCACAGAAAAAACTGTCTACAACATTGGGAACACAGAAGGGCAAATAGAGGGAAAAACTAATTGGCTCATTGTATGTAGAAAGCCCACTGTCCAACAAGAAACTGCCACAAGCTCAACACACACTCTTTGGCTCATAATTGTTGAATAGCGGAGAGGTTTACATATGGCAATATACCTGTCAAAAGACATGGAGATCAGCAGCACAATCTCAGTCCCATTGAAGAGGTGTAAAAAAAAGATCTGAGAAATGCAGCCTTCAAAAGAGATGGTCTTACGCAGAGCAAAAAAGTCCATAATCATCTTTGGTGTGGCAAAGGAGGACAGGCACATGTCAATGAGACAGGTTGCTGAGCAGGAAGTACGTGCGAGAGTGAAGGTGTGAGGTGGATAGGACAGTGAGTAAAATCAGGCAGTTGCCCAACATGGTCATTAAATAGAAGACAGAAAACACCACAAAAAAGAATATCTGGAGTTCAGGAGAATCAGTAAGTCCAAGTAACATGAATTCAGATACTCTGGAATAGTTAAACCCCTCCATTCATCTGCAGACTCGGCTTTATAATTGTAAAAGGAACAAAATTACAGAGTTTGAAAATGTGATATTTCTACAACCACATATTAACTTATCATTCGCTTAAAGATTGATTACTAGATTCCAATGAAAAATTCTCAGGGTAAACGTTTTTGGGGGGACTCACTTAACAGTTGCTACCAGATATAATCTGAAAAGTTTAACCTCTTGGTTTTGACCAGCATCAGCACACGTTGAGCTGTAGTCATCACATGCCCATACAATTATACACCTATCTGAATACTACTTAACGAGTTATGTAATACACATTTATTGAGGCAGATTACATTACATTTGTGTGCTCTACTGAATAAGGCAGGTAAATAAAACTAAAAATAAAATAAGTGTTGAACTCTCAAAGGTTTCTCTTACACACAAAAATGTGAATATTTTGAATCAACTATTGTTAAACACTAGACTTAACTAAGACTTTAATGATTTCAGAAGATCCATTTAATATCTTATGAGGGTGATAAATTATTTAATTTTTAATTTCTTAATTCCATAAGACAACTGATAACCAAAAGGCATTCTTGTAACCTACAAGAGTTATTCTCCACTTTTGGTAATTTATTATTTCATAGAAACATGTTTTAAAAAGAGAATCTCCCTCCTTTAATTCTCTTCATTCTACCCAAAGCTATATTTTAAACTAGAAAAAACAAACAAAAAAGATACATTAAGAACTCAGAATTATTTTTCAAAATTACTTTTTTCATTTACAGTGCTTCCCAAGTTCTAGAAATTTTATTTCCTATGGAATATCAATGTCTTTACCAAACAGTCAAAAGTGTGGTACAAAACAAGTGAAACTTAGTCCTAGTAAATGAAAGCTAATTTTGTGACCAGGTAGGGTTTACTTTGCCAGCCACCTAATGAAATTTAAGCCTTTGACTACAGAAATTTTAGCTGAGTAACTGGAAATTTGTCCGGGTTGCTGGAAAATTTGATGAGACCAAAATTAATTAAGTAAAAAAATATAGTGTTACATCAGGCATTTATAAGTCTATATGCATCTAAATCATTTTTTTAGTTAAATTGCTTTTTCCACATGTAAAACTACATGAATTCCCTTGTTATATTACACATTTGAATATTTCACTTTATATATTTGAATATTTATCTAGTTTTGATAATAATTTAATTATAATAGATAATGCAATTTTATCTAATCCTGTATTCTAACTTACCGTCTTTGAAAATGCAATATTTCATTCCTTCTTCAATAAAAGTTTTCAAGGTACACTAAAAAAGATTTCATTATGTCAGTGAAACGTGGTGGACGAATGTCAAAAATTTTAAAATATCAATATACTAATATTTAAGTTATAGTCAATATGCTTAGAAAAGAATAAAATCATTGTTATAAACTCAAAGAATGAACAAATGGAAAAAGACTCAAAAATGGGCCGGGCACAGTGGCTCATGCCTGTAATGCTAGCATTGTGGGAGGCTGAGGCAGCGGATGGCTTGAGCGCAGGAGTTTAAGACCAGCCTGGCCACCATGGCGAAACCCTGTCTCTACTAAAAATACAGAAATTTACCAAGCATAGTGGCACACACCTGTAATCCCACACCGGCTTCTCCGGTGGCTAAGGCAGGGGAATCCTTTGAACCTGGGAGGCGGAGGCAGAGGCTACAGTGAGCCAAGAACATGCCACTGCACGCCGGCTTGAGCACTAAGTGAGTACCTGTCTCAAAAAAAAAAAAAAAAAAAAGAAAAGAACTATTTGACTTTTATTTTCTTCATTATCTTCCATTAATTTATTCCCAATGATCCTTCCAAAAATTCTTGAAAATAAATAATAATAAAGAAAATCTTGCATTATGAATGCCTGAGACTACTGACTATTGAAATTTTAGATTGTAGATCAATACACATATAGATTTAACTGTCTGACAGTGCCAATGTATCAATTCAGTGAAAAAATAAGTTTTATGATTATGTGCCCCCTTTTTTCTGAATTAACTGATTCGCTGATTAAATTTGCAGATAAGCTGATTGCTTTTAGTTAAAAGTAGTAGCATGGTTTCTAGTCTAAAGAAAAAGTCTTATCTGATTTGCAGTAAAAGCTAAAACAAGTGTTCCAAAACAATTTTGGCTTCTTTTTTGGATAACTATCACAAATTTTACATTGACTACACATTCTGACTTTAGAATAGAAGGATTATACCAATTGTTCTGTTGCAGCAACTTTCAGAGTCCAGTTAGAAGTGGAAAAATAAAAATGGGAAAAAATCTGATTCATTTTTAAAAATTTTAATTTGTTTTTAATTGTTGCTGTGCAGAAGCAAATGTACTGGAAATGAATTGTACTCAGTTAATTATAATTTACCTTACTATTCCATCCTTAACTCATTCTGTGATTGAACACTAAATATCAAAATTTTAAATATTACTTTCACGGCCGGGTGGAATGGCTCATGCCTGTAATCCCAGCACTTTGGGAGGCCGAGATGGGTGGATCACTTGAGGCCAGGAGTTCAAGACCAGCCTGGTCAACAATGGTGAAACCCCGTCTCTACTAAAAATACAAAAATTAGCCATGTGTGGTGGTGGGCATCTGTAATCCCGGCACCTGTAATCCCAGCTACTCGGGAGGCTGAGGCAGGAGAATTGCTTGAACCCAGGAGACGGAGATTGCAGTGAGCAGAGATCACACCACTCACTCCAACCTGGGAGACAGAGCAAGACTCCATCTCAAAAATAAAAATACAAATAAATGTTACCCTCAGCAATATTTTTCCTTTAGATGACCTCATGTTTTCCCATGTGGAGGAAAATCTGGTTACATCTCCATTTATTTGCACATATTTAAATTGTTTTGTCAATATTGAAAAATTATTTTGGCCGGGTGCAGTGGCTCACACCTATAATCCCAGCACTTTGAGAGGCTGAGGTGGGTGGATCATGAGGTCAGGAGTTCAAGACCAGCCTGGCCAACATAGTGAAATCCCATCTCTACTGAAAATTAAAAAATTTGCTGGGCGTGGTGGTGCATGCCTGTATTCCCAGCTACTTGGGAGGCTGAAGCAGGAGAGTTGTTTGAACCTGGGAGGCAGAAGTTGCAGTGAGCTGAGATGGCGCCATTGCACTCCAGCCTGGATGACAGAGCTAGACTCCATCTCAAAAAAAAAAAAAAAAGAAAAATTGTTTTTAAATTTTGTCATAGAATGATATTCAAGAATTCTTAAAAGGAGTCTATGGCTCAGTAGTTAAGAGTAGTTACGGTATTCTTGACTTCACTTATGTCTCAGTAGCCTAAGATTTGACCTCTACTTGTGAGAATTATATTAGATGGTCTATGTAAAGCTTGAAGCATATTTTCTGGGCAAAATTTAAGGAATTTTCTAGGTTTGAAAATCCAAATTTAACAATGCTGTTCAGAAATAGTGTGTTTTATTATTAATAACATATGCAATAAAAATTCTAATCTATTTAATTTCAGGGATTTAGAAAAAGACCATGTACTACCAAAATAATTTCATCTGTTTGAAATTGCATTTTTCATATCAAAATGGCACAAGTTCCTTTTATATTAAATGCATTGAAAACCCTCAGCTTCACACATTTGAATATTTCTATTTTACTGACAATTTATTTACTATTGGGAACTACTCATATTGATTTAAACATACACATAAGTTTATATTTATATTTTTTTCTCCTTTTCATCACCAGAAAGAATGTTTTAGTTCCTATTTAATGGAACCATCCATTTTTATGTCTTTAAGTCATATATAATTTTTTCTTTGCTATTCCTCCATTGTTTCTGTTTTATATAATTATTAAATAAATGTCAATTGTTTTGCTATCTGAAGAATGCAAACCACAACTGCTTCTGAAGACCCTATCATATCTAGCTTTTAACCTACCAGTTATGCACCTAGCGTCAAAAACACCATTTCCTCCGAGATTCACAAGCCTACTGAAATCACCATAGTTCTTTAGTAAGCATCAGAAGCCTGGAGTATGGATGTATATTTTTCTCCTGTCTTTATTATAAAACCCCTTAGAAAGCAGTGACATTTACTAGATCAGGGATTAAACACTATAATCTACTTGCAGTGGGAGTCATTAAAATGTTGACCCAACTCTTCACAGAGTTGCAACAAGAACTGTGAAGTGTGTCTTTGCTATTTAAAGTGGGAATGCACTCCTGTGATGTAGCAATGTTCATTGGAGAAAAGCACAACTGGGACTGGCCTAGGAGAAGAAAACATTGAAGCAGTCATTTGCAGAGCATATGGGGAACAAAAATTACTCCTTTAGTTATGGAAATATTCCCATATTTATGCCCCAGTTTGCAAAGTCCAACAATTGGAAAATTATTCTTTTAGGCTAAGGCAATTTGTCTGCAGCAAATACTTGCTTACTGGAAGTTGCGTATTAAAGGAAGTATCATGCATTAAAGTTTCTGACAATACATTAAAAAATTAGCGCAAACTAATACTGATAGCTGTTTCGAGGGATAGGTGAATCATAGAAAGGGGGACGTTGGAAAGTCCAACATAGCCAGGAGGAGAGAAGAGAGGTAGTATGTAGTACCTTAGATGAATAGTGTAAAAATTAAATTATAAAAATAAACTTTAAACATTCAGTTCAATGCTTACTACAAGGAAAGTACTTAATAAAATATAGTAGAAATAATAGCAGGGATGTTTATAATAATTATCATTATTTTTGAAGTGTTCATAATGGATTATCCAGGAAGATACAGATGTGGATTCACAACCCAAAACCATAAGCCAAGGGTCTTGCCATATTTACCTGCAGGTCAATGATTTATCTGTGGCTTGCTCTCTAAGCACGACTTGTTTCCCAAATACCTGAAAGACTGAACTCTTCACAACTGTCATATCCATCGTACATTCCCCACAGGTCTGGCAATAGACCCCAAGAAAATCTTCCCTAGCTGACCACATTTCTAGCACTCTTTGAAATAAGGAAGCACGTTTAGTTTTAAGATGTTTTTCCTTCTACGAAGAAAAAGGAAATGATTTTTTAAAAACTTAACAAAACTGGTATAAAGATTTAATAGTTTTCTAGTTGTCCCTTGGTATCCATAGAAGATTGGTTCCAGGACCCTCGCTGATACCAAAATCCATGGATGTTCAAATCCCTGAGTTAAAATGGCATGATATTTGTATACAATCTAAACACATCCTCCCATATACTTTAAATCATCTTAGATTACTTATGATGCCTAATACAATATAAATGCTATGTAACTAGTTGTTATACGGTATCACTTTCTGAATTTGTATTATTTGTATTGTTTTTTATTAATATTTTGGATCCGCTATTGGTTGAATCCAAGAATATGGAACCCACAGAAAAAGAGGTCTAGCTGTAAATCTAAAATATGTATCCAATTGTAAAACAAAAAATAAGGATATATAGTAATTATTAGAGTAATCCTGGAAAACTGTATAAATCCTGGAAAACAGGTATAATTATTATTAGAGTAATACTGGAAAAGGCAAGAGAATAAACAGAAAAATAATAGAAATAAAAATAATTCAAAAAAAATAATTCAGAAAGAGAGCATGAAGGAGTTTTTTGGTATTAGTAACCTGTTGTATATCTTGGTTGTGGTGCTGATTACATAATATATATGTATGCTAAAATTAATGGATTGTTTACCAGAACAAAGAAAAGGTCCATTTTACTTTAAGATAATTTTATAAAGTAGAATTTTAAAAAGTAAACCCAGATAATTCAGTACAAGGGCAAATTTCAAAATGAGAAAATAAATTCAATAACCTTCTTATAAATTATTCAACAATATATTGAACTTAAATATATTGAACTTAAATATATTTAATTGTTAAATATATTGAACTTAAATATATTTAATTGTTAAATAAATATATTTAACATTATATTAAATATGTAATATATTAAAATGTAATATGTTAAAATGTAGCCAAAAAGAACCTATTCAAATGAACAATAGGCTATATAAAGTAAATAGGAATAATCTTAAACAGAAATGTGTTGTTTATAAATGACAAAAGCTATACTATTCTAAAAAAAGAAAAAAGTTGACAAATACATTTAAATACTTATTATGGTATTGGAGAAAAATGCAACATCGTTCAACACATACATTTTCCCTCCTATAAAATGAAATTCAATAAACCATGAGATATTTTTGAGTTCACAAAATAATTTTCAAAATTTGTCTGAAGGCAAATCAGATTAAAGTAGTCAAGAATTAGAAATATTATTTCGTTTGTTTGCTTTATGTTTTGGTTTTTAGCTAACTTAAGCTTTTTTTATTCGTACAAATTTATGGGATACGTGTGGAATTTTGTTACATGTATGTAATGCATAGTGATTAAGTCAGGATATTTAGGGTGTTCGTCACTCCAGTACAATACTTTTTAAAGTATAGTTATCCTACTCTGCTATCAAACATTCAATTTATTCCTCCTATCTTATCCTTTAGTGCACTTCTCTTTATTCTTTCCCCTGCCCTTTCCACTCACTCTTCCCAGTCTCTGTGATCTATTTTTCCACTTTCTACCTCCACGTGATGAAATTTTTTTAGCTCCTGCATATAAGTGAGAACATGGGATAGTTACCATTTTGTGCCTGGTTTATTTCACACCAGTTTTATCCATGTTGCTGCAAATGACATTATTTCATTCTTTTTTATGGCTGTGAATAATATTCCATTGTGTATATACACCACATTTTTTGTTGGTTTGTTTTGTTTTCTGTT
This sequence comes from Homo sapiens, assembly GCF_000001405.40. Lineage (NCBI taxonomy): Eukaryota > Metazoa > Chordata > Mammalia > Primates > Hominidae > Homo > Homo sapiens. Next base: position 13,588,769 of record NC_000021.9, read on the forward strand.
TTATTTTTTCATGATTTTTATTGGAGGATATCATCATGAAATATTCTGTATTTTGTATGTTACTGGCTTGATAATAGATCATGCTCGGGAATTATTTCAGAGCTTCATCACCTCTTCCAAGCACCACTTGGGACCTGAGTACCCCAAACATTGCTGGGTACACCTGCACATCATGCTACTGCCCCTGCGCACCAGCACATCCCTGGCTGCTGAGCCGTCCACCTTGCCATCTTCACTGGTCAACAGTTCTGCATGCAGTTTGAAGAGCTTTGCAAAATCCCTCACCAACTTCACAAACCCTGAGTCTTTTTACTATCACCTTCATAAGCCCAAAACCCCACTTAGGTTGGTCTCATATCTTTGCATTGTGAAAAGTACTGCAATAAACATGCGAGTGCAGGTATCCCCTTGGTATATTGATTTTTTTCCCCTTTGAGCAAATACCCAGTAGTAAAATTGCTGTTTCCAATGGTGATTCTATTTTTACTTTTGTGAGGAATCGCCATAATGTTGTCTACAGTTGCTATACTGGTTTACATTCCCACCAACAGTGTAGAAGAGTTCCTTTTTCAATCTGTTATATTTTGTTTTGCTTTGTTTTTGTTTTTGTTTTTAGGAATAGTCATTATGACTAGGGGAAAATAATATTTCATCGTGGTTTTGATTTGCATTTATATAATGATTAGTGATGTTGAGCATTTTTTCATATATCTTTTGGCCTTTTGTATGTCTTCTTTTGAGAAATGTCTATTTATATCCTTTGGCCACTTTCCAATGGAATTTTTTTTTCCTGTTGAGTTGTTTGGGTTTTTGGTAAATTCTAGGTATTAGCCCACTATTAGATGAACAGTTTGCAAATATTTTCTTCCATTCAGGAGGTTGTCTCTTCACTCTGCTGATTATTTCTTCTGCTGCTCAGAAGCTTTCTAAGTTAATTAAGTCCCATTTGTCTATTTTTATTTGTGTTGCTTGTGGCTTTTGAGGTGTTAGTCATAAATTCTTTGCCTAGACAAAAGGCCAGGAAATTTTTCCCTAGGTTTTCTTCAAGTATTTTTATAGTTTCAGGTCTTCTGTTTAAGTTTTTAATCTACTTTGAGTTGATTCTTGTATATAGTGAGATAGTGGTCCAGTTTCATTTTTCTGGATGTGGCTATCCAATTTTCCCAGCACCATTTATTGAAGAGTGTGTCCTTTCCCCAGTGTCAGCTTTGTTGAAGATCAAATCTGCAAACAAATTATAAAACTGTAATATCTAAGTAATATTGGAGAAGCACAGAAAACAACTGACAATATAAGGGACTTGAGAACAATGAATTATATATAGACCAAGTATATATAAGACCTTACAATATTATAATGTGAATATGTTACCTGAATTGCCAAAAGGGACTTTGTAGATGGATTTAAGGTTGCTAATCAGCTTGCCTTCCAAATGCTACCGGAGGTACAAAGAGGAGCTGGTACCATTCCTTCAGAAACTATTACAAACAATAGAAAAAGAGGGACTCCTCCCTAACTCATTTTATGAGGCCAACATCATCCTGATACCAAAACCTGGCAGAGACACACATAAAAAAGAAAATTTCAGGCCAATATCCCTGATGAACATCAGTGCAAAAATCCTCAATAAAATACTGGCAAACCAATTCCAGCAGCACATCAAAAAGCTTATCCACCATGATCAAGTTGGCTTCATCCCTGGGATGCAAGGCTGGTTCAACATACCCAATCAGTAAACATAATCCATCACATAAACAGAACCAATGACAAACATCACATGATTATCTCAATAGATGCAGAAAAGGCCTTCGATAAAATTCACCCCTTCATGCTAAAAACTCTAAATAAACTAGGTATTGATGGAACGTATCTGAAAATAATAAGAGCTATTTATGACACACCCACAGCCAATATCATACCGAATGGGCAAAAGCTGGAAGCATTCTGTTTGAAAACCAGCACAAGACAAGGATGCCCTTTCTCACCATTCTTATTCAACACAGCATTGGAAGTTCTGGCCAGGGCAATCAGGGAAGAGAAAGAAATAAAGCGTATTCAAATAGGAAGAGAGGGAGGTAAATTGTCAAAGTTTGCAGATGACATGATTGTATATTTAGAAAACCCCATCATCTTAGCCCAAAATCTCCTTAAGCTGATAAGCAACTTCAGCAGTCTCGGGATACAAAATCAATGTGCAAAAATTACAAACATTCCTATACACCATTAATAGATAAACAGCCAAATCATGAGTGAACTCCCATTCACAATTGCTACAAAGAGAATAAAATACCTAGGAATACAACTAACAAGGGATATGAAGGACCTCTTCAAGGAGAATTACAAACCACTGCTCAAGGAAAAAGAGAGGACACAAACAAATGGAAAAACGTTCTGTGCTCATGGATAGGAAGAATCAATATCATGAAAATGGCCATACTGCCCAAAGTAATTTACAGATTCAATGCTATCCCCATCAAGCTACCATTGACTTTCTTCACAGAATTAGAAAAAACAACTTTAAATTTCATATGGAACCAAAAAAGAGCCTGTATAGCCAAGACAATCCTAAGCAAAAAGAACAAATCTGGAGGCATCACACTACCTGACTTCAAACTATACTACAAGGCCGCAGTAACCAAAACAGCATGGTGCTGGTACCAAAACAGATATATAGACCAATGGAACAGAAAAGAGGCCTTAGAAATAATGCCACACATCTACAACCATCTGATCTTTAACAAGCCTGACAAAAGCAAGCAATGGGAAAAGGATTCCGTATTTAATAAATGATGTGAAAACTGGCTAGACATATGCAGAAAACTGAAACTGAACCCCTTCCTTACACCTTATACAAAATTAACTCAAGATGGATTAAAGGCTTAAATGGAAAACCTAAAACCATAAAAACCCTAGAAGAAAACCTAGGCAATACCACTCAGGACATAGGCATTGGCAAAGACTTCATGACTAAAACACCAAAACCAATGGCAACAAAAGCCAAAATTGACAAATGGGATCTAATTAAACCAAAGAGCTTCTGCACAGAAAAAAAAAAAAAAACTCTCATCAGAGTGGACAGTCAACCTACAGAATGAGAGGAAATTTTTGCAATCTATCCATCTGACAAAGGGCTAATATCTAGAATCTACAGGGAACTTAAACAAATTTACAAGAAAAAAACAACCCCATCAAAAAGTGAGCAAAGGATATGAACAGACACTTCTCAAAAGAAGACATTTATGCAGCCAACAAACATATGAAAAAAAAGCTCATCATCACTGGTCATTAGAGAAATGCAAATCAAAACCACAATGAGATACCATCTCATGCCAGTTAGAATGGTGATCATTAAAAGGTGAGGAAACAACAGATGCTGGAGAGGATGTGGAGAAATAGGAACCCTTTTACACTGTTGGTGGGAGGGTAAATTAGTTCAACCATTGTGGAAGACAGTGTAGCGATTCCTCAAGGATGTAGAACCAGAAATACCATTTGACCCAGCAATCCCATTACTGGGTATATACCCAAAGAATTATATATCATTCTACTATAAAGACACATGCACATGTATGTTTACTGCGGCACTGTTCACAATAGCAAAGACTTGGAACCAACCCAAATGCCCATCAATCATAGACTGGATAAAGAAAATGGGTCACATATACATTATGGAATACTATGCAGCCATAAAAAAGGATGAGTTCATGTCATTTGCAGGGACATGGATGAAGCTAGAAACCATCATTCTCAGCAAACTAACACAGGAACAGAAAACCAAACACCACATGTTCTCACTCTTAAGTGGGAGTTGAACAATGAGAACACAGGGACACAGGGAGGGGAACATCCCACACGGGGGCCTGTCACAGGGTGGGGGGCTAGGGGAAGAATAGCATTAGGAGAAATACCTAGTGTAGGTGACAGGTTGATGGGTGCAGCAAACCACCATGGCACATATTTACCTATGTAACAAACCTGCATATTCTACACATGTATCCCAGAACTTAAAGTATAATTTTTAAAAAAGACTTCACCAATATTATTTATTTTTCCTGTTGCCTCAGGTTCCAACATGGCTCAACATGGCAGTTGCTGATCCTGACTTTGCTTAAAATTTGGTACTTTATCACAAATTTTAAAATTAATTTTGATTTCTCAAAATATTGATTAAAATATTTATCTCTACTATTGAATTTTTGGGCACACCTTTAAATTTTGCATGCAAGATAAGCACCTTCCTCAGTTGTAGGATGTTGACGGTGATAAGGACATTAGCAAAGGAAATATTGAAAAGCTCATGAATACTGTTGCATAATTCTTCTTAGAGAAAATAGTTTCTTGGTATAGGATAGAACAATTGCTAAAGGGAAGGTGACCTCCTACATAGCATGAAAAGATGTGTCATGATCTTGGTATTTGTAATTTGTTCCCTTTCACTCTGCTCAACTAAAACAAGGATGAAAAACATTTTTCCATTAAAGATTATTAATTTTAAAAATTAATTGAGTCAGAAAAAAATGCAAATTAATTTTATTTTATTTTAAAATTATTTTAATCTTTTGCTTTAAAGAAAACACTGAGTTTATGGGTCACTTTACAAGTGAAATAAGAACACAGATTTGGGGGTAATAAACATAATTTAGCACCAAATATATTTGTTCTAATTTATTTCACAGTTTAAAAACAAAGTGTAAGAGTAGAAAAAGGAAAGAAAGAAGAAAGGAGAGAGAAGTACAGAAAAAGTTACAATAATCAAAATAAAAACCAAGAGAAAAGGGAAAAGAAAGACTAGCAGAGACATAAATGGAAAGATAGTCGTATGACTTAAAAAAAAAAAAGGTGAAGAGACAGAGAGATACTAGTCCACGAGGAGAGCAAGACCATCCAGAGGCAGAACTCCTTATCCAAGGAATTCAGAAGTAATTAGACATCCCTATTATGTAAAGCTGGCATCTGGTATGAGATTTCTTTTCCAAAAATTTGTGAGTAACCAGAATTTCTATGCATCTCTGGAATGCATGTATTCTAAACTCATTGTGCAACCCTTGCTGACATCAAGGCACCAAAATGTCTATAAATGTAATTGTTTACCATGACCTATGTGGCTAATATGGTAAAAATTACCCTTAAGCTCCCACTTTAAGGTCCATAAATACCCTAAGGAAAAATCTAGTGCAGTGGCATACTCAGTCCTCTCTTGCTGAGGAGCCCTGCTGCACTTCTCTGCAGCATTCTTTCCATCTAATACAGCTTTCCTTTCCAAATCTATACAGTTGTTGGTAAATTCTTCTTACTACCCACAAGCCAACCACACTCCACTGCCTGGGCTGTGACAGCTCGCATGGCAGTCCATATAAATGCACAGTCTACAAATCCATATAACCACAAAAAGAAAACAATGATAAAGAGAGCTGCACAAAGGAAAATAGAGAAAGGAAGCAAAATGAATGAGGTTAGATACGTTCTTAGGTGGAATAACAACCCCATCTTGGAGTAGGTTAGTCTTGCCACCAAAACTTTTAAAAACATGATTTTTTTCATAATTGTGCATATAATCCAGGATCTTACTCACCTCTTAATGTTCACTCTAATACATAAGATAAAATTAATCTGAAGATCTAAAATAGTCCTCAAAATGGAGACTTTTTAATCCTTCTAGGAAAGTTTTATCACCTTGGATAGATTTTTTCCTCCAGATAATCTTGAATTAATTTTACAATGAAAAGTATTACTGGTATTTTATTAAATTGTATTCAATTTATGCATTGGCATGTATATATTCAATAATATTACTTTTAACCAACAAAAGAGTTTGTCTCTGAATTTATTCATTTTTTTCTCAAAAAATATTACCACTTTTTACATGAACAGATACTTTCCAAAAGAAAACATGTATACGGCCAATAAGCATATGAAAAAAAAATGCTCAGCTTGACTATTCATTAGAGAAATGCAAATCAAAACCACAATGAGATACCATCTCACACCAGTCAGAAGGACTGTTATTAAAAAGTCAAAAAATGGCTGGGCACGGTGGCTCACACCTTAAATCCCAGCACTTTGGGAGGCCAAGGTGGGCAGATCACGAGGTCAGGAGATCGAGACCATTCTGGCTAACACGGTGAAACCCCGTCTCTAATACAAAATACAAAAAAAAAAAAAAATTAGCTGGGCGTGGTGGCGGGCGCCTGTAGTCCCAGCTACTTAGGAGGCTGAGGCAGGAGAATGGCCTGAACCCGGGAGGTGGAGCTTGCAGTGAGCCGAGATCGCACCACTGCACTCAGCCTGGGCGACAGAGTGAGACTCCGTCTCAAAAAAAAAAGTCAAAAAATAAAAATTCAAAGAGAATTGTTTTTTTCTTTTTTTACTTTTATGGCACGACTTCTAATATTTTTATATCCTTAACACTTTATACAAAAAAATCAAAGGAAGAAGAAGAACATTTAAGTTTACTTTGTTTCATTTTTCAGAGTTAATAGTTGTTTCACATTCTCACCAAGATTTGATTTTTAAATGTGGATCTTGTATCCTGCAACCCTTGATAAATTTCCTTGTAAATTATAGTTCTTTAAAGACACCATAGTATGCTCTACACATATATTTCTTCTATGAATAAATAGATTTTTATTTTTTTCTTCCTAATATTAATACCTTTAAAAAAAAAACTTTATTTCAGTGGTTAGCACATGTTGAATAGAAGTGGTGAGAGCATGAATACTTGCATTCTTCCTAATCTTAAGGGGGCATGCATTCAAGATTTTATCATATGTTATAATGGTTGCTGTAGGTTTTTCATAATTGCCCTTTATTGGACTGGAGAGGGTCCCTTTCATTTCCAATGTACTTAGAATTTTTTACAGACATGAATGGATGTTAAAACGAATGATTTTCTGCCTCTATTGGCGTTCACCACCACACCCAGCTAATTTATTTTATTTTATTTTATTTTATTTTATTTTATTTTATTTTATTTTATTTTTATTTTTAGTAGAGTTGGGTTTCACCGTGTTAGCCAGGATGGTCTCGATCTCCTGACCTCCTGATCCGCCTGCCTCAGCCTCCCAAATTGCTGGGATTACAGGCACTAGCCACTGCGCCCGGCTGAGGACATGTGTTTAAAAAGGTAGCATAACTCCTATTTCTAGCTGCTCTTGCAACTAAAGGTGGCTGTGTACAGAATAACTCTATTCCTCTATATCCTGTTTGGACAAACCATCTTTCCATTGATTTAAGCACACTTTCAGAATAAAACGTAATTTCTTATCTCAGGAATTCCAAAGTCTAATGGAAGAGGCAAGCTTATATTGAATAATTTAGCAAAGCAGATTGTGCTTGGCAATAATAAAGTAATTCAATATATAAAACATAAGAAAAGAAGGAAATATCTGTTTCATAGTTGTAATTAGAACTTTACTATGCAGAATAGGTAGAGAGGCATTCCTCAAAAGATTAAGAGAGGTATAAAGTAAATGTAAATGTCAACTATAGGGGTTTTCTTAGGCAGAGAATCATGCTTTAGGGTAAATGAAGGTGACGCTGGTATTCAGGTTCCTTTGGAGAAGGCAACAATAAAAGTAGAGTTATCATTTATGAGATCCAAGAAGCCCAAGAAAAGATAATAAGAGCCCAAGCCACAGCAGGCTCAGACTCTTTTTCCTAAATAAAAAGGAACGAATAGCTAAATATGACAAAAGTCAAGGTATCTTTTAAGAAAGTTACACTTCCCCTGAAGCACAACAGAAATCAAAGATAGTCACCCTACAGCACTCCTTGCCTCTCTTCCAAGGATACAGCTATGTATTGTTTTTTAAAAAAGGTAAAGGGAATATATCACTTGACCATGTCTCTTTCCAAGGTGAATTTCTCCAAAAGCACAACTTTGGGGCACTTGTATGAGATATAGTTTAAACCCCACTGAATTTGATTTCCCACCCTCCCAGACACTTACCTTTATTATTTTCTCATATTTGTTTGCTTTTGTTTCCTTAATATAGTCCAGGAAAGGTATTTGTGGGCCGTCCTACAGGAGAAGTTATAATGAATTGAAAAATGTGAAGAACCTTCTATTCTCCCAAGAGTATATGGCAAAGAGGGTTTAATTGCACCCAAAATATCAGTGTGGAAGGGTCACATAACTGATACTATAAAGTAACACATTGTCTTACAGAATTTTCGTTCTTAGGCTGAAATATTACCTTCTTCATCAAACTTACCTGACCGCATGTTTGATGTTGTTTGAGTAAAATATAATACTCTTTTATTTCCCAAATGCACACAGACACACACACACACACACACACACACACACACACACACATATTATGTTTTGGGAAATATATGTGCTATAGTATCTATATTTATTCACTTCTTAAATTTGTACTTAATTAAAATGACAAGATGAATTTGCTGAAAGGAGTTGGTAAAATGATCAGCTGTATTCAGTCACATAACTATTGTTTAGTCTTAGTAATGAAAATAGAAAAAAAAAAAAAAAAAAACCAGCCAGGTGCAGTGGCTCACGCCTGTAATCCCAGCAATCTGGGAGGCCAAGGTGGGTGGATCACCTGAGGTCGGGAGTTCGAGACCAGCCTGGCCAGCATGGTGAAACCTCATCTCTACCAAAAATACAAAAATTAGCTGGGCGTGGTGGCACGCACCTGTAACCTCAGCTACTTGAGAAGCTGAGGTAAGAGAATCACTTGAACTTGGGAGGCGGTGCTTGCAGTAAGCCGAGATTGCACTACTGCACTCCAGCCTGGGTGACAGAGTGAGACTCCACCTCAGTCAAAAAAAAAAAATGAAAATAGAAAAAACCGACAGACACTAAAAGCTAAGAAAATAGTGTGTTCATTTTGGAATCTAATTCAAAATTCATTATAATGAATTTTAACGGGCCACCAAAGGCATGTGTTGAAGTTCACTGAATATTATTCAATGTTTGAGAATTACAGACAGCACACATATTTCATTTGTAGCAATGTCTGATTTGTTTTGCATATATATATTTGCATTTATTTAAAACAAAAAACGTCAAAATATATTTCATCTGTTATTTGGAAAAAACATTGAGTAACTAATTGTCCAAATATAGGTCTCTATTTTCTAATTTTTAATTAACAATGCTTCTTATTTAAAAAAATAACTTATTTCAAAATAACTGACATTTAATGTTTTTACATTTTTTAAAGTGTTCATGTACATCTATTTAATTTCTAGATATCGTGAGGGAATCGTCACTGTATCTGGAAGCCAGATGCCAAAGATGTTCAGTTATTATCAATGTATCTATGCATAAAGGATTGAAAATGATTCTTCATGCCATAATTTATCTAAATATTCATTCCTTTGGAACACTGTTTTCCACCAATAGTAACAAGACTTGGAACAAAATAAAATAGTAATATCATGTGCATTTTCTATTTGTGCACTTTTCCACTTCTGGAAATAGTCATAGAATCATTTTGTGACAGATTACTATCATCCATGATCCTAAGTCACTAAGAATAAGTGTTAGAGTCTTTGGGTTAAATTGCCATAAGGACTAAATTTATTTTTTAACCAATTCCCTAAAGAATCAACTGATTTTTAGTTTTACAGCATATGTATGACCTCTCCATCCATTTTGCCTTAATTCTAGTTCTTTTTATCCTTCAGTGGTGAGAATGAGAAAACCTGGATGCATATGGCTATGGTTGATTTGAAAAGTACTTTTTAAACATTTGGAAGTTTTTCAAAACCAAAAGCATATTTGCCAAGTGATCTTTTCCCCCTACATTTTAAATCCATGTGCAACCTAAGAGAAATTTAGACCATATGCTAGTTCAGATTGACTTACATTAAAATCATGAAAATTTTATTTAATAGCTCTTTGACACACAGGGAGTGTTTAAATTAAGCTTCTCTAAACTTTACATTTTTCAGAATACACTCTGTTTTCTATCTACCCTCAACTACTCCTCACTACTCTCCAGGAAAATATCAGATTTAATTCAGGAGGTGTAAGTTGGATGTTTTCAGTCCATCAACAATGATTAAGTAATTTAAAAAGCATTCTTTTTTTCACTTCTTCTCTAGTTTTCGTTTGTTTGTTTAAATATATCTGTGCAAGTTCAGAACAGTTTTATTTATATTAGGACCAATAATCTGAGGAATGAAATAAATTGTTGCATTTGTTGCAATAAATGAGTTTATGCTCCCTTTACAGAACATTAAGGACATGAACTTTTAAGTTTTAATGTTTCACTATAAATGATACTTGAGTCTTCTATTAGAATAAATAAGGTAAACCTTATATAAAGAAAAAATAAAAATCTTCTCCTTCTCATCTGCATTTGCAATCCCACATGCACTGAAGTAATCAATGTTAATGGTTTTCTGTCCATTTGGCCACACCTCTAATGGATGGAATTTATGTAGTGTAATTCTTTGTCAGGTACAACTACACATGAGTAAAACTAGGTGTGATTTAGGACTCAAGATTAGGATTTTTAACTAGTAGTGAAATGGGAAGGGAAAAGCAAAGGTAAAATATACATCAACTAATTGCAGAAGGGTGTATAGAAGGGAGTCATCTGTATATATGACATCTGATGGCCCCGCCACTCAGCTAACCCATCCACGCTTGAAATGATAAATAGACAAGTGCATTGAAAATTGTAAGTGTGACGGAAAGGTCACCACGTGATTGCTACTATTATATTGTTTTATTATTTTGTTCTCCCAACAATGTGTAGCTCAAATTTATACTACAGGCTGTTCATATCCCTTAACAAAATATCCATTAATTTATGAATTTGACAAAATTCTAACTTACTGCAATGTCCTATAAATAATAGTTCGGCCCATCTGCGGTGATGACTGTTCCAGAAGATCTTTCTGATGTTGAATAACTAATACTGTTTTTCAATGTTACTATTAGGTTGGTGCAAAAATAATTGCGATTTTTGCCATTAATCCCAACTACATTTGCACCAACCTAATAGTAATTTAACATGCTGTATCTAACATTTGTGGACACTGATCGAATATGCAATATTCTGGGGAGAAGTTGGTGGAAGAGATGTGTGTTGTTTTGTGAAAGATAGTATTCTGAGGGAGGGCAGAAAAGGGATATATATGTAAGAAAATAGTGGATCTTGATCAGATGCATGCTTGTTCCTATTTACAAGAAGTCTACTCTGTGTTACTGAACAAATAAACTTACATGAAGTCAACTAATTCCAAAGAATTTACCGTCTAGAGAAATTCACATTTGTAATAATAAATAGTTTTCTTAATGACAGAAATTTCATGTCTTTTTTATTTTATAGCTATAAACATAGAGTTATAAAATCTAAATACAGACAAGCCTACCCAGTGTTTGATTATATTCAATGATGTTTAAAAGTAATAGCCTCTCTTTTGTTCTTACTGGGAACATTATCATTAGCACAGTGCTTCATACAGGCTCTTATTACTTCTATCTCCCATTGTTATGATTGGCAAAGCACAAAGCCATACTCAACTAGGAATACTTGGGCACATTGCAGCATTTATCACAGGGTGGACTGGATACTGAGTTTCTTAATTTATAAATTTTTCTTTCCAATGCAAAATTTGTGAAGGCTTAATGTTGGAAAAATGTCTGAATGGCTATAAATTCCCTTCCTAATTCCCTCCCCTCAATGCATACCTGTTTTTTTTGTTTTTTTTTTTGGCTCATTCTTAGAACTGTAGCTGTTCTTGAATCTTTGATGGGTTGAAGCTAATCCACATTCAGATTTTACAATCTCATATAATTGCCAAAATTCTACCCTTCAAAACACTTGTTTCTTTCTTTTTTTCTCTTACATTTCCTAAAAGAAAATTAGTGAAAAAACAATTTTTTATTTGGTCTGAAACTTTATGGCAAATCTGAGGACAGGAAGAAATTAGGGACTTCTTTGTGCACTTTTGATTTGGCGAATACCTGGAATATATATTTTTCTCTCTGCACAATGCAAAGTAGTTGCACTCACAAAGTATCAATTAGAAAAAGAAATTCTTCCCACATTTCATCAGAGTTTTAAGTGGTTACACTACAATAATCCCCAGCTATTTGGGAAATGGTAAAAAAAACTTTGAAGATCAAGCCATCATTATTATTTTCACTAAAACCTAAAAATTCAGCCACAATATGTCAAACCAGTTGGGACAGGACTTCCTTCCTCTAATTTAGTTTTTACTGCTGGATACCTGATGGGCTACTTACTATATCCGGTGTCTCATAGGGCAAATTGTACTTGGAGACAATGTGAATATTGGCTCTGTTATACTCATCAGTCTGAGCCAATATAAACATTCTATGAGTAATTCTGAATACTATCAGTCAGCTTGTCTTCAGCCTTTAAATTTAGTAATAATAGCAAAAATAGTCAACATTTATTGAGAACTATGTTCCAGACTTTACTAAGAACTTTATCTGCAACACTTTATTTAATGCTCATCACCAATCTGTGAGATACTATTGTTTTGCTCACTTTTACATAAAGGAAGTAGGGCTTAAAGAGGCAAAGTAACTTGACTATGATTACATAGCTAATAAATTTTGGAAAATGCCATGATTTAAAACTGTGATTGTAAAAATTATAGCAAAACATCAGACCCTCTTATTATTTACCTCCCCTCTTTCTTTGGAGGTGGTCAATCTGTTCATATATACCATAAATTTTTCTCCTATCAAAATGGCTTCATAACATTTGATAACAATTAAGGAAATCTAAACAATGTATGGACTTTAATTTAATATCATGTGGCAGTATTGGTTTGTTAGTCTCAAAAAAGTTACCATACCAATACAAGAAGTTACTGAGAGAGGAAACTGAGTGTGGGGTATGGGAGAACACTCTGTGTTATAGTCAATTTTCTAGCAATCTAAAGCTATTTTAAAATTAAAATTCTATCTTAAAAAATGACTATATAGGCTGGGTGCAGTGGCTCACATGTGTAATCCCAGCACTTTGGGAGGCCGAGGCGGGCAAATCACCAGGTCAGGAGATCGAGACCATCATGGCTAACACGGTGAAACCCTGTCTCTACTAAAAATACAAAAAAGTAGCCAGGCCTGGTGGTGGGTGCCTGTAGTCCCAGCTACTCAGGAGGCTGAGCAGGAGAATGGCATGAACCCAGGAAGTGGAGCTTGCAGCAAGCTAAGATCACACCACTGCACTCCAGCCTGGGTGACAGAGTGAGACTCTGTCTCAAAAAAAAAAGAAAATGACTGTTTATGCATACCCAGCCGGTGTTTAAAACAATCCACCCATACAACTAACAGACATCTTCTATCACAATTTTATGATGGTTTTGCTAAAGAGTGGCAAAATATACTCAGAAACCAAATTAGCTGATTTCGTTAAACCCATTCTTCTTAATGTCAGAAGCCCTTACTCCATGTTTTCAAAATTCATGATATTGTAAGGATTGTGAAAAAATTCGAAAGCAAATTAAGGTAGTCAAAGGAAAAGTGTTTACAAAAATGTTACTAGCACAACAATCCATCTACAAAAATGTGAACATATTTTAATAACCTTGAACATGGCAAGAAGAGTTGCAATATAAAAAGAGATTTACATGTACAAAAGCTGAGGGAAAAAGTTTCAGCTTCAAGCATTAACGTTTTAGTTCATAAATCTGAAGGAAAATAAAGAGAAAATAAAGGCATTAAGAGATATGAAACAATGTAAAAATGAATATTTCTTTTATGAATCCTTGTGAATATATGACAGTATACAAGCTACAGAAAACTAGTTTACTGGGCGGATCACGAGGTCAGGAGATCTAGACCATCCTGGCTAACACGGCGAAACCCTCTTCTCTACTAAAAAATACAAAAAATTAGCCAGGAGTGGTGGCGGGCACCTGTAGTCCCAGCTACTAGTGGGGCTGAGGCAGGAGAATGGTGTGAACCCGGGAGTCAGAGGTTGCGGTGAGCCGAGATCGCGCCACTGCACTCCAGCCTGGGCGACAGAGAGAGACTCGGTCTCAAAAAAAAAAAAAAAAAAAAAAGAAAGAAAAAAGAAAACAGATAAAGGACAAGCAAATAGAGAGGGGGAAAGCAGCCACCACCGTAATTTGAACAGTAAAACTGAGAGGAACTTTGAAGTGGAAAGGAGTGTAGTCTTTATTTCATCCTTGGGGATTTGTCAGGGCTGGAGGATGCACACAACAAATAAATAATTTAGAGTGCTCTGAAATATGGTCAGACAGCATATGCCTTGCAGTTATGTCTACACTTTGTGCTTGATCCAAGCATACATATTATTGGGGCAATATCTGACTGATACCTTTTAAACACACCACACACACACACACACACACACACACAATGTTTTATAGAAAATATATCTGGGCCTGGCTACATTTCCAGAGTGCCCCATTTCTCTTGGTTCAAATTTCCGTCTAGAAATCAAGTTAAATCTTTGGGATGACACTAATGTTGTAAAGGTGCTGCATAAAAATAAGATTTTTTAAAGTAGATAAACCATTCAATAATTTTCTACAGCAGGTGAATGACAGAAGCATTGACCTGAAATTTCACAATGGACTCCAGTGAGAATTCCCTGCAATCATGTCTCTTTTCCCATTTGTTAAGTACAACCACAGTACTACAACCACAGCCACAACTACACCAACACGATTTCCTCACATGATCAGCTGTACTTTCCTGCTCTAGTCCAAGATCTTCCAGCCATGCCTTCCTACAGCACTCTACAGCAAGGGTCAGCAAACATTTTCTAAAATGAGCCAGATAGTCAGGACTGGGAAAGGCTTTGATAAATGAGAGAGAACGAGTGACTACACAGCCGGGAGGAGTGTGAAAACAGAAAAAGGACAAGGCCGGGCGCGGTGGCTCACGCCTGTAATCCCAGAACTTTGGGAGGCCGAGGCGGGTGAATCACGAGGTCAGGAGATTGAGACCATCCTGGCTAACACAGTGAAACCCCTGTCTCTACTAAAAATATAAAAAATTAGTCAGGTGTGGTGGCGGGCGCCTGTAGTCCCAGCTACTCGGGAGGCTGAGGCAGGAGAATGGCATGAACCCGGGAGGCAGAGCTTGCAGTGAGCCGAGATCCCACCACTGCACTCCAGCCTGGGCCACAGAGAGAGACTCCGTCTCAAAAAAAAAAAGAAAAAAGAAAAGAATAAAGAAAACAGATAAAGGACAAGCAAATAGAGAGGGGGAAAGCAGCCACCACCGTAATTCAAGTTTTATGTGCCGTAATGTCGCTCTCAACTGCTCACCTCTGCTAATGTGGAGCAAAAGCAGCAATAGGCAATATGTAATCAGAGATATGGCTGTCTTCTTCAGTGAAACTTAATAAAAAGTGGCAGCAGGCTAGATTTGGCTTGTGGGCTATAGTTTGTCAAACTATGATGGAACGTTTAAAATTTCCCTGGTTACTTTAACTGCAAAAGTGAGTCTTGCATGTTATATTTTACCTCTTCCAGCAGGGCATACAGAGAGGAGCTAGTCAGAACACTTCTTTTTGACATTTATATACTGAGAAGTATACCAGTGTGTTACTACAGTACATCATGGAGAGTATTCTATCCTTTCCTTTCAGTTCTCATCTTTTGTCCTAGATTAATAGAGAACATCAAGTACTGTTTTCGGACAGAAAAACTAACAAGCCACCTAAACCCAGTCTTTCTGGCCTCTTAACATTAATGTTGAACTTTCCTTATGCACGGTCAACAAAGATGCTTCAACACTTCTGTAAGCTTCTCCAATCAGACATTGTGTTTCATTTTATCATCTGCAAAAAGCAGGGGAAAGAGTTTCCAATTTTGTATTGGTTATCAACTGCAGCATAACAAACCACCCCACAACTCAGAAAAATAATCATTTATCCTCTCAGCTCAAGTATCTGGAAACATCTAAGACCAAGTTGATCTAGGTTGAAACTAGTTGGGCTTCCCTGAACTTGCACTTCTGCAGTTTACTGACTGGAGGGAGTTTTATTATTTACTGGCTTGCATTGGGCAAATTATCTAACGAGGATCTGCACCACCTTTCTTCAATCTTCCTGGAAACAAGAGACTAGCTGAGATATGTTTGTCTCATGGTAGTGAAAGAGGCACAAATCAAGTGTAATTATGCAAACTCCATTTAAGCCTTTGCTTTTGTAATGCCTGCCAAAGTTCCACTGGTCAAAGCAAGCCCCAGGAGTAAACCTAGGTCACCAAGCCATAGTAGAAAGACACTACACGTGGAGCGGATTCAGAGAAGTGTGAACATTTTAGTCAGATGTGCAACCTCTCTAAGACTGGCACAAAGGTGAGTGTCAGTAAAAGCCCAGCTTAATTCCAGCTACCTGATGTTCAGTTCAGTTTTTCAGCTGTAAAGAAGAGAAGATGATGCCTACCACAGAAGATCATTTGTGCAATTACAAGGATTAAATAAGAATATGAGAAATGTGTGAAGTGCCTAATACAAAGTTAATTGGTAAATGTTCTATATTTTTCATATACTCTTGGGCTTGAAAACAGATTAATTCTAAGCTTTCTAATATTATTCTGTCATAATTGCATAGTTTAGTGGGCCTATCAGCATGTATAAGCAAATGTTAATCAGAGCCAGCCAAGGTTGTGTCTTTTGGATACCAGGAAAGAGTTACCGTGGCTCTTAGAGAGGAATTGATATGGAGTTTAGTAAAAAAATAAATTTTAGTTTGCTATCCAAAATATATGTTTTGTAAATAGAGCTAAGATTTGACTGGAAATTTGAGAAAGGTTGGACAATTAGTTATGTATATAAGAAACTGTGCTGAACCTGCCAAATTCTTTGAAGTGGGTCACAATGATTGAACAGAGAAGGTGCAAGTATGATATACAGGAATATCACATGACAAGATTTAGTGGGTAGGTGGTTATTGCCATTTGGTCTGTTTTGCTATTTATAACCAGTCTTAGGAGTTTTCTTTAAAACTCATGAAGAAATGAGAGTCTACACTAGCACACAATAATAATATAGATCGGTTGAAAGTAAAAGGAGGAAAAATGGTATGTTATGTAAACATTAATAAAAGAGGGCAGGAGTGTTATCTCAATACCAGCTAAAATTAATTTCAGAGCAAAGACAATTGGGAGAGACAGAGAAGGGCATCACGTAAGACAAAAAGAGTCAGTTCACAAAAAAGATCTGGCAATCTTAAATGTACGTGCAACCAATAACAGAGCTACAAAATATGTGAAGCAAAATCTGATAGAACTGCAAGAATAAATAGACAAATCAACAATCGTAATTGGAGACTTCAACAAGCATCTTTCAATAATTGGTAGAAAAACTAGATCTAAATACTGTCAATGTTATATATATAAAAAAAAAACTCAACAACACCATCAAGCAACAGGATCTTACTGGCATTTATAAAGTGCTCCACCACTGGCTGGGTGCGGTGGGTGTAATCCCAGCATTTTGGGAGGCCAAGGCGAGTGGATCACCTGAGGTCAGGAGTTGACGAGCCTGGCCAACATGGCAAAACCCCATCTCTACTAAAAATACTAGAATTAAGGCTGGGCCCGGTGGCTCACGCCTGTGATCCCAGCATTTTGGGAGGCCGAGGCGGGCAGATCACCTGAGGTCAGGAGTTTGAGACCAGCCTCAATATGGAGAAACTCCATCTCTACTAAAAATACAAAATTAGCCCAGCATGGTGGTGCATGCCTGTAATCCCAGCTACTCGGGAGGCTGAGGCAGGAGAATCACTTGAACCTGGGAGGTGGAGGCTGTGGTGAGCTGAGATTGCACCATTGCACTCCAGTCTGGGCAACAAGAGTGAAACTCCGTCACAAAAAAAAAAAAAAAAAAAAAAAAAAACTAGAATTGGCCGGGCGTGGTGGTGCATGACTGTAATCCCAGCTACTCGGGAGGTTGAGGCAGGAGTATCGCTTGAACCCGGGAGGCAAAGGTTGCAGTAAGCCGAGATTGCGCCATTGCACTCCAACCTGGACAAAAGGGTGAGACTCTGCCTCAAAAAAAAAAAAAAAGAAGAAAAAAACGGGCTCCACCCCCTAGCAGCAGAATACAGCAGAACATTTAGGTACCCACAGAACATAAACCAAAATGGACTGTATCCTGGATTTTAACAAACATTAAGAATTTTTTAAAAACTGAAATCCTGTAGAATGTATCCTCCAGCCAAAATGGCATCAAATTAAAAATAAAAAAGTAAAATAACAGCAGAATCTTAAATACTTGAAAAATAAACAGCATACTTTTTTAGTTCTTTTTTTTACATTTTTATTTATTTTAACTTCTGGGGTAGATGTGAAGGATGTGCAGGTTTTTTACATAGGTAAATTTGTGCCATGGTGGTTTTCCCTACCTATCAACCCATCACCTCGGTTTAAGCCCAGCATGCATTAGAGATTTTTCCCGATGCTCTCCTCTCCCTCCCCCATCCACAGGCCCCAGTGTGTGTTGCTTACTTCCCTGTGTCCATGTGTTCTCATTGTTCAGCTCCTACTTATAAGTGAGAACGTTAGAAGTTTGGCTTTCTGTTTCTGCATTAGTTTCCTGAGGATAATGGCTTCCTGTTCCATCCATGTCCCTGCAATGGACATGATCTCCTTCATTTTTATGGCTGCATAGTATTCCATGTTGTATGGGTACTACATTTTCTTCATCCAGTGTATTACCGATGGGCATTTAGGTTGATTCCATGTCTTTGCTATTGTGAATAGTGCTAAACAGCAAGCACACTTCTAAGGAGAACGTCTCAAGGGAAACAATTAAATATATTAAACTGAATAAAAATAAAAATACAACATATCAAACTTGATTTAACACAGTTGACATCAGTGCTGAGAGGAAAATGTATTTCACTAAATGTATATAATAGAAAAGTAGAAATCTCTCAAATAAAAATTCAAGCTATCACATCAAGAAAGTAGAAAATAGTAGCAAAATAAAATCAAAACAAATATAAGAAAGAATATAATAGGGATAAGAGCAGAAATAAATGAAACAGCCAAAAGAAAACAACAAAGAAAAGCAAAGAAATAAAGCTGGTTCTTTGAAAATATCTATAAAATTGACAAACCTTAACTAATAATGATAAAGAAAAAAGGGATGTCATAAATTACCAATTTCATGAATGAAATGGGCTATCCTTACAGACCTTGAAGACATGAAAATGATAAAGGAATGTCATGAACAACTCCACTCACATACATTTGACAACTTGGGGAAAATGGGCCAATTTCATGAAAAGCAGAAACCACCACAAAACTCACCCAATCTAAAATAGGTAATTTAATAGCCCTAAAATGTAAGGACATTTAATTTCTAATTTTAAAGACTCCTGAAGGAGAAATCTCCAGGACAAAATGGTTTTACTAAAGAATTTTATGTACTGCTTAAAGAATTGACACCAATACACACAATCTTTTCTGAAAATAGAGAATCTTTCCCAATTCATTTTATGAAGCTAACATTACTCTGATATCAAAATAGTACAAAAAAGTAAACTATAGCCTGGTAATTCTCTTGAACATGGATACACCAGTTCTTAACAACATTAGCAGTAGCACTCAGCGATGTACACAAAGAATTACACATCATGTCCCAGTGACGTTTACTCCAGTGACTGCACACCTAGACATTCATCCCACTGAAATAAAAACTTTTTTTTTGCACTTGTAATTGGCTTCCCCTCTGCTTTTGTTGGCAAGAGCAGGTCGGTGTCCCAGGCTTAGAATCCATTTTTCTCTCTTTCTCTCCATCTGTCTCTCTGTCTCCGTCTCTGTCTTTGTCTCTCCCTCTCTCTCTCTTTTTTTGACAGAGCCTTGCTTTGTCGCCCAGGTTGCAGTGATGCGATCTCGGCTCACTGCAAGCTCCGCCTCCCGGGTTCACGCCATTCTCCTGCCTCCCGAGTAGCTGGGACTACAGGCGCCCACCACCATGCCCGCTAGTATTTTGTATTTTTAGTAGAGATGAGGTTTCACCGTGTTAGCCAGGATGGTCTTTATCTCCTGACCTTATGATCCGCCCGCCTCAGCCTCCCAAAGTGCTGGGATTACAGGCGTGAGCCACAGTGCCCGGCCAGAATGCATTTTTCCTCCCACACCAAAGCACCTGCAGTATGGGTGAAGCAGCCTGGAGCCTGGCTGCATAAGCCTGCACAGCAGGAGGGTCCCAGCAGGAGGGTCGAGGTGCCACTGCCTGGGTCCAGCTCACAGGCTACCAGGGAGGCTCCGATCTGGCTCCCTGGTGCTGGCAGTGTACTGTTCCCAGGATCTGCATGTGGGGGTGCCTTCCTGCATCTCCCCATCAGTGGTAGGTGCTCCTCCCAGCCGCCTCTTTCAGGCCTGGAGACAGCGGCCTGCACCTCAACCCTACTGCATGCCAGTGAAGCGAAGCACCCCGGGCCAGAAGCCCCACAGCTGTTGGCCCTGGTTTGGACACCAGGCAGGGGGCACCACAGCAGGAGCTAGCAGCCCAGCCCCGATTCTGTGGCCCCGAGTGCCCCGTTGCTGATGGCCCTGTGTTCTGGGCACGGACCAAGGAGGAGCAGGTGTGGAAGGCGCCTCACGCAGGCCCTGGGCTCCGTGGGCGTCTTGTGCTCGGAGATTTTGAGGCCATTTGCATCCAGCTTCGCCAACCAGAGCTCTAAGCTGCAGCGGCGGCCACCCGCAACAGCACCACCACTAGTGTCTTGGGGGCTTTCTTCAGAGGAGGCTGTCAGCATCCTCGAGTTCCAGGCGCTCTAGCCCCAGTCCTGCTTCAAGAGGCTTTTTCCCACCACAGGCTTCTCCTCAGTGGCCAGAAAGCTGGGTCAACTCCCATGAACTTTGCCAGTAACGCAAGGCTGTCACTGACATTTGTGGCGCCAAGACTTGCGCACGCGGATTGCACACATCGGCCACTTCCTGCACCACGTGCAATGACGCGCGCACGCCTCACGCGCACGCCGCATAACGTCTGAGGCGCGCACGCCTCACGCGCGCCCCGCACGCGCGCCCGCCTCACGCGCGCCCCGCACGCACATGACGGCTTGGCTTACCTGTAATGGGTGCGCTTCGCTTTGCGTTCCTCGCTTGGCCTTGCGTTCCTAGCTTGGCTTGGCGTTAGTCGCTTTGCCTGGTGTTTCTTGCTTGGATTGGCGTTTTCTCCCTCGCATTCCTTTGCTGGGCCTGAATTTTTCTCTGCTGGGTTTGGCATTCCCTTGACTGGGCTGGGTGTTTCCTTCGGAGGGGGGGCTTGGCCTTTCCTGGGGTGGGCCTGGGGTCCCCCTGGTGGGCGTGGGCTTTCCCCGGGTGGGTGTGGGTTTTCCCTGGGTGGGGTGGGCTGGGCTCCCTTGCTGGGGTTGGCAAGTTTTGGCTGGGATTGACCTTTCTCTTCAAACAGATTGGAAACCCAAGGTTTCCTGCTAGTTGGTGAAACTGGTTGGTAGACGCGATCTGTTCGCTACTACCGGCCTCCCCTGGCTGTTAAAAGCAGATGGTGGCTGAGGTTTGTTCAATGCCCACTGCCTCTACTGTGAAGAAGCCATTTGATCTCAGGAGCAAGATGGGCAAGTGGTGCCACCACCGCTTCCCCTGCTGCAGGGGGAGCGGCAAGAGCAACATGGGCACTTCTGGAGACCACGACGACTCCTTTATGAAGATGCTCAGGAGCAAGATGGGCAAGTGTTGCCGCCACTGCTTCCCCTGCTGCAGGGGGAGCGGCACGAGCAACGTGGGCACTTCTGGAGACCATGAAAACTCCTTTATGAAGATGCTCAGGAGCAAGATGGGCAAGTGGTGCTGTCACTGCTTCCCCTGCTGCAGGGGGAGCGGCAAGAGCAACGTGGGCGCTTGGGGAGACTACGACCACAGCGCCTTCATGGAGCCGAGGTACCACATCCGTCGAGAAGATCTGGACAAGCTCCACAGAGCTGCCTGGTGGGGTAAAGTCCCCAGAAAGGATCTCATCGTCATGCTCAGGGACACTGACATGAACAAGAGGGACAAGGAAAAGAGGTAACCGGGCCTGGGATGGGAGGAGGCAGGACATGGGGGGATGATGGGGACATACCCTCCTGGCGCAGGGAGGGAGGAGCCAGGCTTTCTCTTCCTCCGCAGGCCCCACACCACCCTGGGTGTGGAAACCTCAGAGAGGTCAGGGCCCAGGTCCCTTTATAAACAGCGACACAAAAAGTTTTAGCTGATTTCCAATCCAATTACAATTTCCCTTATAGAACACTAATAGACTGTTTTAAAGTGATTTAACTCGCAAAATTAAGTCGATGCAGCAGATTATTTTTAATGTACACATTTTAAAACAATGTTCTGTACACTATAGAAAGGTGTATATTGAGAACTAAGTCCCATAATATATCAACTTCTGGGCTAAATATCTTTCAAATAAAATCCAATATGGATTTTATATCGATGTACCCCTATGTAAATACGTTCTTTACTGAGTAACCTTAAAAGGAAACTGAAATGGGAAGTATGGTTCATATCTTTGAATAGGAAGGTTCGTTTTTCTTAAGATGTGAGCTTTTTCTGTGTTTATCACTTTTACATAAGCCAAATAAAAATAGCAAAGTCTTAGTGTCTTTAAATTGCACATGATGTATTTTATCATTGTGATAAATTGATTTTTTTTAACAGAATGGAAAAAGACTTGCTTTTCCAGATATCAAAATGTGCATGTGTTATTTCCACAAATTGTTTACTAACAGCTGAAAAGATATAAATGAACAGAACAGAATAGGAAATCCAGAAATACCCAAATATATGTAAGAATTTAGCACTTGATAATGGTGATGTTTCATATTGGTAAAACAAGGTGAATTATTCATAAATTAAATGCATGCTGCTTGGAGAAAACTACCTAGATTTTTATGTCACAAAAATAAGTTCCTGGAGTATAGATTAAAAATTTTAAAGATACAAAAGGAGAAAAGTACCAGAAGAAAACACAAATGCCTATTTATATGTGAAAATATTTATTTATTTTTCTGAGACAGACTCTCACTCCATAGCCCAGGCTGGAGTGCAGTGGTGCAATATCAGCTCACTACAACCTCTGGTTCCTGGTTCAAGTAATTCTCTGCCTCAGCCTACCAAGTAGCTGGGATTACAGGCACCCACCACCATGCCTGGCTAATTTTTTGTGTTCTTAATCAAGACGGGATTTCACCATCTTTGCCAGGCTGGTCTTGAACTCCTGTCCTTGTGATCCACCCACCTCAGCCTCCCAAAGTGCTGAGATTACAGTCATGAGCCACTGAAACCGGCATATATATGCAGATATAATAAAATAAGCTCAATTTAAAATTGGGCAAGGTACTTTTTTGCATGTCTACCAGTGACCTGTGCACATAGGAAAACAGCATTCCTGCTAAGAGAAGGAATTTAAGTTAGAAGAGGAATGAAAGACTATTTTCTGTTTAAGTTAGAAGAGGAATGAAAGGCCAGCCATGGTGGCTCATGCCTGTAATCCCAGCACTTTGGGAGGCCAAGGCAAGTGGATCACGAGGTCAGGAGTTTGATACTAGCCTGGCCAGCATGGTGAAACCCGTTTCTACTAAAAATACAAAGAATTAGCTGGGCATGGTGGCATGCACCTGTAATCCTAGCTACTCAGGAGGCTGAGGCAGGAGAATTGCTTGAACCAGGGAGACGGAGGTTGCAGTGAGCTGAGATTGCACCACTACACTCCAGCTGGGTGATGGAGTGAGACTCCATCTCAAAAAAATAAATAAATAAAAATAAATAAATAAATAT
Source organism: Homo sapiens (assembly GCF_000001405.40). Lineage (NCBI taxonomy): Eukaryota > Metazoa > Chordata > Mammalia > Primates > Hominidae > Homo > Homo sapiens. Next base: position 13,612,505 of record NC_000021.9, read on the forward strand.
AAAGGAATGAAATACTGTTTTCTGTCCACAAAGTTTGTGAGGGTGAAGAACAGTGGTACTTATATACTTGCTGAAAGTTTAAGTTGCTGCGACTTTTCAAATAGACACTTTGATGGTAAGAACCATATTTTTAAAATGTGTATGCCTTTTACCCATCTATTCCATTATACTGAAATATCTATATGAAACAGACACAGCTGTTTTTCTTAGTATTGCTTAAAATAGCCATGTATTGAGAAGAACTCATATAAAGATGTTATAAACAAATTTCAGTGCATCCATAGGATGGAATAATATGTAACCATTGAGGGTGTCAGTAGATACAGAGATATGTCGGCATGCAAAGATGTACTTTGCTATATCAAGTGAGAAAAAATCAGTTTGTTATACATATACACAAACAGAATCTGCTCTTGTGTTAGCTGGAAATATGTGGAAAATATAATCAAACTTATTTCTGGGGATTTGTAAGTGAAGTTTTTCCCTTTCTCTTATCTGTGATTTCTGCAATGAACATCTGAAAAGTTTTAGTTAAGTTTCATTAGTAATGAAATAATCCTTGGGAAGAGAAGGAATATGCTACTTGCATAGATACAAATAATTTCTCACATTCTGTTATTTATTTTTATACCTGTGGATGGCTATCTTCTGTGAACTTTTACCCTCTTCAGAAGTAGAGGGCTTCTGTTTACCTCTTCTGGTAGATTTTATTGTATATACATTTTATTATATATAGATTAATGTGTAAATAGTATGGATTAATTATTTTAGTTTAGTTATATATTTATGAAAACTAAAATAGCAAATATAAATGATCGTTACTATCGCAAATGTATTGCTCTACTCAACAGGAGTTTTCTTTTAAAAATATTGAACTTCCAACCTATGTTTATCCATTCTTTCAATCCGTTTAGTCATCAAACATAAGCCAGACACCTATTATATGGCAGGCATATTCTGCTATCTCTCAGGATCCTTCCACCTTTGAAAACTTCATGTTTACCTGCTGCGCCTGAGCAAGCTGAGAGAATCAAAATTGGGGCATTAGGACTTAATCTCAATTGAAGCTTTTCCTCCCTCCTTTCAAACAAAAGCATTTCTGAAGGTGACAAATAGTAAAAGATAACCCTTAACTGCCCTTTTGAAAATTTATAAGGCTTGGGTAAAGACTGTTTTAGCTGTTTTAAGAACTTAAATGTGGTACATAAACAGCATGGAATACTATGTAGCCATAAAAGAAAGAACAAGAGCCTGTCCTTTGCAGGGACATGGATGGTGTTGAAGGCCATTATCCTTAACAAACTAACATAGGAAGAGAAAACCAAATACTGCATGGTCTCTCTTATAGGTGGGAGCTAAATGAGGAGAACACACAGACACCTAGAGGGAAGCAACACACACTGGGGCCTATCAGAGGGTGGAGGGTGGGAGGAAGGAAAGAAGCAGGAAATAGAACTAACGGGTACTAGGCTTAACACCTGGGTAATGAAATAATCTGTACAACCAACCCCCTTGGCACACGTTTACCTATGTTAACCAACCTGCACATCCTGCACCTGTATCCCCGAATGTAAAAGTTGAGAAAAGCTCCACAAATAGTTTCATAAATCCATTTTAAAAAGAGAAAATTTATAACAGTCTTAAATCCTAATATGAATGATTGGAAATATCTGATGTACATACATTGTATAAATCTAAGTATTGAAAAAAATGAGCCCATGCTATTCATTTGAATTTCAAGTTTTCTTTGGCTTAAAGTTTTTGAAAACCAAAGTAAGAAATAGATTATTTTAGAAAATTGTTTTTGTTTTCACCTCAGCCCTCTTATTCCATAGTTCTTTTAAAAACTAAAATTTATCTAAATGCTAGTCATCTGACTGGAACTGCCCCAGACCTGTTATATTATAACATATTCTACTTAGTATAAGGCACCAGGGATTGTATGATGCCCCATTATTTTATGTCTCACTAAGAAAATTATTTAAATGCTGCCAATTATAATTATAGTAAATCATGAATTATAAGTGGTATTTCAGTGTAAGAAATGTTAAAACATGGAGACAATGATCATCTTAGACTCAATAAAATACAGTACAACGCTACCTGTAATCTTTAAAATGTACCTGAAAGTGTAGGTATAATTGTATCGTTTCACTTAATTCAAATGTTGTCTTTAGTGGTATTAGTAAAAATTATAATATCTTACAATTTTTGAGCTGTTATTTGTGTTAGGAACTATTCTATATTTTGTGTAGAGTCTTATTTAAGCATTACAGTGGTTTCCTCTGAGAAACTGACTATTTTCATTCCCATTTTATTGATGAGGAAATTGAGACACAAAAAGGCTAAGCAACAGCTAGGAAGTGACAGAGCTTCAAGTAGGATTCCAGCCCAAGTTGAATGTCATCCAAGAGCTATGCTCTTTCTATTCAAATAGGCTGCTCTTTCATTAATACAGTGAGTAATGAGAGGTAATAAGTAGTGTGCTTTCTTCAAAGGAAAATTGAGTTTGTTTTGAAGGCAGAGTAATAGGCTATTCAGTGTTTGCAACTACATGAATCATTAATGTGGCATTAGCTAGTGAACTACAATTTCCTCAAGTCTTCTCACTCTCATAGGACTGCTCTACATTTGGCCTCTGCCAATGGAAATTCAGAAGTAGTACAACTCCTGCTGGACAGACGATGTCAACTTAATGTCCTTGACAACAAAAAAAGGACAGCTCTGATAAAGGTATGCAGTAGTCAACTATATCAGCGTGAGATGGGTTTGATTTCAATAGATAGCATAAAAATGAGTTTTCTCATTTAAATATAACTAGTTGGTGAAAGCTGTGGAATGTTATTTTGAATTCCTAGGACTTGTAATTTGTTTTTGGTCTAATACTGACAGGCCATACAATGCCAGGAAGATGAATGTGTGTTAATGTTGCTGGAACATGGCGCTGATCGAAATATTCCAGATGAGTATGGAAATACCGCTCTACACTATGCTATCTACAATGAAGATAAATTAATGGCCAAAGCACTGCTCTTATATGGTGCTGATATTGAATCAAAAAACAAGGTATAGATCTACCAATTTTATCTTCAAAATACTGAAATGCATTCGTGTTAACATTGACCTGTGTAAGGGCCAGTTTTCCGTATTTGGAAGCTCAAGCATAACCTGAATGAAAATATTTTGAAATGACTTAATTATCTAAGACTTTATTTTAAATATTGTTACTTTTAAAGAAGCATTAGAGGGTACAGATTTTTCAGTGCACTTGTGGTTAGTGCTTTTTTTAAAAAAACACTGAATTTGTAAAAGGTAATACTTTTTTTTTTTTCAATTTTTCCCTGCCAAGTTTTTTTTCCCTAATGAATGTAAAATGACAAAATTTGCCCTGGAAATAGGTTTTACATTAAAACTCCAAGAAAACTTAAACATGTTTCAGTGAATAGTAATCCTGCTACTTTGGCAAATTCCTAAAAAAACACTAATAGATATGAGGTGATGTATCTCTCAGTGGCAAGGCTTAAGATATTTCTGATTGCTCATGAGGCAGAAGTGGAAAGGGAAAAATGCAGCAATCAGAAATATCAAGGCCAACTTGGAAATTAGGTAATGGGGGAAAAGACCATGAAGAGGTTGTGTGTGTGTGTGTGTGTGTGTGTGTGTGTGTTGTTACTGTTGTTCATTCATTTGTTTCCTTTATATGGTGAGACAGGGTTCTTTTCCATTTTAGAGAATGACAGTTTTCAGTTTGGGAGAGGGAGTTAGTGGGTTGTAAACTGCCTAGAGATAAATTTTAGGAGGCCTCTGAGGAACCAGATTGGCAGTGAATATGTGGTAATGTATTGGGAACCCTTGAGTAGAAGGAATAACAAGTAATTAACCAACTTAGTATCCTATTCTGGTAGAAATGGCCAATTAGAGTCTCAACTCTGCTTTCAATTCTAGAATGTCTTGATGGGAAGGTGGGAGATAAGGGGCTTATAAGTAAAAAGATCAGGTTGGATTTTGAGTTTACTAGACCTTGTTCTACTCTTACCGGGGAAAATTTTGTGGTGTTTTCAGCAAATGAATCTCTCTCCTACTCTTTCCTCTTTTTGACCAAATCCTCAAATGATAAAGGGAATTGTTTATGTGGATGAGAGATGAGACTGAAATAATTGTCTATTGCACTAGCTTCCAGCTAGAGTTGTGCATTCCAGTTACCTCAGGAAAATTTTTAAATAATCTTCAAGTCTAGGTTTTCCCCTGAAGATTTTGATAGAGTAAGTCTAATAAAGCCGGGATATGTATGTTTAAAAATGTTTCCTTGAAGCCAGGCATGGTGGTGCATGGCTGTAGTCCCAGCTGCTAGGGAGGCTGAGGTGGGAGGATTGCTTGAGCTTAGGAGTTCTAGTCTAGCCTGGTCAACATAATGAGACCCTGTCTCTAACAACAACAACAACAAATTTCTCAAAATCCGGATACACTCCTGCTTAACCACTGAATACATAAGTGTAATATGTAAATTCTTATATCTCAGAAACTTCAGATATTTCTAGAAGAGTTGGAGTTGGATATGTGCTAATTCCTTTAAATCTTTCCTTTCCAATAACATTAATCTAAATTTTTGTTTGTTTGTTTTTGAGATGGGGTCTCACTCTGTTCCCCAGGCTGGAGTGCAGTGGTGCGGTCACAGATCACCACAGCCTTGACGTCCCTAAGCTCTGGTGGTCCTCCAATCTGTTTTTGTATTTTTTTTTTAAGTAGAGATGAGGTTTTTGCCGTGTTTCTCAGGCTGATCTTGAACTCCTGGGCTCAAGTGAATCACCCACCTCAGGCTCCCAAAATGCTAAGATTACAGGTGTGAGCCACCATTCTTGGCCTAGTCTGACTTATCTCTGTCGTTGAGACATTAAAATGAATATTATTGGCACTATCTATCAGCTTACAGAATAATAGCTTTTCCTTTCTACCATCAGTTATTCACTGCCATTCAGAAGGTCTTTAGAAATTTGCAGTGAGTAGTCTTCCAATAAGTAGAGGATGGCTCTCTCAGGACTTTGTGTCCCTTTGTTCACTCATTCAAGTGCTTAGGTCAGTAAGTCGTTTTTAAGAGCAGAGTTTTCTCAGAATTGTAGCAAATTCTAAACCTTTTTTGTCAATTGAAGCTGTATTATGGGCTATCCAGTATGTCTCTTAAGTTTGTAGAGCTTTGGCTTAATCAGGATGGCAGGTTTAAACACTAAAAACCATGGAGTTATTAAGAATACAGATAGGAAATCTCTTAGTTTCAGTAATCCTATGAACTGATTATCTATCTAGTTAACAATCTGGAAAAATTAAATACAAATAGATTTTAAATGAATAAATGTTGGAAAAATTCTTGAAATGGGCAGTGTATTAATAGCAATATTTATTGCACGTTGGAGCTTGAACTTTGGTAAAACATGTGAAACTAAAGAAATATTTTACATTCAAATTCTTGCTTTATACACAACAATTTTGTCTTAGGGTTGGATAATATAGAGATAAAAGATACAGCCCCTGCCCTCAAGAAGCTTTTTGTTTAAATGAAAAGAAAAATCATCCAAAAGTGCCATGCCAAATGCTCGTTTAGAAACAAAGAGTCTTGGAAACAGTAAATGTTTAAGGTGAGTTTTTGAGATGATCAGATTTAATGTGGTGAGGCAGAGAAGGGATGTTTCCAAGGGAAGGAGTGGCATGTGGGAAAGTACAGAAGAGTGAGAAGGAAGCGACCAAGTTTTATTTACTTTCTGTGAGTGTAAGTCCATAAGCTTCCAGTTCAGTTGAGAAATACATAATTTTTTGAATTACATATTGTTTTTGTTTTATATTGTTTTACAGTGTGGCCTCACACCACTTTTGCTTGGCGTACATGAACAAAAACAGCAAGTGGTGAAATTTTTAATCAAGAAAAAAGCTAATTTAAATGTACTTGATAGATATGGAAGGTATGGTTATTTCTTTTAATTTGTGTGTTGTTCTAGATTGATAGCAGTCACTCAAGTCATAAATAATAAATTAAAAAGATTAAATTATACTTATTGGGACATAGTGATCAGTATCAACACAAATCAGTTAAGTAGAAAAGCAATTATTTGGACTGGGCAACATAAAGAACTGTTTTAGTAGGATTCATCATCTCTTATTATATTGACTGATGTTATTTGTTGTATGATGTTTTTGGTTACATGATCTTATGTTAGCTAAAGGGATTTCATATTAATTTTATGAAGTTTGAACTTTAACTTTCAGTTTACTTTATGACTCAGTATTGAACTTCTTAACCCTTTCTAGTAGGTTTTAACCTCTGTATCTTATATGCTTTTCCACTAAATATGCTGTATTAAACATAAATAGGAGTTGAAAATCCTTTTATCTTTTCAATGACTCTGCTTTAAGTTGCTTTCTTTGAAGAATATTAATGTTAGCTTATCCCCACATGACAATTAATTGCTATTCCCACATACTGTGGGTTCAACAGCTTTTTTCCTTTTTTATTTCCAGTGTATTTTGATGTTTTTATTTTTAGTTGGTATGGAGAGAGGGAGTGAAGATAGTTTTAAGTGGATACACTTTTCCTTTAATGAAGGCAAGCTGTAGGTGGGTGATAAAGAGAAAAGATGAAATTGGAAATCATCATTCTCAGTAAACTATCGCAAGAACAAAAAACCAAACACCGCATATTCTCACTCATAGGTGGGAATTGAACAATGCAATCACATGGACACAAGAAGGGGAATATCACACTCTGGGGACTGTGGTGGGGTGGGGGGAGGGGGGAGGGATAGCTTTGGGAGATATACCTAATGCTAGATGACGAGTTAGTGGGTGCAGCGCACCAGCATGGCACATGTATACATATGTAACTAACCTGCACAATGTGCACATGTACCCTAAAACTTAAAGTATAATAAAAAATAAAAATAAAAAACAAAACAAAAACAAAACAAAAACTAGCTGGGCATGGAAAAAAAAAAGAGAAAAGAGCTAGGCTTTGGATTCACACAAGACTGGGTTTAATTCCTAACTTTCTTACTTGCTACGCGTGTGACATTGGGAACGTTATTTACCACCCAATATGTTGTCATATGTGAAAAGTAGGAGAATATATCCTTCAAAGTTGGCTGTGCATAAGCAAGAAAGATATATGTGGCATTTAATTCAGTGCGTAGCACATGCTTATTGGCAGCATTAACTGAAACTCCTGTGACTACTATTCTTACCATTATTATTAATATTACTGCTTTCAGCATGCAGAGAGCTCTTATTTTTCTTACCCCCTAGCTAATTTTCTATTACAGCATATCAGTTTAGGGAAGCTGTGACAAAATCTTCACTTAAATCTTTGTCCACTTCAGATAAGTGGCCCTAGCATTGTTTCTTGCCCATCAAAGGACTTTAAATTAGTAGCTTCTGCTATGCAATACCCCACTGAGATAAGAGGTTTCCTTTTTGTCCTTTCCTTTTAACCTTGGTGGTATTTTACAAAGATGAACTCTTGAGCACCCAAGATGCTTCTGTCTTTTAGTGCATGTAAATGTTTGATTCTGCATGGACAGGCAAGATGTTAAATTGGTAAAGTATATCAAATTAGCTTTTAAAATAACTTTATTACAGTTCCTAAAGGAGAAATTATCTCTGTAATTTTAGAACTGCCCTCATACTTGCTGTATGTTGTGGATCAGCAAGTATAGTCAATCTTCTACTTGAGCAAAATGTTGATGTATCTTCTCAAGATCTATCTGGACAGACGGCCAGAGAGTATGCTGTTTCTAGTCATCATCATGTGTAAGTGTTTACATGAAAAGGCTAGTTAATGCTAAATTGAGGTTTAAAATAATTATAACAATTGCATCTTACATATCAGGTGAGATGTCATAGTTTGGTTCAGGTAGTTTTAGATTGGCCGTGAGTTAGTCCCCTGCATCAGCCAGAAATCAGACAAAAAGCAAGACAAGTTAGAAGTACCAATGGGTGCAGGATTCTTTACCTCAGGACTTTTAAGACCTTTATCCTTAGAGATCCCAATATTGTTCATTTCATCCAAGTATAACACCTATGCATGGGATAAAAAAGAGTATCACATCTTTGATTTTTCTGATTAGTTATTTGGGTCTTGAAATGTCCAGTTTAGCAGAAAGTCTTGTACTGTCTTCTGGGGACTATCTTCTACATACTCCTTGAATTTTTCAAGAACCAAAGGGGTTCACTAAATCCAAGGAAGACAGTCCCTTTTATCAAGTCAGAAGGAGGAGAAAAAAAAGGACATTCCAATCATTCTGTTGTTTCCATTGTTTCTGTTGCTGCATTGTTGCCACTCAAACTGGTTCTGCTGCCTGGTAATTGTTGACCTTTGACACCAAGATGCCCTTACTGATTCAGATCCCTCAAGTCTTCATGGGGATTCATACAGTGACTTTGAAGTTACAACATTTTTTTTTAGTTCCCTTACCTATGCTTATATGCTCAGCCATTGTTCCCAAAGCACCAGCACCCTGCTCTGGCCGCTGGGCATCCTGACTTTATCCGCACACAAAGTGAGCAAATTGACCCTTCCTCCTGTATTCAGAACCTAATGTGGAACCCACATCTTAGCCAAGAATTAGCTGAGACCTTCATGGTAAGAGATCCTTTGAGGCCGTTGTTGGTCTTTTCTCTAGCAGATATTAGGTGGGCTTGTTCTAAAGGGTCAGAGGGGTTCAAATAATGTGGCAGAAAGAGATCAGTGTTTGTTTCTTCTTCTTTGCTACCAGATCTATACTGTGAGGCACCTTTATATCCTGTGTAGAACCTTAGGCAGTAGAAAGTCCCATATGAGCCTTCCCCAAGCAGTGGCTCCCAGCTGTGGTTGGCCCCTTGAGTGATCTGATTTACATGATAATGAAAATCGTCCAAGCTACTTCCATCTCTAGCTCAAGATTTTAAAATATTATCAAATTGTACCTCACAGGAAGCCATTGAAGAGAATTCTCAGAATCTCAAGTAGGTTAAGTAAGTAGTGATGAGTCACGGACAAGAGCCAAGCCTTGTCCATGACTCGTCACAAATCATGTGTAAAAGTAGGGCTTTGTGCCTGCTTTGGCGGCACATATCCTAAAATTGGAACAATACAGAGAAAGTTAGCATGGCTTCTGCATAAGGAGGCAGCACAACTCTTTGAGGCATTCCATATTTTGTGCAGTCACTGGAAGATCATTTCACTATCTGCTGACTAGCTCTAAGGAAACAGTGTGAATCAAAGCAAAATGGGTGCCACCAAAATATCGAAATGTGATTTGTGCTGCAAAAATAGTCATGGAAGATGGTCTGTGAGATGATTTAGAGCTGAATAATGTGTTCGGTGCAAAATATATTAAGTATGTATGTCAAAAATTAGAGAATGTCAATTTGCAGCTTCTTCATGAAAACTGAAAAAAAATAAAAGTAGAGTTTTGGTCTCCCATGTCAGCTGGAATTGAACATCAATATAAAGCATTATCCTAACAAACATCTGCTGGCTCAGAGTTTGAGTCTGTAGAGAAGGATCATTGCTCCAAGCCAGGTCTTAACATCCATTGGTTTTTCTGCCCTTAGCACAACAAATTGGTCAACTCCGTAATAGTGGACAATCACATTATCTACTTTAATGAGAGATTTATGAAAAAATTTAGTTACAAACTATGACACAGTTGAGATGCCCTGAATTATAAGCCATAAGGAGTAGGACAACTAAGAAGCAAAATTAGGACTTAATAACATTTTCTGAAAACTACAGCATTTGCATATTAGAACCTGTGAACAAAATACACATGGGGTTTTATTTGGGATTCCAAGATAATTTTAGTCATAAAGTTTAGGAACAGATTATTCCATTGCTTTACTATTTCTCTGAGCATTTAAAAAATGTTACCTTGTTAAATATTTGTAACAACCTAGTGAAATAAGGCAGCAAAGTCCTCACTTTGTAGAAGAAGACATTGAGCCTAAGAGAAGAAATTTGTCCAAGAACTAATAGCTGTTCATTATGGAGCTAGGACTTATGCAGAGTTGGGACACTTTCTATTATGTCATGCTAATGCATGCTGATTTACTGGGTCACAGTGTCCTTGATTTATGAGCATTTCACCTAATTTTTTTTCTTCTTTAATTAGAAGCTTAAAGAAAAGTTTGTAGAATGTACTCATAAGTGTATGGGATAATACTGTTAAATTCTGATATTATGAAATTGTTTGAAATACTCTAAGAATTTTACATTTGGTAAGTATTTTTTATATCAGTATTAAAATAGTAATTTGGTTTATTACATTTTTATACATAGAATTTGTGAATTACTTTCTGACTATAAAGAAAAACAGATGCTAAAAATCTCTTCTGAAAACAGCAATCCAGGTAAGACTTGTGATAATGAATTACTTTAGGTCAGTTGTCCACAATGTTTTGGGCAGCAGGGACCAGTTTTCTGGAAGACAGTCTTTCCATGGGCTGGGGGAAGGTGGGGATGGTTTCAGGATTATTCAGCCATGTTTCATTTATTGTGCTACTTTATATTATTATTACATTGTAATATATAATGAAATAATTATACAACTTACCATAATGTAGAATCCGTGGAAACTCTGAGCTTATTTTTCTGCAACTAGATGGTCTCATCTGGGGGCAAAGTGAGACAGTGACATATCATCAGGCATTAGATTCTCATATGAAGCACACAACCTAGATCCCTCAGATGAGCAGTTCACAACAGGGTTCATGCTCCAATGAGTATCTAGTGCTATCACTGATCTGACTGGAGGCAGAGTTCAGGCGGTAATATGAGCCATGGGGTGTGGCTGTAAGTACAGGTGAAGCTTCCCTGGTTTGCCTGCTGCTCACCTCCTCCTGTGTGGTGTGGTTCATAATAGTCCATGGAGTGGTACCAGTCTGTGACCTGGGAGTTGTGGGCCCCTGCTCTAGGTGGTCCTACCGTAGATAAATAAATAAAAGTAAGGAATTTTTGATCACAAAAGAACGCCAAAGCACAAGTCATGTTACATATCCTTGTCCCAACAAGGTCTCACTCTTACTGACTTCATTCCTCCTCATTTGAAGTTGGAAAGAGATACATTTACTTTGTTGGAACAAGATGTGTTCTTCTACCTGCTGGTCAATTGTCTTGATAACAGTAATTTTGTTAGAACAAGATGCTCTGCTACCATTTACCAAAAGATTGTCATAATAAATATACAAATTGCCCAATTCTAGGCTCAGCAGATTATAATAAAAGTAGAAAAATGTTTCACATTAACAAAAATACTAGTATGCCACCTGGTTGTGGACACCTAATACATTGTATAACCCAAACTGTATTAGGACACCTTTAATTTAGCCATCTATTTATCAAAAAGCTTCTGTAAGTTAGGTTTTATAAGTTGCAGGAGACAAAGATGGAATAGATGTAGTTTTGATCTTTAAGGTGCTCATAGTAGAGCTGTCTCTATTTCATTTCTGTGCTTTTTCAACAGAATTTACAAAGAAAACCTTTCTATGTTTTCACTTGTCCACTTAACAAATAACTATTAAATGTCTTTTAGATACTAATCATTTTTCTAATGTTACAGAACACACACAATTAAAAATACAGACAGGAGCTTGTTATTATCATTGTCATTTTTATTATTTTACTACTTTATTCAGTGCTTACTGTGTGCTAGATGCCCACTGGAAGCTTATAATTATGATTTATTATATATTAATTATGTGCCAGACGTATGTGATGAGGAATGAAAGTTTTGAAAAAAAGTAGGTATGATTCAAGGTAAGCACGCAGAGTGAGAAGAATTTTTCTAGGTAAAGAAGCAGAAGAATAATGTTTGGCAGAAGGAACACGCAACAAGATTGTGTGTTTGCCAGAAGAACATCTAATGAGATTGCCTGTTTGGCAGGAAGAGCAGCAAGTGCAAAACACAAGATGCTGAGTGAACTTTGCAGGGTTTCTGAGCAGTTCACTTTTGCTAGTACCAAAAGTGTGAGACACCAGAGGTTGGGAATAAGGTGAATACTTAGCTAAGGCAAGTTTATGATAGACTTTTTTAATACTATAGAAATGAGTAGGTCTTACCCTGTGGGCCATGGGAAATTTACCAGGTACAATGCTTTGGACTGTAAATACTAGATGAGCAGTGGCTAAAACAGTAGGAACCAGAGTTGTTTTGGTTGTTCAGTGATATCCTAGGATCCCACTTGTCCCTCTTTCAGCTGTGCTGTTGGCAGTGTTTTATTCATGTCTCCTTTCATGGTTGGCTAATCCTCAGCAGCTCCAAACATCTTGTTCTCACAACACAACATTTCAAGGGCTGCTTTTCTTCACATGTGTCTTTTAAACAGGGAGAAAACTTAGAAGCATGCAAGGGGCTTCCTGTAACATTTCACTGGCTGGGTCACACCACATGCTCATTCCCAAACCAGGCACTGGGAAGGCAAATACATGATTAGCTTAGAATAAACATTTCTCTTTCTGAGGCTGAGGAGGGGGATTGGGATAATAAATATCCCAATAGACTTGTGTTTCTTCTGCAAGAAAGAATAAGGAATGGCTATTGATAGGGAGCCAACAATGTGTGCTGCAGGGGCTCATTGGAGAAATTTGAGCAGGGGAGTTACAAGATTAAATTTGAGTATTAAGGCATATTCTGCTTATGGTGTAAAATGGGTTAGCAAGCTTTTTCTGTAAAGGACCAGGTGGGAAATATTTTAGATTATGTGGTCTCTGTCATATCTACTTAACCAGGCTGTTGTCTGTTGTTGTAGTGTGAAAGCCACCATGATTATATGTAAGCAAACAGGCATGACTGAGCTCCTATAAAACTTTATTTACAAAGCCAAAAGGCAGATTGGATTTGGCCTGTGGCCTATAGTTTGCTGGGATTGATGGAAGATAACCATGTAAAGAAACCAGGAGAAAAAGGAAGCTTTTGCAGTAGTCAGCTATAGTTTCCATGTCACACATCCTTGGACTAGTATCAATGTATTCTAAGGTTTTCACCTGCCCATGGCAAAATAAAGTTTGGAATCTCAGTTACTCATTTTAATGTGTTGGCCTTTTTTTGGTGTTATGCTTTTTTCATTTGTTTTGCTTAATTTTTTTCATGTAAGAAATAACATTAATAGTTGGAAGGGTTGTTTGTAATAAAAGCCGTTTTGTAAATGTTTATGTTCTCAGTGGCAGTGGTAATATAAAGCAGAGGAAGAAGAGAGGTATAGTCAATATGATTTAGTGATAATTGAATGAGAAAGGTTTGGGGGACAGAGAGAAATGTCAGATAATTTACAGGTTTCCACGTTGTACACTAGTATTTAACCTGGACATGAGGAAGGAGTAGGAAATTTTCTCCATGACCTGTGTGAGTCACAGCTTCCAGAAAAGAAAGAGAGCAAGGAGCATATTAAGGAACCACAGCAAAGTCAGTCCTAGAGTGCCCTGCTTGACTTCATGTCATAGTTCTGACTTCTAAAAAATCATTTTCTGCAAAATGTGCTTTGTGTTTTTCCCCTCTTGCAGCCTGCAGCCAAACAGAATCCCTTTAGCAGGGCATTTTTGTGTTCTTCCTTTAAACAAAGTAACATAAAAATAACAAAAAAGAGTAAGAGAAAGAGTGTTTTTTGTATAGGCTAGCATTTAACTTAAACTTGAGAGCGAGTACTAGGATTATACTTAGAATTTATGGACTCGGTAGGAAGACTAGATAGAAATCTAAATATTGCTGACTCAAACACAGTGTGTTTTTTTTGCTTTATTGTCACAGCTCTGAATTCACAACTATTAGTTATATTCATATACACTATAACTTTATAAAGCACCTTCCCAAACAAATATTAAGTGATTTATTATAATTTCTATGACTTATTATAGAATTGACTTTCCAAGTGTTCATGAGAATTATTGAGAATTTGCTACATAGTATCATCTCAGCTGTGTCCACATGAGCTAGCTGTCACCTTGTCTTAATGAATAATGGCTCACTAGGAATATTGGTTTTGACATTAAAATGATCTACATCTAAATACAGATAGGACCAGGGACCACTCTTGAACGTTAATGTCTAAGCATCTTAAAAGTACACATAAGGCTTTCATAATCTGACTTCTGCCCTACTCTACATCTTTAGCCCTTTTCCCTGTGTGCCCTTTCTCTGGCATTACTGAGTGGCTCTTAATGCCCTACTCACTCCTCCTTCTATTGCAGGCAAATACTTTCACTCTTTCAGGCCTCGCTCCTGCTCTTGCTGCTGTGTGGCATGCTGTCACCCTTTCTTGCCCTCTACCACTTTTAATCTAGCTAGCCTCAATATTTAAGTCTCTGCTTGGGCAGGTGTTCTAGAAAAGCCATCCCTGACAGGCTTTATTTTCATTCTTTTTAAACCCTAACACCTAGCATGTGTGTAGCAGGACTCAATAAGAAATTTCTGAGTAAAATAAAGACTGTTTTTACAAAGATGATGTGCAAGACTGTCCTCTGCAGTCTTGGAGTAGAGGGGACAGACCTGTGGAGGAATAATGTACAGTTCAGGTGGTAAAGGTGCAGTAGAAAAATCAGTGAGGTCCTAAGGCTACCTCAAGAAAGGAGTTACCTGTTTATCTGGGGAAAGATCTGCAGAATCAAGGAAGACTTCCCATAGCATTGTTTTAAAAGATGAAAATAAGGCTGGGTGTGGTGGCTCACACCTGTAATTGCAGCATTTTGGGAGGCTGGAGCAGGTGGATCACAAGGTCAAAAGATCAGGACCATCCTGGCCAATGGTGAAACCCCATCTCTACTAAAAATACAAAAATTAGCTGGGCATGATGGTGTGTGCCTGTAATCCCAGCTTCTCAGGAGAATGAGACAGAAGAATCATTTGAACCAGGGAGTCAGAGGTTGCAGTGAGCTGAGATTGTGCCACCGCACTCCAGCCTGGTGACAGAGCAAGACCCTGGCTCAAACAAAAAAACAAAAAAAAAAAAGAAAAATGAATATAAATTTGTCATAATAGTGGATGGAAACATTTTAGACGTTAAGAAGACATTGTACACTAACAAAGGTGTCAGTAGTAATTTTGGAAATCATTTGTAAGGTACTATTGTTGCAGAAAACAGGAGGCAGGAGAGACCCAGTGGGTCAAACAAGAGGATTTTATTTAGGTGCACACCAGCTCAGCGGATTTGCATCAAAAACCTGAGCCCTGAACAAAGACAGGGCTTGGCTTATATAGGCAAACTTACAGAAGCAGAACAAAGGCAGTTAATCATATAGTGACAGTTTTGCAACCACTGCATAGCTTGTGACCTTGCAGCTGCATTGAAGGAAAACAAGAATTTGCAAAATATATGCATTTGTAAAAATAGCTATGAATAAATGCTGAGGGGGAGGGGAGATGGTAAAGGAATTTGTTTTCTTAACTTTTCTCTGGGATGTCTGGAGCCCATACCTGTGGGCTCTGGCTTCTCAGACAGGGTCACCACGACCTTTCCTGGGCCCTGCCTGATACTATCCTTAGAGTCAGAGTAGCTAAGTGCAGGAAAACTTGTTTCTCTTTAAAACTAAATTTTCTTTTCTTTACATTTCCTGCTTCACCATTAGGAAGTGAACAACATACTGAGTTACCTTATATGTTTCTACTGTATTTTAAAGTTGTGTTTCTGGTGGTTTTGTTCATTTATGTGGGGTGGATGAATTTGTGAGTGAATCACATCAGGTGTCTCCCCAAGTGGTTTGTTGAAGTTTTGGAGAATTATTTCCTAAGTAACTATTTCATGAAAGACTAAACACTCAATTAATGAAATAAAATAAAATGTTGTCTTCAATCTATTTTTATAAAGGCAATAGTTTTTAACTGTTCTAAGTGGTTCATCTTAACTGAATATATGGATTTCTCAACAGAACAAGACTTAAAGCTGACATCAGAGGAAGAGTCACAAAGGCTTAAAGTCAGTGAAAATAGCCAGCCAGAGGCATGGAAAATTTTAAATTTAAATTTTTGATTTAATGTTGTTTTCTTTGCTTTAACAATATTAGATAGTCCAAATGAAATTACCTTTCAGACTAGGTTTTAAGAATCAATAGATTCTTTTTTTAAGAATTTTTTAATAAGATTCTTAAAATTTATTTTAATAAATTCAGCAATCTCATTAACAGAAGAATCAATAAATTCTAATTTAACATTTGATATTTAGCTTAAAAACATAACCACTATAAAATTTAAAATACCCTTATTTTACAGTATTCTTATTTAAAATATTCTTGTCTGCCTTTTTGATTAGCTTATAGCTAATCTTTCCTTTTGGAATAGAGGCAAAAACATATTCCAGACCTTTGTTTGTTCTTTTATTTTAACAACACCCTAACATGATAAAGTAACATCAATTATTGGATTATATTATTAAGCAAAAGAACTATGAACAATGTAACACTGAAGGTCCCTGAGCTGGATTCATGGTTAAAGAATAATCACGGCCAGTGATTGAAAATCTGCAGTTTTATATTGTCAGTCACTGATACCAAGGTTAAAGACATATTCTGCCTTGTGATCTCTCACTGACTTCAGCATTTCTGTTCAGGGAGGGAACCAGGTCATAAAAGCAACCCAACTGCCTATTACAAGAATCATATCTTGCAGAATGGGACATTTGGTGTTAGTGCACAAACACAATAACCTTTTCCTTATTTTAGTTGCAGAAAATCAGTACAGATTATTAAAAAAAATTTATCCACTATAATTAGTACACCTTAGAATATATTAGAACTGGACTTAAGCAGATCATCTAGATACATAACACTATCATATTACAGCATATAATTTCAATTAAAATGTAAGAATTTGCATTTCTTTCTGTTTGGTGTTGATTTCAGCTCCTAATAATTTAAAGCGTGCCTACAATCCAATTAGGAATCTTTTAAAAAAGCACTTCAGTGCACTATAGGGGCTCACTAGTTAGGGTTTCATGAGATATACTTTTTCAAGTGAGGAAGCCTTTGGAACACTACAAATCATCTGCTAATTCATTTTTGGTAGATTTAACACATAACAAATTAAGTTTAGTCCAAACAAATGGTAACAAAGTTAAGTTTGCTGGTTCATGTTTTTATTCTCCCTTTGTCTGAGGTGAATTATTTTTCACATGTTAGTCAGAAGCCAATGATGTGGCAGTTGCTAAACATAGATTAAAAAATTAATTCTTAATTTTAATTATTTATTTATTTAATTATTTTAACAGTTAAATTTTATTTTATTTTCTAATTTTTCATGTCCATACTTGATTACTTAAGAATAAAATTATTTTAACATGCATTCCAAAAGAGGAGACATACACGGAAATACAACAAGCAAATTAACCTTCTATTTTTGCATCTGCAGAAAATGTCTCAAGAACCAGAAATAAATAAGGACTGTGATAGAGAGGTATACCTTTATGTTCAAATGTTTCTGTTGAATTAGATTTTTATGTTATGCTGTTTAACAAAGTGTAGTAAGTGTAGGCATACATGATCCTATCATGTAAGTAGCATAAATCACCAGTGAAAAATTTAATATTTAACTCAGAAAGAATTCTGTACATTGAGTTTTCAAGAGATACAAACCCTAGAGAGATTCTTTCATTATTATGGAACAATCCTGAATGGTGCCATAAAATGCTAGGTAATGCCACTTTAGGAGCTTTGGACCAATCATTTTATCTTTCTTGGTTTTAGTCTGATTATCACTAGATAATGTGGCTAAAGAAGATAATTACTTATTCTTTGTAACTTCCAGCTGGAAAATTGTATAGCTATTGAATGTGAAATTTTGGGAGCATCTAATTTTCTGGAATTCCACGCTTGCACTTCAGCAGTTTCACTCTGCTCCTTGTGTTGTGGCAAACTTTGGTTTTCATGTTTCAGTGAGCACCATCATGTTTTTGATATCCAGGAACCAAACGAAAAAAGAACGATCAAAGGCAGTGGGGGAGGAGAATATCTTAGTGCAGAAAAGGGCCATCTTCCTTTCTATTCCTGAAGTCCCCCAGTGTCTCATCCTCTACATCTGAGTGTTTAATGTAAAATCTAGGTGGTAAAGATAGAAGACACATTTTGTGTCTATGTCGTTTTATTTTTGTGTTCCCACGAGTCAAATGGGGTAAATTCATATATAAGATTCTGAAGAGTTTTTGGGAATAAAGGCACAAAATGAAGGAGGGCCCTTTTTGAATTTTGGAAAATTCTGTTTTATTCAGTCAAACAGCAATCAAGCAAACTTTACAAAAATTTCAATGATATACTAATGACATGATAATTACATCTTAAAATTATACGGTAATAGTTCTGTATATATGATCAAATTTAAGTGTGAGATTTTTAATGACTAAAATAATGGCAAACTGAATCAATTGATAAAATCAATTAAAAAGGTTATTTTTATTCAATAAAGTGATAACCATCCTTAATATCAAACTTCCACTCAAGGTTGAAGAAGAAATAAAGAAGCATGGAAGTAATCCTGTGGGATTACCAGAAAACCTGACTAATGGTGCCAGTGCTGGCAATGGTGATGATGGATTAATTCCACAAAGGAGGAGCAGAAAACCTGAAAATCAGCAATTTCCTGACACTGAGAATGAAGAGTATCACAGGTAAGCCTATGGCAACATTTAATAGGAGATAACTATATGCTGTCAAACTAATCTTAATTTGGGCTAATATTCATGATGAACAAATTTTATACTTTTACTAGAATATTCAGCCTTGCCTGTTAATCAGAAAAATGAAAATCAGTAAACAATGAGTTACCGTTTTTTCCAGTCATTAATTTATTTGAAAAATAACCAGCATTGGCAAATGTGAGGGAAAAGGCATTTTCTTTTCTTTTTAATGAACTTTTATTTTAGCTTCAGAAGTTCATGTGCAGGTTTATTATATAGGTAAACTGTATCATGGAGGTTTGGACTACAGATTATTTCATCAGCCACATAATAAGCAAAATACTCGAGAGGTAGTTTTTTGGTCATCTCCCTCCTGCCACACTCCACCCTCAAGTAGACCCTGGTGTCTGTTATTCTCCTCTTTGTGTCCATGAGTTCTCATTGTTTAGTTCCCACTAATGAGTAAGAATATGTGGCATTTGATTTTCTGTTCCTGCATTAGTTTGCTTAGGATAATGGCCTCCAGCTCCATGTGTGTTGCTGCAAAGGAAATGGTCTCATTGAAAAAGACATTTCATACACTGTTGGTAAATACATTTTGAACATTAATTTAGTAGCATATTCACACACACATATATATAACATAGTAAGGATATATAGGTATGTTAAGGATATTTGTATAGATTTGTCACATATATACTTATGTGTAAGGACATTTCTTACAGCATTATTATATCAAAAAGATAGATCCTTATCAATAGGAATTTATCATCAAAAGTAAATCCTTACCAATAGGAAATACCCCGAAAATAATACAGTATGCAACCATTTTTTACAAATGAGGTTAGATCTAGAGTATACTGATTATTCACAATTAAAATATTTAAAGCATTTAGTTTGGTAACACATCTTAAGATAATTTTGTTAGAATTCTTGTAATATCTGCTGTGTTGCAAATGGAAGCTACACGCTACATTGACACCGTACCTTGTTAGCAACAAGATTGCTAGTTATTAAATTTTTGTTGTCAGTGCCTGAGTGCCGAAATATTGGACCTTCAATCTGAATATTGCCAAGGGATTGTACATGGGGATCTATATTTAATATAAACATTTGAGTATATTGGGTAAAACTTTTATTAAAATATATCAAAGTATCTTTCATCTGCTAAACCAGGAGCTGGCCAGCTTTTTCTGCAAAGAGCCATTTAGTAAATATTTCAGGCTTTGTGGACTATATATATTTATTTTTTTTGAGACAGGGTCTCTGTTGCCCAGGCTGGAGTGCAATTGTGTGATCACAGCTCACTGCAGCCTTGACTTTCTGGGCTCTAGTAATCCTCCCACCTCAGCCTTTCTACTGTCTGGGACCCCAAGTGTGCAACATCACACCCAGCTAATTGACTCTATGGACTGTAATGTGAATAAGCATGGCTGTGTTCCAAGATTCTTTACTTACAAAAACAGGCAGTGGGCTGGATTTGGCCCACAGGTGCTAATTTGCTGACCCGTGTGCTAAAAGGAAGGTGCTGCTAATGCAGTAACACTTATTTGTAAAAGTGCCCTGCATGTGTGACATTATCTTTCCTTTGAGAAAAGGATATATTTCAGTATTCACCTCACCATATTTTTCCACAGTGATGTCATATAATTTTTAAAATTTCATTTGTAAAATAAGATTATTTTCTGCATTTCTGCCACTTTATTCCTGTCAATAGAACTCAGTATTTCACTGTGATCAATTACTTTGTATATTTGATGAGTATCAACTGTCCTAGAATTGGCTGATTTTTATCAAGCAAGAAATACTCTCCTTGAAGCTTTTAGTTTTTCTTGGTCTTTATGTATAAGCATGAACAAAATAATAATCAGCTTCTGTAATCTAGAAATGGTCAAGGCAACTTTTAGTTCTATAGTTTTAAGAATTTAACACCTTGGTCTGGCATTTTTAATGCCAAATGTGTATAATTTTTATAAGCTTTAAAATATGTAATTGTTATATAAAATTTGAAAACTACACCTGTTATGTAAAATTTGAAACTATTTGTCTACTACTTTTCCATGACTGTGGAAGAAAATTACAACATTCTCAGCCATGACTCCTAAGTATGATGTCCTTAAAAGAACTGTCTACACTCACGAACTCAAATTTTCTTTTCATTCACTCTTGATCTCATGCCAGTAAGTCTTCAATTTCAGCAGTCCTCCAACGTTTTTCCTCAAAATTATCACTAATTTTTTTCTGTAATCTAGGCACTTTTCTTCCACCTCATTTTATTTAATCTGTCAGCAATATTTGAGGCAATGGAGGACATCTCCTCCCTAACGGCGTCTTCACTTGGCTTTCAGGACCTCACTGCCTCAGGCTTTTCCTCCTACCTTTCTAGTCCATTCATCATGTTCTGTTTTGCTTGCTCCTCCTCATCTTTCTCCTTTTGGACATTGTTGTTTCCCAGGGCTCACTCCTCAATCTTCTTTCTTGTGACTTTTTCTTTTTCTTTTTTGGAGACAGAGTTTTGCTCTGTCACCCAGGCTGGAGTTCAGTGGTGTGATCTCGGCTCACTACAACCTCTGCCTCCTGGGTTCAAGCGATTCTCCTGCTTCAGCCTCCTGAGTAGCTGGCATTACAGGTGCATGCCACCATGCTCAGCTGATTTTTGTATTTTTAGTAGACACAGCATTTCCCCATGTTGGCCAGCCTGGTCTCAAACTCCTGACCTCAGGTGATCTGTCTGCCTTGGCCTCACAAAGTGTTGGGATTACAGGTGTGAGCCACTGCACCTGGCCCCTCATGACTTTTTCTACTGTGTATATGCTAGTGATTTCCAAATGTATGTCTCCAGCTCAGATCTCTCTCCTTAATTCCAGATTTCTATATCAGCCTGCCTACTTGTGACATCTCTATTTGGTTAGTTATTGGGTATCACACACTTGTCAGATCCAAAATTGGGCTACTGATGTCCTTCCTGAAATCTACACCTCATGCAGTCTTTCCTACTTTGGTTAAGGGCAACTCTTCCAGTTGCTCTGCCAAAAATCTCGGTGTCATTCTTGACTCATCTCTCTCTCTCTCTCTGACACCTCACATCTAATCTCTCAGTAAATCTTGTCAGGTCTACCTGAAGAATATGTCCAGAAGCCAGTCATATCTCATACATCTGAGCCACCCTCATCTGCAGTCTAGATGAGTGCCATAGACTGGGAATTGATAGTCCTGGTTTTTAAAAACTTCCCTTTTCATCAATTCTTAACTCAGTGGATGTATTTAAAGCATAAGTCAAATTGTGTCATTCCTCTGCCCCAGCCCTTCTGATTATCTCCCATTTCACTCAGAGTACATGTCAAAGTTCCTCCTAATTATCTCCCTTGCTCTGCTTCAGCCACACTGAATTCTTGCCATCCCTTATCTACCCCTAGTGCTTAAAGATGCCAGGCACACCTCTGTGATTTGCAGTTCCCTGTGTCTGGAATGCTTTTTCCCCAGATATCCTCCTAGCTTTCTCTTTCCATTCCTTCAGTTCTTTATTTAAAACCCCCTTTCTAAGAAGAAGAGGAAAAAGGGTAAAAAGAAACACATTAAGGAACAACCACTTTCTGAGGAAGAACGGTGTGCTACCCAGACGCGTCATGCTTAAGGTTCAATTGGGTGCCTACCAGGGATGCTCTCTAACGTAACGAAGGGAAGGTTCAGTGAAACAAAGTGATTTATCATCTCTAACTTCAAACCCATTTGTATCTTGACATCAACGCTGTTAACCTTATGTCATCATTTCTTAGAGACTTTGATATACAAATAAAAGGTTTTTGTATTAGAAAAAAAAAATCCCCTTTCTCAGCAGGGACTTTTCTGACCATCCCAACTTTCCCACCACCCTCCCCATCAAACACATAAACATTTCATTTTCCTGCTTTAGTTTTTCTCCTGTAACATCCTGTATATTTTGCCTTATCTGTCTGTTGTTATTGTGTGTTTTTCTCACTCTCATGAATAGGGTTTTTATTTTTCACTACCATATCCTCACTGCCTAGAAAAAGGCCTAGCATATTGGATGAAGCTACCTAACAAATACTTATTAAATGAGTGAAGGGAGTTTATCCTGGATATATTGTTTGATTAATTCTCACTTTAAAAATGTTTGACGTGGTTCATTCTAACAGTTTTGCCCAGTAATTACATGCATTTTTAAAATTGTTTTGGCTTTTTATAATAAGCTACATTCTTTATATTAATTTTTTTATTTAGAGAGAAAAGCCCAATATTGTGGTTATTCACTATTTATTCTTTTACTAGTAATCATAATTGTAATTATGGCAAACTGAGTCAGAGGAATTGCAAAGTTTACTGGTATTTTATTTTATTTTGAGATGGAGTCTCGCTGTATCCCCCAGGCTGGAGTTCAGTGGTATGATCTCAGTTCACTGCAACCTCCACCTTCTGGTTCATGCATTTCTCCTCCCTCAGCCTCCCAAGGAGCTGGGATTATGGGGGCATGCCACCACGCCCAGCTAATATTTGTATTTTTAATAAAGATGGGGTTTCACCCCATTGGTCAGGCTGGTCTCGAACTCTGTACCTCAGGTGATCCACCCACTTCGGCCTTTCAAAGTGCTGGGATTACAGGCATGAGCCACCGCACCTGGCCACTAGTATTTTATTTAAAAAAAAAATTAGGGTGGCACATTTAATGGACTTACAAATTCTTTTCAAGGGATTATGAACCTTTGGTATTTGAAATAAAGAGACAGAGTTGGAATTTTTTGCTTCCTATAGTAAGAGGAATACTGGTCAGGCACTGTCTATTCTGATGGAGCAGGTGCTGCTGCATGGCTGTATTTCAGAAGCAAGCTGCTCACATTGATATTGGTTGGTGAGCAAGAGCAGTGGTCATTGATTGACTAGATTTCAAACTGGCTTTGTGTGGCTTCTTGTTACCATTGGTACAAGTCATTTCTTTCCTAAGTTAGAGTCAACTTTAACCGAAAATTTTCTGTATAAAAGTTGCCTTCAATTAACTATGTTCAAAATGAAACTATTTTATATTCCAGAATTGTAGACTTCATTTTAAAATTTTGGTCAAGATGAATTGGTTAATAACAGCTCTCAGGAATATCTGTTTTCTTTTTTAAAAAATACATATTTCTCTGTATAATTTATTCCTTAAAATTAATTATTTTCTTTCTGTTTTTGGTATTTTTAGAAGCTTTTGCTCAAGTCCTAACATAATCTCCAGTAGGAGATTTTAGTCTCTTTGTCAGTTCATGTATGTATATGGTAGTGATACTCTACTCTCTTTTTAAATTCCTTTTCTTGTTCACTTTCTTCTCAGTACAATAACGGTGATATTCTTATACATCTTTACCTCATTTAAAAGTAATTACAGTTTGCTGCTGGCAAATTCAGCTTTTTATATTTTTACTAAATACTAGGCTAAAAGTGAAGAAAATTTACCAGGTCATTTTATTTTCAAACAAAATCATTACTAATAAAAATTGCTATCTTTGAAATATAAATAATGACATTTTGATATTTTAAAAGTAAGGATACACCCCCCCCCCAATAGTTTGGCTTTGTGTTTCCACCCAAATCTCGTGTCAAATTGTAATTCCCAGGTGTTGAGAGAAAGACCAGCTGGGAGGTATTGGATCATGGGGTCGGTTTCCTCCATGCTGTTCTCGTGATAGTGAGTTCTCACAAGAGCAGATAATTCTATAATGGGCTCTTTCCCTTTCACTTCTCTCTCTCCTGCCACCTTTTGAAGAAGTTGCCTGCTTCCCCTTTACGTTCTGCCATGATTGTAAGTTTCCTGAGGCCTTCCCAGCCATGTGTAACTGTGAATCAATTAAGCCTCTTTCCTTTATGAATTACCCAGTCTCAGGTATATATATATATTTTTTTTTTTTTTTCTTTATTCCACTCATCAGTTGGTGGACACTGGCTGATAACATATCTTTGCATATGTGAATTGTGCTGCAGTAAACATATGTATATAGGTGTCTTTTTGAGAGTATGATTTCTTTTATTTTGGGTAGGTATCCAGAAATGAGAACGCTGGATAGAATGGTAAGATCTACTTTAAAAGAACTCTCCATAATGTTTTCCATAGATTTGTACTAATTTGTATCCCCACCAGCAGTGTATAACTCTTTTTTCACCACATCCACACCAACATCTGCTGTTTTTTTTATTTTAGTAGTGACCATTCTGGCTGAAGTGAGGTGATATCTCACTGTTGTTTTATTGTACATTTCCCTGATGATTAGTAATATTTAGCATGTTTTTATATTCTTGTTCACCATTTGTACATCTTCTTTTGAGCAATGTCTATTCATGTCATGTGCCCACTTTTTAATGGAATTATTTGTATTTTTCCTGCTGATTTGTTTGAGTTTCTGGTAGGTTATGGACATTAATCCTTTGTTAGATTCATAATTTGCCCATATTTTCCCCATTGTATAGGTTGTTGGCTCACTTTGATGATTATTTCTTTTGCTGTGCTGAAGCTTTTTACTTTAATTAGGTCTTTATTTATTTATTTATTTATTTTTATTTTTGTTGCTTTTGCTTTCAGGGTCCTCATCATAAATTATTTGCCTAGGCTGATGTCTTCAGGTCTTAGGTTTAGGCCATTAATCCATCTTGAATTAATTTTTTTACATGGTGAGAGATAGAGATCCAATTTTATTCTTCTATATGTGACTATCTTTTTTTCCCAGCACCATTTGTTGAATAACGTGTGCTTTCTCCAGTGTATGTTTTTGTATCCTTTCTCAAAGATCATTTGGTTGTAAGTGGCCTTTTTTCTGAGTTGTCTATTCTGTTCCATTGATCTGTGTATCTACTTTTATATCAGTACCACGATGTTTGTTACTGTGGCCTTAGAGTATAATTTGAAGTCAGGTAATGTGATGCCAACATGTTTGTTCCTTTTGCTTGGCATGTCTGTTGCTATTCAGGCTCTTTTGTGGTTCTACATGAATGGCAGCTTTTTAAAATAACTCTGTGAAGAATGACATTGGTACTTTGGTAGAAACTGTATTGACTCTGTAGACTACTTTGGGCACTATGGCATTTTCACAATATCAATGCTTTCAGTCCAGGAACATAGAATGTATGTTCATTTATTTGTATCATCTGTGATTTTCTTCAGTGGTGTTTTCCAGTTATCCTTTGATAGATCACTCACCTCCTTCATTAAGTATATTCCTAGGTATTTTACTGTTTTGCAGCCATTGTAAAAAGAATTGGATTCTTGATATGACTCTCAGCTTGGTTGTAGTTGGTGTATAGTGGTACTATTCATTGGTATTTGTATATTTTGTAACCTCTGAGACTTTACTAAATTCATTTATCAAATCTAGGAGTGTTTTGTAGGAGTCTGTAGGGTTTTCTAGGCATAAGATCATATCATTGGTGAAGAGAGAGTTTGACTTTCTCTTTTCCAATTTGGATGCCCTTTATTTCTCTTGCCCAATTGCTCTGCCTAGGGCTTCCCAGTTTTCTTCTTAATATGCATGAAATAAAAGTAAAATTGAAAGCGATTGTTGATCAGTTTATTTCACATTTCTCTCTCATACACAAATAAAATGAATTCAAAGTTCTATGTTAAAAACACAATATTAGAGCCTGTCTTGTTCCAAAGGGAATTTCTAAGTTGTCTATAGATTACAGAGGAATCAAGAATATAAGTGGAAACTGTTTCCAAAAAATAAACATAAAAAGTTTAGGTTAACACAGGGGTTTCCAATCCCCAGGCCACAGACCAGTACCAGTCCCTGGCCTGTTAGGACCTGGGCCACACAGCAAGAGGTTAGTGGTAGGGAGCAAGTGAAGCTTCATCTGTTTACAGCCACTCTCTGTCACTCACATTACCTTCTGAGCTCCTCCTCCTGTCAGATCAGCGGTGACATTAGATTGTCATAGGAGTGTGACTTGAACCCTATTGCAAGCTGCTCATGCATGGGATATAGGTTGTTCACTCCTTATGAGAATCTATTGCTTTCTGATCTGTCACCATCTCCTGTCACCCCTAGATGAGACCATCTAGTTGCAGGAAAACAAGCTGAGGGCTCCCACTGATTCTACATGATGGCGAGTTATATAATTATTTCATTATATATTAGTAATAATAGAAATGAAGTGCACAATGTATGTAATGTGCTTGAATCATCCTGGAACCATCCCCCACCTCAGGTCCATGGAAAAATTATCTTCCACAAAACTAGTCCCTGGTGCCAACATGACTGTGAGAGCAGGTTTAACAGATGTGAAACCCCTTTGTCTTGTCTTGGATTAATGTGCAGATATACATTGTGTGAATGACATCTGATGGTGCCATCTTGCCCTGTAGATCATTTTAGGGACACCTCCAGTATTTCATGAAAATTAAATTTTCTTCTAGTGATGAACAAAATGATACCCGGAAACAACTTTCTGAAGAACAGAACACTGGAATATCACAAGATGAGATTCTGACTAATAAACAAAAGCAGATAGAAGTGGCTGAACAGAAAATGAATTCTGAGGTATTTTCTTTAGTCATTTTCAAATGTTTTCATATGTGTATATATTTTTAAAAAGCTTTATTTTGGAAGGTATAAAGGATTTTTAAATCACATATATACACACGTGTGTGTGTGTGTATATATATGTGTGTGTGTATATATATACACACACACACACACACACCCTGTATATCCTTGGTCATATATTTATATATGTACATATAGGATAAAACCATGTTCTTAATTCAACTGCATTTGCCTGCAACAGTCGAGTAGTGACCTTCACAATGGCCTCAATCCAAAGGAAAAGCATTTGATATTTTTCATAAGAATTGATTATCTTTCCAATATCAAAAATAAGTTTTGCTACTAACAACAGATTTGCTAGTTTTGGGACATTAGTTCTTTTTAAAATATTAATAGAGAAGTCAGTTTGTTATTTTCACTAACAGGAAAGTAGGAAATGTACAGCTGGGTCAGAGGCCACATTGTGGATGTCATTATCCTTGCTTTTGAGGAGAGGAACAGTTTGCTCCGAGTAGTTTCTCATTTCAATGCAAAGAGCTTTGAAAACAATGACATGCCATGATACACATTTAGTGATAATTTATTGATAAGTATTTTGTTCCCAGATGAATAGTTCAGTATGTTTCCCCTATTTCACACTTACTACTACAATGTTTCAAACATTATAAAGAGGAAAGAAAAGTTATTGCAATGGCAAATAATCTCATGATTTCTAAGAAAAGCCTTGTAAGTTATATCTTATTTACCATTTGTATTTTGAAATAAAAGGTTTCTTTTATATTTATATATTTACACCACAGAAGCAACTGTGATTTTGTGGAGGATCACTAGCAGTAGCATCAGAAGACCTGGCAAAAATCCTGCACGTTGCATATATACGTGTGTGTGTGTGTGTGTGTGTGTGTGTTTGTGTGTGTGTATTCTAGATGGAGTCTTGCACTGTCACCCACGCTGGAGTGCAGTGGCACAAACTCAGTTCACTGCAACCTCTGCCTCCCAGGTTCACACGATTCTCCTGCCTCAGCCTCCTGAAGTGCTGGGATTACAGGTGTGAGCCACTGGTCCTGGCTGCATATATTTTTTGACCTCTCCTTTTAAGAATCGTGATCCTAAATGAGTTGAGTGTTGTATGTAGAAGTGCAATGCTTAGATGCAGATGTGTACATTGTAGAAGGGTACAATGCTTAGATTTAACAGTTATGAATAAATGTAATGCTTACAACTGACTGTAAAAATATTAGAAAAGCAGTATATTGATAAAACATTCCTCAGAAAAAGGAACTTAAAGAACTTTGAGGAATTGCTTCTGTCCTAATATATGCATAGCTAAGGCTCTTATGATGGTGTGGTTTATAGGTTAGATATCAGAGTGTAAACCCAATTTAAAAAATGTAGCCAAATATATTAATCTTCTATTTTATGCCTCTGGGTTTTTTGTAATTCAGAGAAAGGCTTTTCCAATTCTGAAATTCTTAAAAATCCTCTAGTGATTTATTTTTCATGGTCTTTAGATAAATATTTCAACTTTTTGGAATTTACACTCTTTTAGATTTGAAGTTTTGTCCAACTTTTTTCCAGTTAAATATCCACTATGGGAATTATTTCATTATACAAATATAAATGTCATTCTTTAATTTTAGAAGAAATCATGATATGTCATTCTATTGAGTGCTAACTAAAAGTTCCCTTTGTTTACTTAGCTTTCTCTTAGTCATAAGAAAGAAGAAGATCTCTTGCGTGAAAACAGCGTGTTGCAGGAAGAAATTGCCATGCTAAGACTGGAACTAGATG
The DNA here is from genome assembly GCF_000001405.40 of Homo sapiens. NCBI lineage: Eukaryota > Metazoa > Chordata > Mammalia > Primates > Hominidae > Homo > Homo sapiens. Next base: position 13,641,436 of record NC_000021.9, read on the forward strand.
AAACAAAACATCAGAACCAGCTAAGGGAAAATAAAATTTTGGAGGAAATTGAAAGTGTGAAAGAAAAGACTGATAAACTTCTAAGGGCTATGCAATTGAATGAAGAAGCATTAACGAAAACCAATATTTAAGTACAGTGGACAGCTTAGGATTTTGACAACTGAGAATGCTCAGTTCTGAACTGGAGAGTGTAAGACACAGCTAGGAAACACTGGAAATGGAAATTCAATCATGTCATTGTAGACTGACTACTGCTCTACATGATTGTGATCAAAGTCAGATAGCTGAAAGGGACTTCTTTCCAGAGAACAAACATGAACAGGTTTATTTACAGGAGAAAATGAATTCTCATATATCTCACCTAAAAGATAACAGTGAGATTCTTTCTGAACAACTCTAACGCTGACAGTAAAATTAACAACCTAAAAATTAAGCTCCATCACACAGGATAAATTCTGAGAGAAAAGATGAGGCAGGCCACCATCTTTCCTGTTTGGGCAACTTAGCCATTCCAGCGTGCGGGCTTTGGAGAGTACAAACCCACCAGGGGCAGAAGAGATCCTGTGGCATAGCACAGCTGCTTTACCAAATCATGGCCAGAATGCTTCTGTAAGCAGGCCCCTGATCCTGTTCCTTGTCACTGGACAGGATCTCCCACCTGAGGCCTCCAGCTACACCCACCAGTGTTCCCTGGCCAATGGAGATTTGAAACCTTCCTGGGACAGAGTTCCCAGAGAGAGGGGTGGGCCATGACCTTTGTTGTTTGGGCAACTAGCCCTTCTGGCCTGTGGGCTTTGGAGAGCCCAAGCTGACCAGGGGTGGAAGTGGTACCTCAGCACAGAACAGCCACCCTGCGAAAACGTGGCCAGATTCTTGTTTAAGCCAGTCCCCAACCACATTTCTAATCACTGGCTGGAGCCTTTCAACCAGGGTCTCCAGCCACCTTCACTGCTGTTCTCTGGCTGACAGAGGTTTCAGGCCTCCTGAGTGAGAGCTCCCAGGGGGAGGACCAGACTGTCATCTTTGCTGTTTGGATGACTCAGCCAGTTCAGTCTTAGAGTTTCAGAGTGTCTGAGGAGACCAGGGGCTGAAGTGAACCCCCCGCACAGCATAGCCACTCTACAAAAACGTGGCCAGACTTCTTTTTTAAACAAGTCCCTATTCCTGTTCCTCCTTACTAGGCAAGACTTCTCAACTTGCTTCCAGTCACATCCTACAGGTGTGTTCAGATTGGCAACAGGTTCATACCTCAGAGGTACAGAGCTCCCAGAGGGAAGGGCAGGTTATCGTCTTTGCTTTTTCGCAGGCTTCACTGCTGATACCTTCAGCCACTGGAAAATACGAGGCAATTGGCGACTGGAGTGGACCCCCAGCATACCACGGCAGCCCCACAGAAAAGTGGCCAGACTGTTATGTGGGTGCCCATTTCCATATCTCCTCGATGGGCAGGTCTTCCTGGCCTGGGTCTCCAGCCAGCCCCCCACTTGAGCTTTCAAGCCAGTAGCAACTCAGCAACTCCCTGGACAGAGCTTCCAGGAGCAACAGAAATCCTCTCTGCCACTGCCTCTGCAGTGGAACTGCCCTTGCTACCCTCAGAATATCAAGGGAGCAAAGACCCTAAGTACCATATTGACACCTCCAACAAGCTGCAGTTGACACAAGGAACAAGTCAGTCCATCTTCCACAGGTACAACACACCCCTTACTGCTCATCACCAGACAAGGAACCCTGGCTTGGGCCCACAACACAGACCCTCCATCCTGGGGTGATTACATTAAGTAACTGCTAACTTACACCTCTCTGGGGTGGAGCCCCCAGGAGACAAGGAAAGTGGTGGAGCAGCAAGTCAGCTGATGTGGAGCCCGGAGGGCAGGGACAGCTATGTCTCTAGGCTCCACTTGCTCTTATGAGACACTTTATCCCAGCACTTTAGGAGTGCTGAGGTCAGACCAGCCCCATCTCACATGCAGGATTGCCCAGCACAGATCAGGTCTAAGAGTTCTCTTCGTAAAAAAGGGGACTTGCTTAAAAAAGAAGTCTGGCCACGTTTGTGTAGAGCAGTTGTGCTGTGCTGAGGATTCACTTTTGAGAGAGTTCTCCTCTGAGACCTGATCTGTGCTGGGCAGTCTTGCACATGAGATGGGGCTGGTCTGACCTCAGCACCCCTTAGTCTGCTTGCCTCTCCCAGGACCCCAGCCAGGCCACACCTGCTTAGAGGGCACTTTCGGGTGCCCACACCATAGCTTCTGTACAAGCGGACCATGCCTGATCAATGGAGAGCTGCAGCAAGGTGACCTCTACAGCCACGCACTAGCCTGCACATTACCTCTCCATACTGCAGCCCTTTATATGGAAACTTCCTACATCACTTTGCTGTGTGTGTTTACACAGGTGGGTTTTGTTGTACTTGCCCTAACAGCATATGGGAATGCAGCACACACCCCAACCCACACCAACTGCCACTGAAGATGAAGCCATGGTGGGCACAGAACCAAAAACCCCACCCCTGCTAGCATCTCACCCTTGAGGTAATGCTGTGCAGAGGAAAAGGGACCTTCTTATACCCTGAGTGACCACTGTTGCTTGGGGGGGATCAAAGAAGGCACCTTCACTGGCCAGCCACCCACCCCAAACCAGCACTACCTCCAGTGCAACAGCACACACAGCAGGGGCCCCCTGGCCCACACCCCAGCTGTTTTGCCTCCACCACTGGGTGAATGCCCACAGGGAGGCAGGGACTTTTGCATCTGGTAGCATTCTGCCACAGCTGCCGCACTTTGGTCCCCTCAGTGCAGTGGACTCCAAACCTCGAGGAGCCAGAGAACAAAGTTGTGGCCCAATACAAGTTCCCCAGAGTTAAAGCACACAGTCCAAGAATTGGGAGCTGCATGTTGGCCCCTTAAAATCCTCCAAAAACAAAACCTGTTGGCTGAATCCACCTTACACCACAATCAAATCCTCAAGGTCATCAGATATAATAAAGGAAAAATACCCTGTCCAAACGTCAGCAACCTCAAAGATTGAAGATGGATAAGCCCATAAAGATGAGAAAAAGACTCTGTGCAAGAACACTAAAAACTCAAAAATTCAGCATGCCTTCTTTTCTCCAAATGACTGCATCAACTCTCCAGCAAGTGTTCAGAACTGGGCTGAGGCTGAGATGTCTGAAATGATACAAGCAGAGTTCAGGATATGGGTAGGAACAAAGTTCATTGCGTGAAAGAAGTATGTTGTAATCCAATACAAGGAAGCTAAAAATCATTGTAAAACATTGCAGGAAGTAACAGACAAAAGAGCAAGTATAAAGAAGAAAATAACTGACCTGACAGAGCTGTAAATCACACTAGAAGAATTTTCATAATGCAGTCACATGGTGATTGTGTGTGATTGCATTATGAATATTATTGTATGTGTGGGCACCTGAGAGTGCCCTGTAAGCAGGTGTGGCCAGGCTGGGGTCCTGGGAGAGGCAAGCAGACTAGGGAGGGCTGAGGTCAGACCAGCTCCATCTCATGTGCAAGACCATCCAACAGAATAGACCAAGAAGAGGAAAGAATCCCAGAGCTTGAAAACTGGCTTTCTGAAATAAAACAGGCAAACAAGAATGGGGGAAAAAAGAATGAAAGGGAATGAACAAAACATCTGAGATATATGGGATTATATAAACGACCAAATCTATGACTGATTAATGTACCTGAAAGAGATGAGAATGGAACCAACTTGGAAAACACATTTCAGAATATCATTCATGAGAATGTCCCCAACCTAGCCAGACAGGCCAACATTCAACTTCAGGAAATCCAGAGAACCTCAGTAAGATATGCCATGAGAAGATCATCCCCAAGACACATAATCGTCAGATTTTCTGAGGTCAAAATAAAAGAAAAAATGTTAAAGGCAGCTAGGGAGAAAGGCAACATCACCTGCAAAGGGAATTCCATCAGATTTAGCAGACCTCTCAACTGAAACTGTACAAGCCAGAAAAGACATTCAACATCTCAAAGAAAAGAAATTTCAACCCAGAATTTCATGTCCAGCAAAATTAAGCATCATAAGTGAAGGAGAAACAAGATCCTTTTCAGACAAGCAAATGCTGAGGGAATTCGTTATCACCAGACCTACCTTACAAGAGCTCCTGAAGGAAGCACTAAATATGGAAAGAAAAGACCACCACCAGCCACTACAGAAACACACTGAAGTACACAGACAAGTGATGCTAAAAACCAACTACATAAGTCTGCAAAAAAGCCAGCTGACAGCATGACGACAGGATCAAATCCACACATACCATTACTAACCTTAAATGGAAATGGGCTAAATGCTCCAATTGAAAGACACAGGGGGCAAGCTGGATAAAGAACCAAGACCCATTGGAGTATGCCGTCTTCAAGAAACCCATCTCACATGCAGTGCCATACATAGGCTCAAAATAAAGGAATGGAGAAAAATATTTCAAGGAAATGGAAAACAGAAAAAAGCAGGTGTTGCACTCCTAGTTTCTGACAAAACAGACTATACCAATACAGATTAAAAAAAAAAAGAGGGCTGGGCGCGGTGGTTTACGCCTGTAATCCCAGCACTTTCGGAGGCTGAGACGGATGGATCACAAGGTCAGGAGATCGAGACCATCCTGGCTAACACGGTGAAACCCTGTCTCTACGAAAAATACAAAAAATTAGCTGGGCATGGTGGCGGGTGCCTGTAGTCCCAGCTACTTGGGAGGCTGAGGCAGGAGAATGGTGTGAACCTGGGAGGTGGAGCTTGCAGTGAGCCAAGATCGTGCCACTGCACTGCAGCCCAGGAGAGACAGTGAGACTCCGTCTCAAAAAAAAAAAAAAAAAAAAAAAAAAAAACAGAAGGAGATTACAAAGGTGGTCCTGACCTTTGATAAATCTCATTATTGCTTGATACCAACCTGGGCTATCTTTATTGCCCAAACCAATAGGATAATGTGCTGAGGTTAGGGAGCTTCTCCCCCGCAGATAATCCCTGATCTCCCAAAATTTGGTTGACATCTAAGGTTGATTGCCATACAACTCCTTTTCTGAAGTTTTACTTATTTCCAACAAGGCAAGTTTTCCTGCTTCCATGATGATGGAGAGCAGGCACCTCCTTTCTTGAGTTTCAGCTTGCTTCTGACAGGGAAGGTGAGTGTAAGTTTTTTCCAGCTTCTAAGATGGCAGAGAACAATCACCAGCCTGAGACTTATTTCCAGGTAAGTAGCTGAATTAGAGTTTTGTCTTAAAATTTTTCCTTAATGACTAAAATTTAAGATTACTCACCAGCTGCTTTTAATTTCTCCTTACCATTAGAACACTCAGTAATCATATGAATTGTGCATTTGTTTGTTTTGCTTAACTCTTTTTGTTTGTTTATGTTTGGGGTTTTGTTGATGTTGTTTCACTTTTCTCCCATCTCTTCCTGACTTGGTCAGATCCAAAGAATGCTCCAAATTGTGGGGAACAAGGCTTCTGAATTGGCTAAAACTCATGTGGCTGCAAAAAAAAAAAAAAAAAAAAAAAAAAAAATCCGTTAGCAGAAATGATTTTTTTTAACTTTTTTATTTTTATTTTTTACATAAGTGGTTGCATCTTTTGCTAGCCAAGGCCAAACTGAAGGAGTAGTGGTGGCGACCCAAAGTTAAGATTCTGCCCTGTTCACTACAGAAACCTGAGTTTGGTTCCTAAGTCTAGTTCTTTCTGTTTGATATTTGTGTTATTTTTAAAATATCAGCAGTTTGTCCCAGCTATGATGTGGTAGTAAAAGATTCAGAAGTATTTTCTTTACAAGTTCTATGATGAAAAGCTTAATTAAAAGCAAATTTATTTTTTTAAAATTATACTTTAAGTTCTGGGGTACATGTGCAGAACATGCAGGTTTGTTACATACGTATACACATGCTATGGTGGCTTGCTGCATGCACCAACCCGTGATCTAATGCCATCCCTTTTCTAGCCCCCCACCCTGACAGGCCCTTGTGTGTGATGTTTCCCTTCCTGTGTCCATGTGTTCTCATTGTTCAGCTCCCACTTATGAGTGAGATCATGTGGTGTTTGGTTTTCTGTTTTTGTGTTAGTTTGCTGAGAATGACAGTTTCCAGCTTCATCCATGTCCCTGCAAAGGATATGAACTCATCCTTTTTTATGACTGCATAGTATTCCATGGTGTATATATGCCACATTTTCTTTATCCAGTCTATCATTGGTGGGTATTTGGGTTGGTTCCAAGTCTTTGCTGTTGTGAACACTGCCGCAATAAGCATACATGTGCATGTGTCTTTATATTGGAATGATTTATATTTTTTTGAGTATATACACTGTAATGGGATTGCTGGGTCAAATGGTATTTCTAGTTGTAGATCCTTGAGGAATCATCACATTGTCTTCCACGATGGTTGAACTGATTTATACTCCCACCAACAGTGTAAAAGCATTCCTATTTCTCCACATCCTCTCCAGCATCTGTTGTTTCCTGATTTTTTAATGATGGCCATTCCAAGTGGCGTAACATTGTATCTCATTATGGTTTTGAATTCCATTTCTCTAATGACCAGTGCTTTGCTTCACATGTTCGTTGGCTGCATAAATGTCTCCTTTGGGAAGTGTCTGTTCGTATCCTTTGCCCACTTTTTGATGGGGTTGTTTGTTTTTTTCTTGTAAATTTGTTTAAGTTTTTATAGATTCTGCGTATTAGCCCTTTGTCAGATGGATAGATTGCAACAATTTTCTCCCATTCTGAGGGTTGCCTGTTCACTCTGATGATAGTTTCTTTTGCTCTGCAGACATTCTTTAGTTTAATTAGATCCCATTTGTCAATTTTGGCTTTTGTTGCCATCTCTTTTGGTGTTCTAGTGATGAAGTCTTCGCCCATGCCTATGTCCTGAATGGTATTGCGTAACACAAGGACATTTCTGTGCCTGAATGCCATATCTCCCAAAGTAATTTATAGAATCAGTGCTATCTCCATCAAGCTACCATTGACTTTCTTCCCACAATTAGAAACACTACTTTAAATTTCATATGGAGCCAAAAAAGAGCTCGCATAGCCAAGACAATCCTAAGCAAAAAGAACAAGCTGGAGGCATCACAGTACCTGACTTCAAACTATTCTATAAGGCTACAGTAACCAAAACAGCATGGTACTGGTACCAAACCAGATATATGGACAAATGGAACAGAACAGAGGCCTCAGAAATGACACCACACATCTAAAACCATCTGATCTTTGACAAACCTGACAAAAACAAGCAATGGGGAAAGGATTCCTTATTCAATAAATGGTGTTAGGAAAACTGGCTAGCCATATGCAGAAAACTGAAACTGGGCCACTTCCTTACACTTTATACAAAAATTAACTTAAGATGGATTGAAGAGTTAAACTTAAGACCTAAAACCATAAAAAACCTAGAAGAAAACCTAGGCCACCAAACTCAGGAGAAATGTACTTGTAGTGAAATGCATGGTACAAACACACATTCCCTGCTTCCTTAAGTGGATGAGGTTGGAGGCTGGTCCACCTGCTCCAGGTGGATCCTTGCAGAGATGGCCGGTTGCTCTTTGAGCCAGCTTGGCCTTGCCTGGCATGCACAAGCCTCAGTGCAACAACTGTGTTACAAATGGAGCCACACAGAAAATGACCAGCAGGCTCAGTAGCAGGGTGTACATTGCCTTTGGGGCTCCAGTCCATGCCTCAGGGCTCATATGGCACTTTGGGCTTCTTGGTTGCCAAGAGGCAGATCACAGGCCATCTTGTGGAGGACTTTATGTTCAAGTGCAGAAAGCAGCCAGGATTACAACCTAGGGGACTCAGGCTTCTGTGACCCTGGCCAGACTTAGAATTTGGTCCCAGGCATGACACGCTCACTCAGAGCAGCGTGTCAGTACCTGGGGCCTGTGCATGCCAGGCAAAGCCAAGCTGGCTAAAAGAGCAACCAGACACCTCTGCAAGGGTGTGCCTAGAGCAGTTGGACCAGCCACCAATCTCACCCCCTCAACGAAGCCAGGATGGCCAGGTTCCCACAGCCTGAGTGGCTGCCACCTGATGGCTGATGGAGCAGAGGCCTGAGGAAAAGCAGATGGCACTGGGGCCCTACCTTTAGGGTAGAAGAACTGAGGTACCATGTCCGGCAGCGAGTGATGTTTGTGGCTGGTCCACCTGCTCCTGGCACACCCTTGCAGAGGTGGCTGGTTTCTCTTTGAGCCAGCTTGGCCTTGCCCAGCATGCACAAGTCTCAGTGCAACAACTGTTCTACAAATGGAACCACACAGAGGACATTAGAGGCAGGCTCAGGAGCAGGGTGTACACTGCCTTTGGTGCTCCAGTCCATGGCTCAGGGCTCGTATGGCACTGCGGACTTCTTGGTTGCCAAGAGGCAGACCACAGGCTGTCTTGAGGAGGACTTTATGTTCGAGTACAGAAAGCAGCAGGATTACCACCCAGGGGACTTGGCGTTCTGTGGCCCTGACCAGACTTAGAATTTGGGCCAAGGCAGGACAAACTCACTCACAGCAGCATGTCAGTAGCTGGAGACTATGCATGCCAGGCAAGGCCAAGCTGACTCAAATAGGAACCAGTCACCTCTGCAAGGGTGCACCTGGGACATGTGGAGCAGCCACCAACCTCAGCTACTCAAGGAAGTAGGGATGGCCAAGTTCCCACAGCCTGAGTGGCTGCCTCCTGATGGCTGATGGAGCAAAGGCCTGAGGAAAAGCAGATGGCACTGGGGCCCTACCTCTAGGGTAGAAGAACTGATGTGCTCTGACCTGCAACAAGTGAGTTTGGTGGCTGCTCCACCGGCTCCTGGCACACGCTTGCAGAGGTGGCTGGTTGCTCTTTGAGCCAGCTTGGCCTTGCCTGGCATACACAAGCCTCATTGCAACATCTGTGCTAGGTATGGAGTCACAGAGAGGAAATGAGCAGCAGGCTCAGGAGCAGGGTGTGCGCTGCCTTTGGGGCTCCAGTCCATGCCTCAGGGCTCGTGTGGCACTGTGGGCTTCTTCGTTGCCAAGATGCAGACCACAGGCCATCTTGAGGAGGACTTTATGTTCAAATGCAGAAAACAGCCAGTATCACCACCCAGGGGCTCTGCCTTCTGTGGCCCTGGCCAGATTTAGAATTTGGCCCCAGGCAGGGCAACCTCACTCGGAGCAGTGTGTCAGTAGCTGGGGCCTGTGCATGCCAGGCAAGGCCAAGGTGGCTCGAAGAGCAACCAGCCACCTCTGCAAGGGTGCACCTGGAGCAGGTGGAGCAGCCACCAACCTCACCCACTCAAGGAAGTAGGGATGGCCAGGTTCCCACAGCCTGCATGTCTGCCTCCTGATGGCTGATGGAGCAGAGGCCTGAGGAAAAGCAGATGGCACTGGGGCTCTACCTCTAGGGTAGAAGAACTGATGTACCCTGACTGGCTGCGAGTGAGGTTGGTGGCTGGTCCACCTGCTCCTGGCACACCCTTGCAGAGGTGGCTGGTTGCTCTTTGAGCCAGCTTGGCCTTACCCAGCATGCACAAGCCTCAGTACATCAACTGTGCTACAAATGGAGCCACACAGAGAAAACAGAGCAGCAGGCTCAGGAGCAGGGTGTGTGCTGCGTTTGGGGCTCCAGTCAATGCCTTGGGGCTAGTATGGCTCTGTGGGCTTCTTGGTTGCAAAGAGGCAGACCACACGCCATCTTGAGGAGGACTTTATGTTCAAGTGCAGAAAGCAGCCAGGATTACCACCCAGGGGACTCTGCCTTCTGTGGCCCTGACTGGACTTAGAATTTGGCCTAATACAGGACAAGCTCACTCAGAGCAGCATCTCAGTAGCTGGAGCCTGTGCATGCCAGTCAAGGCCAAGCTGTCTCAAAGAGCAACCAGCCACCTCCGCAAGGGTGTGCCTGGAGAAGATGTAGCAGCCATCAAACTGACCCACACAAGGAAGCACGGATGGCCAGGTTCCAACAGTCTGACTGGCTGCCACCTGGAGACTGATGGAGCAGAGGCCTGAGGAAAAGCAGATGGCACTGGGGCCCAACCTCTATGGGAGAAGAACTGATGTGCCCCAACCGGCAGCGAGTGAGTTTAGTGTCTGCTCCACCGGCTCCTGGCACACCCTTGCGGAGGTGGCTGGGTACTCTTTGAGCCAGCTTGGCTTCGCTCGGTATGCACAAGCCTCAGTGCAACAACTGTGCTACAAATGGAGCCACAGAGAGGAAATGAGCAGCAGGATCAGGAGCATGGTGTGCACTGCCTTTGAGGCTCCAGTCCATGTCTCAGGGCTCATATGGCACTGCGGGCTTCTTCATTGCCAAGGGGCAGACCACAGGTCGTCTTGAAGAGGACTTTGTGTTCAAATGCAGAAAGCAGCCAGCATTACCACCCAGGGGACTCTGCCTTCTGTGGACCTGACCAGACTTAGAATTTGGGCCAAGGCAGGACAAGCTCACTCAGAGGAGCGTGTCAGTAGCTGGGGCCTCTGCATGCCAGGCAAGGCCAAGCCGGCTCAAAGAGCAACCAGCCACCTTTGCAGGGGTGCACCGGGAGCAGGTGGAGCAGCCACCAACCTCGGCTACTCAAGGAAGCAAGGATAGGCAGGTTCCCACAGCCTGTGTGGCTGCCTCCTGATGGCTGATGGAGCAGAGGCCTCAGGAAGAGCAGATGGCACTGGGGCCCTACCTCTAGGGTAGAAGAACTGATGTGCCGTGTCTGGCAGGCAGCGAGTGAGGTTGGTGGCTGGTCTACCTGCTCCTGTCACACCCTTGCAGAAGTGGCTGGTTGCTCTTTGAGCCAGCTTGTCCTTGCCCAGCATGCACAAGCCTCAGTACAACAGCTGTGCAAATGGAGCCACACACAGGGAATTAGCAGCAGGCTCAGGAGCAGGGTGTTCACTGCCTTTGGGGCTCTAGTCCATGCCTCTGAGCTTATATGGCACTGCAGGCTTCTTGGTTGCCAAGAGGCAGACCACAGGCCGTCTTGAGGAGGACTTTATGTTCAAGTGCAGAAAAAAGTCAGGATTACCACCCAGGGGACTCGCCTTTCTGTGGCCCTGGCCAGACTTAGAATTTGGCCCCAGGCAGGACAAGCTTACTCAGAGCAGCGTGTCAGTAGCTGGGGCCTGTGCATGCCAGGCAAGGCCAAGCTGGCTCAAAGAGCAAGCAGCCACCTCTGCAAGCATGCTCCTCATGCAGTTGGACCAGCCTTTAACTTCACCCACTCAGAGAAGCATGGATGGCCAGGTTCCAACAGCCTGAATGGCTGCCACCTGATGGCTGATGGAGCAGAGTCCTGAGGAAAAGCAGATGGCACTGCTTTGTAATGCCCTTCTTTGTCTCTTTTGATCTTTTCCATTTAAAGTTTGTTTTATCAGAGACTAGGATTGCAACCCCCTTTTTTTTTTTCCTTTTCATTTTCTTGGTAAATATTCCTCCATCCCTTTATTTTGAGCCTGTGTGTGTCTTTGCATGTGAGATGGGTCTCCTGAATACAGTACACCAATGGGTCTTGAGTCTTTTTCCAACTTGCCAGTCTGTGTCTTTTTACTGGGGCATTTAGCCCAGTTACGTTTAAGGTTAATATTGTTACATGTGAAATTTATCCTGTCATGATGTTGTTAGGTGTTTATTTTTCCCATTAGTTAATGCAGTTTCTTTATAGTGTCGATGGTCATTACAATTTGGTATGTTTTTGCAGTGGCTCATACTGTTTGTCCCTTTCCATGTTTAGTGCTTCCTTCAGGAGCTCTTGTAAGAATGTGGATTTATTTCTTGTAAGGCAAATATGTGGATTTATATCTGGGTGCTGTATTCTATGGCCTCTACCCCAAGAGTCATTACTTTTAAAAATGCAATTCAAATTAGCATAAAACATTTACAGCCTAGGGAAAGGCTTATGGCATTAGAATCCTTATTTATAGGATTATTTTGTGTTTTTTTGAGATATGGTCTCTGTCTGTCATCCAGGCAGAAGTGGAGTGGCTTGGTCATAATTCACTGCAGCCCTGAACTCTGAGTCCAAGCCATCCTTGTGCCTTAGTCTCCCAACTAGCTGGATCTACAAGCATAAGTCACCATGGCTGGCTAATTTAAAAAAAAAATTTTTTTTGTCGAGATTATGTTATCACTATGTTGCTCTGGCTGGTTTCAAATTCCTGGCCTCAAGTAATCTTTCTGCCACAGCCTCCTATAGTGCTGGGATTACAGGCATGAGCCACCATGCCTAGCATAGAGTATTACATTATTTTCAAAGTCTTATTCTAAGAGCCATTTATTGACTTTGGCCTAAATAACTCAATATTATATCTCTGAAACTTTTTTTGACAAATTTTGGGGCATGATGATGAGAGAAAGGGGTTTGAAACTTTCTAATAAGAGTTAACGTAGAGCCATTTAAGGAGGAACAGACACAAATTATCAGAAAAATAAAAGAAAGATCAAGTGCAAAAGTTCTGTGGCAAAGATGATGATAGTAAAGAATATATGTGACTTATGGTGGCTTTTACTTTGTTCTTGAATTTCTGAGTAATTTAAGGGTTAACATTTAAAGAATCTACATTATAGATAACATTTTATTGCAAGTAAATGTATTTCAAAATTTGTTATTGGTTTTGTATGAGATTATTCTCAGCCTACTTCATTTTCAAGCTATATTATTTTATTAATGTAGTTTGATGATCTTACAGCAGAGCTGGAAGCTGTATCTTCAAAATATGTCTGTTTGACTCAAAACAATCAAGGTATTCAACAGGAGTTATTATGTATGAAAAAATACAACAGGAATGTAAAAAACTTGAGGCTAAAAAGATGTTGGAAGAAGTAATATTAAATCTTAAAAAACGTATGGAAAGTACACATTGGTGAAGACACATTGGTGAAGTACAAAAATATAAATTGGATCTAGAAGAAAAGGCAATGCAGGCAATGGAAAAATTAGTACAAATCCCTTTACAGGTTAGTTTGTAAAATCAGGTAAGTTTATTTATAATGTGCTTTCATTTATTTCACTGCAAATTATATTTTGGAGATTATATATATATATATATCGTGTTTCCTCTGCCTCTCTTATAGTAATTTGCCTTGTGGAGTTCTAGCAAAGAGGTGGCTTCTGTTTTTACTTTTATATGTTTAAATTTCCATCATTATAACAAAATCGATTTTTCACAGTAATGATTCTCAGTGTGGAGTCATTTGATTATTAAGACCCATTGACATGAGATTACATCCTCTGCCTATAAAAATCCTGGAAGAAAACCTAGGAAATATTCATCTGGACATTGCACTTGGCAATGAATTTATGGGTAAGTCCTCAAAAGCAATTGCCAGAAAAATGAAAATTGACAAATATGATTTAATTAAACTAAAGAGCTGCTTCTACACAGCATGAGAAACTCTCAAGGGATTGAGCAGACAGCCTACAGAATGGAAGAAAATATTCACACACTATGCATACAGCAAAGGCCTATTATCCAGAAGCCATAAGAGACTTATGCAAATCAACGAGCAAAAAATAAATAACCCCATTAAAAAATGGGCAAAGAACATAAACAGACAGTTTTCAGAAGAACACATATGTGGCCAACAAACATATTAACACATGCATACCATCACTAATCATCAGAGAAATGCAAAACAAAACAGCAGTGAAATACCATCTCACACCAGTTAGAATGACTTCTGTTAAAAAGGAAAAATAATAAAAATATTTAAATATTTAATATTAAAATATCATTTAGATTGAGATAAATTAATTTGTCATTATTAATTCTCAAAACATGGATATTTAAGAATAACCTTACTTCACATGTAATAACAACTACCTTAAAAACTAAAAGCTGGGGCCTGGTATGGTGTCTCAAGTCTGTAATCCCAGCACTTTGGGAAGCTGAGGTGGGCCGATCATGAGGCCAGGAGTTTGAGACAAGCCTGGCCAACATGGTGAAACCCCGTCTCTACTAAAAATACAAAAATTAGCTGGGCATGGTGGTGGGCACCTGTAATCCCAGCTACTCAGGAGGCTGAGGCAGGAGAATTCATTGGAACCCTGGGAGGCGGAGGTGGTTGCAGTGAGCTGAGATCACACCATTGCACTGCAGCCTGGGCAACAGGGCGAGACTCCATCTCAAAAAAATAAAATAAATAAAATTAAATGAATAAAAACAAATAAATAAAAGCTGGAAGTTCTATGAAAACAATGCACATACCATTTTTAAAAAATGTTCATGGTTTCTCTAGAGATTTCAATACCTATTCTAGCTTATTACAGTAACCTATAATTTGTACTATACCAACTATGGTATAAAAACCTTAAAATGTATATTTCTGTTTCCTCTCTCCTTTATACTATTTATGTCATGCATTATAGTCTCAAATATTATGAATTCCATAATATAAAGTTACTTTTTTAAAAAAAAATTAGACAATCAATTATCTTTAGAGCAATGTAAAATAATTGGGTTATATATCTTTATATCTTCTCTGGCATTATTTATTTCTTTGTGTAGTTTCAACTTTCACCTGCTTCCATATTCCTTTTGCCTCAAGAAATGATTTTGACATTTATTTTAGTGCATACCTGTTAGCAAGGGACTCTTCCAGTGTTAATCTGCAAATGTCATTTAATTGTTATTTTTGCTGTATTACAGTTAATGGATATAAGATTGGGGGTTGACTTTTCTTCAGTTATTTAAGAATTTTGTATCATTGGTTTCTGACTTGTAGAGTTACTGACAAGCAGTTCATTATAATGTTTGTTTCTGTTTATCTCTCTACACAGTGTTCCTATTTTTTCTGTGACTGAATTCAAGATTTATGGTAATCATTGGTTTTCAGCAGTTTGACTAGTGTGATTATTCTAGCGTTCTTTAAATTTTGTATTAATCTTTCTTGGATATTTTGAGGTTATTTGGTCTCCTTAGTCATCTTTTTCAAATTTTTCTTCTCTCACATTCTGTTTTTACTTTCCTTCTGTAATTCCAATTAATTATATTTTAGTTAATTTCATATTACCAGAAAATTCTTGGATTCACTGGAGTATTTTATTTGCTTGGTTTATTGGTTTATTTGGTTTTTCTCTTTCCTCCCTTTGTGCTACCATTCAAATGATTTGTATTGACCTAGTATAAAATTTACTGCTTCTTTCTTTAACTCTGATGACCAGTCTGCTAATCAGCTTGCTGATGTAATTCATCTTTGTTCTCATGCTTTCACTTATTTCTAGATTTTGCCTTTTACTGTTCCCATCTTTGCTGAAATTCCTCATTTTTCCATACATGTTGTATTTTTTAGCTAGATCCTTTAACATTTTGATCATTATTATTTTAAATTACTTGCATTTAGTTCCAACATCTGAATTATCTCTGAATTTGATTCTGTTGACTTTTTATCCTTTGAAAATATTATAACTCATAACTCAAATTTCTAACTTGCTTTTATGTGTCTCCCAATTTCTAAAAAATGCAAATCATCTGATGTAGAAAAACAGTAGATCATGAGATAATTATGTCGAGATTGTTTTATATTTCTGTTTCATTTTTATGTCATGCTATTAGTGTGGGCAGGAACAAAGGTTGCTTTTTGCTGCGGTGTCTGAAACATTCAGTGACCAATGTAACTCAGATTTCTCCAGCAGTAGGCTGCTATGTGATGTGCCTTGTGTGGGGCCTTAGACTCTGGAGAGCATATGCCAATGATCCTGTTCCACAGTTAGCTTTCGGTAGTCCTTACCACCTATGTTATAGAGAGGGTCTCTCTCCACTTTCTTGTTCCTCTCTAACTGTAGAACATCATTTTGTGTATATGTGTGTGTGTGTGTGTGTGTGACTAGGCAAAAAATTCAGGTTGGGGACAGAGGGATGATTCATGTTATTTTTGAGCCAGTTTCATCATTGGACACTCACAGAAGGGGTATTTTTAACACTTCTTGACTCTTATTCTAGTGGGAGTCAAACTGTCACTTACCTGTGTTGTTTTTTGCAGAAGAAATAATACCTTACCCTCCTCCCACCTCAGTAGTAGAAAACCTCTGATTTATATCATTGCAAGTTTTCAACCCCACAATAAGGACAAACTCTTTTATTTCTCCTTCCATAGGAACAATATACCTTTGTCTGTGGTCACTGGATGGAGACTTTCCAAACCTTTACCACAGTAGCACGACTCTGCATTAGTGCAAAATCCTGGGCCCCAAAACAATCCTTGTTCCTCTCCTGATGGAGGAGTATTTTTCTTGCATCCCTCTCCCAGAAGCAGTGATCCTTTGCCTGGTATCAGGTGGGGTAGGGTAGGGTATGAGAGGTTTCTTAACCTTCTCTGAAAGCTGATGTGTTTTGCTTCTTCTTATCTCCCAGAAACAGTAGACTTTTGCATGGGTTCATGGACCCAGATGCTTTTTTGCCACAGCAAATTAAGGGTTTTGATTCTTAGGAGAGAAGCAAATGTTCATGTAGTCAATTTTTTTCTTATTTATTTTTTGCTTTGTTTTCTTATTTCAGTAATGATGAGTTCAATATGATCATTATTTTCCACTTACACTGCTTGCAACTCTAATGTTTTGTTTTTGTTAGTCCCCCTTTGACAGTTCAGCACTAAATCAAATGCAGATAATCATCAGTTGTGTGAATAAAGTGTTTTTAATTGAGAACAAAATTGTTGATATAGACACAAATTTGGATATTATCCTACTTAGCACAATATGTCGCTGGTTCAAAATGTAAAAACCTCTTTAGGCTGAAGAAAGAATGGTTCTTGGAACTATTGTCCCTTTTTGACAAATAAAATAAAACCCAATGCTTTTTATCTCATGGATAGATTATTAAAATAACTACATACCTGATCTTCATTTTATGTTCTCTCTCTTCAAGATATTCCTTCAAAACTACTTTGACTGATTAGTCTCTTTTGAATTATGTTAGACTCTGTATTTTCTCCACAAGCTCATCAGGGTAAATCCTGCCTTTACATTTTTTATAAAAATTCTCTTTTTTTTTCAAATCTTAGTTGAGCTGAAAGATTTCCACCAAATGTCTCCTATGCCAGAAAGCCTTATTTTACTTATCTCCCCTGTCCTCCTTGCTCAAGCTCATTTAGGAATATTTTAATTAAAACATTCATGCAATACTGTTTTTTAAAAAATCTGAACATATAGTATTTTCAATCTGAATACAAAATAGTGCTCTAATTTGAAAACAAGTTTTAGAAGCAAATGTTTCTAGAAGGAGAATCAACAGTGTCATAAATATCATAATCCAATTTTCCTGTTTGTACTAAAACATTAGCAAATATTTATTGAGAAATTGCCATCTGCCTGAAAGTATAATGCTTTTGATGCACATTATATCATAAAAACTAGGTACTATTATTAGTAGTATCTTAAGAGTAAAAATATTGAGTCTTAGAGAAGTTAAGCAATGTGCCCAAATAGCATAGGGAAAGTTGGAATTCTGAAATTCTGACTATGCTGTGCGTAGGTTAGGAGAATCAAGGCTTGTCAAATGTAACTGTTAAGTCATTGTGGGGATACGGAGGCCTCTGATTGCTAGGGTCAATACACTTAAGCAGATCATGTCACTACTTAGTTAAATCTATTTCATTAAAGCAAAATTCCGTAAAGATTATTGGCACCAAAACTATTAATTTTCCTTCCTTCCTTTCTCTCTTTCTTTCCTTCCTTCCTTCCTTCCTTCCTTCCTTCCTTCCTTCCTTCCTTCCTTCCTTCCATCCTTCCTTCCTTCCTTCCTTCCTTGTCTTTCTGTCTTTCTTTGAGACAGGGTCTCATTCTGTTGCCCAAGCTGGAGTGCAGTGGCACAATCATGGCTCACTGCAGCCCCAGCTTCCCCAGACTCCGGTGATCCTCCCACCTCATCCTCCTGAATAGCTGGGACTACAGGCAGGCAAGCCACTATGCCTGGCTAAATTTTCTTTTTCTTTTTCTTTTTTTTTTTTTTTTTTTTGTAAAGATTGGGTTTCACCATGTTGCCGAGCCTGGTCTGCAACTACTCAGCTCAAGCAATCCACCTGCCTTTGCCTCCCAAAGTATTGGGACTCCAGGTGTAAGCCACATGCCTGGCCAAAAATATTATTTAACAAGTTCAATTTAACTATTAGATTTTGGACAATGAGGGATAGAATTTTCTACATCATAAATCATCTTGTGTTCTTTATTTAAAGTAATATGTAAGGATTTCAATTTGATTCAAATATATTTATTAGCAAATTAAATGTCTTTTTCAGGATTCCAAACTTTTGTTGAAGACATAAATGTTAAATGATGTCACTAATTTTAATTAGATTAGCAGAAAGGTACTCTGGTGTTTAATAACAATGACAGAATGGGCTATTAATTTTATTTTCTTTCCCTTTCTCCCTTTCCCCTTTTTAAAATATTTTACTTTTTAGGCTCTTTGGAATCCTGTAGATAGAGTTTTGGAGAATTAGACAAAACACTCACAGAAACTGCCAACCCTTGGATGAAATATATTGTTACTGTGCTTTGGGATTAAAATAACTACAGTTTATAGAACTTTTGTACTGATACACAGACACTAAAAAGGGAAAGGGTTTGGATGAGAAGCTCTGCTATGCAACCAGGAATCTCAGCCACTCATTTCTGTCGGAGCTGCAGGAGCTCCCTGTAAAGAGAGGTTATGGAGTCTGTAGCTTCAGGAAAGATACTTAAAACCCTTCAGAGTTTCTCCATTTTTCCCAGAGTTTCCCCAAAAAGGTTATGACATTTTATAAGAATGCTTCACTTGTGATAAACTAATATCAAAGTCTTCTTGTAATTTATATTTAAGGATAAATCTTTATCCCATGTTTAATTTATTTAGCTTACCCTGTAGCTAATATTTCATGCTGAACACATTTTAAATGCTGTAAATATAGATAATATAATTTATGGATCATTAATGCCTCTCTAGTAGTTTAGAGAAAATGTCAAAAGAAATGGCCCCAGAATAAGCTTCTTGATTTGTAAAATTCTATGTCATTGACTCAAGTTTATATGGCATCTCAAAATATAAATATAGACATCTCAGAAAATATATTTGAAATAGCAAATTCCTGTTAGAAAAGAATAGTACTTAACTAGATAAGAATAACAAGTCACCATTATTTGAATTGTCTCCTATTAATTTTTGTTGTGTTGTGTTACTCATGTTTTACTTATGGGGGATATACATAACTTCTGCTGTTTTCAGAATTATTGTATGCAGTCAGTATGAGAATGCAATTTAAGTTTCCTTGATGCTTTCTCACACCTCTATTACTAGAAATAAGAATACAGTAATATTGGCAAAGAAAATTGACCAGTTCAATAAAATTTTTTAGTAAATCTGATTGAAAATAAACATTGCTTATGGCTTTCTTACATCAATATTGTTATGTCTTAGACTACCTTATGTGAAATTAAGGCTTTGAAATTCTAATTATGTGCAAATGTGTAAAATAGCATCACCTAACGCTATATAATATACTCTATTTCTATACTGTGATGGCAGGTTTATAATTCTGGAAAGATATACACAACATGAAATTTACCTTTTTAATCACTTTAAGTGCACAGTTTTGTGGCATTAAGTATATTTGCACTATTGTGCAACAGTCACCACCATAGACCTCCAAAACTTGTCTTCTTCTCCAACTAAAATGCTTTACTCATTGAACACCAACTTCCCATTCCTCTCCCTCTCCTTCCCCCTAGCAATCACCATTCTACTTTCTGTCTCTACAACTTTCACTAAGTAACTCATAGAAGTGGCATGATAGAATGTTTGAATTTTTCTGACTGGCTTATTTCACTTAGCATGTCTTCAAGTTTCATCTATTTTGTAGCATGTGTGAGAATATATTTTAAGGCTGAATATTATTATGTTGCCGTATATACCACATTTTGTTTAACCACTCATCCATCAATATTCACAAGGGCTGCTCCCTCCCTTTGATTATTGTGAATAATATTGCTAATGGACACGCTGCACAAACATCTGTTTGGTCCCTCTGCTCATTTATTTTGGATATGGATTTGCATTTTAATACAAAGGAGAAATTACACAGCTTTTTAAAAGTGTCCAGATAAAAAGGAGCACAACATCAGTAAAATATTAGAAAGTAGATTAGGGGGAAAAACAGGGAAGGAATTGAACCAAAAGTCAATAAGCTGCATAAGAGAGTTTCAAGAGGAGGAAAAAATTGACAATATTAACATAGAATTAAAGAGCGATAGGTAGATATTTAGAAAATTGTCTCATGTACTTATATGTCGCCTGTGAACTGATATTTACATTATTTTATTATTCCAGGTTTCCAAAAGTAAGTGCAATATGAGAGTTTCATGATGCTAAATAAACTGAAACATGCTATATATTTTGATATATTGTCCTTGAGAGGAGGCTGAGTGGTAATTAGTGCAATTTTAAATTATGATATGATAATGCAGTCAATCTGCCAAACTGACAAACAGTATATATACAATATGTATACATTTCTCGCAAAATTCAGTTTTATCATACAATTAAATTATGATTTAAAACTACCTGACAATTAATGGAGGAAAAAAATAAAACAACATTTGCATTAATATTACCATAATTTTGATATTATTGTAAATATCAAAATATGTACTTAGAGATAAACCAGCAAAAAAGAGAAACATTTGAAAACTACAAAACTACAAAATATTGCTAAAATAAATGAGACCTAAATAAATGGAATTTATGAGTCATAAATCTCTATATTGTTAAGATGTCTACTCTTCCCACATTGATCTATAACAATTCCAATCAAATCACAGCTGGATTTCTTATTTTAGAAATTGAGAAACTAAAATTCTGAAATGTACATCAATGGGTAGAGGACCTATAATGGCAAATTACTTTGAAAGGAAACAGTTACTTTGAAACCAGGTGCTGCTGGAGAATAAACAGCACCTGGATTCAAGACTTAGAACGTTACAGTAATACTTAAGACAATGTAGTACAAATATAGATATACACATGTATATCAGCTATCAGCTAATTTTTGATAAAGTTCTTAGACCATTCATGGACATAACATTTTCAACAAATGCTTCTGAAACAATTAGATATCCCAGTATATATTTGTGTGTATGTGTGAAGCTCAATACTTCACACCTGAGAGGTATGAGTGTGCATTACAAAAGAGAACTAGGAAGCTTTGAGAGTATTGGATATGCTCATTGTCCCCTTCATGGTGATTGTTTAATGGGCACATGTACATATCAAATTCATCTCATTTACACTTTAAATATTGGAAGTGTGTTTTATGTTCGTTAGACATGAATAAAGCTGCAAAATGTTACCAAATATTCACTTACTATGCTTTTATTCATTTTCCTCTCTCTATAAACCTTCAGATAGAAAATGCAGTTGAAAGATATTTCATAAAGGAAGAAAAGAAGTATGAATACAGGTGAGAGATATTACTGAGATTTTTTTTCAGTGCAATCCTGGGCTTTTCTGACTAGCAATATTTTTATGTGCAGAAGTAGTAGAAAAGATAAATATTTTGTACAGTAGAAAAACACATTATTTCTGTGCCATGGAAGAGAGAACTCACAAAGATGACAGCTTCTGGCTATGTTGGATACTAACCAGTACTGTAAGTACCCAACGATCTGACTTTAACACTGGCTGTAAAGCTCCTTTAATGTTCCTTGCAAGGATTTGAACCTATTTACTGGAACCCTCATCGCTTATTGAGTTGAAAAACATTGTTGATATGTGTTTATCTTATATTTGCAGTAGAGTCATAATTTTACTTTTTAGAAAATTATATATTAAACAAAAAAAGACACATGAAATTGTATATTGTTTAATGTTTCAACTGTGATATCACTCCATATGCATATTTAAATTCCTATTTGATAAAGGATAGGAAATACAGAAAGAATTCTTGTGATAATAGCGAACACAGAACTGTTGAAAGGTGTTGAAGCTGAGCTGGAGAGAGTCACCAAGGCTGGCGCCAAAGCTGGCAAGGTCGGAGGGTTTCCTGCCTGGGCGGCACAGCTTGAGCTCGCCCTGCGTCACGAGTGGTGGAAACTGCAGACCCAGCTGGGCCCTGAGGTCTCTGCCTCAGCCTCCCGCCTGCTAGGAGCTGCGCTGAGGTCCCAGATAGGCGACGCTGGCGGGGTGCCCCTGAGCGAAGGCAGCCCATGTGTGGGACAGCAGCAGGAGACCAGGGTCCAGGGACCCACCTCCCACCGCGGGAACCTCGAGCCTCCCCTGGCACCCCTAGCTTGGTCCGCCTGGCCTCCGGAGCCCGGTGTGTATCCTGGTCATGGGGACGCCCACCAGGTGCCCGGGAGTCCCCCTCGGCCACAGCCTGCGGCTCCGCCGGCCCTCAAGCCCGGTGTGGGGACTCCAGCCCTGCCGCCTCTGCTCCCGCCAGGCCGGGACCTGTCCTCCTCCTGGGCGCCCGGCAGTAGGGGCGATGCACACTGCCCGCTGCCCTGCACAGCCTTTCGCCGCACATCCCCTCTCGCCCCTCTGCCCCGGGCCAGGACCTTCCTGGCCGCACAGAACCCACCTTCCTTCCCGTTGTAGAGCTGCTCCGCTTCCCCAACCCACAGGGAAAAACGGCAGATCTCCAACCAAACAGAAATCTGTGTGTGACTCCTCTGGTTTGATACTGCCAGTCCCCACATTTTCTTCCGGGTGTTTTCTTGGCAGAATGTGCTCAATGTTTGATGTTTCACCAGCAATGAGGCTGAAAAGTGACAGCAATAGAGAAACACATCAGGCTTTCCGTGACAAACATGACCTTCCCTTCTTCAAAACTCAGCAATCTCCACGGCACACAAAGGACTTAGGACAAGATGACCGAGCTGGAGTGCTCGCCCCAAAATGCAGGCCCGGAGTGGGTCACCTCCTTAGGGCAGGCCCAGGCTTGTCCTGGCTGCCCCGGCGCCTTTCTCCTCCCACCCAATGCAGGGGACCCCACAAACTCGGCTGTTGGGGCTCCCTGCTCCTCCCTCCACAGAAGCCACCTCCTGCCCTCCAAGCTGGGGGTCTCCTGGGGCGTCCTGGGCTGAGAGGGAAAGACG
The DNA here is from genome assembly GCF_000001405.40 of Homo sapiens. Classification (NCBI taxonomy): domain Eukaryota; kingdom Metazoa; phylum Chordata; class Mammalia; order Primates; family Hominidae; genus Homo; species Homo sapiens. Next base: position 13,664,465 of record NC_000021.9, read on the forward strand.
CCAGCTCCGCAAGCCAGGAAGGGAACACCGCCACATTGTTACACGCACACACCACCACACTGTCACATGTACAGACACACGGAGACATTACCACACGGACACACCGTCACATGGACACACTGGCACATTCACATGGACGGACACACAGACATACGGAGAAATCCACACGGACACACCACCACACTATCACAGGGACACACAGACACACGGAGACATCACATGGACACACCACCACACTATCACAGGGACACACAGACACACAAGAGACATCACTACACTGTCACATGGACACACCATCACAGGAACACACAAACACACTGCCACATGGACACTGCCACACACAGACACACCGCCACACTGTCACATGGACACACCTCCACACTGTCAGACACCACCACACAGACACTGCCATGTGGACACAAGGACACACAGACATTGTCACATGGATACACACACTGTCACACGGAGACATCACCATGCAGATACATGAACACACCACCACATGGACATAGCACCACACAGACACTCTGCCACACGGACACACCACCACACAGACACACCACCACGCTGCCACACAGAGACACCACCACATCGTTGCCACATTTTCATGTGTCAGCTGGCGGTGTGGGCCCCACGACTCTGAGCTCTAATAGATAAATTACTTAGGCATATAGTGAAGGCAAAATTTTTTTTTTCTGAGGCGTAGTCTCGCTCTGTCCCCCAGGCTGGAGTGCAGTGGCGCGATCTCGGCTCACTGCAAGCTCCGCCTCCCGGGTTCACGCCACTCTCCCGCCTCAGCCTCCCGAGTAGCTGGGACTACAGGAGCCCGCCACCAAGCCCGGCCACCTTTTGGGTGTTTTTAGTACAGACGGGGTTTCACCTTGCTAGCCAGGATGGTCTCGATCTCCTGACCTCGTGATCTGCCCGCCTTGGCCTCCCAAAGTGCTGGGACTACAGGTGTGAGCCACCGCGCCTGGCCAAGAATTTCTTTCCATCTCCTGTGTTATTGCTTTGGCAGTGGAAATGCGCGTGGCCTCTAGAGTGGGTCCCAAGGTCATGAAGGCCTGTAAGGTGGAGGGCAAGGTCTCTCTTTCCAGGCTGGAATGGAGGAAGATGTGGTGGCCGAGGGGCTGCATGTCCTCCTCGCGGCAGGCCCCTGAGGACCTTTATCCTCCTGAGCCGCAAATGTCCCTCAGGGGTGTCTAAAGCGCTGGGTGGGGCCCTTATAGGCCTTACGAGCTCTGGCCAATTAGTGGTCCGTAAAACGCAGAGGTGAACACCATAGAACCACAGGTCCAGGAGAATTTTGCAAAAGCTCTGAGGATGCCCTTTTTTATTCTCCCACTGCAAAATTGTTTTAAAAAGCAAAAAATCCAGCAATGTCCGGGGAAAGTCAATACTGAGTGTCAGCGCGGGATGCTGCCGCTGATACGGTCCCGGCGTCCTGGCCGAAAGTGGCCTCCTCGGGGACCGCATCTCCGCGCACCATGGCAGCAAACGCCAGCGGTTTGTGGGCGGATGGTGTCCCCGTGGCCATCCCCGCTCCTGAGTGCGGAAGGACAGACAGGAGCGGGGACTTCTGGGTGTTCCTGGTGTCAGCCAGCTTGACGCCGTTGTTCCTCCTGGAAATCCGGGATTTGGAGAAGCACCTGGTTCCTGATGGAGGCCGTGGGCCTCTTGGTCCCCGCTTACCAGGCAGCGGCGCCAGCCTAGTTCTCAGCCCCGTCCCTGATGGGCGCCGCCTTCCATCAGGCCAAAGACTTTCCTCCAAACTACCCTTCTTGGGGCAGGGAAGCAGCATCCTGGGCCTTCCCTGGGGCCTGTGGTGCTGGCAGCAGCTCCACGTTGAGGTCGCCTGCAGCCCGCACCGCGGAGCGCTGGAGGTTCCTGAGCCCGGTCTGGGGAGGCCAATCCGCAGGTGCCTGGTGCCCGGTGCCTGCCGCAGTCTCAAAAGCGCCTGGAGGTGACATCCAGGAGCACCACTGCACCACCCGCAGGGAGACCCACGGCGAGGCGCGCCCCCTAAAGCGGCCAAGGAAGAAGCAGAAGGATAGGAAGGCACCCAGAGCTTGGGGTGATCTCAGGCCGCCCGCCCCGACCAAGTTCCTGGTCTCCGGGAGGTTTTTTTTTAATTTCTTCCATATTATTATCTTTATTATTATTAACTTTTCAAGATGGATTAAAGACTTAAATGTTAGATCTAAAACCGTAAAAACCCTAGAAGAAAACCTAGGCAATACCATTCAGGACATAGGCATGGGCAAGGACTTCATGTCTAAATCACCAAAAGCAATGGCAACAAAAGCCAAAATTGACAAATGGGATCTAACTAAACTAAAGAGCTTCTGCACAGCAAAAGAAACTACCATCAGAGTGAACAGGCAACTTACAGAATGGGAGAAAAATTTTGCAATCTACCCATCTGACAAAGGGCTAATATCCAGAATCTACAAAGAACTTAAACAAATATACAAGAAAAAATCAAACAATCCCATCAAAAAGTGGGGGAAGGATATGAACAGACACTTCTCAGAAGAAGACATTTATGCAGCCAACAGACACATGAAAAAATGTTCATCATCACTGGCCATCAGAGAAATGCAAATCAAAACCACAATCCGGGAGGTATTGCCAAAGACGATGTGGGCTTTCTGGGCAATGTCCGGCCTGAGCTGGAGATTCTGGGACGCGGTCAAGTGGTCCTTTGGAGATTCCACGGCTTCGGATCCCTACTGCAGGATGCTCCGCTGTGTCTGACAGCCTCTGGCATTTTGCTGAGGGGTAACCTCGGAATGTATAGACATAAGAACACTGGGATGGCCCAGTCGTGCCCCAGGCATTCCCGCACACAGTGGTGGCAAAGGCAGGCGCTGAGACAAAGTGCCCAGTCGGCTTGGTGAGAGTTCTTTACAGGTTAGTGACAGACTTGGTCCCGTGCTTGTGTTTTCTCATGTTTTCAGTTAACCTGCGGATGCCCAGGGGCTCCTCCATCTCCAGCCTGTTCTCCTCGGGCTGAAGCCCAAAGTCCCCCATTTTCTCCTCAAACAGCTCACAGAGCCACTTCTGCAGGCAGGAGGACAGCGGTGGGCTCAGTGGCTGACCTAGGAAGCCACATCTGAAGGAACTGCTGGGTGACTATGGCCATAAGTCAATCAAAGCAGACTCCCTGGCTTGCTGCGCTACATTGATTTTGTTTTCATTTTTTAAAAGACGCAGAAGGGAGGTCCTAGGAAATTTGCCCAATGCAGATGCTGACAAGAGTGGTGACATGAAAAAGATTACCCAGAAGGAAAACAAGAGCTATTTTCTAAACATCTGAAATCTGTATAGGCTTTTGGAAAAGTGAAACTAGATGCAAAGCACAATGATATAATTCTGGCAATTTCCACTGACACAGAACTCAGTCAATCTGAATTAATCTAAGGGTTATAAGGAAAATGGCACTCCAAGAAGTATCTATTAACATCACTCAGCTGCTGTGAAATAGGCTTACAGACAACACGGAGTGTCAATTATCCAATGTTTAAAGTCAGTGATACAGATTGGACTACAATCTCTATGGCTCATAAAGTCTTCTTTAAAGGATTGACAGATGATTTATCTCATATGTAGACAATGATTCTCAGCAGTTAGCTAGCACAACTTGCTAATATCAATTGCTTGAGAAAATCAGATAATTGCTTGAGAAAATTAGGACATTGCTTGAGGATGTTAGGTAATTAAATAAATTACTTTTTTAAAGAATAGTTTAATGTTTTGGCAAGTAGACTTTAAAATAGATTGGTAATATTTTAAAGGCCACTTTTAAAGAAGTAGCAATATAACATGTGGAATTATGAAAAATAATAATGTTGGAAACAATTCAATTTTCTATCACAGATAATTTCACAAATATAGAAATACCATCTCAATAATTAGAAGAAGTAGCAGCAATTTCTGTCATTTTTATGCAAGTTACTCCTAGTCCATTTATCTGGTCTTAAATAGTGTTTTTAAAATTTGTTTTCAAACAAGTCTAATCATAAATAATAGAATATATTTTACAATAGTTGAAGGTAACAAAAAATAAGTGCTATTTAAAAAATTGTATTAGATTGTTTAAAAATGTTGTGGGTACATAGTATGTGTATGTATCTGTGGGGTCCCTGAGATGTTTTGATACAGGCATGTAATGTGAAATAAGCACATCTTGGGGAATGGGGTATCCCTCCCCTCAAGCATTTATCCTTCAAGTTATAAAAAATGCAATTACAGTCTTAGTTATTTCAAAATGTACCATTAAATTATTATTGGATATAGTCACCCTATTGTGCTATAAAATAGTAGGTCTTATTAACTCTCTATTTTTATACCCATTAACCATCCCCACCTTCCCACAAACCTCCCCCCAGCTACCTTTCCCAGCCTCTGATAACCATCCTTATACTCCATATGTCCATGAGTTTGTTTTGATTTTAGATTCCACAAATAAGTAAGAACATGTAACATTTGTCTTTCTGCGCCTGGCTTATTTCACTTAATATAATGATCCATAATGTTCCATCATTGTTACTGACAATGACTGGATCTTGTTCTTTGTTACAGCTGAATAGTCCTCCATTGTGTATATGTACCACATTTTCTTTATCCATTCATCTGTTGATGGACACTAAGGTTTCTTCCAAATCTTAGTTTTGTAAACAGTGCTGCAACAAATATGGGAGTGCAGATATGTATTTGACATACTGATTTCCTTCATTTTTGGTATAGACCCAGCAGTAGGATTGCTAGATCATATGGTAGCTCAACTTTTAGTTTATTGAGAAACATCCAAACAGTTCACCTTGGTGGTTTTATTAATTTACATTCCCAGGAGCAGTGTACAAGTGTTCCATTTTCTCTGCATCCCTGCTAGCATTTGTTACTGCCTGTCTTTTGCATACAAGTCATATAAACTGTGGTGAGATGATATCTCATTGTAGTTTTGATTTGCATTTCTCTGATGATCGGTGATATTGAGCACCTTTTCTTATACCTGTTTGCCATTTGTAGGTCTTCTTTCGAGAAATATCTATTCAAATCTTTTGCCCCCTTTTTTTTAACCAGGTTATTAGATTGTTTCTTAAAGAGTTGTTTGAGCTTTTTATATATTCTGATTATTAATCCTTTGTTGGATGAGTAGTTTGCAAATATTTTCTCCCATTCTGTGGATTGTCTCTTAACTTTGTTGATTGTATCATTTTCTGTGCAGAAGCGTTTTAACTTAATGTGATCCATTTGTCCATTTTTGCTTTGGTTGCCTGTGCTTGTCGGGTATTGCTCAAGATATTTTTGCCCAGACCAATGTCCTGGAGATTTTTTTATAGTTTGAGGTATTAGCTTTACATCTTTAATCAACTTTGATTTTACTTTTGTATTCGGTGATAGATACTAGTCTGTTTTCATTCTTCTGCATATGGATATCCAGTTTTTTCAACACCATTTCCCACCAGTGTATGTTCTTGGCACCTTTGTCAAAAATGAGTTCACTGTAGGTATATAGATTTGTTACTGGGTTCTCTATTGTGTTCCATTGATCTATGGGTCTCTTTTTATGCCAGTACCCTACTCTTTTGGTTACTATAATTCTGTAGTATAATATGAAGTCAGATAATATAATTCCTCCACTTTTATTTATTTATTTATTTTTGCTTAGGATAGTATTATTTCTTATACTGAAAGCATTCTATGTTATTTATTATTAGGCTAATTTTGTAGTTTACAATGCTATCCTCTTTTACAAAGCTGTGATCAACTCAAAGTCCAGATCAGGGTCAATTGTAGCTATTTGCAAAAGTAGCAATATTCTGGCTGGGTGTGGTGGCTCATGCCTATAATCCCAGCACTTTGTGAGGCCAAGACAGGCAGGTCACCTGAGGTCAGAGGTTCAAGACCAGCCTGGCCAACATGGTGAAACCCTGTCTCCAATAAAAATGCAAAAATTAGCCAGGGATGATGGCAGATGCCTGTAATCCCAGCTACTCAGGAGGCTGAGGCAGGAAAATCACTTGAACCCGTGAGGTGGAGGTTGCAGTGAGCCCAGAATGCACCATTGCACTCCAGCCTGGGTAACCAAGTGTGACTCTGTCTCAAAAAAGAAAAAAAGCACTATACTGTGTAATTATTGACAGCATAATTCACTATTATGTGGATCAGAGAGCAGAGGATTCTGAATGCATGAACATATCTTTAACATTTCAATACATTACTCATAATTACTAATGAACTAAAGAGAAACCAAGAAATTATGGTGGTAGTTATATTGACCTGGAGAAATGTAGACACAAAAGAATGGTAAGATGAGAAATGTGTTAACACAGGCTATAAGGGCATGCAAGAATAAAAATAGGGGAGAAAACAGGAGAGTTTTTCAAGAGCTTTCTGGTCATGTAAGTCAATTTGTATCAGTTAATTTTTAAAAGGTTTATTTACATGCAATAAACTGCACATACTTCAATTGTACATTTTGATAATTCTTGGCATTTGTAGCTCTACAAAACCAACAACATATTAAAATAGCAAACATATCCATTACCTTTACCACCAAAGTTTCCTTGTGCTTTTTCTACTCACTTTTTCCTGCCTATCCCCATTCCATCCACAGGCAACCACTGATCCACTTCCAGTCACTATCCATGAGTTTTTATTTCCAAATACATAAAATCATAGGGTATGTATACTTTCTGATCACTCAGCATCACTATTTTTGAGATTTATTCATGTTGCTACATCTATCAATTGTTCTGTTCTTACTAGGGAGTATTATTTCATTATATACAGATACCATAGTAAGTTTATAAATCACAAATTCACCTGTCCATGGATATTTGAACTGTTTTCAGGTTTTGGCTGTTGCAAGTAAAGCTGCTATGAAGATTCATGTAAAATCCTTTGAATGGTCATATGCTCTTAGGTTTTCATCTCTACCGGAAGTGGAATAGATAGCTATATGGCTATCATGTCTGTAATATGCAAACACAAAGCCTGACAAAACTGATTTCTAAAGTGGAAATTCCACTGAAGAACCTTGACTCCAACCTGGCTTTTGAGATTATCTCCTATGTCTGGTGCAATGATTGGTCCTGGGGTAGCCACATGACCCAAGGGGGACCATGTTTAAACTTCTGAGTTTTCACTGAGATTAACATGCATTTGTTGAAAGAGAAACCCCTTTTCCCCTACTCCCCCAGCTGCAAATGCTTTCAGGGATTACATCATGTTGGAACATTTGGTTACAGTGTTTCCTAAACTTTGAGGGTAAAAATTGTTCAAGTAGGTAAAAATGGAGCACATACAAAGAAAAAAGGAGTCCAGAAATATCAAATAAAGAAAGGGCCTCCATAAAATCATTTGAACTTATGATTAATTCATTAGTCATTAAAATAAGTTTAGTGTACAAAGAATCATCCCCCCAACCACCCTTTATTCCTTCACCAGGTTTAAGTTACATTTTTTAACTTGCAAACAAAAGATTTGTCATTAACTTAGACATCAAAATCCCTTGTCTCCAAGAGCAATCATTCAACTCTGTCCCTCTCATTATTACAATAATATGTTCACTTTATTCTGCATACACCTGCTCTTTGCCCTTGTCTCCCTATTCTATTCTGTTAAACTTATATCCAGACATTTATTTCATTTTATATCAAAGAAACTGTATACATGTTTTTAATCTTAGAAAAATTTCTGAGTAATCTTTTGTCTCATATTCGATTTTAAGCCACCCAAGAAGCATTATTTTTTCATTTAGCATTTTAACTTTTCTAACCCAGGACTTTTATAGTAGATATTATGTCTTTTTCTAAATGTCCTGCTTCAATTTACATTTTAAATCTAATTTTTAAAAAGTGTATGTTTTGAATATTAGCATCATGCATCTCAGGCCTAAATATCCCTTGATAACAAATATTGTCTTTTTTTCTCTACGTTTTTCACATATTTCAATAGGGAGATATATTGCCTGCAACAATAAAAGTTTTTGTCAATATAACATAACACATAGGCAAAATATTGTTTCCAAGTGATTGATGATGTGGTGCCTTCAGTCTAGTCCCAACCCCTCAATGTAATCATCCCTAAATCTAATGAAATATGAAATAAATATTTCATTTTGTTTCTAAAATTCAGCAGAAAAATATATAGCCTGTCACATATAGCCTGTAACACCAACATATAAAAATTAAAGCAGTTCCTTCTCCACTCCCACTGCTTCACTTGACTAGCCTTAAAAAATAATAATAATAAAAAATAAAAGCAAAATTGTTCCTTTACTTATCTTTGAAATCTAATGGGTATACTATCAGAAAAGCTCTTATATATATGGAGGGCCTCTATAAAATATAGACTCTTAACTAGAAAAGTAGACTTATATGATAGTTAAATTTAAAACACAATTGTATATGGTACCTTCCCAAATGCACCAGTACTTATTTCAGAATGCATGATGTAATTGACTAAACCATTTAGGGCTAGACCTCTGAAATAAAAGGCATTCACACTTTGTGATTCCTGGGGAAAATATTATTCAAAATAGAAACATGCAGAACCTTTACCTGATCGTGATAAAAAAATGTTCCTACTTGTTAATATGCCACAGCTTTTACAAGGTCAGCAAAAAGAGATTATCCCATAATATAAGCTGATGGCCGAAATTATCTGCCTTACTTTAGTTACTATAATATCTATTAAGTGTAAATTTCTTTTGAAAGAAAACAGATACATTTTTCTCAGAAATGTCTTTAGATGAAGATCTAGCACATCTGTGTTTCTCACTTTTTAAAATGTTGATTTTATTGATAAATAAATATATATAGGGTACAATGTGGTACGATACAAGTAAATATTGTGAAATGGACAAATTAGGCTAAAAAACATATCCTTCACCTCAGATATTTATTACATTATGGTGAAACATTTAAAATGTACTATTTTAGCACTTTTAAGATATGCACTACATTATAAGTGACTGCAGTCACTTTGCTGTGCACCATATCACCAGAATGTCTTTCTCCTAACTGAAGCATTATCCCATTGAATATTTCCCCTTTTTCCACCCCTGCCCCCCACCCTGCTCAGCCTCTGATAAACCACCATTCTACTCTTAACTTCTATGAGTGCACAGTTTTGGATTTCACATATAAGTGATATTAAGAGATATTTGTCTTTCTGTGTCTGGCTTATTTTACTTAGCATAATGTCCTCTAAATCCATCCATGTTTTTGCAAATGACAGAATTTCATTCATTTATAAAGATAAGCCGTATTTTTGTATGCATCCTACATATACTTTTAACTTTCCACAGCTTTATTGAGATATAATTTATACATTGTGTAATTCACTCATTTAAAGTACAAACTTCAAATTCTTTTAGTATATTAACTGGATGGACAAATAATCATCATAATATAATTTTAGAACATTTTAATTCTCCTTAAAAGAGACTTGCACCCATTAGCAATCTTCCCCATTTTCTCCAGCTTTTTTTAAACCCCTCCTAGTCTAGGCAACCACTCGTCTACTTTCTGACTATGAATTTGCCTATTCTGGACATTTCACATAAATGGAATCATAATAACACATAGTCACTTTTTACTCACATCTTTCACTTAACGTATTTTTAATGTTCATCCATTTTGGAGCATGCATTAACAGTTTTTTACCTTTTCTTGCTAAATAAGGTTCTGTTTTATGGACACACCACATTTTATTTATCCACTCCTCGGCTGATGAACATTTCTGTTGTTTTCTACTTTGTGTTGCTATAAACATTTGTGTACTACTGTTTGTGTAACATTTGTTTTATTTTCTTTTTGGTAAACACACAGAAGTGGAATTGCTGGGTCATGTGATAACTCTATGTTTAACCATTTGAAGAACTGCCAGACTGTTTTACATTTTAAAGTCTCACCAGTGGTGTAGAAGGGTTCCAATTTTTCCACATATTTTTATCCATTTTTCAGTTGATAAGCACTTAGGTTGTTTCTAATTCATGGGTATTATGAATAATGCTGCAACGAACATGAAATTGCAGATGTCTCTTTTTGACATACGGATTGAAATTCCTTTGGACATATATCCAGAAGTGGGATTGATGGATCATAGGGTAAATATACTTATAATTTCTTGAGGAAACTTCATACTGTTTTCCAAGATGGCTGTACTAATTTCCATTCCTACCAACAGTGTACAGGGTTTCTTTTTCTCCACATCCTCATCAACACTTATCTTCCGTCTCTTTTTATAATAGCCTTAGTAAAATGTGTGAGGTGATATCTCATTGTGGCTTTGATTTGCATTTCTCTGATAATTAGAAATGTTTTTGATTTTTTCATGTACCTGTTGGCCTTTTGTATGCCTTAGGAAGTGTCTATTCTGGTTCTTTGCTTATTTTTTTAATAAGCATAGTTTTATTCTTATTTTTGAGTAGGTTGAGTTACTTATATATTATTATATGAGCCCTTTATCTGATGTATGGTTTAAAAATGTTATCCCATTTGTGGGTTCTCTTCATTCTATTATCGCTTCTTTTCCTGTGGAAAAGCTTTTTAGTTTTATGCAATCTCATTCGTGTGTTTTTGCTTTTGTTGCCTGTGCTTTTGGAATAATCTACAGAAAATCATAGCTCAGGCCAATGTCATACAGTCTTCTTCTATATTTCCTTGTAGTAGTTTTACATTTAAGTCTTTAATTTTGATTTGATACTTGTATAAAGAGCAAAAGGAAAGTCAAATTTTATTCTTCTGTATGTGGATATTCAGTTTTTTCTACACCATTTATTGAAAATAATTTTCTTTCTTCATTGTGTATTTTTAGTCATTTTATCAAAAAATCAATTGACCACAGACACACGGACTTATTTACGGGTTCTATATCCCTTTGCACTGTTCTACCTGTCTGTTTTTATGCCACTGCTATGTTGTTTTAATTACTATGGCTTTGTAATATAGTTTGGAATTGGGTAGTCTGATACCTCCAGCTTTGTTCTTTTTGTTCAAGATTGCTTTGGTTAGTCGGGGTCTTTTGTGGTTCCATACAAATTTTAGCAGTAATTTTTCTATTTCGGGGAATTTGATAGTGGTTGCATTTAATCTGTAGATTGCTTTGGGTAGCATTGACACTTTTACAATACTAATTTTTGAATCCATCAATAAAGGATGTTTCTCCATTTATTTATGCCATTTTAATTTTTTTCATCAATGTGCTATAGTTTTCAGTGTGCAAATCTTTCACATTCTTGATTAAATTTACTCCTAAGTCTTTTATATATTTTTATATCTGTTTTGATTCTATTATAAATTGAATTGCCTTATTACTTTATTTTTCAGGTAATAGTTTGTCATTAGTGTATAGAAACAATAATGCTAGCTGTATGTTGATTTTGTAACTATTAACTTTATTGAATTTCTTTATCAGCTTTAACCATTTATTTTGGTGGAGTCTTTAAGATTTTCTCTATCTTGAGTGCGCGAGGCGCGGGGAGCCTAGGACCTGGAGCGAGAGCCGCCTACCTGCAGCCGCCGCCCACGGCACGGCAGCCATCATGGCGTTCCTGCTGCGCTTCGTGCTCCTGTGCGGAGTCGCGGATTTCACCAGAAGTTTGAGTATCACTACTCCTGAGCAGATGATTGAAAAAGCCAAAGGGGAAACTACCTATCTGCCATGCAAATTATGCTTAGTCCTGAAGACCAGGGACCACTGGACATTGAGTGGCTGATATCACCAGCTGATAATCAGAAGATGGATCAAGTGATGATTTTATATTCTGGAAACAAAATTTATGATGATTACTATCCAGAACTGAAAGGCCGAGTACATTTTAAGAGAAATGATCTCAAATCTGGTGATGCTTCAATAAATGTAACGAATTTACAGCTGTCAGATATTGGCACAGATCAGTGCAAAGTGAAAAAAGCTCCTGGTGTTGCAAATAAGATTCAGCTGGTAGTTCTTGTTAAGCCTTCAGGTACAAGATGTTATGTTGATGGATCAGAAGAAATTGGAAGTGACTTTAAACTAAAATGTGAACCAAAAGAAGGTTCACTTCCATTACAGTATGAGTGGCAAAAATTGTCTGACTCACAGAAAATGCCCACTTCATGGTTAGCAGAAATGACTTCATCTGTTATATCTGTAAAAAAAATGCTTCTTCTGAGTACTCTGGGACATACAGCTGTACATCAGAAACGGAGTGGGCTCTGATCAGTGCCTGTTGCGTGTAAACGTTGTCCCTCCTTCAAATAAAGCTGGACTAATTGCAGGAGCCATTATAGGAACTTTGCTTGCTCTAGTGCTCATTGGTCTTATCATCTTTTGCTGTCGTAAAAAGCGCAGAGAAGAAAAATACGAAAAGTAAGTTCATCACGATATCAGGGAAGATGTGCCGCCTCCAAAGAGCCGTACATCCGCTGCCAGAAGCTGCATAGGCAGTAATCATTCATCCCTGGGATCCATGTCTCCTTCCAACATGGAAGGATATTCCAAGACTCAGTATAAACAAGTACCGAGGGAAGACTTTGAACGCACTCCTCAGAGTCCGACTCTCCCACCTGCTAAGGTAGCTGCCCCTAATCTAAGTCGAATGGGCGTGATTCCTGTGATGATTCCCGCACAGAGCAAGGATGGGTCTATAGTATAGAGCCTCCATACGTCTCATCTGTGCTCTCCGTGTTCCTTTCCTTTTTTGATATATGAAAACCTATTCTGGTCTAAATTTTGTTACTAGCCTCAAAATGTATCCAAAAATAAGTTAATCAGGAGCTGTAAGGAATATATTTTTTTAAATTTTTCTTTGGTTATATCGAAATAGTTACAGGCATTAAAGTTAGTAAAGACAAGTTTACCATCTGAAAAAGCTGGATTTTCTTTAAGAGGTTGATTATAAAGGTTTCTAAATTTATCAGTACCTAAGTAAGATGTAGCACTTTGAATATGAAATCATAAGTGAAGACATTGGTGAACTTACTTGCATACCAAGTTGATACTTGAGTAACCATCTGAAAGTGGTACTTGATAATTTTTACCGTTATTTTTAGGATGTGTATCTCATTTATTTATGGCCCACTAGTCTCCCCCAAATTAGTACAGAAACATCCATGACAAAATTACACATGTGTGTTTGTACTTGTTTTCACAGCTCCTTGGAAAACTCTGTGTTAGGAATATCTCTAAAAACATAGAAAACTCTACAGTGGTTTAGAAATTACTAATTTTACTTCTAAGTCATTCATAAACCTTGTCTATGAAATGATTTCTTAAATATTTAGTTGATAGACTGCTACAGGTAATAGGGACTTAGCAAGCTCTTTTATATGCTAAAGGAGCATCTATCAGATTAAGTTAGAACATTTGCTGTCAGCCACATATTGAGATGACACTAGGTGCAATAGCAGGGATAGATTTTGTTGGTGAGTGGTCTCATGCCTTGAGATCTGTGGTGGTCTTTAAAATGGTGGCCAGCCAGATCAAGGATGTAGTATCTCATAGTTCTGGACTAAATACTGGCTTTCCACTTTAGGTGATATTTTTCTTATTAGAAAAATATTATAACTCATTTATTGTTTGACAGTTATAGATTGAAATTTCCTAATTCTAAATTTTAAGTGGTTCTTCAGTTTCAGTGCTTTATGTTGTTTGTTGTTGGTTTGGCATGGCATTACATATTATATGTTCTAGAAACATGTAATCCTAAATTTACCCTCTTGAATATGATCCCTAGATGATATTTTTATCATAAATGCAGAATAATCAAATATATTTTAAGCAAGTAAGTGTCCTCCATCAATTCTGTATTCCAGACGTGGGAGGATGTACAGTTGCTGTTGTGTGATCAAGCATGTCTCTGTGTAGTTCCAGCAAATCAAGCTGAGCTTTGAAAAAGTTTGAGTCTTAGTTTTGTGAAAGTGGTTTATTCTCAAAAAAAAAAAAAAAGAAAAAGAAAAAGAAAAAAGATAAGAAGAAGGAGTAAAGGGACTACTCCTCCTTGCCAAATGTGCTAAATATCATTTTAGGAGAAGAAAGTGGATTTATTGTATTTCCCTTAAGATTGTGAGGGAGTGTGGATACAGTAGAACGAGCCAACAGTTTCTTTATAATAAATACGGTCTGCAATAAATTATTTCACTAGCTGTAAAACCTTTCCCTAGATTTTAGTAGGGAGTTGGTTTCTGTTAATATCTTTGGTGCTGTGGTGGTAAATGCTACATTATAAACAGTGGCATGTATTTACAGTTAGAGTATTGTGTGTACACTTTTTAATGGTAAACTTAAGCTGAATGTGTAATGGATTTGTCTATAGTTTTACATATTTGGAAGCATTTTAAAATAGGTTTTAATCTTACATAAAATTACTTTTATACTTGTGTTAACATTTTCTTCTGTGCCTTTTGGGTAATTTAATTTCTGTTATGAATTTCTGGTGCCTATGAGCTAGCTATCACCTACCTGAAAGGTGCTTAGAGGTGAAGGTACTGTTTCTAAAAACACATCACTGTGACACCTTTCTATCCTCACATTTTCAAGCTTGCCTCTTTTCTGTTCTTTGTGGATATAACGTAAGTGATTGTGTTATTCATAAAGATTTAGAAATTTCAATATTCCCAACACTCTGACTATGTTTCTGATTTTATAATAGTAGCCATTTTTGAATGTCAGATGTTTGGCCTGTTTTATATGAATAAAGTTTATTTATAAAATATTATAAAAATAAGTAAACAGAACATTAATAATAAAAAAAGATTTTCTGTATCTTAAGATTATATTTTCAGAAAACAGAAACAATCTTACCTCTTCCTTCCCTATATGGATTTCTTTTATTTCTTTGTCTTGTGTAATTGATCTGGCTAGGCAATTACACATAATGTTTTCAGCATTTGTAATTTTACATCAAATCCATCCATTGTAACACATTGATTGCTACTTTTCAACTTGTAAACCTGGACATTTGTCACTACTCTTCCTCCAGTACAGGAGTCCATGGCGCGGTGTGGGCCCTGCTGTGCCACAGTCCAGGGCACGGCTGGGCGCAGGTTCTCTCCTGCAAGAGTCCGCGGCTCTGCAGAGCAAGAGTTCTCCAGTGCCTTAGTCCAGGGTGAGGCAGGGGTGAGGCTCCTTCAGTAGCTCAGTCCAGGACGCAGCCCTGCGAGGGTCCTCCTGTGCAGGAGTACACGATGCTGCGGGGTCCTACTGTGCCTTAGTCCAGGACGCCAGGGGGCTGGGTCCTCTGCTGCCATAGTCCAGGGCGCGAGGGGCTGGGTCCTCTGGTGCCATAGTCCATGACGCAGGGAGGCTGGGTCCTCTGGTGCCATAGTCCAGGATGCGAGGGGCTGGGTCCTCTGCTGCCATAGTCCAGGGCCCGAGGGGGCTGGGTCCTCTGGTGCCTTAGTCCATGACGCAGGGAGGCTGGGTCCTCTGCTGCCATAGTCCAGGATGCGAGGGGCTGGGTCCTCTGCTGCCATAGTCCAGGGCGCGAGGGGCTGGGTCCTCTGGTGCCATAGTCCATGACGCAGGGAGGCTGGGTCCTCTGGTGCCATAGTCCAGGATGCGAGGGGCTGGGTCCTCTGGCGCCATAGTCCAAGACGCCAGGGGGCTGGGTCCTCTGGTGCCTTAGTCCCGGTCGCGGGGAGCTGGGTCCTCTGGTGCCATAGTCCAGGGTGCGGTGGAACAGGAGTCCTGCGGAGCAGTAGTCCAGGGCGCGCTGGGGCGTGGATCCTCAGGTGCCACAGTCCAGAGCGCGACAGGGCGGGATTCCTGCCTTGCTATATCCAAGGTGCAGCGGGGCGGGGGTTCTCTTGTTCAGGAGTCCAGGACGTGGCAGAGCCGGAGTCCTCCGTGTAGGAGTCCTCCGGTGCTGGAGTCCAGAGCACAGTGAGGCTGGGTCCTCCCGTGCCATAGTGTAGGGCATGGCGGGACAGGGATCCTGCCCTGCGATAGTCCAGTGCTTGAGTCCGCAGTAAGGCAATGGTCCTCCAATGCTGGAGTTCACGGCGTTGTGGGGTCGGGGTCCTTTGGTGACTTAGTCCAGGGCGTACCAGGGCGGGGGTCCACAGTTGCCATAGTGAGGATCTTGGAGGAAGGTGGTTCCTGCCTTGCTGTAGTCCGGGGAGCAGGGGGCAGGGGTCCTCTCTTGTCAGAGTCTCTGGCGCGGGGTGGGGGTGGAGGTGGGGGTTTTCCTATGCGATAGCCCACGGGTCGGTGAAGCCGGGTCCTCCCGTGCCTTTGTCCAGGGCGCAGGGGGGCGAGGGTCTTCGGTGGTGGAGTCCGCGGAGCGGCAGGACGGGGGTCCTCCAGTGCCATATTCCAGGGCGCGGCGGAGTGGGGGACCTGTCCTGCAGTGGTCCAGGGCATGTGGGAGTGGTGGTCCTGCTGTGCCTCAGTCCAGTGCGCGGTGGGACGGCGGTCCTGCTGTGCTGTAGTGCAGGACGCGGTGGCGCAGGGGTAGTCCAGAGAGCGCCGTGGCAGGGGGTCCTCCAGTGCTGGAATCCAGTGCAAGGCGGGTCAGGGGTCTTACCGTGCCGAAGTCGGTGGCAAGGGTCCTCCCGTGCCATAGTCTAGGGGGCGACGGGGCAGGGTTCTCTAGTGCAGGTGTCCAGGGTGTGGCAGGGCAGGAGTCCTCTTGTGCAGGAGTCCAGGACGTAGCCGAGGAGTCCTCCAATGTCAGAGTCCAGGGCTCTGCGGGGCCGGGTTCCCCCATGCCAGAGTGTAGGGCGCGTTCAGGTGAGGGTCTTGGCGTGCAGTAATCCAGGGTGCGGTGGGGCAGGGGTAGTCCAGACCTCCATGGCGGGCGTCCCTCTGTGCAGGAGCCCAGTGCCTGGCGGATCGGGGGTCCTTCTGTGCTGTAGTCCAGGGCACCGCAAGGTGTGGGTCCTCTGGTGCCCTAGTCCAGGGGGCGGCGAGTCAGAGGTTCTCCCGTGTCTCAGTCTAGGGCCTGGTAGGACTGGGGTCCTGGAGTCCACGTGGTAGCCCAAGTTGCCGCAGGACCAGGTACTCTGGAACCACAGTCCAGGGCGCTGAGGGGCAGGAGTAGTTCAGGGCGAGCCGGGGCCCAGGTCCTCGGGAGCCAGAGTCCAGGGTGTGGAGGGGTGGGGGTTCTGCAGTGGCACAGTCCAGGACACCGCGGGGCGGGACAGGGCGGGGATCCTCCCGTGCCTTAGTCCAGGGCTGAGCCGCGGGAGAGGTCCTTCAGTAGCACAGTCTAGCGCACGGCGTTGCAGGTGTCCTCCAGTGCCTGAGGCCACGGCAGGTCGCGGGTCCCACTGTGCTCTAGTTCAGGGCGGAGTGGGTCTGAGGTCTTCTCCTGCCTCAGTCTAGGGCGCTGGAGAGCGGGGATCCTCTGGTACCGGAGTCAATGGATCCACGGGTCCGGGTCCTCCCATGTTTTAGCCCCGGGAGGGGAGAGGCGGGGGTCTTCCTTTGCCCTAGTCCAAGGCATTGTGAGGCCCCGCTCCTGCATTCTTAACTGTCTGTGCCTCTGCCGCCGCGGGGTAAAACTGCACCATCTCAGGCAAGCCTAACAGAGCAGCTGTCCTTAAAAGATTCCCAGTTGAGTGTCGTTCGGAGCAGGCCTGAGAAGTGTGCCCTTAGTTGGCTTCAAGGGCTCTGGGCAGTGTTTAAGGAATCCAGCTGACCTCAGTTACTCCAAGCCCTTTTCCACTTGTTTTCTTCAGGCCTCCTTTCTTTGTGCCAGCATCAATGGGTTTTTGGTTAAAGTTTTCAGCAGCTGCCTGCAGTTCCATTTTTCTTACCAGGTAAGAGACATAGCTTCATGAAAACAAAGGGAGAAGGCTTGTGACCAGAGAACTCCCAGTCCTCTCCCTGCATAGGAAAACTGGACTTCTCCGGAGGGCTCCAGCTCCTGGGCAAATCTCTAGGGCCACTTAATTGGGCTGTCCCCCACCTTTGTTTCTGGTTTTGGAGGGGCCAAGGTTGGGAATCCTTTCTAAGTCTCTACACATGGAGCCCTTCTTTGGTGGGATAGTCTTGACATATACCAGGATTCTCATTGACCTTTCAGAGCCTTCAAGAATCCTGAGCTGCTTTGGCTTCTGTTCCTGGAAGAGATGCAACTGAACTGCTCTGGAGCTGGAGTTCAGGTTCAAATATTCATCACTGTTACTAAGCCTTTACATAGCATGTGATTTCTTTCCGGCAGGCTCATGGTCACTTAGGTTTGCTTGTATGTAGATGGAGGGTCTGCATCCTCATTCAGGTAACACCCTCAGCCTTTCATGCTGAGATTAGCCATTTTATTTGTAACTCACTGTACAATCCATTTGCTCTTCCAGTGTCCCTTAGAAGGATGCAGAGTGTTCTGTAGAATGCCATAGAGACCTGGATTTAGGGAAAATATTTGACCAAAAGTCTGCCAACTCACATGAGTATCTCCCAACAACTTGTACAGTGCTAGTCTCTGGGTATATAGCAAATGAAACCGTGCCTGAGCAGATGTTACAAACACCCTCCCCTGAGAGACTCCAGGGCTGCTTTATTCAAGCAAAACGGTGTGCTCTAATAAGCTCAGTGTTGAGAGGAACAAGTTTTCATTCCAGCTTTCTCAAAAACTCCCTTTGTGACTTTAGACATAATAATAATAACACTACCTAGGTAGTGAACACCTCTGCCAAGAAATATCATGATCATTACCTGAGTTGTAATTCTCACAGTAGTCCTGCAGGACAGCTGCTGTTACTGCTTATTATGCAGATGGGCAACCTGAGGCTCAGATGGAGTTAAGTGGCTTAATTGGTAGCAACAGAGCCAGGATTTGAACCCAGGGCTGCCTGATCACCAAATAAAATTGTACTCAACATGATGCACTTAACTTTTCTGGCCTCATTTCTCTCACCTGTAAAAATGCAGGTTTCAGATGTTGGTAATATTTTACCTGTGGTTGAAAGAGTTACCAGCCCTTCCTTGATCACCCATGGTAAGACCCATGAGCCTCTGAATATAATTATAGAAAACATTTGGAGAGGGATAGAGAGAGACAAGATCATGCCTCCTTTGATAATGTCAAATTTTCAGTGCACGAAGCCATACATAGTGCAGTTTTCTAGCTTCCCTTTCACACATGGCATTGAAGAAAGTAAATTAAGCAACTCAGCTAACACTGGGAATGCAGCAGAAGTAATCGAGTTCAGTGCTGGGAGACAGTTGCCATGATATTCCAACATGGACACCAGGATCACAGTCGATGACTATGCCCTCCCTTGAAGATGGTGGCTTGCCTCTCTTTCTGTAAGCACATGTCATGTCATAACAATATTAAACAATTGAAAGTAATGTCCCCATCTTCTTCTACACTGCCTTTGAATTATTATTTTAGATCTGCCAAAATAAATTGCAAACTCATTAACAAGAAAGGGGGGGTGCATGCATCCTTGCCTTCCCGAGTAGTCTATTCACCCAAAGACAAAAGGGTGACCAGCCTCCATCTGGGATATTCAAAGACACAGTCACCTTGCCATGCAGCCTGAGGCCAATCCCCTTTTTAAGAAGCTTGTTAGATGAGCTCCTTAAACATACAACCACAAAGGAAAAGCACAGCTGGTGTGAGCGAGGCTGATAAAATGGGCATTTTGTCTGCTTCAAGGTTAGAATGCAACTTGTCTATCAAAATGTGGTTATCTGACCTCCACAATGCTGCAGTCCAGCTAAATCATGCAAATATTCATCCACCATTTACTATGGATAAAACAATAATGTGCTGTGGGGAATCCAATTACACACACACACACAAAAGTGCACACACACATGCATGCACACACACTGCTCCTGCTGTCTCAGAGGTTCCAGGCTGGCAAGGAAGAAGTGCAAACATTAGTAGGTAAGTCCACTAGCAGGAGGAATGTGATAAGTAGATCCAACAGGGTACAACACAGTATGATAGAAGCAAACAAGGTAGAAATGAGTTCTGACTCCCTTTCACTTATGAAACTGATTATGGAATAGTGTATGAAAGGCTTGCCTGAATGAATCTCATATTTTCCAAGTGTTTTCTATCCCAGCGATTGGAACTTTCATTCATTTATACCATTGTCCAAAAGGAAAATACAGGAGATTTTCCTAAGACCATCCTCTGTCTTATCGCTCATATCATATCCCCAAACATCACCAAGCCCTGCCCACTTTTACCTACTCAGTTTCTCTCCAGTTGTTCTGTTTTCTCCATATGCACTAGTGGTACCTTGGCTACATGAAGACCACCAGCAGCAGCTGGGACAACCAGCACCCTGTGGAACTGCACAGCATGCATAGAATACGTCCTCCCTTCAGTTGGCTTGGGTCAGCTTAGGTCATGGGCCACTTGGACTGATAGCAGTTTCCACAGAAATGCCTCAAGATGGTAGAATAATCCAGATCTCTTTGCATGGGGCATGGTGTGGCTATCTGAGAAAATCCTGGCTTTTATAGGAAGGAGAAAGAAGAATGCTTCTTGAGGGGAAGAAACCAACAGGAATGTGCCTCAGGGAAATGTCACCAGAGGAGAGTGAGCTGTAATAAGTATTTTGGCAGATTGCATGTTTCTTGTGTTCCTTGGCCCTGCACAGAGCTACCGTTTACTCATTTGACAAATATTTGAGTAGTAGACTCCAGGGTTCAATAGTGAGCAAACATGCACAGAATTTCTTCTCTAGTGGAGCTGAGAGTCTAACAGAAAGAGCTGACATTAGTCACAGAATTATGTAATAAGGGAAAGTTCAGCAGACCCAGGGGTACTACAAGAGCCTGGGAAGGCGGACTGACCCCAAGAGGGAGGCAGGAAAGGTTGCCCCCAGGAAGTAGCACTTGAGCTACAATCAGGGAGAAAACTAGGCAAAGACACAGCATTCAGGAGAAGGTAGAAGCTGGCCCATGAGGATGGTGGTGTGGAGAGGTGAACCAATACCCAGGTCTTGGATTTATTGTTGAGCTGCTGAATTAACCAGTGCTGGCTCTCTCCCAACCTCTGCACTTCTTTTTTGCAAGGTTATATATTTTTTTATTTAAAAGCTAGTATGAGTTGGGATCTGTTGCTTTTCTGAGACCCCATCCTGTGAGGTAAACAGGGGGCCTCACTGTACTCTGGGGAAGCTAAAGATGGAGAACAGTTTTAGAGTGCCTGGAGAAGAGGCCCTTTAATAGATCATTTAAGAAGAGGGTGCTACCGCTAGACTGCCCAGATTCACTTTCTGGCTTTGTGACCTTGGGCTCTCTGTGTCTGTTTTCCAATCTGAAAAATGAAATAATGATAGTATCTGCCTCTGCCTGCAAGACCCTGACCTATCAGACCAACTACCTTTTCACTAGAACTCTCTTCCTGCACTGTACCCCAACTGGACCCTCATTAACACTTAAAATGGGCATGTTTCCCTTTTCTAGATTTTGCTCAAGACATTTCCCTCATCAGAATTAACTTTGGTCCATCTCCCTCTATTGAAATTCAACCCATTCTCCAGAAATCAGTTCAAATTTTATCACCAGAAAGCCTCTCTCAATTATACCAAGCCTCTTTTATACTTTGTGCCATTTCTGCCATGATTTCTTATGTTTTCCTTTTTCACTACATATTGGTATAGGTACATATGATCTCCACTTCCACTCAAATGTGAGGTTACTGAGGGCAATCCCTATGGGTATAGTCATATCCCAAGAGTCCTGGGCAGAGGGTGTCCCTCTTTCACCCAGGTTGGAGTGCAGTAGTGCGACCAGAGCTTACTGCAGCCTTGACCTCCTGGGTTCAAATGATCCTCTCACCTTAGCCTTTCCAGTAGCTGGTACTAAAAGGTGGGCACCACCATGCTTGGCTAATTTTCATATTTTTCATAGAGATGGGGTTCCACCACGTTGTCTTGCTTGGTCTCAAAGTTCTGAGCTCAAGCAATCCACCTGCCTCGGCCTCTCAACATCCTGGAATGACAGCATGAGCTACCACACCTGGCCAAATGCCGAATACTTTAGTCATATATGCCTGACACTTCCAGGGCATGCAGAACTGCCTCGCTTACTTTTCTTTTGACACAGTTAATAAATTTTCTTAATTTAAATTTTAATTTCAACATGTATACATCTTTGAAATAAATAAAATAATCTCTTTGAATGTTTGGCATAATGTAGAAGAAATTGACAAATGGATATCTTTACTTCATTTTCCATCTCAAAATGTGGTAGAAATATGCTCCCCTAAAGTGATCCCAATTATTACATAGCCATCTTGCTGTGGTTAATGTAGAATCTTTTTGCAATATCACATTCATGACAGGGCACATCCAAGAAACATTTAAGTGAAGATAATACTAGATTCTTGAAAGTATCTAGACACTTAAGAGCAGGTAGTGATGATGTTAATTAACAGTAACAATGTCGAGGGACTGGCTTTTGCCCTTCCCTAATAAACATAAACAGCATAGAAACTCAGCAAATTTGCTCTTATTTTCTTCATTATTTGGTTGTTGAATCAGTAAATGCTTTCCACAGGGGTCATCTTGTTAGTCATCTTGTCATTTTGCTGTGTCCCTTCTTCATCCTTGCACTTTTTCCTTTCTCTCATTTTGGCATGTATTGAGAGGAGTGTTATGTTGATGGAATGCCCTATCCTGACTTGCCATCTGATTAGAACTTCCCTCAATTTTTAAAATGCTTCTTGAAATGGTTTGGATTTGTGCACCCCCCATCCCCAATCTCATGTGGAATTGTAATTGCCAGTGTTGGAGGAGAGGCTTAGTGGAAGGTGTTTGCATCATGGAGGTGGTTTCTAATGGTTTAGCCTCATCACCCTAGTGCTGTCTGATGATAAAGTTCTCCCAAGATCTGCTTGTTTAAAAAGTGTGTAGCACCTCCCCTGACTCGTTTCAGCCATGTGAATATGTGCTTGCTTCCTTTTCACCTCTGCCATGATCGTAAGTTTCCTGAGGCCTCCCTATAAGCATAAGTCTGTACAGCCCACAGAACTGTGAGCCAATTCAATCTCTTTTCTTTTTCAATTACCCATTCTCAGGTATGTCTTTATATCAGTGTGAGACAGACTAATACACTCCTCCTCAGAAAGCATTCAATTTAGCTGTGTCTAAAGGTATGCCAGCTGTCCTGGGGCATTATCTTAGCCAATCATTCTTCCTCTTCAGCAAGATCTATTTGCCTATCACAGCTTGACCTGCAGTTCCTGCCATACTTGTCAGTAACAAGTAGCCTATAATATCTGGAGGGATTTCATTGAAATCACAGAGGTTCCTTGGCTCTTTACTTTATTAACAGGCATTAGGAAAGCACATCGACTTTCTTATTTAATAAAATGCCTGTTGCTTTGAAAAATTGCTCAAAAGAAGAAAAGAGAGGGTTACTTAAAGATATCACTATAGGCATGGCATGCTGGTCCACACCTGTAATCCAAGTACTTTGGGAGGCTGAGGAGAGAGGATCACTTGAGTCCAGAAGTTCAATACCAGCCTAGGTGACATGGCAAAACCCCATCTTTACAAAACAAAACAAAATAGAAAAAATATTCAGGCACAGTGGCATGTGCTTGTATTCCCAGTTACTCAGGAGACTGAAGTGGGAGAATCACTGAGCCCAGGGAGGTTGAGGCTGCAGTGAGCCATGATCGTGCTGCCCCTCTCCAATCTGGGTGACAGAGCAAGACCCTGTCTCAAAAAAAAAAAAAAAAAAAAAAAAGGCTATCACTATACTATCTATAACTATTCTTCATTAGGATAACTAGGTATTTTCCAACAGTGGAAACTCCAAACAGACTAAATTGTTGTACATCAAGGTGAATTGTCATAGTTAATTCCTTTGCTTGCAACTGTCCAATAAATGGATGAGGACTCACTTCACCAATAAATAAGAAATGTGAACAGCACATGGGGCCTGTAGATGCCTTTTGCAGGGCCCTCTTTTTCTCTTCCTAAAGTTGCAATTTGCGTGTTTCTGTAGATGGGCACATCATAGAAACTGTCATCCTAGATCAGAGCCTGGAGAGAGAGATACAAGTGTCATGCTTACATATGCAGAGTGGGAACAAGCCCAGAGAAATCAAGATGATTAAGCAGAAAGTTTCCATACTGGAGATAAACCAGCTGTGTAAAAAATCATGCTTATTGAACAAAAAAGCATTGCACAGCTGAAATAACTGCTTTAACTAAGAAGTGAAGAACTGACACCTGAACAGAGCACAGATAGCCACACAGACAGGAGCTGCATTTCAAACAAGGTCATTGCTGTTGTCCCCACTCCAAATTAAGTGTCTCTGCTTCACCCTTCCTTACCAAAGTTCTGCTTGATCATCCTTTTGTTTTGTTTTGTTTTGTTTTTTGTACTTCACTTCTTTGAGAAAATATAAACCAAAATTTTACATGAAACAGGAATTCAGCTTTTGACAATGTTAGCCATTGAAACAACAACAACAAAAGTTTCTATTATTTCTCATCTCTGTGCTATCCAGTGCAGTAGCCAATAGCCACAGGTGACTATTAAAATTAAAATTAATTCAAATAAAACAAAATTTAACATTAGCTGGTCAGTTGTACTAGCCACATCTCAGTTACTCAATAGCCACATGTGGCTAGTGGCTACTGAACTAGGCAGCATGAATGTAGAACATTTTCATCATCATAGCTTTCTAGGTCATGGAAAAATTGCAGAACTCAATTTCCAGTGTGCACATTTATTTGCATGCCTAGGAGCTTTCTGACCCTGTGTTGAGCTGCCTAACCAGCTTCCTGATTGACCTCCTGATATTTCTGCAAATGTGGACTAAGAGGCCAGGAGTCCTCAGGGCCCAGGTGACTCAGGTTATTCAGTAATTATGTTTGGACTAGCAGGCCTCTACTTAATTTGGGATGCAAAAGGGGACTTCTCTTCCTAATTGCTAAAATAGCTTTTCAAGGTTCACCTCTCATCGTGGTAAGAGTCTCATTTCCTGAGACTCTTATTTCTTTCCATGACTTATGTTATATTCTGGAGAGAGTGGATTCACATGGAAAAGCTGGCTCTGTGCTGGCTTTCCAGGGGTCAGCCCTCTTGTGAGTGACAAGTCTGCCTATTTACATGATGTACATTGTGTCCCACTACTGGTAATAGAAGCTCAGCAGCTGATTGACTGTTAGGTTATTTTCAAAGCTCAATATTCACAATAATCTAACAGACACCCACACAACCACAA
This sequence comes from Homo sapiens, assembly GCF_000001405.40. NCBI lineage: Eukaryota > Metazoa > Chordata > Mammalia > Primates > Hominidae > Homo > Homo sapiens. The sequence goes on from NC_000021.9 coordinate 13,689,615, forward strand.
AGACAGACAAGGCTCTCATAACCTGCAAAAGACAAGGTGCACATTTCTTCTTTCCATCCCAGCAACAAATTGCCAACCCAGCCAGCACTTAAGTTGGGGTAAAAATTAATTAAAAGAAGAATCTACCAATGTAGATAAAAGAACAAAAAAGCTATTGCAGCTGTCTTCTCCATAACAGAGGCCTGTGATTTGAATTTTAATGTTTCAATCTACTTTCTGCTCTTGTGTTTATTTTATTATTTATTTTTTGTCACTATCTCTTATTTGTAGATACAAATTTTTCACATTTAAAAGCTATTTTAAATATAATCTTTAAAAGGAGAAACATTATTTTTTTTAATTGCACAAAATACTGAAGGTGAGTTCCACTGATTGGAATGCAAAATGGGACAATATCTCTGGAAGCAATTTTATCCAGATAAATCAATAGCTTTAAAACAATTCAAAACCTTGGACCTAATACCTCTACTTCTAGGAAGGTAGCCTATGAAGGTTTCTGCTGAAGGATGTTTATCACAGTATTATTTATAATGCAAAAAAGCCAAAGAGGAGACCTGAAATGTTTCAAAGATGAAAATGGTTTGATAAACAACATTTTTTTAGACGGGGTCTCACTCTGTTGCCCAGGCTGGGGTGCAGTGCCACGATCTTAGCTCACTGCAAAATCCATCTCCCAGGTTCAAGCAATTCTCCTGTCTCAGCCTCCCAAGTGGCTGGGAATACAGGCACACCCCACCAAGCCTCACTATTTTTTTGTATTTTAGTAGAGATGGGGTTTCCCTGTGTTGCCTAGGCTGGACTCAAACTCCTAAGCTTAGGCAATCCATCTGTCTTGAACTCCCAAAATGCTGGGATTAGAGGCGTGAGCCACTACACCTGGCAATAAACAACATATTTAAACACTAGAATATTATGCAAAAATTCCAGGCATGCTTTGGAAAAACTATTAATCCCACAAAAGATGCTTATGTTATTATACAGACTAAGAGACCAAGATTCTCCAGGACACTTACTGTGTTACATGTCTGAAGTACAATATAATGCTGTATATAAAATGTGACCTCAACTCAGGCCCCAGTCTTTTCATCTGGAAAATTCTATTAATTATACTGCCCTTCCCCTTTTTAGATTTTCTGTAGGAGTTAAATACAATACACTTTGTCAATTGCTTAACACCATGCTCAACACTGGTCAGAGAGATATAAATGTCAGCTATTGTACTATGTGCCAAAAAAAAAAAACAAAAAACCACACAGACAGACACACACACACACACACAAAGACACACATGGAGGGAGAGGAAGTAAAGATTAGAAAGCAGCACATAATGTTATGGTAGGCAATGGGACCACTAATGATTTTCATATTCTTTTTTATTTTCTTCTTTATACTGCTTACATTTTTCAGTGTATACAATGAGCATGTATTACTTCTGTAACCAGAAGAATGTGGTATAAACCTCACCTTAATATAATAAAACAAAATTACTGGCCAGGCACGGTGTCTCATGCCTGTAATCCTAGCACATTAGAAAGCTGAGACTAGTAAACCTCTTGAGCTCAAGAATTTGAAACCAACCTGAGCAATATAGTGAGACCTTGTGTCTGCAAAAAATGCAAAAATTAGCCAACCATAGTGGTATAGAACTGTAGTCCTAAGTTACTTGGGAGGCTGAGGTGGGAGGGTGGCTTGAGACCAGGAGGTGGCTGCAGTGAGCTGTGATTGCACCACTGCACTCCAGCCTGGGTGAAAAAGCCAGACCCAGTCTTATACAAAAATATAAACAAATATACAAAATATACAAAAATAAAAACAAACAAACAAAAAAGTTATTACTTAGATCCCACATGCTGTCTTGGAGCCATTGTAGCATTGCGGGATTCAAGAGACTGGAGAGACCAATGGATGAGACAGGAGGATTTTATTAAAGTGGCCACTGGCCTAGTGGATTCGCATCCAAAAGGCTGAGCTCCGAACAAAGATGGGGCCTGGTTTTTAAGCATGCAGCTGCGTGAAACTCACAGGGCGGGATGGCAAGCTTATAGAAGCAGAACAAAGGCAGTTAATCAAACAGTGACAGGTGTATGACTCAAACATGCCTGGTGACCTCTGCTGGGCTGCCCAGCAGGCTCTCAGTGGATGGTCACTATTTTAGGCTTGCTCAGGCATGTCTTGTGACCTTCTCAGTGTTGCACAGATGGAAAACAGGAACTTACAAAATCCTTACAAACTTACAGAAATAGTTACAAAAATAATTATGAGAGCAGAGCAAAGACATACTGGCCTAGGAAAGAATCTCAAAGGGGGAAGCTGATAAGAAGAACTTATTTTTCTCATCCCCGTTCCTGGAGTCCGTTCCTTCTGTGCTCTGCTTGACCTTGTACATAAAGTTAGCTTAGTCCTAGCAGGGCCTTGGAGTGAGTCAGCCTGGTACAGGCAGGAATTTAGGTTTTTCTCCTTTTAATTTCTGCTTTTGTAAGCCAGGGTTCTGATTGTCACTGCTGAGAAAGTAAAGTGTGTTCAGGCTGTCCATGGTTCTGGGCTCCCTTGGGTCTCTGAGGAGGATTGTCCCCTCCATCACAGAGAATATCAGGACACTAGCCTGTTCCTAGTTATACTTACACACTCTTCTCATGTTGTCTATGGAGTGGAGGCTGCAGGGAGGGTGACATCCTAGTTAGTCCCAAGTGCCAGACTGCCTGAAGCTCACTGTTAACAAGTCCTGCCTTGGAGAAGAAGGAAGGGTGTCTTTGTGAACCTCCCACCTGGGCCAAAGGGAGGCCACTCTCTCCTCTGCTTCTCCCCAACCTTGGTCTTCTGCACTCCTAGTGAACCTCTCACCCCCTGCCTACAGGCCTGGAATCTCAAGACCATGATGGCCTCTCATCACCCCTGAATCCAGAGCTTTCCCTTTACAAAGGGGAAACTGAGACCTGGAGCAGGGCTGATGTTCAGCCAGTGCACAAGGGAATAGATGAATTGGTGGTGAAATACTGAAATAGTTCCAGGGTGGATGGAAAGGGGCCACTGCCCTGAACATCTCTACCCCCCACCTCAGCCCATCCTCCAGGACCCTGGGTCAGCACCAGGAGCATCAAAGTGGCCAGGATTGGCTGAAGCCCATGCTAATGGCTCTGCCAGCTCTTCTCCCCACTAGAGAGGGCAGGGGAATTCAGGCCATCTGGAGGTAGCGCTGTGACCGTGTATGCAGTAGTCAAACCTTGTGTGCCACCATCCCTGACTTTGTTGATAAGGGCATCAGGCTACATCCCTCTGGTACTCAGTGGTAAGCATCTAAAATCTTAAAGAAAAAATTTAAAAAGCTTTCAAAATATAGGACTTAACATATAAGCCTGCATAAACATCTCTTTAGCAGTTGTCCAACTGGTGCTTCTGGTTCTGCCTCCCCAGAGAGTGGATGACCTGGGCCACCCTCCACCACTGCCCCGTAAGGCCACTGGACACGCAGCCCATCAGTTCTCTTCACGTGGTCATCCCCCTTTAGATGGGAGAAAATACACCTGCCTCATTTTTGTACCTTCTGTGTGGACATTCCATGACAGAGCTTCACTAAATGTATGATGAAGAACTGAATGAATGAATGAATGAATGAATATGAGAGCAAATGAATGAATGGCTCAGATCCTGGGCTGGAAGGCTGTGTATGAGGATGGTGGGTAGAGGAGGGTCTGTTTTTCTTGCCTTTAAGTCATTACTTGTCATTTTGGGGCAGGAGCACAGGCTTTGAATGCCGACTGACTGGACTTTAATCCTGGCTTTACTAGCTGTGATTGTGTGACCTCGTACATGTTACTTAAACCCTCTGTGCCTGTTTCTTTATCTGTAAAATGGAGACAATAAGATGACAAAGGACTGTGGTAAGAATTAAATGCTTTAAAAAAATCGCAGTTTGTATTAAGTCCTCAATAGATTGGGTTTAGCATCATGAGTGCATGTGTTTCTGCAGCAATGCTCATCTTGGGCTGGATGGTACCTACACAGAGAAAGACTCTGGCCTCTTCTCACCCACATGTATCTGTCTTATGCCTGGTTCCCATTCCCAGATCCTTGGAAGATCCATATTGCTGAAATGGTGAAGGGTGATGGGCACCTCAGGACAACTAAGCGGCTCCCCAAACATCTTCCCCCTCCCAAACTCTCCTGTGGTCTTTAGCATTTAACAGGAATCTCTCGACACTCTCAAGGGGTGATCTTCTCATGGAAGACCAGTGGGGAGGAGGCTGCAGGAAAGGTCAGGCACTGTGCACTTACTTCCCTGACAGCTGCAAGTGGTTCTGTTTCCAAGCCCATGGGTCACTATGAATAAGGCAAGTTATATGACATAATAATGTGATTCTTTGGTGCCTCAGTCCACACTGGCACTTTAATACTCCTAGAGTGGATTGCATGGTGGTCTATCAAAAGATATGTCTACCTGGAACTTGTGAATGTGCCTTTATTTGGAAAACAATCTGCAGATGTAATTAAATCCAGCACCTTGAGATGAGGGCATCTCATCTTGGATTAGGATGGGCCCTAAATCCAATGACAAGTATCCTTATAAGAAAAGCGGCAGGTAGGGCAGAGTGGCTCAAACATATAATCCCACCACTGAGGAAGGTCAAGTTGGGAGGATCGCTTGAACTCCAGGCGTTCAAGACCTGCCTGGGCAACATGGTAAGACCCTGTCTCTCCAAAATATATATAAAATATAACAGCCAGGCATGATGGCACCTGCCTGTAGTCCCAGCTACCAGCTAATCAGGAGGCTGAGGTGACAGCATACCTTGAATCTGGGAGATTGAGGCTTCAGTGAGCTGTGATCATGACACTGCCCTCCAGCCTGGGTGGCCCCTGGCCCCTCCACAACCTGCGCTAGAAGAGCTGGGCCCTGGCTCTGGGCACCATGCAGCCTCTAAGGTGGGGCTGAGCGCCAGTTCCTGCCCTCCTGCAGCTGGGGACCAATACCCTGACTTAGGCGCTGTGGAGGCTTCTGGCCCAAGGGTCCGCACTGCTGGTGGCACTGGCAGGGTCAGAGTTTGCCACAGCTGCTGCTGCGCGCCTTGTGCAGGTTACCACTGCAGCTGAACCTACAGCAGAAGCAGGCAGGGCTGGTCCCAGACAGCCTGGGGGTCTCTAAGTGCAGGGCCCTTTCACCCTAGAGTCAGCTCTTTCTTGCCGGCACCCATAGCGGGGTGTGCAGGCGCTGGGTACAGGGCAGCAGCCAGGAAATGGCTGAGCGGCCTGTTCCCGCCCTCCTGCAGCTGGGGCCTGACCACCTGAATTAGCCGCTGGGCGAGGTCTGGCCCTGGGATCCGCCTGGCTGGTGTAGGAGCACGGTCTGGGGTTGCCTCCAAGGCTGCTGCGTGCGCCATGTGCAGGCAAGGGTTTCCCAGACAGCCTCAGGGTCATGGAGTGGACCACTGTCCCAGCCTGGAGTCCGCTCTTCCTTTGCCTGCTCCCAGAGTTCCGGGTCGCGGGCACTGGGAACTGTGCCGCCAAGGGGACTGGGCCGAGGGCAAAGGTTTCTGCCCTGCTGCAGCTGCGGGGCTGACTGCCTGAATTAGGCGCTGAGGCGGCGTTGTCCCTGGTGTCCTGGCTCTTGGTGGTGCAGGCAAAGTGCCCGGTTGCTCTGCTGCTGCGGCGCCGTTGTACAGGTGGCAGCTGTAGCTGAGTTCTCAGTAGGGGCCGGCAGGGTTGGTCCTAGAAAGCGTGAGGATCGCCGAGTGCACTGCCCTCCCAGCCTAGGGTCCACTCTTCCTTGGCCCGAGCCCAGAGCTCGGGGTTTCAGGCGCTGGGCCCTGTGCAGCTGCCCAGAATAGGCTGAGCGGCAGGTTCCCGCCCTGGCAAGGGATCCAGCAGTGGAATCCTCACTGCTGTTGGCTGCGGGCAAGGTCAGCGGGGTTTCCATCGCTGCTGGTGGGAGCCACCTGGCGGTGGTAGCTGCAAGTGAGCGCGTGGCAGAGACTGGCAGGGCTGGTCCCAGACACCCTGAGGGTCTCTGGGTGCATCGCCCTACCACCCTAGGGTCTGCTCTTCCTTAGCCTGCTCCCAGGACGCGGTGTACGAGGGCTAGACTCTGAGCAGCCTCCAGGATGGGGCTGAGCAGCGGATTCCTGCCCTGCTGCAGCTACAGTCTGAATTAGGCGCCACCGCAGTATCTGGCCCTGGGGTACGTGCTACTGGGTGGCATGGACAGAGATGGGGGCTGCCACAGCTGCTATGGGGCTGAGCAGCCGATTCTCGCCCTGCTGCAGCGGGCGACCGCTGCAATCCCCAGCGCTATGGGACCGACCACCTGACTTAGATGCCTTGGAGGCATCCGGTCCTGGGGTCTTGCTGCTGGTGTCTGCGGGCAGGGTCACGGCTGCCACTACTACTGCTGTGCGCCATGGGCAGGTGCCAGCTGCAGCTGAGTCCGAGGCAGATGCTGTCAGGGCTGGTCTGAGGTTGCCTAAGGGTGGCTGAGTGCACCACGCTTCCACCCCAGGGTCCGTTATTCCTAGGCCGGCTCCCAGATTGCAGGGTTGTGGGCGTTGGACACTGTGCAGCCATGAGGATCTGGTTGGGTGCAGATTCCCGCCCTCCTGCAGCTGAGAAGCCAATCTCATAACAGGCGCTGCAGTGACCTCTGGCTCTGCGGTCCGCGCTGCTGCTGGAGCTGGCAGAGAACAGAGCTGCCACCGCTGCTGCTTCCAGGAGTGTGCAGCTGGCAGCTGCAGCTGAGCCCGTGGCGGAGGCTGGAAGGCCTTATTCCAGAAGCCTTGAGGGTCCCCGAATGCACCGCCCTCCCACCCTAAGGTCCAGTCTTCCTTGCCCGCGCCCAGAGAGTTGGATTGCAGGCGCTGAGCACAGTGCAGGTGCTGGGATGGGGCTAAGCTGAAAGTTTCCGCCCTCTGGCTGCTGCGGGGCCGACAGCCTGAGTTATGCGCCGCGGCGGCTTTTGGTCATGGGATCCGCACTGCCGGTGGCTTGCACAGGGTCGGGGGCTGCCACAGCTGCTATAGTTCACCGTGTGCACGTGGCAGCCGCCCCTGAGCCCACCGCTGAGGCTGCAGGGCTGGTCCGGTCCCAGACGGCCTGAGGGCCATTTGCCCGCGCCCAGATCCGGGTGGCTGCGCTGGGCACTGTGCAGCCTCCCGGAATCCGCTGAAGGGCACGTTCCCGCTCTCCTACAGCTGTGGGCCGACTGCCTGATTTTGGCCACTAGGTGGAGTCTGGCTCTAGGGTTTCGAGGCCGCTGGTGTTGGTGGGCGGAGTCCGGGTTTGCCACCGCTGCGCTCCATGAGCAGGTAGCAGCTGCAGCGGAGCTTTAGACCGAGGCTGGCAGGGCTGGCCCCAGACGGCCTGAGGGTCAGGGAGTGCAGGGTCCTCCCACCCTAGGTCCGCTCTTCCTTTCCCCTTACCCAGAGCGGGTTGTGCGGGCTCTGGGCTCTGTGCCGGCGCTGGGCTCTGTGCAGCCGCCGAGATGGGGCTGAGCAGCGGATTTCCTCCCTGCTGCAGCTGGAGGACGATTACCTGCACTAGCCGCTGAGGCGGCATCTGGCCCTGGGTTACTGCAGCTGGTGACGCGGGCAGGGTCAGGGTTGGTTGCAGGTGGCAGCTGCTGCTAAACCCATTGCGAGCCTCAGGGTCACCAAGTTCACCGTCCTTTCATCATAGTATCTGATCTTTGGCCCGCGCCCAGAGTGCGGACTGGCCTGCGCTGGGGACTGCATAGCTTCTGGGGGCCGGTCAGCGCCAGTTTCACGTCCTCCTGCAGCTGCGTGGCCTAAGGTCTTAGGCGCCGCGGCGCTATCTGGCCCTGCTGTCGACGCTGCTGGTGGTGGGGACAGGGTCAAGGGTTGCCACTGCTGCTCCCGTGCGCCATCGGCAGGTGGCAGTTGCAGATGAGCCCACAATTGAGGCTGTTGGGGCTGCTCCCAGGTTGTTAGAGGGTCGCCGAGTTCACCGACATGCCACCCTAGGTTACGCTCTTGGCCCGCACCCAGAGCGCCGGGTTACGGGTCCTGGGCCCTGTGCAGCCACGGGGATGGTGCTGAGTGCAGGTTCCCGTCTTCCTGAGATGCGGGGCGACCACTGGAATTAGCCTCTGTGGTGGTATCTGACCCTAGGGTCCGAGCTGCTGGTGGCGTGGGCGGGGTCGAAGTCGCCTCTGTTGCTGCGGCGTGCCATTTGCACCGTCCTCTGGTACAGGCTGGTCTGTGCTGTGCATGGTCAATGTAGTCTTCTCTGGGCATTCTTCACAGATATCTGCTGGCATGGCTCATCTTCTCTTTGATTTTGCATGTATTGTCACCCACTGATGAAGTTTCTGGTCACCTGCCATTTTCCTCTAGCCACCAAGACCTCACATTCTGAGGCCAGCATGTCCCACCAGGGGCCTCCACTGGCCCTGTCAAACCAGTTGTGAGTCCCCCTCCCACCAAGCTTGGAGAGACTGGCTTTTCAGACAGCACTCACAAGCTGAGAGTAAGGGAATTGATCTCTTAGGCACTTCCCCCTGTCCTGCCACTCTGTCATTCCTGGAACACCCTATGTGCACTAGAGAAGTAAGACATCAGCCTGCATATTTTCTCATCTTTCTTTAACTGTCTATTTTTTCCTATCTATCTGTATGAGTGAGTCCCAGGAAGATGTTGGGGCTGAATACCTGATCAGAGACACAGGCAGAGCCATAGTCACATCTCCTGGGAACTTTCTTCTTCCTGTGTAATTAAAAGCTCTTCTCTTCCTCTTGTTCATAGAAATTCCCCTTACACTAAACCTTTGACTGAAACCATCCCCTCAGCTTGATAAAATTTTAGACAGGATTATTTCTGATTCTTGGCTCCTGGCCTCTTTTATTAGCATATTTTAGAAATGTTATCATTGTAAATTCTCTCTCTGCCTCTTTGATATATAAATCTTTTTAAGAGCCCATCTGCCAGTTTTACACTTCAGAAATGTCCATTTCAAGGACCTCAGAGCCATTCCTTTGAAATGTAATCCTCAAGAAAGATAACACCATTATCTCCCAGACTCCATAAGAGAGTAAGAGCCAAATTATGGTGGGCATATTGCTCTGATTTGTAAAATTACCTTCTGTCATAAAGATAAGATAGTTTAATGTTCCTTTGGAAAAAGACAACTGTCAAAAACAAGTGGCCTATGATCACCCCCTCATCCCAGCTCTTAAAATCTCTACTGCTGTTTGTTTCAGTGGAGCTGAGTTCAGACTAAGTTCTGGCCTCTTTGTCCTTTTGCAATAGCCTTCAATAACAGCTTTTTTATGTGTTTAACTTTGTCTGGTGCAATTGTTTTCTTTGACACTTTCCACCCTAACTAGAACTTCCATTAAAGTCATAGTAGGATTCAAGGCAGCCAAACTCGACTCACATACGTAAAAAAACTTCTTAGGATGTAGAAACCCATATTCTCTTCAATAAATTGTTTCTTCAGACCATTGCCTTATTAAAAGTTTCTAGTTCTTATTTTGGCATTGAAAAGCAGAACACCAATTTTTAAATAAGTCTCTGCTCACTTTTAATTTCTGCTATAACAATTTTATTGCTTTCCATGGCTGAACAACGAGAAGACCAGAACACAATTTTAAATTAAATTTTATTTAATTTTTACTATTACAATTTTATTTCTTTCTCTGACTGAAAGAAGAAAACTCGAATAAAGTAGTCTAGTGTATAAAGTGAAGACTAGAACAAAGAATAATGTCTTATTAATACATTTCAGAAAGTTACCTCCATTTAACATCAATGGTGTCATTTAATATTCTTAACTTTCCTATCAAGTAGATGCTATTATTATCTCTATTTTATAGGATATTAAGTCTTATATATTATACATAACCAGCTGAAGGTCATGTAGCATGTAGATATGATAGGAATACAAAGAAACAATGACATTAGAAGCAGAGGAGGGAGAAGGATTACAAGGCTAAACCTAGGTCAGTTAAGAGAAAAAGAAAAACTAGGAGAAGACAAATTCTTGTTAGAAAAAAAAAATGATTGAGGCAGAGCAAGACAGTGGTGCAGACCTCTCCAGCTATCGTACCCCTATAGAAACATCAATATGAACAACTGTCCACATGTGAAATTACCATTACAAGAGCCAACAGAACCTCAATACATGAACAAGGTTATGAAGCACCTTTAGCCTGTGAAGATGGGTGAAACCATGGCTTATGCAGTGAGAGAACCAATACTCTGTGACTGTGATACTCTTCCCTCAGGCCGTTATGGTACCATCTGCAGAAACTCCCACAGGGCTTATAGTTTTTACACTGAAGAAAGTGAGCAGGAGTTTGATATTTGTTTTTTCCACTATATTGAGTTCTTTCACAGTAGCCTCACTCCTGTATCAGCCCACAAGTGGCACCATGAGTGCCAAAAGGGAAGAACCACCTGAGGCATGTTAATGACATAAGAGGAGGTGGGGCCAGCAACAGCCACCATGTGAAACATAATACACAGACTCTACAGGCTTGACGGCCTGACTTGTTCTCCCCCATAGCCAGGGGCTCCCTGTGGATCACCCATGGGCCCAGCCAGCAAATGTTGCATCAGTGGAGCCATTGGAAGACTTACGTCTAACATGGGATTTGGGCTCTCTCTAACGTTAAACTGGAATACGATGATAAGTCCACTCAAAATTTCTTAATAGGCCCACTTAAAAGTAGTCACAAGCAAACCCAGACTGAGAAGACTCAAATAAACATCTAATTCATCAATGTGTAGACAGAGATGTATATCTACATATAATAATGATAGCTTAGGAAAAGTTCCCTCTCCAAATGGACAAAACAAGGTGTCAGCAACTGAACTTAAAGACATACAGATGAATGATCTGGCAGGCAAATAATTCAAAATGGCTGTCTTAAGAAGAGCCTGAACACTGAGAAGCAGAGACACAATTCAGAAATTTACCAGAGAAATTCAACAAAGAAATCAAAATAATGGGAAAAATCACATGTAAACCCTGGAGCAGGAAAGTTCAATGAACACATTGAAAATCCAACGGAAGGCATCAACAGAAGGAAGAACTGATCAAGCAGAAGAAAGAAACATTGAGCTCAAACAACAGGCTCTTTGAAAATACATGGTCAGAGTAAAATGAAAAAAAAGAATGAAAAGAAACAAAGAAAGTTTATGAGATTTGTGGGACACCAACAAAAGAGGAAATCTACATATCATTGGTGTTAAAGTGGAACTAAGAATGAAAAAGAGATAGTTTATTCAAAGAAATAACAGAAAACTTTTTAAACCTGGAGAAAGATTAAAATGTTTAGGATGGTCAAAGTGCCCAATCATATTTAATCTGAATAAGACAACCAAAGACATATTATAATTAAACTCTCAAAGGTCAAAGACAAAGAGAAGACCCTGAAAGGACTAAGAAAAAGGAAACAACACATAAGAGAATTCCATTATGCCTGGCAGCAGACTTCTCAGCAGAAGCACTACAGGCCAGGAGAGAGTAGGATAATAGATTCAAGTGCTGAATTAAAAAAACTGTCAACCATGAATAAAGTATCCAGCATAGCTATCATTTAGAAATAAAGGAGAGATTGAAACATTCTCAGACAAACAAAAAGCAAAGGAATTCATTGTAATCAAACAAGCCTTACAAGAAATGCTAAATATTGTTCTTCAAACTGAAAGGAAATGGCAGCAATATGTAGCACAAAAAATCTGAAGGTATAAACCCACAGATAGAAGTGAGGATTCAGACAAATTTGGAATGCTCTAATACGGTAATAATTGGATGTAAACCACTTATATATCCTTAGTAGGAAGGTTAAAATACAATACAAATAAAATAATAATTACAATAATTTGTTAAGGAATAGAAATATACAAAGATGTAAATTAAGACATCAAAAATGCAAAATGTGAGGGAGTGATGAAGTTAAAGAGTAGAGTGGTTTCTTTTCCCCTTTTTTTGAATCAAAATTAAGTTGCTATCTCTTTAAAATAACTTACTGTAACCATAAAATGTTCTTTGCATGCCTTGTGGTAACCACAAAGCAAAAACTTTTAATAGATACTTTAAAAATTAAAAAAAAAAGAAACCGAAACACACTGATAGAGTAAATCACTTAATCACAAAGGAAGATAGTGAAATCAATCAATCAATCAAAGTATAAATTTTTAAAAAACATGAAAACAAGTAATAATATGGCAGGACCAAGTCCTTGCCTATGAATAATTATCTTGTATGTAAATGGATTATCCCATTTAAGACATATAATGGCTACACTGATTAAAAACAAGACCTAACTATAAACTTTCTACAGGAAATTCACTTCATCTGTAAATACACACATAAATTGAAAGTGATCAGATGGAAAAATATATTTCATAAATATGGAAACCAAAAGAAAGCCGGTATAGATATATTTATATCAGATAACATATACTTCAAGCAAAATCCTATAAAAACAGACAAATATGGCCATTATATAATGATAAAGGGGTCAATATCACAAGATAATATAATTGTAAATATATATGCCCTCTATATTGAAGCCCCTAAATATATAAACCAAACATTAATAGATCTAACAGGAGAAACAGCAAGCAATAAAATAATAGTAAGAAATCTAAACATTCCACTTTCAGCAATAAACAGATTATCAAGACAGAAGATCAACAAAGAAACATCATATTTAAAATGAACTCTAGACCAAATAACTTAGTAGTCATTTACAGAACATGTTATCCAACAATTGCATAATTCACAGTCTTCTCTACTGCGCATGGAACATTTTCCATGATGGATCATATATTAGGCACAAAATGAGCCTTAGCAAATTCAAAAAAGATCAAAATTATATCACGTCTTTTCTGACAATATAGAATAAAACTAGAAATAAACAACAAGAACTTCAGAAATTGTGCAAATACATACAAATTAAACAATGTGTCCTTAAACAATGGGTTAAAAAATAAATTTTGTTTCATTTTAAAATTTCTTAAGACAAATGAAAATGAAATCAGAACATATAAAAACTTAAGAAATACAGCAAAAAAAGTCCTCAGAGGGAAGTTTGCAGAAATACATTTCTATATGAAAAAAAGAAAACTCTCATTAATAACTTAAGAATGTATTTCAAGGAATCATAGAAACATGAACAAACTAAGCCCCAAATTGGTAAAAAAGAATACAAATAATAAAGAATAGAGCACAAATAAACAAAATGGAGACAAAAATATGAAAGATCAATGAAATGAAAAGTTATTTTTTGAAAAGATAAACACAATCGATATGTATTTAGTCAGATTAAGAAAAAGAGAAGATTCACATAAATAAAATCAGATGAAAAAAGACATTGAAATGGTTACTACAGAAATACAAAGAATCATGAGAAAGTACTACAATTATATGCCAATAAATTAGAAAACATAGAAGAAATAAATAAGTTTCTGAACACATATAACCTATCAAAATTGAAGAATGAAGAAACACAAAATGCAAACAGACCAATAACAAATAATGAGATTGAAGCATTGTCTCTCAATACAAGAAAATCTGGAGGGCCTGTCACAGTATCTCACACATGTAAACTCACACTTTGGAGGCCATGGCAAGAGGATTACTTGAAGCCAGAAGTTCCAGATTAGCCTGGGGAACATAGTGAGACCCAGTCTTTACAAAAATAAAAATAAAAATTAGCCAGGTGTAGTGGTGTGCACTTGCAGTCCTAACAACGGGAGGATGAGGCAGGAGGATCACTGAAGTCCAGGAATTTGAGGCTGCAGTGAGCTATGATTGCACCACTGCACTCCAGCCTGAGTGACAGAGGAAGACCCTGTCTCTAAACCAAAAATATTTAATAAGAAGAAGAAGAAGAAAGAAAGAACAAAAGAAAGAAAGAGAAAGAAAGAAAGAAAGAGAAAGAAAGAAAGAAAGAAAGAAAGAAAGAAAGAAAGAAAGAAAGAAAGAGAAAGAAAGAAAGAAAAGAAAAGAAAAGTAAAGTTCAGGATCCGATGCTTACACTGCTGAATTCTTCAAAACATTTAAAGAGGAACTTATAGTAATTATTTACAAATTATTACAAAAAAAGTGAAAAGGAGGAAACTCTTCCAAACTCATTCTATGAAGACACAATTACCATATTCCAAAATGAGACAAGAACAGTAAAAAACTAAACTACAGGCCAATATCACTGATGAACATGAATGCAACAATTCAAAACCAGCAATGCTAGCAATCATAATTTGGAAGTGCATTAAAAAGATGATTCACCATAATCAGGTTGTATTTGTTCCAGGGAGGCAAGGAGGGCTTATGATATGTCAATCAATAAATGTGATACACCACATTTGATAAGGGAAGATAAAAAAATAGTCATTTAAATAGATACAGAAAAAGTATTTGACAAAATTCAATGTTTTTTGTAAACATAAGATCTCTTAACAAATTAGTTATAAAAAGAACATAGCTCCATAAAATAAAGGCCATATATGATAACCCACAGCCAACATGATACTGAATAAGGAAAAATTGAAAACTGTGTCTCTAAGGTCTAGAACAAGACAAGGATGTTCACTTTAATAACTTCTCTTCAACATAGCACTGGAAGTCCTAGCCAGAGCAATTAGGCCAGCAAAAGAAAAGACATCCAAATTGAAAAACAAAAATAAAGTCAAATTGTCCCTGTTTGCAGATGACATGATCTTATGTATAAAAAACCCTAAATACTCTACTGAAAAAACAGAAATAGTAAATGAATACAGTAAAGTTTTAGAATACAAAATCAGCATAGAAAAATCAGTCGCATTTCTATACCCAACAGCATACCATCTGAAAAAGGAATCAAGAAACCAATCCCATTTAAAATAGCTATAAAAAAATGCCTGGGAATAAACTAAGCCAAATAAATATGTCTAAAATGAAAACTATAAAACATTGATAAAAATCAATTGAAAAAGATACAAATAAAGGGAAAGTTATCCCATTTTTATGAATTAGAAGTATTAATACTGTTAAAATGACCATCATACTCAAATCAGTCTATAGGTCCAATACAATCTCTAACAAATTTCCAATGTAATTCTTCAGAGATGTTAAAAAAGGTTTTAAAAATCGTTCTGCGGATGTTAAAAGGATTTTTAAAACGCTTTTTTCGTTCTGCAGGCGAAGGCTGTGGCCGTGCTCCCGCCGGCCAGTTCCCAGCAGCAGCGCATTGCCCCTGCTCCACGCCTTCGCTCCAGGCCCGCAGGGGCGCAGCCCCGCGGGAATCAGCACTGAGCCGGTCCCGCCGCCGCCCCAGTGTCCGGGCTGCGACTGCGGGGAGCCGATCGCCCAGCGATTGGAGGAGGGCGACGAGGCCTTCCGCCAGAGCGAGTACCAGAAAGCAGCCGGGCTCTTCCGCTCCACGCTGGCCCGGCTGGCGCAGCCCGACCGCGGTCAGTGCCTGAGGCTGGGGAACGCGCTGGCCCGCGCCGACCGCCTCCCGGTGGCCCTGGGCGCGTTCTGTGTCGCCCTGCGGCTCGAGGCGCTGCGGCCGGAGGAGCTGGGAGAGCTGGCAGAGCTGGCGGGCGGCCTGGTGTGCCCCGGCCTGCGCGAACGGCCACTGTTCACGGGGAAGCCGGGCGGCGAGCTTGAGGCGCCAGGCTAGGGAGGGCCGGCCCTGGAGCCCGGCGCGCCCCGCGACCTGCTCGGCTGCCCGCGGCTGCTGCACAAGCCGGTGACACTGCCCTGCGGGCTCACGGTCTGCAAGCGCTGCGTGGAGCCGGGGCCGAGCGGCCACAGGCGCTGCGCGTGAACGTGGTGCTGAGCCGCAAGCTGGAGAGGTGCTTCCCGGCCAAGTGCCCGCTGCTCAGGCTGGAGGGTCAGGCGCGGAGCCTGCAGCGCCAGCAGCAGCCCGAGGCCGCGCTGCTCAGGTGCGACCAGGCCCTGTAGCTGTGACTTGGCTGTGGGGCTGGCCCGCCTCCCTGACCCCTGTCAGGCGGAGCAGCTGGAGCTGACCCACGGGCCTGGGCTTTCGAGCGCTTTGTCCAGGCGCTAATGATGGGAAGGTGAAAGGTGGGGGTGGCCACACCCTGCAGTCAGGGTGGCAGGTGTCAGAGGCCACATGCAACCCACTGGTTTTGTCTTTTCCAGGATGCTGATAAGTTTCCCGCGGCCCCCGGAGCAGCTCTGTAAGGCCCTGTAATTGCCTTTCGTTCCCTTCTGCTCTATTGAGGAGTGGGAAGATGACAAAGTGTTTTTGCTCAACCCGAAGGAAAATGCACATGGGAGGACACACCGGGTTACTATTTGAGTAGCCCAGACAGGAGAGCAGCGGTCTGCTTCAGCCATGAGACCACCTCAGGCGAAAATAGACTTGTGGTTGTTTTACTTCTTTTCACCAAATGGGTCTTTTTGGGGTTTGTGGTGTGTCCCATGTAACGATGATCTCTTGGTTCCCCTTTCTCATTCACACCCGGGAGCTGAGGTGGGGGGTGGGGGGCAGGGAGTGGCCACCTGCGCCAGGTGTGAGAGAAGCCACACCTGAGACCAGCCCCTCTGTCCTCCTGCCTCTGCATCGAGCGTCCCTGCAGGAGGCAGAAGGGGTGAAAAGTAGCCTCGATATTAAAGTGCTTGTGTGTCCCTGAGGGGGTAAGCAAGTCACAGTCGGGACACTGGTTCCTGTCATCAGGTGTAGCACAAAGAAGGACCCCAGGACATGGGGTGCAGAAGGGAGCACAGAGAGGGTGGGTGCTACTGGGGTGCACAGGCAGCTTGAGGAGGATGCAGATGGCAAACTTCCCTTTGTCACGCCAGGTGCATGTTTAGGGCCGGAGGACCACCAGATCCCCAAAGCCTCCGGTGCTTCTGAGGCAGAGGAGAGGCAAGGCCAGTGGCTACCGGTGTCCAGGGACCTGGCAGCCACCACTGAGGCCTATCTGCTTGTCCCTCAGCCCACTGGCGGCCACACTCCAGGTCTCTGGGCTCTGCCTAGGACGTGTGTTTGGGCTTCTCTCCCGAGCAGAAATCATCTGCGTACCCTCTGCATCCCATGGATTTGCTTTGTTTCTGAGGGAATAATTAAGGAATGTTAGTATGACATCCGAAAATAGCTAATTATGGTGAAGAGCTAACAGGGCGATCTGGGAAGTTGTGGAGCTCTAGTTAGTGATGACAGAAGAGGAACATATTTGACTGTTTTGTGCTACACCCAGGTTCTCAGGAGGTGGCAAGGGAGGAGACTTGGCACTGTGCCATGCTCAGAACCCCTGGTCCCAGGGACTCTGTTTCCCTGTGGGAGTTTGGATGAGAGACAGTTGGCTGGGAAGCTCAGGGTGGAGTGAGGAAGAACAAGTTGAGGTTCTTGGGTTGGAAAGATCTAGTACCCCAGGAGGGGCTGGATGTGGCCTGCGCCCACCCCAAACTCACACACTCTGTCATGCTCACACAGACACACACACTCACACACACTCATAGGCCCAAGCTCACACACCACACTTACATGGCTTATTCACACACTTACACACATTAACACACATACGCACTCATATTTACACATCCACACGCAGTTATATTCCACATACACACTCATACTCCCAAGTTCAAACACCATTATTTCTTCACAAACATTCACACAATAACTCACATACACACTCTCACACATGTACACACTCACCCACACACTCTCCATTACACACATTTACCTGTCTGTTCTCACACACATGCACAAACACAAAGCCAAATTAGAGCCATTTTCCTGGTCCCACACAAAGAAAACTGATACCTCAGTTTCTTGGTCTTGACCAGAACTGGGTGCATGATTCCATCCAACCACAAGGTGGGGTGGGAATGAAATCCTATCACGTCCTCAGGCCGTGGAGAAAAAAAAAAAAAACTATGTCAGGCCTCTCTAATGCCTCCCACAAATGAGCAGGAGGGATTGAAACAGAAAAGGGGTTCCTCCTGACATGTGGCATTGATGGAGCCCGGTTCTGCCTCATGCCAAGCCCTGCCTTGCCCCTCGATGATGGAAAATGGTTGTGTGTCTTGTTTCCTGGCCCCCATCTCTGTCTCGGTACAGAGTAGAGATTTGAGTCTCAGTTTCAAAGACAGGAGTCCCACTAAGCTGACCCACCCACTGACAGATGAAATCTTGCCATCTGCTGACCAAGTTCCCCAAGGCCCCTTGAGACTCAATTTCTGAAGAGGGTCTGCTCAGAATTCCCCGTCCCCATGATCTGCCCGGCTGTCGGGACACTGGTGAGCCTGCTCAGTGGGGAGTCCCTTTTCAGCTCAGTCAGCAAGCGGCTCTTCTCTATAAAGAGGCAGGGGATGAACCTCCTCTCTAGTTTTAGCAGCAGAGGCCATGAGACCCATGGCAGAGGCCAGAGCTGTGCAGGCTGTAGGAGGTACCATGTCAGGGATTTCAAACGGAGGAAGGTACTTTCCAGAGAGTACTGCAGGGAACCAAGCCATATCCACCGTAGCTGCAATAAAGCCTCTGAGGCTCAGCTTAAACTCAATCTTAGAAATGAAGTCCCAGCACAAGCTTTGCAGGATAAGCAAAATCTAGAGAAGAGAAAATGCAGACCCAGTCAATGATAAATATAAGTCATCTGGACCAGCACAGAGCAGATACAGTGCCTTCTCCACATGCAGTGAATGAGGTTCTCACGTCTGTTAGTGTGTGGAATTGAACATCAGTATCAGAATCATTCTGTGTTACCTACAGCTGGTTTTATGTTGTTATGCCTGTCACCTGATGAATGTGTATCTTTAGCCAACCCTTTCACCCCAAAGCTCCTGCCCCAACCCCTCCTCCTGGAAGTGCCCATCGCTGGTCTCGGCAGGAGGCTGTTCTTCCCAGCCTGTGGGGTGGCCACCTTGCAGGCTGTAACCCTCTACAAGAAATAAAGTCTTCTCTCCTTTTCCAAATTTCGATATTCACTTAATCCTTAGCTTCTATTTTTCAAGATTTTAAACTGCTTTTAGGTCATGGCCTCTTCTCTGTAGGGTCTGGAGGCTGAGAGATGTTCAGCAGGAAAGAGCTGCTAACTAATTCCAGTAGCACTGCTCTTCTGCCTAACGGAGGTGTTTAAATGTTGATTTTGGCAAAATCTATGAGCAGGTTGCTCCCCATCTCCCGAGATCTCTCACAATACTTTGTAAAACCCAATTTAGCGCATCGTCTGTGAGAGCAGCTTTTACTGGTTCTGCAGCGATCTTCCTTACTCATAATCTATTGAAATATTGTAAAGCGATGCAGATTTGTGGCATGTGAGGAGAGCATGTAGACACACACTCCGCTGTGATTCAAAGTGCCCTAACACCTTCCTCTTCCCTACAGGCTGTGATAGGAGGGTGCTCTGGGTCACTGAAGAAGGGGAGTCATAAAGGAGCAGAGGCCCCACGTCGTGAGTGCCATCTCTCCTTGAGTGTGGCCTCTTGTTCTAGCCCACAGGCCCACCATGGTCTGACTAAATGCTGGCACTGCTCATACATCCACTTTTAAAAATTGAGTTGAACATGAGAACATGATCATTCATATTTTATCCATTTGCATGTATTCAATAACATCCTTTCCCTGTTCTCATCTCTGCTTTACTGCCTTTTTCTTTAAAGAATGAATGTTTCCATGTTTTATATCCACAGAATTTCTGGCTTTTCCCTTTGGAGTCCAAGGAGCAAGGGCAGAATGAGGAACAGGATGTTTCTTACAGACTCATGAGGCCGCAGCACAGAAACTGCAAGAAATGTCAGTCATAAAGTGTCCCAGTGCATTTTAAATTGATGATTATTAAAATCCTTCTTTATCTATAGGGGATCTAAAAAATTAAACAACTCATAATTTAAACACGGTTGCCAGGTAGCCTGAGTCAAAAATCAGGAGAGGCTCTGTGGTCTGAAGTCTCCTATTGCTCACCTTGATGAGGGTCTAGTTGCCTAATGGGTTGGTGTAATGATGTCATTCAACACAAGCAAAACACAACTCCCTTGGAGTTGTTCAAAAAATCAGGAAATAGAAAAAAAATAAGGGAGAATAAAATATTGACAGGAGAGAAAAATGAAGAGTTACTTGGAGATTTGAAGGAGGTGAAATGGGCAAAAAGTAAATTTAGCAACTAGAATTTAAAGTCAGTGGATAATTAAGTCGAATAATTTATTCTTATGTCCATGTACTTTGGTTTTAAAGTTTTGATTAATACTCATTCAACACTAATTTCTAACAAATTAGAATATTTCCACATTGTCTATTTTTACCAGTGAGCTTGTAATAAAGATCCGCTAGTAATTTTAGTACATCATAACCTTTCAAAAGAAGCCCATAGAATAAACTAATTTTTAAAGAGTCACATTTTATTCAATGTCTATTTATACATGTTACTAGCAATAAACTCTTTTATCTTTAATTTTGAGAAGCTTTACAAATACAGAAAAGTAGAATGACTAATAGAGCCGGTAGCCAGGACTCAGATTGGAAAAATAGGTCTAATCGGTTGTTACACTGTGTTTATGTCATACATTTCACTTATTTTTATCAAATAAAAATTAGAATTTATAAAATGTTGATTAAAAGGAAAACAGTAAAGTTTAGTCCCATGTTTCTTCCTCCAAATCTCTTTGTTCTACATTAACAGGTCAGGAGAAGTATGGATGGGGAGGCTGGAAAAGGGGCATCCTTCCCCATGCGGTCCCCAGAGCCACCTTCTCCAAGCAGGACTTGGGGAACAACCTCCTCCATCCAGGACCTAAGGGGTGTCCTTTTCTGTGCTTCCTTGGATGGCAGCCTTTCCTGTGCAGTCATTCAGAAAGTCAGGCTGACACATGTTGTCGTCTTGAACTCTGGGTGAATCCCTTCATGTTTATAGTGATTTACCATTAAATCACTGTGCCGTTTTTTCCTAAAATATATGGGGCGTGTTTTTTGTTCTGAGTTATCTTAGTCCTTTGGTCGCTAGCTCCAGTTTTTTGTAATTTCTTTTGCAACCTAATATGTGTCCCATTTGGTAAGTATTACATATACTAGAAAATGACGTATATTCAGCATTTGTTGTGATTTTAAAACCTTTTATAAACACGTAACATCTTTGTCTATTTCCCGTTTAAATTCAGAAGTATGGGTTCCAGCGTCCCTCTCTAGACCTGCTCTATCCTGTTAGTTTCTTTGTATGTCCTGGAGGCGAGGCCAGCATTGGACTTGACGTTGCTTCACCTACTCGGTTCTATTGTCCATCCATGTGCAGTGTCTATCCTGTTGTTTATTATTTCTTCCTTAAATTTTATTTGAACTAAATTAATTTTGTGATAGCAGCTTGCTTTCTGTGAATATTTACTTAAAATTTTTATAAAATTTTTATTTTTTTATTTCTTTAATTTGAAAGTGCTGCTTTGTTATTGATAATTTTGTATTTTAATATATGAGGTTAATCCCTCTATGTTTGGTAGGAAAAAGTGATATATTTGAACTTATTTCTATCATTTGATTTTGGATTTTGTATTTGCAAAGCTTTATCCTCAATTCTCTTTTCCTTTTTTCAGATTTCTTTTCTTTTCTCTTTTTTTGGGGGGACAGAGTTTTGCTCTTATTGCCCAGGCTGGAGTGCAATGGGGAGATCTCAGCTCACCACAACCTCCGCCTCTTGGGTTCAAGCAATTCTTCTGCCACAGCCTCCAAGTAACTGGGATTACAGGAATGGACCACCATACCCGGCTAATTTTGTATTTTTAGTACAGACAGAGTTTCTCCATGTTGGTCAGGATGGTCTCGAACTCCCGACCTCAGGTGATCCACCCACCTTGGCCTCCCAAAGTGCTGGGATTACAGGCATGAGCCACCACGCCCGGACTTCCAGATTTATTTTCCATCAACATTTCATTTTCCACTTCCTTCCTATGCTGGCTTGCAGGCTTTCCAGGCTATTTACCTTTATTTAGTGTCAAAAATTCTTTTGGGAACTTTTGAGTTGTCAACCAATAGTTGTAAGCATATTGGATATTGCTGTTTTTCTCCTGGTGCTCTGGTTATAATCTCTCCTATTAATACCTGTAGTCTTATTGTTGTAGTTATTTTTTCTATTGATTTCTGAGATATAATAATTAGAATTGTCAAATTGTGGATTTATGCATTTATCTTTTTAATTCAATAACTTTTGCTTCATGTATTTTGCTGTGTTTCTTAGGTGCATGCATGCTTATGCTTATTAGGTTTTCTAAGCAAATGGGCTTATTGGTATAAAACATCCTTCTTTATCCCTGGTGATGCTTGTCTTTCTTGCAGTGTGTCTTACCTGCCATTAATACACTGGCTGCAGTTTTTGATAAAAAAGATTGCATAGTGTATATTTGTCCATCTTTTCAGTTCGAATCTATTTATATCTTTATCTCATAAGTGTATTTCTTTTTAAAAGTGGATATTGAGGTTTCCTTTTTACCTACTTTGACAGTCTGTGTTCCGCCTTCCTGATCTTCTTCTGGATTATTGCAGTTTTGGTTTGTTTGTTTGTTTTATGGGGTTTTCTTTTTTTTTTTTAGTATGGATTTTGTACCCTGTTTTTTTTTTTTAACTATGACTTTGTTTCATTTATTTATTTTTGGTGAGTTGTTCAGAAATTAAAATATAAATACTTAATGTATATTAAATATCATAACACTGTATATAAAATATAAAAACCTTACCTTACCATCCTCTCATCTTTTGTGCCATGTTGTCATAGATTTTTCTTCTGTACGTGTTGTAATTCCTGGAGGATGTCATCCAAACAGTAATTTCCCCTCCACATATTTACTATTTTTGGCACATTTTCATCTTTTCTGTGAACTAGAATTTCCAATTATTATTTTTCTTCATCCTGATCAAGTTTCTTTTGCATTTATCGTGGTTTGGGTTCGATGGCAACACAGTCTCACAGACTTTCTTTAACTGAAAATGTACTTTTCTCAACTTCAGTTCTGAAGGCTGCTTCAGCAGGTTCAGAATTCTAGGGACACTTTTGACTTTGAACAGCATCTCTGGGTACCATCTAACATATTATTATATCCAGTTGTGTCAAATCTGTCATCGGCCATAGAACCCTTTGACAGGTGCTTCTTGTTGCTTCAGTTCTAAGTATTTCATAGTCTTCAGAGACATGGAGAAGTAGCAGTGCTAGTAACAGTACTAGTGAAACCAGGTTAAGCCCTAAAATAATTAAGAAGCCATTGCATGCACACACGTGAACGTTTGACTTCAGCTAAAATGCTTTCAAATGTACTATTTTATCTTTATACAAGGCCATAACACAAATTACAATTTTAAAAATACTTTCACTTTACATATGTGAAAACTGCAGCTCAAAGAATTTAAAAGACAAGATTGAAATCCCATGAGTAGGTAAAGATGGTCAAGTCTGGAGCCCGCATGTCTTGGTGCCCCCCACACCCTGTTACAGAGAGTGCGAGGCTTCACCAGAAAGCTCTTTCGGCTCAAGGATTAGCTCTGGGGAAGTGCAGCAGGCAGGCCTGCTTTGCAACCTTTTTTCCAGCAGAAATCCAATGTTTGTTCACGTTTCTAGTTCTTTTAGTTTTGTTTTGTTTCTTACCAGTATGGCTCTGGGAGTTATTTACAAAATTTAATTTTAAAAGAGACACTCCCCATCATTAGGGTTCCTTGGAAACTTATAAAAAAATAAATAAATACTGGTAGATGAGAAACTTCTGCAAAATTGTTAGTTATATGTGTAATACATCTAATTGTAACTAAAGAAATGTGTATTACGGTAATAATTTAATTTATTATTGTCATTTTCTTGCCAGATTTGAGGGCATTTTTTTAAGCTCTCCACATGTGGTTTACTGTGGACCAAACACTGGCAGCTTCAGGCTTACAATCTGCTGACAAATCCTTCTTAGTTCGTTCACTTTGAAGAATGTGAGCATGCACTGCTCATGTGCGTGGCAAGCATGCAACCTGATCAGGAGAAGGACAGTGGCCACTCACGTCATCAGGTGAACTTGTGACGAGGCCATCAAGAGGCTGCACATGTGCTCCAGAAAATGAAATTCCCACTATCAACCTATTTTCCATTTCCACCCAATGGCCCACCCCTGCTCCAAAGCCGTGTCTCCACCTCTTAGGAATGCTTGATTTTCAGTATTGCTGAACAGGGGTCAAAGAAAACAAACTGAACAAAGAAACAAATAAAGCCTTTAACCCGGGAGCAAAGACACAGCACCTCCCCACTCCGCAACAGCTCCAGAGCTGCACAGCTGCTGCCAGAGCCTGAGCACAGGCCTGAACTCTGGCCCATGGATCTCACCAATGCATTTCTTCCCTCTGTGCCAAAAAAAGTATCGATAAATGGGATTCATTTACTTGGGACGTAAAATAATGTATACCTATAGTTTTCTCCCAGAACTGTGTAAACCGGCATGCTGTCTGCCACAATACAGTCCTCACCCTGCATCAGGAGCTCAGATGGGGGAAGCCAGCAGGGCTGGATGCCTGAGAGTCACAGGTGCTTGGAGGGGAGAGAAAAGCACCACGGAGAGCCAGGCCCTGCCTACAAGTCACATTTCTAGGGGTCTAATGGTCTGGGCAGGCTGGGAGATGCTCTCTAAAGGAAAGGCAAGAAATATTGCCCCACGTCTCCCACCACCAAACAGAAAGTGCAGGTGGTCAGCCCCAGGGCTCACCTGCCCTTTGCCAGGGTCATGAGTCAGGCCCAGGCTGCGCCCTCCACACAATCCTCAAGGAGAGTTCCTGCCAGGCTGGGACAACTGCACTGGGACCTGATGCCCTGGGAAGGACAGGGTTGCATTTAACAGAAACAGCTAAACCTGAAGGGATGAGTTTGCCTTTCCCCGGGGCCATGGGATGGTTTATAGAAAGTTCTACCCATCAGGACAAGACCTCACATGACACCATCAGAGGAACTGATTTCACGCCACAGAGGGAGGAAGAGGGCACATGCCATAGGTCCACTGGTCACAGCACACACATGCTCCTGGGAGCTTCAGACCCAGCAGTGTGGCACAGGTGCCAGGTCAGGATGTGGGAGGACACAGTGTCTGCATGAATCTGTCACCTTTGTTAGCTGCCTTGTCCCACCAGGTAGAAGATGTGGCAATTGGAGCACAGCAGTAGGAAGCCCAGTGTCCCCCAACCTTCCACATCATACCCAGGACCTCTGAGGTGCATCTATATCCTGCACATCTAGGCTCTGAAAAGCAGGAGGTCCTGGTTTCCACAGCTGTGGGGCTTCTAGCCAGGGCAGGGCCAGGTTCTCTGAAAAAAACAAGCTCTGGGTGCTGCTTTGTCCTCAGGCTGCTCCTCCATGGGACCTGCGGGCAGAAAAATGGGTACCACCTGGACCATGGTGTCAGCAGGAGCAGGGCTGCGCTGCCTGGGGAAGAAAGGGCTCCACGCAAGTACCTCCTGGTACACAGCACTTGATGGCATGTGGACAAGTGCGGGAGCCCTAGACCAAGGACTCTGTGGTGGGCAAGGCTGAGGGCCCCTTAGGGGTGAGGGCCTGGGTTACACCACCAGGGGGTCACCAGGACCCTCAGCAGAAGGTGGAGGGGGTGGTGATCATTACCTGTGCAACCCTGAGATGGGTGGCAGCCACAGAACCTAGGGTTCATTGAACCCCCCTTTTGTAACTAGTGCCCAGGAAAAGGCCTAGAATTTAATAAAGACAAGGCCCCTGTCAGTGGAGTGCTGGATGGGGCGCACCCCCTGGGGCACACCTGAACCTCCCCCAGGGCCTTGGCTGTGAGCTTTGATTGTAGACACACCTATGCCACGGCCCCTTCAGACTGCTCCCTTCACCTCTGAAAAACCAAACAGGATGCTTCTGTTCCTGGAAACGTGAATGCCCTTCGTGTGTTTTTTACTTTGACTAGAAACTCATCTGCAGCTGAAATATATGCAGAGACCTCGTGTGCTCCCAAGATTTCCAGGCATCTCTGAGAGTTTGCTTTTCAGTTCCCAGAAGGTGTGAGAGCTCCAAAGCATGTGCTGCTGGTTTCTCAACTTAGTGTATTTTAGCTCCCTGTGGACAGCATGTTTCTAGCCCCCTTGCACACGCTTGGATCGGATTTTTGAAAAAGCCAAGGGTGGGAGGCAGAATGATGTGGAATGGGCAGAAACTATGACTAAAGGCTGGCCTCATCCCAGGAGGAGATAGAATGCATTAGCCCAGTGACAGTGCCAGGGAACCCATGCGGCAGCCTAGGGAAGGTCATGGAATGGAGCTGGGGTTTCGGCTGTCACCATCCCAGGGTTAGACTCAGCCAGGTGAACAGCTGATTCTCCTCCACAGAACCCTTGGGCTGGCACAAAACATGCAATTCACAGTGAGAGAAAGACCATTCCTGTCCACCCCTTGTAGCCTCCACACACCTGAGCCCATACCTGACATATCCCAGAACAAGACTCCACAGCCATGCATCTGTTCTCTCCAGGGCATTTCATGATGAGAGAGGGATTTACTTAATATGATGAAAATAGAAGAGGAAATGACCTTGACAAGTACATAGTTCCACACCCGCCATCCAGGGCCTAGGAATAGTGCTCAGCCAGGGCCCGGCCCTTCTAGGGCTCTGGGAAGCTGCAGTGAAGGTGGGGTTGGGACAAGCAAGAGTGGCCATTTGCAGGCAGTGTGGGCACCAGGCCATCTGCAGGGGAAAAGCCCAGTGGGAGGATGAGACGACAGCAGAAACCTCGCAGGGGCTATGCACCCCCTCCCCGTGGGAAGGGGATACCCTCCCAGGTGGAGCCACTGTTTACATTGAAATCACTCAAGTCCATCACCAGGAAACACAAAGAGGACTGTCTTGCCAGAGATTAGTGATCTGGGACTTAAACAAAATGCCAGTCAGCAAATGAGAGGATTCTTAGTTCCACAGGCCTCATGTCTATAGTTGCAGTAAGCAAGACTGAACTCAGCCATGCTCACCTGCAGACACTGAGATGCTTGCTAGGAGGCTGTGGGGTGGAATACAAGACACGAGGGCTGACAAGGATGGGAAGAGCATCCCTTTCCTGGCTAGGGGCCTTGGCCAATTCAAAAATAGATAACATGGGGTCTCAGAGCTCCTGAGGCAAGAGCTACGTAGGCATTCAGAGATACCTGGATGATGGCATTGTCTTCAGTAGAACCTTGAAAAAGCACCAGGGACTCCCAGGCAACTTAGCTTAAATCTGTCTTGAGTAGAGCTGGTCTTTGGGATCTCCATCAAGTGGGTGATGCCTTTACCACCATGATAGCACATTATAAAGTTGGCCTTGCTAGCAGCAGGGACAGGCCTGATGTCACTGATCCTGAGGCAAGCATCTTATAAACCCATATAATTTAATTTTGCAAAGGCTCAAGCTCATCACTGAGATCATCCTTTGTATGATGATCCATGAGGCCACCGTGAACAGCATGGATGGACCCAGGCCATGGAGGGGCCCTCTTCATCCTGGATGAGGAGCCCACAGTGGCCATTGCCCCTCAGTCAGAATAAAATCAAGACAAAAGCAATCAGAAGACCCATACACCATGAGGCTGAGCCATTTTTCAAAGATGTCAAAATAGGAAAATACTAAAATGGAAGAAAACCCAGAATCCCATCCCCTGACTTGCTCCAGAGGCCTCCCCAACTCCAGGCCACCAGGAGCAGGGGCCCTGCAGAGGAACTCTCCCTGGGTAGAAATTCGCTGGTTTTTGCCTTCCACCAGATGTTGGCAACTTCAATTTCATCTTTTTTGGCATTAGAGCTAATGTTAAAATGACTCAGGTCAAAAAAGAGTGATGTGCTGCAGCCCTGACAATGCTCCCAGTGAGAATTTGTGCAAAACTCTTCCCTGGATCTACAAAACCAGGTCCAGGCAGGGTGTTGGGGCTGTGACGACTGCATCTCTGCCTCCTCCTCTCTGCAGTGCGGCCTCTTCACAGGCAGAGCATTCATTCCTCTTTAGCTTCTCACCAGCCCAGGATGCAGGGAAGAAGTAGCTTATCAGCACAGTCTTGGAATATTTTTACCTTACCAGCTGGGCTCCTATGAACAATGTGTCCAGCTATAGGTAAACAATGTGTGCAAATAATGTGAGAGTGACAGCACCATGTCAGAACCATGCAAGAAGCTGGCCAGAGGCACAAGCAGCAGATGGGATGCTGATGGGGGTGACCAAAATACAGTATGGGGCAGCTGCGTGCCATGATCAATCTGCAGGGGTAGGGAAAAAAATAACTCTCGGCCTGGCTAACATTTGCATGTGAGAACATTGACCCAAGTCCCCAGGAGAACGTTGAAGAGAACCGCGGCTTATTGTCAAAGGGAAAAGTAACCGCAGAGTTTTCTTTCTGCTTCTAAGCAGATGGGAGGGGTGTAGCCTGCAGAACCAAGGGTGTGGGGGTCCTAGAATGTTGTTGGTGGTTGTTCAGCAAAGGGCTTCACTTCTCGGCCTGCAGAACTTTCCGCCCGTGAGTGTGGGTTACATCTATACATACACAGGAAATCATATACTCCCACTCAGCCACCCACATCTAAACATGGTAGTATTAGGAAAAATAGGAAAGCAACATCCTACTAGATTACATTGTTTACAGTGAAACCATTTAAACCCCTGACCCTCTGTGTCACCAATTAACACTGCGTGTAAGGAGAATGCCTGCCCCGTGGGGGTTTGTAAAGACAAAATGTAAAAATAAAATGTAGGCTGGGTGCGATGGCTCACGCCTGTAATCCCAGCACTTTGGGAGGCCGAGGAGCACGGATCACGAGATCAGGAGATCGAGACCATCTTGGCTAACATGGTGAAACCCTGTCTCTACTAAAAAAATAAATAAATAAATAAATAATAAATTATAAAATAAAATGTAGTGTGCTTGGTAAACTAAAGTTCTAAATAAATATTAGTTGTTACTATTACTATGTCAGAAGTACTAGTCACAAGACTGGAATACTTCACTTGAATAAGAACTCAGTGCAAAGAAGTTGGACAAATCGGTGAGTTTGAAACTGCAACAGGACTAAAAATATGCCAATTAATTTATTAATGTATTCATATTTATTAACTTATTTATATTCAAATGAATTAAATATTTAGTGCATGCTTGGACCTGGGAACACACAGCCATCAGTGCCACACGAACTCTGTCCTCACTGCAGTTGTTTTCAGATGACCTCAGAGGAAAATAAGAGGGAAACCACTGGCAATTTCCTTCCGTTGATACCTTAGCTGACTACATAGCTCATGTTAGGTCGGTCTTAATGAGGAAATCAGAATATTCGGGGTTTCAGTATTAAAACTACAAATCTCTATAGCAAGCATTCAGAGCTCTTTGGATTAGACATCAGTGGCTGCAGTAATGTTACCTGAGAAACCCACACACTTTCTGAACACTGGCATGAGTATCCTTTCCTTTCGGTCCACTATATATGGAAAAACACTTTCACCCATCACCCTAAGTGTCCCAAACTGCAGAAGAGGCAGATAGTAGCCAGCTAGTCCCTGTCAAAGGCCCATTGCCTTTTTCTGGGTCAGCCTGGTCCACCCAGCCTGAGGTGCTCTCTGAGACAGCCTAGCCACCACGCCACATGCCCTTCAGCCTAATCAGAGCATCAGGATGCTGTGCACGGCCATTAGCTGGGGTGACTCAGAATTATCTGCTGTAGAACAGGGCTCTGAGTGAAGGATGTGGTCACTCAGACCACGTAGATGGTTCAAGCTCTTACTCCTCTGTCAGCTCAGAGCCTGCACAGTGGAAAGGAAGTGCATCTATTGATTTCTTGGCCAAAAGAACTAGTTAATACATTTTTAAAAACTTTGACATTTTGTTTTAAAGCAACAGTGGGCCTTGTTTAACTAAAATCTCATTTCTCCAGCCTAATTTTGCTGGAAAGGCCCCAAACCAAGGCAAGCCCCTGGAGGAGAGAGAGCAGCTAGGATGCTGGCACCAGATGGCTTTGTTCCCCAGCCTTCAATATACTCAGTTAGAAAATAACCACATCAGAGGTTTGATAAGATTATCCCCCAGGCCATTTTTCAGGTCTAAATGTTACCATATTTTATACGAGAATACGGTATTTGAATCAACTCTCAGGGGACCCAGCCTTCAGGAGACACTGAAGGAATACAGACATTTTTTCTAGCTTCAAAAGCATGGTTTGCAAACTGGCTTGTTCTTTGCCGGAGAAAACCACACACGTGGCCATTGACGCCCTTGATTGGCAGAGTTGATGGGATTTTCTCTGGCTCTCACCTTGAGGGCATCATCAGCATCCTGAAGTCACTTGCAGGCCTCTGTGCAGATGTCCTTTCGAGGGGCTTCAGGCTGTGGAAGTGACCAGTGAACACAGGACCTGCCTGGACTCCCAGCCTCACAGCACAGCACCACAGCCTGGACTGCCCTCTGCCTGATACTTGCTTGGTTTGGAACTTTACTCCATCAAAGCATCCAAATAAAAATATGTAGACTCCCCACCCTATCCCATCTGCTATAGGGTTCTAATTCCCCCACAGCCATCCCATCACAGTGCTTTCCCCCATGACGGGGGACCCCTGCCCTGGACTCCATCCCTCCCCTACTGGAAAAGCACAGGTGCTGTGGCATGAGTTCAACCGACTGAAATTCCCTGATCTTCACAGTAATAATTCTAAAATAGGGCAACAATACCCCTGTCAGTGTTCTTGGAAGAACCTCTCATTACTTGAGGCCCCAGAAATGCAAACACCCTCCTGTTTTCCAGTGTGCTGTCAACCCTGGCATCAGAGCTGTTCCTGCCATGGACACTGGTAATTGACTTACTGGAGAAAGTCAAGCTTTTAAGTCCCAGGAATAAAGGGTTCCTATTTCCTTAAGCTGTGTTTATTTTTACACCATTGCTGGTAGAGTCAATGTGTACTGAGTGAAGATGAGGCAAAAGTGTCAAAGAGTGATTTCCAATAAGATGAAAAGTGATCTGCAGTTTCCACTTCCTTAACCAGCAGGAAACGTCTCTCCTGTA
This sequence comes from Homo sapiens, assembly GCF_000001405.40. NCBI lineage: Eukaryota > Metazoa > Chordata > Mammalia > Primates > Hominidae > Homo > Homo sapiens. The sequence goes on from NC_000021.9 coordinate 13,720,542, forward strand.
GCATCGGACAGTGGAGGCAGTGGCGCTCAGTGTGGGGCCTCCTGGCTGAAGGAGGGGACAATATGGTGTCCCATCTCCCGAGATGCTGTATGCACCTCACCTGGCTGGTGATTTACTTGAAAGAAACCCATGTGTGGAGTAGGGAGTGCTGCCTTTGGCATCTACCCATGTCCTGCTCTGGACTCTGCCTCTTAGCAAGGGTGACTTGTGGGCCCAACTCACCTGGTGGCTGTGAGCCACTGCACTCCAGCCTGGGCAACAGAGTGAGGCCTTGTGTGAAAATAAAATAAAATAAAATATAAAAATAAAAATGAGCCAGGAATGGTGGCTCACGGCTGTAATCCCAGCACTTTGGGAAGCCGAGACAGGCGGATCACATGTGGTCAGGAGTTGGCGACTAGCCTGATCAACATGGAGAAACGCTGTCTCTACTAAAAATACAAAAAATTAACCTGGTGTTGTGGCTCATGCCTGTAATCCCAGCTACTCAGGAGGCTGAGGCAGGAGAGTCGCTTGAACCCAGGAGGTGGAGGTTGCAGTGAGCCAAGTTCCCGCCATTACACTCCAGCCTGGGCAACAAAAGCGAAACTCCGTCTCAAAAAATAAAATAAAAGACTTTAAGTCATTCATCAATTTTATGTATCTACTATTTCTTCTCCCATTCCATAAAGCCTACAGTCATACAACAGAAAGGGAAAATCAGGACAGCCACATATAAATAAAGGTGCAAAGTTGAGGCAGGAGTGGACCTTAAGGGCCAAGCAGAGGTCATTGCTGAGCCCTGGTCATTTAGCCCTGGGCTTTCTGGAAGCCAGAGTGAAAAGAGAGACACAATCAGCTGCATAAGAGTTATCAAAAAGCAGGAAGCGCGCTGGTTTTCCTGGTACTAAAGCAAGGGCTTTCCAAGAATTTACCTCTAAAGTAATTTCTTTTGTTCTTTCTTTTTTCTCGCTCTGACACCCAGTTGGAGTGCAGTGGCACAATCAGGGCTCACTACAACGTCTGCCTCCCAGGCTCAAGCCATCCTCCCACCTCAGCCTCTCAAATAGCTGGGACTACAGGCACGCACCACCATGCCTGGCCAGTTTTTTGGTATTTTTTGTAGAGGTGGGATTTTGCCATGTTGCGTAGGCTGGTCTGGAACTCCTGAGTTCAAGCAATCCACCCACCTTGGCCTCCTAAAGTGCTGGGATTTCAGGCATGAGACACTGCGCCCAGCCTAAAGTAATTTCTTACTTGAGATTTTATTTCAGGCTACTGTGTCATGCACTGGGCAGTACAGCCTGGTGGGTGAGAGCACAGTGGTTTTTTTTGTTTTGTTTTGTTTTGTTTGTCTTCTGGGTTTGGGTTTGAATTTTAATACGTGCAATTTATTCTGTGCTTCACTTTCTTCATCTGTAACATGGAGATAACGGCGTCTACCTATTAAAGTTGTGAAGATTCAATTAGATGAGTTGTATGAATAAGTGTTAGCTGTTATTTTATTTTATTTATTTTTTTGAGACAGAGTCTCGCTCTGCGCCCAGGCTGGAGTGCAGTGACGCAATCTTGGCCCATGGCAACCTCCGCCTCCCGGGTTCAAGCTATTCTCCTGCCTCAGCCTCCCAATTAGCTGGGATTACAGGCGCCTGCCATCATGCCCGGCTAATTTTTGCATTTTTAGTAGATCCGGGTTTTCACCATGTTGGCCAGGCTGGTCTCGAACACCTGACCTCTGGTGATCCACCCGCCTCAGCCTCTCAAAGTGCTGGGATTACAGCCGTGGGTCACTGCGCCCAGCCAGCTATCAAGAAATCCGACTGCCTACTACTTAGCCTGCACAGTTTCAGGTGCTGGGGAAATAGTGATGAACAAGACAAACAAGATCCTCATCTTCAAGTAGCTTTTACATTCTAAGTGGAGTGAAAAAACAATAAACATTGAAAATAAATTTCAGAAAGTGCTGTGGAAAAACTTTACAACAGATGCAGGAATAGATTTCATTTGACTAGTTCTCCCAGTTTCCAGAAAAATCAAGGGTAGAATGTTAAAAGGCAACTCAGAGGTGAATCTGTTAGGGCCTACGGTAATGCAATCCTGGTTTGTGGAATTCCGCAGGCTAGTGTGGGTAGGTTACAATTTTGGGGGGAGGGCTTTATTTTGTTTGAAAATTCACTTCTTCCCGCTAAGCTTTTGATTAGGAGCTGAAGTTGAATCAGTTTGAAATTGTATTCTGGATCGAGTGCGGTGCTTCATGCCTGTAATCCCAGTGCTTTGGGAGGCCGAGGTGGGTGGATTGCTTGAGCCCAGGAGTTCGAGACCAGCCTGGACAAAATGGCAGAAACTCCATGTCTACAAAAAATACAAAAATTAGCCGGGCATGATGTTCTGCGCCTGTAGTCCCAGCTACTCAGGAGGCTGAGGTGGGAGGATCGCTTGAGCCCAGGAGGCGGAGTTTGCAGTGAGCTGAGATGTCACTGCATTCCAGCCTGGGAGACAGAGCCAGACTCTGTCTCAAAAGAAAAAAAGAAAAAAAAAAAAGAAAAGAAAAAACGAAATTGTATTCTGAATACATCTTCTAAAACACTACATTTACTTGCACTATATTAAACTGGTTTTATCCTGACCACAATTGCAGGTGAAAGATACCACTGTTGTTCTATTTTTCTGGTAAGTAGAGTGAGCCATGTCTTCCCCAGGGAAAGACGCCTCCTAAAAATTTGTAGGACCACCTTTGGTTTTCTTCCAGATATTTTTTTTGTCATCGCTTTTCCTGCGCCCAATTCCCATCTGTCTAGCCCTTCTGCCTCCGCTGGTCTTTTTCGCGAGCCTCTCCCCAGCCGCAGGTATTCGTCTGGGCTGCAGCCCCTCCCATCTCCTGGGGCGTGACCACCTGTCCAGGCCCCGCCCCCGTCCAACCCGCGGAGACCCGCCCCCTTCCCCGGACACCGGGTTCAGCGCCCGAGCGTGCGAGCGCGTCCCCGCTCGTCGCCCGGCTCGGCGTCGGGAGCGCGCTCTGTGTGGTCGCTGCTGCAGTGTTGTTGTGGCTGTGAGAAGGCGGCGGCGGCGGCGGAGCAGCAGCCGGACCAGACTCCCTAGTAGCTCAGGCGCTGCCCTGCGCCGGCCCTGGCAGGGAGCCTGGTGAGATGGTGGAGGAGGAGGCTGTGCCGTGGCTGGCCTTGCTGTGTCCTGCTGCCTGGTTAGAACCCCATCCCCGTCCCCCGTCTCCTCCGGGGGGTGAGGAGGAGCTGGAAGAGGGGCCGGCCTCTGTCCGGCCCGGCCAGGCGGCAGTCACCCTCTGAGGAGGCAGCGCCCGGGGAGGGGCCTCCCAGGCGGCCGCCGCCGCCAGGGGGAGGCGCTGGGAGTGGGAGTGGGAGCGGGACCTCAGCTGCCAAGCTCGGCCCGGACCCTAGGTGCGGGGGAGGCGGGGTCCCGGGCTCGGGCTGCCTGCCCGGACCTGGCGGGGATGGGCCCGTGCGGCTCCGGGTGTGGGACGTACCCTCAGAGCGCCCGGGGTTATTCCCACTGACTCCAGGGAGGTGAGTGTGCGCCCTTCGCTCCCTGCCGTGTCTGTGAGGGTCCATCGTTGCCGGAGACTGGAGGTCGGGGGCCATGGGAGCCCCGGGGCGAACGGTGCGGACATGGGCCTTGTGGAAAGGAGGAGTGACCGCCTGAGCGTGCAGCAGGACATCTTCCTGACCTGGTAATAATTAGGTGAGAAGGATGGTTGGGGGCGGTCGGCGTAACTCAGGGAACACTGGTCAGGCTGCTCCCCAAACGATTACGGTGTTATTTCTCCGGTAGAAATTTTGCTTGGTGTATGGCACTTCCGGACCCATAAGATGATGTCAGTTGTATTTTGGGCTGGAAAAATTATGTCAAAATTATGGGGTAGATTTTATGGACACATTAATAGACTCCCCTGGAGTTTGATAATCTCACTTGTGAGTTTTGGACATGAACTACTATTACATATTGATGTTCGAATGTCGTTTCCAGACCCAGACCTAAATTCTTACTGTTCTAGTATCTTGATATCCACTTTGTTTTCTGACATCTATTTTTCCACAACCCAAACAAACAAAACCCCAAAACCATATACTTTTCCAGTTGAGGTTCAACTTTCTCACAGTAAATCCCTGCCCATCTGGGATTACAGGAGTAATAGCAACACAGTGTGTGTTTATAGATAGCAGCAATAATACATTTATTATATATAATATAATAAATGTATTAATATTATATATTTGTATATATACAAATATATATAATTACATATATTTATTAAATATATAAGTAAAAATTTATTATATATAAATTTTAATTTATATATAAAATTACATATATAGTAATATGTATTGAAATACATATTACTATAAATGTAATATGTATTGAAATACATATTACTATAAATGTAATATGTATTTCATTTGTGTATATGTCAATATACACAAATGGAAGCAATGACTACGTAATAAGTGCTAAGTCTTTTTTGTTCTTGTTGTTTTGAGATCAAGTGTCACTCTTGTTTCCCAGGCTGGAGTGCAATGGTGCAATCTCGGCTACTGCAACCACTGCTGCCCGAGTTCAATCGATTCTCCCCTCAGCCTCCCAAGTAGCTGGGATTACAGGTGTGTGCCACCACACCCGGCTAATTTTTGTATTTTTAGTAATTTTCCCCAGTGTGTGGCTTGGCTTTTCACTCTCTAAATGGTGTCTTTTGATGAACAGAAATTGTTAATTTTATGAAAGTTTAATTTATCAATTATGGTTAGTTATAGTTATGTACAATTTGGAAAATCATTGCCTATCCCAACATTATAAAAATAATGTCCTACATTCTTTTTTAAGAGGTTACATTATTTTACATTTCTCAGCAGGGTCTCAGATCTAGTTGATGTGATTTTTTCAAATCACAAACTCACTTTTGTATAGGGTTTGAGGAGGGGTCAAAATAAATTTTTCCTCATAGATATCCAGTTGATCCAGCACCTTTTATTGAAAAGGCCATTCCTCACACTAAATTGTAGTAGTGCTTTTGTCAAAAATCAGGTGACTGTATATAGAAAGGTCTGTTTCTGATCTGTTTTCTGTTTTATTATTCTAGGTGTCCATGCTTGTTCTAATACCTTACTATTTGATTTACTTTAGCTTTATACCAAGTTTTGATGTTTAATCATGTAAATCCTCAACCTTTGTTCTTTTTCAAAGTTATCTTGGCTATTAAATTCTTGGTATTTCTAAATATAGTTTTAAAACAGTGTCAGACAATGCTTTTTTATTATTTAAAGATGAGATACTAAGTACCTGAACACAATGACAAATTCTATGATCTTCTGAAACTAACCTCCGGGTGTGAGAATTTGAAGGTTAGTGGATAGAAGATGGCCGAATAGGAACAGCTCCGATCTGCAGCTCCCAGTGAGACCAACACAGAAAACAGGTGATTTCTGCATTTCCAAATGAGGTACCTGGTTCATCATCATTGGCACTGGTTGGACAGTGGGTGCAGCCCACAGAGGGTGAGTTGAAGCAGGGCAGTGTGTCACCTCATCCGGGAAATGCAAGGGGTCAGGAGATTTCCTTTACCTATCCAAGGGAAGCTGTGACAGACTGTACTTGGAAAAATGGTACACTTCTGCCTAAATACTGTGCTTTTCCCATGGTCTTAGCAACCAGCAGACCAGGAGATTCCCTCCCATGTCTGGCTCAGTGGATCCCACGCCCATGGAGCCTTGCTCACTGCTAGCACAGCAATCTGAGATTGACCTGAGAGGCTGCAGCCGGGTGGAGGGAGGGGGGTCTGCTATTGCTGAGGCTTCAGTAGGTAAAGAAAGCAGCCGGAAAGCTCAAACTGGGTGGAGCCCACCACAGCTCAACAATGCCTACTGCCTCTATAGGCTCCACCTCTTTGGACAGGGCATAGCTGAACAAAAGGCAGCAGACAACTTCTTCAGACTTAAACATCCCTGTCTGACAGCTCTGAGAGAGAAGTGGTTCTTCCAGCATGGTGTTGGAACTCTGAGAATGGACAGACTGCCTCCTTAAGGGGGCCCCTGATCCCCGTATAGCCTGACTGGGAGACATCTCCCAGTAGGGGCCGACAGATACCTCATACAGGTGGGTGCCCCTCTGCGATGAAGCTTCCAGAGGAAGGATCAGGCAGCAATACTTGCTCTTCTGCAGCCTCTGCTGGTGATGCCCAGGCAAACAGGGTCTGGAGTGGACCTCCAGCAAACTCCAACAGACATGCAGCTGAGAGGCCTGTTAGAAGGAAAACTAACAAACAGAAAGGAATAGCATCAATATCAACAAAAAGGACATCCACATTAAAACCCCATCTGTAGGTCACCAACATCAAAGACCAAAGGTAGATAAAATCACAAAGATGGGGAGAAACCAGAGCAGAAAAGATGAAAATTCCAAAAACCTAAGCACTTCTTCTTGTCCAAAGGATCGCAGCTCCTCACCAGCAACAGAACAAAACTGGACAGAGAATGACTTTGATGAATTGACAGAAGTAGGCTTCAGAAGGTCGGTAATAACAAACTTCTCTGAGCTAAAGGAGCATGTTCTAACCCACTGGAAGGAAGCTAAAACTCTTGAAAACAGGTTAGATGAATGGCTAACTAGAATAAATAGTGTAAAGAAGACCTTAAATGACCTGATGGAGATGAAAACCACAGCATGAGAACTTCGTGACGCATGCACAAGCATCAATAGCTGATTCAATCAAGTGGAAGAAAGGATATCAGTGATTGAAGATCAAATTAATGAAATAAAGTGAGAAGACAAGATTAGAGAAAAAAGAGTAGAAAGAAATGAACAAAGCCTCCAAAAAATATGGGACTATGTGAATAGACCAAATCTACATTTGATTGGTGTACCTGAAAGTGACAGGGAGAATGGAACCAAGTTAGAAAATATTCTTCAGGATATTATCCAGGAGAATTTCCCCAACCTGGCAAGGCAGGCCAACATGCAAATTCAGGAAATACAGAGAATACAACAAAGATACTCCACGAGAAGAGCAACTCCAAGACACATAATTGTCAGATTCACCAAGGTTGAAATGAAGGAAAAAATGTTAAGGGCAGCCAGAGAGAAAGGTCGGGTTACCCACAAAGAGAAAACCATCAGACTAACAGCGGATGTCTCAGCAGAAACCCTACAGGCCAGAAGAGTGGGGGCCAATATCCAACATTCTTAAAGAAAAGAATTTTCAACCCAGAATTTCATATCCAGCCAAACTACGCATCATAAGTGAAGGATAAATAAAATCCTTTACATACAAGCAAATGCTGAGAGATTTTGTCACCATCAGGCCTGCCTTACAAGAGGTCCTGAAGGAAGCAATAAACATGGAAATGAACAATCAGTACCAGCCACTGCAAAAACATGCCAAATTGCAAAGGCCATCTACACTATGAAGAAATTACATCAACTAAGGGGTAAAGTAACCAGCAAACATAATAATGACAGGATCAAATTCACACATAACACTATTAAATGTAAATGGGCAAAATGCCCCAATTAAAAGACACAGACTTGCAAATTGGATAAACAGTCAAAACCATCAGTGTGCTGTATTCAGGAGGCCCATTTCACATGCAGAGACACACATAGGCTCAAAATAAAGGGATGGAGGAAGATCTACCAAGCAAATGGAAAGCAAAAAAAGCAGGGGTTGCCATCCTAATCTCTGATAAAACAGACTAAACCAACAAAGATCGAAAGAGACAAGGTCATTACATAATGGTAAAGGGATCAATTGAACAAGAAGAGCTAACTATTCTAAATATATATGCACCTAATACAGGAGCACCCAGATTCATAAAGCAAGTCCTTAGAGACCTACAAAGAGACTTAGACTCCGATGCAATAATAATGGGAGACTTCAACACCCCAATCTCAATAGTAGATCAATGAGACAGAAGTTTAGCAAGGATATCCAGGATGTGAACTCAGCTCTGCACCACATGGACCTAAATAGATATCTACAGAATTCTCCACCCCAACTCAATAGAATATATATTCTTCTCAGCACCACATCACACTTATTCTAAAATTGACCACATAATTGGAGGTGAAACATTCCTCAGCAAATGTAAAAGTACAGAAATCACAACAAACTGTCTGTCAGACCACAGTGCCATCAAATTAGAACTCAGGATTAAGAAACTCACTCAAAACTACACAATGACATGGTAACTGAAGAACCTGTTCCTGAGTGACTACTGGATAAAAAATGAAATGAAGGCAGAAATAAATATGTTCTTTGAAACAACATACCAGAATCTCTGGGACACATGTAAAGCAGTATGTAGAGGGAAATTTATCGTACTAAATGCCCACAAGAGAAAGCAGGAAAGATCTAAAATCAACAGCCTAACATCAAAATTAAAAGAACTGGAGAAGCCAGAGTAAACAAATTCAAAAGCTAGCAGAAGGCAAGAAATAACTAAGATCAGAGCAGAACTGAAGGAGATGGAGATACAAAAAACCGTTCCAAAAATCAATGAATCCAGGAGGTGGTTTTTTGAAAAGATCAACAATAGATAGACTGCTAGCAAGACTAATAAAGAAGAAAAGAGAGAAGAATCAAATATGCTCAATAAAAATGATAAAGGGGATATCACCACCAATCTCACAGAAATATGAACTACCATCAGAGAATACTATAAACACCTCTATGCAAATAAACTAGAAAATCTAGAAGAAATGGATAAATTCCTGGACATACACACCCTCCCAAGACAGAACTAGGAAGAAGTTGAATCTCTGAATACACCAATAACAGGTTCTGAAATTGAGGCAATAATTAATAGCATACCAACCAAAAAAAGTCCAAGACCAGATGGATTCACAGCTGAATTCTACCAGAGGTACAAAGAGGAGCTGGTACCATGCCTTCTGAAACTATTCCAATCAATAGAAAAAGAGGGAATCCTCCCTAACTCATTTTATGAGGCCAACATCATCCTGATACCAAAGCCTGGCAGAGACACAACAAAAAAAGAGAAATTTAGACCAATATCCCTGATGAACATCAGTGCCAAAATCCTCAATAAAATACTGGCAAACCAAATCCAGCAGCACATCAAAAAGCTTATCCACCATGATCAAGTGGGCTTCATCCCTGGGATGCAAGGCTGGTTCAACGTACACAAATTAATAAATGTAATCCATCACTTAAACAGAACCAATGACAAAAACCACATGATTATCTCAATAGATGCAGAAAAGGCCTTCGACAAAATTCAACAGCCCTTCATGCTAAAAACTCTCAATAAACTAGGTATTGATGGAATGTATCTCAAAATAATAAGAGATATTTAAAACCCACAGCCAACACCATATCGAATGGGCAAAAGCTGGAAGCATTCCCTTTGAAAACCACCACAAGACAAGGATGCCCTCTCTCACCACTCATGTTCAACATAGTGTTGGAAGTCCTGGCCAGGGCAATCAGGCAAGAGAAAGAAATAAAGGGTATTCAATTAGGAAATTAGGAAGTCCAATTGTCCCTATTTGCAGATGACATGATTGTATATTTAGAAAACCCCACCGTCTCAGCCGAAAATCTCCTTAAGCTGATAAGCAACTTCAGCAAAGTCTCAGGATACAAAATCAATGTGCAAAAATCATAAGCATTCCTATAATGTTGCCGGAAGTCAGGGACCCCAAACAGAGGGACCGGCTGGAGCTGCAGCAGAGGAACATAAATTGTGAAGATTTCATGGACATTTATCTGTTCCCAAAATTAATACGTTTATAATTTCTAACACCTGTCTATACTGCAATCTCTGAACATAAATTGTGACGATTTCAGGGACATTTATCAGTTCCCAAATAGTACTCTTTGAATTTCTTATGCCAGTCTTTACTTTAATCTCTTAATTCTGTTATCTTCCTAAGCTGAAAATGTACATCACCTCAGGACCACTATTGTACAAATTGATTGTAGAATATGTGTGTTTGAACAATATGAAATCTGATTGTAAAACATGGGCGTTTGAACAATATGAAATCAGTGCACCTTGAAAACGAACAGAATAACAGCGATTTTAGGGAAGAAGGGAAGACAACCAAAGGTCTGACTGCCTGCGGGGTCAGGCAGAATAGAGCCATATTTTTCTTCTTGCAGAGAGCCTATAAACAGATGTGCAAGTAGGAGAGATATCGCTGAATTCTTTTCCCAGCAAAGAATATTAATAATTGATACCCTGGGGAAGGAATGGATTCCTGGGGGGAGGTCTATAAACAGCTGCTCTGGGAGTGTCTGTCTTATGCGGTTGAGATAAGGACTGAAATACGCCCTGGTCTCCTGCAGTACCCTCAGGCTTATTAGGGTGGGGAAAAGATCCCGCCCTGGTAAGTTTGAGGTCAGACCAGTTCTCTGCTCTCAAACCCTGTTTTCTGTTGTTTAAGATGTTTATCAAGACAATATGTGCACAGCTGAACATAGACCCTCATCAGTAACTCTAATTTTGCCCTTTGCCTTGTGATCTTTATTGCCCTTTAAAGCATGTGATCTTCGTGATATACTCCCTGTTCATACATGCTCTCCCCTTTTAAAGTCCTTAATAAAAACCGGCTGGTTTTGTGGCTCAGGGGGACATCACGGACCTATTGTTATGTGATGTCACCCCCAGAGGCCCAGCTGTAAAATTCCTGTCTTTGTACTCTTTTTCTTTATTTCTCAGGCCAGCCGACACTTAGGGAAAATAGAACCTACATTGAAATATTGGGGGCTGGTTCCCCCGATACTATAAACCAGTAACAGACAAACAGAGAGCCAAATCATGAGTGAACTCCCATTCACAATTGTTACAAAGAGAATAAAATACCTAGGAATCCAACTTACAAGGGATGTGAAGGACCTCTTCAAGGAGAACTACAAACCACTGCTCAATGAAATAAAAGAGGACAAAAACAAATGGAAGAACATTCCATGGTCATGGATAGGAAGAATCAACATCATGAAAATGGCCATACTGCCCAAGGTAATTTACAGATTCAATGCCATCCCCATCAAGCTACCAATGACTTTTTTCACAGCATTGGAAAAACTATTTTAAAGTTCATATGGAACCAAAAAAGAGCCCACCTAGCCAAGACAATCCTAAGCAAACAGAGCAAAGCTGGAGGCCTCACGCTACCTGACTTCAAACAATACTGCAAGGCTACCGTAACCAAAACAGCATGGTACTGTTACCAAAACAGGTTATATAGACCAATGGAACAGAAAAGAGGCCTCAGAAGTAACACCACACATCTACAACCATCTGATCATGGCAAACCTGACAAAAACAAGCAACAGGGAAAAAATTCCCTATTTAATAAATGGTGTTAGGAAAACTGGCTAGCCATATATAGAAAGCTGAAACTGGGTCCCTTTCTTACACCTTATACAAAAATTAACTCAAGATGGATTAAAAACTTAAACGTTAGACCTAAAAACCATAAAAACCCTAGAAGAAAACCTAGACAATACCATTCAGGACATAGGCAAGGGCAAAGACTTCATGACTAAAACACCAAAAGCAATGGCAACAAAAGCCAAAATAGACAAATGGGATCTAATTAAACTAAAGAGCTTCTGCACAGCAAAAGAAATATCATCAGAGTGAACAGGCAACCTACATATTGGGTGAAAATTTTGCAATCTACCTATCTGACGAAGGGCTAATATCCGGAATCTACAAAGAACTCAAACAAATTTACAAGAAAAAAAACAACCCCATCAAAAAGTGGGCAAAGGATATGAACAGACAGTTCTCAAAAGAGACATTTATGCAGCCAACAGACACATGAAAAAATGCTCATCATTACTGGTCATCAGAGAAATGCAAATCAAAACAACAATGAGATACCATCTCATGCCAGTTAGAATGGCAACCATTAAAAAGTTAGGAAACAACAGATGCTGGAGAGGATGTGGAGAAATAGGAAAGCTTTTACACTGTTGGTGGGAGTGTAAATGAGTTTAACCATTGGGGAAGACAGTGTGGTGATTGGTGATTCCTCAAGGATCCAGAACTAGAAATAACATTTGACCCAGCAATCCCATTACCGGGTATATACCCAAAGGATTATAAATCATGCTACTGTAAAGACACATACACACGTATGTTTATTGCGGCACTCTTCACAATAGCAAAGACTTGGAACCAACCCAAATGTCCATCAGTGATAGCCTGGGTTAAGAAAATGTGGCACATATACACCATGGAATACTATATAGTCATAAAAAAGGATGAGTTCATGTTCTTTGTAGAGACATGGATGAAGCTGGAAACCATCATTCTCAGCAAACTATCACAAGGACAGAAAACCAAACACTGCATGTTCTCACTCATAGGTGGGAATTGAACAATGAGAACACATGGACACAGGAAGGGGAACATCACACACCGGGGCCTATTGGGGGGTGGGCAGCTGGGAGAGGGATAGCATTAGGAGAAATACCTAATGTAAATGATGAGTTGATGGGTGCAGCAAACCAACGTGGCACATGTATACCTATTTAACAAACCTGCACTTTGTGCAAATGTACCCTAGAACTTAAAGTCTAATAATAAAAAAAACAAATTTAGTGGACAAAGTGAGTAGCTATCTTTTCTGCTTTCATCTCACTAAACCTAGTTTAATAATCAGATTGCAATAACATAATAAATTTTATAGTAAGATTGTATGTAATTACCTATATATTGGAAGACAAGGGAAAATTTATAACTGTGAGTGCTGATGAAGCTAACATATTACCTGCATTTTGAAGTGTGAATGAACATTCAACAGGAATGCACTTATTTCATGGAATAAGATGTAAGATGTAAGAGATATGAAAGAAAAATATGAGTAATGTAATAAGTAATGCTTTAAAAAAAAGTAGGGAAGCCATTAATGTACTGTGACTGTTACATTATGTTCAAAATGAGAACTAAAGCCATATTCAACAGATGCCTCCCACACTTTTATCATACTCTTCTTATATCTGTACTTTTTTTTTTTTTTTTGAGACAGAGTCTCTCTCTGTCACCAAGGCTGGAGTGCGATGGCGTGATCTCAACTCACTGCAACCTCCGCCTCCTGGGGTCAAGTGATTCTCCTTCCTCAGCCTCTCGAGTAGCTGGGATTACATGCATGTGCCACCATGCCCAGCTAATTTTTTGTATTTTTAGTAGAGATGGGGTTTCACCATGCTGGCCAGGCTGGTCTCAAATTCCTGACCTCATGAACCGCCCGTCTCAGCCTCCTAAAGTGCTGGGATTACAGGCATGAGCCACCATGCCCGGTCTTAGATCTGTACTTTCTAACAGAGCAACACAACCAGCATTTCTAACAAATGCTGCAAATCTTAAAGACGATGGTGTTCAGCATAATCTAAGAATACAGAGCATAAAAACCTATTTTGGAAAAAATATTAAAAGCATAATGGTAAAATTCAACACTTATTTTTAGAACCTACTGTGTGCCAGGCACTTTAAAAAATGTTTTTAATACAAGGATGAGCAAAATTGGTGAAATCTCTGCCCCTGTGGAGTGTCCAGTCTAATGAAAAAAACAGCAAGTTAAGAAGCAAATGCATAATATAGTGTTAGGTTGTGATAAGGGCTATGTGGAAAAAATAAAGTGTGGTTGAATATAGAATGACACAATGTGTGTGTGTAGAGAGTATTGTTGGAGAGAAGGCTCAGAAGTGAAAGAAATGATGAAAGAACCACACCAATATCTGATGCAAGAGGGAATAGCCAATCAGAAGCCTTAAGGCTGCAAGAGCTGGGAGGTTTAATAAACAGCAAGAAAAATAGTGCCAAAGTGATATAGAGTGGCAGAGGGAAAAGTAGTAAGTAACAGATACAAAAGATAAGCAGGGCCTAGATTCCCTGTGGCCTGGGAGATAATGGTGAAGACTTATGGATTTGTTTCATGTGGTGAAAATCTGTTGTAGAATTTGAGCAGGAAATGATGTGATCTGATCTACGTTTTTGAAAGAATCATTCTGGCTCCTGTTTGGAAAATAGCTGGGATTGGGTTGGAAAAAAAAAAAGTAATGGAAATAGAGGGAACAATCAGAAATGACTGCTGTAATTTAGAAGAGAGATAACGGAAACATGGCCTCGGGTAGTATCTACAAAAAAGGTGAGAACTCGATTTAGGATGTGTTGTGAAGGTAAAGTTGACAGGCTTTGCCAATAGAATGGATTTGGAGTGTGTAAAACATAGGGAATCCAGGCTGATTTTTAAATTGAGGGCCAGAGCCACTGGATAGTTAGAGATGATATTTCCACTAAGACTGGAAGTGAGGGGGAGCATCATATTTGGGGCAGGGAGGAATCAAAGTTTCTGTTTTGAGTGGTTAAATTCAGAATGCTTCTCAGATATCCCAGAGGAGGTGTTAATTTGGCAGTCAAGTATCTGAATCTGGACACAGAGGGGAGGTCAAGGCTGGATGTGTTAGTTTAGAAATAACCAGCATTTGGGTAAGATTAAAACCTATGATATAGGATAAAATTATCTAGAGAGAGCATTTACTCAGAGAACTCTCAATATTCAGGAACACAAGCCTATCCAGACTGGCTCAGGATAAATAAAGTTTTATGTAGAAGACAAATAGTTGCCCATGTAGAACCAAAGAAAAGGCGCAAATAAATACAAGCCCATCATCTCTCTTGGTTACATAGAATACATGAGGCAGTAAAGGATAAGGATTAAACTTTCAAGATGTGAATGTCTTGAATTCAGATGTCAAACAGAAATGAATTTGAATCTGTTTCCCACCAGCCAAATGAGTGTTTGATGAAGATGACCATGATGATGATAATGACTTACATTTCTTAATGTTTCCCGTATGTATGTAGGACTTTTAAACTTGTTCCAGTACAGGTAGGGAAAGAAAATTCACATTAGTTTATTCACACACATATAGAGAGAGTTGGGGTATCTGCGTGCTGCCCAGGCTGGGCATTTGAGCCCATTCCTGGGCTCAAATAATCCTCCTGCCTAGGTCTCCCAAAGTGCTGGGATTACAGGCATGATCCACTGTGCCCTGCCCTAAATATATTTTATATATAGCAGGTAATAAAACAAGAACATGAGGATTACAATTTTTAATCACAGAGGGAAAGATTTTGTGAGAATAACATAATTTCATATTCAAACAGCAAGTCTTTAGCTAATTCTTTGATTAAAGTATTGACAAAACCATTTTGAAAAATGTTTCTGAGGCACTTTTACCTGTGAAGTTTTGAAAGATCTACACTTTTTTTTTTTTAATGTTTTTTTTTTTTATTATACTCTTAAGTTTTAGGGAACATGTGCACATTGTGCAGGTTAGTTACATATGTATACATGTGCCATGCTGGTGCGCTGCACCCACTAACATGTCATCTAGCATTAGGTATATCTCCCAATGCTATCCCTCCCCCCTCCCCCGACCCCACCACAGTCCCCAGAGTGTGATATTCCCCTTCCTGTGTCCATGTGATCTCATTGTTCAATTCCCACCTATGAGTGAGAATATGCGGTGTTTGGTTTTTTGTTCTTGCGATAGTTTACTGAGAATGATGGTTTCCAATTTCATCCATGTCCCTACAAAGGACATGAACTCATCATCATTTTTTATGGCTGCATAGTATTCCATGGTGTATATGTGCCACATTTTCTTAATCCAGTCTATCATTGTTGGACATTTGGGTTGGTTCCAAGTCTTTGCTATTGTGAATAGTGCCACAATAAACATACGTGTGCATGTGTCTTTATAGCAGCATGATTTATAGTCCTTTGGGTATATACCCAGTAATGGGATGGCTGGGTCAAATGGTATTTCTAGTTCTAGATCCCTGAGGAAAAAAAAAAAAAAAAAAAAAAAAAAAAAGAGAATAGGCACAGAAGTGAATTTGCCTTGTAAACTTGACTTCTGAGCTGCATAAATATTTTACGTAATTACAAAACAAAAAATAAAAAAGCAATTTTTACAAATCTTGTGTGTTCAGTTAGGAGCACACCTTCACAGAGAGGAACTCTTCCCAATGGCTTTAAGGCACAATTGTTGTTGTTTTTAAAAATATCTTAAATAAATTTTTATTTTTATAGATTTAGAGGGTACAAGTGCAGGATTGTTACATGGATAAATTGTGTGGTAGTGAAATCTGGGGCTTTTAGAAGACACAGTAATTTGACTCTCCATCCCTAGTGCACAAAAAAGAATTAAACAATTTCCAGTATTCAGGATCCAAATGAAGTTCATACAGTGATTGTTTGAAATAACTTTTAAGTCTCTTATAATCCATATTTCCACATTTCTTTCTTTCTTTTTTTAATTTATACATTTTTCTGCTTATTGAAGAAAACTAGTTATCCTGTAGTTTTTCCTACAGTCTGAATTTTGCTGTTGCATCACCATAATATAGAAATAAAAATGATGTATGATATTTATGAGCTAATTGGAAATGTGAACATAGACTGGTTATTTAATGATATTAAGAAATTATTGTTTATTTTGTCAGGTGAGACTATACTGTGGTCTTATTAAAATGAGATATATACTGAAGAAAAAAAAAAAAAAAAGAAAGATCTACACTTGGTAAATTTAGCATCTTTTAATTTTTCTTCCCCTACAGTAATTACAAAATTCTGGAGGGGGAAAAATGTAATATTCTCCAGGAGTGAGAATGGAAGACAATACTTTGAGCTATACTAGACATAATCATTTTTGTACATGCACTTTCAGAAGAGGTCCCATGCTGTGGACTGAACTTGAAACGAAATACAGTAATTGTCTCTGGCATTAAATACCCATAGGCATATTTTTACAAGAACATACATTAGTATATGCCTGCTAGATACATAACAATGTGTGAGTATATTTTAAGAGAATCTTAATGTGACTAACAAATAGCAATCAAATTGTTCACAATTTCAGGCTCAAAATTGAAAAGAAGAGGAATTTTTTTTACTAAAAAATTATATACACAGAAAGAGTGATTCAAAGTTGAGCATTAATGCAAATTAGGATGAAATACGAGAAGTAATCCTTGCCAACCATCTGCCTAGCTTCTCCCCACTTCTACCCTTCCCTAGCAGGGGTGAGCTATTTTACCTCCTGGGGAGATGGGAAATGACAGAGAGTGAGAGGCTAATCAGAAGTTTCAAGCACCCCCTTCTCTAAAAGCAGGAGGCTGTTGGTGAGTACTGGAATTTTGTTTTTCTAATTTGGTCTTGAGGTTTCTCTCTGGAAAATGGCTGTGAATTCTAACCCTGCACTGAAAGGGCTCCAGTATTTGGGTCATGGATGTCTACAGTGACTTCTTTATCCTAGTGGATGGCCTAATGCCTAAGTGTTGCCTAGTGCCTAAGCGTCCAACCCATGACCAGGTGTCCCACTCACAGGAAACATGCTTATACCAGCAGGCACCCTCGTGGCTCTTGTCTGACCTATGTCCAGTTTATTTCTACCAAGATATCCATTGTCTAGGAGAGCTTTCCCTTGGAAAGAAACTAGGTTCAGGTGTGTCAGTCAGGTGAGATGCAGAGGAGGCGATGCAACAAAAACCACACAATAATAGGAGGAGTTTATTACTTACAGATTAGAGAAAAGGGCAGCACTCCTTGCAGAGCTGATGGGAAAGCAGAGCCATTCCAGATATACATGCTCTACCAGAACCACAAAGTGCAGAGCAAAAGAGAGAGTGAGGGACCTGTGTGCTAAAGCTTTTATTGGAGTCCAGGGTATTATTAGGTGGGTTTCCATGGGAGTTCTAATTTGCGAGTTTAAAGCAAGCTGTTCCAAGTCCTATGTGGCCACGCTGTTACTGAGAGGTTGTCGCTGCAGCATATCTGTACAGTCTATGGGGGATGGAGGAGTCAGTGGGGTAAGCCAATAGGTGGTACCTAACTGTCCCTTAGGGAAGGTGGTCAACAGCAGACAATTGTATAAGGGAGATATCTGGATTGACCATATTAAGGAACTGGGATGAAACAGAGAACTGGAAATTGTGCCAAGGGTGACTAAACCATGTTTCTTGTATGAGAAAGTCCAACTTATATTCAAAATGAATGCCAAGGCAATATAAAATTACAGGAATTCACTACCATGCACCCCCATGCTCCTGAATTTTCAAGTCCAGACTCCCTATATGTAGCTGATAATATGGGTGCCAAGTAATCTGGAAATTCCTGGAATTTCTGCTGCTAATTGGAAATCCCAGCCCATTTCTTTCAAGGTAATCTGTCTTTGGGTCCAAAGTCAGCATTTTATGACACTTAGGTGCTCTCATCAAAGGTGTGTGTATGAAATGGCTTAAGGAAAAAATAGACACAGAACAGCTTGCCTTTGCCCTGTAGAGCTCTCAGGTAGGTTCAACCCATCCTGGGAATTGGAGTGATTTCAGATACTCTGAATGCCTTTGGTTCCCAAACTGCCATGGGCTTGCTGGTGGAACAAAAACAGACCTTGATACCCTTACTATGAATTATATATATGATTGGCTAACTGAAAGCAAAACCATAATGGAACATGACTGCAGACACGTATATATTCTCCAGGGGTTCCATGTTTTGTTGGGGAAAACATATCTCACCAGGTGAATGGCCTCAATGGCTGAAGGCAGCATGAACCCTAAACTCTTAGATACTTGGATAATTCATTGGGAACAACAACAGACAGAGTTGAAGCTAGTCTTTAAGAATATTCCCTACAAGCCAGCACAGGCAAAAATCTTTCAGGTATAAAATTCTCTTCTTTCTTACTGTAGTGTATCTTTGGCAACATGGGTATACAGACTATGGAAAGCTTAAGAATGTAAGTTACATTTTAGTAGCTCTGTTGGTGGAATATATATGTGTCCAAAGAGCTTTCTTAATTGGATGTGGGCTTACCCTGTTCTACTTTAGTCCAGATTCCTTGTTATTAAGCTTTTTATTGCTGCAGCATATTCTCTAAATATAATTTACTCCTGATAATAATTAATCAACATTACAGAAGAAAGCTATAAATATAAGGTGATAATATAAAATATATATTTATATGTCATATATTACATAGTAAATAAAATACATGTTAAATCAAAATAAAATAGTATTATAGGCTAAAATATATATGTACACATAAACATTTAGTGTAAATGTGCATATAAAAGGAGAAAAAAGGAAATACATTAAGATGATAATACTGTAGGTAGGTAGGGAGATTTTGGTAGTTTACTTTTTCACATATTCCAAAATATTTAATTACTATTTTATAACTTACATAAATTGTAGAATAACTTCTCTTGTTTAGTAACAGCATAGAGAGGGGTAAAACTGGCAGAAATGGATATGTTTGATCAATGTTGATCCTTCAAACTACAGTGATCCACTTCTGAGAACAGGGACTCATATTTAATGAGGGAGTAAGCCAGGTTCTTACAGAGCGTGAGATTCAGCTTCTCCTGTCATGAGATGGGGTCAGGCTCTGGGCCAGGAGAGCAATGGCCAGCTTTGGAAGCTATATCTCAGGTCACATTCAAAAGCACACATTTCCAACTCTTTTCCCAACGCTGCTTTTGTCACATTAGAATGAAATTTGCCCTCTGTGTTGAAATATTCTATAAAAAACACAATCTTGCTTAAGTTAAAATTTAAAGTTAGCTTGTCTGACAGCTGGGATGTAAAGAGACAGTGAAAGGATTCTGACTTTTGGCATTGTCAGCAGTTTCCCTTGAGAGTGGAGCCCTGTCTTTCTGCAACCTGCAGCTCTCGCTTTCCTGCTGTGACTGAGCCAGTGGGATCGTCGGCCAGGAGAGGGCGCCTCACTCAGTGAGACATAAATCCAACGCACCCTATGAGGGCACTAGGAAGGTGAAACGCAATCCTCACCTACACTTGCTCTGCTCTCTGCCGTTTCAGCATTCCACCTTAGGGCGTCAGGCTTAACTTTGCAGGTGTTAAATCTCCGTGTGTCCATGAAACACTTCAAGTACTATTTCAGCAGCTTGGAGAAATCCCAAACACAAGTCAGGAAGTTATCTCCGTCAGAGGCTTGCCGCCTCACCCCTGCATGGCTCTCAGAGAAAGCTTCCTTTCTGTAAGACACATTCCAATCATCACACTGTGGCTAAAAGGCTAAATATAGGAGAGACATTTGCCAAGATATAGCAAAGCCGATGTTGGTTTGCCTAGGCAATTTGATAAATGATGATTGTGTGCAGGTGGTGCCTAAATAGACCATAGACTACATATTAAGATAACTTATGAGGTCTGCTGGAGAGAATGGGAAAGTGGGTGTGTGTGGATGTTTGGCACAGCCTGGGGCTATGGCTATAAGAACCTGAGTCTAGGATTTGCCATAGAATATTCTGTGAGCAAAAAAGACACCTACTTCTCAGTTATAATCCTCATAAGAATTTTTATAATATTTTTTAAGCTGTGCAATCCACAGCTGTGTAACTGAGAAAAATCACTTAACCTGTCTGAACCTAGGTTTCCTCAAATATATTCAGTCTGCACTCCCAGGACCTCACTTTAAGAGAAACCTGAATCTCTTGAGCACGAGCATGTGGATGGGTGTTATTCCCTTCCTGCACACCTTCTGTGCTTCAAAGAGAGAACTTATGTAACCTTTTTCCTCATGTATCCCTGCTTTGAAACCTGTAAATTTCTATCTTTCTCTGCCCCTTTCTGACTTCTTTTATTATTATTTTCAACCTCATCGATTTCTTCAAATTACTTTCCATCCACTAAATATTTCTAATGAGCCCTGTACATTTTTCTGTACCACTGTGGAAAAAAAGTAAAATAATTTCTGTCTTAACAAAGGATTGCCGCACCCATCTGGCATTAAAAGGAAGAAGAAAAAGCGGGACACATTAAAAACAATAAGCGTTGATTTCTCTGGCTGTACCTACAGACCTGTTACTGTGAGGCCTTTAATCCATCTTCACCGCCGCTTTCTTCCCTTGCTTTGTCTTTTAAAGTTTCAGGGGACTGTCACAAACAGGGTCTTACTCAGGGCCTCCTGCTGCTGCTCTGTGGCCTTGTTGAGCCCGTGGGGCTGGTTCCTGTGGCTCCTCCTGGCCAGTTGTCCACCGCAGGTGCCATGGATCCAAGAATTACCTCTGCTGGGCACCTCCCTCCCACACAATGGCACCCTGCTTCCAGGACATGCTGAGTCCTATCTCAAGGCATTCTTGGTCTTCCCTCAATGTTGCAGAGTAATATTATTTTATCTAGAACATTCCTGTGTTGAAGCTCAGTAAATGTCAGCACAAGTAGGCAAAAGTGTATTGCTTTGGGTGGTAAACTTTCTCCATGCTCTCCCCGGACCCCTTCTTATCCACTTTACCAGCCATGTGAATGCATCCTATAGCTTCTCTGTGCTTTGTTCCAAATGGCCTGCCCCTGTGACCTTCTTCAGAGGCTGACCATGGGCCAGTCCCTCCCTCCCAGAGAGAGCCTGGAATGCCTGGTAGTGTAGTTCTAGGGAAGCCTATAGCCAATGACTGTGCAAGATTCTGAAAGCCTGACTCCCTTTCCTCAAAATGGGGCAAATTCTGACATAATTTATGGTCTAGAGCTCCCCAAAGATCTGGCTAAGGCCAGGGAGTTGGCTAAAATTGTGCCTTTCTCTGTTCTTCATTTCCTTTTCTCTTGTGTTCTTCTCCTGGCCCTTAATAAATACCCTGTTCATGATCTGTGTCTCAGAGTTGGCTTCTGGAGGTCCAGCCTTAGGTATTTGGTTAGGAGTGCAAGGATGATTTTTGGAGGCAGATTCTGAGGATGGGATTCTAGAGTTAAGTCACCAGCTAAGTGGCAATAAATACCCCATCACAGGGGGTATGTGGAGCCCAGAGGGGCCCTGACACACTAGAGCATTGCAGTTGCTAAAACTTTTACCTGGAGCGAATTAAGATGATGTCATGGGTTGAATTATGTAACCTCAAAAGATGTTGAATTTCACCCCCAGTACCTGGGAATGTGATATTACTGGGAAATAAGATATTTGCAGATAATCCAACTAGAATGAGATCATTAGGGTGGGCCCTAATTCAATATCACTGTTGACCTCACAAAAAAAGTGAAATTTGAACATGGAGACATACATGCTTAGAGGAAAGATGGTGTGAAGACACAGGGCATCCACAAGAACAATTTGAGGCCAACAGGGAGGTCATGGAACAGATTCTTCCCTACGGTTCTCAGAACCAACCTTGCCGACACCTTGATTTTGGACTTCTAGTCTCCAGAACTGTGAGATAATAAATTCCTCATGTTCTATGCCACCCAATTTATTGTATTTTGTTATAGAAGCCCTAGGAAACTAATACAGAAGGGATTCTGACAGAACAGGTATGCTAGATTGTGCAATTTTCTTTGGCTTTTGATGGTACAAGGTAAATGGTCATTACAAAGGCTGTGGATGGGTTCCATGATAAATAGACTCCAGTTGGTCAGCATAAGGCAAAGTGAGAAAGTCAAAAAGTCCCTTGGCAGCTCTTAAACAAACCCCCTTTTTCTATAGCCAAGGGAGACCATGCTGAAGACCAGGCCAGGACCAACTATAAGAACAGTGGACCTTTGGTGGCTCAGGCCTGTAATCCCGGCACTTTGGGAGGCCGAGGCAGATGGATCACCTGAGGTCGGGAGTTCAAGACCAGCCTGAGCAACATGGAGAAACCCCATCTCTACTAAAAATACAAAATTAGCCAGGCATGGTGGCATATGCCTGTAATCCTAGTTACTCAGGAGGCTGAGGCAGGAGAATCACTTGAACCCAGGAGGCAGAGGTTGCAGAGAGCTGAGATCACGCCATTGCACTCCAGCCTGGGCAACAAGAGCAAGACTCCATCTCAAAACAAAACAAAACAAAAACAAAACAGTGGACCTTCAGGGACACCCAGTTTACATCCTCAGCAATCCCATGCAACAGCCAGGAACTTGGTAAGGAAGAAATGGCTTCTTAAGACTTGGAATCAGAAAATGTGAATAGATGTCATTGATAAATGTGAAACTGCAGCTGTCCCTGAATCCTCTGGGCCTGCAGAATGGGCCCACATCTTCTTTCTAGAGGGCAGAGCTCTCTTGCTTGAAGATTGGAAGCAAGTGTACAAATGTAAGCAGAGAAGCCTAACAAGAGATTAATTTTATGGCTTATATCTTTATTAGAACTTAAATCCAATATGTTTATTAGACCTTACAGTTCTGTCTGAGAGAAAAGAGGGATATGTTAAAGTCCTCACTCCACAAGATTTGTAACCATAGGCATAAAACCTTTAAAGGATATACTTTATGGCAGTGCATTCCAAATTTACACGTAAAACAGATTTCTGCTATTGCATTTCAAATTCAGACATAAAACAGATTTCCAACTTCTTTCACCTGTTGGGCTGGTCCCATGTCATATACTCAATGTGCAGTACTCACTTCTTTGAGCCTCAGTAACATGTGAGTAGAAATGGGATCATTGTAATAAATCTACTTGCATCAACATATGTTCCTTGTCTCATAACAGCCATTTATCCCCAACCTTAATTAAATATTTCTGAGGGGTAACTAAAGAATACTGGATTGCTGTTGGTTTCAGATGAAATCTGTGCAGAGTCTGTGCCATGAAGGGCTCTGCCTATATTTTGGTTACAAAAGTTATCTTATTTTGGCAGGGTGCAATGGCTCATACTTATAATCCCAGCACTTTGGGAGGCAGAGGTAGGAGAACTGCTTGAGCCCAAGAGTTTGAGACCAGCCTAGGAAACATAGAGAGATCCCATTTCTACAAAAAAAAATTAATTAAAAAAATTTTATAAATTTGTAAAGCTCTTTGTGCATATATTGCCTGATGTCATATTCTCCTCAAGCAGCCCCTGAGATGAGGAGTCATGTGGGAGTAATTTATTAACAAGGTGATCTCAAAGGAAGACAGGGAAGGAGAAGGGAAAGAAGGATATGGAAAAGAGAGAACCCAAGAAAGTGTGTGATTTTGTCAAAGTCCAGCTTCAGCCTCATCCAACTTGAGGCCAGGGAGTCAGATTGTCAGACACTTGGACCAGTCAGTCATTGCCTAAGAACTGCACAGAGGGTTAAAGCTCCCCTCTCCCAGCTCCATGCAGAGATCCTTAAAGACAGTCCCAGTTGCGGCCGGGTCTGGTGGCTCATGCCTGTTATCCCAGCACTTTGGAAGGCTGAGGCAGGCGGATCAAGAGGTCAGGAGTTCGAGACCAGCCTGGCCAATATAGTGAAACCTCATCTCCACTAAAAATACAAAAATTAGCCAGGTTTGGTGGCAGGTGCCTGTAATCCCAGCTACTCAGGAGGCTGAAGCAGGAGGATTGCTTGAACCCAGGAGGCAGAGGTTGCAGTAAGCTGAGATCATGCCACTGCATTCCAGCCTGGGTTACAGAGGAAGACTCAGTCTCAAAAAAAAAAAAAGTCTCAGTTGCAGGCCTTCGGAAGCAAAGCACAAAGCAGTTGGAAGAGGCTTACAGAAAGAGCAAAAGAATGTGGGGTATCTGTGTGTGCTGTCAACAGTGCTATTACTGTGAATGAATATCTGTGTCCCCCCAAAATTCATATATTGAAGCCTAACCCCCAAGTTGATGATATTTGGAGTTGGGGCCTTGGGGAGGTGATTAGGTCATGAGTGTGGAGCCCTCATAGGTGTGATTCCTGCCCTTATAAGAAAAGATGATCTCTCTCTCCGCCATCTAAGGATACAAGAAGACAGCATCTGCAAACCAGGAAGGGGGTCTTCACCAGTCACAGTCTGCTGACACCCTGACCCTGGACTATCCTAGGCTCCAGAACTCCAGAAATCAATCTCTGTTGTTTAAATCGCTCAGTCTATGATATCTTGTTATAGCAGCCCAAACTGACTAACACAATTATACATGTCAAAATCCTTTCTAATCTGTGGATCTGGGCTTTGCAACTTTGCATGTCTCACAGCCAGCAGAGGATTCTATTATTAATGGTAATCCATGTCAAATTTAATACTATAAGAATTTTTCATAAAATCAATTTGTTTTTAACCTTTTGGCTATCAAACTAGTTGTAATTTGAAATCCAAGACAATTAAATCTTTGTAAAATGTGGGTCTTTTTGTAAGATGACTTTAACCACAGAGAAAATGTAAAATTTTAGGAAGGGTAAGACATGTAGTTAGCACTGAGATTACTATGTGAGGCCTAATGTTATCTATGTGTAAGGCAATCATCAGTGTTACATTTCATTAGAAAGATGGCTTTTAAAAAACAACTAGCGCCAAGGTGGGCAGATCACCTGAGGTCAGGAGTTCAAGACCGGCTTGCCCAACATGGTGAAACCCCATCTCTATTAAAAATACAAAAAAATTAGCTGGGTGTGGTGGCAGATGCCTGTAATCCCAGCTACTTGGGAGGCTGAGGCAGGAGACTCGCTTGAACCCAGAAGGCAGAGGTTGCAGTGAGCCGAGATTGCTCGACTGTACTCCAGCCTGGGTGACAAGAGTGAAACTCTGTTAAAAAACAAAAAAAAGAAAAAAGAAAACTAGCCAGCTTCACAATGGAGGCAGTTCCATAATTTGTTGGGATTTTGGAATGGCAGTGAGCTACATATCTTTTCTTTCATGTTCTAACATATAGAAAACAAACTAAGTCTTTGTATATTAGCTAACTCAGCAGAACAGTCTGTGGGAGATTATATTGATCTTGAATACACAGTGCACATGTATTGGATATTGATGCATAATTTGGGTCTAATTTCTTCTCGTATCTAAATACTCGTAAACATTTAGAATGGTTTAAATGTACAGGCTCAGAATGACTTTAATAGGACCTTTAAAATTTATATTTATATATTTAAATAACTGCTGATGGCACTGTTGTTTATAATATTAGGTTTCTTGCTGACCTCTCAGAATTTTCCTTAGAGCCTGAGACAGGCCGACTGGTTGGTTCCCTATCTTAAGATTGTCTGAAGGAAAAGGATAAAAGCCCCTCAACTCAAACTCTAGCTTGTCTAACTCTCAGCCAATCAGCAATAAAAGACCAAGGAAGCTATTAATTGCAAATTTCTATTTCAGGGGGCTAGAGGCTTTCCCAGAGTCCCATATGTGGAGTCAGACTTAAACTCCAACCTAAAGTTATCTTTTCCTCATTTCAACACTAAAGTTCATGCCCAGGGGTGGAGATTTAAAATTCTAATGCTACATGCAATGTATGAAGAAACATGTTGAGCCATTGTGCAGGTGCTAGCAAAACTCTCCCTATACATTCCCTGAGGGAATCCTTCCCTATGGAAAGACCCTATACCTAACCGAACCACACAGTATCTTTGGGGAACAGCCCACTCCTTTTTGCTCTCTCATGGCTGGCTCCCTGAGAGGTAATAAACTCTCTTCATTGCTGCCTCTGGTGATCTCTCTTGATTTCTATCCTGAGAAATCACAAGATCTCAGGGCACTGGTAAGAAGCTTGTCACAGATTCTTTGAATTTCCTCAATGGTTCTGAAACAGGAGTGTTCCCTTGACCCCTTTGCAGGACTTGTGACATGAGTGACTTGTTTACTTGTTTACCATGCTGAATCCCTTATGGAAGGAAGCACATGAGTGGATGGGTGTGGGAACCAGAGCAAATGAATGTGGAACTGGCCTGTGGCTCCTCTCCGGCGGGAGCAAGCTTTGTGTGGGTTCTGCAGCAGTGTCAAAGTGTGTTACAATAGTCTTTTAGCTCTGCGGTCTGGGAGGGGCTGTCTGCGACCCCCAGAGCCCCAGAGGGCATGTGTTACAATCAGTGCTCCTTTAACATTTGCTGTCTGTGGATGGCTAAGTGTTAACCAGCTCAGTGGAAGGTCAGGGTGACAGCCTTTTACACTTTGCTGTCTTGGTACCTGAGTTCTGATCCAGCGTCCAGGAAGAATCAGGTCACATGAACAAATTGAAGGTGGTGAATGTGGAGGACTTTATTGAGTGGTAAAAGTGGGCCTCAGTGGGAAAGGGAGCTGGAAAGGGGATGGAGTGGGAAGATAATCTTCCCCTGGAGCCCGGGTGTCTCCAGCTGAACTCCTCTCTGACCATAGTTCCTGACCTCCAGCTGCTTCTTCTCATCTCAATATCCAGACACTTCTCTCTTCTGTGTGTGTGTCCACTGAGTCTGGGGCTTGGGGTTCTTATGGGCACAGGATAGGGGGTGGTGTGGGGTGGGCCAAAAGGCAACAATCAGGTGGGAAAACAGGGATAGTTCTCACTTTGGGCTGAGGGTCCAAGCTTGTGGGTGGAGCCCTTGCCAAAGATCCTGCCCTTTTCTACCAGTATTTGCCTGCCTTCTGTCCATTTCAGTTCAAGACAGTTTGTGCAATTTGGAAACAGCCAGATCTAAACAGTGTAAAATCTGGATAGTCAGGCAGAATAAGGCTGGAAAAAATATATAATTATATAGAATAAAGCTGAAAAAATTCGCTGAGTAATACTCTGTGTGTGCACCTACATGCACATGTAACAAAGTGATAATTTCTATTTCCTTAGATGTTTCAAAATGTATCTTGAACATATGACAAATATTTAATGTTTTCTGGGTGACTACATTGAAGCCCACCACTCACTTGGGACAGAAAAGTCATTTTTTGGTGTGTGATTATACTTGCTATCTTATGGTCACAACTTTTAATACTACATAGAAGCATTAATATTTTTATTTTTCCTTTAGATCCTTCACTGAATTCAACCCAGTCTACTCAACAGTTCACCAAGAGTCTTGCTATCTCCAATTTCAGGATATGCTTTCCATCACCAATACCCAGGTTAATGGACACTCCTCAACCCTTTGTCAGTCCCTGCCCAGTGTTGCCTTTGAGACTGAACTCTGGACAGCCTTTCCATGTTCTCTTTTCTGTAAAAAGGAGACTTTTTATTTCTGGCAGCACTTGCCTAGGAGATAGCAAAGTTAAATGTTGTGTTTCATCACAATCAGTCTCAACTAACTAAAACTAATTAAACACTAGGGATTTTGAGTAACCCACCTACCCTCACTAGACCCTTTCTTTATCTAACTGAAGATGTTCATGATCAAGAAGCAAGAGGCTGTCTCACAGATCTCAGCCTTGTATGAAAGGTAGTTCTCAGTGCTTAATTAGCACCAGCAGCATGGCCCTACACTTCATAGCATTTAAAACCTTCAGTTTTGCCCTTAAGTCCACCTATGCAGTTGTCCCCTAATAAGCTCAGCTCAGCTCCAGGCCACCCCTGGCTCTGTGGCCCATGGTTTTTGTATTATTCTTTGTCATCTCTAATTAGCCTCTTCTGCCTCACCACTACTTAATTATTTATCCTTCTCAGAACTTCTGGCGTGTATTGTACTATATTTTACTTTTAAAATATGTTGCCAGTGTTCTCAGTTTGTCATTTATATGACATGTTCCATGACAAAGTACATCCCTAATACAAAGCCTTAAGCAATCTCATTAAGGACAGATTGCTGATATCTAATTTCTTTTCCCATTCCTAGAGGCAGTGGTCTTCAAAGTGTGGCCTCCAGACAGCAATATCAATATCATCTGGGAATTTGCTAGAAATGTAAATTCCCAAGTCCCAGCTCAAACTCAATGAATCAGAAACTCTGGGTGTGGGGCCCAGCAGTCCTTCAGGTGTTTCTAACCACATATTCAAATTTGACAATCATTTACTCAGGGTCTCACCCTTGGTAGTATCTTAATAAATGCCTGTTAGGTTGACTCTGATAAGTCTTTCTCTCAAGCCATCTTAAAAAGCATGGAATCCAAAAATTCCAGGAAGAAATGAGAAAAAATGTTACAAAGAATGAAGTAGGGATTTTAGGTTTATGAGCAATTAGAGGGAACCGAGTCTTCACAAAGAAACACAATATCCTGATTTCCTGTCTCATGCTTGATTTTCCTACATTGTCTCACCTCAGCTGCGTGATTCCATGTATCTCACTAACCCTTCTGTTTGCCTTCTGTAAGGTTACATGTAGATTCTGAGAAAATTCTTTTTCAACTTTCTATCTCTTATTCCCATTTCACTCTATGTCTTCACAGAAAATTATCACTGCAAAGCTGAGCGGTTTCTGGAGAATCTTGGCTCATTCACTGAATTCTTTGGGAAGGGCTGCTTCCCTTTGCACATCTTCACTAAACTTGGACCTTTTTGATGACTCTCATTTTTTATCACCACCATAGTCCTTAGATGTCCAGTGGAGCAGGGAAACTGATGGTTTTCTGCACAGGTTGCTCGGGGCAAAGATGGAAGTTGGAAGTAAGGAAAAGCATGGAGTTGGAATTGTATGCTGAATGCTGAAGCAAAAGAGTACTCAACGTCTCTATGGTTTTGCTTTGTGCTGGGCCTTCCTAAACCTTGTGAACACCTGGTAAATGTTCATTTGATTATGTCAAGCTCTTTGGAGCAGTAGCTTTCAACCCTGATTAGGATGTCAGAATCCTTTGGAAGAATTTTTTAAAAATCTATGGGCATGGAACCCATCCATCAGTATTTTTAAAAATTTCCCAGGTGGTTTCCATGAGTAGCTAAGGTTGAGAACCGTGGTTTTGGATTTCCCACTTGATGATTTTAAACCATAACATCACTTTGCCTATTTTTCTAAATATTCCTCTTTCTACAGTCAGCTTTCAAAAGTCAGACTACAACTGAATCAAAGAATTATACAAGAAAGGGGAAACTGAGCCATCCTTCAGCAACTCCAGGAACAAATCAAGGTACATATAATGATGGGGTAGTAAATGCTAATACCGTCTATCTTCTTCCCTTGTATCTATCCCTGTTTTTGTTCCCCTCTTTCCACTCTGGCTTCCTATTCTCCCTTTGTGGCAAAATATCCACTATTCTTGAAGACAGCGAACCAGCAAACCTGCTAATATTAAAGCTTCAGTGACCCAATAGGTAGCTACACTTTGAG
The DNA here is from genome assembly GCF_000001405.40 of Homo sapiens. Classification (NCBI taxonomy): domain Eukaryota; kingdom Metazoa; phylum Chordata; class Mammalia; order Primates; family Hominidae; genus Homo; species Homo sapiens. The sequence goes on from NC_000021.9 coordinate 13,750,401, forward strand.
GAACATTTTCATTTCCAAAGAAATTATCTGAAGAGAAAAATGTCTAATTCAATGGGCTGAAATGCAAATTGTTATGTTTCAGGCTAGAAAGATATCTAACCCAAGGAACTTCCTTATCATGCTCTGGGAGACAGTAGGCTGCCTCATGGAAGGCCGTTATAGATGTCCAACTAAACATTGCAAAAAATAGAAGCATTGGCTTGGGACTGAGAAATGATATTCATTTGGTGCAAAAGTAATTGCGATTTTTGCCCTTGAAAATGATGGTTAAAACTGCAATGACTTTTGCATCAACCTATGGATTAGTAATTGATACACAAAGACATGACACATGAGAATACCAAGTGCACTGCTTGGCACATAGTAGACATTCAACAAATGCTTCTTGCTGACAACTTTTGCTTTCCTCCTCAATCACCCACTTTTTAGAATCCTTGAAAAAATCTTACAAATTTTTCAAATATTCAGGAAACTTAAATAACATCAGATTTAGAGAAGAATTATTGACTGTAGCCAATTTTTGGACCTATACATTTTTTAAACTATGTGATGGGAATCTCTTCATTTTTTAGAGCAAAATGGATGCATATCAATTACAAACCTTGCTAAATCATCCTTTCTATCTCTGAGGCAATAAAATTCATTATCCTGGTTAGTTTGAGGATATACTTAACCCATAAACACCAACAGCAAGTATAGATTCAGACATTTGTATCTATAATTTAGACAGTTTAAAATGCAATATTAAGTAATTCAAAAATTGTTCAAAGCTCAGTACCTTTTCACACATTAATACTTTGATTATCAACTTCCTTTTAAAGAGTGAGTAGAAAAGGTTAGTAAGTAGAAAAGAGTAAAAGAGGCCTTTCTTTCACAACTTGCCAAGACGTGCATTACTTATTTAAAATAAAAAAAAAATGCTGTTTGAAAAACAAGAAGGATGGCAAGAATGAAGCTCCTTCATGCAAGATACCTCTGACTACCCTCTAAAGACAGTTACTATGGCATGGTCATAGAATTACTGCAGGAAAAAATTTGTCCACTGAGGCTGCTTCCTCCAGAGGTAAGGTTTAACTTATGGTAACTTGCTATGGATCAACAGCTCAAGATGAAGTGTGTGGCTGGCAATTTAAGTGTAAAATTAGATTTCCAGTATAATCAGTCATCTGATAGCCCATCTAAATGTATTCTGCATTTGCACATTTAATTAATTATGTCTTAATTGAAAACATTTTGCTCATAATGATTGGTTCTAATTTTATTCCAAATTAAATTAGTAGGGGAGAAATTTAGTTTGGGAATTTATTGATTTATATATATATTAAAGAAAAAGTAAAAATAATGGATTTTCTCTTTTCTTCTTAAAAGGAAATATCTTTCTGCTCATTTAGAGGTGCAAAGGAAAACATTTAGAACTTTCCAGATGAATAAATTGCATTTCATCTGAATGAACATCTAACTTTGGAGATGGAGAGAACATTCTTTTGTATTGTTGTAGATATGCCTAGTATAATATTGGTATAATTAATTTTTCAGCTACAATGCAGATTCCTGGGTCAGTGCAAAAGACCTTGTTTATTTAGAAGTGATTATCTGAGAAAGTGGCTCATTAGTCTTAGATTCTTGGAATGCACAGTCTGGTCTAGAGATTAAAATAGCTATTTAAATTCCCTTTATGAAAATTGTGCCTGACAGGGCACTTCCATGTGCAGTGAGGTTTGTATTTGCACATCTAGAGCATCCAGGAAATCAGCAAAGGTGGGTTTTGTGTCTTTAGATATGCTACAGTTGATAAACCCTAAGATTCAGATATTAACTATTGGATAAGCTCTTGCATTTCCCATAACTTTAGCTTTGAAGCCATTCATTACCTTAATACTAAGGAAAGAATGTCAGAAAATCCAAAGAGAGAGAATTCTCAGTTATGATTTTTGGACATATAATTGGAAAGAAGTCAGATTTGGCTTTTACAATTAGTGCCATATAATGTCACACAAAGTATTTCCTGCAGTGTGCTCAAAGAGGTCAATTTGTGATTTATTTGCAAGTCATAGTTCTGAAATTACTGACTTGTGTGTGTAACAATTTAGCTTTAACTTGGGCACTTAATTTAGCATTAAATATAGCTCCTCTTCAATATTGACCCTTGCCCTGAACAAGATGTCATTTCATAAACCCAGTTAAACATGGTGCCTACTGTGGTTTAAATACCAAGACAGATTAAATGTATTGTCCAGTTTCACAGATCAGCAATGCTTCTCTTCCTGTATCACTAGCTCATGATAATAACATAAGGGACCAGTCTGTGCCAGTGGATGGGCCAGAATTAAAAGAAGATAAATATTGATGTCCTGCCTGAAAGAAAACTGGGCACCCAAGGTGTCAGAGAGTTGTCTGATATACTGTGACATGAATGTCCCATATATATAAATTGCAGCCTTTTTAAAATAAGGTAGAATTGTTTGTGGAAGATTAAAAACTCTCTTTCTAAATTGTTGAATTAAAATATTTAGTTAAATAAATCACTGCTATTTTCATCAATGTTGGAGTTGTTTCTTCAAGTTTGTGTGTTTTCTCAATTAGAAAAAAAGTCTAATTTGTTTAAATAGTGAGAAGTCAACATTGAACTGTTGTCTACTCAATAGCCACAATTCCTTATTTCTTGTTCACAATGAATAAGAAATTTGTATTGTTGCAACAAGTTCACAGACAATGGATTCCTCTCTCAATCTGAGAGGATGAGCCATGGTTGATCTAGGCCATGAATATTGTGGTAGATTGTATTGTGTGTTCCTAATTCTTTGTTCTCTGGCCAGGTGCAGTGTCTCACGCCTGTAATCCTAGCACTTCAGGAAACTGAGGCAGGCAGATTGCCAGAGCTCAGGAGTTCGATACCGGCCTGGGCAACATGGCAAAACCCCTCTCTACTAAAAATACAAAAAATTAGCTGGGTATGCTGGTGTGCACCTGTAATCCCAGCTACTTGGGAGCCTGAGGTGTGAGAATCACTTGAACCCAGAAGGCGAAGAATGCAGTGAGCCAAGATTGTGCCACTGCACTCCAGCCTGGATGACAGAGCGAGACTCTGTCTGAGAAAAAAATAATTAAAACAGATGATTCTTGTTCCCTCCCCATCCTTACCTTTTTTTTAATGAGGAAAGAATATTTCCCTGTATCACTGACTTTGGGCTTGGCTATGTGACTGCTCTACCCAATAGAATTTGGTAGGTTAATAGTAATAGAAGTAACTAAGCAGAACTTTAAAGAAGTTTCTCCTCTTCAACTCTTGCTTATAAAGCATTATAAAAATCAATATATATAAAGCATTATAAAAATCAAATGCTCTAAGTAGTCTGTGTCCTTCAACATGGGTCCAGGAATGAGAGACACCTGGAGCACACCTGACTCTCATCTGTAGTCTAAGGTAGAACTGCGGCAACCAATTCGCAAAATTCATGAGCAAGGAGTAAATGCTTGCTGTTATCGGTCAGTAACTTCTTGTCATGTTTCTTAAGCATTATTGGAGCAAAAGCAAACTAATACAAACGTTAGTGTAATTCCTTTGCTTGTGATTGATTTAGAGATGAATATTTGTCCTGTTTCCAGGTAATACAATGTATTTAGGAAGAATGCCAAAGGAGGGAGCTTATTAGTAGGATTTTGACCTCTAATGAAAATGATGGCCAAATATATGAAATTTTTTCTTTCTTTGGTTTTTATTGTTTAAAGACATAATTATTTAAGTTGTGTTAGTTGTGTGTGATCTTATAACTGTGAGGAATTACATAGAATGAAAATGGAATGTGCTGTGGTGGCAGAACAGAAAGAAGTTGGGTGATTGACATTGTTGAGCTCTGCAGGAAATCTGTTAGTCTCCATTTCCGGAGGTCTTGCTATGTAGAAAAATTGGATGACTTTATTGCTTAAGTCACTATAAGAATGTTTTCTGTTACCTGCAACCCAATGCACCCAACTAATAAAGTATGTTTCTAGAAATACACTTGCCTGCACTCATTTTTAAGACACACAGACCACATACACACGGAGAGATATTTTTAAAGGTCTTGTACTACATAAATTGTACTATTTTTTAATTTAAAAATATGGGCCAGGTGCAGTGGCTCACACCTGTAATCCTAGCACTTTGGGAGGCCAAGGCAGGTGGATCACAAGGTCAGGAGATCAAGACCACCATGGCCAACATGGTGAAACCCCATCTCTACTAAAATACAAAAAACTAGCTGGGCATGGTGGTGTGTGCCTGTAGTCCCAGGTACTTGGGAGGCTGAGGCAGGGGAATCACTTGAACCCTGGAGGCAGAGGTTGAAGTGAGCTGAGATCGTGCCGCTGCACTCCAGCCTGTTGACAGAGCGAGACTCTGTCTCAAAAAATAAAAATTAAAAAAAAGATAATGTGATTTTTTTATATTATAGCACATGTACAAGACTGAAATCTGTCTCATTTTTTAAAGTAACTGCCTAGTACTTTATGCATGAACATCCTTTGCCTTCAAATTGAATTTGAGGATCAACCTCAGCTATTTTCATAAAATAAATTTAAAAATATATAAAAAGATGAAAAATATGAGGGAAACATTAAGTGAAATGGAATTTGAATTCATAAGTTGTGATATCCATCTAAATGAGTCACCAAGAGTTAAAAGATGAAAAATGAAAACAAATACTCACGGAAATAATAGAAGAAAACTTTAAAAGGTAGAGAATAAACACATGCTGTAATGTCACTACCCACTCAGTGTTAAGTTAAATGGATTTGTTGAGAAGACTCCAAAAGCAGTTATAAATGTCGAGTATGTGTGTGCACATGTGTGTGTATATGTGTGCAACCCTATATAAAATATTTTAAAATCACTTTTATTGAAATATTGCATATGTACATCTAAGAACGAATTTTAAGCTTGATGAATTTTTACATTGTTGACACAGCCATTTAACTATCAGCTAAGAGAGGAAATAAAACATAACCAGCAACTCTCACCTCATTTTATATTCACTATCAATCCTTACTCTTTTTTTAATTTGAGACAGAGTCTCATTCTGTTGCTCAGGCTGGAGTGCAGTTGCATGATCTCAGCTCACTGCAACCTCTACACCCTGGGTTCAAGCAATTCTCATGCCTCAGCCTCCCAAGTAGCTAGGTTACAGGCACTCACCACCATGCCCAGCTAATTTTTGTAATTTTAGTAGAGACAGGGTTTTGCCATGTTGGCCAGGCTGGCCTTGAACTCCTGGCCTCAAGCAGTTTGCCCACCTCAGCCTCCTAAAGTGCTGGGATTACAGGAATGAGTTACTGTGCCTGGCCCATTCCTCTTTTTTAATACCCCAAAGGCAACTGATATCCTAATTTCTCACACAAGGGATTGGTTTTGCCTGGGTGTTGAACTTTATATAAAGGGACTATCAGTACATTATTTGCCATATTGATCTACGTTATTTTATGTAACAATAATGCATATTTATTCATTGTTCCATAGTATTCCATGTAGAAATAGATCACAATTTATTTGCTATTTCTTCTCTTAATAGATATATTTGGGTTGGCTTCTGTTATTGTTATGAATACGATGCTTTAAATATTCTTTTTCTAGTAAAAATATGTGCAGATTTATAGCTGAACAGAAAAAGCTTTGTCTTTTAACCTGGATATCTGGATTTTTTACTCTTGGTGAAAATAACTGCAATGACATTTATCATGTATGATTTAAAGTCAGGAAATGCCTCCTGGTAACCTACAGGGTCAGTTTTTCACTGATGGGTTACAACTGGCCTAATTGGTTTGACAAACCTAGCTTGATTACATGGACAAGGAGACATAAAAGGCTTGTGGAGAATTTCTCCTCGAAGCCCTCCTGAAAGCATGATTCCTAGCACAGAATCTTGGTGGTTGACACTGGAGACAGAATGCACACTCTGTGTCTGTGAATACTTGGAGCCCTGGGTAGCTTTCAATATGGGATGTCTTTCAGACTCCCAGTCCATGCCCGCACTCTCTTTCACTTGCTGCACCATATCCTTTGCCTTTAAATAAAAGCCCCATGTAAATATGTTCTATGGAATGTGGTGGTTCCTTTCAAACATCCAAACAGGAAGCTTTTCAGTATGTATACATTTCTATTGATAATACACCTAAGAATGAATTTGCTATTTGCCAGTTCATAAAAGTATATATATTTATATATTGAGCTTTAGACAAAATTTTCAAGTAAAATACAAAAAGAAATTTCTTGAACCATTAGAGAATAAGTTACTGACCTGATTTCCAGTTACCACCAAATATTTTGGGGTTTATTCCTTACAAACAGGTTTCTCCTACATGTTCACAACACAACTGTCAGCATTGGTTGTATTCCCACTAATACCCTGTTACTGTCTAATCCTCAGACCCCATTCAAGACCCTGGCACTCTACATTAAGCTACCCCTGTGTGTAGTTACCTTCTTCACTCTACTCTGACTCCAACACCTCATGCTTGGCCACCGTCATTCTTGGATGCCATCCCTGGGCTCTGATCTACTCCCTAGATTATCATCCATTTCACATAGACACTCTTCTCATCCTTCCTGGGTTAAACCCACATGGGTGCTCACCCCACTCTGCTCAGTGAGGCTCTGACACTCCAACCTTGCTGTATCACTGCGGTGATGCCCTTTTCATCTTGCTTGGGTTCTGCCACCACTTCTGTGTGGACTCCTTCTCCTGTTCTTTGGCTTTGATACCTGGCACCTTGGAGCCCTCCTATACAGATGCCCCTTTCAGTCTATTTACACCAGAAAATCCCACAGTGACTTGACTCTTCTACATGCAAATCCTTTTTATCCCATTCTGTGCCACTGCCTTACATGGGTGTTCTCTTCCCACTAGCCTGAGGGGTTTAGACACCAGGTGATGGATAATACTTCTGTCTCGATGCTCCCTCACCTTGTTTTGATTCTGACACCCCACGTGGGTCACCTACATGCATTGAAGCCCTTACTCAGTTGTGGCTTCAATCCAAATGAGGCAGCCTTCCTCTGTAGATGGAGGAATTAACCATTTTTCCCTATTCTAAAAATTAGTCATTTCCCCAAAGAGCACGGGTTTCTTTCATGGAGAAATAGTGTTTGGATACAAAGGTCTAGAGGCTAGGTGTTCTACTAGGGTGTCATTTCTTCTAGATTCTTTCACTTCACAAAGCTAAGAAATACATATGCATATACCAAGCAAAACACACCATAAGGGTAAAATGATGACTTTTTTGAGGTTGGAGGTCACTATCTCTCCATCCTGTCTTCCTTAGAGTATTTCCTTGAAATCTTAATAGGTCCAAATAACAGGTTTATGCTTTTGATTTTGCAGTGGAAGAATGGGGACTTTCTGACCCTTGGAATTGTAAACAAATGCCTCCAAAACTTACTTGGGAGTTTTTCACAAGAGGACTATCTTAGGATGTAGCCCTTTGTCTCTTGAGGAGATGAGAAGTTATTCTTACTTCTGCTTTGCTAAATAAATTATGTGAAAGTCTGCCTAGACATTTTAGTCACTTTTGTAGTACCTACGTGCATAGAAATCTGACCATGTTCATGTAGTAATAAACTGTGTTCTCTTTTCTATGTTGGTTCAGAGAGGTCTTTGTTAGTGTTATTTTATTTCCAACAAACACACGGCCTATATTTCTGTATTGTTACTTTCTAGAGATGGATGACTTTGGATGGTCAAATATTGATAGAAAGGCACTAGTGAAACATAATTCAGAAAAAACACATTTACAGATTTGGTGACAAGAAATGAAGAAATTTTTCATGTTAAGCTCCAATTATCTCTGAAAGGTAGAAGGAAAGTCATTAGTTGAGAGTATACATGGCATTGGAGTTGGAAGTTTTGAGAAAAGTGGAGGCTTACAAAATTAAAATAGTTGTTTCCAATAAGATGAAATAGAACTGATTAAAGAACAAAGGAGACATGATTGCTGAGGAGTCTCTCAGATTAGTTCACGTTGATCACTGTAGTCTATTGTTTCACAATAACTCATTCCAAATCAAGCTGCATATTGGATTCACCTGGGATCTTTTAAGATATACCGATTTCTGGGTGCCACCTGCAGAGATTCTGTTGTAATCACTCAGGAGTCTGACATCAGCATCCAGATTTCAAAAGTTCCCCGAGTGATTCTAAAGCATCCTGAAGATCAAGAACCATTGACCCAGATAGAATGTTCATTGCCTTTATTGTTTTCCACAAAAACCTACCCATGTAAAGCATTTGTGAGGATATAAAAGTTTACTGAAAATTAGAAATTGAGAGTTGAATTGGCAAACAAATTTAGTCAAATTAAATTCTGAGTTTTAATGCTTTCCTATGGCCAACCCAAGAGTGTGGAACTTTCCTTGGGCCTTCACCCCATTGTCTCCAAACTCAAATCATTTCACTAACTCTTCTCCACCTTCCCAGTCTCTGCTTTCTGAATGCCACTTCCTAGTCTACCTGACTCTGGGAACTATCGGTTGGAGCAAAAGTAATTGCACTTTTTGCCATTAAAATTGATGTCGAAAACCACAAATTACTTTTGCACCAGCCTAATAAAACTTGTTACTCCATAACTCAGAGTGATTCAGCTCTCACTAACAACCTGGTGTTCTCCATTTTCCTTTAGCCTGGACTATAGCTATTCATCACTTTTGAGAATTTTTAAGAGGCAACATTCTTGCATGTGATCTGGTTTATAGAACCAGGATAAAAGGTCAGTGTTGACTCCAAAGTTTCCCAGGCCCGGGATCTCCTCAGAAATATGTGGCAGAGACAGACCTGCAGGATAAAGACAAGATATGCAGTCTTTTCTCATTCACTCCATTGATAGCTAGTAACAGCCGACCATATCTCAGTTGAATGAAGTTAAAAAGATAGATAGACAAATAGATACAGTAGAGTGTAGTCCATATAATGGTTTAGTATACATAGGAAGTACACAAATACAGTAACATCTGGACAAACTAGAGGATGGGAGAAGAAGGGAATTGAGAGAGTATTGCAAGAAGTGAAGAACCCAGGGTTTGAGCTAGCCTCCTGAATCCACATGTATAGAGTTGTAGAATTGGAGTACTACAAAGGATGTCAGAAATCATCTAATCTAGTCACCCTTTGTTACAGACTAGAAAGTAGAAATCTCATAGCCTAGGAGTTGAACTGAATTGAAGAAAGTCCCATAACAAGTCAGGGGCAGCGCCAGGATTAAATTGGAATCGGGGTTCATTGATGACTGGCCCAGCGATACTCCCTCAACAGGTAACGAATTTCTAAGGTTCTATGAGCACAGCTACAGGAGGGATTAGGCCAGCAATAGGGTCGCTGGTGGCAGTAGAGGCCTAAACCTGCATGGCTTACACCTCTGTCTGCAAAGTGACTGACTCATTCCAGGCCTATCTGTGCACTCTGCAGTACCTCTGCTCAGAAGGTGCCAATGGGGGAAATGCTAGATAGATAATTTGGCTTGAGCATAGAGTGTGAGGGAAGGACACATACTGAAAATAGGAAGGAGAATGAGAAACCTGAATCAAGAACCAGCCTAACAAATATTAGGCCTTTGAATTATAAAGCAGGCATATTGTATGGCTTTAGAAAATTACAAGATCATAAAGATGAGCAAATAAGACTAGAAAATTATGACTTTGGGACCTTGTGTCTGAAGTAAATGGAGAGGCACTTTGGGGAGTGGCAGGCAATGAAAACACATCTACCACCTGAGATGACTCACAGAAATTCAAAACAGCCTCTTTTTTTTAAGTCCAATTCAAATATAGTCAAGTGAGGGAGGGTACATCATTTATTCTCAACTCACTGTGTTTAGTTTCTTAAAAGATGGCCGAATTGTAAAAAAAGTTTTTGAATGGGGCAGTTCTAGTGTCAGTTGTTCTCTCTTTTCCTTTTTTACTTACCCACTACTATAAACTACCATAGATACATTCTTTACATTCAGTTAGTTAGTTTTACGTTTCCCAATTTCCACATTTGTAATTATAGCCTAGGAAGCTTCTTTGCTTGGAGAAAGATGTTCTTATATTAAAACATAAAACTCTTCCCAAGCATCCACTAGTTCATCCAGTAAGCAATTTCATCATTACATACCAGAGGTCAGTATTGCACTATTAATTTACATGAGTGATTAATTTTTACTTTCCCAGTAATAAAGATGAGAAACAAAATACCAAAGATTATTACTATATTAGAGCTTTGGTGTTAGTTCCTTAAGCAAGTATCATCTGTGCAGGCATGCACAGATCATGAATGGCTTAACAAAAATACGAAAGAAAAAGAAAAAAGCCATCACAATGAAGGTGGCCTTTGTTCTTTAGGAAGACATTCATAACTCATTCCAGGCATATTAATTATGCAACTTTTACACAAAAGTTACTTTATATTGAGAAATGTTCACAACTAGCAGTATTAACAGACATGCTGGCAGTGAATTAAAAAGATAACAATAGTTTTTAAAGCCTCATTCAAATCTGCATATCTACAATAGTGTATCAATTTGGGATGGCCAAAGTTATAGATAATTTGGATAAATAAAATAGGGGCTCAGCAGTAAAATAATGACTGTATCTCCAGAAGCTTTAAGATTAATGAAAAGAAGAAAAGACTAAAGGCAGATCAAGCTGTCATGCTGACTACAGACATAGTAAAGGCTTTCCACAGAAAGAGAAAATAGATTAGTCTTGTTTTACTCTGGTCAACAAAGGGTAGAATTATAGAAATGGAGATTGCAGCTGCATATAGATAGAATTGTTAAGACTCATAGCTATTCCAACATCTTTGCTTAGGGGGCCATAGGGAGTGCCAACATCGAGTATCAGAACAAACTAGATGAATGCCAAAATCTCTTATACTCTAAGGTTATATGAGAAAGTGATTTTGATGCCAAAGAGTAAATATTCCACAAATTCCAAACCTCCTTCCAGGCATATATATTCGAGTAGCACCTTCTTTAAGAAGTCTCCCTTAATCTGAGAACACAGTTTGCTTGTGTTTCTAATACTTTGACCATACATTGTCTTTTGTCATCTTTTGACCATATTGTACATTTATGTATTATTTAGCTTTGTGTTGTTATGTCTTATCTAAAACCAAGATTCTTCTTTTAGGAATACATGTTATTTTATCCTCTATGACACCTAGCACAATACAATGAAGTTAGTAGATACTCAGATAATATCTGTAGTCTGAACCTATTTCCTTATCTAAACAGTAAGGAATAAGAACACCCACTTTACCTGCCTCACTGAGCTGTTTTGAAGATCAGATGAAATAATGTGCCTGAAAGCACTTTGAAAAGTATAGAATGTTATACAAATGTAAGGCATTCTAATTTCAGAGGGAGGTTTTTCTCAGTTACAACCTCCATGTCAGCTCGAATAAAGGAACATTTTTTAAAACTTAATCTGAAAAGAAACTTGTCCCTTCTAGGCACAAATTATAAAACTCCCCAAAAAATGTTTGTATATATTTTTGTTTGTTTGTTCCTAAATAGTATAATGAGCTATGGTCTTTCAGGGAAAATGTTGCTCTGATACTAGTTCACAATGTAGAAAATTGCCCTTATGTACTTTCAGGAAAGAATTGCAAACAAATGAGCTATTTTCTTTTCTCAAGTAAAGTGACTTCCCAAGCATGGGTGGCAGCTGTTCAAGTCCATCTGGTCAAGAATTCACTAAGATCATAATGTGAAAGTTGCTCAAGTGCAGATTTGCACGACAGCCTGCAAATGTTCCTTTGGAGACGAAATGGTTTCTCAGGTCAATGATCTGCATATTTAAAAGTCTCTAGGACACCCTAAGATGGCGGCGAGGGAGACGGTGAAGGTTGGCTCCCGCCTGTCTGGGCTCTGATCCTCTGTCTCCCCCTCCCCCTGCGGCCGGCTCATGGCCTGGCGGAGGCCCGAACCAAAGACCTCCGCACCGCCGTGTACAACGCCGCCCGTGACGGCAAGGGGGCAGCTGCTCCAGAAGCTGCTCAGCAGCCGGAGCCGGGAGGAACTGGACGAGCTGACTGGCTAGGTGGCCGGCGGGGGGACGCCGCTGCTCATCGCCGCCTGCTACGGCCACCTGGACGTGGTGGAGTACCTGGTGGACCCGTGCGGCGCGAGCGTGGAGGCCGGTGGCTCGGTGCACTTCGATGGCGAGACCATGGAGGGTGCGCCGCCGCTGTGGGCGCGGACCACCTGGACGTGGTGCGGAGCCTGCTGCGCCGCGGGGCCTCGGTGAACTGCACCACGCGCACCAACTCCACGCCCCTCCGCGCCGCCTGCTTCGAGGGCCTCCTGGAGGTGGTGCGCTACCTGGTCGGCGAGCACCAGGCCAACCTGGAGGTGGCCAACCGGCACGGCCACATGTGCCTCATGATCTCGTGCTACAAGGGCCACCGTGAGATCGCCCGCTACCTGCTGGAGCAGGGCGCCCAGGTGAACTGGCGCAGCGCCAAGGGCAACACGGCCCTGCACAACTGTGCCGAGACCAGCAGCCTGGAGATCCTGCAGCTGCTGCTGGGGTGCAAGGCCAGCATGGAACGTGATAGCTACGGCATGACCCCGTTGCTCCCGGCCAGCGTGACGGGCCACACCAACATCGTGGAGTACCTCATCCAGGAGCAGCCCGGCCAGGAGCAGCTCATAGGGGTAGAGGCTCAGCTTAGGCTGCCCCAAGAAGGCTCCTCCACCAGCCAGGGGTGTGCGCAGCCTCAGGGGGCTCCGTGCTGCATCTTCTCCCCTGAGGTACTGAACGGGGAATCTTACCAAAGCTGCTGTCCCACCAGCCGGGAAGCTGCCATGGAAGCCTTGGAATTGCTGGGATCTACCTATGTGGATAAGAAACGAGATCTGCTTGGGGCCCTTAAACACTGGAGGCGGGCCATGGAGCTGCGTCACCAGGGGGGTGAGTACCTGCCCAAACTGGAGCCCCCACAGCTGGTCCTGGCCTATGACTATTCCAGGGAGGTCAACACCACCGAGGAGCTGGAGGCGCTGATCACCGACGCCGATGAGATGCGTATGCAGGCCTTGTTGATCCGGGAGCGCATCCTCAGTCCCTCGCACCCCGACACTTCCTATTGTATCCGTTACAGGGGCGCAGTGTACGCCGACTCGGGGAATATCGAGTGCTACATCCGCTTGTGGAAGTACGCCCTGGACATGCAACAGAGCAACCTGGAGCCTCTGAGCCCCATGAGCGCCAGCAGCTTCCTCTCCTTCGCCGAACTCTTCTCCTACGTGCTGCAGGACCCGGCTGCCAAAGGCAGCCTGGGCACCCAGATCGGCTTTGCAGACCTCATGGGGGTCCTCACCAAAGGGGTCCGGGAAGTGGAATGGGCCCTGCAGCTGCTCAGGGAGCCTAGAGACTCGGCCCAGTTCAACAAGGCGCTGGCCATCATCCTCCACCTGCTCTACCTGCTGGAGAAAGTGGAGTGCACCCCCAGCCAGGAGCACCTGAAGCACCAGACCATCTATCGCCTGCTCAAGTGCGCACCCAGGGGCAAGAACGGCTTCACGCCTCTGCACATGGCTGTGGACAAGGACACCACAAACGTGGGCCGCTACCCCGTGGGCAGATTCCCCTCGTTGCACGTGGTCAAAGTGCTGTTCGACTGCGGGGCCGACCGGGACAGCAGGGATTTTGACAACAACACCCCGCTACACATAGCAGCCCAGAACAACTGCCCGGCCATCGTGAATGCCCTGACTGAAGCAGGGGCCCACATGGACGCCACCAACGCCTTCAAGAAGACGGCCTACGAGCTGCTGGAAGAGAAGCTGCTGGCCAGGGGTACCATGCAGCCCTTCAACTACGTGACGCTGCAGTGCCTTGCAGCCCAGGCCCTGGATAAGAACAAGATCCCTTACAAGGGCTTCATCCCGGAAGATCTGGAGGCATTCATCGAACTGCACTGACCTGCCCAGAACATCTGCACCCTCACCTCTCCCCTCTCCTGCTGAGACGGGGGAAATCAGGCTGGGGTATAGCAGATGCTCGTTCTTGCCTCCTTCAGGCACCAATCAGGAGAAGGGTTCTGCCTCCCATCCCCTTTACCTGAAGACAGGGTCTGAGGTGTTAGCGAGCCTTTGGTGCTAGAAGCCTTCAGGGTCACATGCCAAGAGGACAGTCTTTCTCCGGGAAGCCCACTGACTCAGAAATTCTGAGTTAGGAAAAGACACAAGACCTTCCCCACATCCTGTCTGCCTGGGTTACGGAGGCCTTTGCCTTGTTACCTAGAGGCGGAGGGACTGAAGCCATTGCGTTCCTTCCTTGCTAGAAACACAGGAAGAAGTTGAGGACGGTCTGCCTTCCCTTGTCCTTTTACATGGCCAGGTAACTCCAGCTGCTGAATACAGTGTTAGGACTGGGGGCTCCCGAGATGAGAGTTTGAAAGTCAGGGAATGAAACCACCTCTCATTTCTTCCAGCATGATCACGACCTGCTCCTGTGCCACCATAGTCCCTGGCAGACAGGCAGGGCTCTGCTCAGGGCAGCCTGCCACTTGCATAGCTTTTGGTTAGTTTGGTGTTCTGTTTATTTAATAAGTGGGCAGGTTGCAAGCATTGCACAGGAATTCTGAGATTTTACTGCCTTTTTTTTTTTTTTAAAGAAAGTTGTTTGTTGGACTCCGTAAGTGAATTTCAAGCAGTGAGGATTCTGTAGTGCCTGAGATGGCTGAGGCCACAGGGAGTGAGCTGTATGTGTGAGGAAGTTGGTGAGCGAGATAAAAGTCCATGGTTTCGACCCCTAAAACATGTGTGACTGTACATTTTTATACATCTCCACTCTACGGCCTTTTACAGGCTTTCCAATTTTACAGGCCTTTCCAATTTTCCATTATCATTAGAAAGAGAACTGTGCTTCCAAACAGAAATCAGGAGTGACCACAAAGCCTGACAACACTTTGCCACCCAGCAAGAACTGGCACAATTGGTTTGGGTCTGCATTGCCATAGTGTCCGAGTTAAAACTACAGGCCACTCCACCTTGCAAACCTCACGTGGCCTCTGATTTCATTGTGGGTGCATCCACAGGTGGCGCTAGCTCTTTTTTCAGCTGCTCCGAGGATTGGGACCTAAGTCATCATGAAAAAGGCCCAGGTACAGTCTTAATGTGATAAATCCACTAGCTAAGACGTTGAGTGCCAAGACTAGCCTTCCAGCCAAGGTTTGGACAAAGTCTCAAGTTCCCATGACTCAGGGTAAGGTGCTGGGGCTGCCAGAGGACCTGCCCCAGCAAGATTTTTCTCAAGAGTGAGACTCCATCAGCCCGGGCAGACGTGAGCAGGTTCTTGGCTGGTGTAGACAGCAGCAAACAGCAGAAGGGAAGCCATTCTCACTACATCCTCCCTGCAGTAGCCACAGCCAGGCCCTTAGGAGGAGCAGCAACCGGGGGTGTCCAGAAACATCCCGTCCCTGGATGGAAACTAGGTCTCGTTTGGATTTTTTTTTCTTTTTTTTGCCATGTTATGAAATTATTTATTAATTTACAAGACAGGTTTTATCTCAGCCAAGGAGGGAAATGGCGTCCCTGTCCCTCCCAAAGCACAGAGCAGAGAAATGAGGCTGTTTACATCGCGAGTCTCCGTGCTGGTGTTTAAGTCATTAAAAAGATATTCAAAAAAAAAGTCTCTAAATACAGGTTTATGGAATAATTCATAACAGCTTTAAGGAACTATCATGGTATACTGGGAAAGTCACTCATATTGCAGGATAGATTTCTTCTGTTGGCTGGTGAGCATTTGTTTATAGTTGGCCTTGAATCTACCACAATTTTAGAAGTAGTTCTTTTATTTCTTTAAAAGCAACATTTTGGGACAAAATATTGTGAACAAATAAGGAATACGACTATATTTGTGAAACCCCTTGTTAATTTCCAAGTGATATTTTAAATCTTGAATAAGACATGTATGCTCATAAATAAAGAGGAAAAAGAAATAATTAAATCAATGTTCATAAGAGCTTCTCAGAAAATAAGAAAGAGATAAGTGATAGAACTATAATCTACAATCTACCCTAACAGTATATTTGCATCACTTCTTAAACTTTGTTTAGTATTTTAACACGCTGTTTCTTATTATATGGGAAGAATGCTGTGAGGTAGCATGTTAATGTTTTGCAGATTAATAAACTGATGTTAAAAGAGATTAAGTGACTGATTTTGTACTTTCATTATCTCAAAAGTGCAACTAAAACTGCACTTAGGATTGCCACTCCTGTCGGGGGCCATGGCTTTGGTCCTATTTTCTGCAAGTCTCTGGATGACGTCTGTCCACCCACTGTCTCTGAGTGCTCTCCTCACCTCGGCCTTCCTCCCTTATTTTAGTCCAACACCTGTCACCACTCTTCAGAATCCTCATGAAACTTCAGGAAGATCGACTGGGTAGGGCTTGTTTCAGAATTATCATCCAGCATTCTAGGGCTGATTTAGAATTCAGAGAAAGAAGCAAAAGCACTTATCAAAGTGTCTGTTCTAGAGGTAAGCTCAGAGGCACCATGGCAATTCCCACATTTCCCCAGCATGTCTTCAGAAATACCTGATACTGTCATCTCAGGCCCAGATATCATCCACCAGCTGAAGGCCGTGGGCAACATTCACATCTCAGAGTAAAGAGTGTTTTAGAAGTCCATGGGCAATCACCAGTCATGCAAGGAGTTCCAGGGGCCAGCCAGTTGTTCCTTTCATGAGTTAGGAGGCAGTAAGGACATCACGGTGATCATTTCCACTGAAAACACAAATTTAAGTCCACTCTGCTACTCAGCAGTTAATGCTGACTTCTGAAAATTATGAAGCATTTATCACTATGGTCTCCTTCTAGGTTTATCAGTGCAGTCAGCTCAGAAAACTTTCATTCCTTTGGTATATCCAGCTCCAGCTAATCAGGTAGGGAACAATGAAAACAGGCTGACATTTGATTCAGAGGTTCTGGAAAGAAAGTGGACCTGGCAACAAAGTGACTGCACTTACAACCCCCCAACCTAATGTCATCAGGATCCAGGGTAGACCACCTGGGGCTACTGGGGAGAGAAGACAGTTTCAGAGGCTGTCTATTATAAGCAGCTCTGATTAACATCTTAGGACCACAAGACAAATTATCATTGGTATTTGAAGGCAAAAGTTCATGGATGATCTGGGCCTGGGTGAGTACCTGGGTCTAACTCACAAGTCTCAGAAAGGCCCTCTGGGTCCATTCCCGATATATTAACAAAATGCCTGAAACACAGTGGGGTTTGAGCAAATGATAGAATGAATGTTTATGGAAGGACGGTTGTCTGACCTCTTCTACTATACACTTTTGAGAAAGGTTCTCAGAATGTATGGTTAAAGTATTGTATAGGTTGAGCATTCCTAATCCAAAAATCTGAAATTCACATTTTTTGAATGCTGACACAATGTTCAAAGGTCATACTCAAAAGGAAATGCTCATTAAAGCTTTGTAGATTTCTGATTTTTGAATTTGGGGTGTCAACCAGTAAGTTTAATGCAAATGTTGAAAAATTTTTTAAAAATCCAAAACGCATCTTGTCCCGAGAATTTTGGATAAGGAATACTCAAACTGCATTTCAATTGTTTGTTTGTTTGCTCTGTCTTCAAAAATGAGCCAGGTGCAGTGGCTCATGCCTGTACTCCCAGCACTTTGGGAGGCTGAGGTGGGCGGATCACTCGAGGAGTTGGAGACCCGCCTGGCCAATATGGCAAAACCCTGTCTCTACTAAAAGTTAAAAAAAACACTTAGTCTGGCATGGTGGCAGGCTAATTTTGTAATCCCAGCTACTCAGGAGGCTGAGGCAGGAGAATCGCTTGAGCCCAGGAGACAGAGGTTGCCGTGAGCCAAGATTATGTCACTACACTCCAGCCTGGGTGAGAGAGTGAAACTCTGTCTCAAAAAAAAAAAAAAAGAATGAGTTTCTTCAAGAGAGAAATTGTACCTTGTTCATGTCCATCACTCCCATGCATAATATGGTTCCATAAGAACTCAGTCCTTATGAAACTCCACTCAGTAAGGACTCAGTTTTTTCAGAATGAGCAGACCAAGTAAGAGCAATTACTTATTGTCATGTAGCTCAGATGAGAAAGGGCTGGGATTTGAGAAAATGCTCTATTACTGAATAGGATCTGGATGGCTGGATTCCATCACAGATGTAAAGCAAGACTACAGTAGTGTGTCCAACAAGATCGAGTGATAGCAGGTTGTAGTGCAGGTAAGTAGATATCCACGAAGGGTTGCAAATGAAGTTTTGACCTGTCCAAACAGATGGATGCAGTACAAGACAATTTATCCTTACAAGAAAGATAGCAAATTGGAATTAGGAATATTTGTCATTTCAGAGGGTCCAAGACAATGGTCCAGGATCCAGGACTGGGGAATCCCTTCCTGAGGACGATGACAGGTAAAAAAAAGGATCAAGCTGAAGCTCAAAAATCAGACTTGGGTGCCGGGAGAGGAGACTAAGGAACAGACTGAGATCCACTTACCAGAGCCAGGGTATTGTCTCTGCATAAGCTCAGAGACAAAGAAAAATGATGAAACCACAGCTGGCAGACACGTAGTCATGTAAATCTCCTTAGCATCATTGCAGGATTCGTGCTGAAAGTCGAGGCAATGGTGAAGCTGCAGGAGGGCTGTAGGTGGTCATAGCTCAGGAAGGAAGGGTCTTTCAGAGACTAGAAACTAGGTCTGAGCTAAAACATTTGCAATCTTGGATTTCTTTGGGGATGTTCATTCTACTAACAAACCAACACCAATTTAATTTCCTGATGTTTATTTTGGGAGGTTTACAAGAATTAATTTCCTTGGAACTGATTTTTTTAAACATCCATTATAGAAAATTCTTTTTCTCACTTGTGAACACCTCTGAAAAAGAAGTATTATTTATAAAAGTTGGTACCTGTTGAACTATTAGAGTTGTGGGGAAAAGCCTTTACAGGGTTCACAAGAAAAAGCCTTCTCCAACTATGACTTACAGATGTACTCTTAAAATAATGACTTGACATATTTATATGTATATCATTAGTTTAATATCTTACCTAATTGTCCAACAAACTAATTCAATGTTGTTTGCAATGCATTAAATGAACAAAAGATAAACTTGGTAATAGAGAATCCAGAAAGCCTAGTGGCCCATGAAATCACTGGATTTGCAAAGTTATTTTCTCTTCAGCGCTGTGCACTATCTCAGAACAAAATCTGTTGGCAAAGCACTTTATTGGCAACCAATGCGTTAGAATATAGAGACATTAGGAACGCCACATGGGGTCCAACCAATGCTCCATCCAGGCCAGCCTAGTGCAAAAGCAACATGAGTGGATTTTGGAGAGCGAGGTTGCCTGATGTGGTATCAGTTTGTAGTGTTGGAATTATTTAAAATATCTTCCCAAAATCATTTTGTGAACTAACATGGAACTCTATCATTTCAGACAAATCCCTTGATTTTTTCCCACAGCTCTCCCTCTTTGTGTTAGAGTTCCATACATGTAATGCCCAATATGTGAAGAGAAAATTAACATTCCCCTTTTTCTACTTGCAGACTTCCAAACATTTACTGAAACCTTAAACTCTTACTGATTCTTTAAACTGTCCCCATTCCAGTTTTCTCTACAGCAAGTAGCTCTCAATGTGTAGTCCTCAGATGGGCAGCATCCACTGGAAAACTGCTAGGAATGCACATTCTCAGGCCTCACCCAAGATCTGCTGAATCAGAAGCTCTGGGGTGGAACCCAACAACCTGCATTTTAACAAGCCTTCCAGATGACTCTGAAGCATGCTCCATACTGACAACTAATGCAATGCATTATGGTAAATTTGCCCACCCACCCTCTGGCAAAAATAACATCTAATTGCATTTCCTTTTTAGTTTGATGAGTACTTATCTCGGTATCTTTTAATTCACCTGATGTTTCTGTTGGTAACAAAACCAACAAAAACGTTGTAAATTTGGTACACTGAAATGCAAAATAAGAGTGAAGGAGAGGACACTGGTAGTGAAATCAACAACTATAAAGCAGTTTGGGGAAATTCAGTTTAGGGACAGGCATTATATCTCAAAAATCCAGTGAGCATCACATTATAAAAGCACGGCTCCAAAGGTGACGATTTCATGTGAGGACCCTTCAGTCACAAACAGAGGATTAGCTCACGTTCATTATTTCCAAATTTCCCTCACCAAAGCACACATTATTAAGGCATTTTTGAGACATTTTTATCAAAATGAAAATGTGTTTGACAATGGAGCAAACTGAGATATATGAAATATTTACTTGTTTGAATATCTGAAGATACTAGAAATGTGTCCTTAATTTACTCTGTCTTATATGAAATGTAAACCAATGCTATCCATTAGCTTCTAAACATGTTCCAACTGATGCATGTTGCAACTGTTCCAGCCCTGTTGCATAGGACAAGACTCAGTTTTTTCAGAATGAGCAGACGAAGTAAGACCAATTACTTATTGTCATTGAAGTTTGTGGTTTTTGTTCAAATTTTATAAGGGTACAATATAATGTGTTTAATCATCATGGTGGCCACTTTTTATACATAGCTTTTTAAAAACTTAAATGCAAACTTCACAACCTTTGCCTCATACTGAATGAGGCCTCATAACAAGCCCTCCAGATGAGTCAGTACCAGTAGAAGTCTGATTTCACATTCCATGAGTGTTTGCTGAAGGAGAATACATGTGCCTGTGTTCTGCTGGGCATTTCTGAAGGATATTGACAAGCACAGCATATAAATCCTAGGCTAGCTGTGTCACAGATTGGCACAATGGCAGAAAGAATATCTCTGTGAATTTACATCCCGGCAGAGGCAAATCAATCAGTCAACTATGGAGTTGATTGATTTCCATTGTTAAATTCAATTGGAAAAAAAAGTTGAAATTTTCTCATATTCTTTGTCATCTAATATCTGTGTTTTTCTCTGTTCAGTTACTCTTCTCTGGATTTCAAATAGAATTTCTAATAATAAACGTGTACCAATTCTATCATCAAGCTGTTTATGTTCTTTACATTTCTGTTCTTGATAATTATATGCTAGTCTTTGAATATGAAGATAATGCTTCTGACCCAATATTCATAATGCATGTGCCTCGAGTTGTTATTTTTTGCAAGAGAAATAAGTTTATTTTGATCTGATACATTTTCTTTCCCAGTCTTCATGTGACCAGCAGCACCAACTGCAAGACTGTCTGTCACCTGAGTGTGACTTGCAACCAAGCACATGTGGGAATTCAGTGAAGGCCCCTGCCTTGACCTCATTATCAACAGGAACCAGCCAAAGACAGTGGTCACTCTTTATCCATGTAAATAGACACCGTAATTTATTTTCAAAAAAATCCAAAGGAAAAAATTTAAGGCCATTATAATACCAGAAATCTGCACTGTGAGTACTTGGAAGATGACAGTTGATAAAGCTGGGAGGTTTACAATGACTAGATTGTCAGAAGGGGTTAAATGTATGTTCTAATAATAAGAGAACAAGAAAAAAGAATGCCCTGGTGAAGTGTAAATTTAAAATACAGTGGTACATTTTAGGAAAACCAAAAATCAATCCATGAACTTTGAAATGAAGGGAGATAGTTCTGAGAGAACTAGAGGAACTGGACTTGAGATCCAAGATTACAATTTACTCAATTTTTTATAGATACTTTAAGTATGGAAAATTTAATTTTATTCTTATAGATAGTAAGGTATAATACAGAATATAAAGTCCATTAAATTAAGGTGATTATAGATCCTGGTTTTCTTGACACTCCTATATCATGCTGATGGTTCCTGTGTGAATATTAACATTACCCCCTTCAATTCACAAGTGTCTTGCACTGTGTGTGTGTGTGTGCGCGCACACGTGCGTGTGTAGCTTTTGGTTTTATTCTTGTTTGTTTGTTTTGCAAAAATGAAATAATAGCAAACATGTGATCCTGAAACTTTCTTCACTGAATACGTATCTTAGAATCTTTATTTTTCTTATTATTCAAAATAATTCATTTTTTAACCTACTACTTACTCATCATTGAATATAGTTATTTAATCCTCTTTTAAAACCATTTGAATTGTTTTAAATTTTGTCCTACTGCAAATAATTTCATCATATTCTTTTAACCTATAACTGCACATATGTTTTAGTATTTCTGTAGGTTAAATTTTTGGAAATGGTATCAGATCAAAAAAGTTAACATTAAAGTCATAATCAATATTCCCAAATGTAGACACATTTTTGAATCTTCAATTTAATCACTTTCATAAAATTTCAACTTTCCTTAATAATACTTCCAATTTAAACTAAGGAGCTTTAATTGTTTAGGACCACAAAGATTTCTATCAGAGGGAGGACAAAACGTGAAATATTTTGTTTTGTAACTTATTTGTTGCAAAAAAACATCACTGCTGTTTGGAAATTGAGAAACTGTCCAAACAAGTACACTATGGACAACAAATGTCGTGAACTGCCTGTCCACACTGAGGTTTGAGAGCCACAGGAGACTTGAGACTTCTTCTAAGACAGTTTAAAGAAGTCTCATTTATTTGTCTTTTTATACAATGTAGCAAATCAATATATTAAATAATATAAGAACACCAAGCTTTCTTACATATAAAACTAGAGTAACCTATCAAACAAAGCTGTTCCACGTAACTGAGAACTCATTAACCCTGAGGTACTAGGAATATATGAAGTCAGTGCAATAGCAGGCGATAGCCTGTCACGTGCAACTAGGGCTGCTGGTGGGGAAAAGTACAACATCCCAGATTCGTCAGTGATGTGGCTGGATTGTTGGGTGTGAGAAATGCACCAGCCCTGACTCAGAGATGCCCTCTCTTGCTCATCTTCCTGTCATTCTGGTGCTGAACACCTGTGCCCACCCATAGTGACCTGTGACCGAGGGCATGGGCACCAACACCTTCCCTATCTCCCTGTCTTTTTTCTTTCCCTCTTTTCCCTTTATTCATTCCACTATCCTTCTTCCTCCCCCTCACAACCCCAACTCTTTTCATATCATCAACAAATGGCAAGTACAGGCCCTGAGGAAGACACAGATGACTAAGATGGAGCTTCTGCCCTTGAAAAGCCCCTGATCTAGTCTGGGAGACTGACATATAATCAGAGGATCAGATAGCCTGATGAATACCATGATCATGTGCCTGACACCTTAGAGTAAAGAAAATGTGGCATCTCATGTTGCTAGGAGGAATCAGGACAGCTTTGCAGAGCACCAGGTGTTTGTGATGCATCTGCAAGTTCATTGTCTTTGAGTGTAGGAAACCACCATTGGAGCATATAGGCTGGACCTAGGAACCCTGGGCTCTGCACCAAACACAGGCTCCTGAATGGAAGATAGGTGACATTGTCACTGTCCTCAGTCCCTGCCCTGGCTTGCCTAGAATGCAATAAATTAAGTTGTTATAGGTGGTGTGTACTTGTACCTAAAGATGTCACTGCTAGCTGAGAGGAAATAAGCCCCTGAAGATTGTTAGGGCAGTGAAATTATTCTTTAAGATACTGTTATGGGAAATATATGACATAATGCATTTAGCAAAGCCCATAGAACCGTACAACACAGGGACTAAATCCTAATATAAACTGTGGATGTTAGTTAATCATAATGCATGAATATTGGTTCATCAGTTGTAACAAATGTGCCACACCAACACAAAATGTTAACAATAGGAAAAACCAGAGGCTGGTGGGGGAAGAGAGTATACAGGAACCCCATATATTTTGCTCACATTTTCTGAAAACCTAAAACTGGTCTAAAAATCAAAGTCTATTAATTTTTTTAAACACCTTGAAACAGTATGTCTATCTTCTATTAGTTCCCTGCCTTTGTGAAAATAAGAGCAGACTTTTGGTTTTTCTTCTTTAGGACAAGAATTATATTTTTATAATAACTCCTCCATTTCTTTTGATATATCTAATTATTTCTTTAATAACTGGATCAAACACTTTAATATTAATGAAGGTAGAGCCAATAGGATATCCTGGTAGATTGGAAGAGACAGTGAGAGAAACAGAGGCATAAAGGATGATGCTGAAGTTTTTGGCTTGAGCAAGAAGAAGCAGGGCTGGTACTAGGGTGAGCCAAGTGAGATGCTGAGGGCATACAATTTAAGGAGGCCCTTGCATAGCCATGCAAAAGCAAGGTCAGCACTTCCTTGATGCTCTGAATGCCTTAAAGTTTGTGCCTAAGTGGTTGGCTTACTTCACTCTTGTCCTAGTCCTGACTGGATCAATGATATCACCATCCACTGAGTTGGGGCAGGCTGAGCAGAAGCAAATTTGGGGAGGCTGGATTGAATATAGAAGCTTGGTTCCGGACATGTTGACTTTGAGATGGCCATTGAACATTCAAGTGGAGACATCAGGTAGTCAGCTGGATCTCTGAGTCTATATCTCAGGAAAGAGGCTGAGACTAAAGTTATGTATTTAGAAGTTATCACAAGACTAGATGAACTCATGAAGAAAGTGAGTGTGAATGGATAGTTAGATGGATAAGGGAAGAGTTTCAAGGCCTGAGCCATGAAATACTTCTATTTGTCAGAAAGAAAAAGAGGAGCCAGCAAGGAACCTTGAAAAAGAGCAGGCAATAAGAGAAGGAACACTGGCAGTGTACATTCCTGGAAGACAAGACAATGCTTCAAGGAGTAGAGAGTAATAAGTTGTGTTTCATGCTGCTAGAGTTGAGTTAGACAAAGCTTGAAACTAGAACTTTGGTGTTAGTAGCATTGAGGTCATCGACGATGTTGACTAAAACAGTTTTGGTGGAGAGATGACAACAGAAGCCTGAACAGAGTGCACTGAAGAGAGAAGAAGAGAGGAGAGAAATTTGATTCTGCATATACATAAAACTCTTTCAAGGTCTTTTAGAAAGAGGAAGGAAGATAGAAAGAGAGAGACAGACAGACAGAGTGAGAGAGATGAGAGAGAAGCCAGAGGGGGAAGAGAGGTCCAGAATTTAATACTTTCCCAGTTTTTCCAACTTGCATCTCAACCCCTTATCTCTGGGTTTTAGCAGTGGATACTTTGAGATTCTAATATTTATCTCCTCAGAACGTGAGATGCAGAAGAGGAGATAGGAAATTGAGATAATAACTACTTTCTTCTGATGGGTGGGAAAAATTCTATATGAGAGTTTTTCTACCAAGACACATGTGAAAGGAAGTGGCAACATGTGGCAATTCATCTAAGATCAACAACTTTTTTTCTCTGTTTGAATTTGTTGATTTGGAAGTTATTTGTCTGGCTCTGCAACAGAATCATTATTTGCTCTACCAATTTTTCTAAAGTCTCACATGCTGATGCCAGTTAAAAAAGAATACATTTTAGTCTGTCAACTTTTGCTTACAAAAGAGGATCTAAAAGTGTGTTCCAAGGTAATTTGAACAGACTCTTTCAAGATAGTGCATATTTTAGTAGATCCACAGAACAGTAAATATAACTTGATAATCACCCCCAACATTTCTTGCATTGGAAAATTGAATTGGCAGGTTTGCATAATAAAGGGCTAAAATTATGAACCACACAAGATTTGCCTGAAACTTGATTGTTCAGGCTCAAAATTCTCTACTGAATACTCTTGTGCTTGCTTTTGTATTTATCCATTTTCATGAAACTGCTTAGGGCAGACATTTCTTTTTTAAATCTTTTTTCATAAAAATAAATTGTAATAAATATGCCGGCGGATGGTAGAGATGCCGACCCTACCGAGGAGCAGATGGCAGAAACAGAGAGAAACGACGAGGAGCAGTTCGAATGCCAGGAACGGCTCAAGTGCCAGGTGCAGGTGGGGGCCCCCGAGGAGGAGGAGGAGGACGCGGGCCTGGTGGCCAAGGCCGAGGCCGTGGCTGCAGGCTGGATGCTCGATTTCCTCCGCTTCTCTCTTTGCCGAGCTTTCCGCGACGGCCGCTCGGAGGACTTCTGCAGGATCCGCAACAGGGCAGAGGCTATTATTCATGGACTATCCAGTCTAACAGCTTACCAGTTGAGAACGATATACATATGTCAGTTTTTGACAAGAATTGCAGCAGGAAAAACCCTTGATGCACAGTTTGAAAATGATGAATGAATTACACCCTTGGAATCAGCCCTGATGATTTGGGGTTCAACTGAAAAGGAACATGACAAACTTCAAGAAGAAATACAGAATTTAATTAAAATTCAGGCTATAGCTGTTTGTATGGAAAATGGCAACTTTAAAGAAGCAGAAGTCTTTGAAAGAATATTTGGTGATCCAAATTCTTATATGCCTCTCAAAAGCAAATTGCTTATGATAATCTCTCAGAAAGATACATTTCATTCCTTTTTTCAACACTTCAGCTACAATCACATGATGGAGAAAATTAAGAGTTATGTGAATTATGTGCTAAGTGAAAAATCATCAACCTTTCTAATGAAGGCAGCAGCAAAAGTAGTAGAAAGTAAAAGAACAAGAACAATAACTTCTCAAGATAAAGCTAATGAAAATTATGTTGAAACGGAAACTGAAGCTAATTTGGATACAAGAAAAAGGTCTCACAAGAATCTTTTCTTATCTAAGTTACAACATGGGACCCAGCAACAAGACCTTAATAAGAAAGAAAGAAGAGTAGGAACTCTTCAAAGTACAAAAAAGAAAAAAGAAAGCAGAAGAGCCACTGAAAGCTGAATACCTGTTTCAAAGAGTCAACCGGTAACTCCTGAAAAACATCGAGCTAGAAAAAGACAGGCATGGCTTCAGGAAGAAGACAAGAATTTGAGATCTGGCATGAGGAAATATGGAGAGGGAATTATAAATTCAACAACCGGACAAGTGTCATGTTAAAAGACAGATGGAGGACCATGAAGAAACTAAAACTGATTTGCTCAGACAGCGAAGACTGATTGTGTTTGTAAAAGCTTGATGAAAGGACAGTTAAGTATTTTGATCACTGCATTTTGTTTGAAACTTGTGTCATTGATGTATTTTAAAACTTTTGTTTAAGCATTACAGTATTTTTCTGTGACCATCAATTAATATGAGGGTTTGTGCTATAAGAGTTAGAGCATATGCTATCATTGTATTCTTTAAGAACTTTATTTTGATAAAATGTAAATTTGTTGAACCCTGCCACATTTAGTATCCCCACCCCCAAAACCTGTTCCAATGAAAAAATTAAAACCTGTTACGAAAAAAAAATTCAGTTAACCTATTTTGTGTCTGTAGGCTGACCTCAACACTGTAACATAACCCATTAAAATGAATTTTTTTTTTAAGACAGAGTTTCTCTCTGTCACCCAAGCTGGAATGCAATGGCACAATTTCAGCTCACTGCAACCTCTGCCTCCCGGGTTCAAGCAATTCTCCTGCCTCAGCCTCCTGAGTAGCTGGGATTATAGGCACACACCACCATGTCCAGCTAATTTTTGTATTTTTAGTAGAGGCGGGGTTTCACCATGCTGGTCAGGATGGTCTCGAACTCCTGACTTCATGATCCACCCACCTCGGCCTCCCAAAGTGCTGAGATTACAGAAGTGAGCCACTGTGTCCTGCCTAAAATGAATTTTCTAGACGACTGAATAACAGTAGTCCTTTGATAGGAGATAATGACTTGGTTTATGGCCTTAATACACTACTTAATTACTTAAGATGTTTATTAATAGAATGATAAATGTACAGAGTAACCTACAAGCATGACATACTTTTGCTTTCAGTAGTTTCATGTAAAGAAAAAAACTTGAAAATAGTAATACCTGAGGACCCATGGGAATAACAGACACTGGGGAGGTAGGGTGGGGAGCGGGAACAAGAGCTGAAAAACTACCTACTGGGGACTCTTCTCACTACCTGGGTGACAGGATCATCCATACCCTAAACCTCAACATCACACAGTACACCCAGCTAACAAACCTGCCCATGTGTTCCCTGAATCTAAAAAAAAATTGAAATAATTGTTTTAAAAAAGAAAAAGACAATAGTATTACCCATGGGACAAAATTTGTACTATTAGCAAGAATCATTTGTGTCTCATTTAGAAACAATTTGACTTTTGTTCCAGTGTTTAAACTTTGACAAAAATGGTTTTGAATAGATCTTTATAACCTGATGCCATAAATACAAGATTCTCTGATACCTTCATTTAATATATCAATATTGGGCCTAAAAGAGTATTCTATAAAGCTTAAATTGGTATTAACTATGATCATCTTGATGTCTATGATAGATAATAAACAAGGTCATACATACCTTACTAAATAATTTTGGTTTTTCACCAACATTTTATCTAAAAGATTTAGACTAACAGAATTATTTAGCATTTCGAGTCATGTGCTTTATTTAGCAAGTGAGTAAAAATATTGGAATATTGAAGTATTTGCATAAAAAATCAAATGGCAGTGTTTTGTGATCTCTATTGTATTTTCTATTAAGGTTTCATATATTACTTTCCCATTGTTTCTGAATTTGTTATCCTATATATAAACAGAAACATGGATGAGTACCATAAAAAATAAATAAATAAATATGCCAAACTCACTCCAATAGCATCCATCATATCATATGTATTATATAAATACATATTTTACCATTATAATTGACAAACCAGCAATTATGAGCTTGATTCTTTGTGGATGCATTAGGAGAGTGTTTCTTCATAGGATATAATATTTTGTAATTTCTTATTCTTTACTGCTTGCTGCGCTGTAAAACGTTTATAAAATGAGTTCCTTTTGGGGTGTGAAATGAGCAATCATCAGAGGAAAAGCATTAAGGACAAGAAAGTGGAGTGAGGATCATGAAGCATGTGCATTTCTTTCTCAAGGTCATGGGTAAATTTCAGCTCCATGGAAAATCTTGAGAAAGAATCCAGCAAGAATGAGATCATGAAATGTTAGCTTTCCCCAAGTAGAAATTCCATAATTGAACTATAAAATTGCTGCTTACAAATTTTTTCTTCTAAATTCCACTTGAAATTAGGGAATTGAAAGGGCCAGGAGGGACCTTGGAATTCATCTAGTCTGAATTCATTATACATAGGAAAAGTTAAGCTGAGCCATTCTGCAAGTCACACTAATGTGACATAGAAAATACTAGAACCTAAGGTTCTGAATTACTGTTTCAGGTGTTCATCTGCTACAACAAACATTTATCAAACACCTAGTAGGTATAAGAGATCATTTAAACCCACCCCAAAGGATACAAAGTTGAGGAAATCACTCTTTGCCTTTGCAGAAATCACAATCTATTATCAAAGCATATGATAGAAATTTCAATATCTAAAACACAAGATCCAAAGTGTTGAGTGCCATGAGAATGATATAAGAGTTTAAGAAGGGAGAGATACAACAAAGTTTGGGCAAGCCAGTATGTTTCTTGAAGGAATAGCACTTAATTTGTGATGTGAAGATAAAATCTCAGTAAAGAAAAATGGGGAAGCAGATGGTAAGCCTGGCAGAAGGAATATTATTAGCAAGTGCAGGAAAATATACTCTAATCAAAAAGAGCAAGTAGCCTAATGTGACTGGATTTCAATTTACCTTTACATTTTTCTATCATGTTATTTCATGCCCATAAATTATGGCAATAGTCTAAATGAACTTGAATATCAGACCAAATTGCCTTGTCTTATGTAGTAACCCACTCAAGTTTCTAAGCAGAAAATAACCTGACCCCCATTCTCTGAGATTTGAGAAAAAATTGTGTATCCTTCATTAAAGTTTGGAATGCATTTTGGAAGGAAAGAGGAAAACTGAACGAATATGTCCTGACCACGTGTATTACTCATTTGCTCTGAAAGCCATACCCTGCCCCTTTTTCTG
The DNA here is from genome assembly GCF_000001405.40 of Homo sapiens. Lineage (NCBI taxonomy): Eukaryota > Metazoa > Chordata > Mammalia > Primates > Hominidae > Homo > Homo sapiens. The sequence continues at coordinate 13,780,180 of NC_000021.9, forward strand.
CTCAGCTCTGAATGTTAGTCTCAGACTTAGGTTTAGCTAAGTGAAGGCAGAGGAGCAGGCATCCAAAGGGTGGAAGGGAAGGAGAAGCCAGACTATTTCTTCTCACTCTCTGTACTTGAGGTAGCATCTCTTCTCTGGTTTCGGTTCCTGTTGTGCAGTCTTTGCCATGCTTCCAGCCTGGCAGCCTTGGCATTTCCTAAGCAGTTCCTTCTCCATGATTCCAGGTCCTACTGAGGCCCCAACTCAGAGAATCCCGTAGTGCCATTGCCTCCCTTTGTGCTCCATTTCTGATATCATAGAGACTTTCTGTTGTTGCTAACCTCTGGGTGCTTCACATTTCCTTATTAACTTTTTCCACTCTTCCAATATAGGATATTAAAAAGCATATTACTGAAATGTTAAAAAGCATATCTGCCTTTAGATATAATTAAACAAAGGGCCTCAAACAAAGTCACCATGGACCTGCCTCTTTCTCCCTATTCCTGGACTCTTCTGTGCTCTTTTTGCATTGTCTTTGCTGTCAGGCTAGTTCTTTCTGCATAATTGGAAAGATGACTGTTGCTTGGCCCAAGTCTACATCCTTATGGCTCATAATCCAAATGAAAAAGAGATTATCTATTTTCCAGAAACCCTGTATTAAATCTCAAATTTGAATTTGATTGATTTGCTAGAGGGTAGGGTGATGAAGTTCTCTGGTCCTGGTCATTGGAGAAGGGTAAATGTTATTTCAGCCTCATTCAAGTTTTATGGAGCGAGGCATAGCATTTACTCAAAAGAAGGGATACTGGGCAAACAACAGTCATCTAATACAGACAGATGCTGAAAATTATCTATTTGCTCCTCCATATCCACTCTTCATCCTTTTCTAACCTGATTTTGTGCAAAGGAAGCTCACCTCCTTGGCCACTCTCTTCCTTTGTCCTCTGACTTTACGTCAAGTGCAGCCAATGGAGCACATTGCCATGGGATTGGAAAGCAAGAGGAAAGAGCCTTAGTGGGGTTTATTCCACCCCCACCTGGCCAGGCAGTGATGTGGCAGTGGCGGTGGCAGCATCCCTCACTGAAGCAGCTCTTGCTGGGTAGTATCTCCCATGTGCAGGTTCCCCAGTGCTCTGATAAGAGCTCCTACCTCCCCCATCCCTACAGGACTGATGGTAGGAATGGCCTTCACCACCTCTAGTCCTTGGGTGCGTCATTGCTTCTAGTGGGTTCCTTAGCTTTGTCCATACCCTGAATGAACTCTTGATTAAACCCTCTTCAGTTATCCTTTTTTTAGCATGCCAACTGATCCAGCCAGGACCTGGTACTTATGGGTTAAATGATTATTGCCACTTTCTAGCTGACAAAGCCAAGCTTAAACATTTTCAGAAACTTACTAGAGACCACACAATGAGGAGGAGGTGGGTTTGGGACTGAAATTTTTGTTTATTTGCCTTCAAAATCTGGATCTTAAAAGAACAATTTCTCCCCCTTTGACAGACATAAACCCAACGGCATCTGTGCCATTGTCATGTGCCTTGTCTGTCTACCTTCTACATACATCCGATTATGATGGGCCAGACAGACAGGGATTTTGGCTTCCTTAGCAAAATTGGCTCTTAAGTTAAAAGGAAAAACAAAATAAGATGGAGAATCCCCTCTCCTACATTCACAACTTCATGGCTGATTCCAGTTTGCTTTTTGTTAATATACACATTCCATTTCTTATAGTCTGTGAGTAAATGGGCCTTTCATAAGCCCATCCAAAGGGTAGCTTACAATTTTCATTCTGTCCCCTCTCCTTGCACTTTTCTTAAAGTGAATGAATTACTAGTTAATGCCTGAGAGAGTAAAATCCCTGATCCAATTTTTTCACAAAATGTATAGTTTTATGTGGAAGAAAATAGGAGTCTGGAAGATACTCAGCCTCAATGAACTTTACTCCTCTGAGGAAGGTTAGCAAGAGGGATAGGAGTCAGGAGAGGCACCCTCATTAGTCACCAGCTCTGATTGTAAACAGTGGGATCATTGCTTTTAATTCTTTACCATAGAACTTTCTCTGGCACCAGATTCATGTAAGTATAATTCAGAAATGTAAGTGGATAACAGCTTATTGTCCAAGGTTCCCAAGGACCAAAAAAGAAGGTGCAAAAAATACTTAAAAGTAGCCAAGTAACTCTGACCTGGAGTGCTGAAGTTCATTCCCTTTCTACATCATTTGCATAATATCTCCATATCCAAATGGTATCCCAGAATACATGAAGGAATTAGGAAGTCTAAAAAGTTAAATGGAAAATAATAGCATGGGTAAAGTGCAATTAATGCCATAAGCAGGAAAGGCAAATACACTGATTTAGCTGAGATTTAACACAACTTTGGAATTCAACTTGGCAAAGCAAGAGGGGACATTGGAAAAGCCGTACCTTGCTAAGAGAGAAAGTAGCTTTCTATTCTGAAGCAGCTATATATGTGCAGTCATAGAAGGCCCAATCCACGAGAGAAATGAGCAGTCTGGTTTATGGGAAGAATCCAATGCAAGAAGGCATTTACATGTAGCTAAATCACTGATCTTGAGAGGTCAAGGAAGATAGAAACCTTATTTAATGACAAGGTAACAAAAACAGAAATAACACTTTTTAAATTATTTTTAAAATCTTACTTGTGATGCATACTAATGTCCCAGAGTTGTGTGGGCTTTTCTTCAGAAGTACAGATTCACAAAGGGTTATTTATTTATTTATTTATTTATTTATTTATTTATTATACTTTAAGTTCTGGGATACATGTGCAGAATGTGCAGGTTTGTTACATAGGTATACAGATGCCATGGTGGTTTGCTGCACCCGTCAACACATCATCTATGTTAGGTATTTCTCCTAATGCCATCACTCTCCTAGCCCCTCACCCCATAATAGGCCCCACTGTGTGATGTTCCCCTCCTTCTGTCCATGTGATCTCATTGTTCAGTTCCCACTTGTGAGTGAGAACATGCGATATTTGGTTTTCTGTTCCTGTGTTAGTTTTCTTAGAATGATGGTTTCCAGCTTCATCCATGATTATTTTGAGAAAAGTTTAGAGTAAAACAAAGGATAGACCAAGGGCCTCTGTGGTCAGAGTTTGTGCTCTGAAAGGGGGACCCTCTCTCCATGGTGCTAGGCAGTCACAGTGATACACAGATAAAACAGAAATGATCTCCCTGTTTTCTTCAACAAAGTTCCAATTACTCCCAGCATCTTCACAATGGGTGAGAATGAACCTCTGTTGAGTGCAACATGCTCCGTGGTTTGTGTTTCTTTACTTTTTTGTTTTGCTGCAAGGTTGCAGGCTCCTTTGTAGTCTACAAACACCTTGAGAGCAGGAATGGCCTTTATTCATCATTGTTCTTATTTCTTAGCTCAAGGCCTGGACACATAGCAGGCATTTAATAAAGTGAGTTCTGTTAACCTCATCTTTAAATGTTGATGTTGTTTTCTTTTCAGGAGAAAAACTTATTTAGGTCACAGACATACACACATACCACATGCATTCACACTCCAGAAAAGTAAATCCAACACATACACACACACAAAGAACAACTGATGTAAAAAATAATAATGGTAAATTGAAGGCAATAAAACATTTATTTTTATACTAAAATTAAAAAATAAGATATGAAGAAAGCTGAGCATAAAAGATTGACATATACAGAAGCTACAATAAAACAGACCCACAAAGCATTATTTCATGTCTTCATGTATTGATTTTTTTTCTCTAACATGGGGAATGAGGTAGGTTTTCCATTGCCTCCCACTTTCTGTTGGCTGCTGATGGCTACATTTCCTTTTCTGAGAATCTCACATATTGACCATAGATATTGTTGTCACTAAATAAACCACAGGCACCATTAATCAAATAGGAATTAGTGAAAGGGAAAGAGGTATAGTGGGTTGAATAATTTTTCCCTAAATTTATACGCATCTGTGTCTTAGTTCATTTGAGCTGCTATAACAAAAATACCATAGACTAGGTAATTTATAAACAAAAGAAAATTTATTGCTCATAGTTCTGGAGGCTGGGAAATGCAAGATCAAGATGACTTCCTATTCAGTGTTTGGTGGGGGTTTACTCACTGCTTCATAGATGGTGCCTTCTCGCTGTGTCCTCACATGGCAGAAAGGTTGACCAAGGTCCCTGAAGCCTCTTTTATAGGGTATTAATCCAATTCATGAGGAATCAGTGTTCATGGCTTAATCACCCCTCCCCCCAAAAAAAGCCACATCTCTTAACACTCTCATATTGGGGATTAAGTTTCAACACATGGGCTGGGCATGGTGGCTCATGCCTGTAATCCCAGCACTTTGGGAGGCTGAGGCGGGTGAATCACCTGAGGTCAGGAGTTCGAGACCAGCCTGGCCAACATGGTGAAACCCTGTCTCTACTAAAAGTACTGGGCGTGGTGGCACGCACCTGTAATCCCAGCTACTAGGGAGGCTGAGGCAGGAGAACCACTTGAACCCAGGAGGCAGAGGTTGCAGTGAGCTGAGATGGTGCCACTGTACTACAGCCCAGGTAACAGAGCAAGACTCTGTCTCAAAAAAAAAAAAAAAGTTTGAACATACGAATTTTGGGGGTATACAAACATTCAGAGCATTCCAACCTGGAACATCAGAATGTGACCTTATTTGAAAAGAGAATCTTTGTAGATATATTTGGGATATAAAAAGGATTCTGGGATAAAACCACCCTGGATTTACAGTGCATACAAAAATCTAGTGTAATGACTGGTGTCTGTATGAGAAGAGGGAAAAATACAGAGACACAGGGTATAAGGCCATTTGTAACCTCTGGCAGAGATTGGAGTTATCCTGCCACAGACCAAGAAATGCAAAGGCCCAGAAGAAGATGAAAGAGGCAAGGAAGGATTGCAACCTTCCAAGGAAGGGTGTCCCTGCTAACACCTTGATTTTGGACTTCTGACCTTCACAACAGTGAGAGAATACATTCTTGTTGTTTAAGCCACCCAGTTTGTGGTACTTTGTTACAGTGGCCTCAGGAAACTAATACAGGAGGTTTTTTGTTTAGCATATTACAGGATATTGACTTGAGTAGGAACTCAGATTTCACAGACAGATAGTTGGATGAGGTCTATGTATTAACACCACATTGAATATAAACTCTATAAGTGAGAAGCATTGTTTCCAGGAAGAGCAAATACCACATTCCAACCATATTGATGGTTGTTGAGTCAGGGCCCTCTTATTCTATGAGATTCCTGTCGAAACTACCTTATCAGCAACTGTCTGGCTGAGAGCAAGAATAATCTTTTGCCTCTTTTATACACAGATTTTATGTAGTTAATTAAATAAATGTTAATTTAAATTAATAAAAATCATACTAAAGCAATTTCTAAAAATATATTTATCAGCCACTTTTTTTTGTAGGTCTTCAATAGAATAATGAAATCCATGAAAAATCCTCGGGTTTTCAGAGTTTCATCTTGATATCTTAGCATTCTGTCAAACTATAGGCTGAGGGAGAAACATTCTGCAGCTTCCCTTAGAAGACCCACTTTGGATCCACCTTTCCGCAGAGGCATTTTTCAGGATTTCTGTGTCTAGATTTCTCCCTGGGAAAACCAGGGATAAAACCATCAGTCACATCACTTGCAGCCCAGGGAATGTTCAGCTGGCACACGTGACTAGATCAGTGGTAGAAGGCATGCAGGACTTAGGATTTCACATTTCTTTACGTTTGACCTTTACATTTCTAACAAGAAAGGCATTGTTTATTAATGTCTTCATTTTACACAGGAAAAAAAATGAAGATCAGGATAGTTAAGGCAGTAATTTTCCTATGTTTTTCACTCTTTTGAGGAACGGGCTGGCCCTGGGAGATGGGATGCAGTGAGAAGGAAGAAAAGGCAGCCTAGCTTTTATCTCATCAAAGTCAAAAGTCTTATGGACACACCTTTGCAATACCTCTCCTGGAAGTGACTTAAGTGTTATGTATTTCCACATGCCCTTATTTTAGTAATTTTTCCATGGGAAAACAAACCCATGACTCAGTAAAATTTGACAAAGTAAATCACCTAAAATTTCACAACAAAACTCCCCCTAAATGGCGGTGGGAAGCCATAGTTAGAAACAAATTTTGGCCTACTATTTTTCAACTAATTTTTAAAATAGTGGTAAAATACACATAACATAAAATTTACCATCTTAACCATTCTTAAGTGTGCAGTTCAATAGCGTTAAGTGAATTACATTGTTGTGTAATCAATGTCCAGAGCTTTTCCATCTGTCACAACTGAAACTCTATCCCCATTAAACAACTCCTCATTTTCCCCTCTCCTCAGCTCCTGGCAACCATAATTCTACTTTCCATTTCTATGCATTTTATTACTTTAGACACTTCATGTAAGTGGACCCATAGTATTTGTCTTTTTGTGGCTTGCTTATTTTACTTAGCATGTCTGCAAGATGCCTCCACGTTGTAGTATTGTGTCAGAGTTTCATTCCCTTTTAAGGCTGAATAATATTCATATATATATATATATATATATATATATAAATTTTGTTTCCATTCATCTGTAGATGAACACTTGAGTAGTTTCTAATCTTGACTATTGTAAGTAATGCTGCTATGAACATAGGTGTACACTCTACCTACTACTTTTAATCACAATTTAAACCCTTCCATTTTGAGAAAAGTTGTAAAATAACAGAATATGTTTTGTTTAGAAAATTAATCATTTTTATTCTCAGATATGAGAACAACACAAAGTATTTTTCTTTGAAGTTCATAAAATGCCATTGCATAATTTATTTTTACATAAAAATACTTTCTGGGTTGAGCATGGTGACTCACACCTATAATCCCAACACTTTGGGAGGCTGAGGTGGGAAGATCACTTGAGGCCAAGAGTTCAAGACCAACCTGTGCAAGAGAGTGAGACCTTATCTCTACAAAAACTTTAAAAAATTAACCAAGCATGGTGGTGGATGCCTGTAGACCCAGCTACTCAGGAGGCAGAGGTGGGAGGATAGTTTGAGGCCAGGAGTTCAAGGCTGCAATGAGCTATAATCATGCCACTGCACTCCAGCCTGGGCAACAGAGTGAGAACCTGTCTCAGGAAGAAGAAAAAGAGAAGGAAGGAAGGAAGGAAAAAAAGAAAGAAAAAAGAGAAAGAGAAAAGAAAGAAAGGAAGAAAGGAAGGAAGGAAGGAAGAAAGAAAAAAAAGAAAGAAAGAAAGAAAGAAAGAAAGAAAGAAAGAAAAGAAAAAAAGAAAGAGAGAGAAGAAAGAAAGAAAGAAAGAAAGAAAGAAAGAAAGAAAGAAAGAAAGAAAGAAAGAGAAAGAAGAAAGAAAGAGATGAAATTTCAGAGTACGTTGCTACTTTGAATTGAGTTGTGCATTGGGAAGCATCAGTCTCCCAGGGAGGGACAGAGAGCTGATAAGGTAGCATGCATTCTCCCAAATCTGTCCCACCCAGGGAATAATGTGCTAGATTTTTCTGACATGCTTCTGGAGGGTGAAAATGCTAAAAGTCCCTCGCAGAATCATTTCCCATTACTAAATTCACCTAGTTTATTACATCTCATGAATGAAATTTTTCAATTAAGTCTTTCCCTTGTTTTTGTTGTGTTGTAACTACTTTAGGATGACTGTTCTACTTAGAGATGGTATCTTAGTCCATTTAGGCTGTTACAGAAATTTTTGTTACAAAAATACCATAAACTGGGTAGGTTATAAACAACATAAATTTATTTCTTTCAGTACTAGAGGCTTGGAAAGCTGAGATTAAGTCACTATCAGAATCAGTATCTGGTGAGACCATTTCCTGGTTCACAGACAATGGCTGTCTTCTCTCTGTGTCTTCTCCTGCAATTGATTTCTCTTGCAGTGGATCTCTTGCACGTCTTTGATAAGAGCACTAATCTCATTCACCAATTCATGAATCACTAATCACTTATGAAAGGCTCCATCTCCTAATGCCATCATATTGGGAATTAGAATTTCAACGTAGGAATTTTGGGGGAATATTAGTCTATTGTTCATGGTTTGATGACCTAATTCTCATGGTGGTTTTAACCCATGCTCCCTTTTAATAAACATAAAATGTTGTAAAATTATATACTTTTTCTCATAGACAACTCCCCCCCTTCCTCATACTTTATCATCTTTAAAATCGCTGATATACTTAGAAGATGGTTTATTTTCTAGGCATTTCTGCAGACTGATTAGGTAGAGCTTTTATTTTTCTTTGGCCAAAGATTATATTTCTTTTCTTTTCTTTTTTTTTTTTTTTTTTTTTTTGAGATGGAGTTTCGCTTTTGTTGCCCAGGCTGGAGTGCAATGGCCCGATTTCAGCTCACTGCAATCCACCTCCCGGGTTCAAGCAATTCTTCTGCCTCAGCCTCCTGAGTAGCTGGGATTACAGGCATGCGCCACCATGACCGGCTAATTTTGTGTTTTTAGTAGAGACGGGGTTTCTCCATGTTGGTCAGGCTGACCTCAGGTGATCCGCCTGCCTCGGCCTCCCAAAGTGCTGGGATTACAGGCGTGAGCCACCGCACCTGGCCTTATATTTACTTTCAAGTATATGCATTCTACTTTGATCCTCCTAATTCTGATCCTCTCTCCATTACCTCCTCCCCAAAAACCTTCTAAGGATCATATCATTTTAATTAGGAAGTTATTTGGCTACATTCAAAATATGATTTTTCTTTATAAATATTGGACTAATAACTCCAATTTGTGCACACGACATCTGAAGAATGTTACAAATATGTGTGAACTCTGTAAGGCTCCCAGTCCAACTTTTTTTTTGAGATGGAGTTTTGCTCTTGTCACCCAAGCTGGAGTGGAATGGTGTGATCTTGGCTCACTGCAACCTCCGCCTCCCAGGTTCAAGTGATTCTCCTACCTCAGTCTCCTGAGTAGCTGGGATTACAGGCACTTGCCACCATGCCCAGCTAATTTTTGTATTTTTAGTAGAGACGGTGTTTCACCATGTTGGCCAAGCTTGTCTCAATCTCTTAACCTCATGATCTGCCCGCCTTGGTCTCCCAAAGTGCTGGGATTACAGGCGTGAGCCACTGCGCCCAGCCCCTGTCCAACTTTTATTTCATTTTCATCTTTCCTAATCCAGCCTTGTGTTGGAAGCTTCTTCAGACTAAACCAAGAAAACCTTAGGTCTTCATGTTCATATGGGGACTTTAATGTTGATATGGTGTTTGTACACTTTAAAATATTTCCACATATGTTAACCTTGTGGTGATTCTCTGAGGCATGACAGATACTATTTTCCTTGTTTCATAGAAGACAAAACTTGAATTACAGAGAGGTGAAGTGACCACCCTGAGGGCTTCCCCAGCTAGCAAGTTCAGGATAGGCTGAGCTGGATTCCAGGTTCTCTGGCTTCCAGTCTGGTACTCTTTCTGCTATTCCATGCTGTGTTTTCTGATTGAAAAATCATAAGTCTTTGGTATTTCTCAGCTTGGTCAAATTTGTTTAAAGATCACTTAGCTCACTTTTGTCTGAGTCCATACCAACCAAGTGATCCTTTAATCTGTCTTACTGAGTAAATGCACCCTTCCTGAAGTGAGTGAGTGCCCTATGGAGTTAGGTGCTGAGCTGAGCTGCAGTCCTGGGTTATTTATTGCCAATTTGGCATCACCAACTCTCCCTTCTAAGGGTTCCTCTGTCTTTCAGAAAAGTTGGGAGCTACATTTGCAGAACGCCCTTCCCATATGGTTACAGGTTGGTTTACCAAGAAGTCCCTTCCCTTGCTGAAGATTTGGAAGGCTGAAACAAATGACAGGCTAAAGGGGGTTAAAGGCAGAAATGTGGACAACCATGAGATGCTAAGAGGCTCCACCAGAAAGCCACTCCTTCATCACTGCAGACTGTGATGGTTGAAGAGAAATATCTGGAAGTTCAAGGACAATGGACAATGAAGAGGAAACTGTTCAGCTGGGAGCTGAGCTGAGGTTGTCCACCGTGGCTTCATTGACCTCAGCTTCCCCTAGTCTTCCAATGGTTGTATAGGCTTCTTGACATCTGCATTAAACCTTTTTAATTTGGATTATCTAGAGAAACCAGTTTTTCTTGACTAAACCCTGACTGATAGACTCATTCCCATGCTAAGTGCTAACATTTGGATTATGACTTTTATTCTTATTGCTAAAGTATAATTTCAAACGATATAATTAGGACACTGATGCAAATATAATATGAATATATGGCAAGGATTTTGTTCAACTCATTAATTAGGTGGGGAAACAATTAGATATTAAGACCAGTTCAAACAATATTTGAGGAGCTAGGTATTTATAGACCATTTAATTTTAAAATGTTAAGATATTTGGGTTATATATAAAACTTGTTAATATCTTACAGAGCAATGCATAATAACATTTGGGGTTATATTTTCCACCAAATCATGTGCCTTTCCATGGGACAAAAATCAACATGTTAAAGTAAAACTTCTGGGACCTTCAATAGATATTTTTTAAATTAGCATCATCATCATCATCATTTGCTATACACGTGATAGGTTATAGACACTACAGTAACATGTTCTCAAACATGTAATTGTCCTTTCAACAATTCTGTGAGGTGGATTTTGTCATCTCCATTTTAGAGATTTGGAAACTGAGCCCAGTGACCCCACCTGACCTCCTCAAGGTCATGGACTGAGTTAGAGCTGGGATTTAAATCCAGATTTGTCTCACACTGAGGCCTGTGATTTCCTCCTAGTTCACTATCACCTAATTAATTCAGATACTCCTGACTCTCTCTGTGTTAATTAATAAAATCAGCTTGGTGAATAACAAGGTTGAAAACTAAGCAAAGGAACATAACTGAATACAAAATGTTATTACAAAAGATTAACGGCTTTGAAAAGTAAAAGCAGTATGAACTATGCCATGTAAACCTTAGGGGGATAAGGGCCTTAGATTATTCAAAAGATAAATATATTTGGAAATTTTTTTAAATTTTTTATTTTTTTAATTATACTTTAAGTTCTATGGTACATGTGCACAACATGCGGGTTTGTTACATAGGTATACATGTGCCATGTTGGTTTGCTGCACCCATTAACTTGTCATTTACCTTAGGTATTTCTCCTAATGCTATCCCTCCCCGCTCCCCCGACCCCACAACAGGCCCTATGGTGTGATGTTCCCTGCCCTGTGTCCAAATGTTCTCATTTGGAAAAATTTTAACAACTGAGATTAAAAATCCAAACTTGCCATTTCCACCAGATTACGTTTTCATGGTCTGTGATGTGCCAAGTATAAAGAATAGGAGTAACATAAATGCAGGCCCCAACCAAGCAGAGTCTCTCAAACTTGAATAGAGCATGGAACCTACTTAGTAGAGGGAGCGAGGGAGACAGAGTTCCCAGACTCTGAGCCTACGCCCTCTCATCCAAAAGTTTAGAGAGCACAGCTTGCGAGATTCATGGTCAAAATAGGCCTGATCATTTTTGGTGCTAGAATAAGATAAATTGTGTCTTTCAGTTAACATTTTTCTATTTGCAACATTCTTACTTCATCCTCAGCCAGTGTAAAAATCAAAGTTTTATTGTAGATTAAAGAAAATAAATGAAAACATGGACAAAAAAGATAAATGAATTAGTATGAGTTGTGGTTAAGGGCATAGACTCTGGAGTCAGAATGTCTGTGTTCAAATCCTGACTCTACTGTGTCCTGTGAAACTTTGGGTTGGTCACTCAACCTGTCTGTGCCTCAGTGTTGTAAACGTCCAGTGGGTTTACCTTGGCCACTGCCTAGACAGAGCCAATTAATCAAGATGGGAATTGCAATAGAGAAAGAGTGAATTCACACAGAGTCAGCTGTACAGGAGACTGGAGATTCATTATTTCTCAAATCCATCTCCCAGAGCTTTCAGAGTTTTTAAGGATAATTTGGTGCATGGAGGAAGGCCAGTGAGTCCAGAGTGCTGATTGGTTAGGTCAGAGACAAAATCATAGGGAATTGAAGCTGTCCTCTTTCACTGAGTCCGTTCCTGGGTGGGGGCCACAAGATCAGATGAGCCAGTTTATCGATCTGAGTGTTTCAATAAACTGGGTGCCAGCTGATCCATCAAGTGCCGGGTCTGCAAAATACCTCAAGCACTGATCTTAGGAGCAGTTTAGGGAGGATTAGAATCTTGTAGCCTCCAGCTGCATGACTCCTAAACCACAATTTCTAATTTTGTAACTAATTTGTTAGTCTTACAAAGGCAGTCTAGTCCCCAGGCAAGAAGGAGGTTTGTTTTGAGAAAGGGGTGTTAACATCTTCGTTTTACACTATAAAGTAAGTTCCTCCCAAAGTTAGTTCACCCTACACCCAGGAATGAACAAGGACAGCTTGGAGGTTAAAAGCAGATGCAGTTGGTTAGGTCAGATCTCTTTCTCAGTTATAAGTTTGCAATAGCTGTTTCATTGTCTTCATCTATAAAAACAGGACTAATAAGAATTATACCTCCGTTCGTCAACACCAACATCTTTGCCAGGACCAAGATAGACCCCAGTGCCTTGGTGCAAAAGCTGGAGCTGGACGTAAGGAGCGTCACTTCCATCAGGAGAGGTGCAGAGGCCAAGACCGTTTTGCCCAAGGAGAAAATGAAGCTGAGGCGTGAGCAATGGTTGCAGAAAATCGAAGCCATAAAACTGGCTGAGCAGAAGCACAGGGAGGAGCGGAGGTAGAGGGCCAGGATGGTGGTGGGGGACCTGCACCCGCTCAGGGATGCCCTGCCTGAGCTACTGGGGCTTGAGGCTGGCAGCCGGCGCCAGGCCTGCAGCAGGGAGAGCAACAAGCCCTGGCCCTCAGAGCTCAGCCGGATGAGTGCAGCCCAGAGACAGCAGTTTCTCGAGGAAGAAAGGACCCGGTTTCAGGAGCTGCTGGCCAGTCCGGCCTACAGAGCCAGCCCCCTGTTAGCCATTGGGCAGACGCTGGCCCGGCAGATGCAGCTGGAAGATGGTGGCCAGCTCTGACCAGGGCAGCGGGCATGCCACAACTCCTCGGGACACATGTGTGGGCCAAGTAGACAGCACCAGCCCCTCAAGGACCATGGCCTGAGCCTGGTGGACGCCCTTCCCTCTGGTCGGTTGTGGGGCTCAATAAATGGCTCTGTGAACTTCCCCTGCACCCCCAGGGCCATTCCCATGAGCTGCTCCCTGATTCACAGGGCTGGGCCCACCCTGGGACAGCTGCCCCCGCTCTCCTCAGGACAACAAGCCACATCCCTCCACTGGGGGCCCCAGCCCCCACGCAGTCAGGGTGTACCGTGCACAGGGTTCATAGGGACTGCAGTTGTGGAGGCCCCAAGTCCGTCCCTGAGCAGGCACTGGTGCCGCCAAGATAGTCTCCTGGCTGTGTTGGAAAGGAATTGTGCCTGGGTGTGGCCCCAGCTGTGCCACCAGCCGCCCTGATTTGCTTCAGCCTCGGTTCCTGCTGCGACCCTGGTGGGATCCAGAAGCACTGAGGCCTGCAGGGGCTGCCGTGGGGACTGGCTTGGGGCCCTCCCCACCTGGGTGTCTGTTTCCCTTCCAGTCTCCCCTGCCACCCTCAGTGACCAGGGACACAGATGGCCCTGGCAAGGCCCCCGGCCTGCTCCTTGCCTGTTGTCTGCACCCCCCTGGGCTGCATCCCCCCTATCCCACCCATTGCCCTCGCCCTACCCAGCTGCTCCAAACCCAGGCAGCCCACTGCCTTGCTCTGGGGACGGAGAGCAGAGGGTCCTTCTGCAGGGAGGAGACATGGAGTGGGCCCAGCCCTGAAGTTCTTGCTGACCCAGAAGTGAGAGAGGTCCTCCTTTGTTGTTAGAAGCCCTGGGATTTGGGGGTTGGTTTTTGGACTGTGAATCAGTGACTGATCAGTTCTTGTTTTCAAGTTGTGGAAACCAAGGGGGTGGTGCGTCCCCAGGCCCCTGACGCCCAGCTTGGCTCCCCCTGCCCGAGCTCCCCCCGTCCCAGTGCTCTGTGGGGCCTCGCTGGCCCATGTCCTGCAGCAGAGCTGGGCAGGCTGGGTGTGGTGGTGCACCCTGCTGGGGGTGTCTGGGAAGTGCAGAGCAGGACCACTCTCAGCTCCCAGGTGGGGGCCCAGCACCCTGAGCCTTCCCAGGCTGCCTGGGGTGGGGGTGGTCCCAGGGACTCCAGGGCCTCCTGGCTCCAGGGCATGTGGGTGGCCCCTGTGCACAGCCCCTCTTGTTGTGAGCCCCCATGGTCCGACCTCCCCTGGCCCTGCTGCCTGCTCAGGGTTCATAGCCCCAGCAGCCCTGCCAAGGCTGCCTGGAGAGTGGGTGGCCGAGGCGAGTTGGAGCCTGCGTCCCTTCTGTTCAGTGTCCTGGCCCTTCCCTGACACGAGCAGACACGGCATCCACAGAGACAGCCTGGACACCCTCCAAGGCCCCAGCCGATGGGACAGACAGGCGTACAGGAGCCACAGGCAGCAGATCCCATGCTCTCTCAGCCGGGGCCGGCTTGGCTGCCCAGCCCCAGCTCCTTAGAGAACGGGCTTCTGGCTTCAGAGGAGCTGGTCACAAACCAATGCTTGCGACAAAACCATTTTTGTGGTAGAGCGAGTGTTGGGAACAACGTCTGTGGGTCTGTGGGATGCACGCAGGGAAGTGTGGTGGGGGTGAGGATGGGGGCGGCTTCCACTTTCTCCAGCATCCTAATCCCACGGTCTGGGTTTCTTGTGAAAAACCTGGCCAGGCGCAGTGGCGCACACCTGTAATCCCAGCACTTTGGGAGGCCAAGGCAGGCATATCACTTGAGGCCAGGAGTTCAAGACCAGCCAACATAGTGAGACCCCATCTTGACAAAAAAATACAAAAATTAGCCAGGCGTGGTGGTGCGTGCCTGTACTCCTAGCTACTGGGGAGGCTGAGATGGGAGGATTGCTTGAGCGTAGGAGGCCATGGCTATAGTGAGCCAAGACTGTGCCACAGCACTCCAGCCTGGGTGACAGAGTGATCCTGTCTCTAAAAAATAAAAATTTAAAAACGCAAAAAAAAAAAAAAGAATTATACCTCATAGATTTCTATGAGAATGAAATGAGCTAAGAGTCATAAAATGTTTGAAAAACTAGCTGGCTTAAATAAGTATTCTTATTTTTTAAATATCTGTTAATGAAGTATTAGTTAGCTTTTTTTTTTTTTTTTTTTTTTTTTGGTAATAAGCTTGGGTATTGACCCTAAGGAATGTTTTGCACTTAAGGTAGAGTTTGCCTATAAAAATCCAGCCTGTACATTTTGAGAAAAGGGATATCAGACACTTGATTAGCTCTATGTGGTCTTTGTATCAGAAATTAAACACCAGCTGTTGTAAGAGATAAAGCCTGACATCTCAGTGGCTTAACAAAAAGAGATGTTTATTTTTCATAATGTAAAATTCAATCTGCAACAAGGATTAGGGTGAGAGTGGGATCTATGGTTGTATTAGTCTGCTTAGGCTGCCATAACAAAATACCATAGACTGTTTGGCTTAAAAAACAAAGCATTTTTAAATCACAGTTCTGGAGGCTAGAAATTCAAGATTAAGATGCTGTCAGGGTTGATGTCTAGTGAGGGCTCTTTTCCTCGCTATCGGGGGAACCAGCACCCAATATTTCAACATAGGTTCTTTCTATTTTCCCTAAGTGTCGGCTGGTCTGAGAAATAAAGAGAAAGAATACAAAGAGAGAAATTTTACAGCTGGGCCCCTGGGGGTGTCATCACATATTGGTAGGACTGTGATGGCAACCATGAGCCACAAAACCAGCAAGTTTTTATTAGAGATTTTAAAAGGGGAGGGGGTGTACAAACAGAGAGTAGGTCACAGGGATCACATGCTTCAAAGGGCAATACATATCACAAGGTGAAGGCAAAATTAGAATTACTGATGAAGGTCTATGTCCCACTGTGCATGCATTGTCTTGATAAACATCTTAGCAGGAAACAGGGTTCGAGAGCAGACAATCGGTCTGACTAGAATTTACCAGGCTGGAATTTTTGAATCCTAGTAAGCCCAAGGGTACTGCAGGAGACCAGGGTGTATTTCAGTCCTTACTTCAACCACATAAGACAGACACTCCCAGAGCAGCCGTCTACAGACCTACCCCCAGGAATGCATTCCTTCCCCAGGGTTATCAATTATTAATATTCCTTTCGAAAAAGAATTCAGCGATATTTCTCCTACTCACACATCTGTCTATAGGATCTCTGCAAGAAGAAAAATATGGCTGTATTCTGCCCGACCCTGCAGGCAGTCAGATCTTATGGTTGTCTTCCCTTGTTCCCTGAAAATCTGTTACTCTGTTCTTTTTCAGTATAAGCAGAGATATCATGCACAAATCGGGTGATGAAATCCACTGATTTGGTATTGTTCAAACACGCAATTTTACAATCAGTTTATATAATAGTGGTCCTGAGGTGATGTACATTCTCAGCTTACAAAGATAAAAGGATTAAGAGATTAAAGACAGGCATAAGAAACTATAAGAGTATTGATTGGGGAAGTGATAAAAGTCCATGAAATCTTCACAATTTATGTTCAGAGATTGCAGTAAAGACAGGTGTAAGAAATTATAAAAGTATTAATTTGGGGAACTGATAAATGTCCATGAAATCTTCACAATTTATGTTCTTCTGCCTTGGCTGCAGCTGGTCCCTCCATTCGGGGTCCCTGACTTCCCACAACATCTAGCTCATAGATGGCCTCCTTCTCACTATGCCCTCACATCTTCTTTCCTCTGTGCTCTCAATGCTGGGCAGGGGGAGAGAGAGCATGCTCTGGTCTTTCTTCTACTTATAAGGAGAAGAGGAGAGAAGGGTCTACATAGTCTTTCAGAGATTGAGGCTGAAAGAGGATCCACCATTTTCAGCATGGAGCTTCTGGGATCTCCCTGAGTGTCAATATTCAGTAGCAAGTGAAGAGAAAGAATTGTACACAGGAGGGTAAGTGGCTGAGGTCAGTAATCACTTCTGCCCACTTCCCACAGGCTGAATGCAGTTGCATGCCACCTAACTGCAAGGGAGACTGGGAAACACTGCCTACAGTGTGGAAAGAAATAAATCTTGTGAATAACTAGCTATTGAATAGTTCTATTGAATCTTCCTCACAGTCCTTGGACCTCCTAGGGGAAAAAAAGTGCACCTTTTCTTAACTCTTCCAGAGTGTTCTCTAGTTCATGCTACTTCAAGTTCTTTCCCCAAACTTTTCTCACCTATGTTTTCCTATGGGGCTATCTGACTCAGTTCATGGGCAATGTGTTCCTATAAAGAAGAAGGAGTGTAGGGCCACCTTCAGCTTATGTTTTAGCTCTAGAGGATGAGAGAAGAGCCAACGTGTGTCAGTTTGAGGATGGATGTACAGTGAGTAGTGAGGGGCTTTTTCCACCTTGAATGCATGAGAGCTCTTGAGCCCCTCCCACTGCATTTTCAGAGTCACCAGATCTGTGCATGATATCTCTGCTTATACAAGAAAAGAGTCCCTGTGATTGCTCTGTATTTTCTGTCATGGTAAGAATGAAGAGCAAGAGAGCTAGGATAAGGCCCTAGAAAAAGGCAATGGCAAAGCTCAGATAAATGCCTTTCACCCCTACCACTATCTCTCCAGAAAACCCCATGTAAACCTTGAGCACACTGCAAAGTCATTGGACAGGTTTCTCTCCAGCAAGAAAGCCCCATGCCCCCTGCCAGTTCACTGGGGCCTCTCAGGCACCATTCTCAACATGAGCTATTGGTTGGGTCTGGTATGTAGGGGAGCTGCCAGTGCCACTGAAGTCACGTGATAATTGTGGTCTCCTGGCCAGGAAGCAGCTGATCTAGCTTGGGGACAGGGCAGGCAGGATGTGCCATTGATTCCCTTGTGAGAAATTCCTAAGAATCTACTCTCCATCTGCAATTAATTCTCCCAGGAGAATTAAGAGATTTTTTTTTCTCTTTTCTAAAGGGAACAAATAAAGGCCCAATTATTTTTCCAGCAGTCTGAGTTTAGAGTCTACAAATTCTAATTTTTTGTTTCCTGGAAACAGTAAAATTCCATTGCCATTTGTTTTCTTCTTTAAAATCCCCTTTACTGCACTTTCAAAGTAAGCTTTCCTCATAGCCCTGAAGAGCCTTTGTCTTTAGGTTGTCAGTAAAAACAAGTTGCCCCTTTTGACTCAGTTGGTTGAGATATAGTATACTGAAATGCACCCAGCAGGCCATTGCCAAAGTTGTGGTTTTTCAATTTATGTTTGAGACAAAAGAGTCCAAGGAGAATTCCACTTGTGTAGGTTGCATAAGAGATGACAAACAAAGCTGAACTGGATAAGAGTATAAAGAAAGTAAGAGAAGCAAAATGTGTGATAGAGGCCACAGATGCTGCCATATAGACAGCAAGATGGTGACAAGGTGAAAAGGGGCTGCAAATTTATTAACTGGCTCAGTCCTTACTGAGAGCTCTGCACCATATCTCCTCCACACAGGTGCAGATTTTGCTTTTAGTTTTACAAAGATTAGAGCAAGAAAGAAGCTGCTTTTAAAACAAGAAAAAAAACCACTTTCAGTGCACCATCTCGTATAATATTATATCCTATTGTACCCTGCCATGGTTTAGGCATCACTGTATTCTCTCATTGTGTAATATATATATTAAGAGCTAAATAAATGTCTGTTTCATTGAAGGTAAGAGCTAAATAAATGTCTGTTTCATTGAATAGTTCAGCTCTGCTTTCACCTCTTCTAATTAAACCAACACCACATGCCACTTGCTACCTCCTGAACAATTACTACTTTTGTGTTTCTTCATTTATCCAACAAACAGCTCCAAAGATGGAACATTCAACTCTAACATAAACCCTGCTGCTTCCAGGGGCTCTGCGCCCATCCCCTTGTTATGCTACACTGACATTTAGACCTACTAGAAGGTAACTGTTTTTCATTTATGTGTCCTTACAAGTCCCAATAAGAGTCCCTGAAGAAAAAAGGTACATTGCATACCCAACATCAATTACATTTATCTTCCCTCATATGCAAAGCATCGTATGTTTCCACATTCAAGAAGCAAACTCATGAGTCATCATGGGAACACCATGACTTTTAGATTCAGACTGATCTATATTCATATGTGGAACTGATTCCACATTACATGTCTAGCTGTAAAACTGGGAGTAATGTATGTATATGACCTTTGTAGATCTGTTTTTTTCATCGGAATAATAGCAATATTTAGCTTGCAGGTTTGTTCTGGGAATTCAATGAGATGACACACATGCAGTGGGGCTGCAAATGTACTGATGTTGGAGTCAAAATGTGGGAAAAACAGGGGCCTTTTAGTGTTCTATATGCAGACTAGTCTTTGTAGACTTGCACTCCCATTGATAGTGGAGGCAGTCGTGCGATCTTGGTTTGATCTAGTAATTGACATGTCATTTAGTTAACACAATCTGTTTTAGATGCTTTTCAGACTTTCAGATTCTGTCTCCTACTCCTGAACTTCCCTGGAATGACACCAAGTTGTATGAGGGGTTTACTGTGTCCTTGTGATAGTGGGGAGAAAAAAAATTCAGATCATGTGGAATCCTTAGATGCCCTCTATGCCCAGCTGTGGACAGGCTGGTCCACCTCTCCTTGTCTGAGGATTGCTGAGCTCTGTCTAGCTCTGCCTATCCTTTTGGAGTGAAGCTTTGGCTTCCTGGAGTCCAAGGTTTCAGGCATTTGTGTGTATTCAGGTCCACCCCCACTTTATCCTATCCACTCTGACCCCAAGCTTCTGACAGTTGCCCACTCCTTTCTCAACACTTCCACATCCCTTCTGGAGCATTTGGGAAATCTTAAATCCCTGTCATAACAAGTGCAGACAATGGAGAGCCAGGGCTCCATAGTGGACTCACCACCTGAACCCATTCTGCAGTCTTCCCACAGAATTGCTCTGGAGCCATGATGGATCTGGCATCCAGCTGAAGGCACAAATTGTTCTAGGGGCCTGCAGACTCTGCCTTGGAAAATAATCTACTCCTCTGATATTAGTGTATTGCCCCATACTTCTATGTTCCTAAAAGACTTTTGCATTTGATGTATGATTCTTATGTGGGAATAGGACCTTTTTGTTCTACTTTTTTTTTTTCTGCCTCCATTATCTGACAGGATGGTAAGGGGTAAGCTTTCCTGTTACTTTCCCTTCCTGTCTGAATGCAACTGTCCTATATCATTTGCTACTCATTCCTCTAAGATTGCAGTCTCAAAGTTCAGTCCAAATGATGAAATTGGCTGTATCTTGGTTTATTCTGGCTACTACAACAAACTACCATAGACTGGGTAGCTTATAAAAAACAGAAATGTATTTCTCACCTTTCTCAAGTCTGGGAAGTCTAAGATGAAGGCACCAGCAAATTCCATGTCTGCTGAGGCCTGTTTTCTGGTTCATAGACGGTGCTTTCTCACTGTGTCCTCACATTGGTGGAAGAGGCGAGGGCTTTTCCTTGAGTACCTCATAAGGGCACTAATCCCATTCATGTGGATCTGCCCCCATGACCTAATCACCTCCCTAAGTCTTCACCCTCTGATACCATCACCATAGGAGTTAAAATTTCAACATACAAATTCTGAGAAGGCAGAAACAGTCAGACCCTAGCAGGGTGCAAGGACAGAAATCAGCCCAACCGTAAGAAAACTTAGAAAATATATCTAAAACTTTATCCCTGTTATAGATGGAAAATACTTGGTGCAGAGCCTGGAATCTTCTATGAACTTGGATAGGTGAACAACACTGTACTACATGGTGATAGCTGTGAAGGATCCAAGTGTTACACTTAGAACTGACAAATTCAACATATTTTGTCAGACAAGCATTGGGCTCATTCTGTCCATTCCACAGTCTATTGGCTGAACTCTGCTAAACCTATGTGATTAAATAAAGACATCTGTAAAAGTCCTAATGATGGTCACACTACAAAGCTCTTTGAGTAACTAATCCCAGTGTTAGCCAGCAATGAGTCTTAGGGAAGTTCTTCACATTCACCTGGATTCCAAATACCTAATAAAAAAGAGCAAGTGTCAAACTCAGAGTGTGTGTCTCTCTCTTCCTGTTTATTTGTGAATGGCTTTTAATGAATAGGAAAAGAACAAAAAGTATAAATGCAGCTTGTCAACCACAGCAATGTGCCTTTTCAACTTTTAGCTAAGACATGAAAAGTTATAATTTCACTACTTTTTATATAAACATAACTGCATATTTTCACAGCTTTGCTTTAAGACTTAAGCTCCTCCAGCTGATCATAAATTGCCAGGAAATGTCTGCCCAGTCTATCACAGTGTCTTAATTAAGCAAAGGCATAGAAATTATACGGGGGCCTTGGCCCATGGGACTCACCAGGTGTAATGAATTCTGAAGAAGCAGTAGACACAGATTTTCCAGGGTGGGCTAATAATAAATACTAGTGGAAGGACAACAGAAATAAAGTTTTTTCTCTTTTCTACCAATCTCTTCCTTTTGAAAAAGATAGCAACAAAGATAGCTTAAAGATGGATCTTTAAGCCTCAATTTTGATGCCATTTCTTTCTAGAGAATTTTTGGTTTCTCCTTTCCACACTCCATTATAGGCTGTGCTAAGGGACCCTCCTCTGAACTCCTATTGGTAAACAACATTATTATTGCATTATTCACACCTGCCATAATTGTCTTTTTATATATTTGTCTCCCCCAGTAAGTCTGTGGCCTTGCCTTGTGTTTCCAATAATTCACTCCTCAGAGGGATTTCCCAGGGGGCTGGGGGCAGAGAGGGGCCCACTGATAAACAGCAGATGCCCAGTAGGCCTGAGGCATGTCTGACACCTGTATGATGAAGGAGATGGGAAAAAAGGAGAAGCAGCTCCTGGGATGACATAGTTAAGAGCCCGAGGAGGTGCATTGCTTTAAAATTACTGATCATAAGAAACAGTTCCTGCAAATGGTGTGGGGCATGCAACCTTCTGTCCATGCCAATTCACTTGGTAAACACCAGAAACAGAATTCTCATTGGGTACTTGAAGCTCATAGAAATGTCAAGAGTAAAAGGAATGGTGCAGTTGGAATTCCTGTGCAATTTGAAGCTCTCACTTGAAAATGAGAGAGGGACAAGGAACCAGGAGTGAACAGACCAGGGGATCAAGCAGGAATAATATGTGGTTCAATACTTGTCCAAAGTAAGAGAGATGAAATATTCACTACTTTAGAAAAACTAAAGTGCTCACCTTTCTGAGGTCATGGCCTTCCAAGAAGAGATATTTTAGTTGCAATAAATGAGCTCTTTCTACATGAGGCTGAGGGTTTGGCTTCCTTAATTCTGCAAAAATAATAATAATAATAAAAAGAGAGAGAGAAATAAAACGCACCCATTGATGTTCAAAGAGGAAGAGCAAAAGCCTGAACTTGCCATATCAATGACTAACTATAGAGTTATTCATTGGAATAAGATACATAGGATTTGCATCCCAAGAGAGGGCACTGACCCTGTTTGAGAATGATCATTTGGTTAAGAATTGTTTAATTTCCTTCCTTTTTAGAATTTGAAACAACAAAATCTATTAAGCAAAAAGTGGTAAGAGAGCACAAGATGCAGGAGACTTTCTCTGTCCCAAAAGACCTTACAGACTTGTTGAGAAGATTGTATGAATAAGTGAAAATCACCAAACGATGGCATATGTGCTTGGCACAGAGTGGGCAATTGGTTAATATCTGTATGGATTGCTGCTTAGCTAATGAAGTCTGTGGTGTATTTACTAGCCTTGAGTACATAATGTTGACTAAACTATGCTCCGCCCTGACAAACCATGAGGCCTGCTCTTCGCACCGCTCCCACCTCGGGCCTGTACAATGAATCCCTGAGCTCCCTGTCCTTAGGAGTCACTGCCCTTTGGTCTTGTGAGGCCTTTCAGACCACACCCCTCCTGTCCTAACCTTCTTCCCTAACCTTCTCACTTAATTGCCACAATTTTAGTTTGTTTGCCAAAGGAAACGAATCTGTGTGACCGTGAAAGTAAGAAGTAATATGAAGTAATATAAACAAGTGGCATAAAGTGTTGTGTTGATTTTGTATTGAGATGAGAAGTTGATCAGCTCGAACCCAGAAGGAAGGTAGTGCCCTTAGAGGCAGAAGTATAAATTGATGATCCAGGTCTGTCTCTTCGAAGTGTGCACCCTTGAGCAACTTACCAATTCACAAAACCCAAGTTTCCTCATGTTTGCAGAGAAGGGATCCCAGCTGTGGCACAGGCTTTGTTGGGCCAGTGGGGTGAGCGCAGCTGGAGTGGACAGCCTTAAGTCCATTTTGCATGAACAATGGCTTGTTTGAATAGAAATGCTGGTAGGTCTTTTATTGGTGGTGAGAGAGGGCAATAACAAGTAGAATGTAGGTGACAGTCAATCAATTATTTCAACTCATTGGTGACAGTCTTTTGGGAAATGCAGATTACATACTGTCAGGCCTCTGAGCCCAAGCTAAGCCATCATATCCCCTGTGACTTGCACTATACATCCAGATGGCCTGAAGCAACTGAAGAGCCACAAAAGAAGTGAAAATAGCCTTAACTGATGACATTCCACCATTGTGATTTGTTTCTGCCCCACCTTAACTGATCCCAAAACCTATAAGAACTAATGATGATCCCACCACCCTTTGCTGACTCCTTTTTTGGACTCAGCCTGCCTGCACCCAGGTGAAATAAACAGCCTTGTTGCTCACACAAAGCCTGTTTGGTGGTCTCTTCACATGGACATGCGTGACAAAGGGAAATCGTTCCAGCCTTAGAACTGTGCCTTTCTCTGAGGAGGGAACCACAAAGTGTTAAGGAGGGCCAGGCAACAGGAGCCTAAGCAAGAAGTTAACACTCCCAGACCTAAGCAATCTAATCCCAATAGCGTTCTGGGAGAGAAGAGCACTAAATACTTCCTCAGCAGAGAACAACTGAGGGTCTCCAATGCCTTTTCCATCTCAGGCAGCCAAGTCTCTGCTTCTGACTCCACTGAAGAGACTGGAGGGGCATCAAAGAAGAGGAGCTCCAGCCATAAAATCAGAAAAGCATGAAACATTTGGTTGGAGGATGAGAAAGACACATAAAAATTCTTGTTAGCATGCACGTTACCTTTAATGAATATTGATCTCTACCTTTACACATGCTTATTAGCATGCATATTGGAGTAAAACAAATTGGCAGCCACCAGTTTTCAGGAGAGATCCTGAAAAGTTTCAATTAAGCTAAACACGGCAAGGGAAATAAATGTACATGCATTACTACTAATTTAGTGTGAGAAAAGTCATCGATTGCCTATATTTGGTGTTTATTTTTGCAGTTAAATTTCCTTAATGGAAAGGTATTTGTAGGAGCTTTTAGACACATATTTCTGACCTTTGTCTTCATTCTATTTTCCCCCTTAAGGTCTTCATTTCCTCAAAAGTGAATTCTCTCACCACAGGAATTTTCCCGATCCTTTCTTACTTCCCTGTATTAGCCAGCCACTTACACAGAAATAATGATATGGAAGGACAGAAAAAGATGAGACAACCCATTTTCCTTTCAGCCCTTCCTTAATCATCTGTAAGCCAAAGACAGAAAGCACTGATAGGATGTGCTGATATCAAGAAGTGAAAAGACAAAACATTGGAGATAATTCAGTGCTAGGTCTCCACTCCTCTGGTTAGAACAAAATACATATGTATCCATGAACTAACAAATACAATTTGTGAAGTTTTAGTGATTCTGCACACATGTTAAATGTGTTAAATTAAATATTTAATTTAAAATGGGGATTGCACAGTTGATTTTCAATCTAAGATATTCTATCGCTAGTTTATTACTTTGGGCAAGTTATCTAAAAATCTGTGATCCTGTATTCTATCTTTAAAATGAAAGCAATAATATTTACTTTCCAGTGTTGCAGTGTGAATAACTGAAATACTCTAAGTAGCAGTTATTAATCTCAACAATCATTTATTTGGCTTCTGATATATACAAGAGCCCATTTGAAATTCAAAATAAAATATAGTTTCTGATCTCAAGAAATTCACCATTCAATGGAATAGACAAGATTATATACATATAAATAGAATGAGATTTAGAAGTGCCTATAGAGGTAGTTACAAAATGCTGGGGAATATAGAAAAGCATCATTCTAGGGGATGGGTGAGATTTCTCCAGGTAGACAAAATGGGTAGTTGTTCCCATCATGGGAAGGGCAGTGAAAAGACGTGATGTGGTGCAGCAGCAGCGTGACACACTGCACAGCCAAGAGGAGGTGGAAAAGCAACCAGGGCCTGATCACATTCACCTGTTAAGAAATTTGAATTTCTATTGCAGTTTGTCTCTTAAATAGGATCTTTCTCTGATACACCATGATCAACTGGTTCACAAAATAAGAACTCTGAATCACCCAACTGAATTTTCCTGGTGGACAGATTTTCCAGATTTCTAAAAAATGGGTGTTTGAGCATAAAGTAGCTGGTATCCTCTGTATTGTCATTAACGCTGACACAGAAATTCACAAGGAATAACAACATCCAGAATTTTCTGTGCAGGCTATTTATATACCAAAGCCAGAGCAGTTATAGGAGTTCTGTTATTCACCCAGGATGATATCCCAATTCGTTCATTCACTCATCCTGCAAAGGTTGCCTGGCCCTGCTCAGGCTGACATGCCCCCACCTCCAGATGTCGAGCTGCTTCATAATCACCAAGCAGTGGCATCTCACGCCATCCCATTAGAGAGTAGCATGCAGCCCACTTGTTGGGCATGTTGATGCAAGCTTAGGAAGGAAAACATAATTCATTTTTGCCAGTGACAGAAATGTTAACACTTACTTGAAATAGCTGATAATCTGACAAGGAGAGCTAAAGGATTACTGTATTTCATGTGGCTAATGAGAAAAGCTGTTTAAAAGCCATATGAAAAAGACTTAATGTATGGTGAGTGAGCATTGCTTTAATGTATTATGTGCCATCAACTATTAGAATGATTTTCCCCTCTTCTGTTGCCATAGATTTTTGCCTCTTTTCTCTGGGAAGAGATAATAGAAGCAGCATCCATTCAACAGAGACTTTCCAAGAAACATTCATTCAATAAGTATTTCTTGAGCACCTACTGTGCACCAGTCACCACACTAGGCATTTGGGATTCAAGGTCTCAGACCTCTCAGCAGGGGCTTTTTATGGAAAGAATTGATAGGGGAAGACAGTAGACAAAAGATATTGAAAAATCATGTTTGGGATTTAGTTGATATATGAAATAATCTTATTTAACTTTCATTTACTAGATGAGGAAACTGAGGCCTAGAAAACCAAGTAATTTGTGGAGGGGGCATGGCTAATTAGTGGGAAACCCTGGCCTGGATCCATGATGTTTTGCTTCTCTTTTTGATGCTGGAGCAGAGTCTCCTGCAGTCACAAGAAAGAACTATGGAACGATGTGTTTGCAGCAGGGCAGGAAGCCCCGTTAAGTAAAATCCCACGGGGCTCCAGGGTCCCTCAGCATCCACAGGGGGCACTCGAGTCCATGACAAAGATGCCTTCAGTTCTGTCCACACTACGCAAGAACAGGCTGCTTCACCCTCTTGCACTGGAGGGCTGCCCTCTTCCTGGTGGTTTGTCCTTGCCCAGTGCCCCTCCTTGCTATCCAGGGCACTTTCAGCACAGAAGACATTATCAGGAAACAGCTACATTCCCCCACCCCCACCGTCACCAGTCAGCGAAATTAGTGTTTCTACAGCTGAAATAATCAGGTCTAAAGCCAAACACCTTTCTTTATTTCTTCTTTCTTCTCTCTCTCTCTCTCTCTCTCTCTTTCTTTCTCTTCCTTACCTTTTAGCGTGTGCCTCATATTCAAGGTACCAGGTACCATTCCTCCTTCTCAGGACTTGGAGCTCCCTATCTCCCTGAGACACTGTGATCCAAAAGCAACATGACTCCATTCTCAGATAAGACAGCAAAACTTCTCCCCAAACCCTTGGGATCCTTACCCCCGGCAATGGCAGGGTTGAGTGTTCCTTTGCCAAAAGATTACTATTGCAGGGGTCAAAACTGACAAGGGAGCCCAGAAACTAATGCAAATGGTTAGGGGCTCCCCCTTCTGCCTGCCCTAATTTCTAGGTGAGTGTGGCCCACTTTGGTGACAACAAGGAGCGGGAAGCAATTGGCGTGGTTAATGCATTACAGCCACCTCAAATCACGGTTCTTTCATACAGAGGTGATCACAAGCAGTGGCCACACAGGTTAAGCCATATGGATCTACAGACACCTCATTTACTTTTACTACAATGTCAGAAATTCCTGAGATTATGGGCTCAGTAAATTGATCTAAATAATTCAAGGCTATTATTCCATAATTCTATTCTTTACCTGCTGCATGAACTAAATTCTTCTTTTCATCCTCCCCTAAATTGGACCTAACCATCCTCTAAATTGTACATTAAAAACCATGTGTTTTTCCACCCTTAGTTTTTGTTTGCTGCATTTACAAAAGGCATTCTTTGCTGTAATTTCACTGACATAAGGAGTTTCACTACCTCCACCACTCCATGTATCTGGCACAGCTTCCTTTTGGATCAGCTTTGCCCTTGGCTCAGCTTTGCCCTTGGCTCACCTCACTCTTGAGGTCCCAAAATGGCAAACACACTCGTGTCTCCCACTCATTGCTTTGTCTGTCGCACCCACTGCCTCACCTAAATTCACTAACTTAGCATATCATGTTTCTATAAAACAAATTAATACATTTCCCTCCTCCCACAAAAGAGGTTTACTTCTAATCAATCTTAAGAAACACTACTAATCTTAACACTATTAGTAATACTAATAAAATCTCTATCACTTATGATGTACTTACCATGGGCCAGGCTTGGGCTAAATGCTTTATATGTATTACCATGGTTAATTCTCACAATAATCCAATGTGGTAGGTATTATTTTTATTATTTTTATTTCACAAATGAGGGTCAATGAGGTTGGGTAAATTATCCAAAGTTATTCCAGTTATAATTATTTATGCCAATCTTCAAATCTAGGTCCTTGTGACTCAAAGCCCACTGGTTTATTAGTCCCTCCTAGCTCAACCTCTAATTTGTTCTCCTGGAGCACTGCAGAGAAGTCAAAACACAATTCTGAATGACGAGCCCTGGTCATTAACCCTGATTCTCAGAAGTTGTCATCTTCCGGATTCTGCAGTCTCTGTGCCTTTGCAGACTGCCTTCCTGGGAAAGGGAAGGTTTAGTTCTCAGAATTTTTATTCCAATTAAGTAAAGCCATGGTTGTGTCTTTTAGAAACTGAAAAACAAAACAAAATTCTATCTATGGTAGTTGGATGAACCAGCTAAACTGAAGGTACATTTTGTCCTGAAAAGAGAGGGTAGAGTTGGTGTTAGAAGACTTTCATTCATTTACCAGATCCAACATTGAGTATTTTTGTGATCTTGATCTTTCTGACTTCAGTTTCCTCATCTGTGGAAGGGGAGAATATCACCCTTCTTCCAGAATCCTTGGGAGGATTCAAGAAGCTCCTGCTTGAGAAGGCTCTGGGCACAGTGCCTGGCATGTCATCTGCCGATGTTCTTGTGGGCTGTGTTTGAGTCTTAATTTATTTGAATATCCCTGAGATATCTATGTAGGAGCAAGTAAAATCTGAAATCAGATCCTGATCTCTTTACATGTTCTTCCTTAGGCTTCATTAGTTAATAAAATGTTACATTTATCAGCATTCTTTTCACCCCTACATCTGTATTACATGCATATCACAAAGTATGTGGAAAAAAAAATGTTTCCCTTCCTTATCCTTTGGGTCTTCTCTTTCAATTAACCTCTGTTTCAAAATACTGGAAGCTAAATATGAATAAAAAATAGAAAGTTTGCCAAACTAGAACTCCGGTCAGTGTTCAGGAACCAAAATCTTGCTTTATTGATACCTACAGAAAATTCCTGGGATATTCACAGCTATTCTCAGTGCTTGCTACATCACAGAAATGCCTGTGATCCTCTGACCTTTTGATCAATTGCTCGCCTATTATCTAACATCTTCTGCTAAGTGAAGAGCAGGGTATCCCTAAGAGTAGGTGTTAATTATTATTATTATTATTTTTTTTTTTGAGACAGAGTCTGGCTCTGTCGCCCAGGCTGGAGTGCAGTGGCGCGATCTCGGCTCACTACAAGCTCCGACTCCCAGGTTCACGCCATTCTCCTGCCTCAGCCTCCCGAGTAGCTAGGACTACAGGCGCCTGCCACCATGCCCGGCTAATTTTTTGTATTTTTAGTAGAGACGGGGTTTCACCATGTTAGCCAGGATGGTCTCGATCTCCTGACCTTGTGATCCTCCCGCCTTGGCCTCCCAAAGTGCTGGGATTACTGGCATGAGCCACCGCACCCGGCCAGGGTGTTAATTATTAATATGTATTAATACATTGCATTACCCTTTCATTGGAGTGTTTAAAAGTGGGGGCAGGGGAGTTGTTGCTTTAAGGGGAGTTACGCTTTTTTTTTTGTCCTTTTTTTTTTTTTTTTTTTCCTTTTTCTGGAGAACGAGGTCTCGCTATATTGCCCAGGCAGGTCTCGAACTCCTGGGCTCAAGCTGTCCTCCCGCCTCTTGCCTCCCTGAGAGCTGGGATTACAGGCGTGAGCCACCGTGCCCGGCCAGGCTTTTGGATCTAGTCAAGTTTTATGAATTGTCCATTTGAATAAGAATGGCATTTTTCAATAAATCATTGCAGCCTGGATGAGTTTACCCCATGCACCCTCCAGTCAATTGCCCAGGAAAGAGAAATGCCTGAGTGGAGATATAATGTTTTTCTTCATTTCAAATATATTCCATTTATTTTTTCTAAAAACAGCACTCAAGTTTTGCTGGAAGTTCTGCCGAGCTCAGCCCATCCATGTGGATCAATTAAACAAGTTGATTCTTCCTCTGTCCTCAGAGGTGGGCATTTGACCCAGAACTAGCCAATTAGCATGCAGCATTCCACTGGTTCAGTGATGGGCATGTGACCCAATCAGAACCAATCAGAACTAATCCCAAGACCTCCCCCTGAGCTTGTTCCTCATCTGAGAGACAGAGATGGAGAGAGGGGGAGAGAGGGAGAGAGAGAGAGAGAAAGAGAGAGAGAGATAGAGAGAGAGAGAGAGAGAGAGTGTGTGTGTGTGTGTGTGTGTGTGTGTGTGTGTGTGTGTGTGTGTGTGTGAAGGGATGTTGGCAGAGGGGGACACGTTTTATGTGGGCCCATGTTAGAAAGATTGGGAGGGAAGAAAATAATGAGCATGATCTTTTCCTTAAAATCATGAAGAATGGGTGTTTTAAAGAGACAAATATGCCGATCAAGGCCTGTGTTCTTTCTCCTCGCCAAACTGGCTTCAGACCTGTGTGGAATTTAGGCAATGGTGCCCTTCCAATGGCAACAATAGGAAATTTGGTGTTAGCAGGTGCACTTCCCTTCATTGATAAAAATCCTTTGGAATTAGGTAATTCAAAATTACCTTGAGATGTAACTTTGAATTTAGAAAGATAGAATTGAAAGAAAAAGTGATGGATAATTTCTGGTGAAATGAATGGGCCTATGAAATATGTATTTCTCTTCCCAACTTGCATCAACTTATTTGGTATTTCAGTTTGTGTAATAGTTAAAACTCCTGGCAGAGCAGAGGCAGTAATTGCAAACAGCTGTAAAGTATTACTCATCTTGCTGATCAAAATGACTTCCCACTAAATAAACCATGAAAAAAGCTTTTCCACCCACAGAGAAGTGAAGTGTAAATGATATAAAGACTCTACCATGAAGAGATCAACAGATTGCATTTTCTTATAACTGTGGTTTTCTATAGCTACAGTTACCTTCAAAAATGGCTTATAAACTCAGCTAGTTCAGGAAAAAGAACTTGAATAATAACATTAAGATGGCAGTGGGGATCCTGGGAAGTGTTTGAAGTTACAAAGCTTTTGGAGAGCCACCTTGGTTCCCTTCTTAGGCTTTCCAATGGATGAAAACAACTTGCAATGTGGTCTTATTCTTGCTTGTTTTGGATATCACTCCAGGTCTCTTGCCCTTCGTATCTGAGAACCATTAGCTGGACATCCATGTCTTGGTCTTTCTATCATGGTTTTGAAGGGTGATGGAGCCATGGTGGTGGCGTCAATATGTTGATGCTACTGCCATGGGCATCTGACTGTGAGCTTCAGGTACTGATAAAAGAATAATCTGGTGCTGGAGTCACAGAGCTGACCTCTGATGTCACTCCAGCTACTTGCCCACACTACATTGGCAGCTCCTTGTGATTCTTCTAAACTAGGAAATTCACTGGGCAGTATTCACCAAAAACCAATAAAAATTTCTCTTCACACTCAGACATAAATCTCTCTCCTCTACCTATCTCTTTTCCCTAAATCAAGACTCATCTATAAGTTGATACTAAGCCTATCATTTCAGTCTTACTGCTTTTTTCATTTTTAGTTGAAATGTAATTGTACATATTTATGGGATACAGAGTGACATTTCAATATATGTATACAATATATGTATTTCTATATATGTAATGATCAAATCAGGGTAACTAACATATCCATCACATCAAACACTTATCATTTCTTTGAGTTGTAAACATTCAAAATACTCTTTCTTAGCTTTTTTAAAATATCCAATAAATTACTGCTAACCATATTTACCCTACAGTGCTGTAGACACTAGAACTCATTCCTCCTATCTAGCTGTAAGTTCGTATTTGTTAACCAACCTCTCCCTGTCGTCTCCTCCCTGTTGCTTGCCCCAGCCTGTAATAACCACAGTTCTACTCTCCACTTCCATGAGCTCAGTTTGTTTTTTTTTAGCTCCCACATATGAGTGAGAACGTGCAAGATTTACAATTCTGTACCTAGCTTATTTCACTTAACATAGTCTTCCAGGCTTACCCATGTTTCAGCCAAGAACAGGATTTCATTATTTTTATGGCTAAATAGTACTCCATTGTAAATATATACTACATTTTAAATCTATTTATCTGTTTTTGGACATTTAGGTTGATTCTAATCTTGGCTACCGTGAATAGTGCTGCTATAAACATGAGGGTGCTGGTATCTCCTAAATATGCTGATTTCCTTTCCTGTAGATAAATGCCCCATAGTGGGAGTGCTGGAAAAAAAAATTCTTTTTCTTTAAACCTGATCATGTCTGTCCTCATAAATGCATGTTACACCCATCTCTCACCATCAATGCAACCCCACCCCGAGCAGTTGTTCACTCTTCTCTTCCCTTGTTCTCTGCACACCATGTGCCTCCATACCCCAGCCTCAGGCCTTTCTATACCATTTTCTATTTGGGGCACATAGTTTTTATTCAACTTTCATGCTGTCTTTTGAGAATCTACAATGTGGTTTGGATATGGCACTTTTTATCAGGATGCCACATCAGAGTTGATAAATTCAAAGTAATATCGTTCTTTTTCCTGCCAAAGTCAGCTCCTCCTTTCCACTGCACTTTCCTGCCAGTGCCACCACACTTTCTCCTGTTGTGTAGGGAGAACACAGGTCACCTCCCTAACATGAAAAGGTGCTCAATAAAGATGTGTTGAATATATGAATGAGTGTTCTTAGAGGACACCCTTGTACCTGGACTGGTCCTTACATGGGTGTAAGTTTTATTCTCTAAAAGGGGTGAGTGAGAGTTTATGCTAAGATTGTAAGCAACCCTCAGGGCAGACTCTGGATGTATATTACAGAACTGCTGAACTTGTGGAATGTGCATATTTATACTGAAAATATTTAATGCCATATGTGTAAGACTTTTGCTAACTGGAATCTGAACATCAACAGCTTTGAAGGGCTTATTCTACCTTCTCAGCACAAAAATACTTTTTATGAATGCACATATTTATGTGCAAAAGTATAAAAAATTGACTTTAAAATATACAACAAATTCATTTTAGCAATTGGCCCTGGGGACCTAGAAGGAGAATGAGATTGGGGTGGTAGGGGTGGAATATTAGTTAA
This sequence comes from Homo sapiens, assembly GCF_000001405.40. Taxonomy (NCBI): domain Eukaryota; kingdom Metazoa; phylum Chordata; class Mammalia; order Primates; family Hominidae; genus Homo; species Homo sapiens. The sequence continues at coordinate 13,813,098 of NC_000021.9, forward strand.
TAATGCTTTATGTTATTGAAAATAATTACTGAAAACCAATACAATAAAATATTAACATGTTAATTGAGTATAGTGCTTATATTCTTCTTTACATGTTTTAATATCTTTACAATTCCTTTTTTTGCTTTTGTTAAGGAAGTCACAGTTATTTGGCAGTATGTCTATAATGGTACATGAAATAATGTCTGATTTCTAAACATTGACATCCTACATTAGATGAAATACATTAAGCATTAAGCTTTGATATTACACTACAAAATTAATTGAAGAAAGCCACCCCTGTTTCTTTCTTTTCTTTTTATGGTTATTATGTGCCCCATATGATGTGCAGGAGTTTTTTTTCTAGGCTTTGATTGTTTTAAATAAAATCAGAATTTGTTAAAGTTCAGTTAACACTCAGCTGTGAACCCTAAGGTACTGGGGTCTTTTTCAATGGGAGATCTTTAAGCATTATTCCAAACTATTCTATGCTAATTGATCTATTGATAATTTATAATTTATTATTAAATACATTCAATTTCTTAAAAAGAAAAAGCAAAGAAACAAAGGGAAACATTTATTACAATTTAAATAAAGGAATTAGCAGTTGAAAACAAGAAAACCTATTCTGAGCATCCGTACTTCTTGGCAACCAAAACAATCAATGAAATCAATGCATTGAGTTAAACAGTTCCCAATTTTCCACTATGTTACCTGGAGAAAAAAACCCCAGTATCATAGGGTTAAACTTTGGGAAGGATTTTTCATAAGAATCTTAATATAAAGGTTCTTGAATGACATAATGTACAAGGTCTTTGATAGCAATGCGCCCCACAGTGCAAAGATGTTTTACTAGTCCTGTTGGTGTCTCAAATTGGTTCTCGGTAAGTAATCTGGACATACTGTGAAATTATAATTCTGTGTAGACAATTCAACTTAAGGAGTTAGAGTGATGCAATCCAAATAGATGGCTTTCTTCTGATCTGGCTTAACAGAAATCTTGAAAAATCTGGGAGTAAATGTTGAATATATCCTCAGTTCTCAACCACTCTTCTTCTCTGAGAGACAACATCACAGGCAGGACATCCTCCCAAGGGTACACACAATATTATGTACAGTTCCCACACGAGAAACACATCATAATCTTAGTGACAATGATGTTCTCATAAGGTCAGTTATACTCAGTGTGCATAGTTGTCCAAGTGTGAGTATGAAACCAAGTTATTCGCAAGTACCACTACTCTGATTATTAGTAATAACAATCCACTTGTGACATAGCTTTTCTTTGCTGAAACAAAATATTGTTTTGACATCATGGTCAAAACATTGGTCTTAGGCAAATGCTCTCTATTATCTATTGTTGCCAAGCCTTTGAGAAGTGTTTTATGTGGGGCAAAAGGTCCCTTCCTGTCTCTTTGGTCAAAGCAAAGGAGGAGTACAGATGACTGAGAGAGTGATCACGCTGCTGTGCCCACCTATGAGGTAGACCTTGTTCCTGGATTGGGAGATGTTTTGTGCTGAGGGTGCAGTAGAAAGAGCACACAGCTAGCAGTAAAGAGAGGTGACCTTGACTGCAGCTCTGCCTCTGACTTCCTGAGTAACCTCAGACTAGTCATGCAGTGCCTGCTCCCACATTTCTTTTTGTAAGCTGCAAGGGCTGAATCAGACAACAGCCTCTAAGTTTCTTCTGAGCTCTCATACTCAGGGATGCCAATGATGTTGGCAGGATGAGCTACATAGTTTGTAGGACCCAGTGAAAAATGAAAGTACAAGGCTTCTTGTTCAAAAATTAAGCATTTCAAGATGCAACAGCAGATCATTGTAAACCATGTGCACAATGCTTCTGAGACCAGGGCTCTCTGCAACTGCCCAGTTATAGCCTTTGAAGATAGGATGGTGTCAGCTTCCCATTACGAAGCTGATTTGTCACTCAGGGCTCAGACGTTGGATCTTCCAGGCTGAAAGTGGGAGGAGAACACATGTTGTTCTAGTCACAGCCAGAGATAACACAAAGACAGCCTAACAAGGGCCCAGGCACAACACACATTGTTATAAAGAAGAGAAGAGGGTCACCTAGTGACTCAACACAAAAATGATCCTCTGTCCACATCTCCTCTCCAGGTTTCAGTCATGGTAAGGACTGTCCCAGGTTTCAGAGCCTTCAAAGAAGATCTTAACTCTGAAACCTGTGCAAAGTCTGGGGATAGCAGGTTGTGTACCACCTCACTTTCCTGTCTCTTTCTCTCTGAATAAACATCTTTTATCAGGAAGCCCAGCAGAACACAGTCAAGAAGCAGATAGGTGACTGCTATTCCCCTCTTGCTGAAAACGCAGCCACTTGGAGTCAGCTTGATGGCAGTGGTGGCTCAGGCCTTGAACACGTGAGAATAGACTATGTTGTCAAGATGCTGATGAACCGCACTTCTGCCTGACTTGGTGCGTTGTCTCAGGTCTCAGCACTCACAATGGATGCTCATAATCCTACACACAATCCCCAAATGTCAATGAGGATCATTGGCCAACCATACCTCAGTGCATGGGGGGTAGTAGGGTTATCCATTAAGGCCCCACCTTCCACCTCACAAATACTTCTGATCAGAGGGATGAGCTTGGGTAATTTTGGGATGCATGACAGGATGATGTCAGCAGACTGGCCAAATCCACATTCAGTATTTCCCATCATGAGGTCTTTGGTGTCAGGTGACATTAAAGAATGAGAGTGGTGAAGAAACACCTCTGGTGAACCACTTTCCAATAGGCTGAGAATGCAGCTTTCAAATCACTTCCATTACTTGGCATAAAGAAACTGGAAAGCTAAGTGAAAGAGAGAACACAGGGCTGAAGGTCAGAGGACCTGAGATCCTGCTCTCAATTCCCACTTACAGACTGAATGACAAAAGGTAAGTCATTTGTCCTCCTGTATTGCTGCTTTCCTATTGAAAAACAGCAATAAACTACTTCCTTCATGGAGACACTATGACCAGAAAATGAGGCAACCTATAAAGCACACATTTAAATATAAAATCACTGCTGGGCATGGTGGCTCACGCCTGTAATCCCAGCACTTTAGGAGGCTGAGGCGAGTGGATCACCTGAGGTCAAGAATTTGAGACCAGCCTGGCCAACATGATGAAACCCCGTCTCTACTAAAAACACAAAAAATTAGCTGGGCATGGTGGTGGGTGCCTGTAATCCCAGGTACTCAGGAGGCTGAGGCAGGAGAATCGCTTGAACCTGGGAGGCAGAGGTTGCAGTGAGCCAAGATCCTGCCACTCCACTCCAGCCTGGGTGACAGAGCAAGACTCCATCTCAAAATAAATAAATACAAATAAAATCACTCTGCAACTAGTGGGTACAACTTGAGTTTCTTTTTTTTTTCTCTCTGTCTGTTGCCCAGGCCATCATGCACGCTGGTGCAATCTCGGCTCACTGCAACCTCCACCTCACAGGTTCAAGTGATTCTCCTGCCTCAGCCTCCTGAGTAGATAGGATTACAGGGGCCCACCACCACGCCTGGCTAATTTTTGTATTTGTTGTAGAGACAGAGTTTCACCATGTTGGCCAGGCTGATCTTGAATTCCTGACCTCAAGTGTTCCGCCCACCTCAGCTTCCCAAAGGACTGGGATTACAGGTGTGAGCCACCATACCCGGCCCAACCTGAGTTTCTTAAAACCTCATAGGCCTCATGGATTCAATAAAATAAGTCATGATTATGATAATAATTTTTAGAGGTTCCTGTAAGGTAGAAACTGCTGTTATTTCAACTTCCCAAAATGCCTTGTGGGGCCCTAAGGCTATCTGTATAATCTAGAAATAGATATATATTCAAATTAGCTATGTCACATCAAAATTTGGAGAAGAAGTAAAAAAAAGAAATTTAAGAGATTTACTCCACCAATCTCTTGGTAATTTTTGTGTTCATTATCAGTAAGCTGTGTGCATCCTTTTAGAGTGCTACTGTTTGAGAAAAGCAGCATTGAAGTTGCTGCTGATCTTGGTCATGCATTTTCAGAGTGTGCTTATCAGCAGACTTGGATGCTGTTGGGGTTCTGTTTTTGATTTGCAATTTTTCCAAGACAGGCTTTCTGTTGCCCAAGCTGGAGTGGGTAGCTGCTGTTTCTCAATAGACAAGTCCTAGAAGTAGAGATAATTCAATTTTCATTCACTCTTAGCTCTTCTGCCACTGGTGTTCCTCTTTGACCCCGACAGGGCTGCACCTGTCTTCCAGGCCTGATGTAGCACTTGTATGGTTTGCCACTTGCCAGAAGATCCACAAGCCATTCTAAAAGCCTTTTGCCCAGTAGAGACCACTCCAGTGAGCACAAATTGTCTAATGGCTTTTTTTAGACGGTCTTCCTCCTTAGCTCATTTTTCTCCCAGAACAAAGATATCAAGGTGTTGATTTAGCAGCGGTTCCTGAAGGACAATCCAGCTTGGTTGAAATCTTTTCATTATAATAGAAAATATAATAGCAACAGTAGCATCCCCTGTTACACTGAAATTAAATGACTACTCTTTCACTGTTGGGGTGGCAAGTATAATTTCTATCACTTCTTTGGAAAGCAATACAACTTACTAAAGATCACCAAAATGTTTATACTTTTTGGAACCAAAAACCTCACTGAAAAAAATTATTCCAAGAGTATATTTCAACAGAAAAAAAAAACAAGTAATATACATGCGTATGTTTCTCCCTGTGAAAACAACAACACAGAATTTATTAAACAAGTTTTGAAACACTTGGCTATGTGGTAACATGGAACAATGTTCTCCTATAACGTTAAAGGATAAAAGCTTAGAGAATAGAATATATTCTATGACTGCAACTATGAAAGAAAACATAGATCTACATAGGGACAAAGGTGATAAACATGCAAAAACAGGTGTTTGATTCATGGATTATGTGTATTTTTCCTGCATTCAAATTTATCTTTATTATTGCTTTTTTATGTTCCCCCTTCCTCCCCCCAAAAAATCCTAAAGATCTTGAATATGCCCCTATCGGTATTTAACATTTCATCTGAAACTGGGTCTAGATGACTCAATCTGCTCCAGTTTTTTGAACAAGATGAATAGCAAGGTTATTCTTTCCATTGTTTTTTTTTTTTCTTTTCTTAACAGCCAGACACAGGTCTTTAATTATACAGCTGGCTTCTTTGTTTGGGATACGTTACTTTCAATCATTTTCCTGATCCTCTGCATGATTTACAGAAGCTGAGTGGGAGGCTTTAGCATTTCCATGGTCCTCCTTCTCCACTATCATGAGATTCTTATGTGAATTTTTTTTAGAGCCATTATTCTCCATTTGCAAAGGCAGAATGCAGTGGCAGGAGCTGGGACTCTGGGAAACCAACGGCCAAGAATTCAAACTACAGCATACTATGAAACACTCAGATAAGATGTCCCCATCATATTCTATCACTGGGCAAAGTAAAATGTAAACCACGTACTCAAAACAGAAAATATTGTGGGTGACAGTGACATGGGTATTCAGAAAGAAGAAGAAATGCAATTAAGAAACCAGGCAAAGAAGTAAACATGCCATGTAGCTTACGAAAGACCAGCCACATTGTGTGTATTTTAATATTGTTTAATGGTAACACCTAATAGAGCATCATGATTGTGTGAACTAAATTTTCAGTCATAATGAATGCTACAAACTTCACTTCCCAAGTTTAAATACGCTACAACGTCTTGGGAAAAATGCAAGAAGAATTATTTGATAAATGTTTCTCTTCCAGCCTATCTTGATCAACAGCCAGCAGCAACACATTGCAGATACAATCTCAAGACCTTGTGGCATGCATTTGTCACTACATGCGTAACTTACTATGGACAGAGGATCACAGAAATTTTGAATATAATTTCCCACATGACAGGAGGTTAAATAGACCACACTGGAAGAAGGCAAGAAGCAGCTAGTTCTCTGGAGTACCAAAAAGTAAACTTCAGCCAGTTCTGGAAGCAGATAAATAGCAGGAAATATACTTTCACATGGGCTACTTTCTCAATAGTTCTTGCTTGCAAGAGCTCTAGGGAAAGTATGAGTTACTGGGTAACAATGTAATAGAAAAGGGGCCAGCCTTGGGAAAAATTGCAGTGGAAGAAAATCAGTGTCTCCTCATTTACATCTTTCTTTCTCCTCTTCCTTTGTAATGCTGCCTTTCTTGGGGTATTCTTTCCCCTAGAATACCCTGCCTGTCACCCCACAACAACCTGCTCTTGAGACTGCATTTCTAATACCTATAATGAGATGTTATGTCAATGCCTCATCTCTCAGTGTGTGTATAGACATATTAAGCTTTCTCTCTATGCTGTGTTTTCTCATGCAGGAATATCAGACATTAATGAACCAGTAAAGAGGATGCTGGGGTGCAGAAGAGCTTTCCCAGTGTCCCGGGAGCCATTCTACACAGCATCCTACAGCATGACTATGGATCTGCTGTGCTTAGTTTCTTTACTTGTGAAAACAGAGTAATAGTAGCACCTACCTCACAGGATTGTTCTGAAGATTAGAGGGGTTTTTTCATGGAAAGCTCTAGAGCAGTGCTTGAGACATGGTAAGTGCTCAACATGTGTTCATTATTAGTATCATTATCAATATTTGATGTAAAAGCCTTTCTGAAAGAAATCACACAAGAACATGATCAGTTAAAAAATACATATGAATGAAAGTATGTTTGGTGCTGACACAACACAGACTGGCATAATGGTTAGGAACATAGAGTTTGGAAGTCAACCATCTGTGCTCAAAGCCTAGTGTCACCACATGGCCATTGTGGGACACTGGGCCTCAGATTTCTGTGGGGAAAAGAAAGAGAGGTCAGATTGTTACTGTGTCTGTGTAGAAAGAAGTAGACATAGGAGACTCCATTTTGTTCTGTACTAAGAAAAATTCTTCTGCCTTGAGATGCTGTTAATCTGACACCCTACCCCCAACCCCGTGCTCTCTGAAACATGTGCTGTGTCCACTCAGGGTTAAATGGATTAAGGGCTGTGCAAGATGGGCTTTGTTAAACAGATGCTTGAAGGCAGCATGCTCGTTAAGAGTCATCACCACTCCCTAATCTCAAGTACCCAGGGACACAAACACTGCGGAAGGCTGCAGGGACCTCTGCCTAGGAAAGCCAGATATTGTCCAAGGTTTCTCCCCGTGTGATAGTCTGAAATATGGCCTTGTGGGGAGGGAAAGGCCCTGACCGTCCCCCAGCTCGACACCCATAAAGGGTCTGTGCTGAGGAGGATTAGCAAAAGAGGAAGGAATGCCTCTTTGCAGTTGAGACAAGAGGAAGGCATCTGTCTCCTGCCCATCCCTGGGCAATGGAATGTCTCGGTATAAAACCTGATTGTATGTTCCATCTACTGAGATAGGGGAAAACTGCCTTAGGGCTGGAGGTAGGACATACGGGCAACAATACTGCTCTGTAAGGCATTGAGATGTTTATGTGTATGCATATCTAAAGCACAGCACTTAATTCTTTACCTTGGCTATGATGCAGAGACCTTTGTTCACGTGTTTATCTGCTGACCTTCTCTCCACTATTATCCTGTGACCCTGCCACAACCCTCTCTCTGAGAAACACCCAAGAATGATCAATAAATACTAAGAGAACTCAGAGGCTGGCAGGATCCTCCGCATGCTGAACGCTGGTCCCCTGGGCCCCCTTATTTCTTTCTCTATACTTTGTCTCTGTGTCTTTTTCTTTTCCAAGTCTCTCATTCCACCTAACGAGAAACACCCACAGGTGTGGAGGGGCAACCCACCCCTTCAGATTTCTAGCCTGAAAAATGGAGGAACAATGTCTGTCATATAAAGTTGCTGTAAATATAAAACCAGCTAAGAAATGTAAAATACTCAACAGTGTCTGACACAAAATAAACACCCAATTAATGGTAGCAGCAAGAAAAGAGCTCTCTTCAACCAACATCTTACCTTCAGAAATTGGTTAAGAAGAAATGAGTGCTTGGGAACCTTCCTGTTAGAGCTGGGGAACACAAATAACCCCAAGATATGACCCAACTGGGAAATGAGGCACCAGAGTCAGCAGGTCTCAGGACTCGAGAACATGTCATAGATCTGGGGCCAAGGGGACTTCCCAATACCCCAGTCCTGAATTAGCCAGATGTGCCTTTCAGTCCTTGGCTGAGCTGGACTGAGGCCTCCTCCAAAGGGAGAAATAAATGTGCATCCTGAAGAGAGCTGACTCTGAAAGAGAGAGAAACCCACAGAGGCTGAGTTTCACCAGCACAACTACTTCCAAGCACATTCCTCAGGTAAGTCATTTCTCTTCCCAAGGGGAGGATTGAATGAGTTTATGGTGAGAGGCTGAAAGCTTTTCTCCTTTATTTTCCCTCATGGGAGAGGAGTGGAAGTACTATGTTCTCTGTGGGAATCTGCAGACTATGGACGTTTCCCCCAACAGTTGGCATTGACTGATTTATCTGCATGTCTCTCTATCCACATCTTCTATATGAAGAATCTAAGTGGGAATAGCCTCCAAAGTACTCTGATAGTACCAAAGCACTATTCTAGTTTTGTATAATTTTTAAGTCTCTTCTTTAAATTTTTTTTTTGCAGACTCCATCCTAGACACAGCATACCAGAGTCTCCAAAGGGCTAAGCTCAAGAATCTATTCTGAAGCTCCCAACAGGAGTCTTATATAGCCAGGCAGGCAATGATCATATTTGGGGACCATTAGAAATAATCGAATGCATATACTCTGAACTTCAAATTTTTAATATTCTCGTTTTCTGCTCAGTAAGCTCAATTTCAATGCAGTTCACAGTTTCTCATATCCACCATGGCATTCTGCCAAGGAACTACAACTTGTATTCTCTAAACCCAACTGTTCTAAGAATGCTGGGCTGCTTATCAACTTCTAATGTACCTTGCTTAAACTTTCCTCTCTCGATGTGTCCCTGACTGAACTGCAGAAGACAGAACAACTGTACTAGCCATCTCTTTCTGCATATCCCATGTCTCCACAGAGGCCACGGTGTCTTCACAAAGCTAACTGCAACGATTTTCGCAGGTGATATTTTCCCTTCATGATTTTCCATTTTCTACTTGAGCATTAAAATATCAGGAAGAAAAAGAAGATATAACCATATAGCAGTTGGTAAAATAAGATATCTGCCCCAGCACAGCCCATACTAAGTATTCAGAATTTACAGTTATATTAGATAACTACAAATTAGATAACTATTAACATAGTTATATTAGATAAGTAATATTTTCTCATCTTCAAGAACTAAAAAATTAACTTTTAAGTGATATTCAAAAAAGGAAGATACTCACTCACATCAACCCAATTAAAACCACATTTTCTATAGCTGGATGTAACAATCTTAATCCAAATCATTCACAAAAGTTGTTTAACATTCTTTTTTTTTTAAATTATACTTTAAGTTTTAGGGTACATGTGCACAATGTGCAGGTTAGTTACATATGTATACATGTGCCATGCTGGTGTGCTGCACCCATTAACTCGTCATTTAGCATTAGGTATATCTCCTAATGCTATCCCTCCCTGCTCCCCCCACCCCACAACAGTCCCCAGAGTGTGATGTTCCCCTTCCTGTGTCCATGTGTTCTCATTGTTCAATTCCCATCTGTGAGTGAGAACATGCGGTGTTTGGTTTTTTGTCCTTGTGATAGTTTACTGAGAATGATGATTTCCAATTTCATCCATGTCCCTACAAAGGACATGAACTTATCATTTTTTATGGCTGCATGGTATTCCATGGTGTATATGGGCCACATTTTCTTAATCCAGTCTATCATTGTTGGACATTTGGGTTGGTTCCAAGTCTTTGCTACTGTGAATAGTGTCACAATAAACATACGTGTGCATGTGTCTTTATAACAGCATGATTTATAGTCCCTTGGGTATATACCCAGTAATGGGATGGCTGGGTCAAATGGTATTTCTAGTTCTAGATCCCTGAGGAATCGCCACACTGACTTCCACAATGGTTGAACTAGTTTACAGTCCCACCAACAGTGTAAAAGTGTTCCTATTTCTCCACATCCTCTCCTGCACCTGTTGTTTCCTGACTTTTTAATGATTGCCATTCTAACTGGTGTGAGATGGTATCTCATTGTGGTTTTGATTTGCGTTTCTGTGATGGCCAGTGATGATGAGCATTTTTTCATGTGTCTTTTGTCTGCATAAATGTCTTCTTTTGAGAAGTGTCTGTTCATATCCTTTGCCCACTTTTTGATGGGGTTGTTTGTTTTTTTCTTGTAAATTTGTTTGAGTTCATTGTTAACTTTCTTAAAGTAAGGCTCTAGACATTTGCTTCTTTACAAGTATCTTGCAAAGCCATTATGAGGTAGAAGAAAAGTTTAAATGCACCACATTTTTCTACTCCATCGTAACTAAAATTACTACTCACAGGATGTGTATAGCTTCTGAATTTTGGTCCATCACATTTTCCACCATCAAATGAGTATACCCTTAAGGTTCTCACTTTATCATCAGCATAATATATTTTGCTTCCAGAATACCCAGTAAAGCTGAAATTTTTTCATTTAAAGTGATAAAAAAAATTCCCCAAATATCTACTTAACAATCTTAGATCTGAGTTTTGGCAAGACAGTTTAATGCATACACAATGAAAACACTACATTTCTCACTCTCTCTCACACATGCACAGATTAAAACCCCAAAGTTTTCACTATATTTCCTCTTTCTTATACAGTTCAATTTTTAACATGCAGCTTACTTATAATCTAAAAACAATTTTAAACATGATTGTCATAAAAATATTTTAAAACAGACATGAAATGTATAAAGGCAGACATAGATCATCCATGGTTACATCTGTTACATTTCTTTAGAAACAGAACTGTTTCTTCTCCTGTAAACAAACTTTTTTTTTCACACATTTAAAGCGAGGTCAGTGCTGACATAAAATTATCGCTCTACTCACAGCCTTGTCTAGAGCCTTACTTTAAGAAAGTTAAAGTTTGCACTGTGCTTGAGATACATTTTCTTCATCTTCACAGCCCCAGCACTCTTACTTGAGAGTATGAGTCAACAGAAGTTTGCAGGCTAAAACCATTCAATAATATTTTCACCAATACTGGAATGGTAGTAAGTAACATTACAAAACATCAGAGGCCAAAAATGTTTCTTTGTTGGAGCCCAAGATTTTAATTTATTCTTCATTACCTGAAAATACTGCTCATTTAACCTCTTTGGGAAAAAAAATATTCCAGAGATGAATAATTCCTTCATTAATGCTTCACCCAAGATGATTCCTTCACACTTATCCTCCAATGCTTTGCTGTTTTCATCCTTTGATGTAGCAGGCACCAAGAATCACCTTTCCTTTGGTCATCTGGCATAATGATCTCTTATGGTTTTTGCTAGTTGTTTGACAAATATTTTGTAAATTTTTCCACGGTATGTATGCACTGTTTTTTGTAGTTCCAGTTCTAAAGGTTTTATTAGGGAATGAATGTTGTCATCTTAAAAGAACAATTTCTCAGTGCTTCATAAACAGCTCTAAATGCTGGTTGCTTATCATCATGGTAAACACCTCTGTTCCCTGAAGAATCAAGATTCCTTCTTCTGCTTCTTGGCAACTGCTTCCATATAGACAATGATCTGGATGATAATTCCATTGACACGGAAAGGCAAAAAGACTTTCTGGATTATGAAAAAACATGATATCCAACAAATCTTGATTGCCCATGTAAATCTTGATTGCCTATGTAATGTTTAGTTTGTATTCTTTAAGCCATGTCATAAGTATATCTCTTCATTGTAGTCACACAGTTTGTCATATCATTCTTGAAATACTTCCTTCTCATTCGAGTCATATTCATCAACATAATTCCAGGGTTTACTCCAGTTTTTCCACAGTATGGTTGCCTAGCAAAGCGACTATACCATCTTATTTGAGGTTCCTTGTGTTCTGAGGCCACTGGAGCAATTTATGTGGAATTAAATTTCTTTAGTAAAGAACAAATATGATCAACTGGTCGTAAAAAAGGCTATTAGTGTGGGAGTCAACTTCTTTCAGGAATAACGGCAAGAACAATCTCTGCGGACCACATGGTTTAAAGAGTTTTTCCATGCTGCTGCATTCTCACTTGGAAAGGTTATGGGGTATATTGTATAATTAAATATTTGCAGAAATGACCCCTGTCACGTCTTCCTTTAAAGCTATAATGTAGCTGATCTTCAGCAAAAACCTGGAATTGAAGAGCTTTGATCCTGAAAAATGATAGCTGACTTCAACGTGGTCATAGTTTCTTCCAGTCTTTCATCACAGGCAACTACAGCTAGATGCATTTTCTCAACAGGCTGTATTTTCAGACGACACCTGTCCCACCCACCAGGATGCACAGCAGGACCAGCGCTGCCCGCGCCTCTCACGGCACCGCATCCGCCTCCTGCCAGCCAGGAAGCCACTGAGGCCTGCTGCTTCCCGCCACCACCGCCTGCTGCTTCCTCCAGGGACATGGGGAGCTGGCTGAAGGCGTAAAGGAGCGAGCAGAAGCCGCAGGCCAGACACAGCGCCACCACGTGCGGGTAGCGCCGCATCGCCCCAGCCGTGTTCCTTGGTCTCCGTCTCCGCCGCGCCCGCCTGGTGAACTGGAGCACAGGGACCATAGTTCTGGAAATTTATCCTTTTTCTCTCCATGGATTCAGCAGCAGTGTCTAAAAGAAAAAAATTCATCAATCATTTATGTATATTTTAATATAAAGGTAAAACACTGCGAACCAGTGGAACCGGATAGAAAGTAATTCAGTTTTACAGAACACAACTGTTTTTCAGGCTCTTTTATTAAATATAAAAGAGCCATATATATTTCTGTGGAATTCCCCTTTTACTTAAGAATTCATTATCAGCGAATTAGTTTAAGGAGGCTGTTTTGTTAGAGGCTGTGGTTGCATTCAAAAATTGGAATAGGAACAATGACTTGTAAAAATTCAACATTTTATTTTATTTTTGAGATGGAGTCTCGCTCTGTCGCCCAGGCTGTAGTGCAGTGGCGCGATCTCGGCTCACTGCAACCTCAGCCTCCCGGGTTTAAGGAATTCTCTGCTTCAGCCTCCTGAATAGCTGGGATTACAGGCGCATGCCACCAAGCCCAGCTAATTTTTTTTGTATTTTTAGTAGAGACGAAGTTTCACCACCTTGGCCAGGCTGGTCTTGAGCTCCTGACCTCGTGATCAGCCCACCTCAGCCTTCAAAAGTGCTGGGATTATAGGCGTGAGCCGCCGCGCCCGGCCGGAAGTTCTTTCTTCTTAAAAGGATTATAAATGTAATTCCCACTGGCATGACACTTTTACTAATATAGGTTGACTTTTTGCTTCAAATAACCCATTCGTACATCTAAATTAATTTCGCTCAGTATGTGTGTGTGCATGTGTGTGTGTGGATGTGTGTGTGTGTGTGTGGATGTGTGGATGTAAATCACAGTAAAGGGTAAAGGGAAGGTGGAAAAAAGGGAGATGGTCTAACATTTTTCACACATTTTTTAAATACACAAAAGATATGTAGTAAAAACAATGGTGTGGCGAAAACAAAATCTTGCAAACTAGAAAAAAGACAGTCCCCGGTCCCGTGTGGTCCCGTCCCGCCACGGGGCCAGCCAGCTGTAAGCTCCACGCAGTTCAACAAAGGCCCCTCCTACAGGCTCTTGGCGGACGTCCAGAACCGGTTCCTGTCCAAATATGACTCCCAGAAGGAGGTAGAGCTCCGCAGCTGGATCTAGGGACTCACTGGCCTCTCCATCGGCCCGACTTCCAGAAGGGCCTGAAGGACGGGATTATCTTATGCACACTCATGAACAAACTGCAGCCGGGCTCAGTACCCAAAAATCAACCGCTTCAGTGTAGAACTGGTACCAGCTAGAAAGCCTCTCCAACCTCCTCAAGGCCATGGTCAGCTACAGCATGAACCCCGTGGACCTATTTGAGACCAACGACCTGTTTGAGAGTGGGAACGTGAGGCAGGTGCAGGTGTCTCTTCTCGCCCTGGCAAGGAAGGCCAAGACTAAGGGGCTGCAGAGCGAGGTGGACATCGGTGAGGAGTACTCAGAGAAGCAGGAGGGGAACTTCGACGATGCCACCATGAAGGCTGGCCAGTGCATCATCCGGCTGCAGATTACCAATAAACGCGCCAGCCAGTCAGGCACGACTGTGTACGGCAGAGCACGAGGAGGCATCTCTACGACCCCAAGAACAACATCCTGCCCCCCATGGACCACTCGACCATCAGCCTCCAGATGGGTACAAGCAAGTGTGCCAGCCAGGTGGGCATGGCGGCTCCTGGGACCCGGTGGCACATCTACGACACGAAGCTGGGAATCACAAGTATGACAACTCTTCCACGACCCTGAAGATGGGCTACACGCTGGGCACCAACCAGAGCAGCCAGGTCTTCAGCCTGGGCCGACAGATATACGACCCCAAGTACTGCCTGGGAGCACAGTGGCCCACGGGGCTCCCTCAGGTGCAGGCGACTGCCCGGGGCCAGTGGAGGCCCCTGAATATCTCCCTTACTACCAAGAGGAGACCAGCTACTGAGGCTCCCAGCACGCTCTCTCCCCACATGGTCTCCCTGTCTGGGTGTTTGGGTTTTTCTGTGTTTTCATCTTTTTTTTTTTTAACCTGTTCAGTGCTGCCAGTCAACGGAGCGTCTGTGAGTAGCAGCGTGGGATCAGGCAGCAGGGTTTTTTTTCCCCGTTGCTTTCGTTCCTTTGCAGGACTGAGCCACCGGGCTGTGGGGGAAGGGATCAAGGCCATATCCCGATGCGTGTCGGGTGAGGGTCCCCGCTGGCGCGTCCAGGCTGTGGGCCTAGCTGTGCTGGGGAGACGAGACCTGGGCATGGAGGGAACCGGTCCCCGAAGGTTTCCCGTTGCCTCGCCTCTTCCCCCTTTTGTCAGCCGATCAGTTTGTGGTTTCTGTACCCGCAAAAGTTTCAAGAAGTATTAACAAAAGAAAAAAATTTTTTTTCCCCCAGGAATGGGGCAGGGACAGTGGGTGCTGGGAAATCAGTCCCTTGGGACAGGGGGCCAGGCCAGGATGCTAAAATATCTCAGGCTCCTGAGTGGCTGGATTTCCCTAGGACCCTCAGACCAACAGACCTCAGACCCTCAGACCTACGCTGGGGCCCGGTGAGGAAACAGGCCCCTACAAGGTAGTGGAATTCTCCGTTGTTAGTGTTAAGCCTGACCCCTCTCCATACTAGTCCCCTTACCCCCGTGGCCCTCAGTAGGGTTTTTTTGTTTGTTTTTGTTTTTGTTTTTTTGAGATGGAGTCTCACTTTGTCTCTCAGGCTGAAGCACAGTGGAGTAATCTCGCCTCACTGCACCAGCCTCCCATGCTCAAGCGATCCTCCTGCCTCAGCCTCCAGAGTAGCTAGGACTACAGGCCTGTGCCACCACACCTGGCTAATTTTTTGTATTTTTAGTAGAGACAGGATTTCACCATGTTGGCCAGGTTGATCTGGAACTCTTGACCTCATGTGATCTGCCTGTCTCGTCCTCCCAAAGTGTTGGGATGGCAGGTGTGAGCCACCACGCCCAGCCCCTCAGTAGGTTTTAAGGAGCCCCAGCCCTCCTTCTCCCCTTCTGGGCCTGACCAGGTCTACTGCTGTATCTCCCCCAACCACACGCCCTGCCAAGTACTGCACAGGGCCCCCCACCCAGGGACCCCGGATCATGAGATAATGTGAAATACCGACTGTGGACCAAACACAATAAAACCTCTGTTTTTAAGAAGAAAATGAAAAGACTTAAAATTGGCATTTTAGGACTTTATATATATTATTAAATATATATTAAATATAAATGTTATACAATTTAGCGCCTTTATCTCCCAGTCTCTGGGAGAGGTTAGGAACTTAACTTTCTTAAGCCTCAATTAGTAAATACATCTGGCCTAGCCACATTGATCAACCTCTCTCCTAACATCATCCTGTAAATTTCAGAAGCTCATGCAAAACTCTCCCACCTTTTGTTACAACAGATATGTCAACTGATACAATTATACAACAATTGTATAAGATAATATTAGATTTAATCTCACAATCACACTCAGCTGGATTACTAACCCTTCTCCTACATCTTGCTCACCTAAATTTATCTACATTTTCTATGAATTGAATAGCTTAGAAATGTATGTCATCTGTGTATTATAGTGTAAGTTATTGTAATACAGAAATATGGACTTTCTTTAACTCCCTTTTGCTGCCTAGGAAATACCAATTTTTTTGAGCATGGCAAGTGTTTCCAAGCATTCAGAAGTGCAGAATGAGGTCTGCTTGTCATCCTCTCAGTCTCAGCTCCTCTCCCTCCTTCATCTCTCTGTTTCATTGATGAGTATAGAAGATCAGTGATTTTTATATGAAATGAAAACTGATGGAACTAAGGTGTTGATTTGATTATCCAACCGACCATTTATTGAGTGTCCATTACAAGTTAAATTGTGTTCTGGAGAACAGCTCAGGAAATGAATGCTTGACATTGATGTACATAATAGAAATACAAACATACCATTAAAAAATCAGACCTCTTATGACAATCCAGATTCTCAAGTAAGTTTTGTGAAGCTCTTTCAAGATGAGAATGTAAAATTTCAAAAAAAAAAATCATTTTAACAAGTCCTTCTTGAGACAGAAAAGTGGAATTAGAAGATCATATATGGTTGTTTCACTAGCTCAAATCTTAAGTACAGTTTTTAGTCAATTGACAGCCATATAATTCTTAGTTTTGTATACTGATATTCATTAGAAATTATAAACTTTAAAAAATATTCCTGTCTCATTCTACTAATCAATTTAAAATTTTCATTCATTTGGTTATATTTCTTCATTTTACCTGGTCTTTAATACTTCTTTCCTGCCCAGCATTAAACTTAATTAATGTCTAATTTGCTTACTTGGTTTAGTTACTTTTGGCCATGTTCAATACACTTCTTATGAAGCAGGCATGTAGGAGTGTTTACAAGTTTATGGTTCTCAGTCTTCCAAATCCCTGATGGCAGCACCCCAACAGACACACACCACAATATAAACACATACACACACACCCGTGCACACTCATACTCACCCACCTACATGCAGACACACACACACACCCATACTCACCCACCTACACACAGAAACACACCCACACACACACTTCAGTGGATAAACACAGAAAACACTCTACAGGCAAAGACATCATACATCAGGGATCTCTTAATGCACTACACACTTCTGTAAATTATCAGGACTGCTCAACTGAGGTGAGTCTACAGAGATTTCAAAGGCTATTTGAGTGCTAAGCTATCTAACTAGTGGTTGGAGACTATTTAAATAGTGCATTAAACACAACTCTTGAGGCTCTGAAGAATTTCTGTGCTTTCCAATGAACCAGGAGTTACAAGGTCCTGAAAACCACAAGCTTGTTATATACTTTAATAGATAAAGCAAAGCTGATATTAATGTGAATATACTTTATATTTACTTCCATTCATGTTAATTTTTCTTTGCCTGTAATATACATTTTTATATAACTGGAAATAAAAAACATCTTAGGAAAAAGAAAACAAAAAATAAAATTTCCCTGATTACACTGTGCCTTGGTTCAGTAACCCTGCACTGCACGTATAGACTATAAATGGGTGTCTTGGGGAGCCACTTTGGTATTTCATTTTAATAGCTCAGCCTGGAGAATATATTTGTGAGTGGATCACATATTACAACTGATTTAAATTTTGACCCATAGAGAAATAAGTTTTCAAAAATATATCTGAAGCCTGGATACTGAAAAATATTTATCATCATAGAATAATAAAAGGCTAGCCATTAGTTACTCAGAAATTGTTCAATAACTCTAAGAAAACTTAGACATAAAGAGTTATGAGTGAGTATAGTTCATCATTAATGTTTGTAAAAATTAATGGTGTCATTTATGTTTGGGAATAAAAAACTAGAAATATAACTTTATTTGATAGAGATAAATGATAGACATAAAGTTTACATAAAGCAAGAGAATAATACTAGGTGTGTAAAAATATTGTTTTATAGATAAGATTTTATGATGAAATTGTGTTGAACAACATGAATCAAACATGTTTTGCATACTACATATGAAGTTACAACATCACAGCCTTTTAAGTATTTCATTAACTTCAAAATGTAACTTATCGCTGAAACAATCTGATTTAATGAATTGGGATAATGGGTAATGATTGGTGTAAGCTGAAAGCAATACTATACTTTTAAAGTTATATCTCTTTGTGTATTAATACAAACACCAGAGAAGATGGTCAATAAATTAATTACTGTACAATGTCTATCATAATACTTAAACCTGGAAGAAAATCATTAAATGCTTAGTGAATAGAATTGGTGAATTGCTTCCATTTTATACAATTTTCTGTTCATTTTAGGGCTTACCAAAACTTACAGCTGTAAGGCCCAATTATTTACTCCTTCAAATAAAGCAAGATTCCAAGAATAAGTGTGAATGTTTTGTTTTGTTTTTCACTGAAATATTCCGGTCTGTAGCTACTCCAAATCACACTAATCTTTCTAGAGTCTGGTATAGGTCCTGGTCTCAAGGCCACTGTTACCACCATCACCATCTTTTGTGCCTCAAGGTTGAGCCGTCCTAACTTACCTGCGTGGAACTGGAAAAGTCCCATTTCATGATACTTTAAGCAACCCAGATGTCTCTTTCACTGAAAGTGGTATTCTTCCTGTGTTTTTTCTTTCCAGCAAGTGATGTCGACCTCTACCTACACCTGACATCTCAGTGTAATTCTTGACATTTTCTTCTTCACATTTCCATTTTCAGTCACCAAGTGTTGTCAGATTTTACCTTCTCTCTTTTTCTTGAATGAATTTTTCTCTTTCTGTCTTCATTGCCATCATGAATTCCACCCCATCACTCTCTCACCTGGGCTACAGTGAGCACCTCTAAAGTGCTCTCCCTGATTCTCTCTCCAAAAATGTTTCTGTGCTATATCCAAAATGACTTACTTGAAATGTAAATACAATTTACATTGTAAATTGCTTGGCTTAAAAATTCCCAAAGACTTCACATTGGTACTAGGAGTCCAATCAAGAGTCAAAAAATGGGTTCAAGCAGTACAAAATTTGTTTCTTTTCTCTCTCCCCCATCTTGTGGCATGAACATTATTGAGCTAAATGATTCAGATATATTTTTTCTTGCCTTCTGGACTTTGGTCTTCTTATTCATATGCTTTTCCCACTACCATCCCAGATTTACATAATTAGCTCTTACTTTTATTTTAGTTTGCTCTTCATCTTCCCCACCAAGAGAAGCCTTACCTGATATCCCTAAATATGAAAGGCTTTCATAACAGTGCATAGCTTTTCTCTGTTATTTATAATATTGTTTTCAAATTTTTATATTTTTGTTACTATTAATAATAAATAAATCTGAGCATGCTCTTTGATAAGAAGTCTAATAAAATTTTGGTGCAATTAGTAATTCAGTACATAATTGTTTTCTATAAGCCATGATTCTAGAGATTGAGGGGAAAATGCAGCAGTAATCTCTCCCAAGTGGAAGGACAAATAGCCAAGCAATATTGACCTACCCATTCATCTCTCAAAAACAGGGTTAAGATATTGATTCTCCTGTTTTCAGGATGAAGAAGGGACAGGGAGTTTCTTGCTGGTTAGTTTCTCAACTCACTCTTTTTATGGAAAAAGTAATTAATCTGATAAATGACACAGAAGATTTTGATGTTTATTAGCAAGGTGGTGATTCCAAGAAGTTGAAATAAAAAGGCTTCAGAGCCTGTCTCTCTCAATCACTATCTTTGGGTTCTTGAGGCTGCTTGTGCACAAAATAGGAAGCACTTGTGTAAGAGCTGCATAGGCAGGCTCAGTCCAGCTACTGGTTTCATAAATCCAACTTTTCCAAGCATGACAGAATGTCAGAATCCCATGAGCCAAAACTTTTATGATGAGAGAGAAAGAATGATATTTTGCTCCCCAATCTAATTTTCAAATTAAATTTTAAACAAAGTTAATAAAGTTAAATAAATATAACAAAGCTGAATATACACACACATGCATACACCCATGCACATGCACACAAGCTTCTTGCATTTATTTTTTTAATTGTTTAATCATTCATGAGAAATGGTTTGATTTTGTATTTTCTATCTACCAATACTTGCACAAGCTCTGGCTGCAAAACTTTTGTTGGTCAAACATTAGCATTTGGGGAACATGTCCCTGCTGAGAGATAGATCTTGATACAGCCTTAACTACATCATCAGTAGACATGGGACTGTTTTTAACTAGAGGGAGGCAAATGGCTTTCAGATGGTTGTGTAGCTGGTTTTAACAGTAGCCTGCAGTGGCTTTTTGACAGACATGAACCTTACTAGTTATTATTAGGCTTCAGAGCATTAGTATGAGGTTTTAATTTGCTTATGTTAGGCACGAGAAGGTAGCACTATCCTAGATGCCCTAAATATTGTTCCTTGTCACTTTTTTCCCACTGAATTCAGAGGTAATTTGGGGACTGTGTCTAAAATGGTCTTATATTCATGTGCCATAGGTTTCTGAAGCTTCCATTCTGAACATGGTCTCAAGTTGGCTCTTGAGGGCTAATTTCATTACACATGATCATAGGTATAAATTTAAATTTATGGGGGATTGTTTTGTACATCCCACAGAACCTGGATTTACTACAAAGAGACTGTAGAGTTTATCAAAAAGAAGATTAACAGGAATAAGAGTTCTTGCTGTCTAGGGAATATATCATCTTCTTTGGGTAATGCCTATTAATGCTCCTCAAAATAGCTAGAGCATTCAAGGTTTGTAACCAGTTCACAATGACAGAAGTAGCTTCTACTAGAAATTAAATATATTAGTTCTTTCATTGAGTAACTATTGCTACAAGAATATATTTGCTGAATAAACTAACATGCTTATTGACATAATTGATTTGCATACCATGGCAACACTTCATGGACCAAACCCTAAGTCCCATGAAAAATTGAATAGAATTATTTGACAGTTAAGAATCATTGGAAAAGCCTGGCTCTAGGTCTCAGGAAGCAATCTGGTTGATTATGTGTTTTCAGTGTGTAGTCATAATACAACTGTATATCAGTAGTGTACATTAGACACTTTATACACTCTACATATATTTTCTCATTTGATCCTTCAATACATGAATAATATAGGAAATAGACTTGAATTTAACTGCTCCAGTAAGGTCAAAGACCAAAAACCTCATTACAATGCCTACATTAGAGATTCTTCTTCCAATTAAAATAAAGTTACCAAGGGCAATTGCTCCTGCCATAACGAGAAGACATTGGATGAACTTAAAATTTTTTTTTTGTTTAAAGCCATCAAAACACTATGGGCCTAAAGTTACAATGAACTAAATTTCAGAGAAAAATAAGCCTTTCCTAGGTGATCACAGATTAGCAGCGGAGTCCATCTCTGAGGACATTTGCTGGATCTGGGGCCTTGAGTAGGTAGAAGGACAAGCCTACAATGTGGAGAAACACCTGGAACATTGGGAATAAGCAAAATAATCTACAGGGAACTTCAATAGGGGCTGAAAACTAGAAAATCATGTGGTCTCCTAGCTCTTACTTATTTTCACTTAAGAGACAGGGTCTCATTCTGTCACCCAGGCTATGGTGCAGTAGAGTGATCATGGCTCACTGCAGCCTCAAACTCCTCCCTCAGGTGATCCTCCTGCCTCAGCCTCTCCAGTAGATAGAACTACAGGTGCATAGCATCATGCCTAGCTAATTTTTATTTTTTGTGTGTGGACACAAAAACCCACTATGTTGCCCAGGCTGGCCTAGAACTCTTGGCCTCAAGTGTTCTTCCTGCCTTGCCCCCCACCCTCAAGCACTGCTATTACAGGTGTGAGTCACCACATCTGGCCTCCCCTAGCATTTAGATACTAAACTGTTGGAAAAATGAGTAAAAGATAAATATAAGTAGCATTTTGAGTATTTTCTTCCCATACACCCATGGGATTGTTTCGTGTATCTTACTACTTCACATAGGAGACCATTCCTCCATCCAACTATGCAAACTAAGTCTTTAAAATTTGATTTTTGCCCTACAATAAGCTCTATACTAAAGCTCATTACATGTGATTTTGACAGTTTCTGTTTTTATACCACAGTTGCAAAAAATTAATCATATTCTTTACTACATGAGACATTATTATTATTGTTTCCTAAAAGTTTCTTTCTGGTTTTACTTATTCAATTTTTTTATTCTTTATCCCTTGTCACAGACAGGCATGCTAATGTGTTTGATATAAGTTCTTTACTCTTAAAGAATTCTTACAAGATAAGAAGGTTGTTTTCTGAGTGTGTGTATGTGTATATACAAAAGTGTATACATTTTTCTTAAAGAGTATCGTGCCATAAATCTGATTTTATTTCTATTTTTGTCACAGAGCATCACATCCTTCATATATTCCCACACTGCTGTAGGTTATTTTTGGTTGTTTATTCCCCTGCAGCTGCTGCATAGTTTTGGACAAAATGAATCAACCGCATTTTCCCTATCCAGTCTTGCAGTAGAATTCACACTGATATCCTGCTACTGAAATATTCACTTCCTTGTGGTATTCTTATGAAAACACTTTTTGGTCATGTGTCACAATTTGGCAGGGTCTACGTTAGTCTGTTACTATTGCTATGAAGACACACGCGATGCTGGGTAATTTATTCATTTATTTTTTAAAAAAAGAGGTTTATCTTGGTTCAGGGTTCTGCAGGCTGCACAGGAAGCAATGGCGTCTGCTCTGGGTGAGGCCTCAAGAAGCTTACAATCATGGCAGAAGGTGAAGGGAAGCCAGTGTGTCACATGGTCAGAGAGGGAGTAAGAGAGAGAAGGGGGCAGTCCCAGGCTGTTTTTAACAATCAGATCTCTCATGACCTCACTGATAAGAACTCACTCACAAGGGGATAGTGCTAAACCAAGCTTGTCTAACCTGCAGTTTGCAGGCTGAATGCAGGTCAAACAGCTTTGAATGTGGCCCAAAACAAATTTGTCAACTTTGTTAAAACATAAGAGATTTTGTGTGTGTGTGCGTGTGTGTGTGTGTGTGTGTGTGTGTGTGTGTGTGTGTGTGTTTAGCTCAGCAGCTATTTTTAGTGTATTTTATGTGTGGCCCAAGAAAATTATTCTTCCGTTGTGGTCCAGGGAAGCCAAAAGTTGGACATTCCTGTGCTAAACTATTCATAAGGGATCCACCCCATGATCCAATACCTCTCACTGGGCCCCACCTCCAACATGGGGGATCACATTTCAGCATGAGATTTGGAGGGGACACACATACAAACTATATCAGGTATATGTGCCCGTCATTGAGACAGGTTGTAGAGTATGCATACTTTCAGATGGGTCCTGTCATGTTATTTTCTGAAATGTTTAAAACCATTGAATTTCCCATCCATTGCCCATAAAGGTTGTTTTCCTCATATCCTCATCACACAATGTTACGTAGGATTCTTATATTTTCTAAGCGAGTGGTGAAAATACAGATCTCATTTTATTGTGCACATTTGCATCTGTCATATTGTTAATAATGTATTGGAATTTTTCGGCCCATCTTTCTATTGAGTTGACTATCTTCTTTGTTCATTTGAAAATCAATCATATTCACTGTGCCCTAAGCACTGTCAACATTTTCTACTACTCTGTCACATGTCTGATAACCTTGCATGCCAGCCTTTATTGAAATGAATCTTTATGATTTTTATACTCCTTCCAGAGTTTATGTATTTAAGTAAATTTTTTGGTTTAGTAAATCCTTTATTAAATTGTAACAACAGGCCCAAATCTCTGTTTTGTTGGGTTCATTCAGATTTAGAGTTCAGAAAACTTTTTGGTGGATAAATTCTTTTTATCATAATAAAGAAGGGCTATGATAATGCAATATGATTATTTCTGCTAATGCTTGTTGTTTTATAGCCTACTTTGTTTATGTGGTCAGGAGGACAAGACCTGAATGGCCTTGGCCAACTCAGCTTTCTGTACCTCCTGGTTCTCAGAATAATTTTAGAATGTTCCGAGAAGACAATATCCTGAGATAAGGAGAAACTGTCTGGGACAGTCTGGGCTCTGCCCTTGTTGTTCCTAGAACAGGATATTCCTGCAACTCTTAAACTCAGAGAGCCAAGTAGCACATGGGGAGTGAAACCTAGGGCAGAGCACTCAGGGGTTCCTCAGCTGCAGTACACAGTGGAGCATGTGCAGAGGAGACTCCATCAACCCTGGGCAACTTTTCTGACCTCAAGGGTCAGGCTTGCCATAGAACTTAGGCTTTTGCTGATTCTTCCTGCTCCTCTGTGAGTGATAAATTTGGTTTATCTGACTTACTGTGTGAGCATTCTTCTGTTTCTGGCAGCTTGGTTTATATAAAAAAACCTCTTGCTAGACCTATGAATCTATGCAATGTGGAAGTGTCATAGAGGTAAATAGGAAGCAACTTAACTGAGTTGAAAACTAACATACACAACATGGGGCCACTGCACCAAGGGGCAAAATGAGCTGGCCAAAAAGGCCACATGTGACAATGCCAGCCACACTGTGGAAGAAGAAGGATGCTGAAACTCAGAGAGATCTGAAGATCTTATCCAAGCCAACAGGAGGCAGGGAATTCCACTGTACTCTGATTCAAGAGTACAAGCTTCATCTCAGAGAAAAGCAATGCAATGGCCTCAGCGATCAGACCAGAGAGACCCTCTGCCACAGAGAAAGCAGAGATCCAGAGAACAGCATGAAGACAATAGGAGACTTGAGACTCACTTTCACTTTGCCTTGAGGCCACAGAAAGCCCAAAGCATCTGAATATCTTCTTGGAGGCATTTTCCTAAAATAGAGCTATTGAAACTTGAAGAAAAATGTGAATCAAGAAGCTAAATTTAAAGATATGTTATTTTCTCCTGCCCTTCCCCACAAATTAACCACAGGATGAGTCTAGTGAGATAAAGCATATCATTTATACAAAATACAGAAGTTACATATCCTTTATGTGAGCAGAAATATGTTCAAATTTTACTCAATAAATGTATTTTGTTTTACTACTAGAAATAGTAATTTTCACTTGGTGATTACTTTATTTTATAATTATTTCTATTTAAATTTGTATTAGCCCACTCCTGGGTATCTACCTAGAGGAAAATAAGTCATATGAAAAGACATTTGTACACACATTTATAGCAGCACAATTTGCAGTTGCTAAAATGTGGAACCAGGTTAAATGTCTATCAGCCAATGAGTGGACAAAGAAAATGTGTTATAGATACACCATGGAACTGCTCAGCCCTAAAAAGGAATGAAATAATGCCATTTGCAGCAATCTGGATGGAGTTAGAGATGATTATTCTAAGTGAAGTAACTCAGGAATAAAAAAACAAATATTGTATGTTCTCACTTATAAGTGGGAGCTAAGCTATGAGGGTGTAAAGACAGAAGAATGATATAAGGGACTCTGGGCACTCGGAGGGAAGGTTGGGGGGTTGAGGGATGAAAGACTACACATTGGGTACAGTGTACACGACTCGAGTAGTGCATACACCAAAATCTCAGAAAATCACCACCAAATAACTTTTCCATGTAACCAGAAACCACTTGTTTCCCAAAAACTATTGAAATAAAGTGATATGTATGAAAACAATGAATATGATAGTCTTGAGGTACAACATTCACTGGGTTTCATATGGGAGAAAAACAGCTAAAATCAAACACATGGATAGACAGTCAGAACAATGTCCATCATATACATAGTAAAATTAATACAACTGCAAACATGCATGAGTGGAGTCCATTTGGAATAGCCTGCAGTGAAGATGTATGCCTTAGGGCCCACATAACTCATGTTTGGGAGAAAATGTATAACTTTATTCAATATGAAAATGTCTTCAGAAATAACTCAGTCCATGCTGTGCAGATGCAGTCCTGTACTGTAGAGACAAAGAATAAGAATCATCAAAGTGGAATAACCTCTGCCCCTGCTCCAAATTCTGGTTCACACGGCAGTAGTACTACTGGAGAGAAAAGCCATACATGTCCCAAATGTGGGAAAGCCTTTATTTATCTGTCATTTCTTGTGAGACATATGAAAATTCACACTAGAAAGAAATCTTATGAATATGACAAAAGTGGCAAAGGCTTTAGATATTCCCTACACCTTAATAAACATTTAAGAAAGAACATTCTGGACAAGCCCTATGAATGCAAGGAATGTGGGAAAACCTTCAGCAAGCCTCAAAACATGCACATATAAGGAGTCATGCTGGAAAGAAACCCTATAAATGTGACAAATGTGGAAAAGACTTTGCAAAGTCATCAGAATTAAAAGCCACCTTAAGAGATACAATAGTGAGAAGCCCTGTGAGTGAAAGGTGGAAAATCATCATTAATTTTTCACCATACTGAACATGTGAGGAGGACATACTGGAAGGGAGCTCAATGAGTTAACATGCATGAGAACATCTTTCCTGAACTCTCATATCTTACAGAAGTGTGAAAAGAAACCCTGTGAAGGTAAACTCTATGGAAAGCCTTTCATTCATCTTCATTCATCTTGAGTAGCTATTTGTTCTCACACTGGAGAGAAGCTATGAAAGTAAGGAACATGAAAAAAGCCTCAGTGTTGCCTCAGACTCATAGTTCATACAAGAACTCACACTGCAGAGACTGCTTATGGAAGTAAAAAATGTAGAAAAGACCTCTTTAAACACTTATCCCTCCTGTTACACATGAATCCACACTCTGGAGGGAGACTGCAATGGGAATAAATATAAGAAAGCTTTCAGTTCCAGCTCTTCACTTATTAGGCATGAATGAGCAATAGCAGGACTGAAGCACTGTAAATGTTAACAGTTACTGCAATTATCATTGTCTTATATCTCAATTAGAACCCAAATTCATAATTTTATAGTTTTTCTTTTCTTAAAAAAATGGTATAAAATGACAGATAGCTGTCTTAGCCCCCTTTCTGCTCTGCCACCTTAATGTTGCTATGTAGTAGCTTTGTTACAATTCACTTACATACCCATGGTTTTATTTTCAATGTGAAGCCCTCTTTGAGTTCCATTCAATTTAGATTTAGAATTTGTATGCTCCAGGATACCCTTTTTTTTTGTCAGTTTGTTTTAATTGGTCACAATTTGCCTGCATTATGGTCACATTATGTGGCTTTAATGGTACTGATTTGGGGTGCCTATTATGACTTTCATTATGGTCTAATATGGCCATTTCTGTCCATTTCCCTGCTATATCCATTATTCTCATCTTCTTCACTAAGGGAGCATAGATTTATCTTTTACAAGGAGCACAGTTTATATGTCTTTATTTATTTATCCTTATTTTATTATTTAATTTATAATTTGTTTTTGAAAAATGGTCTGTCTCCCAGGCTGGAGTGCAGTGGCATGAACATAGCTCACTGCAGCCTCCTGGGTTCCTGTGACCTCCCAGCTCAGACTCCTGAGTAGGTAGCACTTCAGGCATAACAGGTGTGCACCACCACAGTCAGATTTTGTTTTGTTTTGTTTTTGTAGAGACTGGGTTTCATTATGCTGCCTGGACTGGTTTCAAGTTCCTGTGCTCAGGTGATTCTCCCACCTTGGCCTCCAAAATTGCCAGAATTACAGGCATGAGCCACCATGCCTGGCCCTGATTAATGTCTTTAAATGAGTTTCCCAGTTTTTCTCATAACTGCAGTGAGCAGAGCTTATAGTCTTGGCCAATGTGAAATGCAGAATTCACTGGTTTGGATTTCTGAAAATCTGTTTGGAAAGGGAAGAGTTATTGTTCCTTTTTTCCCTTAATCATATTCCCTTTGCTCTCTCTGCTTGCTGCTCTCTGGAAATAGGATGAAATGCCCTGAGTCCAGTTTAGCACCTTGAAGACCATTGGAATGATGCTCCCAACAACACAATCTTCAATATACAAGATTTCTCACTCCCCAATGGCATGTTGGGTATCCATGGCTGCCCTGGACTATTTCTGGACTTGTTTCATAAAACTAACCCCTAGTAGAACTAAGAAACAATTTTAGGAGAGATACTTATAATAAATTAAATGATAAACCTAAAAATGAATAAAACATATTATAAAAATAAGGAGAATAGACAAAATGGGCTTGCAGATGCTGACTGGCCACACATCCTTGGTGCTCACCCCCATGGATGCCTCACCAACTGTGACACTTGGAGAGCTGGCAGCCATCACTCAAGAAATCAGAACACAGTGGCCTCTACCACAGCATCAGGGAACAAAAACTAAGCCTGTCAGCTCTCAAGAAACATACTTATGTGTATGTATATATATATGACATAAATTCATTCAGTTACTTTGAGATATCTCATTGCTAAACAGATAAAATGAATTAAAACTAGTGCAAATTTCTGGCAACAGTACTTCATCTCCCCATTATTTATCCAGGGCATTGAAAATTGGCACACATCACAGATCCTTAAGTCATTCTCTGAATCAGGAGGAGAAAAGAGGAGAACAGAGAGAGCTTACCATATGTGCCAGTCACTGGGCTGAGTGCTGTGCCTAAAGGATCCCACTTGATGCTTGAAATAACCCTGCAAGATCAAACTAAAAACTCATACACACTCACACACACACACTCACACATACACACACATGCTCAAGCACACACTAGAAACTACAGAAGAAAACATTGACAACTAATAGAAGTATAGTGCTGGCTAAGCACAGTGGCTCATGCCTGTAATCTCAGCACTTTAGGCCAGGAGTTCAAGACAAGCCTGGGCAACATAGCAAGACACCATCTCTACAAAACATTTTCTTAGATAAAAATCATTTTTAAAAAGTGGTATAATGTCTAAGGGCTCAGGGAAACAGTACCCCTATGGCTGTATGGTAAGCAGCAGGCAAGGCTACTTGTCAGACCAAGGTGGTAGTGATTCCAGGGTTCCTTTGCACACTTATCCAGGAGCCTGGCTAGCTCAGCACTGCCTGGGTTTACTTTATACCTTCTACAGCTCTAAAGCTCTGGCAGGTGGGACCTAACCATAAGAGAAATTGCTATTACGCAGGACTCTCTTAACTGCAAGTGACTGAAACCTACTCGATCCAGGAGAACATTGAATTACTTGACTCTAATTACTAAAAATATCCTTAAGTAGATGGGCTTCTGGCTCAGTGAGATCAGGGGTCAAATAATATCAACCAAGACTCATTCTGTCCCTTCATTTCCTGTGTCAGCTCTGCTTTTCATGCAAGCTATTTTGAGAGAACAGCAAAAATGGCCCCATAAATTCCATATAATTTACTTCCTTGCAAGTAACTGTGCCAATAAAAAGAAAGCACCTCATTCCCAGCAGTTTCATCAAAAGTGCAGGGATGACTTCCATCAGCCCAGCTTGGTTCACATGCCTGTCCCTGAATTAATTACCCTGCTGATTGCCCAGGGTGGCCAGCCTCACCCCAATCACATGGACTAGTATTGAAAGAGTGGTCCTCACATGAAAAAAAAATGGAAGAATAGTGGCAGAGAAATATGGGAGGGAGGGCCTCATCTCTATATAAAAAGTATGAGCATATTTGTGTTCTTTTGTAAACTTATTGATATAGTCACTGGGGAAAAAAATTGAGAAAAACCCACACACGACTTTCTACATGCCTCTGTGCTTTGTATTCAACACTGAGCTGTGACAACTGTAATTATTAAAACAAAACTTTGAAAGGAAGTAACAATTTAGGACAATGGGGACCCTTAGCTGATGCGACAGTGAGCAGTTCTTCTTTTGTGTGCATGAAGATGCAATTCCCAGGAGCCCGCCTGGGGTCTTCTAGAACAAGCATGTGGGCACCTACTGGCTGCAGTTCCACTTTTCCTTCCCTGGACTCTCGGGAGAAACAAGTTCTGGATTCAGCTGAACTGAGTTTAAGTTCAGGCTCTGTGACTCACTGGGTAAATCTCTTGCTCTCCTTGAGTCCCATATCCTCATTGGTAAAATGGAGAGGTAGAGTTATTGTTAGGTTTGGAAGGCAAGGCGAGGGTTAAAGAAAGACAGAGAGACAGTTGGTGGCTTCAACAGCAACATCTTTATTGCCAGCAAAACCCTGGGGAGGAGGAAACCAGCTTAGTGCCAGCACCAACTGCCACTCACAGGCTGGGGTAATCATGGGACTGGGAGGGAGGGATCTGGGTGGTAGAGCTTGCTGCCCAGCAGGATATGGCAAGGATGTCCCTGCAGTCAGGCTGTTGGGCCTTTGCCCAGGAGGACGCGATAAGGATGTTTCTGCAGTCACGTGGTTAGGAAGGATGTTTCTCATGGCCCAAGTTCCCATGGAACGTTTCACTGTGATCAGAGTCTGCAAAATGGCTGGAGGTTTACAAAATGGTACAGGTTAGACTAACAGTAACATCTCCCAGGTAAGTGGTTCTACAAAGTAAACTTCCCTTGAGCATCTACACTGTACCAGACATGGTGCTAGGACCCAGGCCACAGGAGGAACAGGACAGATGAGGCCCCTGCCATCCTGGTGCTCACGTCTGATGAAGAAAGCTAACAGGTCATAAGACCAGGTCAGATGGTGGTGGTAATCAAAGACATTACCAGAGTGAGATGAGCTAGAAAGAAACTGAAGGAGCTCTTACAAACACAGTGACAGGTGGAGACCCCTCCAAAAGGTGACTTTTGAGCAGAAACCTGAGAAATGTGGAGGGGACTATGGAGAATGACAAGCCCCTGAAGCAACCCCAGGATTGGGAGGGCAAACCCGGCACCAGGAGGGCAATGGAATGGCCTGACCTGTGCGTCCTTCATGCTTCCTTTCTCAGTGATGCACAAACAGAAACATGGGGCAATTTCGTGCAGGGTCCATGGATGAAACAAGAAGCAGCCGCACTGCAGAGCTGGAGTGGGGATAAAATCTGACCCAACAGTAAAGCTAGAAGCAGGTGCTGCTTACCACTGACCACAGTGCAGGTCATGAAGCATAACCAGACCATGAAGGCACGTCCAGGGCCAGACCAGCTGGCCGGGCTGCCAACATCTTAGTAGAGATCCCAGGAGATCAGTTGAGCTGGTTAGGGGGAGAAAAAAAAAAACAGGAAAGCTTCAGAAAATTCCAGAGGACCCATGACACTTAACATCAACTTCCCCCAAGTGGGATCTGTTTGTCATTGCTGGTTCTAAAGAGTTGGTTCCACCACCCCCACCTGCCCGTTGCCTAACCAGGGGAAAACTCAGGGTGGGGTCCACAGAAACAATCCCTCTGGAAGGGGAAAGGGTGTTTCTCATCCAAAACCAAGGGAAAACACCACTCATAAGGAGCAGAGGGGCCTGAAGGGAGAGACAGGATTCTGCTGCTCATTTGGATATCTGCTTCCCAGCAGGAAAGGGGACCACGCAGGATACAGTGTCTAAGTGGACCCTGTGCTGTGGGACTAGGGGGGCTGGTGCTGACTCACTGTTGGAGGTGAGCCACTATAGGAGGCTTAGAACCCCTCCCTGCAGCCTCTCCAGTCTAATAAGGGGATGGTAGTGTGGTCAGTGGGGGCATCCAGATGCAGTCAAAGGGCACAGTGAGTGATGTCTCCTCTGGCCTCCTCTTTCAGCTGCAGATTCTCCGAGTTACTGGAACAGCTTCTCCATGGCCCCACCAGCCTGGAGGGTGGTGACAGCTCCCAGATGACGCTAACCCCAGGGCCCTGCGCCATCACCCCTGGTTCCCCTTGGCCCTGCCCACACCTATGTAAACAGCTTTTTCTTAATGACCCTTCAGCCGCTTCGAGGTCCCTGCCAGTACCTGACTGCCACATTCCCCAAAGGGAACAGGCTCCTCAGCCCAGGAGCTGAGGTTTCTACAGGCACAGAGAAAACACTGTCCCAACTGTTGGAATGGAGTCGGGAGTGGAAAAAAGAACGTTTTTTCTCAATGCTTAGACTCACCAATTGTTTCATTTTATCACATGAAGGCTGTGTGGCATTTTGAAGTAGAATTAATAATCTACATAATTACAAATTATATTCTTAAAAGAAGGTGCTCAGTGCCATGCCTGACACATGGTGGAACTCCACGATGAGATGTGTGAGAAGCCAGGGTGCCATGGTTACAGACAAGGACTGCAGGTACAGACTGCTTGCTTCAAACCTGGACCAGCGGTGTGAATTTTGGCAACTCTCTGTATTGCTCTTTGCCACTGTTTTTTAATCTAACAACTAGAAGTAAAAACAAGGTTATTGTAAAAATTAAATGAATTAAAGTAAGCAGAGTGCCTACAACACCCCCAGGCACACAGTCAGCACTGAGCATGTTTTTCATTATACTCTTAAAGAGGTAAGAGTGAGAACACAGGTGCCAGCCATGAGCCTGGGTTTCTCTGGAGAGGCATCAGAGACTCTACTTTTAACATCCTCCATTCATTCATTTGACCCTGGTAAGGGAGGAGTCTCATGGGATACAAACAAGCATCCACCTTGGGGCCAGACTTCCCATGGTCAAAGTTGAACTCCACCACTGTTCAGCTGGGTGACTTTGGGCAAGTGACTTCCCCTCTCTGATCCTCATATTCCCTTTTGATAAAAACAGCACAATGGCAGGCCTATGGGGATTGAAGGAGCTGACAGAAAAATGTGTGCCTTAGTATAATTTTCCTGGAAGTAGATCCTGAGGCAAATATTCAAATACAAAAATTCTATTTGGAGATAACTCTAGGATAGTAATTCGACTGCCAGTTCTTCCTTAGGGTGCGTATCCCAGGAAACACCAGTAGAGGAGTGGGGAACTGAGACAGGAAAGGAATGCAGCAGTTAAAGGGACCTTCATCAAGAAAGTTTCCCCTGTGGCAGCCAGGACTCAGCCCTGCCAGGTACATCTGCAGAGACAGCACAGAACATGTGCCTCAGAGTCACCCACCCAAAGCAAGGGAGCTGGGGTATTTATCCACCAATACCCACCAGTCACTCCTCAGGGATCCTTCCAAGGGCATGATTCCTCCAGAATGTCCTGCCTGATCTGCAAGTGTCAGACCAGGGGTTGAGGACAGGGACCCTGACAGTACCTCCAGCAATGAGCAGGAACACAGCCTGGTGTGGAGAGTTTCAGTCAGTGATTCCAACTCATACACTTACCCACACACCACACTCCAGCCCCAACAATGTGTATATGTACACACACATACATGCATACATGACTGTTACCCACTTTGATCCTGGTGACTCCATGGGATATACAGTAAGGCAGAAATCAGAGGGAAGAGCAGAATTAAGGGGAGTGAAAATCTTAAGAAGAAAATGCAAATTTAGGCAGAAAATCAAGGGGGAAGAGGAGTGTTCTGGACACCAAATGCTGGCTGGGTGGCACCTACTCTACACACACTGTCACTAATTATCCAAGAAGCCTTGTGGGGTAGAAGAAATTCCTCTTAATTTACAGATGACAGAAATGTAGTCCAGAAAACTGACTTTACTAATGTCTCAGCAAGCTAGTGGGTGATAGATATGGACTCCCAGATCTTTCTGTCCACAGAGCCTATAAATTCTTCCTTGTTAGGCAGGCTGCATACCAGGCCCTGCTTCTGGGCTCTGCTCCTTTTCCTGCTAGGCAATCGTGGCAGAATTGACAGAAATGTTATCCCCCTTCACCACCTGGAGCAGAGCCAATGAGAGGAGCTGGGGAACAGGCCATGAGGCCCTGCACCCACCATTCAATGTCTTCAGGATTGTGGTCCCTCAGAACTCTTGCACCACATGATGGCATCACTCCTGGGTGTCTTCTGAGGTTGCATAGGATTCAGTAGAGGCCAGTGGCTGTGCTGTCATATCCTAAGAGGCAGCCACGCAGGCTTGCGTCTCTTGGCTGCTTCAGCACCAGAGGTTGGACAGCGCCCATGCACTGAGGCCCTCGGGAGAATGGGAGGAGGGAAAGGAAGGGCAGAATGGAGTGATGTAGTGTCCATCCACCATGTCCCTGGATGGAGAGACCCACACCGGGACCACCGCTGGTACTCATGAAGATGCCAGCCTCCATTTATATGTCCTCATCTGACAACTCCTTCCCATTTTCATCCTGGAGACAAGACCTCTGAACACATTAGCTCTGAGGGCACCTGAGTGTAACCTGAGACAGTCCCTGAAGACTTTTCATCCAAGCAGGATCCCTCCCTTGCCATCTCCAGACCTGCCCCACAAGCTCCCTCCCGGGTCTCCTGGCTCTTGTTCACTCCTTCCAGGCAGCCTTCTACAGTCATCTCTAAAATATATCTGACTGTCCCTCCTTTATCCAGCACCTTCTATGGCTCCCCAGAGCCCTCCAGCTCAAGTTCAAGTTCTTTGATCAGACATTTGATCTCAAGCTGCATTCTACCTCCCAAATTAAGATACTGGAGAAGCCACCTTGCCCAGCACAAGTGCATCACTGAAGTCCCAAGTCTTGAACGTGGCCTTGGTCTTGAGGAAGTCATGAACACCCTGGCTAGTGAGGGTGCAGGGCTGCTCCAGGATGATGGTGTCTAAAGTTGTGCACAAGGTCACAGGCCCTGCAGAAGCATCACCCCTCAGGAATGGGTAGTACAGGAAGTCCATGCACAGGCAGATCTGCTGGTGCCATTACACTATGAGGGCACTGAGCTCAAATAGGGTGGCAATATATTCACTGGGATTCCTGCAAGGTGAGGCTGGGGAGAGGAAGCAGCTCCATAACACATATGAAACCCTGGAAACCCTTCTCAGCCAAAATCTCAGGACCACATTACACCCAGAAATGGGTGCCCTCTGAGCACAATTGTCTCTCTGTCTCCCACTCTGAGCTCCCTCATGGCCCCACATGCCCCAGCCTGGCCCAGAGCTTGAAGCCCAGTAACTGTTCAGTCCATGGTGTTGACTGCTCCCTGGGACAGGAGAGCGCTTGGTGGCTCTGGGACTCCTCCTGTGGAACCCCTGCATCTGCCTTGGGACCTCCCAATTCCCATGGGAAGCCCCCATGGCTCTGGATTGCCCCACCTGCCCTGGGATCCTCCAGCCCCATAAGACTTACTTGATGCCTTAGACCTCCCAGAACATGACATGTTTCTCAGAATGTGGCTGATGTCCAGGGCCATCTGTGGATGTTTCTGGGGACTTCTAGCTGATTTCCTTTATGGTCTGTAGGGCACGGCCAAGAGGAGAAACCAGCCCAACCTCAGAATGGACAAAAGGCTCACTGCCCCAATGGCAACCACCAAACTGTCAGCAGTGCTTCTGAAAGGAAAGGTTTCATTCTGCAGAAAGCTCCTTGTTTGGCTTCTTTCTGACGCCAGGGAGGGGTACCAATCCCTGCATACCTGTGGTGCCTACGTTACCATCTCTGCCTAGGATGTGCAATGGGCCCCTGCTCTCACTGCGGGGTTGACGTTACCTCCAGCTGGAGACCTGGGCTCCTGACACCGCCTGGCCTCTTTGTCCTTCTCTGGATGAGGGTGGAAAGGCTGTACCTGGTATTTCCCTAGGTCCTTGGTTTCCACCTTCTAAACATCCAGCAGGAGTGACCATGCCCAGCACCACACCTGAAGTGGGACTCCCTTGTGGAGCAGCCAAGAAATCTACAGATGGAAGAATGCTCTGGTGAGATAAGCCACAGGGGTCCCTGGGGAGGATCTGGGGCCAGAGGATTCTGGAGGTTTCCAGCCTTGGGCTCTGTGGGAACTATGATCTGGAGATATTTTTTTCATTTAGGTCACCAAGAGACAACCCCTAACCCCTGAGCAAGGCATGGTCAAGCTCTGGCATGAGATTCTCTTCCAGCAATGCAATGCTTGCAGAGACAGGTACAAAAGCTGGTGACCAGGCCTGCTGTCCCCCAGGTAAGGACAGTGTGCTACCCACCCTCTGAGAGGTGGTGCCAGTCCACAGCACTGGGTGCCTGTACCCCTGGCTCTGCAGATACCGGTCATGGAAGTCCCATGGAGGTCCTCCCCTCTCCACATTACCTTCTTGCTGCTTCTAGACTTCTTCTAGTCATTAAGCATGTTGAGCCATTTTTCTGTGCATCCGATCTGACATTTTTGCTCTCAGATGAAACACGACAAAGTAAGCTGAGCCACCAGGATTCCTGGAGGGAACCTTGGATGCTTGGTCTTGGGCTCCAGGGCACTGATGGGAGGGAGCCAGGGAAGAACAAACACTGGGGCTGAGCCCCTATGACCCAATGGGAACTTGTGGCCTGTCCTTATGGCCCCAAGACACCCTGTCCTCAGGCCACAGGCACCACGGGCTTTGGTCAGATCCCAGCCTCCCAGTAGTGTCCCGGCACTAGTGGGTGCTGACCCCTGAGCCACAACCACAGTTCTGGGTTTGGGGTATGGTAAAACCACCCCAGGGACAGAGTTCTGGGGCCGGGTTTGGGAGGAACCAAGGCACCTCCCAGGGATGGTGTGTCACTCCTACTTGCCATGAAATGTGCACAAAGGCTGTCCTCCTGCCCATCCCATCCTGCTGGACAGGATGGAGGAAGTGAGGGAACAGGCAGCGTGGACAGCTAGGGTGCAGGGAGAGGCAGGTGCATGCTGGGAGGTCAGGCCCTGTGAGGGCTGTGGGGGCATCAGGTGGAGTGGGCTTCAGGTACACCCTCAGTGCAATGGGCAGGTCTCAGGCCAGGCTTCCTGGACCCCGGCTGGGTGATGTGGTCACTCCCTGGGGGACTACTGTCAGACCCTGGCCACGCACCCTGGGCAGCACTGTCCCATCCCAGGACTGGATTTTCTGAGTCCTCAGACAGGAAAACACTGCCCAGGCCTGACAGACTGGGAAGACCTCTTAAGTCCTCCATCCCTAGACCAGCCTCCCAACAGCAGGGACAGTCTCCTACCTTTACCTTCAGGGCACTGACTGATCCATCTCACTCTAAGGCAACCAAGGCAGAGCTGAGGACCTGTGCCAGGCTGGAAGCCAGTCCCCTCCCTAAATAGGCCTTAGGGAAGCCTCATCCCTGTCCCAGTGCACTGCAAGTTTCAGCCCAGGAGACACATAGGGAAGGGAGGATGGGGCCTCCCCACTGGCTGACCCTGGAAAAGCGGGACCTGGGAGAAGAGGGAGTGCAGGGCTGGCAGGGGATTCTCCAGGCCCATGGAGAGCTCAGTCTGCACCATGGGGCTGCCCCTCCTGGGCTGGAGGCTGTGCCCTCTGCAGGATCTGAGGAAGTGCAGTCCTGAGATGGGACAGTGCTACCCAGGTTGGGTAGCCAGAGCCTGACAATAGTCCCCCAGCAAATGACCACATCACCCAGCCAGGGTCCAGGGAGCCTGGGCCAAGACCTGCCCAGTGCACTGACGGTGCACCTGGAGCCCAGTCCACCTGATGCCCCAACAGCCCTCACTGGGTCTGACCTCCCAGCATGCACATGTCTCTCCCTGAAACTCAGCTGCCCACCCTGCCTGTTCCCTGGCCTCCTCCATCCTGTGCAGCCCATAGACTGTGACCATCTCTCTGGCCACTCTGGTACTTCCTTTACTTTTGTCCTGTCAGAATCCCTGAGCAAGATCTCCCAGGTCCATCCAAACACCTGCTTTGTCCACTTTTGACTGGGCCATTGAACACCACTGGGCCATCCCAGCTGTCCACAGGGTCCTCGATAACATGCATTTCTCCTGACATCTCCCTGCAGTGCTCAGCAGCCCCCACTGAACAGGTCCCTGCTGACCAGATCCAGCATATCAGATCCTCCCTGACCACACCCTCACTGACTAGACCCCCATCACCAGGCCTCACTAACTAGATTCCCGCTGACAGGCCCACAATGACCAGGACTCCACTGATGAGGACCTTACTGATAAGTCCTCACTTGTAAGGCCTCACTGACCAGGTCCTTACTGACAAGGCCTCGCTGATCAGGTTCCACCGATAATGACCCCATTGCCTGGTCCCACAGATGAAGCCCCACTGAGCAGGCCTCCAGGGAATAGGCTGCCAGTGACCAGGCTCCTACTAACCACGCCTGAGGTGACCAGATGCCCCTGACTGGGACTCTAATGAGTATGCCCCACTGAACAGGCACGCACTGCTCAGATCCCCGCTGACCTGGTCACCCCGTAGACCAGTGCTACAAAAGCCACCACTGATCAAGTCCTTTCTGACCAGGCCCCCACTGATTAGGTTCCATTGACCAGCCTGCCCTGACCAGGGCCCCACTGACAAGCGCCTCTGCTGACTAGGTCCCATGTGACCAGGCCTCCACTGAATAGCACCCCTTGACCTGGTCACCAGTAACCCAGCCCAATCAGACAAGGCCACAACTAAGCCCCAGCTGACAAGGTCTCCACTGACCAAGTCCCACAGCCCAGGTTGGCATTGACCAGACACCAAACATTTGTCTGCCACTAGGAACCCACTCACCAAGAGCTGCACTACTAGATCCCTCTAATGAGACCCTCTCTAGGCAGACACCTGCTGACCACCCCCCACTAAATAGGCCTCACTGACAAAGTCCCAACTGACTAGGTCCACTGAGCAGGCCTACACTGATCAGGCCCCTCCTAACCATATCAGAAGGCCAAGCGGCAATGAGATGTTTCATATGGCAGGAGTAGGAGCAAGACAGAGAGAGGAAAGAGGTGTGACATCCTGTTAGACAACCAGATCACATAAGAACTCACCATCAGGACATCGGCATCAAGAAAACTAACCAATGGTGAAGGATTCTCCACCCACACCACCGCCCACTGTTTCCAGGCAGAAGCCTCCTGCAGAAGCAGAACCTCTTAGGAAACATCCACTATGGCAGTGCAGAAGGAAAATATAGGCTTTGAGCCCCCACACAGGAGGCCACCTTCCTCCAGACTCCAGGTTCATAAGCCCACCAACAGCTCACACCCTCAGTATGGAAAAGCTACAGGCACTCGACACCAACCCAGCCCATGAGAGCAGCCATGGGGGCAACACCCTGCAAAGCCAGAGATGCACTGTCCTAGTAGAGGTTTCCCATGAGCCTCTGCCTCTGCAGCAAGTTACTCCCACCCTCCCACCACCCTACTGACGACCTACTCCTCCCCACACTACTCCTCCTTTTCCTTCCACCCCAACCCCCTCCCATCCAAGATTAAATCACCTCCCACCTGGCACACCTCCGACATTAAGGATGACACGTGAGTTTTACAGGGACACACAGCCAACCCATATTATTCTGACCCTGATACCCCAGAACCTCATGTCCTTCTCACAGAGCAAAACACAATCATGCCTTTTCAAAAGTTTCCAAAAGTCTTAACTCATTCCAAATGTAAAAATTTCAAAGTCTCATCTGAGACAAGGTTACAATCCCTTCTGCCAATGAGTCCCTGAATTTAAAAGGGATTTCTTTTCCTTCAAGGTACAATAGGCATTGGGTAAGTTTTCTCAATCCAAAGGGAAGAAATTCCCCAGAAAAATAACACAAATGCAAGTCCAAACCCCAGCAGGACAGTATTCATTCAATACAGTATCTCACAGCTCTGTAATCATCAAGAGAACTCACTATCATGCAGACAGCATTAAGGAGACAGTGTTAAACAATTTATGAAGAATCCAATCCCCACCCTCATCTTTCACACCCATCCACAAAATAATCTCCACCATTCTCCCCACACCCCTACCTCCAACACCCACTCTTCGCCATGATTAAATCACCTCCCACCAGGCCCCACCTTTAACTTTCACCATCACAATTCCATGAGAGTATTGGTAGGGACAAAAAGTCAAATCATATTATTCTGACATGGGTCCCCCCCAATCTCATATCCTTGTCACACTACAAAATACAATGATGCCTTCTGTACAGTCCCCCAAATTCTTAACTCATTCCAGCATTTACTGAAATGCCCAAAGCCCAGAGTCTCATCTGAGGCAAGTCTACAGTCCCTTCTGCTCATGAGCCACTGAATTACATATAAAGCAAGTTTACTACTTCCAAGGTGCAATGATTGTACAGGCGTTGGGTAAGCATTCCCAGCCAAAAGGAAAAAAATTGCCAGAAAGAAGCACAAAAAACAGATGGGGCTTACAGACCCCATGCAAGTCAAAAACCCAGCAGGCCAGTCATTGAATCCTACAGCTCCCAAATCATATTTTCTGAATCTGTATCCCACATCTGGAGCACAGGGGTGGATAGCTGGGCTCCCAAGGCCTTGGGCAGCTCAGCATCTGTGACTGTGCAGGGTCTATCCCCCACAGGTGACCTCATGGGCTGGGCTGGTGTTGAGTGCCTGTGGCTTTTCCACACTGAGGGTGCCAGCAGTTGGCGGGTCTATGAATCTGGGGTCTGGAAAATGGTGCATTCCTGTGTGGGCGCTACAACCCTATATGTTCCTTCTGTACTGCCCTAGTAAATGTTTCCCATGAGGCTCTGCCTCTTGGAAAAGCTGCTGCCTCAACACCCAGGTTTTCCCATACATACTCTGGAGTCTAGACAAAGGCTCCCAAGCCTCTAGTTTTGTGCTCTGTGCACCTGCTGGCTTAGTACTATGTGGAAGCCACCAAGGTTTGAAGCTTGCACCCCTGAAGCAGTGATGCAAGCTGTACCTGTGCATCTTTCAGCCGTGACTGGAGCTGGAGCTGGAGCTGGAGCTGCAGGGATGCAGGCAGCAGTGTCCTGAGGATGAACACAGCAACGCGACCATGGGACTCACCCAGGAAAGCATTCTTGGGTCCTAGAACTCGGGGCCTGTGACAGCAAGCTCTGCTGCAAAGGTCTCTGAAATGGCTTCAAGACCTTTTAACCTTGTCTTAGCTATTAGCACTGGGCTCCATTTTATGCAAATTTCTGAAGCCTTCTTGAATTTTCCCACTGAAAATCAGCTTTGCTTTTTGACCACTTGGCCAGGCTGCAAATTTTCCAAACTTTTAAGTCCTGCTTCTCATTTAAATATAACTTTCAACTTGAGGTCATTTATTCAGTCACAGAGAAGACCACAGGCTGTTCAAAACAGACAAGACACCTCTTGCGCTTTGCTGCCTACTTCATTTCACCAGATATACCCTAAATTATCACTCTCAAGTTCAAAGTTTCAGAGGTCTCCAGGGCAGGAACACCATCCAGCCAAGTTCTTTGCTAAGGCAAAACAAAAGTAACCTTAACTCCTGTTCCCAGTAAGTTGCTCATTTTCATCTGAGACCTTCTAAGTCTGGCCTTCACTGTCCATCCTTCAGTCACTCTTTTAATTATAGCTATGTAACAAGTCTCTATGGTCACCGTTTTAATTTAACACATCTCTACAATAGTCCAAATTTTCCCTCATCTTTCTGTCTTCTTCCAAGCCCCCCAAACTGTGCAGCATCTGGTCGTTACCCACGTCTGAACCTGCTTCTACATTTTCAGCTACCGTTGTGGCAGCCTGGCAATGTGGTAAAAGAAGAAAAGTCCATTTTCAGGGGGAAAATTCAAGAAGCCTTCAGATATTTGCATATAGAAGAAGCCAAATGCTAATAGTAAAAAAAAAAAAGATGAAGAAACCTTGAGGGCATTTCATAGCTCCACTCTACAGTACAAATTTTCTGTAGTATTATTTTTAAAAGAGGTTTAACTGGCTCATGTTTCTGCAGGCTGTAAAGGCAGCAAGTGGCTTCTGCTTCTGGGAGGACTCAGGAAGCCTCCCAATCATACCAAAAGGCCAAGTGACAATGAGATGTTCCATATGGCAGGAGTAAGAAGAAGATACAGAGAAGAAAGAGGTGCCACACCCGGTTATACAACCAGATCTCATGAGAACTCACTATCAGAAGATCAGCCTCAGGAAGATTAACCAATGGTGAAGGATCCGCCCGCACCACCCCTCGCTGTTTCCAGGCGGAAGCCTCCTGCAGAGGCAGAACCTCTTGGAGAACCTCTACCAGCGCAGTGCAGAAGGAAAATATGAGCTTGTAGCCCCCACA
Source organism: Homo sapiens (assembly GCF_000001405.40). Taxonomy (NCBI): domain Eukaryota; kingdom Metazoa; phylum Chordata; class Mammalia; order Primates; family Hominidae; genus Homo; species Homo sapiens. The sequence continues at coordinate 13,854,932 of NC_000021.9, forward strand.
CAGGAGGCCACCATCCTCCAGACAGGAGATTGATAAACCCACCAACAGCTTGCACTCTCTGCGTGGAAAAGCTACAGGCACTCAACACCAGCCCAGCCCATGAGAGCAGCCATGGGGGCTACACCCTGCAAAGCCACAGGTGCACTGCCCTAGTAGAGACTTTCCATGAGCCTCTGCCTCTGCAGCAGGCTACTTCCCCCTCCTACTACCCACCACCCTATCACCACCCTACTAACAACGTACTCCTCACCCTACCAACCCCTTTTCCTTCCACCCCCGGCCCCCGAACATCCATGATTAAATCACCTCCAGCCAGGCCCCACCTCCAATATTAAGGATTACAATTCACATGAGTTTTGGTAAAGAAACACAGCCAAATCATATTATTCTGACCCTGATCCCCACAGTCTCATGTCCTTCTCACAGAGAAAAATATATTCATGCCTTTTCAAAAGTTTCCAGAAGTCTTAACTCATTCCAACATTAACTCAAATGTAAAAAAATCAACATCTCATCTGAGACAAGTCTACAGTACCTTTTGCCTATGAGTCCCTGAATTTAAAAGGATGTTCTTTTCTTTCAAGGTACAATAATGGTACAGGCTTTGGGTAAGATTTTTCAATCCAAAGGGAAGAAATTTCCCAGGAAGAAAACACAAATGGGACCACAGGCCCAATACAAGTCCAAAACCCAGAAGGCCAGTATCCATTCAATCTTACAGCTCCAAAATCATGAAGAGAACTCACTATCACAAGGACAGCAATAAGGAGAGTGTTTAATCATTTGTGAAGCATCCGTCCCCCACCCCCAATTTTCACTGCTCACCCGCACCATAAATCCCCCAGTCTCCCTAAGCCCCATCTTCCAACCCCCACCCTCCACCGTGATTAAATCACCTTCCTCCAGGCCCCACCTTTAACATTCCGATGACAATTCCACATGAGTTTTGGTAGAGACACAGAGCTGAATTTTATTATTCTGTCCCTGGCTCCCCAAATCTCATGTCCTTCTCACATTGCAAAATACAATGATGCCTTCCCTACAGTCCCCCAAAATCTTATATCATTACAGCATTTATACAAATGTTGAAAGCTTAAAGTCTCATCAGACACAAGGCTACAGTTTCTTAGGCCCATGAGCCTCTGAAATATAACGCAAGTTAACTACTTCCAAGGTACAATGCTTGTACAGGCATTGGGTAAGCATTCCCAGCCAAAAGGAAGAACGTTGCCGGAAAAAAACAAAACACAGATAGGACTTACCGGCCCCATGAAACTACAAACCCAGAAGGCCAGTCATTCCATCCTACAGTTCCAAAATCACCCTTTTTGAAACCTTGTCCCACATCCAGGGCACAGGGGTGTGAGGGCTGGGCTTCCAAGGCCTTGGGCAGCTTGGCACCTGTGGCTTTGCAGGGTTTATGCCCCACAGCTGGCCTCATGGGCTCGGCTGGTGTTGAGTGCCTGTGACTTTTCCTCACTGAGAATACAAGTTGTTGGGGGGTCTATGAATCTGGGGTCTGCATGATGGTGGCCTCCAGTGTGGGGGCTCCAACCCCATGTTTTCCTTCTGCACTGCCCTAGTAGAAGTTTCATATAAGGCTCTGCCTTTTTGGGGTGCTTTTGCCTGGACACCCAGGCATTTCCATACATCTTCCAAAATCTATAGAGAGGTTCCGAAGCCTCTAGTCTCATGCTCCGTCCGCCAGTGGCTTAACACTATGAGGAATTTACCAAGGCTTCTAGCCAGCACCCTCTGTAGCAGTGACCCAAGCTGTAGCTGTGCATCTTTCAATCATGGCTGGAGCTGGAGCTGGAGCTGGAGATGGAGCTGGAGATGGAGCTGCAGGGATGCAGGCAGCAGTGTCCTGAGGCTCCACACAGAGGGGGTCATGGAACTGGCCCAGGAAACTGTTCTTCTCTCCTAGGCCCCAGGGCCTGTAACAACAAGGGCTGCTGCAAAGGTCTCTGAAATGCCTTCAAGGCCTTTTCCCTATTGTCTTGTCTATTAGCACTGGGCTCCTTTTCATGCAAGTTTCCGAAGCCTTCCTCAATTTTCCCCCTGAAAATCAGCTTTTCTTTTGGACCACATGACCAGGCCGCAAATTTTCCAAACTTTTGAGTTCTGTTTCTCATGTAATGTAAGAGTTGGGACTCATTTAATGTAAGTCTCATCCAGAGGTCATTTCCTCCATCCCACATAAGAGCACAGGCTGTTCAATGGAAACAGGACAACTCTTGAGCTTTGCTGCTCAGTTCATTCCACCAGATACTCAGTAAATCATCACCCTCAAGTTCAAAGTTTCACAGATCTCCAGGGCGAGGTCACCGTGCAGCCACGTTCTTTGCTAAGGAAACAAAAGTAACTTTGACTTCTGTTCCCAGTAAGTGCTTCATTTTCATCTCAGACCTTCTAAGTCGGGCTTTCACTGACCATTTTCCTGTGAGCCTTCTGATCACAAATGTTTAACAATTCTTTACAAAGATCCAAACTTTCATTCATCTTCTTGTCTTCGAAGCCCTCCAAACTCTTCCGACCTCTGTCTGCTACTCCCTTCTGAACCTGCTTCTACATTATCACTATCTTTGCCACAGCCTGACAATGTGGTAAAGGAAAACAAGTCCATTTTCAGGGGGAAAATTCATGAAGCCTTCACATACTTGAATGAAAAGAAGCTGAGTGCTGATTGCCACGACAATGACATTTAATAGTTCCACTTTGCACTACTAATTTTCTCTATGATCATAAAGAAAAGAGGTTTAATTGGCTCATGATTCTGCAGGCTGTAAGGAAACACAGTGGCTTCTGAATCTGGGAGGACTCAGGATGCCTCCCAATCATACCAGAATGTCCAGGGGCAATGAGATGATTCATGTGGCAGGAGTAGGCACAAGACAGAGAGGAAAGAGGGCCACACCCTATTATACAACCAAATCTTATGTGAACTCACTATTACAAGGTCAGCATCATGAAGATGGTGCTTAAACATTGATGAAGGAACAACCACCCACACCCAACTCCCACTGTTTCCAAACAGAAGCCTGCTGCACAGGCAGAGCCTCTTGGAAAACCTGTACTAGGGCAGTGTGGAAGGAAAATATGAGCTTGGAGCCCCCACAGAGATGGCCACCACCCTCCAGACCCCAGATTCACAGACCCATCAGCAGCTCACACCCTCTGTGGAAAAGCTACAGGTTTTTCCAAACCTCAACACCAACCCAGCCCATGAAAGCATCTGCAGGGGCTCAACCCTGCAAAGCCACAGGTGGATTGCCCTAGTAGAGGTTTTCCATGAGGCTTTGCCTCAGCAGCAGGCTACTCCCCCTTCCTACTACCCCCAACCCTCCCACCATTCTACTGCCAGCCTACTCCTCCCCACCCCAACCAACCATTTTGTGATACCCTACCTTGTTTTAACCTGATCGACTCTCCCTTAGCTGAGGGAGCCAGGCAGACTCCATCTTGGCTGTTTCACTTGCAGCCCCTTACACACATCCCTTCCTCAAGGACATAACTTGTGCAAGCTGACTCCCAGCACATCAACGAATGCAATTACTGACAAGATACTGTGGCAAGCTATATCCACAGTTCCCAGGAATTCACCCCGTTGATGGTACCTAAAACCCCCGCATTTCTGTCCAGTTGATAGCACCCAAAGCCCCCACATCTATCACCTTTTGATGGATTTAAAGTCCCTGCACCTGGAACTGTTTGTTTTCCTGTAGCCATTTACCTTTTTAACTTTTTTGCCTGTTTTGCTTCTGTAAGATTGCTTCAACGAGGCCTCCCCTCCCCTTTCTAAACCAAAGTATAAAAGAAAATCTAGCCCCTTCTTCCGGGCCGAGAGAATTTTGAGCACTAGCGCTCTCTCAGTCGCTGGCAATAAAGGACTCCTGAAGTCGTCTCATGGTTTGGCGTTTCTCTACAACTCACTCGGTTACAACCCTTTTCCTTCCACCCCCCAACCCACCTCCAATCCATGATTAAATCATCGCCCCCAGGCCCCACTTTCAACATTCGGAATTACAATTCCACCTGAATTTTTTTAGGGACTCACAGCCAAACCATATTATTCTTACCCTGATATCCCAGAATCTCATGTCCTTATCACAGAGCAAAATACAATCATGCCTTTTCAAAAGTTCCAATAGCCTTAACTAATTCCAAGTGTAAAAAGTTCAAAGTCTCATCTGAGACAAGGCTACTGCCCCTTCTGCCTATGAGTCCCTGAATTTAAAAGAGATTTCTTTTCTTTCAAGGTACAATGATGGTAGAGGTATTGTGTAAGCTTTCTCAATCCAAAGGGAAGAAATTTCCCAGAAAAATAACACAAATGGGCCCACAGGCCCAGTGCAAGTCCAAAACCCAGCAGGACAGTATTCACTCAATCTCACAGCTCAAAAATCATTAAGAGAACTCATCGTCATGCGGAAAGCATTAAGGAGACAGTGTTTACCCATTTGTGAAGAATCTGTTCCCCCGCCCTCATCTTTCACTCCCATCCACAAAATAATCTCTCCCGTTCTCCCCACACCCCTACCTCCAACACCCACTCTTCTCCATGATTAAATCACCTCCCACCAGTTCCCACCTTTAACATTCCCCCCTAAAATTCCACATGAATATTGGTAGAGACACAAATTCAAATCATATCATTCTGGCTCTTGCTCCCCAAATCTTGTATCCTTGTCACACTGCAAAATACATTGATGACTTCTTTACTGTCCCCCAAAGACTTAACTCATTCCAGCATTTACTAAAATGTACAAGGACTTACAGACCCCATGCAAGTCCAAAACCCAGCAGGCCAGTCATTGAATCCTACAGCTCCAAATCATCTTTTCTGAATGGACATCTCTCATCCGATCACAGGAGTGTCATGGCTGGGCTCCCAAGGCCTTGGGCAGCTCTGCACCTGTGGCTGTGCACGGTCTATCCCCCACAGCTGCCCTCATGGGCTGGGCTGGTGTTGAGTGCCTGTAGCTTTTCCAAACTAAGGTTGGAAAAGCCAGCTGTTGGTGGGTCTATGAATCTGGGGTCTGGAGAATGGTGCCTCCATATTTAGGGACCCCAGCCCTATATTATCCTTCTGTACTGCCCTAGTAAAGGTTTCCCATGAGGCTCTGCCTCTTGGAAAAGCTTCTACCTGAAAACCCAGGTTTTTCCGTAGATACTCTGGAGTCTAGACAAAGGCTCCCAAGCCTCTAGTTTTGTTCTCTGTGCACCTGCTGGCTTAACACTATGTGGAAGCCACCAAGGCTTGAAGCTTACACCCCTGAAGCGTGATGCAAGCTGTACCTGTGCATCTTTCAGCCATGGCTGGAACTAGAGCTGCAGGGATGCAGGCAGCAGTGTCTTGAGACTGCACATAGAGGGGGGTCATGGAACTGGCCTAGGAAACCATTCTTCTCTCCGAGGCCCCAGGGCCTATGATAGCAAGGGCTGCTGCAAAGGTTTCTGAAATGGCTTCAAGGCCTTTTCCCTATTGTCTTGGCTATTAGCACTGGGCTCCTTTTCATGCAAATTTCTAAAGCCTTCCTCAGTTTTCCCCTGAAAATCAGCTTTTCTTTTTGACCATTTGGCCAGGCTGCAAATTTTTGAGTTCTGTTTCTCATTTAATATAAGAGTTGGGACTCATTTAATGTAAGATCCATCCAGATGTCATTTTCTCGGTCACACATAAGGGCACAGGCTGTTTGATACAGACAGGACACCCCTTGAGCTTTGCTGTCCAGAAGTTCATTCCAACAGATACGCAGTAAGTCATCACCCACAAGTTCAAAGTTTCACAGATCTCCAGGGCAGTGTCACTGTGCATCCACGTTCTTTGCTACAGCAAAACAAAAGGCACCTTGGCTCCTGTTTGCAGTAAGTTCCTCATTTTCATCTGAGAGCTTCTCAATCTGATCCTTACTGTCTATTTTCCTATGAGTCTTCTGATCACAAGTATTTAACAACTTTTTACAAAGATCCAAACTTTCCCTCATCTCCCTGTCTTTGAAGTCCTCCAAACTCTCCAGAACTCCATCTGCTACCCCCTTCTGAACCTGCTTCTACATTTTCAGCTATCTTTGTCACAGTCTGGCAGTGTGGTAAAGGAAGACAAGCCCATTTTCTTGGGAAAAATTCAAGGGGCTTCAGATACTTGAATGAAAAGAAGCTGAGTGCTGATTGCCAAGACATTAGGGAGAAGGCCTTGAAGACATTTAATAGATCCACTTTGCAGTAATAATTTTCTCCATAATCATAAAGAAAAGAGGTTTAATAGGTTAATGATTCTGCAGGCTGTAAGGAAGCATAGTGGCTTCTGCACCTGACAGGACTCAGGAAGCTTCCCAATCATACCAGAATGTCAAGGGGCAAGGAGATGTCTCATATGGGAAGAGTAGGAGCATGACAGAGAAAGGAAACAGGTGTCATGTCCCATTATACAAGCAGATCTCATGAGAACTCACTATCACAAGGTCAGCATCAAGAAGATGGTGCTTAAACATTGGTGAAGGATCCGCCCCACACACCCAACTCTCACTGTTTCTAGGCAGAAGCCTCCTACAGATGCAGAGCCTCTTGGAAAACCTCTATTATGGAAGTGCAGAAAGAAAATATGGGTTTGGAGTCCCCACACAGGTGGCCACCAAACTCCAGATCCCGGATTCATAGACCCACTAGCAACTCACGCACTTAGTGTGGTAAAGCTACAGGCCCTCAATACCAGCCCACCCCACGAGAACAGCTGAGGGGCTAAAACCTGCAAAGCCACAGGTGCACTGCCCTAGTAGAGGTTTTCCACGAGGCTTTGCCTCTGCAGCAGGCTACTCCCCCTTCCTACTACCCCCCACCCTCCCACCACCCTACTGCCAACCCACTCCTCCCAATCCTACCCATCCCTTTTACCTTCCACCGCCACCAACTTCCTGTCCATAATTAAGTCACTTGCTTCAACATTAGGGATTACAATTCCACATGAGTTTCATAGGGACACACAGGAAAACCATATAATTCTGACCCTGATATTCCAGAATCTCATGTCCTTATCACAGAGCAAAATACCATCATGACCTCTCAAAAGTTTGCAAAAGTCTTAACTCATTCCAAATGTAAAAAATTCAGTCTCATCTGAGACAAGGCCACAGTCCCTTCTGTCTATGAGTCCCTGAATTTAAAACGGAGTTCTTTTCTTTCAAGGTACAATGATGGTAGAGACATTGTGTAAGCTTTCTCAGTCCAAAGGGAAGAAATTTCCCAGAAAAATAATACAAATGGGCCTACAGGCCCAATGCAAGTCCAAAACCCAGCGGGACAGTATTCACTCAGTCTCTCAGCTCCAAAATCATCAAGAGAACTCACTATCATGTGAACAGCATTAAGGAGAGCGTGTTTATCCATTTGTGAAACATCCGCCCCCCACCCTCATCTTTCACTCCCACCCACAAAAAAATCTCTTCTATTCTCCCCACTCCCTTACCTCCAACCCCCATGCTTCTCCATGATTAAATCGCCTCCCACCAGGCCCCATTTTTAACATTCCCCATTATAATTCCACATGATTTTGGTAGGGATGCAGAGCCAAATCATATTATTCTGACCCTGGCCCCCGTATCTCATGTTCTTCTCACACTGCAAAATACCATGATGCCTTCTCTACAGTTTCCCAATCTCTTAACTCATTCCAGCATTTACTGAAATGTCCAAAGCCCAAAGTCTCTTCTGAGACAAGGCTGGGGTCTCTTCTGCCCCTGAGCCTCTGAAATACAAAGTAAGTTAACTACTACCAAAGTACAGTGATTGTACACACATTGGGTAAGTATTCCCAGCCAAAAGGAAGAAATTAGCCAGAAAGAAGAACAAAACACAGATGGGACTTACAAACCCCATAGGAGTCAAAAATCCAACAGCCAGTCATTGAATCCTACAGTTCCAAACCATTTTTTTGAATCCAGATCCCACATTCAGAGCACAAGGGTATGAGGCCTGGGCTCCCAAGGCCTTGGGCAGCTCTGCACCTGTGAAGTTGCAGGGTCTAACCTCCACAGTTGTCCTCATGGGCTGGGCTGATGTTGAATACCTATAGGTTTTCCACAATGAGGGTGCAAGCTGCTAGTAAGTCTATGAATCTGGTGTTTGCAGAATGGTGCCTCCCTGTATTGGGGTTCCAACCCTATATTTTCCTTCTGTACTGCCCTAGTAAAGGAGGCTCTGCCTCTTGGAAAAATTTCGACCTGGACACCCAACTTTTTCCATACATACTCTGGAGTCCAGACAAAGGATCCCCAGCCTCCAGTTTTGTGCTCTGAGCACCTGCTGGCTTAACACTATGTGGAAGCCACCAAGGCTTGCAGTTTGCACCCTCGGAAGCAGTGACCCAGGCTGTACCTGTGCATCTTTCAACCATGGCTGGAGCTGGAGCTTCAGGAATCCAGCCAGCAGTGTCCTGAGGATGGACATAGCAGCGGGGTCATGGGGCTGGAGAAGGAAACCATTCTTTTCTCCCAGGCCTCAGGGCCTGTGATAGCAAGGGCTGCTGAAAAAGTCTCTGAAATGCCTTCAAGGCCTTTTTAACATTGTATTGGCTATTAGCACTGAACTCCATTTTATAAACATTTCTGAAGCCTTCTTGAACTTTCCCACTGATAATAAGCTTTTCTTTTTGACCACTTGGCCAGGCTGCAAATTTTCACAACTTTTAATCTCTCCTTGTCATTTAAATATGTTTCACCTTGAGGTCATTTCTTTGGTCACATATTTTCATGTGAGACCTTCTAAGCCTGGTGGTCACTGTCCATCCTTATGTCACCTTCTTAATTATAACTATTTAACAAGTCTCTACACTGATCCAAACTTTTCCTCATCTTCCTGTCTTCTTCCAAGACCTCCAAACTCTCCAACCTCTGGCCATTACACACTTCTTAACCTGCTTCTACATTTTCAGCTACATGTGTCACAGCCTGGCAATGTGGTAAAAGAAGAAAAGTCCATTTCAGGAGAAAAATTAATGCAGGCTTTAGACGTTTGCCTGAAAAGAAGCTGAGTGCTGATTGCCATGACAATAGGGAAAAGGTCTTGAAGGCATTTCATAGCTCCACTTTACAGCATTAATTTTCTGTATAATCAGAAAGAAAAGAGGTTGAACTGGCTCATGGTTCTGCAAGCTTTAAATAAATCATAGAGGCTTCTGCTTCTGGGAGGACTCAGGAAGCCTCCCAATCATACCAGAAGACCAAGCAACAATGGGAAGTTTTATATGGCAGAAGTAGAAACAAGACAGAGAGGAAAAAGGTGGCACACGTTGTATAAACCTGTTATACAACCAGATTTCCTGAGAACTCACTATCACAAGGTCAGCATCAAGAAGATGTTGCTTAACCATTGGTGAAAGATCTGCCCCCTACCACCCCCACCCCCCACTGTTTCCAGGCAGAAGCCTGAGGCACAGGCAGAGCCTCTTGGAAAACCTCTACTAGGGCAGTGCAGAAAAAATATATGGGCTTGGAGGCCCCACGCAACCATCCACCAGACCACAGATTCATAGACCCAACAATAGCTTGCATTCTCAGTATGGAAAAGCCACAGGCACTCAACACCAGCCCAGCCGACGAAGGCAGCCATGGGGGCTAATGCCTGCAAAGCCACAGGTGCACTGCCCTGGTAGAGCTTTTCCATGAGGCTCTGCCTCTGCAGCAGGCTACTCCCTCTTCCTACTGCCCACCACACTCTCACCACCCTACTGCCAGCCTACTCCTCCCCACCCTACACACTTGTTTTCCCTTCCACCCCTACCAACCTCCCATTTGTGATTAAATCACTTCCCACCAGGCCCCACCTGCAACAGTCAGGAATACAATTCACCAAGAGTTTTTGTAGGGAAACACAGTCAAACCATATTATTCTGACCCTGAAACCCCCACATCTCATGTCCTTCTCACACAGAAAAATACAAACATGCCTTTTCAAAAGTTTCCAAAAGTCTTAACTCATTCCAGCAGTAACTCAAATGTAGTAAGTTCAAGTCTCATCCAAGACAAGGCTGCAATCTCTTCTGCCTATGAGTCCCTGAATGTAAAAGACAATTCTTTTCTTTCAAGTTACAATGATGGCACAGGCACTGGGTAAGCTTTCTCAATCCAAAGGGAAGATTTTCCCTGAAAAATAACACAACTGGGACACAGGCCCAATCCGAGTCCAAAACCCAGCAGGACAGCATTCATTTATCATGAGAACTCACTATCGCACAGACTGCATTAAGGTGATAGTATTTAACCATTTGTGAAGGATCTGCCACCCATCCCCATGTTTCACCCTCACCCACACCATGAACCCCCATTCTCCCACATCCACCTTCCAACCCCCATTCTCTACCATGATTAAATCACCTTCTACCAAGCCCCACATTTGACATTCCCCATTACAATTCCACATGAGTTTTGGAAGGGACACAGAGCCAAATCATATTATTCTCCCCTTGGTCCCCAACCTCATGACCTTCTTATACTGCAAAATATAATGATGTGTTCTCTAAGGTCCCCCAATGTCTGAACTCATTCCAGCATTTACTCAAATGTCCATTTGTGAAGGATCCACCCCCCACCCCTCCCTTTCAGCCACAAATGCACCACAATCCGCCAACACTCCCCACCCACCTATAGCCCCAACCCTCCACACCACCCCCAGCATCCACCCTCCATGCTCCACCATGATTAAATCACCTTCCACCAGCCCCCACCTTTAACATTTCCCATTAAAATTCCACATGAGTTTTGGTAGAGACACAGAGCCAAAACATATTATTCTGCCCCTGGTCCCCCAAATCTCATGTCTTTTTCATATTGCAAAATGCAATGATGCCTTCCCTAGAGTCCCCTAAATCTCAATTCATTCCAGCCTTTACTCAAATATCCAAAGCCCAAAGTCTCTTCTGAGACAAGGCTGCAGTCTCTTCTGCCCTGAGACTCTGAAATACACAGCAAATTAACTACTTCCAAGGTACAATGACTGTACTGGCATTGGTTAAGCATTCCCAGGCAAAAAGAAGAAATTTGCCAGAAAGAAGCATAAAACACAGATGGGACTTACAAACTCCCTGCAAGTCAAAAGCCCAGCAGACCAGTCATCCATCATACACCACCAAATCACCTTTTTGGAATCTATGTCCACATCCAGAGCACAGGGTGATGTGACAGCTGGGATCCCAAGGCCTTGGGCAGCTCTGCACCTGTGGCATTGCAGAATCTTTCCCCTACAGTTGCCCTCATTGACTAGGCTGGTGTTGAGTGCCTGTAGCTTTTCAACACTAAGGGTGCAAGCAGCTGGTGCGTCTATGAAACTGGGGCCTGGAAAATGGTGCCTCCCTGTATGGGGACTCCAACCCTATACTCTCCTTGTGTACTGCCTGAGTAGAAGTTTACGATGAGGCTCTGCCTCTTGGAAAAGCTTCTGGCTGGACAATCAGGCTTTCTGATACATCCTCTGAAGTCTAGATGAAGGCTCAGAAGCTTCTAGTCCTTGCTTTATGCAACTGCTGGCTTAACACCTTGTGGAAGCCACCAAGTCTTCGAGCTTGCATCCTCTGAAGCAGTGACACAAGCTGTACCTGTGCATCTTTCATCCATGGCTGGAGCTGGAGATGGAGCTGCAGGGATGCAGGCAGCAGTGTCCTGAGGCTGCACACAGCAGTGGAGCCATGGGGCTGGCCCAGGAAACCATCCTTTTCTCCTAGGCCCCAGGGCCAGTGACAGCAAGGGCTGCTACAAAAGTCTCTGAAATGCCTTCAAGGCCTTTTTCCCATTATCTTGAATTATTAGCACTCGGCTCCTTTTTATGCAAATATCTGAAGCCTTCTTGACTTTCCCCCTGAAAATCAGCTTTTCTTTCTGACCACTTGTGGAGATTACAAATTTTCCATATGTTTAAGCTCTGCTTCTCATTTAAATATAAGTTCCAACTTATAGTCATTTCTTTGACCACACATAGGTGCGCAGGCTGTTCAATGTAGGCAGGACAACTCTTGAGCATTGTTGCTTAGAAGTTCATTCTACCAGATACACTCTAAATCATCACCCTCAAGTTCAGTTTCACAGATCTCCTGGAAAGGATCAATGTGTAGTCAATTACTTTGCTAAGGCAAAACAAAAAAACCTTGGCTCCTCTTCCCAGTGAGTACTTCATTTTCACCTGAGATCTTGTAAGCCTGACATTCACTGTCCATCCTTATGTTAGCCTTTTAATCACAACTATTGAACAAGTCTCTGCAATGGTCCAAACTTTCCCTCATCTTCCTGTTTTCTTCCAAGATCTCCGAACTCTCTAACCTCTGGCCATTACCTAATTCAGAACCTGCTTCTACACTATCAGGTATCATTTTCGCAGCCTGGCAATGTGGTAACAGAAGAAAAGTCTATTATCAGGGGGAAACATCAAGATGGTATCCAATATTTGCATTGAAAAAAGCTCAGTGCTAATAACCAAGAGATTGGGGGAAGGCCTAGAAGTCATTTCATAGCTTCACTTCGCAGCATTAATTGTCTGTATGTACATAAAGAAAAGAGGTTTAGTTGACTCACAGTTCTTCAGGCTATAAAGAAAGCATAGTGGATTCTGCTTGTAGGAGGACTCAGGAAGCCTCCCAATCATACCAGAGGCCAAGCAGCAATGAAATGTTTCATATGCCAGAAGTAGAAGCAAGACAGAAAGAGGAAAGAGGTGCGACATCCTCTTATACAACTAGATCTCATGAGAGCTCACTGTCAGGAGATCAGCATCAAGAAGATGGTGCTTCACTGTTGGTGAAGGATCCGCCCACCACCCCATATCCACCACCCACTGTTTCCAAGTAGAAGCCTGAGACAGAGGCAGATCCTCTTGGAAAACCTCTACTATGGCTGTTTAGAAGAAAACTATGGGCTTGGAGCCCCCATGTAGGATACCAGCATCCTCCAATCCCCAGATTCATAGAACCATCAACAGCTCACACCCCCAGTATCGAAAAGCTACAGGCACTCAACACCAGCCCAGCCCATGAGAGCAGCTACAGGTGCTAAACCCTGCAAAGCCCCAGGTGCACTGCCTTAGTAGAGTTTTTCCATGAGCCTCTGCCTCTGCGGCAGGCTACTCCCATCCTGCTACACACCACCCTACAGCCAGCCTACTCCTCCCCACCTTACCCACCTGTTTTGACTTCCAATCCAACCCCTCTCCCATCCATGAATAAATCACCTCCCACCAGGCCTCACCTGCAACATTGGGGATTACAATTACATGTGAGTTTAGGTAGGGACACACAGCTAAACAATATTATTCTGACCCTGATCCCCCAAATATCATAGCCTTCTCACAGAGTAAAATACAATCATGCCTTTTCAAAAGCTGCCAAAAGTCTTAAGTCATTTCAGCATTAACTCAAATTTAAAAAGTTCAAAGTCTCACCTGAGAAAAGGCTACAGACCCTTTGGCCTATAAGTTCCTGAATTTAAAAGGGATTTATTTTCTTTCAAGATACAAAGATGGTACAGGCATTGGGTAAGTTTTGTCAATCCAAAGGGGAGAGGTGTGCCAGGAAAATAACACAAATGGGATCACAGGGCCAATGCAAGTCCAAAACCCAGGAGGCCAGTATCCATTCAATCTCACTGCTCCAAAACAATCACAAGAACTCATCATCATGAGGAAAGGATTAAGGAGATGGTGTTTAACCATTTGTGAAGGATCCTACCCCCACCCCCACTTTTCACCCCTCACCCCCACCATAATCCACCCATTCTCCCCAATCCCCACCTTCCAATACCCAGTGCCCTCCACGATTAAATCACCTTCCACCTGGCCCCACTTTCAACATTTCTGATTACAATTCCATATGAGTTTCCATAGGGACACACAGCCAAATCTTATTATTCTGTCCCTGCCCCACAAATCTCATGTCCTTCTCACTTTGCAAAATACAATGATGCCTTACTTACCATTCCCCAAGCCACTGTGCTTTTTTTTTACAGCCTGCAGAACCATGAGCCCATTAAACCCCTTTTTGTTATGATCATACAGAAAATTAGTATTGTGAAGTGAAGCTATGAAATGCCTTCAATGACTTTTCCCCATCATCTCGGCTAAGACCCCCAAGGTCTTAACTCATTCCATCATTTACTCAACTGTCTGAAGCCCAAAGTCTCATCTAAGACAAAGATGCAGTCCCATCTCCTCCTGAGCCTCTGAAATACAAAGCAAGTTAACTACTTCCAAGGTATGATTGTCCAGACATTGAGTAAGAATTCCCAACCAAAAGGAAGATTTATGCCAGAGACAAGAACAAAACACAAACGGGACTTACAGGTCCCATGAAAATCCAAAACCCAGCAGGCCAGTTATTCAAACCTACAGCTCCAAAGTCATCCTTTTTCAATCCTTGTCCCACATCCAGGGCACAAGTGTATGAGGGCTGGGTTCCCAAGGCCTTGGGCAGCACTCTACCTGTGGCTTTGCAGTGTTCAGTCCCCACAGCTGCCCTCATGGGCTGTGCTGGTGTTGAGTGCCTGTAGTTTTTACCCACAGAGGGTACAAAGTTCTTGGTGGGTCTATGAATCTGGGGTCTGCATGATGCTGGCATCCAGTGTGGGGGCCCCAACCCCATATTTTCCTTCTGCACTGCCCTAGTAGAGGTTTCCCAGGAGTCTCTGCTTTTTTGGCAGCCTTCTGTCTGGACACCAAGACACTTTCATACATCTTCCGAAATCTGTATGAAGGCTCCAAAGCCTCTGGGCTAGTGCTCTGTGCACTCGCTAGCTTAAAACTATATGGAAGCCATGAAGCCTTACAGCCTGTACCCTCTGAAGCAGTGATGCAATCTGTACCTGTGCATCTTTCAGCCAAGGTCGGTGCAGGAGCTGGGGCAGCCGGGTTTCAGGCAGCAGTGTCCTGAGGCTGCACACAGCAGCAGGGTCATGGGGCTGGCCCAGGAAACCATTCTTCTCTAATAGGCCCCAGGGACTGTGACAGCAAGGGCTGCTGCAAACATCTCTGAAATGCCTCCAAGGCTTTTTCCCCCAGTGTCTTGGCTATTAGCACTGGCCTCCATTTTATGCAAGTTTCTGGAGCCTTCATGAATTTTCCCCCTGAAAATCAGCTTTTCTTTTTGACCACTTGGCCAGGCTGCGGATATTCCAAACTTTTGAGCTCTGCTTGTCATTTAAATATAAGTTCCAACTTGAGGTCATTTCCTCGGTCACACATAACCTCGGTCACACATGAAAGCACAGGCTGTTTGATGCAGACATGCCCCCACCCTTGTGCTATGCTGCCTAGAAGTTCTTTCCACCAGATATGCACTAAATCTTCACCCTAGAGTTCAAAATTTCACAGATCTTGAGGGCAAGGTCGCCCTGCAGCCATGTTCTTTGCTACAGCAAAACAAAAGCTAACCTTGGCTCCCGTTCCCAGTAAGATCCTCATTTTCATCTGAGACCTTGTAAGCCTGGCCTTCACTGTCCATCCTTCTGCCAGCCTTTTAATCACAACTATTTAACAAGTGCCTACAATGGTCCAAATTTCCCTTCATCTCCCTGCCTTCTTTCAAGATCTCCAAACTCTCCAACCTCTGGCTGTTACCCACTTCTGAACCTGCTTTACATTTTCAGCTATCTTTGTTGCAGCCTGGCAATGCAGAAGAAAAAGAAGTCCATTTTCAGGGGGAAAACTTCAGGAAGCCTTCAGATATTTGCATTAAAAAGAAGTCCAGTGCTAATAGCCAAGAAGATGGGGAAATGTCATTGAAGATATTTCATAGCTCCACTTCGCAGTACTTTATTTTCTGCATGATCATAACGAAAAGGGGTTTAATTGGCTCATGGTTCTGCAGGCTGTAAAGAAAGCATAGTGACTTCTGCTTCTGGGAGGACTCAGGAAGCCTCCCAATCATACCAGTAGGAAAACAGCAATGAAATGTTTCATACAGCAGGAGTAGGAGCAAGGCTGAGAGAGGAAAGTGGTGCCACACCGTCCTATAACCACATCTCATGAGAACTCACTATCACTAGGTCAGCATCAAGAAGATGGTGCTTAAACATTGGTGAAGGATCCGCCCCCCAACACAGCTCCACCCCCTACCGTTCCAGACAGAAGCCTGCTGCAGAGGCAGAGGCTCTTGGAAATCCTGTACTGTGGCAGTGCAGAAGGAAAATAAGGGCTTTGAGTGACTATGCAGGAGGCCACCAGCCTCTAGACCCCAGATTCATAGACCTACCAACAGTTCACACCCTCAGTATGGAAAAGTGATAGGCACTCAACACCAGCCAAGCCTATGAGAGCAGCCTTGTGGGCTAAAGCCTGCAAAGCCACAGGCGCACTGCCCTGGTAGAGGTTTTCCAAGAGCCGCTGTCTCTGCAGCAGGCTACTCCCCCTTCCTACTACCCACCACCCTCCCACCACCCTACAGCCAGCCTACTCTTCCCCACCCTACCCACCCCTTTTTTCTTCCACCCCTACCCCTCCCATCCATGATTAAATAATCTCCCACCAGACCCCAACTCCAACATTTTGGATTACAATTCCACATGAGTTTTTCCAGGGGCACACAGCCAAATCATATTATGCTGACCTTGACCCCACCAAATCTCATATCCTTCTCACAGAATAAAATAAAATCGTGCCTTTTCAAAGTTTCCAAAAGCCTTAACTCATTCCCACATTAACTCAAATGTAAAAAGTTCAAAGTCTCATCTGAGACAAGGCTACAATCTCTTCTGCCTATGAGTCCCTGAAGTTAAAAGGGTGTTCGTTTCTTTCAAGGTACAATGATGGTACAGATATTGGGTAACTTTTCTCAATCCAAAGGGAAGAAATTTCCAAGAACAATAACACAAATGGGACCCAGGCCCAATGGAAATCCAAAATCCCACAGGTCAGTGTTCAGTCAATCTCACAGCTCCAAAATCATGAAGAGAACTCAATATCAGAAGGACAGCATTAAGGAGATGGTGTTTAACCATTTGTGAAGGATGCACCCCCACCCCTGCCTTACACCCCCAACCCCACCACAATCCCCTCCAACCCTCCTCACCACCCAATCCCCCCCATCCCTCCCCAACCCTGAAACATCCAACCTCCTCTCTCCATCATGATTAAATCACCTTCCACCAGCCCCCACCTTTAACATTTCCCATTAACATTCCACGTTAGCTTTGGTAGAGACAGAGAGCCAAAACATATTATTCTGTCCCTGGTCCCCCAGAGTTCATGTTTTTCTCACATTGCAAAATGTAATGATGCCTTCCTTAGAGTCTCTCAAATCTTAACCCATTCCAGCATTTACTCAAATGCCCAAAGCCGAGAGTCTTATTTGAGACAAGTCTACAGACCCTTCTGCCCATGAGCCACTGAATTATATATAAAGCAAGTTTACTACTTCCAAGGTGCAATGATTGTACAGGCTTTGGGTAAGCATTCCCAGCCAAAAGGAAAAAAATTGCCAGAAAGAAGCACAAAACACAGATGGGACTTACAGACCCCATGCAAGTCAAAAACCCAGCAAGCCAGTCATTGAATCCTACAGCTCCCAAATCATCTTTTCTGAATCTATACCTCACATCTGGGGCACAGGGGTGGATGGCTGGGCTCCCAAGGCCTTGGGCAGCTCAGCATCTGTGGCTGTGCAGTGTCTATCTCCGACAGGTGCCCTTATGGGCTGGGCTGGCGTTGAGTACCTGTGGCTTTTCCACACTGAGGGTGCGAGCAGTTGACGGGTCTATGAATCTGGGGTCTGGAAAGTGGTGCATTCCTGTGTGGGGGCTGCAACCCTATATGTTCCTTCTGTACTGCCCTAGTAAATGTTTCCCATGAGGCTCTGCCTCTTGGAAAAGCTTCTGCCTCAACACCCAGGTTTTTCTGTATATACTCTGGAGTCTAGACAAAGGCTCCCAAGCCTCTAGTTCTGTGCTCTGTGCACCTGCTGGCTTAGTACTATGTGGAAGCCACCAAGGTTTGAAGCTTGCACCCCTGAAGCAGTGATGCAAGCTGTACCTGTGCATCTTTCAGCCGTGACTGGAGCTGGAGCTGGAGCTGGAGCTGCAGGGATGCAGACAGCAGTGTCCTGAGGACGGACACAGTAGCGCGACCATGGGACTCAATCAGGAAAGCATTCTTCGGTCCTAGACCTCAGGGCCTGTGACAGCAAGCTCTGCTGCAAAGGTCTCTGAAATGGCTTCAAGGCCTTTTAACCTTGTCTTAGCTATTAGCACTGGGCTCCATTTTATGCAAATTTCTGAAGGCTTCTTGAATTTTCCCACTGAAAATCAGCTTTGCTTTTTGACCACTTGGCCAGGCTGCAAATTTTCCAAACTTTTAAGCCCTGCTTCTCATTTAAATATAAGTTTCAATTTGAGGTCATTTATTCAGTCACAGAGAAGACCACAGGCTGTTCAAAACAGACAAGACACCTCTTGAGCTTTGCTGCCTACTTCATTTCACCAGATATACCCTAAATCATCACACTCAAGTTCAAAGTTTCAGAGGTCTCCAGGGCAGGGACACCATCCTGCCAAGTTCTTTGCTAAGGGAAAACAAAAGTAACCTTGACTCCTGTTCCCAGTAAGTTGCTCATTTTCATCTGAGACCTTCTAAGCCTGGTCTTCACTGTCCATCCTTCAGTCACTATTTTAATTATAGCTATGTAACAAGTCTCCATGGTCACCCTTTTAATTTAACACATCTCTACAATAGTCCAAATTTTCCCTCATCTTTCTTTCTTCTTCCAAGCCCCCCAAACTGTGCAGCGTCCGGTGGTTACCCACTTCTGAACCTGCTTCTACGTTTTCAGCCACCGTTGTGGCAGCCTAGCAATGTGGTGAAAGGAGAAAAGTCCATTTTCAGGGGGAAAATTCAAGAAGGCTTCAGATATTACCATATAAAAGTGGGCAAATGTTAATAGTAAAAAAAAAAAAAAATGGGGAAAAAACCTTGAGGGCATTTCATGGCTCCACTCTACAGTACAAATTTTCTGTAATATTATTTTTAAAAGAGTTTTAATTGGCTCATGGTTCTGCAGGTTGTAAAGGCAGCAAGTGGTTTCTGCTTCTGGGAGGACTCAGGGAGCCTCCCAATCATACCAAAAGGCCAAGTGACAATGAGATATTCCATATGGCAGGAGTAGGAAGAAGACACAGAGAAGGAAGAGGTGCCACACCAGTTTATACAACCAGATCTCATGAGAACTCACTATCAGGAGATCAGCATCAGGAAGATTAACCAATGGTGAAGGATCCACCCACACCACCGCCTACTGTTTCCAGGCAGAAGCCTCCTGCAGAGCAGAACCTCTTGGAGAACCTCTACGAGTGCAGTGCAGAAGGAAAATATGGGCTTGGAGCCCCCACACAGGAGGCCACCATCCTCCAGACTGCAGATACATAGACCCAACAGCTTGCACTCTCTGCGTGGAACAGCTACAGGCACTCCACACCAGCCCAGCCCATGAGAGCAGCCATGGGGGCTACACCCTGCAAAACCACAGGTGCACTGCCCTAGTAGAGACTTTCCCTGAGCCTCTGCCTCTGCAGCAGGCTACTCCCACTTCCTGCTACCCACCACCCTCTCACCACCCTACTAACAACCTACTCCTCACCCTACCCACCCCTTTTCCTTCCACCCCCGGCCCCCGACCATCCACGATTAAATCACCTCCAGCAGGCCCCACCTCCAACATTAAAGATTACAATTCACTTGAGTTTTGTTAAAGAAACACAGCCAAATCATATTATTCTGACCCTGATCCCCACAGTCTCATGTGCTTCTCACAGAGAAAAATATATTCATGCCTTTTCAAAAGTTTCCAAAAGTCTTAAATCATTCCAACATTAACTCAAATATAAAAAAATCAACTTCTCATCTGAGACAGTTCTACAGTACGTTTTGCCTATGAGTCTCTGAATTTAAAAGGATGTTCTTTTCTTTCAAGGTACAATAATGGTACAGGCTTTGGGTAAGATTTTTCAATCCAGAGGGAAGAAATTTCCGAGGAAGGAAACACAAATGGGACCACAGGCCCAATACAAGTCCAAAACCCAGAAGGCCAGTATCCATTCAATCTTACAGCTCCAAAATCATGAAGAGAACTCACTATCACAAGGACAGCAATAAGGAGAATGTTTAATCATTTGTGAAGCATCCGCCCCACAACTCCCAATTTTCACTCCTCACCCGCACCATAAATCCCCCATTCTCCCTACGCCCCATCTTCCAACCCCAACTCTCCACCGTGATTAAATCACCTTCCACCAGGCCCCACCTTTAACATTCCGATGACAATTCCACATGAGTTTTGGTAGAGACACAGAGCTGAATTTTATTATTCTGTCCCTGGCTCCCCAAATCTCATGTCCTTCTCACATTGAAAAATATAATGATGCCTTCCCTACAATCCCCCAAAATCTTATATCATTACAGCATTTATTCAAATGTTGAAAGCTTAAAGTCTCATCTGGCACAAGGCTACAGTTGCTTAGGCCCATGAGCCTCTGAACTATAAAGCAAGTTAACTACTTCCAAGGTACAATGTTTGTAGAGCCATTGGGTAAGCATTCCCAGCCAAAAGAAAGAATTTTGCCAGAAAAAAAACAAAACATAGACAGGACTTACCGGTCCCATGAAACTCCAAAACCAAAAGGCCAGTCATTCAATCCTACAGCTCCAAAATCACCCTTTTTGAAACCCTGTCCCACATCCAGGGCACAGGGGTGTGAGGGCTGGGCTCCCAAGGCCTTGGGCAGCTTGGCACCTGTGGCTTTGCAGGGTTTATGCCCACGGCTGCCCTCAGGACCTCGGCTGGTGTTGAGTGCCTGTGACTTTTCCCCACTAAGGATACAAGTTGTTGGGGGTCTATGAATCTGGGGTCTGCATGATGGTGGCCTCCAGTGTGGAGGCTCCAACCCCATGTTTTCCTTCTGCACTGCCCTAGTAGAAGTTTCATATAAGGCTCTGCCTTTTTGGGATGTTTTTGCCTGGACACCCAGGCATTTCCATACATCTTCCAAAATCTATAGAGAGGTTTCCAAGCCTCTGGTCTCATGCTCCGTCCACCAATGGCTTAACACAATGAGGAAATTACCAAGGCTTCTAGCTGGCACCCTCTGTAGCAGTGACCCAAGCTGTAGCTGTGCATCTTTCAGTCATGGCTGGAGCTGGAGCTGGAGCTGGAGCTGGAGCTGCAGGGATGCAGGCAGCAGTGTCCTGAGGCTGCACACAGAGGGGGGGCATGGAACTGGCCCAGGAAACCATTCTTCTCTCCTAGGCCCCAGGGCCTGTAACAGCCAGGGCTGCTGCAAAGGTCTCTGAAATGCCTTCAAGGCCTTTTCCCTATTGTCTTGTCTATTAGCACTGGGCTCCTTTTCATGCGAGTTTCTGAAGCCTTCCTCAACTTTCCCCCTGAAAATCAGCTTTTCTTTTTGACCACATGGCCAGGCTGCAAATTTTCCAAACTTTTGAGTTCTGTTTCTCATGTAATGTGAGAGTTGGGACTCATTTAATGTAAGTCTCATCCAGAAGTCATTTCCTCCATCACACATAAGAACACAGGCTGTGTGATGCAGACAGGACACCTCTTGAGTTTGCTGCTCAGTTCATTCCACCAGATACTCAGTAAATCATCACCCTCAAGTTCAAAATTTCACAGATCTCCAGGGCGAGGTCACCGTGCAGCCATGTTCTTTGCTAAGGAAACAAAAGTAACTTTGACTTCTGTTCCCAGTAAGAGCTTCATTTTCATCTGAGACCTTCTAAGTCGGGCTTTCACTAACCATTTTCCTGTGAGCCTTCTGATCACAAGTGTTTAGCAATTCTTTACAAAGATCCAAACTTTCTTTCATCTTCTTGTCTTTGAAGCCCTCCAAACTCTCCCGACCTCTGTCCGCTACTCCCTTCTGAATCTGCTTCTACATTATCACTATCTTTGCCACAGCCTGGCAATGTGGTAAAGGAAAACAAGTCCATTTTCAGGGGAAAATTCATGAAGCCTTCACATACTTGAATGAAAAGAAGCTGAGTGCTGATTGCCACGACAATGACATTTAATAGTTCCACTTTGCACTACTAATTTTCTCTATGATCATAAAGAAAAGAAGTTTAATTGGCTCATGATTCTGCAGACCATAAGGAAACATAATGGCTTCTGAATCTGGGAGGACTCAGGAAGCCTTCCAATCATACCAGAATGTCCAGGGGCAATGACATGATTCATGTGGCAGGAGTAGGCACAAGACACACACAGGAGAGAGGACCACACCCTATTATACAAACAGATCTCATGAGAACTCACTATCACAAGGTCAGCATCATGAAGATGGTGCTTAAACATTGAGGAAGGAACAACCACCCACCCCCAACTCCCACTGTTTCCAAACAGAAGCCTGCTGCAGAGGCAGAGCCTCTTGGAAAACCTCTACCAGGGAAGTGTGGAAGGAAAATATGGGCTTGAAGCCCCCAGGCAGATGGCCACCAACCTCCAGACACCAGATTCATAGACCCACCAACAGCTCACACCCTCTGTGGAAAAGCTACAGGCACTCAACAACAGCCCAGACCGTGAGAGCAGCTGCACGGGCTAAACCCTGCAAAGCCACAGGTGCTCTGTCCTAGTAGAACTTTTCCATGAGGCTTTGCCTCTGCAGCAGGCTGCTCCCCCTTGCTACTACCCCCCACGCTCCCACCATTCTACTGCCAGCCTACTCCTCCCCACCCTAACCAACCCTTTTGTGATACCCTACCTTGTTTTAACCTGGTCGACTCTCCCTTAGCTGAGAGGGCCAGACAGACTCCATCTTGGCTCCTTCACTTGCAGCCCCTTACCCACCCCCCTTCCTCAAGGACTTAACTTGTGCAAGCTGACTCCCAGCACATCAAAGAATGCAATTACTGATAAGATACTCTGGCAAGCTATATCCACAGTTCCCAGGAATTCGCCCGGTTGATAGTACACAAAACCCCAGCATTTGTGTCCAGTTGATAGCACCCAAAGCCCCCACATCTATCACCTTTGGATGGATTTAAAGCCCCTGCACATGGAAATGTTTGTTTTCCTGTAGCCATTTATCTTTTTAACTTTTTTGCCTGTTTTGCTGCTGTGAGAGTCCTTCAGCGAGGCTCCCCCTCCCCTTTCTAAACCAAAGTATAAAAGAAAATCTAGCCCCTTCTTCCAGGCCAAGAGAATTTTGAGCACCAGCGGTCTCTCAGTTGCCGGCAATAAAGGTCTCCTGAAGTCGTCTCATGGTTTGGCGTTTCTCTACAACTCACTCGGTTACAACCCTTTTCCTTCCACCCCAACCTCCTCCAATCAATGACTAAATGATCTCCCCCAGGCCCCACCTTCAACATTTGGAATTACAATTGCACCTGAATTTTTATAGGGACACACAGCCAAACCATATTATTCTGACCCTGATATTCCAGAATCTCATGTCCTTAACACAGAGCAAAATACAATCAAGCCTTTTCAAAACTTCCAACAGCCTTAACTCATTCCAAGTGTAAAAAGTTCAAAGTCTCATCTGAGACAAGGCTACTGTCCCTTCTGCCCATGGGTTCCTGAATTTAAAAGAGATTTCTTTTCTTTCAAGGTACAATGATGGTACAGGTGTTGTGTAAGCTTTCTCAATCCAAAGGGAAGAAATTTCCCAGAATACACAAACGGGACCGCAGGGCAAATGCAAGTCCAACACCCAGCAGGACACTATTCACTCAATCTCACAGCTCAAAAATCATCAAGAGAACTCACTATCATGCGGACAGCATTAAGGAGATAGCGTTTACCCATTTGTGAAGAATCTTCCATCCCACCCTCATCTTTCACTCCCACCCACAAAATAATCTCTCCCATTCTCCCCACACCCCTACCTCCAACATCCACTCTTCTCCATGATTAAATCACCTCCCACCAGGTCCCACCTTTAACATTCCCCACGACAATTCCACATGAATATTGGTAGAGAGACAGAATCAAATCGTATTATTCTGACTCTTGCTCCCCAAATCTTGTATCCTTGTCACACTGCAAAATACAATGATGACTTCTCTACTGTCCCCCAATGACTTAACTCATTCCAGCATTTACTGAAATGTCCAAGGACTTACAGACCCCATACAAGTCAAAAACCCAGCAGGCCAGTCATTGAATCCTACAGCTCCAAATCATTTTTTCTGAATGGATATCTCACATCCAGAGCACAGGTGTGTCATGGCTGGGCTCCCAAGGCCTTGGGCAGCTCTGCACCTGTGGCTGTGCACGGTCTATCCCCCACAGCTGCCCTCATGGGCTGGGCTGGTGTTGAGTGCCTGTAGCTTTTCCACACCAAGGTTGGAAAAGCCAGCTGTTGGTGGGTCTATGAATCTGGGGTCTGGAGAATGGTGCCTCCATGTTTAGGGACTCCAGTCTTATATTCTCCTTCTGTACTGCCCTAGTAAAGGTTTCCCATGAGGCTTTGCCTCTTGGAAAAGCTTCTACCTGAAAACCCAGGTTTTTCCGTAGATACTCTGGAGTCTAGACAAAGGCTCCCAAGCCTCTAGTTTTGTTCTTTGTGCACCTGCTGGCTTAACACTATGTGGAAGCCACCAAGGCTTGAAGCTTACACCCCTGAAGCATGATGCAAGCTGTACCTGTGCATCTTTCAGCCATGGCTGGAACTAGAGCTGCAGGGATGCAGGCAGCAGTGTCTTGAGACTGCACATAGAGGGGGGTCATGGAACTGGCCTAGGAAACCATTCTTCTCTCCGAGGCCCCAGGGCCTATGATAGCAAGGGCTGCTGCAAAGGTTTCTGAAATGGCTTCAAGGCCTTTTCCCTATTGTCTTGGCTATTAGCACTGGGCTCCTTTTCATGCAAATTTCCGAAGCCTTCCTCAGTTTTCCCCTGAAAATCAGCTTTTCTTTTTGACCATTTGGCCAGGCTGCACATTTTTGAGTTCTGTTTCTCATTTAATATAAGAGTTGGGACTCATTTAATGTAAGACCCATCCAGATGTCATTTCCTCGGTCACACATAAGGGCACGGGCTGTTCGATACAGACAGGACACCCCTTGAGCTTTGCTGCCCAGAAGTTTATTCCATCAGATACACAGTAAGTCATCACCCACAAGTTCAAAGTTTCACAGATCTCCAGGGCAGTGTCACTGTGCAGCCATGTTCTTTGCTACAGCAAAACAAAAGGCACCTTGGCTCCTGTTTGCAGTAAGTTCCTCATTTTCATCTCACAGCCTCTCAATCTGATCCTTACTGTCTATTTTCCTGTGAGCCTTCTGATCACAAGTATTCAACAATTCTTTACAAAGATCCAAACTTACCCTCATCTCCCTGTCTTTGAAGTCCTCCAAACTCTCCAGAACTCCATCTGCTACCCCCTTCTGAACCTGCTTCTACATTATCAGCTATCTTTGTCATACCCTGGCAATGTGGTAAAGGAAGACAAGCCCATTTTCCGGGGAAAAATTCAAGGAGGTTTCAGATACTTGAATAAAAAGAAGCTGAGTGCTGATTGCCAAGACATTAGAGAGAAGGCCTTGAAGACATTTAATAGATCCACTTTGCAGTAATAATTTTCTCCATGATCATAAAGAAAAGAGGTTTAATAGGTTAATGATTCTGCAGGCTGTAAGGAAGCATAGTGGCTTCTGCATCTGACAGGACTCAGGAAGCCTCCCAATCATACCAGAACGTCAAGGGGCAAGGAGATGTCTCATTTGGCAGAAGTAGGAGCAAGACAGAGAAAGGAAACAGGTGTCATGCCCCATTACACAAGCAGATCTCATGAGAACTCACTATCACAAGGTCAGCATCTAGAAAATGGTGCTTAAACATTGGTGAAGGATCCGCCCCACACACCCAACTCCCACTGTTTCCAGGCAGAAGCCTCCTTCAGATGCAGAGCCTCTTGGAAAACCTCTATTATGGAAGTGCAGAAGGAAAATATGGGCTTGAAGTCCCCACACAGGTGGCCACCAACCTCCAGACCCCAGATTCATAGGCCCACCAACAACTCACGCCCTTAGTGTAGAAAAGCTACAGGCCCTCAATACCAGCCCACCCCACGAGAACAGCTGAGGGGCTAAAACCTGCAAAGCCACAGGTGCACTGCCCTAGTAGAGGTTTCCCACGAGGCTTTGCCTCTGCAGCAGGCTACTCCCCCTTCCTACTACCCCCCACCCTCCCACCACCCTACTGCCAACCCACTCCTCCCAATCCTACCCATCCCTTTTACCTTCCACCACCACCAACCCCCTGTCCATAATTAAGTCACCTACTTCAACATTAGGGATTACAATTCCACATGAGTTTCATAGGGACACACAGGAAAACCATATAATTCTGACCCTGATATTCCAGAATCTCATGTCCTTATCACAGAGCAAAATACAGTCATGACTTCTCAAAAGTTTGCAAAAGTCTTAACTCATTCCAAATGTAAAAAATTCAGTCTCATCTGAGACAAGGCCACAGTCCCTTCTGTCTATGAGTCCCTGAATTTAAAACGGAGTTCTTTTCCTTCAAGGTACAATGATGGTAGAGACATTGTGTAAGCTTTCTCAGTCCAAAGGGAAGAAATTTCCCAGAAAAATAATACAAATGGGCCTACAGGCCCAATGCAAGTCCAAAACCCAGCGGGACAGTATTCACTCAGTCTCTCAGCTCCAAAATCATCAAGAGAACTCACTATCATGTGAACAGCATTAAGGAGAGCGTGTTTATCCATTTGTGAAACATCCGCCCCCCACCCTCATCTTTCACTCCCACCCACAAAAAAATCTCTTCTATTCTCCCCACTCCCTTACCTCCAACCCCCATGCTTCTCCATGATTAAATCGCCTCCCACCAGGCCCCATTTTTAACATTCCCCATTATAATTCCACATGATTTTGGTAGGGATGCAGAGCCAAATCATATTATTCTGACCCTGGCCCCCGTATCTCATGTTCTTCTCACACTGCAAAATACAATGATGCCTTCTCTACAGTTTCCCAATCTCTTAACTCATTCCAGCATTTACTGAAATGTCCAAAGCCCAAAGTCTCTTCTGAGACAAGGCTGCAGTCCCTTCTGCCCCTGAGCCTCTGAAATACAAAGCAAGTTAACTACTTCCAAGGTACAATGATTTTACAGGCATTGGATAAGTATTCCCAGTCAAAAGGAAAAAATTTGCCAGAAAGAAGCACAAAACACAGTTGAGACTTACAAACACCATGCAAGTCAAAAACCCAGCAGGATAGTCATTGAATCTTACAGCTCCAAATCATTTTTTTTTAAATCCAGATCCCACATCCAGAGCACTAGGGTATGAGGCCTGGGCTCCAAAGGCCTTGGGCAGCTCTGCACCTGTGGCTTTGCAAGGTCTAACCTCCACAGTGGCTCTCATGGGCTGGGCTAGTGTTGAGTACCTGCAGCTTTTCCACAATGAGGGTGCAAGCTGGTAGAGAGTCTATGAATCTGGCATTTGCAGAATGGTGCTACCCTGTATGGGAGTTCCAACCCTATATGTTCCTTCTGTACTGCCCTACTAAAGGAGGCTCTGCCTCTTGGAAAATTTTGACCTGGACACCCAGGTTTTTCCATATGTACTCTGGAGTCTAGAAAAAGGATCCCCAGCCTCCAGTTTTGTTCTCTGCACACCTGCTGGCTTAACACTATGTGGAAGCCACCAAAGCCTGCAGCTTGTGCCCCCTGAAGCAGTGACCCAAGCTGTACATGTGCATCTTTCAGCCATGGCTGGAGCTGGAGCTTCAGGAATGCAGCCAGCAGTGTCCTGAGGATGGACACAAGAGTGGGGCCATGGTGCTGGAGAAGGAAACCATTCTTTTCTCCCAGGCCTCAGGGCCTGTGATAGCAAGGGCTGCTACAAAAGTCTCTGAAATGCCTTCATGGCCTTTTTAACACTGTATTGGCTATTAGCACTCAACTCCATTTTATGCAAATTTCTGAAGACTTCTTGAACTTTCTCACTGACAATCAGCTTTTCTTTTTGACCACTTGGCCAGGCTGCAAATTTTCCAAACTTTTAAATATGTTTCACCATGAGGTCATTTCTTTGGTCACATATAGGACCACAGGCTGTTCGACACAGACAGGACACCTCTTAAGCTTTGCTGCATAAAATTTCCTTCCAACAGATACAATCTAAATTATCACCCTGATGTTCAAAATTTCACAGGTCTCCAGGTTAAGGACATCGTGCCGCAACGTTCTTTGCTAAGGAAAAAACAAAAGTGACCTTGCCTCCTGTTCCCAGCAAGCTCCTCATTTTCATGTGAGACCTTCTAAGCCTGGTGATCACTGTCCATCCTTCTGTCACCTTTTTAATTACAACTATTTGACAAGTCTCTACACTGATCCAAACTTTTCCTCATCTTCCTGTCTTCTTCCAAGACCTCTAAACTCTCCAACCTCTGGCCATTACACACTTCTTAACCTGCTTCTACATTTTCAGCTACATGTGTCACAGCCTGGCAATGTGGTAAAAGAAGAAAAGTCCATTTCAGGAGAAAAATTAATGCAGGCTTCAGACATTTCCCTGAAAAGAAGCTGAGTGCTGATCACCAATACAACAAGGAAAAGGTCTTGAAGGCATTTCATAGCTCCACTTCACAGCACTAATTTTCTGTATAATCAGAAAGAAAAGAGGTTGAACTGGCTCATGGTTCTGCAAGCTTTAAATAAATCATAGAGGTTTCTGCTTCTGGGAGGACTCAGGAAGCCTCCCAATCATACCAGAAGACCAAGCAGCAATGGGATGTTTTATATGGCAGAAGTAGAAACAAGACAGAGAGAGGAAAAAGCTGCCACATGTTGTATAAACCTGTTATACAAGCAGATTTCCTGAGAACTCACTATCACAAGGTCAGCATCAAGAAGATGTTGCTTAAACACTGGTGAAAGATCTGCCCCCTACCACCCCTCCCCCCACTGTTTCCAGGCAGAAGCCTGAGGCAGAGGCAGAGCCACTAGGAAAACCTCTACTAGGGCAGTGCAGAAAAAATATATGGGCTTGTAGGCCCCACACAGGAGGTTACCATCCTCCAGACCCAAGATTCATAGACCCACCAGCAGCTTGCACTCTCAGTATGGAAAAGCCACAGGCACTCAACACCAGCCCAGCCCATGGGAGCAAACACGGGGGCTAAAGCCTGCAAAGCCACAGGTGCACTGCCCTGGTATAGAGGTTTTCCATGAGGCTCTGCCTCTGCAGCAGGCTACTCCCCCTTTCTACTGCCCACCACCCTCTCACCACCCTACTGCCAGCCTATTTCTCCCCACCCTACACACTTGTTTCTCTTCCACCCCTACCACTCTGCCGTTTGTGGTTAAATCACATCCCACTAGGCCCCACCTACAACAGTCAGGAATACAATTCCCCATGAGTTTTTGTAGGGAAACACAGCCAAACCATATTATTCTGATCCTGACACCCCCACATCTCATATCCTTCTCACACAGAAAAATACAAACAGGCCTTTTCAAGAGTTTCCAAAAGTCTTAACTCACTCCAGCAGTAACTCAAATGTAGTAAGTTCAAATCTCAACCAACAGAAGGCTGCAATCTCTTCTGCCTATGAGTCCCTGAATGTAAAAGACAATTCTTTTCTTTCAAGTTATAATGATGGCACAGGCACTGGGTAAGCTTTCTCAAACCAAAGGGAAGATTTTCCCAGAAAAAATAACACAATTGGTACACAGGCCCAATCCGAGTCCAAAACCCAGCAGGACAGCATTCATTTATCATGAGAACTCACTATCACACAGACTGCATTAAGGAGATAGTATTTAACCATTTGTGAAGGATTTGCCACCCATCCCCATGTTTTGCCCTCACCCACACCATGAACCTCCATTCTCCCACATCCCACATCCCCCTTCCAACCCCCATTCCCTACCATGATTAAATCACCTTCTACCAAGCCCCACATTTAACATTCCCCATTACAATTCCACATAAGTTTTGGTAGGGACACAGAGCCAAATCATATTATTCTTCCTTTGGCCCCCCCAATCTCATGTCTTTCTCATACTGCAAAATACAATGATGCATTCTCTACAGTCCCCCAATGTCTGAAATCATTCCAGCATTTACTCAAATGTCCATTTGTGAAGGATCCGCCCCCACCCCTGCCTTTCACCCCCAACCCCACCACAATCCCAACCCTCACCACCCCCCAATCCCCCACCTCCCCACCACCACAATCCCCCCAACCCTCCCCGTCCCACAATCGCCCCAACCCTCCCAACCATCCAACCTCCACTCTCCACCAGGATTAAATCACCTTCCACCAGCCCCCACCTTTAACATTTCCCATTAAAATTCCACATGAGTTTTGGTAGAGACACAGAGCCAAAACATATTATTTTGTCCCTGGTCCCCCAAAGTTCATGTCTTTCTCACATTGCAAAATGCAATGATGCCTTCCCTAGAGTCCCCCAAGTCTTAACTCATCCCAACATTTACTCAAATATCCAAAGCCCAAAGTCTCTTCTGAGACAAGGCTGCCGGATCTTTTGCCCCGAGCCTCTGAAATACAAAGCAAGTTAACCACTTCCAAGGTGCAATGATTGTACAGGCTTTGGGTAAGCATTCCCAGCCAAAAAGAAGAAATTTGCCAGAAAGAAGCACAAAACACAGATGGGACTTAAAACTCCCTGCAAGTCAAAAACCCAGCAGGCCAGTCATTCCATCATACAGCTCCAAATCATCTTTTTGGAATCTATGTCCACATCCAGAGCACAGGGTGGTGTGACAGCTGGGATCCCAAGGCCTTGGGCAGCTCTGCACCTGTGGCATTGCAGAATCTTTCCCCTACAGCTGCCCTCATTGGCTAGGCTGGTGTTGAGTGCCTGTAGCTTTTCAACACTAAGGGTGCAAGCAGTTGGTGGGTCTATGAAACTGGGGCCTCGAAAATTGTGCCCCCCTGTATGGGGACTCCAACCCTATACTCTCCTTGTGTACTGCCCCAGTAGAGGTTTACCATGATGCTCTGCCTCTTGGAAAAGCTTCTGGTTGGACAATCAGGCTTTCTGATACATGCTCTGGAGTCTAGATGAAGGCTCAGAAGCTTCTAGACCTTGCTTTGTGCACCTGCTGGCTTAACACCATGTGGAGGCCACCAAGTCTATGAGCTTGCATCCTCTGAAGCAGTGACACAAGCTGTACCTGTGCATCTTTCATCCATGGCTGGAGCTGGAGATGGAGCTGCAGGGATGCAGGCAGCAGTGTCCTGAGGCTGCACACAGCAGTGGAGCCATGGGGCTGGCCCAGGAAACCATCCTTTTCTCCTAGGCCCCAGGGCCAGTGACAGCAAGGGCTGCTACAAAAGTCTCTGAAATGCCTTCAAGGCCTTTTTCCCATTATCTTGAATTATTAGCACTCGGCTCCTTTTTATGCAAATATCTGAAGCCTTCTTGACTTTCCCCCTGAAAATCAGCTTTTCTTTCTGACCACTTGTGGAGATTACAAATTTTCCATATGTTTAAGCTCTGCTTCTCATTTAAATATAAGTTCCAACTTATAGTCATTTCTTTGACCACACATAGGTGCACAGGGTGTTCAATGTAGGTAGGAGAACTCTTGAGCATTGTTGCTTAGAAGTTCATTCCACCAGATACACTCTAAATCATCACCCTCAAGTTCAGTTTCACAGATCTCCTGGGAAGGATCAATGTGTAGTCAATTACTTTGCTAAAGCAAAACAAAAAACCTTGGCTCCTGTTCCCAGTAAGTCCTTCATTTTCACCTGACATCTTGTAAGCCTGGCCTTCACTGTCCATCCTTATGTTAGCCTTTTAATCACAACTATTTAACAAGTCTCTGCAATGGTCCAAACTTTCCCTCATCTTCCTGTCTTCTTCCAAGCTCTCCGAACTCTCTAACCTCTGGCCATTACCTAATTCAGAACCTGCTTCTACACTGTCAGCTATCTTTTTCGCAGCCTGGCAATGTGGTAAAAGAAGAAAAGACCATTATCAGGGGGAAACATCAAGAAGGCCTCCAATATCTGCATTGAAAAAAGCTCAGTGCTAATAGCCAAGAGATTGGGGGAAAGGCCTAGAAGTCATTTCATAGCTTCACTTCACAGCATTAATTTTCTGTATCTACATAAAGAAAAGAGGCTTAGTTGACTCACAGTTCTTCAGGCTTTAAAGAAAGCACAGTGGTTTCTGCTTGTAGGAGGACTCAGGAAGCCTCCCAATCATACCAGAAGGCCAAGCGGCAATGAAATGTTTCATATGGCAGGAGTAGAAGCAAGACAGAGAGAGGAAAGAGGTGCAACATCCTCTTATACAACTAGATCTCATGAGAGCTCACTATCAGGAGATCAGCATCAAGAAGATGGTGCTTCACTGTTGGTGAAGGATCCGCCCACCACCCCATATCCACCACCCACTGTTTCCAAGCAGAAGCCTGAGACAGAGGCAGATCCTCTTGGAAAACCTCTACTATGGCTGTTTAGAAGAAAACTATGAGCTTGGAGCCCCCATGGAGGATACCACCATCCTCCAGACCCCAGACCCATAGATCCATCAACAGCTCACACCCCATGTACGGAAAAGCTACAGGCACTCAACACCAGCCCAGCCCATGAGAGCAGCTACAGGTGCTAAACCCTGCAAAGCCCCAGGTGCACTGCCTTAGTAGAGTTTTTCCATGAGCCTCTGCCTCTGTGGCAGGCTACTCCCATCCTGCTACACACCACCCTACAGCCAGCCTACTCCTCCCCACTTTACCCACCTGTTTTTACGTCCAATCCAACCCCTCTCCCATTCATGAATAAATCACCTCCCACAAGGCCCCACATGCAAAATTCGGGATTACAATTACATGTGAGTTTAGGTAGGGACACACAGCTAAACCATATTATTCTGACCCTGATCCCCCGAATATCATATCCTTCTCACAGAGTAAAATACAATCAGGCCTTTTCAAAAGTTGTCGAAAGTCTTAAGTCATTGCAGCATTAAGTCAAATGTAAAAAGTTCAACGTCTCACCTGAGAAAAGGCTACAGTCCCTTTTGCCTATAAGTTCCTGAATTTAAAAGGGATTTATTTTCTTTCAAGGTACAAAGATGGTACAGGCATTGGGTAAGTTTTCTCAATCCAAAGGGAAGAGGTTTGCCAGGAAAATAACACAAATTGGATCACAGGGCCAATGCAAGTCCAAAACCCAGGAGACCACTATCCATTCAATCTCACTGCTCCAAAACCATCACGAGAACTCACCATCATGAAGAAAGAATTAAGGAGATGGTGTTTAACCGTTTGTGAAGGATCCTCCCCCACCCCCACTTTTCACCCCTCACCCCCACCATAATCCACCCATTCTCCCCAATCCCCACCTTCCAATACCCAGTGCCCTCCACGATTAAATCACCTTCTACCTGGCCCCACTTTTAACTTTTCTGATTACAATTCCATATGAGTTTCCATAGGGACACACAGCCAAATCTTATTATTCTGTCCCTGCCCCACAAATCTCACATCCTTCTCACTTTGCAAAATACAATGATGCCTTACTTACAATTCCCCAAGCTACTGTGCTTTTTTTTTACAGCCTGTAGAACCATGAGTCAATTAAACCTTTTTGTTATGATCATACAGAAAATTAGTATTGTGAAGTGAAGCTATGAAATGCCTTCAATGACTATTCCCCATCATCTTGGTTAAGACCCCCAAGGTCTTAACCATTCTAGCATTTAGTCAAATGTCTGAAGCCCAAAGTCTCATCTGAGACAAAGATGCAGTCCCTTCTCCTCCTGAGCCTCTGAAATACAAAGCAAGTTAACTGCTTCCAAGGTATGATTGTCCAGACATTGAGTAAGAATTCCCAACCAAAAGGAAGATTTTTGCCAGAGAGAAGAACAAAACACAAACGAGACTTACAGGTCCCATGAAAATCCAAAACCCAGCAGGCCAGTTATTCAAACCTACAGCTCCAAAGTCATCCTTTTCCAATCCTTGTCCCATCTCCAGGGCACAAGGGTATGAGGGCTGGGTTCCCAAGGCCTTGGGCAGCTCTCTACCTGTGGCTTTGCAGTGTTCAGTCCCCACAGCTGCCCTCATGGGCTGTGCTGGTGTTGACTGACTGTAGTTTTTACCCACAGACAGTACAAAGTTCTTGGTGGGTCTATGAATCTGGGGTCTGCATGATGCTGGCCTCCATTGTGGGGGCTCCAAGCCCATATTTTCCTTCTGCACTGCCCTAGTAGAGGTTTCCCAGGAGGCTCTGCTTTTTGGCTCCTTCTGTCTGGACTCCCAGGTATTTTCATACGTCTTCTGAAATCTATATGAAGGCTCCGAAGCCTCTGGGCTAGTGCTCTGTGCACTCGCGGGCTTAACACTATGTGGAAGCCATGAAGCCTTATAGCCTGTACCCTCTGAAGCAGTGATGCAATCTGTACCGGTGCATCTTTCAGCCAAGTTTGGAACAGGAGCCGGGGCTGCCAGGATGCAGGCAGCAGTGTCCTGAGGCTGCAAACAGCCGCAGGGTCATGGGGCTGGCCCAGGAAACCATTCTTCTCTCCTAGGCTCCAGGGCCTGTGACAGCAAGGGCTGCTGCAAACATCTCTGAAATGCCTCCAAGACTTTTTCCCCCATTGTCTTGGCTATTAGCACTGGCCTCCATTTTATGCAAGTTTCTGGAGCCTTCATGAATTTTCCCCCTGAAAATCAGCTTTTCTTTTTGACCACTTGGCCAGGCTGCGGATATTCCAAACTTTTGAGCTCTGCTTGTCATTTAAATATAAGTTCCAACTTGAGGTCATTTCCTCGGTCACACATAACCTCGGTCACACATGAAAGCACAGGCTGTTTGATGCAGACATGCCCCCACCCTTGTGCTATGCTGCCTAGAAATTTATTCCACCAGATATGCACTAAATCATCACCCTAGAGTTCAAAATTTCACAGATCTTGAGGGCAAGGTCGCCCTGCAGCCATGTTCTTTGCTACAGCAAAACAAAAGCTAACCTTGGCTCCCGTTCCCAGTAAGATCCTCATTTTCATCTGAGACCTTGTAAGCCTGGCCTTCACTGTCCATCCTTCTGCCAGCCTTTTAATCACAACTATTTAACAAGTGCCTACAATGGTCCAAACTTTCCTTCATCTCTCTGTCTTCTTTCAAGATCTCCAAACTCTCCAACCTCTGGCTGTTACCCACTTCCGAACCTGCTTTACATTTTCAGCTATCTTTGTTGCAGCCTGGCAATGCAGAAGAAAAAGAAGTCCATTTTCAGGGGGAAACTTCAAGAAGCCTTCAGATATTTGCATTAAAAAGAAGTCCAGTGCTAATAGCCAAGACGATGGGGAAATGTCATTGAAGATATTTCATAGCTCCACTTCGCAGTACTTTATTTTCTGTATGATCATAATGAAAAGGGGTTTAATTGGCTCATGGTTCTGCAGGCTGTAAAGAAAGCATAGTGACTTCTGCTTCTGGGAGGACTCAGGAAGCCTCCCAATCATACCGGTAGGAAAACAGCAATGAAATATTTCATACAGAAGGAGTAGGAGCAAGGCTGAGAGAGGAAAGAGGTGCCACACCATCCTGTAACCAGATCTCATGAGAACTCACTATCACTAGGTCAGCATCAAGAAGATGGTGCTTAACCATTGGTGAAGGATGCGCCCCCCAACACAGTTCCACCCCCTACCGTTCCAGACAGAAACCTGCTGCAGAGGCAGAGGCTCTTGGAAATCCTGTACTATGGCAGTGCAGAAGGAAAATAAGGGCTTTGAGTGACTATGCAGGAGGCCACCAGCCTCTAGACCCCAGATTCATAGACATACCAACAGTTCACAACCTCAGTATGGAAAAGTGATAGGCACTCAACACCAGCCCAGCCCATGAGAGCAGCCATGGGGGCTGAAGCCTGCAAAGCCACAGGCGCACTGCCCTGGTAGAGGTTTTCCATGAGCCGCTGACTCTGCGGCAGGCTACTCCCCCTTCCTACTACCCACCACCCTCCCACCACCCTACAGCCAGCCTACTCTTCCCCACCCTACCCACCCCTTTTTTCTTCCACCGCTACCCCTCCCATCCATGATTAAATAATCTCACACCAGACCCCATCTCCAACATTTGGGATTACAATTCCACATGAGTTTTTCCAGGGGCACATAGCCAAATCATATTATGCTGACCTTGACCCCCCAAATCTCATGTCCTTCTCACAGAATAAAATACAATCGTGTCTTTTCAAAGTTTCCAAAAGCCTTAACTCATTCCCGCATTAACTCAAATGTAAAAAGTTCAAAGTCTCATCTGAGACAAGGCTACAATCTCTTCTGCCTATGAGTCCCTGAAGTTAAAAGGGTGTTCGTTTCTTTCAAGGTACAATGATGGTACAGGTATTGGGTAAGCTTTCTCAATCCAAAGGGAAGAAATTTCCAAGAAAAATAACACAAATGGGACCACAGGCCCAATGGACATCCAAAATCCCGCAGGTCAGTGTTCATTCAGTCTCACAGCTCCAAAATCATGAAGAGAACTCACTATCAGAAGGACGGCATTAAGGAGATGGTGTTTAACAATTTGTGAAGGATGCACCCCCACCCCTGCCTTACACCCCCAACCCCACCATAATCCCCTCCAACCCTCCTCACCACCCAATCCCCCCCAACCCTCCCCAACCCCCAGCCATCCAACCTGCACTCTCCGTCATGAATAAATCATCTTCCACCAGCCCCCACCTTTAACATTTCCCATTAACATTCCACAAGAGCTTTGGTAGAGACAGAGAGCCAAATCATATTACTCTGTCCCGGGTTGCCCAAAGTTCATGTCTTTCTCACATTGCAAAATGCAATGATGCCTTCCCTAGAGTCTCTCAAATCTTAACTCATTCCAGCATTTATTCAAGTGCCCAAAGCCCAGAGTCTTATCTGAGACAAGTCTACACTCCCTTCTGCCCAT
This sequence comes from Homo sapiens, assembly GCF_000001405.40. Classification (NCBI taxonomy): domain Eukaryota; kingdom Metazoa; phylum Chordata; class Mammalia; order Primates; family Hominidae; genus Homo; species Homo sapiens. Next base: position 13,891,837 of record NC_000021.9, read on the forward strand.
GAGCCACTGAATTATATATAAAGGAAGTTTACTACTTCCAAGGAGCAATCATTACACAGGTGTTGGGTAAGCATTCCCAGCCAAAAGGAAAAAAATTGCCAGAAAGAAGCTCAAAACACAGATGGGACTTACAGACCCCATGCAAGTCAAAAACCCAGCAGGCCAGTCATTGAATCCTACAGCTCCCAAATCATCTTTTGTGAATCTATACCCCACATCTGGAGCACAGGGGTGGATGGCTGTGCTCCCAAGACCTTCAGCAGCTCAGCATCTCTGGCTGTGCAGGGTATATCCCCCACAGGTGCCCTCATGGGCTGGGTTGGTGTTGAGTGCCTTTGACTTTTCCACACTGAGGGTGCCAGCAGTTGGTGCATCTATGAATCTGGGGTCTGGAAAATGGTGCATTCCTGTGTGGGGGCCCCAACCCTATATGTTCCTTCTGTACTGCCCTAGTAAAGGTTTCCCATGAGGCTCAGCGTCTTGGAAAAGCTTCTGTCTCAACACCCAGGTTTTCCCGTACATACTCTGGAGTCTACACAAAGGCTCCCAAGCCTCTATTTTTGGCTCTGTGCACCTGCTGGCTTAGTACTATGTGGAAGCCACCAAGGTTTGAAGCTTGCACCCCTGAAGCAGTGATGCAAGCTGTACCTGTGCATCTTTGAGCCATGGCTGGAGCTGGAGCTGGGGCTGCAGGGATGCAGGCAGCAGTGTCCTGAGGATGGACACAGCAGCGTGACCATGGGACTGACCCAGGAAAGGATTCTTCAGTCCTAGAACTCAGGAACTGTGACAGCAAGCTCTGCTGCAAAGGTCTCTGAAATGACTTCAAGGCCTTTTAGACATTGTCTTAGCTATTAGCACTGGGCTCCATTTTATGCAAATTTCGGAAGCCTTCTTGAATTTTCCCACTGAAAATCAGCTTTGCTTTTTGACCACATGGCCAGGCTGCAGATTTTCCAAACTTTTAAGCCCTGCTTCTCATTTAAATATAAGTTTCAATTTGAGGTCATTTATTCAGTCACAGAGAAGACCACAGGCTGTTCAAAAGAGACAAGACACCTCTTGAGCTTTGCTGCCTACTTCATTTCACCAGATATACCCTAAATCATCACACTCAAGTTCAAAGTTTCAGAGGTCTCCAGGGCAGGGACACCATCCAGCCAAGTTCTTTGCTAAGGCAAAACAAAAGTAACCTTGACTCCTGTTCCCAGTAAGTTGCTCATTTTCATCTGAGACCTTCTAAGTCTGGCCTTCACTGTCCATCCTTCAGTCACTCTTTTAATTATAGCTATGTAAAAAGTCTCTATGGTCACCCTTTTAATTTAACACGTCTCTACAATACTCCAAATTTTCCCTCATCTTTCTGTCTTCTTCCAAGACCCCCAAACTGTGCAGCGTCCGGTGATTACCCACTTCTGAACCTACTTCTACATTTTCAGCCACCGTTGTGGCAGCCTGGCAATGTGGTGAAAGGAGAAAAGTCCATTTTCAGGGGGAAAATTCAAGAAGGCTTCATATATTTCCATATAAAAGAAGCCAAATGCTAATGGTAAAAAAAAAAAAAGGTGGGGGGAAACCTTGAAGGCATTTCATAGCTCCAGTCTACAGTACAAATTTTCTGTAATATTATTTTTTAAAGAGGTTTAATTGGCTCATGGTTTTGCAGGATGTAAAGGCAGCAAGTGGTTTCTGCTTCTGGGAGGACTCAGGGAGCCTCCCAATCATACCAAAAGCCCAAGTGACAATGAGATGTTCCATATGGCAGGAGTAGGAAGAAGACACAGAGAGGAAAGAGGTGCCACACCAGGTTATACAACCAGATCTCATGAGAACTCACTATCAGGAGATCAGCATCAGGAAGATTAACCAATGGTGAAGGATCCACCCACACCACCGCCTACTGTTTCCAGGCAGAAGCTTCCTGCAGAGGCAGAATCTCCTGGAGAACCTCTACAAGTGCAGTGCAGAAGGAAAATATGGGCTCGGAGCTCCCACACAGGAGGCCACCATCCTCCAGACTGCAGATTCATAGACCCACCAACAGCTTGCACTCTCTGCATGGAAAAGCTACAGGCACTCAACACCAGCCCAGCCCATGAGAGCAGCCATGGGGGCTACACCCTGCAAAACCACAGGTGCACTGCCCTAGTAGAGACTTTCCATGAGCCTCTGCCTCTGCAGCAGGCTACTCCCACTTCCTGCTACCCACCACCCTCTCACCACCCTACTAACAACCTACTCCTCACCCTACCCACCCCTTTTCTTTCCACCCCCGGCCCCCTCCCATCCATGATTAAATCACCTCCAGCCAGGCCCCACCTCCAACATTAAAGATTACAATTCACGTGAGTTTTGGTAAAGAAACACAGCCAAATCATATTATTCTGACTCTGATCCCCACAGTCTCATGTCCTTCTCACAGAGCAAAATATATTCATGCCTTTTCAAAAGTTTCCAAAAGTCTTCAATCATTCCAACATTAACTCAAATGTAAGAAAATCAACATCTCCTCTGAGACAAGTCTACAGTACCTTTTGCCTATGAGTCCCTGAATTTAAAAGGATGTTCTTTTCTTTCAAGGTACAATAATGGTACAGGCTTTGGGTAAGCTTTTTCAATCCAAAGGGAAGAAATTTCCCAGGAAGAAAACACAAATGGGACCACAGGCCCAGTACACGTCCAAAACCCAGAAGGCCAGTATCCATTCAATCTTACAGCTCCAAAATCATGAAGAGAACTCACTATCAAAAGGACAGCAATAAGGAGATTGTTTAATCATCTGTGAAGGATCTGCCCCCCAACCCCCAATTTTCACTCCTCACCCGCACCATAAATCCCCCATTCTCCCTACGCCCCATCTTCCAACCCACACTCTCCACCGTGATTAAATCACCTTCCACCAGGCCCCACCTTTAACATTCCGAGGACAATACCACTTGAGTTTTGGTAGAGACACAGAGCTGAATTTTATTTTTCTGTCCCTGGCTCCCCAAATCACATGTCCTTCTCACATTGCAAAATACAATGATGCCTTCCCTACAGTCTCCTAAAATCTTATGCCATTATAGCATTTATACACATGTTCAAAGCTTAAAGTCTCATCTGGCACAAGGCTACAGTTGCTTAGACCCATGAGCATCTGAAATATAAAGCAAGTTAACTAATTCCAAGGTACAGTGCTTGTACAGGCATTGGGTAAGCATTCCCAGCCAAAAGAAAGAATTTTGCCAGAAAAAAACAAAACACAGACAGGACTTACTGGCCACATGAAACTCCTAACCCAGAAGGCCAGTCATTCAATCCTACAGCTGCAAAATCACCCTTTTTGAAACCCTGTCCCACATCCAGGGCACAGGGGTGTGAGGGCTGGGCTCCCAAGGCCTTGGGCAGCTTGGCACCTGTGGCTTTGCAGGGTTTATGCCTCTCGGCTGCCCTCAGGGGCTCGGCTGGTGTTGAGTGCCTGTGACTTTTCCCCACTAAGGATACAAGTTGTTGGGGGTCTATGAATCTGGGGTCTGCATGATGGTGGCCTCCAGTGTGGAGGCTCCAACCCCATGTTTTCCTTCTGCACTGCCCTAGTAGAAGTTTCATATAAGGCTCTGCCTTTTTGGGATGTTTTTGCCTGGACACCCAGGCCTTTCCATACATCTTCCAAAATCTATAGAGAGGTTTCCAAGCCTCTAGTCTCATGCTCCGTCCACCAGTGGCTTAACACTATGAGGAAGTTACCAAGGCTTCTAGCTGGCACCCTCTGTAGCAGTGACCCAAGCTGTAGCTGTGCATCTTTCAGTCATGGCTGGAGCTGGAGCTGGAGCTGCAGGGATGCAGGCAGCAGTGTCCTGAGGCTGCACACAGAGGGGGGGCATGGAACTGGCCCAGGAAACCATTCTTCTCTCCTAGGCCCCAGGGCCTGTAACAGCAAGGGCTGCTGCAAAGGTCTCTGAAATGCCTTCAAGGCCTTTTCCCTATTGTCTTGTCTATTAGCACTGGGCTCCTTTTCATGCGAGTTTCTGAAGCCTTCCTCAATTTTCCCCCTGAAAATCAGCTTTTCTTTTTGACCACATGGCCAGGCTGCAAATTTTCCAAACTTTTGAGTTCTGTTTCTCATGTAATGTAAGAGTTGGGACTCATTTAATGTAAGTCTCATCCAGAGGTCATTTCCTCCATCACACATAAGAGCACAGGCTGTGTGATGCAGACAGGACACCTCTTGAGTTTGCTGCCCAGTTCATTCCACCAGATACTCAGTAAATCATCACCCTCAAGTTCAAAGTTTCACAGATCTCCAGGGCGAGGTCACCGTGCAGCCACGTTCTTTGCTAAGGTAACAAAAGTAACTTTGACTTCTGTTCCCAGTAAGTGCTTCATTTTCATCTCAGACCTTCTAAGTCAGGCTTTCACTGACCATTTTCCTGTGAGCCTTCTGATCACAAGTGTTTAACAATTCTTTACAAAGATCCAAGCTTTCATTCATCTTCTTGTCTTTGAAGCCCTCCAAACTTTCCTGACCTCTGTCCGCTACTCCCTTCTGAACCTGCTTCTACATTATCGCTATCTTTGCCACAGCCTGGCAATGTGGTAAAGGAAAACAAGTCCATTTTCAGGGGGAAAATTCTTGAAGCCTTCACATACTTGAAAGAAAAGAAGCTGAGTGCTGATTGCCAAGACAATGACATTTAATAGTTCCACTTTGCACTACTAATTTTCTCTATGATCATAAAGAAAAGAGGTTTAATTGGCTCATGATTCTGCAGACCATAAGGAAACATAATGGCTTCTGAATCTGGGAGGACTCAGGAAGTCTCCCAATCATATCAGAATGTCCAGGGGCAATGACATAATTCATGTGGCAGGAGTAGGCACAAGACACACACAGGAGAGAGGGCCACACCCTATTATACAAACAGATCTCATGAGAACTCACTATCACAAGGTCAGCATCATGAAGATAGTGCTTAAACACTGATGAAAGAACAACCACCCACCCCCAATTCTTGCTGTTTCCAAACAGAAGCCTGCTGGACAGGCAAAGCCTCCTGGAAAACTTCTACCAGGGAAGTGTGGAAGGAAAATATGGGCTTGAAGCCCCCATGCAGATGGCCACCAACCTCCAGACCCCAGATTCATAGACCCACCAAGAGCTCACACCCTCTGTGGAAAAGCTACAGGCACTCAACAACAGCCCAGACCGTGAGAGCAGCTGCACGGGCTAAACCCTGCATAGCCACAGGTGCTCTGTCCTAGTAGAACTTTTCCATGAGTTTTGCCTCTCCAGCAGACTACTCCCCCTTCCTGCTACCCCCACCCTCCCACCACTCTACTGCCAGCCTACTCCTCCCCACCCTAACCAACCCTTTTGTGATACCCTACCTTGTTTTAACCTGGTCGACTCTCCCTTAGCTGCGAGAGCCAGAAAGACTCCATCTTGGCTCCTTCACTTGCAGCCCCTTACCCACCCCCCTTCCTCAAGGACTTAACTTGTGCAAGCTGACTCCCAGCACATCAAAGAATGCAATTACTGATAAGATACTCTGGCAAGCTATATCCATAGTTCCCAGGAATTCGCCCGGTTGATAGTACCCAAAACCCCCGCATTTGTGTCCAGTTGATAGCACCCAAAGCCCCCACATCTATCACCTTTGGATGGATTTAAAGCCCCTGCACATGGAAATGTTTGTTTTCCTGTAGCCATTTATCTTTTTAACTTTTTTGCCTGTTTTGCTGCTGTGAGAGTCCTTCAGCGAGGCTCCCCCTCCCCTTTCTAAGCCAAAGTATAAAAGAAAATCTAGCCCCTGCTTCCGGGCCAAGAGAATTTTGAGCACTAGCGGGCTCTCAGTTGCCGGCAATAAAGGTCTCCTGAAGTCGTCTCATAGTGTGGCGTTTCTCTACAACTCACTCGGTTACAACCCTTTTCCTTGCACCCTCAACGACCTCCAATCCATGATTAAATCATCTCCCCCAGGCCCCACCTTCAACATTTGGAATTACAATCGCACCTGAATTTTTATAGGGACACACAGCCAAACCGTATTATTCTGACCCTGATATTCCAGAATCTCATGTCCTTAACACAGAGCAAAATACAATCATGCCTTTTCAAAACTTCCAACAGCCTTAACTCATTCCTGTGTAAAAAGTTCAAAGTCTCATCTGAGACAAGGGTACTGTCCCTTCTGCCTATGGGTTCCTGAATTTAAAAGAGATTTCTTTTCTTTCAAGGTACAATGATGGTACAGGTGTTGTGTAAGCTTTATCAATCCAAAGGGAAGTAATTTCCCAGAAAACACAAATGGGACCGCAAGCCAAATGCAAGTCCAAAACCCAGCAGGACACTATTCACTCAATCTCGCAGCTCAAAAATCATCAAGAGAACTCACTATCATGCGGACAGCATTAAGGAGATAGCGTTTACCCATTTGTGAAGAATCTGCCCTCCCACCCTCATCTTTCACTCCCACCCACAAAATAATCTCTCCCATTCTCCCCACACCCCTACCTCCAACACCCACTCTTCTCCATGATTAAATCACCTCCCACCAGGTCCCACCTTTAACATTCCCCACGACAATTCCACATGAATATTGGTAGAGACACAGAATCAAATCATATTATTCTGGCTCTTGCTCCCCAAATCTTGTATCCTTGTCACGCTGCAAAATACAATGATGACTTCTCTACTGTCCCCCAATGACTTAACTCATTCCAGCATTTACTGAAATGTCCAAGGACTTACAGACCCCATACAAGTCAAAAACCCAGCAGGCCAGTCATTGAATCCTACAGCTCCAAATCATCTTTTCTGAATGGACATCTCCCATCCAGATCACAGGTGTGTCATGGCTGGGCTCCCAAGGCCTTGGGCAGCTCTGCACCTGTGGCTGTGCATGGTCTATCCCCCACAGCTGCCCTCATGGGCTGGGCTGGTGTTGAGTGCCTGTAGCTTTTCCACACCAAGGTTGGAAAAGCCAGCTGTTGGTGGGTCTATGAATCTGGGGTCTGGAGAATGGTGCCTCCATGTTTAGGGACTCCAGTCTTATATTCTCCTTCTGTACTGCCCTAGTAAAAGTTTCCCATGAGGCTCTGCCTCTTGGAAAAGCTTCTGCCTGAACACCCAGGTTTTTCCATACATACTCTGGAGTCTAGATGCAGGCTTCCAAGCCTCTAGTTTTGTTCTCTGTGCAGCTGCTGGCTTAACACCATGTGGAAGCCACCAAGGCTTGGAGCTTGCACCCCTGAAGCAGTGATGCAAGCTGTACCTGTGCATCTTTCAGCCATGGCTGGAGCTGGATCTGCAGGGATGCAGGCAGCAGTCTCCTGAGGCTGCACACAGAGGGGGTCATGGAACTGGACCAGGAAACCATTCTTCTCTCCTAGGCCCCAGGGCCTGACAGCAAGGGCTGCTGCAAACATCTCTGAAATGCCTCCAAGACGTTTTCCCCCAGTGTCTTGGCTATTAGCACTGGCCTCCATTTTATGCAAGTTTCTGGAGCCTTCATGAATTTTCCCCCTGAAAATCAGCTTTCCTTTTTAATCACTTGACCAGGCTGCAGATGTTCCAAACTTTTGAGCTCTGCTTGTCATTTAAGTATAAGTTCCAACTTAAGGTCATTTCCTCGGTCACACATAACCTCAGTCACACATGAAAGCACAGGCTGTTTGATGCAGACATGCCCCCACCCTTGTGCTATGCTGCCTAGAAGTTCTTTCCACCAGATATGCACTAAATCTTCACCCTAGAGTTCAAAATTTCACAGATCTTGAGGGCAAGGTCGCCCTGCAGCCATGTTCTTTGCTACAGCAAAACAAAAGCTAACCTTGGCTCCCGTTCCCAGTAAGATCCTCATTTTCATCTGAGACCTTGTAAGCCTGGCCTTCACTGTCCATCCTTCTGTCAGCCTTTCAATCACAACTATTTAACAAGTGCCTACAATGGTCCAAACTTTCCTTCATCTCTCTGTCTTCTTTCAAGATCTCCAAACTCTCCAACCTCTGGCTGTTACCCACTTCCGAACCTGCTTTACATTTTCAGCTATCTTTGTTGCAGCCTGGCAATGCAGAAGAAAAAGAAGTCCATTTTCAGGGGGAAACTTCAAGAAGCCTTCAGATATTTGCATTAAAAAGAAGTCCAGTGCTAATAGCCAAGACGATGGGGAAATGTCATTGAAGATATTTCATAGCTCCACTTCGCAGTACTTTATTTTCTGTATGATCGTAATGAAAAGGGGTTTAATTGGCTCATGGTTCTGCAGGCTGTAAAGAAAGCATAGTGGCTTCTGCTTCTGGGAGGACTCAGGAAGCCTCCCAATCACAGCAGTAGGAAAACTGCAATGAAATGTTTCATACAGAAGGAGTAGGAGCAAGGCTGAGAGAGGAAAGTGGTGCCACACCATCCTGTAACCAGATCTCATGAGAACTCACTATCACTAGGTCAGCATCAAGAAGATGGTGCTTAACCGTTGGTGAAGGATCCGCCCCCCAACACAGCTCCACCCCCTACCGTTCCAGACAGAAGCCTGCTGCAGAGGCAGAGGCTCTTGGAAATCCTGTACTATGGCAGTGCAGAAGGAAAATAAGGGCTTTGAGTGACTATGCAGGAGGCCACCAGCCTCTAGACCCCAGATTCATAGACCTACCAACAGTTCACACCCTCAGTATGGAAAAGTGATAGGCACTCAACACCAGCCAAGCCCATGAGAGCAGCCATGGGGCCTAAAGCCTCCAAAGCCACAGGCGCACTGCCCTGGTAGAGGTTTTCCATGAGCCGCTGCCTCTGCAGCAGGCTACACCCCCTTCCTACTACCCACCACCCACCCACCACCCTACAGCCAGCCTACTCTTCCCCACCCTACCCACCCCTTTTTTCTTCCACCCCTACCCCTCCCATGCATGATTAAATAATCTCACACCAGGCCTCACCTCCAACATTTTGGATTACAATTCCACATGAGTTTTTCCAGGGGCACATAGCCAAATCATATTATGCTGACCTTGACCCCCCCAAATCTCATATCCTTCTCACAGAATAAAATACAATCGTGTCTTTTCAAAGTTTCCAAAAGCCTTAACTCATTCCCGCATTAACTCAAATATAAAAAGTTCAAAGTCTCATCTGAGACAAGGCTACAATCCCTTCTGCATATGAGTCCCTGAAGTTAAAAGGGTGTTCGTTTCTTTCAAGGTACAATGATGGTACAGGTATTGGGTAAGCTTTCTCAATCCAAAGGGAAGAAATTTCCAAGAAAAATAACACAAATGGGACCACAGGCCCAATGGACATCCAAAATCCTGCAGGTCAGTGTTCATTCAATCTCACAGCTCCAAAATCATGAAGAGAACTCACTATCAGAAGGACGGCATTAAGGAGATGTTGTTTAACCATTTGTGAAGGATGCACCCCCACCCCTGCCTTACACCCCCAACCCCACCACAATCCCCTCCAACCCTACCCACCACCCAGTCCACCCCAAACCTCCCCACCCCGCCAACCATCCAACCTCCACTCTCCATCATGTTTAAACCACCTTCTACCAGCCCCCACCTTTAACATTTCCCATTAACCTTCTGCTTGAACTTTGGTAGAGACAGACAGCCAAAACATATTATTCTGTCCCTGGTCCCCCAATGCTCATGTCTCTCTCACATTGCAAAATGCAATGATGCCTTCCCTAGAGTCTCTCAAATCTTAACTCATTCCAGCATTTACTCAAATGCCCAAAGCCCAGAGTATTATCTGAGACAAGTCTACACTCCCTTCTGCCCATGAGCCACTGATTTGTAAAGCAAGTTTATTACTTCCAAGGTAAATGATTGTACAGGCAATGGGTAAGCATTCCCAGGCAACAGAAAAAAAGAAAATTGCTAGAAAGAAGCACAAAACACAGATGGGACTCATAGGATACATAAGTGTCCAAAACCCAGCAGGCCAATCACTCAATCCTACAGCTCCAAAATCATCGTTTTTGAATCCTTGTCCCACATCCATGGCACAGGGCTGTGAGGGCTGAGCTCCCAAGGCCTTGGGCAGATCTGACCTGTGGCTTGGCAGCGTTCAGCCTCTGCAGCTGCCTCTCATGGACAGGGCTACTGTTGAGTGCCCATAGATTTTCCACACTGAGGGTGCAAGCTGTTTGTAGGTCTATGAATCTGGGGTTTGGACATTGATGCCTCCCTCTGTGGGGGCTTCAACCCTATAAGTCTCTTCTTTGCTCCCCTAGTAGAGGTTCCCCATGAGGTTCTGCCTCTTGGAAAAGCTTCTTCCTGGCCATCCAGGATTTTCTGTACATCTTCTGGAGTCTAGACAGGAGCTCCCAAGCCTCTAGTCTCTTTCTCTGTGCACCTACTGTCTTAACACTATGTGGAAACCATCAAGGCTTTGAGCCACCTCTGAAGCAGTGACCCAAGCTGTACCTGTGCATCTTTCAGCCATGGCTGGTGCTGGAGCTGCAGGGATGCAGGCAGCAGTGCCCTGTGGTTGAGCACAGCAGCAGAGCCATGGGACTGGCCCAGGAAACCATTCTTCTCTTCTCTCCTAGGCCCCACGGTCTGTGACAGCAAGGGCTGCTGCAGAGGTCTCTAAAATACCTTCAAGGCCAGTTTCCCACTGTCTTGGCTGTTTGCACTGGGTTCCTTTTTATGCAAATAACCTAAGCCTTCTTGAATTTTCCCCCTTAAAATCGGCTTTTCTTTTTGACCACTTGGCCAGGCTCCAAATTTTCCAAATTTTACATCTCCACTTGAAGTTCCAACTTGAAGTTATTTCTTAGGTCACACATAAGAACACAGGCTGTTCAATGCAGACAGGACACCTCTTGTGCTATGCTGCCTAGATGTTCATTTCACCAGATACATCCTAAATCATCACCCCCAAGTTCATAGTTTCACAGATCTCCAGGGCAGGGTCCCTGTGCTGCCACGTCCTTTGCTAAGGCCAATCAAATGTAATATTGGCCCCTGTTCGTAGGAAATTCCTCATTTTCATCTGAGAACTTTTAAGTCTGGACGTCAGTGTTTACCCTTTTCTCAGCCTTCTGATCACAAGTATTTAACAAGTCTCTATAGTGGTCCAATATTTTCCTCATCTTGTTGTCTTCTAAGCTTTCCCAACTCTTCCTACCTCTGTCTTTTACCGACTTCTGAACCCGGTTCTACATTGTCAGCTATCTTTATCAGAGCCTGGCAATGTGATAAAAGAGAAAAGTCCATTTTCAGGGGGAAAATTCACAAAGGCTTCAGATATTTCCATGAAAATAAGCTGAGTGCTGGTTGCCAAGACAAAGGGGAAAGGGCCTTGAAGGCATTTCATGGCTCCACTTCACAGCACTAATTTTCTGTATGATCATAAAGAAAAGAGGTTTAATTGGCTCATGGTTCTGCAGGTTGTAAAGGAAGCATAGTGGCTTCTGCTTCTGGGAGGATCAGGAAGCCTCCCAGTCATACCAGAAGGCCAAGGGGCAAGGAGATGTTTCATATGGCAGGAGTAGAAGCAAGACTGAGAGAGGAAAGAGGTGCCACACCCTGTTATATAACCAGACCTCATGAGAACACACTATCATGAGGACAGCGTCAAGAAGATGCTGCCTAACCATTGGTGAAGGATCTGCCTCCCACCCCCACCTCCCAATGTTTCCAGGGAGAAGCCTGCTGCAGACGCAGAGTTCTTGGGAAACCTCTACTAGGGCAGTGCATTAGGAAAATATGGACTTGGAGCCCCCACACAGGGGACTACCACCCTCCAGACCCCAGATTCATAGACCCACCAACAGCTTGCACCCTCCGTGTGGAAAATCTACAGGCACTCAACACTAGTCCAGTCCATGAGAGCAGACATGTTTCTCAAACCTGCAAAGCCACAGGTGCACTGCCCTAGTAGGGGTTTTCCATGAGGCTCTGCCTCTGCAGCAGGCTACTCCCCCTTCCTCTACCCACCACCCTCCCACCACCCTACAGCCAGTCTACTCCCTCCCACCGTACCCACCCCTTTTTCCCTTCCACATCCACCCCCACCCATCCATGATTAAATCAGTCCCTCCCACTCCCTCTCATACTCTTATCCCTCCAAACCCTTCCAATCTTTGTTTGCTACCCACTACTGAGCCTGCTTCTACTTTTTCAGGTATCTATATAGCAGGTTGGCTATGTAGCAATAACAAAAATCCCATTTAAGGGGAAAAATTCAAGAAGATTTCAGAAATTTGCATATAAAGAAGCCCTGTGCTAATAGCCAAGACAAAGGAAAAAAGGCCTTGAAGACATTTCACAGCTCCTCTCTGCAGTTCTAATTATCTGTATTATTGTAAATAAAAGAGGTGTAATTTACTCATAGTTCTGCAAGCTGTGAAGGAAGCATAGTGTCTTCTGTTTCTGGGAGGAATCAGGAAGCCTCCTCATTATATCAGAAAGCCAAGGGAAAATGAGATGCCTCCTAAAGCAGGAGCAGGAGGAAGACAGAGTGAGGAAAGAGGTTCCACAGCCTGTTAAGGAATCAGATCTCATGAGAACTCACTCACTATCAGGAGGTGATGGTCCTTTATCAAGGTGATGGTCCTTTATCATTCGTGAAGGATCTACCTGCACCATTTTATGACTAAATCTTTTTCCACCTAGGCCCCGCCTCTGACATCACAGAATATAATTCCACATGAGTTTTGGTAGGGACATAGAGAAAAACCATATTATTCTGTCCCTGACCCCACGAATCTCATATCCTTCTCACATTGCAAAATACAATCATGCCTTGCCAGCAGTCTCCCAAAGTCTTAACTCACTTCAGCATTAACTCAAAGTTACAAGGTCCAAAGTGTCATCTGGGTCAAGGCTACAGTCTCTTTGCCTATGAGTCTCTGAAATAAAAAGCAAGTTCACTGCTTCTAAGGTACAATGATGGTACAGGCATTGTGTAAGCTTTCCATATCCAAAAGGAAGACATTTTCCAGAAAGCTTCTTACTTCTCTCTGAGACCTCTTCAGCCTGGCCTTCACTGTCCATGTTTCTGTCAGGATTTTTGTCACAACCATTGAACCAGTCTCTAGGATGGTCCAAAAGTTTTCTCATCTATCTGTCTTCTTTTGAGCCCTCCAAATTCTTCCAACCTCCATCCATTACCTGGTTCCAAAGCTGCTTCCACATTTCCAGGTATCTTTATAGCAATGCTCCAGTCTTCATTTGCCATTTTCTGTATGATTTATTTTGAAAAAGAGGTTTAATTGTCTCATGGTTCTAAGCACAGTGCTTCTGCTTCTAGGAGGCCTCAGAAATCTTTCAATAATCATGGAAGGCAAAGAAAGAATCAGTTCTCTCACATGGCAAGAGGAAAACACAGAGAGTAGGGATGTGACATAGAGTTTTCAGTGACCAGTTCTCATGAGAAGTCACTCATTATTGTGAGCATGGTACAAGGGGATGGTGCTGAACCATTCATGAGAAATTTGCCTTCATAATTCAATCACCTTATAGCAGGATCCACCTTCCACATTAGGAAATATAACTCAACATGAGATTCCGTGTGGACACATATTCGAATTGCATCATCGATCTTTGAATATAAAGACTTCCACAGCAGGCTTTATCCAGCCAACTTCTTTGAGACTCTTTATAGGGTTTGAGGTCTAGAGCACATACACTAAAATATTCATACTTCAAAAAGCAATAAAGTGGTATTATCATTTTTCCAAAAGTTACAGCGGTAGTTTAGGCATTCATAGCATGATTTAGTTCACATTTGCTACCGTTTCTATTCTATCACCATATTAACTGTTTCCTATACAATTCTGTATTCAGCTGGATTTCAGTTGAGCACAAAACCATCCTTGTACTAGCTCTTTGTTAGTGTTATTATTCTGCTGTAGAAAGTATCCTTGAACTGGAAACAGTCCACGATGGAGTATCGAGTCATTCAACACTATCAATTCCTGGGTGACTTTTTGAAAAAGTAGTATCTCTTGTTGCAAGAAATGCTGCATCTGTGAGTCCATGTCTCTCACTGGAATTGGATGGAAGTGGTGAATTTCAGCCAAAGTGGCCAAAGAAATCCTGTTCCTGTGATTCTGACATCATCAGCCTCTGCACCTTTATATTCCCTTCTGCCACTTGTTGTTTGCTCTCCGTGACTTTAGTAAGAGCTTCCTTGTGTATGTGGATGATGTCCAGGATGTTGGTCTGGTGTCCCTGAGACAGCACTAACAGGTCCATGGCTGGGTCCAGGTCCTGCCTGGACTGATTGGCAAAGACCTCACAGACAGTGTGGAAGGCATCTATACTCAAGTGAATGGCCTGGTCCAGCTCCAAGGCCTGGCTGAGGCTGAAGAAGAACTGGCAGCCTTCTGATGCTCTTTCTTAAAGCCTGTCACCACTCATTGGCTGTGAAGTTGAGCTGAGTGCCCTGTTGTCCATCTTCTTGGTGAAGCACTTGAAGCCGTCAATCTTGCTCTCCCACTCCTAAAGGTTGAGTGTCGCCCTGGGGGTGGGCTCAGGGTCAGGAAGAATCTGGCACTCACCAACTCATCCTTCTCAGCCTTCCTCTTGCCCTGTCTCCAGGCTGTCTCTTCAGTGCTGGTGGGGCGCATCAGGAAGTGACAAAAAATGTGGCACTGTGCCTGCATCCAGAAGCTGGCCGTGTGGTTCATCCACCAGATTGGGCCCTTTCTGCACTTGAACATAGACCCCACTTCACCATAGATGCCTTCCACACTGTCAGTGAGCTCTTTGCCAATCAGCCCAGGCAGGACCTGGACCCAGTCATGGACCTGTTAATGCTGTCTCAGGGACACCAGGCCAACACCCTGGACATCATCCACATACCCAAGTAATCTCTTACCAAGTCCTTCTCAAGATGGCCTGTGGTCTGCCTCTTGGCATCCAAGAAGCCCACAGTGCTGTAGAAGCCCTGATGCATGGAATGGAGCCCCAAAGGCAGCACACACCCCGCTCCTGAGCCTACTGCTCATTTCCTCTATGTGGCTCCATTTGCAGCACATTTGTTGCACTGAGGCCTGTGCATGCCAGGCAAGGCCAAGCTGACTCAAAGAGCAACCAGCCACCTCTGCAAGGGTGTGCCAGGAGCCGGTGGACCAGCCACCAACCTTACTCCCTGCCAGTCAGGGTAAATCAGTTATTGTGCCCTGGAGGTAGAGCCCCAGTGCCATCCGCTTTTCCTCAGGCCTCCACTCCATCAGCTGTCAGGTGGTGGTAACTCAGGCTGTGGGAACCTGGCCATCCCTGTTTCCTTTAAGTGGGGGAGGTTGGTGGCTGGTCCACCTGCTCCTGGCACACCCTTGCAGAGGTAACTGGTTGCTCTTTGAGCCAGCTTGGCCTCACCTGGCATACACAGGCCCCGGGTACTGACAAGCTGCTCCGAGTGAGTTTGTCTTGTCTTGGGCCAAATTCTAAGTCTGGCCAGGGCCACAGAAGGCCAAGTCCCCTGGGTGGTAATCCTGGCTGCTGCAGGGGGGCCTATGGTGCCCCTCCCCTCCCAGGGCTCAGGATGAGGTCCAACTGGGACAGGATGCTTTAGGTATGGGACTTGTGCCCCAGGAGGGGTCCTCTATCACACAGGTTGGGTGAGAAGATGTATGGCATGCTGCTGGCTGCCAGGGCTGTTGGGATGCACGTTCACCCTTCCCTTCAGGGACCTCAAAGTGACCAGCTTCCCCTTTAAGAATGACTTCCCAAGGCTCAGGAGCCATCTGGGGCTGCAGAGCAGCTGGCCGCATGCTGCCCTGGCTTCTTCCATGTTGTGCTGGTCACTACCCACCAAGGGGGTTCAGATGCAGGCACGATGCAGGACGGTTGTCTCTGGACCTGCGTCTTGGTTATCATGGAGCTGGACTGGGCCTGGTGACAGGGCCCTGATGGGGTTGTCCTGGGTGGTCACGGGGGTGATGAGAAAAATGCAGAATGGAATTGCTGCGAGGATGAATGAGACGACCGTCAGCACAGAACAGGCACCCGGTGAGTGTTCAGGGATTCCCCTCAGTAGCTGCCCAGAGGCCAAAACCACCCACCTGATAGTGACTGTCCCCAAGCCAGGAGGAAGAGAAAAGAGCATGTCCCACTCACCTGAGTCTGATCAGTGAGCTGTGTTGAGATGTGCCTCTCATCTAGAAAACGGTCCTTCACACAGAGCCACTCACGACACTGCTGTGTGTCTCTAACTGCTCCACAACACAGAGGCGATGGGGACTCAGCAACAGTGACACTGTGGGGTGACACAACCCACCACAATGGAAGCCTGCTTGGGTCAACAGGGCCCAGAGTCAGTGTCCTCTATCCCCTGAACTGACATGTGTGCATGCAATGTGTTTGTGTATGCATGTGTGCCTGTGTGTGTGTGCGCGCACTTATGTGTGTGTTTGTCTTGCTTCTCTGGACAGGCCTAGCTTCTCCACTCATGGGTGCACCCAGGTCCTCATCACTGTCACCTTAGAGTGGGGATGCAGACAGAGGAGGGGCACTGCATAATGCTGAGAGGGCTGGCACCCTCTCTAGGTGGAACACTGGTCATTTGTAAAGTTGTAGGTCTGCCAAGCAGTATTGCATTCAACACATCTTCTCACTTTCTCTTTCCAGCCACCCTCCAGGGTGCCCTGACTCACCTTCCCTGCAGATGGAGGTGAGGCTCCACAGACAAACCCCCTACCTGAGGTCACACAGTGGCCAGCGGGCCAGGTACTGACCAACCGCCGCTGACCAGGTTCCCAGTGATGAGGCCCCTAATGACCACTCCTCCATTGACCAGGTCCCACTGATCAAGTCCCCACTGACCATGTCTTCCTAACCAGGCCCGCAGTTAATAGGCCTCATGGGCCGGACTCCACTGACCAATTTTCCACTGACCTGGTCCCCAGTGACAAGACCAGGTTTCCACTGACAAGACCACTATTTACCAGGTTGCTGCTCACCCGACCCCCCACTGAACAATTCTCCATGGATGAGTCCCCAGCTGACCAAGCCACCTCTGACCAGGCCCTCACTGACCAGGCTCCAAGCCACCAAGGCCTCACACTGACCAGGCCCCTGGTATACTGTATATGCCCCACCAACCAGTTTTTCATTGTTTATGTTCCAACCAATCAGGCCCCACTAATAAGGCCACCACTGACTAGGTCCCCCCACTGACCAGGCTTCCAATGACTAGGTCAACAGGTCCCCACTGATGAGGCCTTTACTGAGGAGCCCACCACTAACCAGGCGCCTGCTGATGAGGTCCCAAATACTAGGTCCTGATGACCAGGTCACCTCTGACCATGGTCCACTGACCAGGCCCCTGAGCAGCCGTGCTCAAAGTCTTATTACAATGTCCCCCTCAGCTCACAGACCCTCCCTCCCTGCATGTGGGCCCAGAGGTCAGGCCCTGGGGTTTTTTTTTTTTTTTTTGGGGAAATGGCCTTTCCTCCAAGACACAGGGAGAGACAGTCGGCCTCAGGGTCCAGGTTCCCAGCTCCACACTCACCCCAAAGGCCCTCTGGGCCCATCTCAAAGGAGACAGTGAGGTGGCCTGGCACTGCCTGGACACACCATCTACCCTATTCCTGAGTGTCAAAGTGTTAGGAAGGGAGGGACATTTGGCAGATGAGACACACTGTGCTGTTGGGTCTCCCAGGACCCTTCCCACAGAGCCCCGATCTAAAGACACAGCACAGAGGCTACAGGAAGACTAATCCAGAACCTCTGAGGCTGAGCCAGGGACCACATGAGGACTGTCCCCAGAGAGCCAGAAGGCCCTTTGCTAGTTTCTTGGTACCTCAGTGGATGCAGCAGCTGTTCTTCTGTTGGGGACCAGTGAGTACACGCTGGGGAGGGCTCGCCTGTGCTTCCTCAGTGGCTCCACCTCTGCTTCTAAAAAAAATTACTCATTCCAGCGCTGGGGCAGAGAAAATACAAGATGAGCTTAGAACATCTTGTGCCAGAAAGTAAAAAAGTGCTGACAGAGTAATGGAGACAAATCAAAAACACAACAAGTCAGCTTGGAATGTCTACCACTGGCCTAATCTTGGGGAATTGGAGCATCAGAATCATGAGCTTTCCTTCTCCCTTATTTATTGGTTTTATTTCTCCATGTAGACCAAAGAAGAGAATAAGAAAATAATCATCTGGCAACCATCATAGTAATAATTGTTCAAACACAAGTCATCCATGAAATGCTAAATCTAGTGGGTTCTGAGGAGTAACCAGATATTTACAGAGCCTCAAAGTATCTCCATACAAAATATGGTTGAACTACAAAAACAAAATAGTAGCATTAGCATGGACAAACCTGGCAGGTACTCCTTAAGTCTCCTAAGTAATAAAAACTGTAAACTGCAAATAAGCCTTCGATGACCTTTACTAACCTTTACTAAAGTATCAATGATGACTTGGTTGTTTAAACAGCTGATATTTGGGCAATTTGAGTATGTCAAACTAAATAATACTTGTTTTCATTTGCAAGATCCACTTAAAACTTAAGGAGGCTAAAAAACATCATTTAAAATACCCTATAAATTATCATCGTACATATGATACAAAAATATCCTACTTCAGTAAATATTGTAATGTTATATATTTTATGAGAAACAATTAAAATGTGTAAATAGCCCAGTAATAAAGTTTTATAATCTTTTAAATCATACAATTTTTCCTTAAAACTTTATGGCTAAATATTCTCTTCATTAGATGTGGCTTACCAGTGGATTCTAGAGAAGAAAATAGATGGGAGCAAGTGTCCAACACAGCAACAGCTAGAAAGAAAAATAAAGAATTATGTCCTTTACCTAAAGCACTTCAGTTAACTAAATGTGAGTTTAAAAACTAAAGAGTTGTGAACTTTATCAGAGTTTATAAGTATGAGAAATATGTATGTACATTTACAATACAAAATTACTATTTAATAATTTACACATGGCATTAATTCTAATTGTGTTTAAATATCAGAGCTTTTTCATTCTTCATTCATGTAATCAACAGCCATGTGCCAAGGTACTAGAACCAGCACTGTAATTACAAGAGGAAGATGGTGTGGTCCACCTCTCAACAGTCATATGCTATAACCTAAAAAAACAGACAGGCAGGTAATGTCCATATAGAGTCATAGATACCATGACAGGTATACAGCAGGGCACTACTGGAACACACAGAAGGGACACCTACCCACTTTTATGTCAACATCATGGGCTTTCTGATGGAGGAGATATCATAGGTTGATACCTGAAGGACAAGGAAAAGCTTGCCAGATAGAGGGAAGAGGCAAAGGCAAAGAGCCTGAGATGAGGAAGAGCCCTGCAGAGTTCCACTCCATCAAGTTTGGGCTACAGCAAAGGGTAGAGTGAAGTAAGTGGTGAGAGACAAGGCTGAGTAACTTGACAAGAATTACATTGACATGGGTGTTTTTATTTCATGGTGAAAAATCTGGAATGTTTCCTGAGAACAAGTGTAAGCCAATGACACAGTAAATGACAGGAGATTTAAAATGTCACCTGTCAAGTGACTGCTTATGAAGGGTTATTGCTCAACTAAGCATTTCTGAATGAGTCTAAGGTCTGTTGGCCTTCAATTTCTACCAAAACCCTGAGAACTTGATGATGCCTGTGTTTTCTGAGAATCGTTTCAGTGTGCTGGCTGACAGTTCCATGAGGATGGCAAAACTTAAGAAAGTGTAGAGCCAGTGAAAAAGAGATGCACAGACTTCTTGGGAATTTTTTAAGCTACAGAACATGATGAATTTATGGTGCATAAGTACAGTCTTCTCTGTGAAAGTTTTTGTTTTCACATCTTTCATTAGATGTGTGTAAGAAAAAAAATACTTGACGTAGTATCTACTAACCCAAGAATGAAAAGGAATGCCATTTGCTATTTACACTTTATTTCTAAAATAAACCTAAATTTAATTAATAAATTTTGGCAACATACTTCTCTTTGTTTCTCTAATTATTTGTTCCACACAGTCCAGCTCCATCTAAAATAAGTAAAAATAATAATAATGTTTAAGTTAAACAAGAAACATTATCATGAAAATAATGTATCATTTACAAAATGTGGCCTTTAGTATTTTTAGTGACTAGACATAACTTGAAGTTTGCTTAAATAGAAAAATAATCACATAAATAAAGTAAAATTTCTACTTATTTTAAGTTTAGATAACAGAGGATGTATATGTGTAATGCTGTTTAGAGTAATCGGACAAAAATACAGTTAATATTGATCTATTGCATATACATGATTTTAGAAAGGTAGTGTTTTATTAGTACAAAGGTTAAACAATGGCCAGGCATGGTGGCTCATACCTGTAATCCCAGCACTTGGGGAGGCCAAAGCAGGCAGATCACAAGGTCAGGAGATCGTGACCATCCTGGCCTACATGGGGAAACCCCATCTCTACTAAAAATACAAAAATTAGCTGGGCGTGGTGATGCGAACCTGTAGTCCCAGCTACTTGGGAGGCTAAGGCAGGAGAATTGCTTGAAGCCAGGAAATGGAGGTTGCAGTGAGCCAAGACTGCACCACTGCACTCCAGCCTGGTGACGGTGAGACCTTGTCTCAAAAAAAAAAAAAAAAAGATTAAGTAATTAAAGCCATCTTTTGCAATGAATGCATTGCTTTGAAATTCTTAGAAAACTCTGCCCTTTATAAAAGTTTAATCCATTTTTTACTTCAATAAATTTTATCTTAAAAAGAAATTTCTATTCTCTACTTATAGTAAACTTTTCTTTCTTTTTTTTTTTTTTTTTTAGTTTATATTCTAAATTAAGGTGGTACCTCTGTAGGATTCTTCCAAAGGCATATTGAGGGATGCCGAGGTTTGCAGTACAGTTGAGCCCATCACACAGGTAGTGAGCGTAGGACCCAGTAAGTAGTTTTTCAACCCTGGCCCACTCTGTCCCTCCCTGCTCTTATTTCCTAGTGTCTATTATTCCCATGTTTATGACAATGTGCACCCAATGTGTAGCTTCCACATGAGTGAAAACATGAGATACTTGGTTTCTGTTTCTGCATTGGTTTGCTTAGGAGAGTGGATTCCAGCTGTATCCATGTTGCTGCAAATGATGTCACTTTGTTCTTTTTATGGCTGCTTAGTATTCCATGGTATATATGGAATTTTCCAATCTACCTTGGATTTTCAATCTACCTTGGATGCACCTGGATTGACTCCATGTCTTTGCTATTGTGAATAGTGCTGCAATGAACATACATGTGCATGCATCTTTTTGTTACAATGATTTATTGTCCTTTCAGTATAACCCTAGTATAGTAATGGGGTTGCTGCATCCAATGGTCATTCTTAGTTCTTAATTTCCAAACTGCTGTCCATAGTAGCAGAATTAATTTGCATTGCCACAAACGGTGTGTGTTCCCTTTTCTCCACAGCCTCCCCAACATCTTTTATTTATTTATTTATTTATTTTACTTTTTAACAAAAGTCATTCTGACTGGTGTGAAATGGTATCTCACTGATGTTTTGTTTGGCATTTTTCTGATTAGCAATGGTAAGCATTTGTTAATGTTTGTTGGCCACTTACATGTGTTATTTTGAGAAGAGTCTGTTCATGTCCTTTGCCCATTTTTAATGGTGTTATTTATTTTTTGCTTGTTGATTTGTTTAGGTCTCTTATAGATTCTGGATAATAGGATAATATGCATTTGCTATACCCATAGTTTGTGAATATTTTCTTCCATTCTTTAGGCTGTCTGTTTAATCCCGTGATAGTTTCTCGTGCTGTGCAGCTCTTTAGCTAAATTAGATCACACTTGTCAATTTTTGTTATTCTTGCAATTGCTTTTGAGGACTTAGCCATAAATTGACAAATATGATGTCTAGAAGAGTATTTCCTAGGTTTTCTTCCAGGATTTTTATAGCCAGAAGATGTACTCTTATGTAAGAAAAGCACAAGCCTTTTTTTTTTTTTTTTTTTTTTTGAGACGGAGTCTCCATCACCCAGGCTATAGTGCAGTGGTATGATCTTGGCTTACTGCAACCTCTGTCTCCTGGGTTCAAGTGATTCTCCTGCCTCAGCCTCCTGAGTATCTGAGATTACACATGCCTGCCAACATGCCTTGCTAATTTTTGTATTTTTACTAGAGACAGGTTTCATCATGTTGACCAGGCTGATCTCAAACTCCTGACCTCAGGTGATTCACCTGCCTTGGCCTCCCCAAATTTTGGGATTACAAGTGTGAGCCACCACGCCTGGCCAAGCACAAAGCTTTTAACATAAAAATGGAAATGAACATTTTAGTGTTTGGTTTAATTCATAAAATGCAATTATTTTGGATTCTCCTAAATAATAAACATCCATATGTGGTAAAGTGTTTGGATGCCAATCATTCAGTTGTGATTATGGGTGGGAAGAGTTGAGATGGTGCAAATAAACTTTTTTCTAATTTTTTATTTTCAAGACGGAGTCTTTCCCTGTTACCCAGGCTGGAGTGCAGTGGTGCAATCTCAGCTCCTGCAACCTCTGTCTCCCAGGTTCAAGCAATTCTCTGCCTCAGCCTTCCTAGTAGCTGGGATTACAGGTGCCCGCCACCACACCTGGCTTTTTTTTTTTTTTTTTTTTGTACTTTTAGTAGAGACGGGGTTTCACCATCTTGGCCAGGCTGGTCTTGAACTTCTGACCTCGTGACATTCCTGCCTCGGCCTCCCAAAGTGCTGGGATTACAGGCATGAGCCACCGCACCTGCCTGGTGCAAAGAAACTTTAAAAGTGACAAGGGCCGGGTGCGGTGGCTCATCCTGTAATCCCAGCACTTTGAGAGGCTGAGGCAGGCAGATCACAAGGTCAGGAGTTCAAGAAGAGCCTGGCCAATATGGTGAAACCCTGTCTCTACTAAAAATACAAACCTTAGCTGGGTGTAATGGTGGGTGCTTGTAGTCTCAGCTACTTGGGAGGCTGAGGCAGGAGAATCACTTGAACCCGGGAGGTGGAGGTTGCAGTGAGTGGAGATGGCACCACAACACTCCAGCCTGGGTGACAGAGTGAGACACTGCCTCAAAAAAAAGAAAGAAAAATGTGGTATGAACCACAGCCAAACTACAATCAATTAGAGAGTAAGCCAAAGTATCTCAAAGTATATCATCAGTTATAAGGCAATAACATGCAATTTCTAAAACCTAACTTAAATGCAGCTTTTAAAGACATTTTAAACATGTCAGTTTAGTCACATTTATTGAATAAAGTTAGCAAATGGATATCTCTCAAAAATGAGAGCTCCAGGGAATTAAAAAATGTAAAGTTCCCATTTCCTTTCTGTGTTAACACAGCTAATTATGATCTTTACTTAACATGCATAAGTCAACAGAACAACTCAGTATTTCACCAAATTAAAAACAAGAATTACGCTAGAGAAATGAAACCCTAAAGAGAAACGGTCATATAACGAACCTCAGTCAAGTAGTTCTGGCAGTTATTTGAGGTCTGAGGGTTTGAAGTAGGAATTCTTACGGGCATTTGGGGAATATATTTTCTGTTGAGTCCTATACTAGTAAGATTTTCAACACAAGGTGACTCTGGGCCTCGCCTTGTAGGAAGAGTGCTGAGAAAATATTTCACCCGCTCTTTCTCCATAAGGAGCTTGGTGCTGATCATTGCTATTTTCTTATTAGATCTATAAAGATAGCAAAGACAAATGCTTAGTATTTCATTTTTCCTTAAATGATTCTTAATGACTTGTAGTTTTTAAAAACTTGCCCTGAGAGTAAACCAAATTACCCACTAAACAGTGTTTTCACACTGAAGATGTGTGAGAGCATACCTATTGTAAGGAATTATACTTTTAAAATCACTCTAAAGAAGCACCTGTGTTTCTAAGGTGATTTATACTGAAGAAGCAGCTCAAACAAAGTAGACAGGGAAGAGAAATGGCTACCAGTGATGTATGGCTCAACGGGTAAAACTTGCTGCCTTCTAAAATGGCTCTACCTGTAAGATTCTGAAGATTCCACTTGAAATACTTGTATTTAAAGGGTAACAACATGGGAAAAGGAATATGTTGATTTGCTTGATTATAAGAACCACTTCACTAGAAATAATTATATCAAAACATCATGTTGTGCTCCTTAATGTAGGTTAAGAAAACTAAAATGAACAAAAAAAATCTAGGAATACTTGTGTTTAGTAAACCAGTTTCAGGTTTCACCCTTGTACATTTCACCAATTATCTAGGACCAATTAAACATTTGGTAATGAGGAATAATTCAGAGCAACAACTCCTAGGGGAGAACTAGATTGTTTGGTTGTTGATCAAAAAGAACTAAAGCATCTCTGAAGGCAATTAGCCCCCAGCACTGTGACCAAGGCACTGGAGGTGGGGCTTGTTCTTTTTGCCTTCCACACACCCCTTCAGACTGAACAAGGTGTTATTTTTTAACCGCTTTGTGAATTACACTTCTTTAAATTCCTGTGATAATTATTCCCTATTTCATAAGGATGCCTTTCTATAACATCTTGAATATGTTACACAGGTAGTCTTTCTTGAGGCACCCTCTAGTCATAATACTAAAGATCACAATTAAAAACGATTGTGCCCAGAGTAGCAGTACCACTTGACACTTTGGGTTTAGGTCGTGATCTACTGAAAAATAAACTCATTAATATTACTATTTAGGGAAATTCTGACAAGTAATTTAAAACAAGATCACTTTATTAATTATAAAGCTTCAAAAATACTTAGTAAAAAAACTTACAGATTAACTACAAGAGACTTTTCAGGAGAAAAAAGCCATACAAAAGCAAAAAAAAAAAAAAAATGAGAGGAGAGACAGAAACTATCCTTGAATAACATTTTAAAGGTAAGATTACTTACTAACATTATTTTCCAAAATTACATTGTCAAATTAGCATTGACTTCCTACTAATATCCTGAAGCCATCTCACTAAAAATTATGCTTTCAAAACAAATTATTGAGCTGAATTCATTTTCTATAAGTGTATGTTTGGACTTACTTCGTTAATTTTTTTGACATGGAATTGTTAGCTTTCAATGCTACTGCAAAGGCTTCCTTGTATTCTTCTAATTTGGTTGTAACCTCTTCATAAGTAGTTTTCATTTTGGAGAATTTACATTCCACATCTTTAAGTGTGAGTTCCTTCTTATTTAGTGAAGCCGTATTACCCTTGTTTAACTGCTCTAATTGTTTTTCATATTGTGTTTATTTCTAAAACAAATGAAAAGAATATATTTTTAAAACAATTATAACCTAATTATTATATGTTTGTTGCCTTTCATTTTGAGCCAGTGATTCAAAGAGCAATTTTGAATATGTTAAAAAAAGAGGCTGAAGCTTAAAATGTTTATCAGCAGTATCAAAACTAATAACTGAATTCAGAATCAAGTCTGATTTATAAAAATTTGAAACCATAATTATGTTAGTATTAATGTAATCTGGTCGTATAAAAAGCAATAGAATCCATTCATAATTTTAAAAAGTGATCAATGAACAAAGTAGCTTAAGACCAATTCAAAAGTATCACATAATTTCTAAATCACAACTTTTTCTTATGCCAACTGGTCTTAATCATCAAATGACTCCATAGTAAGAATCATTACTCTGAAAGATTGATTTTGTTATAATAATGGAAATTTAAATATTTAAAAGAAAAAACAGATGCCATTTTTTTTTCTAAAACTCTACAAAGCAAATTGCTACAAGAGAGGCAGAGGAAACACAATATACACATATCCAAAATATAATTTGCAGTGAAATAAAGGAAAGCACATTACAGATAAACTTACCTGATTTAAAAAACTAACCTGTAAATGGATTTCTTCTAATTTTTCTACTGCCGTCATTGCCCTTTCATCTAGCTCCGATTTATATTCTTGTAGTTTACTAAGTTCTACCATATTGTCTTCCATATGTGTCTTAAGATTTAATATTTCTTCTTCCAACATCTTTTTATCCTTCTCAAGTTTTTCACATTGCTGTTGTACTTTTTTCATAGATAATAACTCCTGTTGAAGAACTTGATTGTCTTTAGCCAAATCGACACATTTTGAAGATACAGCTTCCTTCTCTGCTGTAAGATCATCAAACTGCATGAATAAAATAGTATAGCTTGATAATGAAGTAGGCTGAGAATAATCTAATACAAAATCAATAGCAAATTTTGAAATGCATTTACTCGGAATAAACTGTTATCTGTAGTGCAGTAGATTCTTCAAATGTGAACCCTTAAATTACTCAGAATTTTAAGAACAAAGTTAAAGCTACCATGAGTCACAAAAATACATTATTTAACTATCATCATCTTTGTCACAGAACTTTTGCACTTCATCTTACTTTTATTTTTCTGATAATTTATTTTTGTTCCTCCTTAAGTAGCACTAAGCTATCTCTTAGTAAAAGGTGTCTATCCCGCTTCCCTCATTATCATTCCCCATAATATGTCAAAAAAAGTTTCAGAAATATCACACTGAGTTATTTAGGCCAAAGTCAATAAATGGCTCTAGGAATAAGACTTTGAAAATAATATAACACTCTATACTAGGCATGGTGGGTCATGCCTGTAATCCTAGCACTTTAAAAAGCTGTGGCAGAAAGATTACTTGAGGCCAGGAATTTGAGATCAGCCAGAGCAACATAGTGAGGCCCCATCTCTACAAAAAAAAGTGTTTTTTAAATTAGCCAGGCATGGTGGCTCATGTCTGTAGACCCAGCTATTTGGGAGACCAAGGCAAAAGGATGGTTTGTACCCAGAGTTCAGGGCTGCAGTGAATTATGACCACATCACTGCCCTTCTGCCTGGATGACAGACAAAGACCCTATCTCAAAAAACACAAAATAATGAATCCTGTAAATAAGTATTCTGATGCCATAAGCCTTTCCTTAAACTGCAAATGTTTCATGCTAATTTGAGTTGCATTTTAAGAAGTAATGATTCTTGGGGTAAAGGCCACAGAATACAGCACCCAGAAATAAATCCACATATTTCCAGCCAAGTGATTTTGGATGAACATGCCAAGAACATACACTGGGGAAAGGACAGCCTCTTCAAATGAATGGCACTGGGAAAACTAAATATCCATATGGAGAAGAATGATACTAGCTTCCTATGTAACACCATATAACAACATAAACTCAGAATCAATTGAAGACTGAAATGTAAGGCCCAAAATTATCAAACTACTATAAGTAAACATAGGGAAAATTCTTGAGGACAGTCTGCACAAAGATTTTTATGGGTAAGATATCAGAAGCATAGGCAAAAAACAAATGATAGACAAATGGTACTACATTAACCTAAAAAGCTTCTGTCCAGCTAACAACTGAGTGAAGAGAAAACTTGTAGAATGGGAGAAAATATCATCAAGCTATTAATCTAATAAGGGACTAATATCCAAAATGTACAAGAAATTCAAACAACTTGACAGTAAAAAAAATCTGAGTTCAAAATTGGGCAAAATATCTAACTATACTTTTTTTTAGAAAAAAGAAATACAAATAGCCAATAAATAAATTTAACAATGCTCATTATCACTAATCCTCAGAGAAATACAAATCAAATCTACAATATGATATAATCTTGCTTCAATTTGAATAAATTATCATCATGGAAAAGATAAAAAAAAAATGCTGGTGAGGTTCCAGAGAACAGTAAACTCTTATGTGCTGTTGGTGGGAAGGTAAATTAGTGCAGCCACTATAGAAAACAACATGAGGTTTCCTCAAAAAATTAATAATGGAACTGCTGAGGGATCCAGCAAGCCCACGACTGGGTATTCAGGCAATAGAAAGAAAACAATAGATCAAAAGGAAGCCTGTCCTCATATGTTTATTGTAGCACTAGTCACTACGGCTAATGTATGGAATCAACCTACATATCCATCACCAAAAGAAAAGACAAAAAACTGTGGCACACATACACAATGGAATACTATTCACCGTATAAAGGAATTAAATCCTGTTATCGTGGCCACGTGGATCAGTCTGGAGGATGTTATGTTAAGTGCAGACACAGAAAGATAAATACTGCACATTCTCACTCCTGTGTGGGAGCTAAAGAAAAATTGAGGGCTGGGCAACATGGCTGATGCCTGTAATTTCCTAGCACTTAGAAAGACAAAGGCAGGAGAGTCACTTGAGGCCAAAAGTTCCAGAGCACCTGGGCAGCATAGGGAGATATTTCTATAAAGTCAAAAATCAGATGGGTGCAAGGGTGCATGCTCATAATCCTAGCTTCTCAGGAGGCTGAGGTGTGAGGATCACATGAGCCCAAGAGTTGGGGGCTGCAGTGAACTATGATCAAACTACTGTCTCCCATCTGGGTGACTACAGTTGCCCAGAGCCCAGACTACACTAGCAAGACCCTGTCTCTTAACAACAACAAAAATCTCAAAGAAGTAGGGGAAGGTAGGTTGGTTAATGGATATGGAATTACAGTTAGATAAGAAGAATGAGTTCTGGTGTTCTGTGGCATTGTAGGGTGAATATGGTTAACTATGATTTATTGTATATTTTTTAAAAGCCAGAAGATTGTGAATGTTCACAATTCAAAGAAATGAAAAATGGTTGAAGCAGTAAATGTGCTAGTTAGCTTGATCATTACACCCTATTTACATGTATCAGAATATCACTCTATAACCCATAATTATGTATATATGTGTCAATTAAAACAAAAGAGAAGTTACATTGATCCCATTTAAAAAAACAGAATATGGGCCAACCTTACTGACTTCCTCCTAATGAATAGAATGCAGTAAAAGAGATACCATGCGGCTTACCTATCTCAGACTGTTTTCCCTTGGAACCCAGCCCCCAGATTGTGAGAGCACTCAGGCCACAAAGAGAACCTGGCAGTGCCAGTGTCAGTGTTCATGCTGCCTGTCCCAACCAAGGTTCCAGCCAATGGCCAGCATCAACCATCAAACATGTGGGCGAGCAATGCTTCAGAGGATTCCATTTCCCCAACTGATAGCTGTTCCTAGGGAAGCTGAGGGGAGTAGAGACGATCTGTCCTGGCCAAGCTTTTTCCAAACCACAGGTTCATTAACAAAATAAATATTTTTCTTTTAAGCCACAAAACTCTGGGTAATCGTTAGAAAAATAAGTTTTAAAAAGAGACAACAGGAAACATAACTTATGCAGCAGAAAAGAGTCTCCTTTAAAGTAGGATCTAACACATGTTGAGGTTAATTTATTGATGGCAAACATTATTGAGAAGCAGCAGATAACCAGGACAGAGACATAAGCTGCTGAGGAGGAACTTTTCCTAAAACTCCTTCAATTATGAACTCTGATAACAAAGCAAGGGTGTCTCCTTACAGTTTCCCCTCAAGTTAGGAAATAAGACTGGGAAGCAAGAAGAAGACATATGGTATGAAAAAAAACTAGAAATACTTGGTTACACAATCAAAATCAGACATTTACCTGATTTGAATTAACTAAAATTCTAAAAGATAAGCTTTCAGTATTTATTAATCAATCTAGTATTTAATTTTTATTTTCCTTTTCTCAATGAGGAAATAAGGAGAACATTATGAAATGATTTTTAGTCTTCACAGAAGTAAAATAAACATAGTGTGCTTTGAGTGTTAAGCAATCAAATGCAATTTCTCCTTTACCTTACTTCAAGCTTGTTTGTTTGGAGAAGTTAAGACCATCCCATCTCTATGCTATACCACAAGACTTCTCTATAGCACACAACTTGGCTCTGAAATTTTGAAAGTCAAAATACTAATCTACTATGTGTCTCTGATAAATTGCCTGAACATTACCTGATTTTGAAGTGCTGCACTCCTAAGACCTTTTCTTGGAATGAGTCAAACTTTATATTCCAAGAATCCTCTACTGAGCTAGAAAGCAGAGCTGTGCATCTCTGTTTCAGTAAAAGGTGGTCAATACAGCTAACTGTGGTTTCTGAGAATGCAAGATCTGCACCAAGAAAAGGATTAGCCACAGTGCTACCCAAGAGAACCAGCTACCAGGTGGAAAGAGGATCTGTGAACTGCAAGATGATGACTTCACTTGATTTTCACTGAGGAAAGCTGGCGGCTCAGACTTAAACTTCTCCTTCCTGGATGGTAAACATCTATGGAAGATTCTATGAATTATAATGAGTTAGGAAAACATAATGCACTAAATATTAGACTATCTCAGCAGATCCTGTGACCAAAACTTACTGAAAACAAAACTATAGCAGGAGGCAATGGAAAAGAGACTAAAGATTTGAATGGAGAAAAAAGAAATAAAGTGTGTCTTATAGGCCTGGCTTCCCATCATGTCTTAGAGTAAGTAAGGTATAAGCTGGCCCAGAGACTCCTTTGAGACACAAAAGGTGAAATTAAAGATATTCCACTAAATTTAATTTTTATTACGACATAAGACAACTGGTAATATGCAACATGATTGAAAAAAACTTCTTAGTAAATTCATTTTGGCCTTGGCATAATAATAGACATAAACAAAGTAAGAATTGATAATCTAAAAATAAACTTGTGCATTTACAGTCAATTGATTTTATATAAAGTTAACAAAAGAACAAAATCGGAAAAGAATAGTCTTTTCAACAAATGGTGCTGGGACAACTGGGTATCCATATGCAAAAAATAAATAAATTAGGACCAAATATCTTTTTTAAAAATTAACTCAAAATAAAACAGTTAACTGTAACAGCTAAAACTATAAAACTCTCAGAAGAAAACACTGGCATAAATCTTTGTGACTGCATTTGGCAGTGTTTTCTTAGCCATGACCCCAAAGGAAAAATGGATTCAATGGACTTCAAAATTGAAAACTGCTGTGCCTGAGAAGACAGTATCAAGAAGTGAAAAGGCAAGACGCTAAGTAGAAGAAAGTATCTGAAAAGCATATACCTGATAAGCGACTTACATATATAGGATATGTAAAGAACCTTTGCAATTCATGAGTAACAAG
This sequence comes from Homo sapiens, assembly GCF_000001405.40. NCBI lineage: Eukaryota > Metazoa > Chordata > Mammalia > Primates > Hominidae > Homo > Homo sapiens. The sequence goes on from NC_000021.9 coordinate 13,922,677, forward strand.
ATAATTCAATTTGAAAAATGGGCAAAGATTTTGAATAGATGTATCTGCAAAGAAGATGTAAAGATGGATAATGAGCACATTAATAGATGCTTGATGTAATTAGTCATTAGGAAAATGTAAATCAAAACCACATGTGGTATCACTTCACACCACAGGATAAAATCTTTGTTCAATAAAAAAGAGAAAATAAGTGTTAGGAAAAATGTAAAGAAATCAAAACCCTTATCCAATGCTGCTGGGGATGTAAAGTGATGCAGCCACTTTGGAAAACAAACTGGCAGCTCCTCAAAAGGTTAAGCATGAAGTTACCCTACGACCCAGAAATTCCAGTCATAAGTATATACTCCAGAAAAATAAAAATCATGCAAGCACAAAAACTCATACATAAATGTTTACAGCAGCATTACTAATATGAGTCAAAAAGTGGAAAGAACCAGAACGTCCATCACCTTTGGGTGGGAAAGAACCCAAAAGTCCATCACCTGGTGAATGGATAAATAAACTGTTTGATGTATCCATACAATGGAATATCACTCAGCAATAAGAAGAAATTAAGTACTGATACTGTATTAGGAGGAGACAGCAAAATGCCTAGGCAGATATGGAAGGGTCCCTGGAGAATCTCCAACCAGCTCCACAAGTGTTTACACCAGATGTTAAGTGCAGATAAGGGAACCTGGACTTGTCTTGCCTGGACATGCCTGCAGCAGACCAGAGGCCCACATGCACTGGGGGGATGGGGTGGAGCCACCAGGAATTCATGCCTTATGCAGGGGAGGAGCCTGGCCGCTTCAGCTCATGTGCTCCTGGTATTCAATTGTGAGGTGGAAACCTGCTTGCAGGACCACTCTCTTTGCTGAGAGCTTTCCTTTCACTTAATAAATTCTGTCCTCCTCACCCTTCAATGTGTCTGCGTGCTTAATTTTTCCTGGTCATGAGAGAAGAACCCAGATGTAGCTGAACTAATGAGAAAAACCCCACATCAATACCTGCTACAGCACAGATGCAGCATGAAAAATTATGCTAAGTGAAATAAGCCAGTCACAGTAGACCACTTGCTTTTTATTTCAGAGGCTTATAGGCAAATGTATATAAAGGAGGTTGGTGGTTCCCTACGGCTGAGGGAGGAAGGGAAAACTAGTGAAGATGGCTAAGTGATGTGGGGTTTGTTTTCAGGGTGATGAAAACGTTCTAAAATTGATTGTAATGATGACTGCATAACTCTCTGAAAATACTAAAGTCAATGACTCGTATATTTTAAATGAGTGACTTGCATGGTGTGTTCATTATTTCTCAATAAACCTGTTACCCAGTCCCCCCAAATTAATTTGGTACTAGTGGTCTGGAGACAGGTACTGCTTGGTTTCAGATCACTGGCCAGAGTTAAAGACATAAGAGAATCAACAGCATGTCCTTTTTATAGAAAAGAGGTTTATATTTTTAAAACTATCCTTTTCATTAGTATCAATTCTGTAAAATTAAATGAAAAATCTTTCTTTGACTGCTTAAAGCACTGAGAGATTTATATTGAGGAATAAGACCTTGTTTTCTTTGGCCCCAATTTCTATCTAAAGGGTCTGAGAATCACACACTTCAAACTATTAAATCTCATCAGATGAGTTTTATTAACTCTTATAATGTGGCTTACTTTCTCACCTGATTCTGGTACAGCATCACAGAGAGAAGAAGCTGAAGGAAATCAAAATATTTAACCCCCAAATATATTTTTCTGACATATTTTGAAATGGTTGCTGCAGGGCCAAGAGATTGAAATGGCCCTCATTAAGGTAGCCCAATCTCTTCCCTTCTAGGTCTTCCCACATCTGGGGAAGATGAACTAAGAGGCTGATGCATTTAAAGTCTGAAAAGATATATTTACCCTCTATTTTCTCAACATATTTTGGCAGAATTTGGGTTTTTCTATTATCAATATGTTCCCAAATTATGTGATTTTTAATCCCAAAACTGATTTAAAATTACCGTATGTTGGAATATAAGTTATTCTGTTATAAAGATACATGCATTTGCATGTTCATTGCAGCGCTATTCACAATAGCAAAGACATGGAATCAACCCAGATGTCCATCAGTGATAGATGGGATAAAGAAAATGTGGTATATATACACCATGGAGCCATAAAAATGAATGAGATCATGCTCTTTGCAGGGACATGGATGAACTCGAAGCTGTTATCCTCAGCAAACTAATGGAGGAACAAAAAACCAAACACTACATTTTCTCACTTATAAGTGGGAGCTGAACGATGAGAACACATGGACTCGGGGAGGGGAACAACAAACACTGGGGCCTGTTGGGGTCAAGAGGTAGAGCATCAAGATCAGTAGCTAATTCCTGCGGGGCTTAATATCTAGGTGATGGATTGACAGGTGCAGCAAACCATCATGGCACACGTTTACCTATGTAACAAACCTGCACATCTCACACATGTAATCTAGACCTTAAGATAATTTTTTTTAAAAAAATTACCTTATGTTTTAGTTTCTTAATCAGAATATTCATTTTCAGTTGATCTGTTTTTAAGTCTCCATGGCAATCGAAGTCTTCATTTCCAAATACACTTAACACATTTATTGTCATTTCCAGGAGTTTCTTATATCTGCAGAAACGTACAGAATTAGTAAGTCAAATATTTTTAAGAGTAAATATTTAATAATTGTTTAAACGATATTATGTTATAGCATATCAAAGAAACACATCTATAAACTATGATCCTTTCAGTTTCAACTGAGCATAGTTTGGAAGCACTCTATATGAAATTATAATCTTAGATAAATAATATGAAGAACAATTTTATGGCATATATGGCAGGTAAAGTGGTATTACAACCATACAGTTTTTTTTTTTGTTTTTTTTTTTTTGAGATGGAATTTCACTCTTCTTGCCCGGGCTGAAATGCAATGCTGTGATCTTGGCTTACTGCAACCTCTGCCTCCTGGATTCAAGTGATTCTCCTGTCTCAGCCTCCCAAGTAGCTGGGATTACAGACATGTAGCACCACGCCTAGCTCATTTTGTATTTTTAGTAAAGATGGGGTTTCACCATGTTGGTCAGACTGGCCTTGAATGGTCAGACTGGTCTTGAACTCCTGACCTCAAATGATCCACCCACCTTGGCCTCCAAAAATGCTGTGATTACAAGTGTGAGCCACCACACCTGGCCTAACCGTACACTTTTTGTAAATAAACTATTCATATCCATGTTGGTATGGTAAGATAAAATAACCTATTACTAAATATAAGCCATAACCTAGAAATGAGTAACCAAGATAAAAAAGTAAAACACATACATTTGAGAAAGACAAAAAATTACATTTTGATACCCATTCACAGTCTATAAGAAGAAAAAAAAGTACACACAAAAAGCATCAAGGACATTATTCAATGTAGAAAAAGAGAAGACCAAGAAAGGGGCAGAGAGATGCGTGACGATTTAAAGACTTTGAAGAAGAGATCTAGAGATCTTTGCTGACATAATGTCAACAAAATGAAAGAGATACAAAACCATGTAGAGAAAGGCAATGACAGAATAATGTAGATTAGAATCAGAAAACCAATTTAAGTGCTCAGTAAATAAATAGAAAAGTAGCTGTGTTCAGGGCTTCAAAGACACATTCCATTTTTTTAAAAAAAAAATCTGTGATCAAAACATGAATGCTCATTTTACTTTTAAGTTATACATATATTTTTATATATATGAAATTTATTTCTGTAAAACAGAAGTTTAATAACATGTATACTTCGTGTATACAACGGAGGTATCTGTGTAAAATGAGTAAATTTCCATGTTTTATATCTAAAAGAAAAAGAAGCAAAAACAAAATATAAGCTATATATCAAGATAAATTTTGATGTTAAAGAATGACACAATAGGTCTTCTTTAAAGAATTTGAATGCAGTAGAGGATACTACAAAAGGAAGAAAAGATGACCACAGACAGCAAAAATATCTTCAGAAATAAAAATTCAAACTAGATAATGAAGAGTGGACGACATTATATGTCCAAGGCTTTGTCATTGTTTTCAAAATCATTAAAGAATAAGCGGCTGGGCACGGTGGCTCATGCCACTTTGGGAGGCTGAGTCAGGCAGATCACGAGGTCAGGAGTTTGAGACCAGCCTGACCAACTTTTCAAAACCTCCTCTCTACTAAAAAATACAAAAATTAGCCGGGTGTGGTTGCACATGCCTGCAATCCCAGCTACTCAGGAGGCTGAGGCAGGAGAATTGATTGGAGGCATAGGTTGCAGTGAGCCAAGATGGAACCATTGAACTCCAGCCTGGGAGACAGAGGCACTGTCTCAAAAAAAAATAATAAATAAAAATAGAAATAAATAAATAAATAAGTATAATATTTTGGCATTCAAAAAATTTTCAGATTATGTTGTTTCTCTTTTATACATATTTTAATACAAATTTTTTTATCCCAACCTTGCCCCAGCAGCTCAGCTGACTCCCAACCCCATGATGCACATGCCTATAAAGTTGTGTTGTGAGTTTCTGAAATACATTTTAAAATAGAATTCATTTAATTATGAAAATGGAGACATAAAATGAATTTGTATCTCAGTTTTAGTCAAGTAAAATTAGAGCTAAATCAATTAATAAATGATTAACATGTTCTACAATATGAAAACCATACCCAGTTGCCTCTTCTTCTAATTCATGATTTTACTTTCTTATTTGATTCACATTATACTCCAGTGATGATACTAACACAAAAGGTTTCCTTAATTCTTCATTTTTTTCTTCAGGCTTAAAAAAAGTGTTTAAAATTATTTTTGTAAAATCTAGAGACCCTCTTTTATCTTAAAAATATTATTTCTCATAAGTTGATGAGTAATATGTATTTAGGCAGGGGTATAAAGTGCATTTTATAAGCCTGATGCCAATAAGGGCAGATTTCAGAAATAGTCACTTTTCTTAAAACTGCTAAAAATGATACATAATTTCATTATATTTTCTGAAATTTAAACTGCCGAAAATGTTTGTTACAAACAAGGGTTTTTACACATAAAATACTAAGGGTTAGTAAAAAATGTGTAGTTATATTTACATTTTACTTTTTAAAGATGCTCTGGAAACATTGTCATTAATAGTTTAAGATATTCCAAGTTTTCTTAAATTACATCTAAGAAGATTTTTAGAAAACTCTTATCTATTTTCCATTACATTTTTGATCCTCATCTGTCTTCAGGTTGAGCTAAATACTGTCATTCTCTGTAAGTATTCACCCACAGGTTTCAGTTTTTCCCTTTCTCTTAACCCTTTCTCTTTAAATAAAGTTTTTTTCTATAATAAACAAAAACACAACTTTTGTCTACTTTTTGTGGTTTTTCTATTATCCTGTTTCTCCCCTTCCATTGGACTCTGTGACACATGGTCTCATCCAGAAATCTATTTTTCATCACTTATTGTGTTTTTAATATGGAAATCTGATTTTTAATAATTCCAATAAAAAAGTCCAAGGGTCATGAAGGACTTTATCCTGCTTTACTCAGCAGCAGCTGCGAGCAGTGACCAAATGTTCCCTCTGCTCCTCTGACCCCGCTTCATTTCTAAATGCAGCAACCTCTGTTCTTCAGTCCTATTCCTTTCTGTTTGTTTGTTTGCTTGTTTGTTTTTGAGATGGAGTCCCCCACTGTCACCCAGGCTGGAGTGCAGTGACACAATCTCAGCTCACCGCAACCTCCACCTTCTGGGTTCAAGCGATTCTCCTGCCTCACCCTCCCAAGTAGCTAGGATTACAGGCGTGTGCTACCATGTCCGGCTAATTTTTCATATTTTTAGTAGAGATGGGGTTTCACTATGTTGGCCAGACTGATCTTGAACTCCTGACCTCATGATCTGCCTGCCTTGGCCTCCCAAAGTGCTGGGATTACAGGCGTGAGCCACCATGCCTGGCTGCTATTCCACTTTTTAAATTCTCTCAGGACTCCTAAAATCTCAAAACTTTGACCTAGATTCCCTAATCTACATTTCCATCTCTGACCTTTTTCTTGAGGCCTCTTCCTTCTAGTACACATATTATAGAGAATATTCCAAACCACACGCTCAGACATTGCTACTTGGTGCAGATTACTTTTGTAGATAGTGAATCTTGTCTATTTTATGTTGGTTCTTATTGATGTTACTTTGAGTATACCGTTATTTTCTAATCTCAAAGGGGGACAGTCTCACCATTACGATATTGACCAGTATACTTTGTCCTTTTTTTCTTTCTTTCTTCTTTTTTGGACCAGTATACTTTGTCCCTTTTTTTCTTTTTCTTTTTTTTTTTTTTTTGAGATGAGTCACACTGTGTCATCCAGGCTGGAGTGCAGTGGCGCCATCTTGGCTTACTGCAACTTCCACCTCCTGGGTTCAAGTGATTCTCCTGCCTCAGACTCCCAAGTAGCTGGGACTACAGGTGCACACCACCACGCCTGGCTAATTTTTGTATTTTCAGTAGAGACAGGGTTTCACCATGTTGGCCAGGCTGTTTTTGAACTCCTGACCTCAGGTAATCCACCCACCTCAGCCTCTCAAAATGTTGGGATTACAGACATGAGCCATGGCACCCAGCCCTTTTTTTCTTTTATAATGAAAACTTTCCCATGAGAATCAGATTATCAATTGTTTGCCTTTGTTTTCTTTTAAAGAGTTTCCTTTTCCATAGAGATATGGCATCATGAAAGTCTTGTTCTAAAGTTTCTAAAGTTTCTTTCGGGTGACACTCAAATATATCATTGGGAAGCTCCAATCAAGTAGACATCTCCCTTCTTCCCATTTGAGATTCTTCATCTCAAAATGGTGTCCACCAAACGTCTTCATCCAGGTAGTCTCTTGCTTAGAAATTCAGGAGATAAGAACCTTCTTGAGAAGTTAGAGGCTATTGACTGAGATGGTTTAATGCTGTCCCTTATTATATGTTTTACTCCCAAGGCAGACATCAAAGTGGCTAATAATACTATGCCTGATGTCTAACTCACTTCTATGGGAATCTATACAAAACGTTTTATTTATGAGACAGAGTCTCACTCTGTTACCCAGATTGGAGTGTAGTGGCTTGATCAACACTCACTGCAGCCTCAATATTCCAAGGTCAAGCGGCCCTCCTACCACAGCCTCCCAATGTAGCTGGGACTACAGGCATGCACCACCATGCCTCTAAGTATTTATTTATTTATTTATTTATTTTTTAAAGACAGGTTCTCATTATATTGCTGTGGCTGATCTAAAACTCCTGGGCTCAAGAGATCCTCCTGCCTCAGCCTTCCAAAATGCTAGGATTACTTGCATGAGCCACCTCCCCCAACCAGGTGTTTACTGGGGACTAACATGAAGCACTTACAAGAGTATGTGGAACATAGTGAGCTACATAAAATATTTGCTATTAGCATAATAATTTTATTGTATATCTTAACAAAATTGTGTATGTTAGGCAGGTGGCATGCCAATGGAAGTAGTCTCCTATAGCTGCACTGAATCATTCTTCTCACCACTGAGAGTTGCAGCAAATGGGGGGCACATAATTTATAAATTACTTTTCTCTGTGTATGACTCAGTAGGCAATGACTATGTATGTACTACAATGTAAATAGCACCTCCTGGATGGAATAGTACATAACTGACATGACCAGCAGACAGGCTAAAGACACTGAGCTGAAAACCCTGCGACTCTATTGCTAAACCAAGGCTCCTGAATCCGTTCCCTCTGAGCAACTGTTGCTGTGGTGCTGCCTTCACAAGCACTCTGTGGAGCACTGAGATTGAGGGGCTGTGCTATCCGTCATCAGACAAGCTGCAGCCAGAACTGTTCAGCTGACAAACTGGGAGCAGTCCAGAAATACAGTAATGGCTGCATAGTGAAAAAAAGCCAATTTAGATTCTTTTTCATAGAGAGAAAAACATAAACATGTGATTGAACAAGTCTCCTCTATTAGACTAATTGGTTTAGATTTGATATTTAATTGCTAAAAATACATTTAGAATATAAACCTTACTGTGTCAAGGTCTCAAAGAACAAATAATTGGTATGGTATAAAGTATTTAATTGTATGCTAAAAACTTCTAAGCTAAAATATTTTCAATTTATGCAAGGATAGGTGCCATACATATTATATATTATTGCCCCATTAAGCAAATTTATACTGAGACAAAATTATCTTCCATAAAAAAAGAAAAAGCCATGTAAAATTAAGGACTAAGTTTTTCTGCACAGACTGGACAACAATTCCTAACACATAAGGTCAGTGAGAGTCAGAACAGTCAGAGAAAGCTTCATAAAAACAAAAAAATTGTCTGCCAGGTCTGAACGAATGAGACTAGATGAACAGAAACTGAGAAGGCAGAAAGGATAGCATGAGCAAGACAAGTGCTGAAATCTGCCCAATTAACTCTGAGGATAAAGTCCAATGGCAGGGAAATAAAAACACATGTCCACATAATAACCTCTAAGTGAATGTTTGCAGCAGCATTTTTCATAATAGCTAGAAGTGGAAACTAACCTCAATGTCCATCAACTGATGAATGAATGGAAAACCAGTATAGCCATGCAATAGAGTATCATTTAACTATAACAAGAAATAAACTACCAATGTGTGCTAAAACATGCATGAATTCTGAAAACATTAAGCTAAGTGAAAAAGCCAGTCACAAAGGACTATGTATTGTCTAACTCTATGTATATGAAATATGCAGAACAGGCAAACCTACGGAGACAAAAGTAGATGGTGTTTGCCTACAACAGGGGTAGGTGGAGGGATATGGAGGAAGGTTGCAGTCATGCCTAGGAGATGTGGCATTGCTTTTAAGGGTGATGAAAATGTTGTGAATATAATAACAGATACTGAATTGTACATTTTAAATGGGTGACCTGTCTGATACATGAATTATATCTCAGTGAAACTGTTTTTAAAATCCAATGACAGGATCAAGATAATTTTCTCAGCTCTCAATTTTTGATGTACATACTATATCAGATCTAAATATTTCTATACTTTTATAGTATATTTTAAATAAAAGGTAAATAAAGAAAATGCCTAACTTTTCAAATAGTTTGTAAATTGACATAAAACATGTACATTTCAAAGAATAGTATAATGGCCTTTCTATACAAGTTAACTTAGAATCTGTGAAATAGACACAGATTCTGTGTCCTTTCACAAAAGTGAAGAAATAAGACAATTTTCTGGAACATTCCATTAAACATTGTCCTCTGATTTAATCTGGCCTGCCTCATCATAGCAATACAAAAATTACTTGAAAATATGTTTAACAGGAAAAAAGTCAATTTTCTCTGAGGAATGATGTATAATTATCAACTTTTCCAAGGGTACATATTGTAAGAGAAAAGGTATGCAATCCTTTTTCAAAATGGTAGAACAAAAGTCACAATATAAAAAAAAAGTACATTATAAAGATAGTAAAATGGAAATAATTAATTATAATGAAAGTACAAAATCAAGCTTCTGCCAAAATTAGTATCCTAAAACATGTTATATAATTCAACCAGCTACAGAATAACTGTTGACATGTTAAATTCCATACATACTTGACTTTCCACTTGAAATAATTTCCTCTTTGAGGCCCGTGTCTCTTCCAAATTAATGTGACATCATGTACCTTCCAGTGGAGACTCTAACATAGTTAATTTTTTAAGGGAATCAGCCACTTCTTGTTGAAGTTGTCTCACAACCACCTGATAAAATATTTTTGTTACTGATTTTATAAATTGCCTTATTATTAAATTATGTTAATAACATTTAACTCTAACATACCTACTTTGAAAATTATCTCACACACATCAATTCGCCTTCTTTTCATCACAGGTACACATTTTTATTTATTACTGAATTCAGTGAGGGATGCAGAATGTGTTATCCTCCTGCCAAATTGGTATTCTCTTATACAACAGATTCATCCCACCATTCAATCATCTTAGAAGCTCAACTCAACCTCAAAGTTCCTAACATATTCAATCAACTGTTCAAATCCTTTCAACAGATTCCTGTCTCAGAATAAAAGTAAAATTCCAATGGCCTTTGAGGCCCTAGGTAAACCCCTCTTTAGTCTGAAAATGGGGATATAATGCCTAACTCATAAATCACAGGCAGCTACAGTATCTTTGTACTGGACAAAGTCATATTCAAATGATAGTCATTGAGCCTTGAAATAAAAATTATGAGCTAATTATTAATAAAAATATTCAAAGTAAATTATGAATACCAGTGGGAAGACTAAATCAAATATAGTTTTGCTAAAATTTACCACATTTACCCTAAATTATAATTTTATAACAAGTAGGTGCCTTTAAAACATTACGTGGTCAAAAAATATGTAATTTGAGACTGACATATTTTCAGATTTAAGTTAAATTAATATGAATAAAAATAAAGCTATACCAACTAAAATATATAAAAAACTACTTAAAGCAAGATATTACAAGACACAGCAATACACTTCACTTCATCTGGGAAATCTAGAATTAAGTGTTGAAGCAAATCACTTAATTAAATTTTAATTTGAAAATACTCATTTCAGGTGTAAACATTTCCATTTATACCTTCATCATGGTCTTAACATGTGGCAACATAAAGACATTAAAATTATTATTTCAGCACTACAGGACTATCTACCTTAAAATATGACTCTGTGCCGAATAAAATGTCATAGGTGACACAAAGTCTTCTCTCAAAGTAAATCATCTCTCACCTCTATGGAAACAAGGTATGTTTCTAAGCTGATGTAATAAACACATTTTTCCTTTTTTTTAAAATCAAAAAGCTTTGTTGAAATATAATTTACATACTATAGAATGTATCTGTTTTAACATAAAGTTAAAAGATTTTTAGTACTTTTTCTGAGCTGTGCAGCCATCTCTACAATCCAACTTTAGAGCATTTCCATCACTGCAAGATCCCTCACGCCCATTAGCAGTCACTATCAGCTTCCAGCCCCAGCCCTTCACAAACATTAATCTACTTTTTGTACCTATATATTTCTCTTTTCTGGATGCTTCATGTAAATGGAATTGTACAGTATAGTAAACACAGTTTTTATCTACTGATTTTTATATTCAACTAGGTTCAACATGTATCCAGAACCAAATGTTTAAATTTTCTTTCTAGAAGTTTGAAAATATTTATCTTCCTTGATTCTTACTACTGTTTCTGCTTTCTGTCTCTCATATTGAAAGAGACTTTCTTTTAAATGATCATATTCATTCATTAGCTTCTTATTTTTCTCTTCTAGTATGAGGTCTTTCTTTCTACTCTCAATAAAGCCTCTTTGGATATTAATTACTGTCTCTTTATGATCCTCTTTCTGATGAACATCAATTAGTTGCTGTTCAAGCCATGGATTTTCACGTTGGAGTTGACATATCCTCTCTTCCACACAGTTCCACTTTCCAGTAGATTTACTGACTTTAGCTTCTGCACTTTGATACATCTCTTTCATTTCCTTTATTTGCTGCTGTGTTTGGCTTAGGTCGTTTTGTACAGTTTCTAAAGCTAATGACTTTTTTCTGAGAGTATCTCTTGTCTTACGGAACTTATCTTTTTTTTTTTCTTGTACCTTTTTTTTTTAATGTTTATTGATCATTCTTGGGTGTTTCTTGGAGAGGGGGATGTGGCAGGGTCATAGGATAATAGTGGAGAGAAGGTCAGCAGAGAAACATGTGAACAAAGGTCTCTGGTTTTCCTAGGCAGTGTTTGTGTCCCTGGGTACTTGAGATTAGGGAGTGGTGATGACTCTTAACGAGCCCGCTGCCTTCAAGCATCTGTTTAAGAAAGCACATCTTGCACCACCCTTAATCCATTTAACCCTGAGTTGACACAGTACATGTTTCAGAGAGCACGTGGTTGGGGGTAAGGTTATAGATTAACAGCATCCCAAGGCAGAAGAATTTTTCTAAGTGCAGAACAAAATGGAGTCTCCTATGTCTACTTCTTTCTACACAGACACAGTAACAATCTGATCGCTCTTTCTTTTCCCCACATTTCCCCCTTTTCTTTTGAACAAATCCGCCATCGTCATCATGGCCCGTTCTCGATGGTTGCTGTCTCTTTGGAGCTGTTGGGTACACCTCCCAGATGGGGCGGCCGGGTAGAGGCGCTCCTCTCTTCCCAGACAGGGTGGTGGGGCAGAGGCACTCCTCACATCCCAGACGATGGGTGGCTGGGCAGAGGCGCTCCTCACTTCCCAGACGGGGTGGCCGGGCAGAGGTGCTCCCCACTTCCCAGATGATGGGCGGCCAGGCAGAGGCACTCCCCACATCCCAGATGGGGTGGCCGGGCAGAGGCGCTCCTCACTTCCCAGACAGGGCGGCGGGGCAGAGGCGCTTCTCACATCCCAGACGATGGGTGGCCGGGCAGAAACGCTCCTCACTTCCCAGACGGGGCGGCCAGGCAGAGACGCTCCTCACTTCCCAGATGGTGCGGCTGGGCAGAGGCACTCCCCACTTCCCAGATGGGGTGGCCGGGCAGAGGCGCTCCTCACTTCCCAGATGGGGCAGCCGGGGAGAGGCACTCCCCACTTCCCAGACTATGGGCGGCCAGGCAGAGGCGCTCCCCACTTCCCAGGTGGGGCGGCCAGGCAGAGGTGCTTCTCACTTCCCAGACGGGGTGGCCGGGCAGAGGCACTCCCCACTTCCCAGACTATGGGCGGCCGGGCAGAGGTGCTCCTCACATCCCAGATGGGGTGGCCGGGCAGAGGCACTCCCCACTTCCCAGATGGGGCGGCCGGGCAGAGGCGCTCCACACTTCCCAGATGGGGCGGCTGGGCAGAGGCACTCCTCACTTCCCAGATGATGGGCGGCCAGGCAGAGGGGCTCCTCACCTCCCAGATGGGGTGGCCAGGCAGAGATGCTCCTCTCTTCCAAGACGGGGCGGCCAGGCAGAGGTGCTCCTCACCTCCCAGACGGGGTGGTGGCTGGGCAGAGGTGCTCCTCACATCCAAGATGGGGCGTCTGGGCAGAGGTGCTCCTCACTTCCCAGACGATGGGTGGCCGGGCAGAGGTGCTCCTCAATTCCCAGATGGGGTGGCCAGGCAGAGATGCTCCTCACCTCCCAGATGGCGCGGCTGGGCAGAGGCACTCCTCACTTCCTCCCAGATGGGGTGGCCGGGCAGAGGTGCTCCCCACTTCCCAGACGGGGCGGCCGGGCAGAGGCGCTCCTCACCTCCCAGACGGGGCGGCCGGGCAGAGGCGCTCCTCACCTCCCAGATGGGGCAGCCAGGCAGAGGTGGTCCTCACCTCCCAGATGGGGCGGCCGGGCAGAGGCACTCCTCACCTCCCAGACAGGGTGGCTGGGCAGAGACGCTCCTCACTTCCCAGATGATGGGTGGCCGGGCAGAGGTGCTCCTCACTTCCCAGATGGGGTGGCTGGGCAGAGGCACTCCTCACTTCCTCCCAGACGGGGTGGCCGGGCAGAAGTGCTCCTCATTTCCCAGACCGGGCAGCCAGGCAGAGGCACTCCTCACCTCCCAGACGGGGTGGCCGGGCAGAGGCGCTCCTCACTTCCCAGATGGGACAGCCTGGCAGAGGTGCTCCCCACATCCCAGACGGGGCGGCTGGGCAGAGGCGCTCCTCACTTCCTAAACAGGGTGGCGGCCGGGCAGAGGTGCTCCTCACTTCCCAGACAGGGCAGCCGGGCAGATGCGCTCCTCACTTCCCAGACAGGGCAGCCGGGCAGAGGTGCTCCTCACTTCCTAGGTGGGGTGGTGGCCAGGCAGAGGCGCTCCTCACTTCCCACATGGGGCAGCTGGGCAGAGGCACTCCCCACATCCCAGACGGGGCGGTCGGGCAGAGGTGCTCCTCACTTTCCATTTGGGGCAGCCGGGCAGAGGCGCTCCTCACTTCCTCCCAGACGTGGGGCGGCCGGGCAGTGGTGCTCCTCACCTCCCAGATGGGGCAGCCGGGCAGAGGCGCTCCTCACTTCCCAGACGATGGGAGGCCGGGCAGAGTCTCTCCTCACATCCCAGACAGGGCAGCCAGACAGAGGCGCTCCTCACATCCCAGAGGATGGGCGGTCAGGCAGAGACGCTCCTCACTTCCTAGACGGGGTGGCGGCTGGGCAGAGGTGCTCCTTACTTCCCAGATGGGGCGGCCAGGCAGAGGTGTTCCTCACTTCCCATTCGGGGCGGCTGGGCAGAGGGGCTCCTCACATCCCAGATGATGGGTGGCCAGGCAGAGACGCTGCTCACTTTGTAGACGGGGTGGCGGGTGGGCAGAGGCTGTAATCTTAGCACTTTGGGAGGCCAAGGCAGGCAGCTGGGAGGTGAAGGTTGTAGTGAGCCGAGATCCCGCCACTGCACTCCAGCCTGCTGTCTTTGTCTGTTCTTTCATTTATGAGAGGAATCCATCGACTTGTTACCTTATCAATAGAATGCTTGTTGTTAACAGCATACAATATACAGATGATATTAGCCTGAGATATTTCTTGATGAAGTTGTTCATTACTCTGTTCTGCTTCTGAGTAATCTACAATGTGTGTTGGAACTCTCTCTGGGGTGACATCAGCTGGAACGGTGATTTCTTCTGCCCGGGGAGGAACCTCTTCTGGAAATTCTTCACTGACCAGAGACATAATCATTGATGTCTTCCCAACTCTAGGTTCTCCCACCAGCAGGATCCACACGTCTTTCTTCATGTCGGCGGCTCTCGGGGGCCAGCCTCCGCCCGCACGTATGGAGTGGACTCCTCTCACCAGGAGCACCCACCCCACGGCGCCACCTGCCAGCCTCTTCGGCTGCCAGGGCCCGCCGCGCTGCCCCCTCAGTTGCTTCCCCGCAAGAGAGCCGGGACAGCACCAGCTCCGCTTCCTCCAGCCCAGCAGGCTGCAGCGGCGGCGGCCAGAACTTATCTTTTAAAGTATTGAATATAATATGCGTTTTAGAAAGTTGTTCAGTAAGAAACTAATTCTTATCTTCTACTTCGGAAATATCAGAACTCATTTTTACTTGTTCAAAAACATCTTGTGTTCTCTCTAAAGCAAGTTTTAAGTTTCTTTCTGTTTTCACATTTTCACTGTGTTTACTTATAGCAGCAGCCAGTCTAGACTGATAAGATTCAATTTCAGCTTCCAGTTTTTTCTTGCTTTCTTTTTCCTTCAACAGTTCAGAATTGAGCCTTGTATTCTCAGCTTTGAGATCATTAAGCTCTTGTTGATACCGGAATGCTGTTTTTGTTATCATTTCCTCATTGAGTTTTATACAATTTTCAAGGGCAGCATTTGTTCCTTTAGCAATTTTAATGTCCTTAAGATATTTATTTTCTTTTTCCAGGTTGTCATTTTTCATTGTGCATATTTCCTGTCTGGGTATAGCAATATCTGTCTTCAAAATGCAATTTTCATCCGTCAGATCTTTCACTTCTTCATGATTATGAAAATCCTAAATAAAACAAAAGAAAGTTTTAGCTAGTACTCAATAAAATAACATATCATGATTACCTCTGAAGTTAAAGAACAACCTGCACATCAATGCACTAAAAAGGTTACTGTAAGTGGATATCCAACTGGAGAAAAAGTTGAAGCAAAATTTTGAACCTTATAGAGCATAAATTCCAAAAAGTTCAGAAATTTATTAAAAGTCAATGAATTTATAAAAGTAAACACACACAAACACATGCACACCAGAGAATTTTTAAGAATTTCAGAATTGGAAAAGCCTTTCCCTGAATTACAACAAACTCAAAAGTATAAATTAAAGCATTAACAAATTTGACTAAATTAAAATATATCAAAAAATTGCATTTACACTTTGATATCTAACCCATACACCACCCTATAGTAAGAACCTTAGTTCACACGTATTTGGACAGATAAAATTTCCCAGAGTTATTACAGTTCTGTTTCACTGATAACATTCTATTTCAATTTGACTCTTTTAACACTTTTATAGTCAGTTATAAGAACTACATTTACTAACTCATAAATCTAGACATTATACTAGTCACTCCTATATACATTCATTGATGAACTCATCTAGTTACCACAATTTTGAGAAAGAAAGGTTAAAAATATAAGCAAGCTACAGGATTTTCCCCAGGACTTCTGACTCTACTTCTACTTCTCCAACAGATCACAGTTACTTCTGTGGTGTAAATATATCCATATGAAAGAAAACTTTTATTTCAAAACACCAGTGGTAAATAAGATAAAATTTATAGAGCTCTTCTAAGAATATCATGAGATTATTTGTGATTGCAATAATTTCTGTTTCCTCTTTATAATATTAGGTAGAGTAATCAATATGAAATAGGAGAAAGTACAAGGAACAATTTTACTGGGAACAAATCTTTATCAATAGGTTATCACTAAGTATATATTATGGCATATTATTGTTTTCAAAAGCTCTTTGTAATAAAATAATATCCTATGTGGGTGCCAAGATTTATAATAAATATTAATAATTGTACCTGTAAGTGTCATCACTCATTTTTAAAAATGACATAATATTTCTGGTTTGTTTTTTTACCTAAATAATATATATTAAATCAAGTGGATATTATAAGTTACATTGATAAAATAAAGTTTAAAATATAGAATTTTTACTAAAGATTGATTTACCTGATTTGGAGTATTTCTTGCAGTCTTCGGTTTCATCTCTAGTGATTGAACAGTTGGTTCAAATTATTTTGCTTCAACTTCTTTCTTATATTGTTTCTCTTTCCTTTCTAATTCTTCTCTTTTTTTTTTTTGTACAGCATATTAACATTTGTTTTTTCTTCATTTTCTTGTTTTAAGGTGCATCTGCAGATAAAGACATTTATCTTAAAATTCATTTTGTTAAAAAATAAACAGTTTATCCTGTTATCTACCTCTGCAGATATTGTTTGTTATCCTAATAAAATTTCTATGTTCTGGATTATTTTTCCTTTGCAGTTCTCAGATATTTAATTTCTCACTTCAACATCTTCAAAAGAATGCATATACTTGAAAAGTAGTAAGGAAAGAATATTCTGCTAAAGGTTTTATTACTAGTCACTCTAGTATATATTTTAAAAAAGGATACTGGAGATAATTCAGTAAAGTTACAAGTTCAAAATTACCTTTTCAAATCACACAGTCATAATTACTCCCTAATTAGAAAAGGTCATTTACAATCAACTAAAATTTTAAAGTTACTATTTATTGACAAGTGTATAAGTTCACTAGAAATAAATTTTCATCTTTATGAAATATTGCGGGTGTCTCTCCAAATGATTTACAGAGTAAGATGTCTCTCACAAAAACTATATCTGCAAATGACTGTCATCCAAAACTAGGCTAAAGAGTCTAACATCTGTTACCCCACACTTTTTATAATTCTTTCTTAATACTTCCAATTCACCTTCTTATTACATATATTTTATATATTTATTAGCCTATTGTTCATTATGTGTAATATATAATTAATGCCCTTAATAAGTGTGTGTATGTTTACACAAGTTATGTTTTCCTGGGAAATCTAGTCCCAGAAGTGGAGTTGTTGAGTTAAAGGGATGTCAGGCTATTTGAAATTTTGATACACAGCACTAAGTTACCCTTCAGAACTAATTTACCATTTCATATACCAACAGTGAATGAGAATGCCTTTTTCCTCACATTTGCCAACACGAGTAATTACTTTTTAAATATCAGCATGACTTTACAAAATGTATCTTATTTTATGTTAATTTACATTTTTCTGGTTACCAGGTAGGGATAAATATCCCTGGTAAAAATATAAAATTTGTTAATCATAAGGAATATTAGTCCCATTTTGAATTAGTTTATAGCACAATGACAATTATCTCCTGTGAAATACTGCTATAGGTGGCAAGGCACAGTGGCTCACTCCTGTAAACCCAGCACTTCGGGAGGCTGAGATGGGCAGAACACCTGAGGTCAGGAGTTCCAGACCAGCTTGGTTAACATGGTGAAACCTCATTTCTACTAAAAATGCAAAAAATTAGCCGGGCATGGTGGCACATGCCTGTAATCTCAGCTACTAGGGAGGCTGAGTCAGGAGAATCACTTGAACCCAGTAGGCAGAGGTTTCAGTGAGGCAAGAACACACCATTGCACTCCAGCTTGGGCAACAAGAGAGAAACTCCATCTCAAAAAAAAAAAAACCCAAACAAAACAAAACAAACACACTGCTATAGGCTTACTTACCTATCATGCTCTTCCTTCAGTTTCTTGGGAAATTGCTGAGGTTATGTTTTCCCAATCTTTCTTTGTTGGGTTAATCTGTCAGCAGCAGAAGAAGATGTACTATGACATATATTTTCTGATAGTTGTATTTTTTCACTTTTGTATGTATTATTTCCTTCTTTGACCTTTAATAAAAGTAATATGAATAATAATTATTATTTTATTTAATAAAAAGAACATTTTCCCTGATTTTTTCACTTGATTCAGGTTAACTATCACCATTTTAATGATAAAAGTATTTTGTGCTTACTTTAATTTTATCATTATACATAATTATTATAATTATAAGGTACTCATCATTTTATCATTGAAATTTTTGTCAAGTCTGCTCATTTCTGTTTGAGTGAATGGAAGAATTTTCCAAAATTTTAAAAAGTCCTCTTCTCCATTTTGTGCTTTTATTCCCATCCACTCTTTGCTATCTGACATAAATGTTTATGCTATCTGACTAGCAGAAACAGAGAAATAAAAAGACACAGGTATAACATATGTCTTCTGTCTTTACCACGTGGATTTTACATGAAATAGCCAGATTAAGAGGATGTGACTTTGTAGGGCTTCAGGAACAGTAAAGAAGTTTTCCCTTTTCTGCACTAAGCTATTCTTTTCCCCAGTGCCTTTTATCTCTCTCTCTCTCTTTTTTTTTTTTGAATCCTGGGATATCAAAAAAGTAAAGGTTCTCCCTGAACTATGGGAACCAAAGTTTGCCACAACACAAGAAGCAGAGTGAAACTGCTGAGTTTCTAGTGCAGAATTATGGAAAATGAGATGCTTCCCAGATTTCACATTCTATTACCACAGAAGTTTATAGGTGAAAACCTTTGGTACAGTTACCTACTTTAGCCCCATTATCTACTGATAATGGGAGTCAAACCAACCAAGACATATTAAATGTTTCATCCAGAGCTCTTGAGGTGGCATTCCCTAGTATTTCATGGCACCAAATAACATGATACAATTCCATATTGCTGAATTACATAAATTACCAGATAAATTTATCAAATTAGTCAGATATATTAAAAGTCTAACTTAAGCAAAGCAATTTAATGCCTCAGAGGGTGGAAAAAGGCCTCATCTGCTTTCACTTTGAAAGAAGAAAATCTCTGGATTTTTGTCTATCTTTAGAACACAATGTACAGAACTCAACTTTCTATAAAGAGTCAAAGGCTAAATTTTTGGCTAAGAAATTATGCTTCTTACGTGATAAAAATCATACATGCCAAAACTTACCATACTTTATTAAACAACATAATGTAAGGTCTGATTCAACAGAAATATTGGAGAGTGGTGATTTTTTAAAATATGTGGAAGTATATATTTGTTTTCAAAATATTGGAAATAACCATGATGGGACTATAAGTTCAAACAGTTTGAGCTAAGCAGATAAACTTGTGCATGAAAACACATTAAACAGACTCATTTGGCTGGGAATATCCATTGCAACTCTCAAGGCTAGACGTGTTTTTGTGGCTCATCTCAGTCATTGCTTCCCTCCCACTGTATTACCATTCTATCATTAAATAAATGTAATTCATCTCTAAATGAATACAGAAAAAAGAATCTAGAATCTAGAGCTTATTTCTTTAGCAATTTCTTTATGTTGATCTGGTTCAGAAGGTCACATGGTATATGGCTGAATTAGTTTCCCAGCTCATATGCCACTTGGAAGACTGATAGGGAGACTTAGGTTGATTAATGAACAAACATTATGAGAACATTCTCCAGAATCGTTATTTAGATAGCAAAACTAATCTACTTTGACACATAATTACACATTTAGATAACCCCACTGTAACTGTACACATGAGATTTTCTTGAATAGAAAATCTGACTGAATCAAATAATTGATAAAGAGAAAAAAGAAGCAGCAAGTGAACCTCTGTCTTTTTGAAGTTGGACTTCCTTTCTCCAAAGCTAGGAACTCTACTGGTAACATGCTACCTCATTCTTTTTTACTATTATTATACTTAAAGTTCTGGTACATGTGCACAACGTGCAGGTTTGTTACATATGTATACATGTGCCATGTTGGTGACCTTGGAATATCTTGCTGTGTCTTCTAGCTATATTTTTGATGTTCTCTCACTATGTGGCAAAGAATAAACCCACATTTTATAATTCAAGATTCATGCTTTTGTAGTTATTAGCACTGGGATTGTCATATAGTGGCTTCTGGAGTAAGCACTGTATTGGTTTTCTGTTTTTATAAGTGTCTGTAGCAGCAGAAATACTGTGGCTTTCTATCTGAATCATATGCTTCATTTCTTTGAGGTAGGTAAACCACAAATCAAAAAGACTTTCTGGATCTCTAGACTGAGGCCAATGACTAATGTCTAATTTCCAATTAGTGGTATTTGGGTTTATATTTTTTGCCATTTGCATGTGAAACTCTTAATCATCTTTCATTTCAATCATAATTACTGGGTTCCTTAATGTTTCAGTTTCTGTATCATAACAAAAATTTTCATCATCTGTGTTAGAAACAAGCTATGTGTCTGGTTTGTTATCATTTTTATAGTCTGATTTATTTTCATTTAAATGAAGCTTAGAAGATGACTGGTAAGTGTATTTCAGGGACCTGGAGTGTGAATGGAATAAAAAGACATTTGACATGGGATTCCTCTGTTCAGGCGCTGCCTGGAATGCCACAGAGTTAGACCCTCCAGATGCATTTTTCTCCTCACAATCAGGGACCTGATTCATCAGATTAGAGGGCACTCCTTTTTCGTTCGTCCCTCTTTAGAGTTACTATGTAGAAGCTCTTCCTCAGGGCAAGCAGTAATTTTGGAGTTTTCAAAACTTTTACCAATATTCAGCTTGAACTTGCTTGTAATGAATTTTAAAGAAAGTCATGAATATACAGATAGATTCCCTTTATCACAATTCTTACCCAGTTCTGGTTCTTGAGGCTTTTCTTTTTTTTTTTTTGGCAGGTGCAAAAAGGAAAACAAATTTGCTTGTTTTGTTTCTCAGATGTCTTTTCTGTCAGAGTGCATGTTCTAAAATTAGCTTTAATCAAGTATAAACAAAGAAATATTAGAAAATAATTAAAATTTAACTGTGAAACTTAATCTGTGTGTTGCCCCTCTTAAATTATGGGATTGTAACTAAAAAGTGAAAAATAATTTGCCTTGGCTTAACACGGGACAGAAACATAAACCGGCAAGCTGAACTCTCAGTGTTTGTTTGGACTAAACTTAATGCATTATGTGTAAAGTCTACCAGAAATGAATTCAAAGATGATAGGTAGTATTATAAAAGCTTCCTCTCTTACAAAGAGTTTACCTCGGCATACCAGAAAGAGTGAGCCCCTACAGTGCATGTAAATTTCTGAAGATTAACTAGAGACTAGGCAAACACTAAATTATTAAGAGCCAAACTGAACAACAATAAGAAAGAGAAGCAAAATTTTAAATTCTAATTCAAATGATATACTATGATAGTGTTATGTATCTAAATAGATTTTCTGCTCATATCCACTTCTAATATATTTTAAGTTCCACTAGTGATAGTGTTTGGATTTTTTTAATTTTAGTAATATTTACTATGTATTTATGTTGAAATAAAGTTATTGTTTGTACCCTGATACCAAAGGTCCCATTCTGCAAGGTAGGATTCTCATAAAAGGCAACTGGGTTGACTTTTATGACCCCATTCACTCCCTGAACACAGAAGTCAACTGGCGACCACAAAACAGAATAAATCTTTAACCTCGGCACTGGTGACCAGCAATATAAAACTGCAACATTTGAACCACTGGCAATGATGACTCCTTTAACACTAGTTTAACTCAGTGGCCATTGTTGTTAAATTGTTCATAATTTCTATTCCTTAGTAATATGACCCAATATTTCATGTTACCTTCTGTATTATGAGTAAGGTTATACAAATAAAAGAGCAAGATAATTGTGAAAAATTCTTGCCTCAATTCCAAGGGTAAAGACAGCTATGAGTTACTAGAGATAGTAAGAATTACTAGAATAACGAATAGTTACTAGAGATAGTAAGAATATCTTAAGTTTCATAACTGGTTAAAATGTTTTAAAAATTAAATATAAAATTATGACCTATTGGATTCTAAAGGTATAGTCCAAAAGGTCATGTCATTTGGACTACGCTTTGTTACTAAAGCAAAAAAAAAAAAAAAAACCTAATATTAAACAAGAAATTTAAATTTTCATATACCTGTGGTTGCTTCTTTTCACTTCTTTCACGCCTTTGTTGCTCTTCCTCTGAAGCCACTGGTAAGGCTTTTTCTGTTGACAAATTCACTGTTTTAGTTCAAATGAACTAAGAACAGTTAGATAAGACTATAATCTTTATAAAAATAAATAGAAAATAATATTTCTTTGTATTTTATATTTTGAGGGTTTAAATGAAGCTTAAGGTTTACTGAAATATTTACTTCTTTAAGAAATACTTCTAATTATCCAAAACTTCAACAAACCACTTGGGGAGACACTAGATATCACCAGGTTCAAGCCATACAAAATCTCAGGGTCACTCACAAATTGTTCCACCCAACATAAATCAACAAAACTGTTGGAAACAAAACAAAATTTTGAAATACAGTCAAAACATACAATGTACATAACAGTATCTTTTTAACAAGACACTAATTGAGTTGGCAGTTACTAATAATTTGCAAAATTATTGTTGTTTATATCTTAGTGTGCACCCCATTTTTTACATTGCAAATGTTTTCCCCTGCTATTCTGAAAAATTTATTTTCATCTTTTAAGACTCAGAAAGTAGGCTGGACATAATAGCTCACATCTGTAATCCCAGCACTTTGGAAGGCCAAAATGGGAGAATTGCTCGAGGCCAAGAGTGTAAGACCAGCCTGGGAACCATAGATAACTTTGACTCTACAAAAAATTAGGCAGGTATGGTGATATGTGCCTGTAGTCCCAGCTACTCAAGAAGTTTAGGTGAGAAGATCCCTTGAGCCCAGGAGTTTGAGGTTGCAGTGAGTCTCAATCACGCCATTGCACTCCACCCCGGGTGATAGAGTAAGAACTTGTCTCCAACAACAGAAAAAGAAAAAAAAAAGGCTCAGAATGCTGTGTGAAGTCTTCTTTGATTCTAGCTATCTTTCTCCACACACACAGGTGTCTGTTTCATTGCGGTCCCTTAGTACTTTGTCAATTTTCCTAGTGTCACTTTACCACCTGAACTGCACATCATGTCTTTACATGTCGATCCCCTTTGCTGCTAGACTGTAGAGGACAATCTTTTGAATAATCTTTGTATAAACAGTCTTAATTTTGCCAAATAATTAGTTATTGAGCTCCTGCTAAGTGTTAGGCACTGGGGTATAAGGAAGGAACATAAAAGCTGTCAGGGATGGCTTTCCTAAAGATTATGTATGAGCTGAGACTTAGAGAGTGAGGTTAGCCAGATTAAGTGAGGCAGAGGGCAGGAAAGGGTGAGCACATGCCAGGCAGCAACAAGAGAGGGAGAGAAGCTTCCAAGAGAGTATGTATTTCTCTGCAAAAGAGGAATGGTGAGGGGGCCATTACCAGCAGCTGAGTAATTCCAGAGAAAAAGGCAGATGGGGAAAGGGCTACGGATGGAGATTTGGGCAGAAATCAGTTTCCTTTTCTTTTCTTTTTTTGGGACAAGGTCTTACTCTGTCTCCCAGACTGGAGCACAGTGGCATGAACTTGGCTCACTGCAACCTGGTCTCCTGGGTTCAAGTAATTCTCCTGCCTCAGCCTCCCGAGTAGCTGACATTACAGGTGCGTGCCACCACCACCTGCTATTTTTTGTATTTTATTAGAGATGGGGTTTCACCTTGTTGGCCAGGCTGGTCTTGAACTCCTGACCTCAAATGATCCATCTGCCTCAGCCTCCCAAAGTGCTGGGATCACAGACATGAGCCACCATGCCCAACCCAGAAGTCAGTTTCTGAAATCTTTATATAAAGCTTTAAGGTGCTTGGACATTAGGTATTCAGGAGTGGTTCATGGATCTATTTACATTAGAGATAATTAACTCTAAATACTGTGAGGAGCATAAAATTCTGAGGCATATAAATAAATGAACAAAGATAAAATATAAGGCAATGTTGCAAAGATGATGCAGGCCTGAGGAGATGTTTTCAGAAATATTTAGGATATAGGTATCAGTGGCCATTATAAGAATGAATTTTTATTGAATGAATAAATGTATATATCCAGGTCCCTGGAGAAATACACTCTGCTCATTACTTTACAAATTTTATCAAATGAGAAGTAAGATAATATACATAAACTGTTTCAGTTACTTGTATTTACTTTACACTTTTTCTGTTTCAGTTTTACTGTGCCAAGGAAATGCATTTGGGTTTTGTGGTGGTGGTTGTTGTCATTGTTGTTATTTTTTGAGATGGAGTTTCACTCTTCCTGTCCAGGCTGAAGTACAGTGGTATGATCTCAGCTCACCACAACCTCTGCTTCCCAGGTTCAAGCGATTCTCCTGCCTCAGCCTCCCAAGTAACTGGAATTACAGGTATTTGCCACCATGAACAGCTAATTTTGTGTTTTTAGTAGAGATGGGTTTTCCATGTTGGTCAGGCTGGTCTCAAACTCCCAATCTCAGGTTATCCACCCGCCTCAGCCTCCCAAAGTGCTGGGATTACAGGCACAAACCACGGCCCCCAGCCACATATGGGGATTTTGTTTCAAAAGTTCTGTTTCCTGTATCTACCAAGCTCATGAGAAAATAGAAGCAAACAAGTCATTTGCATAGGTAAGAAACTTTGGATTTATAGCTTGTCATCACTACTCTAGAAGATTATCATCATGTTTTATAAAACAAAATGTTAATTCTAGACATAAGGGGAAAAAGAAATTAAAACTATAGGGGTGGGGGAAAAATATTGCATAATTTATTACTGTTGACCTGATCATATGACTGATTAAGGGCACTGAATTTAACTTGTATGTGAAGTAGACCCCACATTAGCTGCAGTTAATCAGTAGACCAGGTGTTCTAGCAGAATTAAATTTGATGCTCCTGTGTTATCTTTAAATGACACAGCTCTTCTAAAACCCATACTCCTAGTGTATGATTATCCATTAAGACAAGGTGATGGAATGTGTGAATACAGCTGAGGAGACACCACAAGGCAAATGCTCAATGGTTCCCATTAATATTGGGAAAATCAACACTATAAAACAGAAATCCATAGGCATTATTTAATATTTGGTTTTGGAAGGTATTTTTAGTGACACTGCATACAGTTGTACTGAATAATTGCAAAATTAGAGATGTAAAAATAAAACAAAGGCACATTGTGTTTGAGTAGGGAATCTGTAGATGTCTAGCTGTTTTTCCCATCCTGTCCCAAAATTCTAAATATAATCATGGTACCCACACTCAAATTTATGTTAAATAACAACCTCAATGAAATTACTCTTTCTCTTCATTCTCTTTGTTATTTATATGTTGCTTTCCTTAAGGGAAGAATACAAATGCCTTGCTAAGAAGCATTCTGTTTGGTTGTAGGCTGCATAAGGGGAGTAAACACAAAGTACGTTGGACCACAAAATGACTTTTTAAAAGTCAGAACTATGGTAGCATGAAGCCAACTGAGGTAATCTAGAATAAAATTTTCTATGCTTCTTTCCCTTCTTTGCTCTCTTTCTACTCTAATAACTGCGATTCATGCAGGTAATGAAGAGTATAATTCCCTGATGGAAACACAGCTCCAAAATTAATCCTTTCTTTAACTATGAAGTTCGCGTGTCCAAAGTCTGTAGTTGCTGTCTGATTTTTGATCACGGATGGCGATACAGATATTTATCGTCAACTCACAACTTCCCAAATCTTTGAAAAGTCTTACTATTGATGGTTCAACTAGTAGAAACATAATCTAAAATATCTGAAAATAAAGTTTTTATTTATTAGAATGTAAATAGTAATACAAATTGTAATAAGTTTTAAAAGTTCTTTCTTCACTGAAGCAGTACCATGTTGTCCTCTACCCCACAAACACACCACTCCCTCATGGTCTAACGTATTTTAAAAGTCCTGTAATTGCTATTAACTCAGACAAGTTTACTTAACTTGCTCTAAGCTTCTGTTATTTACTACAATTTACTTTCAATCACTCAACGATCTCTATTATATATGTTGTTTTCCATGAGAAATTTGTTTATTAGTAATTAAGATTCTTCAGGGATAAGAAAATATTTGAATAACTAAGTTTGTGCATAAACACAATAAGGTCAAATACCCATGACAATATTGTGTGTTTCTGTGTACTAGAGACAAAAACTTCAAAAAAAATTTTAATGAATAAACATTAAATTAAAAACTGCTTTCATTAAACTGATATAATCTTCCCTCAATGCATGAATACCTTCAGAATTCACATAGACCAAAGAATTGTATAAAATATAATAGTCTTAAAGATCTTATTTGTAGCTGGCACAGTGGCTCCCGCCTGTAATCCCAGCACATTGGCAAGCCAAGGTGGGCAGATCACCTGAGGTCAGGAGTTTGAGAGCAGCCTGGCCAACATGCTGAAACCCCATCTCTAATAAAAATAGAAAAATTAGCAGGGTATGGTAGCACGTGCAGGTAGTATCAGCTACTCAAGGGGCTGAGGCAGGAGAACTGCTTGAACCTGAGAGGCAGAGGTGGTAATGAGCCAAGACTGAGCCACTGCACTCCAGCCTTGGTGACAGAGCAAGACTCTGTCTCAAAAACACAAACAAACAAACAAAAAACATAATTGTTCCCATATAAGTCTATGTTCACAAAAGATCTGAAGAGTACACAACACCGTGAGACAGGACAGACATATATTTTAAAAGTTATATTCCTGGTTTCTGTAAAAATAAAATGGTTGAATTTAAGCTTTTAAGACAAGTCAAGGAAAAGAGCAAAAAATGCAAAAGTGAAACTTGAAAGGTCATTTCCCCATCAAGGGTTCATGATCACTGGACATTCACAAACTATATTGTTCAAAACATTAGTTCTGAATTTTGATCTGAGTATCCCTGGAGTTTCAGTTTCATTCAAGGATGTCCAAGAGGTCAAATAAGACAATATCATTTGCTATTTTCAGTTTTCTTTTCTGAGAATAGCACAGCAAACTTCTTCAGAGAAATGAATTGTCCTAACTTCATAGGCTAAAGGCTCACGAGTCATATTTCTAAGGACATTTATAAAATATGGTGGTGCATGCTTGTATTCTGAACTTTTCAACTTTAAACTCTCATATAGTAAATATTAATAGATACAAACTGATTAAAGAAAAGCCCTCTTACTCTGACATTATTTTTATTTTTCTTTCTTTCTTCATTTATCAGCAACAGGAGAGTCTAACTAAATGTGGTAAAGTGGTATAAGAGAATACAATGAAAAGTGTAAAATGAATTAAACCAGAGATAATCATATCAATGTGGGTACATCTGGAAAATATAATACAAAATACACCAAAGAAAGTGGCAGAAAGGTATGTAAAGTGTATAACCACTCACATACCATTTTAGGACACAAATAAAAAATTCTGCATATTATTTCTGAGCATCACAATATAGTTAAAGATTTCAAAAGGGCATTGAAATGAAAAACAACCAACTTATGATGTTGGTAGCCTCTATGCAACCATGTTTTTAAAACCTTAACACCAAAAAGTCTCAAAATCACCATTTTAAAGGACCGTGTCTACCAGTTATAAATGAATAATTACTTTCCTCATTTTTCATAGTCAAAGATGCCACAAACACACACATACAGACACCTATACATACACATCCACACACAGTCTTGCTCACTAGAACATCTGATTGGCTTCAGATCATCAGTGTAATAACACTAGCAGCACGCCTCTAAAGTTAAAACAGAAACTGACACGTTAATAAGTAAAGCTTTCCTCTACATAAAGATCAGAACTCCAACTAGCACATAAATCAATGGAAATATCTTAGAGTCTCAAAATTCAGTGCTTTGAATCCCTGACAAATATAAAAATTTTATACTGAAAACTTCATGCTATTCAAAACATTAAAAGAGAAACATCTGAGTTAAAGCTTACATTTTTAAAATCTTTTTATGCTTCTAAATTTATTTTTATTCAAATATGGATACCAACAATAATATTTATGTCAATGCCTTCCATTCAATTTTGAACAAACAGAATTAGGGGTAAGAATAATGTGAGTACTTCCAATCATTTAATGTACTTATTTCCAGCATTCCATTTGTATTGAATATGTACCTGCTCTCAATGTCTGTACATTCTTTCTTTGTACTGCTCCTTTCACAGCAGGATCTTCCATTTCAGTGCTAGGCTGAATGGGTTTTAAAAGAAAATGATTCATAAATCATATATATTTTATACAATGTGGAGTTAGTGATTCAAAAAATATACATAATTAATTACCTTCAAGGAAGGATGTTTTGCAGGAGGTCCTACAAAGCAAAAGGGATATGTCATCAATTATATGTAAGTATGACAGGGCCAACCAAACACTCATGCAGTGTTACTATCGAGCTGAATTCTCATGCCTGGCTACAAAAATAATTACTTAAAGTTTTGAGGGTTCTTCTTGGCTTCTTCTTTTCATTGCCTAGGACAGCAACATGACAGAAACCTAATGAGGAAAATAGGAATACAGGATTCCTAAAATGCACAGCTTACATTTCAGTAGTGAGATTATGTTTCAAATGCCTATACCTAAAGTAGAAAAGCATGGATATCACCGTGAACATGTGGGCTAATGAGAAGAAAAGGGACCACTAAACAGAGTAGCAAATCAAACCTGGGGGAATCGATGTCCAAGCTGATGGTGAATGTACAGAGTATTTTAACTCAACACATCAGAGGCATTGCTGCCAGCATGTCACAGACAAATTCCCCTTGTGCTGTCACTTAGGAAATATACAGTTGGGATGACAGTTCAGGTGAATGTGTGATTCACCTCTCATCAAAGAAAGTGTTCTACATTGATCAGCTAGGATACACACTTATGAAATAACAGCTAATCAAACTACTCATTTTTCCCATGATCACATGGGCTACTGCAGCACCTACATTTCTCCTATCCCCTCATTTGGCCTTGAGTTAGAGCTCCTTGATCCACTTGTGTGAGGTGGTCCATAAAACACATCAAATAAACCATGTCGAATAAGCTTCCGATATCAAAATATTTAGCAAAAAAGAAAACACTGAATTACCACAGACTTGCTGGATACGAATACACATTTATATTTCAAAATCAGTGCAGTATTTATTGAAAATGAGAATTTTGGTATTCACAAATGAATTTTATAATACAATTGCTTCTAAAATTAACTAAGTTTGGTATATCATCTTACACTGTAAAGGACTTTTATAAAGCAGCTATCATATCAAAGAACTGGCTGTCTCAAAAAAAATTAGCCAAAGCATCTATATGCAACTTAATCACATCTTATTCACTCATGTCAATGAAACTTCTCTCTCTGAGGCCTGAAAATTATGAAGTGAAATGAGCTGCTGTGGTTTACCCCAGTTCTAGCACTCCCTCCTGCCTCCAGTACTCTCCACAGCAATAACCTCTTTTGTGAGACTGGGCATATGCTGAAGCAACTGGAAGTGAGTTGTCTCAAGTTTACTTGGCTTTAACTCCCAAGACCCCAGCAAATGTCTTTCTTTCCTCCCTCTGTGTCCTTTCACAATCCCTCTTCCTTTGAAAAAGTGATTTTTAGATCTGTCATCCTGATGCTTCCCTTCCTAACTGCTTTTTATGGATAATTGTGACAACTTTTTTCATCTGTATTCAGCAGTAGTATACACCTGTAATCTCTCTTTTTTCATCTCATTTTCCTTCCCCTGTGGCTAGAATCATGCTCAGAAATAAAAGGAAATTAATGCTTTCCCTGGATTCTGTTATTATTCAAATTGCTCTCCAGTGGTTCTTTTTCCAGATTTCTCTAAAGGAAGGCTATTCCCTTGCTATTTAGAGCTGTGTCCAAGGACCAGCAACAACATCACCTGAGTACTCATGAGAAATGCAGACTCCCATACCTGCTAAATCAGAATGTGCAGTTTCCAGAAGCTCCTCAACTAATTCATGATGATCTGAATGCCCTGTTTTACACTTTATGTGATTCCATATTAGTTTACCCTAATTGCCCTTTTTGGCCTAGCCTCAATTTCTTCCCTATTATGTCTCTGAATTTAATACTACATTATAAGCCATAATGTTTCTAATGAACTTTTAATCAGGTAATACCTTCTCTAATTAATTACTTCTCCATACATCACCCAACACTATTCTTTTCAATTACGTTAATTTGGCCTATATGATACTATCCTATGAGGTTACACTTTCTTTAAAACCAAATTATAGCCATATATGGCTGACCATTTATGGTGATGTTCATCTATGGTAGATAAAACACAGGTCTGTGTGGTAAAATACCTCAATCCTTAATGCCTCCCCAGTAGTGAGGATGACAGCAAGAGTAGGAAAATGTTACTCTAATTCTCTGACACATGTTGGTAATGGAAGTTCACTTTATCTTCCTTCCTATTTCTAACACCCTGTTCTTCCTTCTTCTACAGATCAATGTGACTTTACTACCCTCTATTACATACTTCCACATATGTGTTTTTATTTATTCCATGTACACTCTGCCCTCCTCATCTCTCTTTCTCTTTTATTCATTTCCTCTTCCCTCTCTCCTGACTTGCCTTAGGTCTTAGAGTATCTTAAAATGGAACTCACAACTCAGCTCCTTTAGTGGTACTCCCAATAGAATCAACTGCTGACCCTTGGTTAGAGACACAACTTATCACCATTTCACTTCTCCTTTACTTATTATATAGTTAATAGGACATTTTCTTTGCTGTTAGACTCTATTAGTGCTCATATTTTCAAAGAAACATTCCGTCAAATGGCTTTTTTTTTTTTGAGACTGAGTCTCACTCTGACACCCAGGCTGGAGTGCAGTGGAGCGATCTCTGTTTACTGCAAGCTCCACCTCCCAGGTTCACACCATCCTCCTGCCTCAGCCTCCCAAGTAGCTGGGACTACAGGGGCCCACCACCACACCTGGTTAATTTTTTGTATTTTTAGTAGAGATGGGGTTTCACCATGTTAGCCAGGATTGTCTCGATCTCCTGACCTCGTGATCTGCCCACCTCGGCCTCCCAAAGTGCTGGGATTACAGGCTTGAGCCACCGCACCCAGCCTCCAACAAATGACTTTTTAAATAAAATACAGTTCTCACCTTCTCCTTTTCCATTGACTATTCTGTTTCCTTTTCCATGGGAAGGTCCACGTAAAGGCTCTGACACTTTCTTGGGGACACACTGCTAAGGTAGTATCAAGAATTAGTTTCCATTTTAAAATTATAATGAGTTGCATCAAGAGTTTCTTGTCAATCTCTTTTTATGAAACTGGTTCTCACTCTGTCAACCCAGGGCTAGAATGCAGGGGCCTGATTATGGCTCACTGTGGTCTCAAACTCCTGACCTCAAGCAATCTTCCCACCTCAACTTCCTGAATAGCTGGAACTACAGGTGCATACCATCATGCCATGCTAATGTTTCTATTGTTATCTTTGTAGAAACACGGCCTCATTATACTGCCCAGGCTGGTCTCAAGCTCCTAGGCTCTAGTAAATCTTCGACTTCTGCCTCCCGAAGTGTTGAGATAAGCAGTGTGCACCACAACACCCAGCCCTAATCAATTTATTTAAATCAGTTTCAATGTTGCCCAGGCATAGTGGCTCACACCTGTAATCTCAGCCTTTTGCAAGGCCAAGGTGGGTGGATTGCTTGAGTTCAGGAGTTTGAGACCTGCCTGGGCAACATAATGAGAACACATCTCTACACAAAAAATACCAAAATGAGTCAGGCATGATGGTGTGTGCCTGTAGTCCCAGCTGCTTGGGAAGCTGATGTGGGAGGATCACTTGAGCCTGAGAGGTGGAGACTGTAGCATGCCAAGATCATGCCACTACATTGCAGCCTGAGCAACAGAGCAAGACCCTGACTCCCCAAAAATATCAATTTAAAATGTGAGAATGAAGAGAGATACAAACAAAAAAGAAGCCTAATTGGTCAACGAAATATGAGCTTAAGCCAAGAAAGAAAAGAAACAACATGAAGTACAATAAAGTACATGGGGAAATAGATCTATAACAGAGCTTTTTGGTCTTTCATATCCCTGATAATACTAATTAATATTTATGCTACAATTAGTTTTTTGTAAGTACTTCTGTGATAGAGTTTATTACTATAAGACATTCAATTAGCTAAATATGGTCAACTACCACTACCTGAAAGAACATTATTATAACAGAGAGAGAAAACTGGAACTTTCCATCAATGTTCCACCCAGAAAAAGAATTTGTCACCAGAATTCTAAAGAGTGATGTATGGCAGACACATGAAAAAATGCTCATCATCACTTGCCATCAGAGAAATGCAAATCAAAACCATAATGAGATACCATCTCACACCAGTTAGAATGGCAATCATTAAAAAGTCAGGAAACAACAGGTGCTGGAGAGGATGTGGAGAAATAGGAAGAGTTTTACACTGTTGGTGGGACTGTAAACTAGTTCAACCATTGTGGAAGACAGTCTGGCGATTCCTCAAGGATCTAGAACTAGAAATGCCATTTGACCCAGTCATCCCATTATTGGGTATATAGCCAAAGGATTATAAATCATGCTGCTATAAACACACATGCACACGTATGTTTATTGCAGCACTACTCACAATAGCAAAGACTTGGAACCAACCCAAATGTCCAACAATGATAGACTGGATTAAGAAAATGTGGCACATATACATCATGGAATACTATGCAGCCATAAAAAAGGATGACTTCATGTCCTTTGTAGGGACATGGATAAAGCTGGAAACCATCATTCTGAGCAAACTGTCACAAGGACAGAAAATCAAACACTGCATGTTCTCACTCATAGGTGGGAACTGAACAATGAGAACACTTAGACACAGGAAGGGGAACATCACACACCGGGGCCTGTTGTGGGGTGGGGGGAGGGGGAAGGGATAGCATTAGGAGATATGTCTAATGTAAATGACGAGTTAATGGGTGCAGCACAGCAACATGGCACATGTATACATATGTAACAAACCTGCATGTTGTGCACATGTACCCGAGAACTTAAAATATAATAGTAATAATAATAATAAAAGGTAATGTATGGCTTGAAAAGGTATATTTAATAGAATGTGAGTTGGGACTAATAAAAAGCTTAAGAAATGTTAATCAAAAATCTCAATGTTAAGATTCCAGTTCAATGATACTAGAAAATATATTGTAACCCTCTTTGCTACTGATGACCTATTTCTAATTTATTTCCTTTTTAATTATGGCATAATTTTTCAACATAACACATCAAAACTTATATGCCCTTAAATATTAAAAAATAATACAAATGTAAGCAATATTTTAAATACAATATTTAATTGTTAGATACATTAGGTATATTATATTACTTATAACATTCCATTATATAAAAATTCATTTGTGTATTTATTCAGATTAAACAACTATTAAGGCTGAATGTCTCATGCCTGTAACCCCAGCACTTTGAGAGGCTGAGGCGGGCAGAACACTTGAGCCCAACAGTTAAAGACCAGCCTGGGCAACAAGGCAAAACCCTGTCTCTACAAAACTCAGCCGAGCATGGTGACACAGGTCTATGGTGACATAGCTCTATTGTTTCAACTACTTGGATGGCTGAAGTGTGAGGATCTCCTGAGCCCAGGAAATGGAGATCGGAGTGAGCCAAGATCTCACCAGTGCCCTCCAGCCTGGGTGACAGAGTGAAACCCCATCTCAAAAAACAACAAGTAAAATGTTTCTTACATGGAAGACTGTATTCTAGGTACTCCAGGATACACACAAATATGTTTACTGACCTCCAGTAGCCTATAGTATGCAGGAGCTTCCAATGATTATTTAAACAACTAAATAGAAAACCTTCTGACATTCAAAATTTCAGAATAGGATATAAGGACTTTGAGTGGTTATTTTATTTTTTAAGATGTAGTCTTTCTCTGTCACCCAGGTTGGAGTGCAATGGTGCGATCTTGGCTCACTGCAACCTCCGCCTCCCAGGTTCAAGCGATTCTCCCACCGTGGCCTCCTGAGCAGCTGGGATTACAGGCATGCACCATCACGCCTGGTTAATTTTTGTGCTTCTTTTTTTTTTTTTTTTTTTTTTTTTTTTTTTAGAGACGGTTTCACCATGTTGGCCAGGCTGATCTTGAACTCCTGACCTCAGGTGATCTACCCACCTCAGCCTCCAAAAGTGCTGGGATTACAGGTGTGAGCCACCATGCCCAGCCAAGTAAATATTTTAAATAAACTACAATGACAAAATTATGATGATAAAGTCTTACCATATTGGTATTAAGAGTCTCTGCTTCTAGAACTGGTTATTTGCAGCAAAATACATGTTATTCAATTAGATGAAGTGTTTTATATAAACTCTTCATGGACAACTCATAAAACACACAAAAATCCCTTTGCAATACAAATTTTGAGAACATAAATTTAAATTTCTACGTTTCCACAATTTATATTTTTAAATCAGATACAGTCTTGTTATGTTGCCCAGGCTGTTCTCAAATTCCTGGGATCAAGCAATCTTCCTGCATCAAACTCCCAAGTAGCAGGGACTACAGGTGTACACCACCACACTCAGCTATTTTTCTACAATTTTTAATATTATTTTAGTCCCACTACAGAACCAGTAATATAAGTAGAGAAACAATCTCTCCTAAAAACTATATGATACCAAAATAATAAGTTTCCAAGAACAAAAGCTATATGCTATGTGCTGAACCTTTTTGCAACTAAAAGTTACCAGGAGGATTCCATGATTACTGCAAATAATTTGATCCACTGAAGAGTTATACAGGCATAAATATTATGAAAGTCACACTCATATGATTTAAAAGTCAAAGTATTAGTGTTTATCCAAATAAAGCTTAATCAAATTTCATATTTCCTCTATTGGAGAAAGCATTTCCTAATGTGATTTTCCTGTCACTACTTATTTTCCAGTTCATTTTTTTTCAGCTCCTAACCTGTCACAGTACTTATCAATCTTTGTTAGTTACCAAAGTTAAACACATTTTTTCAATCAACTAGCCATATATATGTTTTTCTCTGACCCACTTTCCATTACCACCATAAAACAATGAAAGGTAAACCACTGCTAAGTTTGAAAAGTAAATACTATGCAAAACTACATTCAGAGTGAGAAAATTAATTTTACAAGAGACCACTTTACCTTAGCAGCAATACTCAAGACTTTGTCATCCAATGCAGGCAATAAATCCACACACAGTTCATGGAAAATGCTTCAGAGCAAAAATACACAATGAAAATGAGCAAGTTGATTTCTTTACAATTTTTTAACTGTCAGTTTATATCCAGCTTCCCCCTCAAAAAAGGAAAGAATAATCTGGGGAAAGGTCAGTGATCTATATATTAAATTATGATTCTTGATATAATTAAAATATGTCCTCTGTTCTAAAAATAGATTTTAGTTACATATTTCTGCCTCCACCTGTCTAAATCTATAAAATATTCAATGAAAACTAACCTTCAGCTTCATAACGAATAGTGACAGTCAATATATTGGCAGAGTCTAACAATAATTTGCCCTCACAAATTATCTGTCCTGAAGCTGAACTTAAAACTCAATTAATGGACGACATAAATTCTGTTACCTAAACTGGAAGAAAATTGATGACCTAAAACAAGGTAGAAAGATCCAGTGTCTCTTTTCCATGATCTATCTCTGGTTAAAAGACTAATCAGCATCACTTCAAAATGGCAGTCTTGATTCCTCAACATGGAACCCACTTACGAATGTCCTATTGCTTTGCCCTAAATTGGTACAGGAAATCCCATGCAATATTTGAAAGGTATGAAAGCCACATGTACAAAAATCAAATAACAAAGGTGTATGTTCTTATTGAGAATACTTTTCCCAGAAATATTAAAATATTAACAATTATAAAATCCCATTATTTTCACTCTATAGGTCCTACTTTATTCAGGTCCACATAAACTAGCAAGCCCTTAAAAGTTTTCATAGGCACTCAGACACCCAAGGAGAGAGACTGCCAGAAAAACAGAGTCCTGGTAGTTGTACCTCTATTTCCCTAAGTACTATCTAAGTATCTGTCTTCCTATGGGCTCCCACTTCCAGATTCTACTTCTGCAGGGCTCCACAGAAGTCTCCAATCTTCAAATCTTCAGCCTATGAAAGCACAGATTCCGGAAAGGATGGCCTCAAATGACCAGGAGTAGGAGCCCTCTATAACCCTGCTCCTGAAAAATAAGCCAACTGGACTCTCCATCACCTGCACCCAGCATAGACACACTACCAACTACCCAACTGAACTCCATGACTGGTTTGCCAGCCAATCATGCCCCTGACCCAGCCTACATGGACATGGGAAGGATATCAGTGAATCGGGAACAGAGGCAGAGGTGAAGAGGCCACCTGTCCTGGGCCACACATCTATGTAGTCCAGCAATCTCCAGCCCCTTAGTACTCCAAGGGCTCTAAGCCACCCCTCTGAAAGTCAGGACAGAAGTAGATGACACCACATTTCTATCTGCTGTAGACACTCCTCCCAGTGTCTCAAAATGTTTTAGCATCTTTCGGTAAAATTCTTCAAGTTTGTCAGTCCTTGATTTAAAAAAAAGGAGCAAACTTTTTAGAGCTCCCTTGAACTCTTTATCAAACTTCTCATAAACCCTAATATTTTGATCTCTTATTGAAGAGTCCATACTCCTATCCAATCCAGTGTTGTTTCTCTTCAAACTTGGCCTTCCCCTGCTCATTCCATTCTTATCTACTTCCATTGGGTTCGCCAGCTAATTCCATTTTCATACCATCCACTGGGTGCACCGGACTCACTCCCATTTGTATTATTAAAGCACATGCAAATAGGATATAAAAAGAAGGAAGAGTACTGGGCCTTAAAATGAGTTCAAATCTCATTTCTGCCAATTCCTGTGTCTAAAAAAAAAAGCATCCTAATCTCTTTGAGCCTCACATTCTCTGAGAATCACTTGACCAGAATGTTCAATACAGGTAAAAATACTAGAAAGTATTTTAATTCATTCTAAGATTCCTTAAAATTCTGTAATTCTATGTCCTCTTGATTCTGTCTATAGGAAAACTGGGAATACATACCCAGCAAAATTTGAAAAAATAATAGAACAAAAGAAACAGCAAGAAAAGCAGAGAAGAAAAATCAAGACAAGATTATACAAAAGTCATGGAAAAAGAAACAAGACTTAAAAAAGTATTATGGAAGTAGCAGAAATACTTGCCTAAATGGAAAACCAAACTGGGAAGTCAAATGATTTCTCTCTAAGACTTGCCTAAACTTGCTTTTGTAAAACTTACAGTCCTATGGACAAAGCTAAGTCAGATCTGCCCTAAAGCCTTTGATGGTAAAAATAAGATACTGGCTACCACTGAAATTGTCAAATTTATTAGGACAAACTCTTCGACTAACCACATTTCTAACAATACTTTAAATGAGAGTTTAAGGTATTTAAGGTATTTAAACTCTCATTAATTTAGAGATTAATTAAATTAATGAATCTGATTAATCTGATTCAGACCTATACCTTGATCCAAGTGCTGCACGGATGTCTACCAATCTATGCTGAGGAGCAAGAGAAGGGATTTGGAAGCCAGGCAGGCTGACGGTCAAACTGTAGGCCAGCTGCTTTGTTAACTATGAGTTTATAAGGCAATTAATCAACTGCTGTAATCCATAGTTGTTTATTTAATAAACAGTAGGTTATAGGAACACAGATGTTGTGATGGCTTTATGAGATGATAAATGCATAGAAGATATTAGGATGTCTAGCCCAGAATACAACACTCAACAGATATTAGTTTCTTCCATCTATATTTTCTTAGTTAACATAATTTTTTAAATCTATAAAATCCTGACTGCAGACTCATCAGAACTTCCAACATCTATTAAAGAAAAAGGTAGAATGCATTTTAAATCAATAATAAATGCACAGAATATTAAAAGCATAACAATGCACAGTGATGCATGCCTGTAATCCAAACTGCTTGGGAGGATGAGGCAGGAGGATCACTTGAGGAATCTAGAAGTTTGAGACCAGCTTGGGAAACATAGTAAGACACTACCTTCATAAAAAAAAATTGTGCACACTTGTGTGTATGCTTTAGATCCTGTTTTTGTTGTTGGTGGTGGTGGTGGTTTTGTTTTGGTTTGTTTTTTAAAAGCATAAGACTGATGCTTTGTTACAAATAATTCCTTTGGGAGCATGCCTGGGACCTTATTAGAATTAACATTAATTTTACCTATTGGTAGGTAATTCATGCAGTAAGAACTCTTCCCTTTGTATTTATTAGATGCAAAGAAGAATAACTTTATTAAAATTTGGTATCTACAAGTGAACTGCAGTTTACAAGTCATCCTAGCCAAACCCTATGAGATTGAGTAAAGATGTTATTGTTAGCAGAACAGGTGTGATGAGTCAACAGTGTCAAAGAGAATGATTTCTGGACCAAAATATGAGGAGCAGTTAAAACAGAGGATACAGTAGTACCCCTTATCCACTATATGTGAGCAAAGACATACTTGACATGTTTTTCTCTGCTCTCACACCACAGCAACAATCATCAACAAAGAAGGCTTCTGTGACCAAATGTGTGGAGAGTTTTCCCCACCAACAAGCAAGCAATCATTCCTGCTGATGGCACAATTCAATTCTCACACCCTATCTTCAGATTACATCAGATTTAATTTATAAATTAAACTTTATCATAGATATGTATGTATAGGAAAAAACAGTTTGTGATTCAGTACTATTCATGGTTTCTTGCATCCACTGGGGGTCTTGGAATGTATCTCCCACAATTAAGGGGGAACTACTGCACTTATTTTGTTATAACACAACACAGCCTCTCTAGCTCTTCAGTTCAAACTGTTCAGTTTAGGATAAAACACCCTATCACCAGAAGCCAGGAAAACATAGGAATCAGACCAGAAACAGGAATCCTTGCAAAAACTTTCCAGCTGCCAGTGGAGAAGATCTCAAGAGAGATCACTGTGTTACTCTGGCTAATACTCTTCTGGGGAAGGTGCTGGGTGGTTTCCTTAGTTGTAGCTATTTGCTCTGCCCTACATATAACAAGGCCCATGTTCACCTGCCATTTTACCTCCCACAGAAAGAACCACTGGAAAGATCACTCCTTTAAGAGCTTATCCACATTCAGAGAGAAGCTGAAGAAACACTGGGGAGGTGTGGCAGGGTGCTGGGCAGTATTATCTCATGTGAAAAATATATAGAAAGAAAACTATCAATGCCCTTTTACTACCGGAATGTTCCAATGCTTGCCGTTCTCCCTAGTAGGAGAAAAAAATTCTTTTTCACCTCACATAAAGCAAAACTCCCTTGCCATCCCTCATAACAGAATCTAGTTGTAGGTGAGTCATGTCATCATAATACAGGCTGTTGTCAACCTCATCCCTCAAAGGAAGAGGATCAGTGAGGAACATATGTATTAACCTATAGCATTCACTGCCTGGTCTTATTTCCAACCGAAGGTAAGTATGAAAGACTGTGTGATTCCAGTTTTATAAAGTACAACCCCTTGCGCTTGTCCCCTTCCATTGCTAGACAGTGTATCTGGACCCACCTCACAGAGCAAGATGCTCCAGTTTGTGCTGTGTGGTACGGCATGGTGTCCTTTTCCTCAACCCTTTCCATTATGTGCCAAATATCTATACAAATCATGTTTTCTAAGTATGTAAAGCATACCTCATCAGCATATATCATTCTTTACAATGATAAAGAAGCAAAAGAAAAACAAAAGGACAAAGAGCATCTTAAATGACTACCTTCAATTGCCATGGAGCTTTAATTTTCTTAATATTCAAAAATATATCCACAGTATTATTCCAACTATGTGACTCTTCTGAAAAAAGTAAAACTATGAAGACAGAGTAAACATCAATGGCTGCCACGAGTTGCTAGGGAGAAAGGGAGAGATGAACAGGCATAGCATAGAGAATTTTTAGGGCAGTGAAACTGTTCTGTCAATAATATAACAGTAATAGATACATGTCATGTCATTATACATTTGTCCAAATTCACAGAATGTACAGCATCAAGAGTGAAGCCTGATGTAAACTATGAACTTTGAGTGATTATAAAGTGTCAATGTAAGTTCATCAGTTGTAACAAATGTACCACACTCTGGTGGAAAATACTAATAATGGGGGAGGCTATGCATGTGTTGGAGGCATGGAATATACAAGAAATCTCTGTACCTTCCCTCAATTTTGCTGTGAACCTAAAACTGCTCTAAGAAATAAAGTTATTGATTTAAAAAAGATATTCACAGCTGGGCTCAGTGGCTCATGCCTGTAACCTCAGCACTTTGGGAGGCATAGGCGGGTGGATCACCTGAGGTCGGCAGTTCAAGACCAGCCTGGCCAACATGGCAAAACCTCACCTCTACTAAATACAAAAATTAGCTGGGCAAGGTGGCAGGCATCTGTAATTTCAGTGACTTGGGAGGCTGAGGCAGGAGAATCACTTGAGCCTAGAAGGCAGAGATTGTGGTTAACCAAAATTGCACCACTGCACTCCAGCCTGGGAGACAGTGAAACTCCATCTCAAAGAAAAAAAAAAAGATATTCACTGTTTATGCAACCCAGGATCTCCAGAACAATAATTAAAATAATAATTTAAAAAAATGGCCGGGCACAGTGGCTTATGCCTGTAATCCTAGCACTTTGGGAGGCCAAGGTGGGTGGATCACCTGAGGTCAGGAATTCCAGACCAGCCTGACCAACATGGTGAAACCCCGTCTCTACTAAATACAAAAGATTAGCCAGGCATGGTGGTGCATGCCTGGTAGTCCCAGGTACTTGGGAGGCTGAGGCAGGAGAATTGCTTGAACCCGGGAGGTGGAGGTGGCAGTGAGCCAAGATTCTGTCATTGTACTGCAGCCTGGGCAACAGAGCAAAACTCTGTCTCAAAAAAATAATAAATAAATAAAAAATAAAGATATTCACTGAACCTGTTATGATGATATATTTAAGCAAGACACCGTGACCCTAAAAATTAGAGATCATTGAAGACCAAAGTAACAGCATGTGGTCATTATATTTCTCAAATTGAAGTATATGAAATATATAAAATAAATAAATTTAATTGCATGCTTAGGTAAGAAAATATTGATAAAAATGATTGAATACTTTATCTTATAATCATAGAGGGATTTAGCACAATATGAAAACTAGATTATTCATGTAATCAAAATAAAATACAATTTTTATTCTAATTTTAACTCAGAAATTATTATGCTTATTTAATTCAACAATTTTACTGAAAGCTTAATGAGATAAAAAGGACAGATTATAATTACCTAACATTGCTATGGTAACTTATATACAAATACCTGTTAGTCACCAAAAGTCAAAAAGTAACCAGCATTGCAACTTAAGATGGATCATACAACAGAAATTAGTACCAAGTTACCTTATCTTATAATATTATGTGTTATTAAAATAAAATTTTAAAACAACACCAAAAATTAAATTGGGGCTATAAGCGTTGTGCAGAAAAGATTTCATATAGCAGGAAAGAGACTGCCATCCTTAGAAAGGCCTGCATGCAAGGCTGGCCCTTGGCTGGTGTTAAGGAAATTGGAATTGGGAGGGTTTCCACCATTCCCTGAGAAGAGTGGCTCACTGTGTCTAAAGTGTTTATAGAAACAGTGTGGTTACTCTGAACATCTGCTTTCCTTGTAAGAGTCTGGAATTTGGGTACATGTAAGGGAGAGTAATTTCCACAGAAAAACTTGGATACTTCATCTCTAATGAGACTCTGGTACTGGTAGACATCACTGCACATATGCTGTCAAAATGTGAGCCTGGGAGAATTAAGCAGATCCCGGGCACTCCACAGGAGAGAACTCCTGGAGGCTTGTGCCTGGTTTCCTCCAGAATTGACCACAAGCACCTTTTTCCTCTACTAATTTTGCTTGTCCCCTTTCTTGTAATCAATTAAAGATCTGAGTATGACTATTTGCTGAGTCCTGTGAGTCCTTCTAGTGAACCACCAAACCTGGGGTGGTCTTGGGAAACCTTGACACAAATACATTGTGTAAGATTTGTATTAAGTTGATATGATATATGTAACTGTAATCAGATGGCTATTTCACAGAATAATTTTTCCTAAACTGTTTTTCTTTTCTTTTTTCCCCTTGATATTTGACTTTGAGATTCTTGTATTTCTATATCTATCCACAGGAATAAAGCCATAAAAGGAATAAATGACACAATAATGTCAGAAAATAATGTGGAATAAGCAGCAATCCTATTTAAACCGAATAAAAAATAGGGAATCTGGGTGATTGACAATATGTTCCATAATATGAATGTTTCTAGAAAAAATAATGAAAAGGTGGTCAATTTTCTGCAACTCAACTGGGCTTAATTCCTTTTTATAATAATTGTGCAGGTCAGGTGCAGTGGCTCTCACCTGTAAATCCCAGCATTTTGGGAGGATGAGGCAGGAGGATCACTTGAGCCCAGAAGTTCCAGACCAGCCTGGGCAATATAGTGAGACCTCATATATTAAACAAAAAATGAAAAACAAAAAAACCTTAAAAAGAAAATTAGCCAAGTGTGGTGGTGCATGCCTGGAGTCCCAGCTACTTGGGAGGCTAAGGTGAAAGGTGAAAGGATAATTTAAGGCCAGGAAGCAGAAGTTGCAGTGAGCCAAGATGGCACCACTGCACTCCAGTGTAGAGCAACAGAGGGAACAGAGGGAACAGAGGGAAACACTGTATCAAAAATAAATAAATAAACAATTGTGTATCAGGCCAGATATAACCATACAAAACTGTAGTCCCAGCTACTCAGGAAGATGAGGTAGGAGGACTGCTTGAGCCCAGGAGTTCAAGGCTACAGTGAGCTATGTTTGCACCAATGAATAGACACTTTATTCTAGCCTAGGCAACATAGAGAGACCCCATCTCCTATAATAATTGATTAATTGTGCATCATTCAAGTAAATTGTATAACTGGAGAAAAACATATGACTATTGAATATACCATAATAGTCTACTACTGATCATAGAGTTCCTGTTTACTTGCTTCTAATCTTTTTCTTTGTTTCTTATAAAACTAAAAACATGATTCACCCATTAAAGGCAGTTCATTACAGAACAAGTCAAAAAGCCAGAAGAATGGCATCCAAACTGTAGATGTGTTATCTACCACTCCCCGCAAACAGTTGGATTTGGTCATTAAGAATCAGCAGGACTTTTAACTTGGTGTCTGTGTGCACATGCGTGTGCACATATGTATGTGTATATGTGCATGTGTCTATGTGTATGTGTATAAACTATGACAGATAAAACCATTTTGCTTGTGTAAGAATATGTAATATAAGTTGTGCTTCTCATGAAGGAATTGCTTTTCTGTCTCCTGTGCTCAGTAGCTATCCTCAAAAAATAATCTCTTATTTGTATGGGTGCATGCTGGTTCAGTTTTACAGTTCGTATTGCCATTTATTTATGGTACCAGAAAGGGATTGCTGAGTTCCTGGTTCTAAAGATAGTTACTTTCTTAGTGACACAAATCAATATGTAATACAGTTCGCCCTTCAACAGCAAGGGTTTCAACTGCAGCGATTCACTTATATGCTGATGTTTTTCTGCCTCTGCAACCCAGAGACAGCAAGATCCACCTGTCCTCTTCCTCCTCAGCCTAATCAACCTGAAGATCTTGAAGACCTTTGTCAGGATCTACTTATGCTTTATGAGAAGTCAATATATCATTCCTGATGATTTTCTTTTTAACAGCTTCATTTCTCTAGCTTACTTTATTGCAAGAACACAGTATATAATAATGCACCACAAACAAAATAGGTGTCTATCAACTGCTTATGTTATCAGGAAGGCTCCCAGTCAATGGTGGGCTATTAGTAGCTAAGGTGAAGGAATCAAAAGTTATACTCAGATTTTCAACTGCACAGGGATCAGAGTCCCTCACCCCCACATTATTCATGGGTCAACTGTAATTATTTGTTTACTAAATATAAACAATTTATTATAAAAATGAAATAGAAGATCCATTTGTATATCAAGTCCAATTTGTTATAATGTGACTATAGAGGAAACATACAACATACTAACTTAAAAATCTTTTTTCTTATTTATGCAGAAATATTATATAGGATTTTAGGGATCATAATTAAATAAAGGAATTTTTTCAGACAATAATGTTTGAGATTATAAGTTAGCTTAACTACCTTCTTAAATAAATCTGAATTTCAAAATAAAGAAGTTAAATTTTAAAAATTAATTTACATATGTATATACATATATGCACATTTAATTTACATATATTTTTAAACTGGTCTTTTTTTATTAACACTACCTTAATCTTACATCTTACTTTTTACTTTCTTATCAAGAGTAGGACCACCAAGAGAAATAAGAAATTCACTATCAGAAGTCTTACCTGGTTTGTCATTTTTAAGTATCATCTTTTTATGTTCCAAAATTTGTTGTTGAATTCTATGTATACAAAAGTAATAAATAAAATTGCTATTTTAATACTGAAATAAAAAATATTTACCAAACATATTAAATTCTAAAACCATTTCAGGCAATATCAGACCTA
This sequence comes from Homo sapiens, assembly GCF_000001405.40. NCBI lineage: Eukaryota > Metazoa > Chordata > Mammalia > Primates > Hominidae > Homo > Homo sapiens. Next base: position 13,967,543 of record NC_000021.9, read on the forward strand.
ATATCAGAATTTTAATGTCCCATACACTTCAAATTTTTAAACCTTACAAGCTTATTAAGCTTATAATTAAAGAAGAAAAAAAGTGAAGTACTCATAAATGGAGGAAGCATAGCTCAGTAAATGAACTCTAGTTAGCTGGACATCATGTAACATGTCCTGCACTCAGAATAAGTCCTCACTCTGTAACTAATAGATATTTTGTTTTCAGACAAGTTGCTTCTCTTAGGCTCCCTGGTTTTTTCTAAAAAAGGATTTTGCTACCTTACTTCAGTAGGTTGTTAGGAAGATGTAATAAGATTACATGTTTAAATGTTCAGGAAATAGTAAAGCAATGGAATGATTTATTCTTGAACTTTATTGCTTGGTGTGTGTTTTTCTATAAGTTCTAATATTCAATTGTTGCAGTTTTCAGAAAATGTTATTAAGTGCTAATTTTGGTTATTAGTTGTATTCTTTGTGGCTTGTAATTCAGGGCATTTTACCTAATTCATAACTAATCTGATTAAAATAGATTACCTAATTGTCTCCCATCACTGAGCTCATCAATCACACCAAAGGCAGAAAACTAATAGGTGTCAAAACCTGGGCTTGGACAACTACCACTCCTTCTCTACCTCCTCAAACTCTGAGCCAGCAGATCTGTGCTAGGACGCTGGATCTCCATGGTCCTCTCCAACAAACAGATGAGACAAAACCCTGCTTTTATTGTTTTTCAGTTCCATGAAGGAAATGCAAGTTGACATTTTGTCATTTCCAAGACATGTAGTAGCAACAAGTAACATCCCCTTATTACTCAGCTCTGTTCTCATTTCAGAGATCACCTTACATCAATAGTTTTATAGTGATAATCACAATTTCAATATTGGGTGTCTTCTGTTTTGGTTTCACTCACACTGCTTCCTTGGAGCTACTCAACAAATAGTCAAATGACCTTCCCGGGACTATGCAAAATATGGAATGCTTTCTGAATTTGTGTGCCATCCCTAGGCAGCAGCCATGCTTACCTGCTCTGTATTGATCCAATTTTTAAATATGTGCTGCTGAAACAAGTACAAAGCCCTGTTTGATACATGGATACTCATGAGTTATGGATGAGGCTTAGCTCTGTTAAATCCAACTCACTGACTTTAGATTCAGATAATTTTATTGAATGGCTTCCTGTGAGGTAGAATTTTAAAATATATTTAAAACTCCTGGAAGAGTTGTGATTAGCCCAGGAGATTTTCATTATCATAGAGACACATTACTTGAGGGGCCAATTGCAAGTTGGTTCCCACTACTCGGTGGAAAGATAACATGGAACCTTCTGCTATCTAACCAAAGCTGCTCCACAGGATGTAAAAAAGCCTCAAGGTACAGATCTGATAGCAAAAGAGAAAGGGAACCCTAATCTCTTCCTGCAAAATTATTTGAACATCCCTGACTGTTGAGAGCAATCCCAACTAATATTGGTTAAAGAACAGACAAACACGGGTCTCATAGGATAACTTACCATGAATGCCTAGGCTAAGTCTAGCTAAGATGTGGGCTCCAAATAAGGTTTTTAGTGTAGGGTGAGGATCAACTTGCTCGATATTTGTGTGGGTAAAGCTAGGAGGCCTAGCTGCCAGATCAGGGTGCTGGGAACAATGACTGAGCATAAGTACATAAATTAATAAACCCCCTAGCTTTGAACTCTATGTATGAATCACCACAAAAACTGAGGGGTCTGAATGAGTGAAGGCATCCTGGTGGCAAAGGTCAAACATTATCAGATTGCAGGACTGGTTACAATGGCAAAAATACAGGAATTGAGTCCATGGAAACAACAGAATGATCAGAATGGCCTTTTTCCCCCTTCTTCTGACTTGTAAAGGAAGATTGCCTTCCTTGGGCTTAGGAAACCCCTTAGCTTCTTGGAAAATCCAAAGAAGGAAGACACAGGAGATAGCCCCAGGGGAAAATACAAGATTTTCTGCTAAATTGGACATTTCAAGACCCAATAACTAATTAGAAAAGTCAGGCCAGGCATGGTGGCTAGCACTGTGAGAGGCCGAGGCAGGTGGATTACTTGAGCTCAGGAGTTCAAGACCAGCCAGGGCAACAGAGTGAGACCTTGTTTCAAGGAAAAAAAAAGAAAAGAAAAGAAAGGAAAAGAAGTAAAAAATGTGGCTCTTTTTATCCCATGCATGGGGATTATACTTAGAATAAAATGAACAACATTGAGATCCCTAGGGATAAAGGTCTTAAAAATCCTGAAAACATCTTGCACTCTACTTCTAACTAATCTAGACTTCTGCTTGATTTCTGGCTAAAAGGTAGACTAACTCATTGCTATTTCAAACCATCTGAACAAAACTAGGAACTCTCACCTAATGTATAAGATGGAATAGTTGCAATTATTTTAAACTTCAATTCAATATTAACTGGCCTTTTAACATAAACACTTACTTTGTCAAACGGCAAGAAATAGCGTAATCTTCTGCATCTTGTCCATACATGTCTTGAGTAAAGACATTAATATTTTGCTTAAGAAGGATGTTGACAATACCCGGTGAGTCATAGTGCACAGCAAGCATGAGGGCTGTTCTAAAATAACAAAGAAATCACTCCACTCAAGAACTTTAATAAAGACTTTTTTAAACAGCTAGTTTGATACACTTTACCAATTTAATATCCACCTGTCAGTGTAGACATAATAACATTTTGCATGTACTAGCTTGGGTCTATAAGCATCTAGGGTTCTCAGGTGTTCATCTTTATAAATTGTCACCAAGGCTAAAAGAAAAGGACAACAAGGAAGGCTCTTGTCCCACTGGGGTAAGACATAATACAAGTTGCTAACTCATAGTCCTTTGATAGCCAAGAAACTGTGCTGAGGTCACTTATCTAAAGTAGGTAAAGATTTAGATGAAGATTTCCCCATTGCTTTCCTAGTCTGATATACTGTAATTTATATCAGCTAGGGGTCAGATAAGAGCTATCTGCAGACTGAAAACGACAACAACAATGATGATGATGACAATACTAGTAGTCATAAACTAAAAGTCCACACTTTAAAAATAAATAAAACTGGCCAGGTGCAGGGGCTCATGCCTGTAATCCCAGCACTTTGAGGAGCCAAGGAGAGCAGATCACAAGGTCAAGAGATCGAGACCATCCTGGCCAACATGGTGAAATCCCATCTCTACTAAAAATACAAAAATTAGCTGGGCATGGCGGTGCATGCCTGTAGTCCCAGCTACTTGGAAGGCTGAGGCAGGAGAATCTCTTGAGCCTGAGAGGTGGAGGTTGCAGTGAGCCAAGATCACACCACTGTACTCCAGCCTGGCAACAGAGCCAGATTGCATCTCAAAAAAAACTTAATAAAGCTAATACAAAACCCTTTAGCTAATAAAAGATTACAGTACCAAAAACATCCAATTATAAATAACAAACACTCTGTATTATAGGAGAAGATGAATCCTACTATATACTGTTCTTTATGTTACTCAGTCCAAATATTTGCTGATCTATCTGATTATTCATGGTGATATTTTTCACTATATGCCAGTAATTATATTAATCTTCTTATTAATATTTCTGACTTGAGTGACTGTTACCACTCTAGAATACTCAGGTTTTATTTAAAAAGAACTACTGTACCATCTCAGGCTATCAACGGCATGTGTACTTGCTTTGTTTTTCAATAAAAATTCCACCATTTTCTCTTTCTTGCAAATTATAGCAAATAAAAGTGGGGTATTATTGTCCTATAAAACAGCAGAAAAAATTAATAATTCACAAAATTACATATTTCTCAACTGAACTGAAAATCTTCTCTAAGGTGCTTTGAACTTCAACATACAATATAGAAAGGAAGTAAATGAAAAGCAGTCCCTTCCTTCTCACTCCTCTGTGCTTTCTGATGTGCTGCTTTTTGCCTTGCAAACAACCCTCCTCTGTCTCCCTGGATTAACTGTGGTCATTGCCAAAACTCACTTTAAACATTTACCAGTCCCAAGAATCCTTGCTTTGATCACAGCACTTAGCATGGTACATTGTAATCATTTCACTGTGTCCCACTGAAACCAAGAGCTTCTTGAGGCAAGGGCTGTATCTTTTGTCTCTATGGCCCCAAAACCCTAAGACACAGTAGCAAACATTTTAAGTTTTTTACATAAATTAATGATCTAAATTATTCTCACTAAAGCAGTGTTTCTTAAACTATATTCCAAAGAATATTTGCCTTACCAGAAGTATTATACCCCAAGAGAAAGACTCCATGACCATCTGCATTTGAGAAGTATTATAAAACTGTATGTTATGTCCAATAATCAAGGAATCTCTTGAATTTTACCTAATCCCCATTTGACAATACTATTTGTGGCAAACATTAACATTTGAGGAATTAAGAGTTTTAGGGGTACAGTTGCCAGAGCTTCCCAATGCAGGTGGAGGTTTTTTCTGGGTGGTACAGACTTGCTTGACTCACTTCTATCAATGGTGTCAGGATCCCAGATGCGAATGTCAGGCACTCCTGATCCAAATGGGTCACTATGGAAATGAGCTTTGAATTAAGAGAGATTGGCTTCAAATGCACTTATTTTCCTTATTATTAAATAGTCCATGGGTTTTTTTCCCTAATACAAGAGAATAGATTTTTATCTTTACTGTTCAAAAGCTCAGTATGTTCTGTGTAAGAGAAATAGGTTTAAAAAACTTAAGAACAAATATTTAAAAAACCAAAGCTCAGTAAGAAATACTATTCTCAATTATAATGGTAATCCCGGGACCCCAGGGCAGCTCTACTTTTTAAATCCATTTTTATTGGCTTCCACTTAAAGGGCTACTTAAAATTATTTTTTATTTTAGACAAAATATAAATCCAAAATAAAAACATAATGGCTTATCAAAAAAATTCTCATACTGATCCATATGAATTATTTCTGGCATAATAAAAGCCAGTAAGTCACTTGCATTTCTAAGGAAGAGCACTGAGGAGAAAGATGTAATGTCTGCAATATTCAGAAATTATCCAACTATAACCAGGAATAACCTAAAAAGGCTTCTAGGCATTCTTATGGGCAGATAATTATTTGTGGTATATATAAAGAAAAGTTTCAAAAACTTCTAAATTCTAAAATTCAACTCCATAACTGAGGGATTTATATACTCTATAGACTATATATTATAACAAATATGTGCTGACTTAAAAACCTTGAAATCTTTATCAAAATATACTATAACATAGGAGTTGTAAACTCAAATACTTACAAGGACAAAGGAAGGTTGCCTGAGTAAAGGAAGTACTAAGGTGGGCACAGTAGGAAACTGGAGAATACCTGCCTTTTCTAAAGGGGCAACCTCTGCACAGCAGACCAAACAGTGATAGAAACTCAGGGGACACCAGATTTGATTTTTTAAAATAAGCCTGAAGTCCAGATTTCTACACCAGTCTTCTAAATTTTACATGTTGATTCAACTTATAGAGGAAAACAAACAAATCTGTGTACCACATTAGAATATAGCCCTTGTGTTTTTATATTCGCTATTAATGTGTTACTAAATGGTTGTGTATAATCCAGGTATTTGCATGTAAAATATTTTCTTTCTCTAGTATCATATGTTTTACCAAAAAATCAGGCTCTCATATATAATAAAAATTGCTCAAAAAGACTCATAATACCTGCTTCAAGAATTTTTCCAACACTTATTCATTTAAAATATATTTGTATATAATTTTCCCAGATTGTTAACCAAATAGATAATTGGTTCATAGGACTGCTAAAACTAAATTATTAAAAGAATTCATATCTGTATTTTTATTAACTCCATGGACTTCAGTGTTTAAAACTGACATTTTGGGTATGCTAAAGCTCTATAAACTTAACAAACGTACTGAGCCAGTTCATAATACAACTTCAACTAAAAAAAATAGTTTAGGATTTGCTACTATTCTAATTGAGAAAGCCCAACTTGTAATGAACATTTGTTGACACGTAATTACATGCATGGTGACAAAGGGACATCAAATCATGAAAGGGTCAGCCTCTACTTATTGAAAGATTACGCATAAGCAAATTTCTAAAAACTCTGAATGTCAGTGAATGATTAATGGTGGGAAGGAAAAGTGTTATTCTGTAAGCTGAGAGATATTGCCAGTAATATTTCCTTTCACTTCCCAGTCACAAATGTAGAGAAAGACAGATAAGTCAGGCTAATTTACTGAAAAGGAGAACTTTGAAGGAAGTAGCACCTATCAAATGCCAATTCTTCTAGAGATTTCTTACGTTTTTGAGATACAGAAATTTATATGTTGCACTTATCTGTTCTGGGGTTCTTAATCAGGAGTGTATCCTAAACTTGAGGGTTTTTGTGTGTGTGTGTGTGTGTGTGTGTGTGTGTGTGTGTGCTGTTATTGTTGTTAGAGGCAAGAGTCTCACTATGTTGCTCAAGCTGAACTTAAACTCAGGCTCAAGCTGGGACTACAGGAACATGTCACTGTGCCCAGCTTCAAGAAAATGTTTTTAAAAATGTTCAGGCCTTATTAGGTCTATTACATCAAAATCCTCAGGGGAAAGCCTACAATTGTAGATTTTTAACAAAATGTCCTCAGGTCGCTGTAATGCACAATTCTGAGAATTAGTGCAGCAATCACTTCAGTCTCATCTCTCACCCGCATGGCTAGTTCCCTTTATCAGTTGGACATGTGGCCAAAAAGAGAAAAGAGTAAGAGATAGTGTCATTTATTAAAGCTCCAGTTAAGTTTCCTGGGTATGGGTAGAACACAAACAAGTAAACTGAAAATCCCACTTGATTTTGCTATTTACAAGCTCCTTATCTCCCACCTTCCCACCAAGACATTCTAGGTTTGAGAGGAGTCTTTAGACTCTTATCTAAGTGGCTGTTTCTGCCAGGATGGGCAATAAGTCAGTTAATAATTTGTTCCACCTTCTGCTGAAGTGTTTCTCACTTCACCACCACATATTCACTGCCAACCTGGTTTCCTCAAAGTCTTCCTAAAATTCATCTCTAGGCAAGTTTCAACTCACTCTCATTTTCAAACCAAAAATTATTAGACCCAAAGCTAAGGAGCACCTTGTCTCAACACATAAACTGGAAGAACAGCAAACTAAGAGAAAAAAAAAAAACTCTTCATAGCATTTTCCCTCATTACCTAATTTCCAAGTGACCTGCATATTTCTGATTGCTCCCCTTTTCCCTTCCCATTTTCCCCTGTTAAGCCCTGTGCCACTGAGAGATGATTCATCAGTTTTTCAGAAAATTATCAGCAGCAGCAACATGTCCACTTATTGTAAGTTGCTTTAGTTTTGTTTGAGTTTTAAGATAAAGCCTATTTCCAGGGCATATTTTCTTTCCTGTGTTGTTTTATGCTAATTAGGGGGAATAAAAGGAAAGATAACCCTGCACAGAAAAAAAGTTGAAAAAGTTTTACCTTTAACAAATTCACAAATATTTTCCAAAGTGTGTTTTATAAAGCTGTACCCTTTAATGCTCCTTTAAAGGTATCAATATTTAAAATAAAATCTTAGACAATTATTTCAAAATAATTTGCATTTGCATTCAGGGAATGGTTGAGCTTCCAAATATAAAAAATTGACCCTTACCTATGTCAATGTTAAAACAAATATTTTGGAAAGAAAGTTGATTGATCTATACCTTGTCCAGTGCTTCAATATTTGCACCATGGAAAAGCAGTTTTTCTGCCAGTGAGGTGCTCTCACTATACACAGCATAATGGAGAGCAGTGTTGCCGTAGATACCCTTAAGGTTTGGAATGGTGCCATCTTCCAGCAGAATAACGGCACAAGACTCCTCCTGGCAATGGACAGCCTTTCCGTATTAGACCAAGAAACAGATTGTAAATTCCAAGAATTCAAAATACACATTCCACAGGTTTCACCAACTAGTTATATGTAAATGAGATCAATTTATTTTAATTCTATGTATGCAAATCAAATCCATGTCATGCTAAAAGAGTTGGCTCTAATATACCTGTATCAAAGGTGTTCTATTTTCTTTGTCACAGATATCAATCTGGCATTTTCTGTTAACCAGGAGAGTGACCACTTTCACATGGCCACTGGCACAGGCCAAATGTAGAGCAGTTCTATGAGAGTAAGAGGACTTTTCAGGAAACTGTAGTGCAACATCTCAAAACATACAATCATTCATGTAACTGTAAAAAATGAATAGCATGTTTTTCCTCTGCCTTCAAAACAAATACTTATTTTTTTTTTTTGAAGAAAGTACAATACTTACTAGCTCTGATTGCTCATTGCCTTAATGAAAACAGCAGCCTATTTGAATAGAAAGAGCTCAGTCTTTGGATTCAGTTCAATTAGGGTTTGAGTCCTACTTTAAACCCTGTCACTTACCAACTATTTCTTAGCCTTTCTGTGCCTCAACTTCCTCATTAATGAAGATGACAATAGTAGCTATCTCATAGGACACCATCGTGATGCTTAAATGAGAAGCTATGTATTTAGAATAGTTCCTACAACTCAATAATTGTAAGATTTTTGTTTTTTGAGACAAGTCTCACTCTTTTGCCCAGGCTGGAGTGCAATGATGTAACTATAGCTCACTGCAGCCTGGAACTCCTGGGCTCAAGCGATCTTCCATCCCCAGCCACCTGAGTAGCTGGGACCACAGATGTGCACCAGCATGCCCAGCTATTTATTTAAAAATTTTTGAAGAGTAAGAATCTCACTTTGTTGCCCAGGATGGTCTCAAACTCCTGACATCCAGCAATCCTCTCACCTTAGCCTCCCAAAGTTCTGGGATTACAGGTGTGAGCCACTGCACCCAGCCAAATATTATAATTGTTACTATTACTACTACTTAACAAAAACATTTTAATTAGGTAAAAGACACAATTATACCTACTTTGCAGAATGGCTTAAAGAGTAGGTCACATTTTAATACTTCTGACATTGGAATGCCACTTATATTGTTATAACTACAATTGGTAGCATTTTTAAAATTATCTTATTGATATATAAAATAGCGGGGCATCACACAATCCATGAGACCTTACATTAAGTAGAATATGGTATACTCAGCAGGTCTAGGGCAGTTCTAGGCATATAACTGGCATGTAAATACATTTTAGTTCTTAAAGGTACTATGGGGATAGAGCACTGAAATAACAATAATGCATTTTTTAAACAAATTAATTCCTTGATTTTCAAACAAACTGAAGCCAAAGGAAACTCATGATTCAAATGAATACATACGGCTCATTTTATTCAATATTTATACTTACAGAATATATGCAAATAAGACTTTCCAATGATTAATATTAGTATTTAAGACTGATAAACTTTTGAATGGGCAGTTAAAGGTTATCTTCTACTATTTTCTAACTTCAGAAATGCTTTTGTTTGAAAGGTGGGAGATAAAGTTTCAAGGAGATTAAGTCCCAATATTCCTATATTAAATCTCTCAGCTTGTGCAGGCAGGGCAGGTAAACATGTAGTTTTTAAGGATAGAAGCGTCCTGAGAGATAGTAGAATATGTCTGCTACATAACAGGTACTCAGGTTATGTTTGATGAATAAATGGAATGAAAGAATGGATAAATACAGTTGGGGAGATCGATATTTTTAAATAAACTCCTATAAAGCAATATTTTTGCAATAGTATTTATATATTATTTTTATTTTTAAAGAATACAATTAAAATGAAATTATTAATCTATCATTGTTTGCATAAATTGAATGAATATATAAGAAAAACATATGTACATAATAAAATATATAGGTAATAAAATCTGGAAACAGATAAAAACATTCCCTTTTTACTTCTGAAGAGGCTAAAAGTTCAAAGAAGATAACAATACACACAATAATGATAAAAATAGAAAGTGAGAAATTATTTTTAATAATGTAAGATTCATATTCCTCTCTTCCTGAGGATTATTCCTTTATTAATAAACTTTACTAGAAGTTTTGTACATGCTCACTGCAGCAATCACAGATAAGAAAAAGGAAAAGAACTTTACTTAAAATACAAATGCTCAGAAATTACAAATTTTATATTTTGTACATATTTTTTGCTAAAACAAGACCATAGTATGTTTGTGTGTATGTATAATTTAATTGATTTTTTTCCTCACTAGCTATAACAAAATACATTTTCGCACATCAATATACTTCTGTATCTATTGCCACCTTCAATGGTCACATATTATTCCATCTTATGGATGCAACTGAAATTTATTTATAGGATCCATTCTATGGGTTCTTTTTAAAATAAGTGCTGTGAAAAATAAAGTGCATGTATCTTTATTTACTAAGGGTGTTTTAGTATAATGGAATTGATGGGTAAAGGGCATACATATTTTTTAAATGTAGTACTTACCACCAAATTACCTATTTGAAAAGTAATCAGCAACTTAAACTTTAAACAGGAGTATAAAACATCCTCACAAATATTGTGGATAGAAAACTGTTTCATTCCTCTTTTAATTTAAATTCTTATACCAGAAATGCGAAGGACTTTTTGCTATGTACACAAATAACTTGCAGATCTGGAAAAAAGTACTTTGCCCAATTTTAAAGTTTTTGATGATTAGATTTGAAAGAATTCCCTGTAAAATGAAAATGTACTTTTCATCTAATGTGTATATATACATACAACTTTTCATCTAATGTGTATATATAACTGATATATATATAACAGATTATATCTGTAATAATATATATGGTATATGTATCAGCAATATATATATCATATGATATATAATAAACAATATAGGCTGGGGACGGTAGCTCATGCCTGTAATCCAAGCACTTTGGGAAGCCGAGGCAGGCAGATCACTTGAGCTCAGGAGTTCAAGACCAGCCTGGCCAACATGGTGAAACCCCTCTCTACTAAAAATAGAAAAATTAGCCAGGCATGCTGGCACCTGCCTGTAACCCCAGCTACTTGGGAGGCTGAGCGAGGAGAATTGCTTGAACCCGGGAGGCAGCGGTTGCAGTGAGCCAAGATTGTGCCATTGGACACCAGCCTGGGCAAAGAAGTGAGACTCTGACTCAAAAAAAAAAAAAAAAAAAAAAGAAGAAAAAGAATATAATGAATTCCCTCTAAAATGAAAACACACTTTTCATCTGAATATATATATATAATATAGTTAATATTTTTCAAGTAAGCTCTCTTTTGTTATTTTTTTTCTGAAACACAGGCAGTTTTAATTTTTAGTTTGCTAAATCAACCTTCAGAATGCCTGCTTATGAGGTCATTCTTAGGAAGGCTTTTGTCAACATAAAGTGTACCTGTAAAATAAGCGTTTGTGTTTTCTTCCGGTACTTTACTCATTTTCATATGTAAAAATTTCAATCTGTATTCCATCAGGAACTCATGTTTGTGACATAAAATTTCATTAGTTTTCTTCAAACAGCAGACATTTTTTCGTTAATAATTCATCCTTTCGTACTCATTAATCCTTACGTATATCTTACATAATTTCAGTGTTTCTGGGTTGCCTATTCTGTTCTATGCGTTTGTCTTTTCAGCTGTTAGTAAACAATTAATTGTAGAAATTAATAGCACATTTTGATATCTAGAGGAGCAAGTGTTTTTTCACTCCATTATGAAATTTTTTAAAATGTCATCACAATAGCGAAAGACAGGAGGTGTAATACAAAAATCTTAAAACCTTGATATTTTCATTCGGTCTATGTAAAACTGATTAACACAGAAAGAGCTCACATTTTGAGGAAAATGTGCCTTCCCATTCAAGAACACAGAAGCCACCTCCCACTTCCAAGTTTCTCTCTAAGAACCTTCAGTAAAGAACCTACCTACACAGGGGGATACGGATGTAAAACGGACAGTTTTATCTGAGAACTTTTCGCCTACTGAAAATAACTCACGGTATTTTTGACAGGGGAATGAGTTCTCTCATTAGGCACCTCCTATAATGTATATAAACCATGTTTTAAACGTGTACGTTAAAATTAACAACACTATATGCTTAACTTTGTGAGTTAAATCACTCAAATTCTCCACCAACTGCTCCAGCCAGGGAATTATGAGGGATGGAAAACAGCTGAGGGTCCGTTTGGCTCCGCCGCTCAGAGGGTGCCCGGCGACCTCCAAGGCCCCCGTCCCAGGGGCTGCCGGAAAGCCGGACCTGGGGACCCCCTGCCACCCCGGGCTGAGCCCCCGCTACCTGTGCTGCTTGTCCAGGGCGTCCAGGTCTCCGCTCCTGCGCGCCAGACAGCGCTCCATCTCCGCGGCGTCGCCCTTGACAGCTGCCTTGTGGATCTTCTGCAGTTCCGAGTACCGGATTCGGTACCCGGAACCCGTGTACAGGTGGTCTATGGTGCCCAGGACCGTCTGGCCCCTGTGGCTCCTGAAGCCGAACAACTTCATGGTGGTGACTTCTCAGACTCCCAACCAACTGCTCTTGAGAGGAGGCAGCTCCCTGTCACCTTTTCACCTCCCCGCCCCTGCCCCCGCCGACCCAGCCCCAAATCCCCTATCCAACCCCAAATCCGCAATCCAACCCCCAATCGGCGATCCCAAATCTATTATCTAATCCAAAATCCGCGATCCAGCCCGGTCCACCACAGCCTTCAGCAGCGACACTCGCAGCCTCCGACCTCTCAGACCGAGTGAGCCTCGCAAAGCCTTTGGGCGCGCGCCTGCACCGCGGTGGCCGCCCGGCTCCCGGAAGTCGCTCGGAGGCGGCACGCACTGGCAGGTGGGGCTGCAGCTGCGAGAGGGGGCGGGCCTGGGAACCACCGCGGGTGTGCGGGCCTTGCCATTCTCAAGATTCCTGCGGAAACGCTGTGCGCTGGCTGCGCTCCAGGAGCAGGAGCAGGAGGAGGTCGCCCTCTAGAGTCTGGAGTCTGGGGAGAGGAGGAAGGCTCCTTCTTTGTAGGCCACTGGTGTTGCTGAAACCTCTGCCGCCACCTGCAGGGCACCCCCTGATAGCGCCCCTAACCCGCCGCCAGCTATTGGACCCGGGATGGCGCCCCTAACACCCTCCCCTCGCCGCTGCAGTGTAGAAACCCAATAGCGTCCCGAACCCGTCCCCGCCTCAGACGTTGCAGCACCAGATAACTCCCCCAACCTGCCCCCTGCCGTGGGCCATGCAGCCACGGATTGGACCCCCAACCAACTCCCTCGCCGCTGGCAGTGACGCCCCAGAAAGCGCTGCAACCTGATCCCCGCCGTGAATAGTGCAGCCACGGATCCTTAAGGCCCCCAACCCGCTCCCCACGATGGGCAGTGCCCTCCCAGATAGCGGATAGCACTCCCAACCATCCCCCAGCCGCGGGGTATGATGCCCTGGATAGCGCACCCAACCCGCACCCCCCGCCCCGTGGACAGCTTAGCCCCCGACAGCTCCCCTAACCCGTATGCCACTACCGAGAATATGGTCCCGATAGCGCACCAAACCTGACTCCCGCCACAGGCAGTGCAGCAGCTGATAGCTCCCCTAACTCGCTCCCACTGACCACAGTACAGCCCCCTAATGATGCACACAACCCACCACACCTCCCCACCTGCCACCGGTGGGGTATCGCCCCCAAACTGCCCCTTGCCGCTGGCAGTGTAGCCCCCAATAGCGCACCCAACGCCCCCCTCTATCATGAGTAGTCTGGCCCGCGATAGGGCCTGAAACCACCCCCTCCAATCACCTCCCTGTACCCCCCTTTCCCGCCCCCCCCCCACCTGCAGTGTACCACCGGATACTGCCCCTAACCTATCCCCTGCGGGGGGCATTGCAGCCCCAGATAGCGCCCCCAACAAGTCCCCCGCCGCGGGCGGTGCAGCCCCCAAACCACCCCCCCACCCCACTATGGGCAATGAAGCCAGACCAGTCAGCACCCCGACCAGTCCCCCCACCCCGGCGCCGCCGGCAGTGTAACCACAGTAGCGGCCCTAACCCGCCCCCTGTCGCGGGCAGTGTAGCACCCAATAGGGCCCCCAACCAGCCCTACTGCTGCTGGCAGTACAGCCCAGGATAGTGCCCCCAACCTGCCCCCCCCCCCCCCCGCTGCTGCAGGCAGCGCAGCCCGGGATAGCACACCTAAAGTAGTGACGCCCGGAATAACACCCCTACCGGCCCCCGGCCGCGGGCAATGTAGCCCCGGATAGCGCACCTACCCAATCGCCTTTCTACGCTCTGGCCGGCTGCAGTGTCCGCTGCTGCCACCCACAGCAGCGAGGCGAGCCAGCGAGGCCAGCCGCAGTCCCACAGACTCTAGCCTCCAGCCTGTGGTAGGTGCCTCCTCTTTCCCTTCCTGTATCCAGGCAAGGAGCAGCTCTCGCTGCCAGCCGCCTGTCTCCATCACCGCCACACACTATGCAGAGGCAAGCCCTGGTGCCACAGGATCCAGCCTCCAGCCCCAGCGTGTGGCGGGGGACTCCGCTTTCGCCTTCTTTAAGGTGCGAACGGAGGGGTTGGGAACGCTGAGGCACAACAGCCTGCAATGGCGCAACTCCCCCTTAGCATGCTTTATATACTGAGGTTATGCAAGCCAGGTTCCTGGACTTCATGTTCTGATTGGATGAGAGAAAACCGCTAGGCCTGCTAGTTGGGGGCACTATCCCAGACTGTATTGCCGGCAGCAGTGAGGTGGGTTAAGGGTGCTATCCAGGGCTGCACTGCTCGGGGGTGCGGGTGGGGGGGGTTTGGGTTTAGGCACTATGGGGTGCTGCAATGCCCACGGTGCAGGAAGAGGGGGAAGTTTGGGTGTGTTGGGTGCGCTATGGGGTGGGGGGGCTACACTGCTGGTGGCAGGGGGCGGGGTTGGTTGGGGACCATATCAGGGGCTGCACTGATTGCTTTAGCTAGGATTTCCAATACTATGTTAAGTAACAGTGGTGACAGTGGGCATCCTTATCATGTTCCAGATCTTAGAGGAAAAGCTTTCCATTTTCCCCCATTCCATATGATTCTAGCTGTGAGTCTCTCTCTTGTGGTTTTTATTATGTTGCAGTTATGTTTCTTCTGTACTTGGTTTTTTGAGGATTTATAACATGAAGGAATGCTGAATTTCATCAAATGCTTTTTCAGTTTCAGTTGACATAATCATACTGTTTTGTCGTTTATTTGGTTGATATGATGTATCACATTGAGTGTTGAATGACCCTTGCATCCCAGGGATACATCCTACTTGATCCTGATGAATTATCTTTTTAATGTATTGCTGAATTTGATTTGCTGGTATTTTGTTGAGGATGTTTGCACCAATATTAGAGATACTGGCCTGTAGTTTCCTTCTTTGATGTCTTTGTCTGATTTTGGTATGAGGGTAATAATGGCCCCACAGAATAAGTTTGGAAGTATTCCCTGCTGTTTTTCAAAATAGTTTGAGTAGGATTGGTACTAGGTCTGTAAATGTGTGGTGTGAAACCATCAGCAGTGAAGCCATTGGTTCCTGGGCTTTTTTTTACTGGGAGACTTTTTCTGATGGCTTCGATCTCATTACTTGTTACCGATCTGTTCTGGTCTTGGATGTTTTCACTGTTCAAACTAGGTAGGTTGTATGCGTCTAGGATTTCTACTAGGCTTTCTAATTTATTGGCATATAATAGCCAGTTAAGATCCTTTGAATTTCTGAAGTATCAGTTGTAATGTCTCCTATTTTATTTTTTGATTTTATTTATTTGAATCTTCTCTCTTTTTTCTTAGGCAGCCTGGCTAAAAGTTTGTCAGTTTTGTGTAGCTTTCCAGAAAACCAACTTTTTGTTTAATTTTGTGTATTTTTTTAATTTCAACTTTATTTCTGCTATGATCTTTATTATTTCTTTTCTTATTTTGGGTTTAGTTTGTTCTTACTTTACTAGTTCTTTAAGATGTATGGTTTATTTGAAGTTTTTCTTCTGTTTGGATGGTAGGCACTTATAGCTATGAAACTCTGCCTTTGTACTGTTTTTGGCATATCATAAGTTTTGGTATATTGTGTCTTCATTACCATTTGTTTCATGAAATTTTTCAATTTCCATCTTATATCTTCATTGACCCACTAGTCATTCATTCAGGAGTGTATTATTTAACTTCCATGTGACTGTATGGTTTCCAAAATTCTTCTTCTTATTGATACCTAGTTTTATTCTTTTGTAGTCAAAGAAGATGGCCATGGAGACAGCAGCGTGGTCGGAGTGGTAGCAGGCAGCCATCAGCAAGAGCTGCTCCGTGCCAGGCTGCTGGAGGCTAGAGCCTGTGGCCCAGTGGCTTGCCTCACTGTGGTTGGTGGTGGTGGTGACAGAGACTGCAGCATGACCAGAGTGATAGGATAGGGGCCATCGGGGCTGCACTTTTCACACTGTGGGGTGGGTTGGGGGCACTATCTAGGGTGTCACTGCCTGCACTGGGGGTACTGGTTGGTAGCATTATATGGGGCTGCACTGCCCATGGTGGGGACCATGTTATGGGTGCTCTCTGGGACTGCAATTCCCATAGAGGAGGACAGGTTAGGGCACTATCGGGTATACGCTGCTGGTGGCGTTGGGGGAGTGGAGGTGGGGGGCGCTATTGAGGGCAGGATTAGCCATGGAGGGGGGCAAGTTGGGTACTGTTGGGGGCTGCACTGCTGGTGACGGTCAGCAGAGTTGGCAGTGACAGTGGTGGCATCCAAGGAAGGAGCGGTTCTCCTCTCCCTGGACTCCACACTCCAGAGGGCAACCTACTCTTGCTCATACTGGAGCGTGGCAGACACACAGTGTTTCTGTGGAAATCCTGAGCATGGCAGAGCCCCCATACCCACCGTGGTTCCTGGGCCCATGCACTCTGAGTCTGTGCCACAGAGACTGCCTGGCACCCCCCAGTATGGAGTAGCAGACACCACTGAGGACAGGGCCCTGTATGTGGAGGCATCCGGAACAGGAAGTGGCACCTGGGTGCAGAGGGTTGGCTGGGTCTGAGTTTCTGCTGCTCCTGCTTCCCGAGGAGTGCAGCCCAGGTGGGCCCAGCAGTTCCTGTGGAGTGAGGAGCCAGGCACTGTGGTGTCTCCAGCACCCACCCCAGGTCCCGGTTTCTGGCCAGCTTGGGCCAAAAGGAGAGGCTGGACTTTGAAGGGTGGCTGTGAGTGCCTTCACTGAAACTGGCCCCTGCCACCCAGTGGCTGGCATGACAAAGTGAGGCTCTGACGCTACCACCCCTTGCATCTTCCTCTAGGATTTTCTGGCTTTGCCCTCCCAGCTGCTCCGTGCCAGGAGGAGGAGGAGACACCTGGAGCCTGCAACACCACAGCTCGCTTCTCTGTGGGCTGGTGGTGGCAATGCAGACTGCAGCATCCTGGAGCAGTAGGAGGGCAGGCGGCTGCGGCCAGGGTGGGGGCAGGCCTACAGCAGTGGCCAGGTTGCAGCAGTGGCCAGGTGGTAGGAGCCTTGTAGGGAGGGCCGATGCATTCACAATGGGCCTGGCTATGCCCTGCCCGTGCTGTGGACCTGGCCCTGTACTGCCCTGCCCAGCCTTGCCCTGGACCTGCCCTACCATTACCTGGACTGTCTCAGCCCTGCTCTGCTCTGGTCCCACCCTGGCCCTGTCTTGGCCCTGTGCTACCCTGTCCCTGCTCTGGTCCTGCCCTTGCACTTGCCCTTCCCTGGCTCAGGCCCTGGCTCCATCTCTGCCCTGGACCTTCCCTGAATCTGTGCTGACCCAGCTTTGGCTCTGGCCCTGCCTCCTGTCCTGACCCTGGCCCTGCCATGGCACTGGCCCTGCCAATGGTCATGGTCCTGGTCCTGTCCTGGCCCTGATTTGTCCCAGCCCTGCCTTGGCCTGTCCCTGCCCTGGCCCCACCATGGCCCTGCCTGTTCTGCCCTCTCCTGGCACTGACCTTGCCCTGTCATGGCCCGGCGGTGCCATTGCCCTGCCTTACACTGCCCTGGTTGTGCCCTGGCCCTGCCTGACGCTGGCCGCTCCCTGGACCTGCC
Organism: Homo sapiens; assembly: GCF_000001405.40. Classification (NCBI taxonomy): domain Eukaryota; kingdom Metazoa; phylum Chordata; class Mammalia; order Primates; family Hominidae; genus Homo; species Homo sapiens. The sequence goes on from NC_000021.9 coordinate 13,985,422, forward strand.
CTGACCTTGCCGTGGCTTTTGCCCTGCCCTCGCTATGGCCTGGCTCTGGTCCTGTCCTGGCCCAGCCTCCTGGCCCTGATCCTGGTCCTGCCATATCCCTGGCTCTGCCCTTATCCAGGTCCTGCCCTTGCCTGTGCCCTGGCCCTGGCCTGGAACCTGATCCTGCCAAGGACCTGCCCTGACTCTGCCATGGCCCTGGCCCTGCTCTGCCTTGCTCCTGGCCCTGACCCAGACCCTTTCCTGGTTCTGTCCTGGCCCTGGCCTTTCCCTGGCCCTGAGCTGGCAGTAGTCTGCCCCTGGTCTTGGCACCAACCTGCCCTGCCGTGCTCTGGCTGTGTCATCACCCTGCCCTGGCCCTGCCCTCACCCTACTCTGGCTTTGACCCTGCCCTGGCCCTACCTTGGCTCTCACCCTCGTCTTGGCTACGGCCTGCTCTGGACCTGGCCCTAGCCCAGACCTGGCCCTGACCCTGGCCTTTGTCCTGCCATATCCCTGGCCCTGGCCCTGGCCCTGGCCCTGAAGTGACTAGACCCTGTTTTGGCCTGTCCCTGCTCTGCCCCTACCATTGCCTTGCCCTGTTCTGCCTTGTCCTGGCACTGACCCGGCCATGCCATTGCCCTGCCTTACCCTGCCTTGGCCGTGCCCTGGCTCGGTTCTGGCCCCAGCCCCGCCCTGAACATGCCCTGACACTGCCTCAGCTTTGGCACCAGCCTGGCTCTGCCTTGGCATTGGCCCTGCTCTCTCTATGGACCGGCTCTGGTCCTGTCCTGCACTGGCCATACCATGCCTTGCCCTGACTCAGCCCTGACTCAGCCCTGGCTCAGCTCTGGCCTTGGTGTTGCCCATGGTCCTGCCGTGTTTCTTGCCCTGTCCCTACCCTGGCCCTGGCCCTGACCCTTACCCTGGTCTGGCCCTGCTCGTGCCCTAACGCAGACCCTGGACCTGTCCTGGCCCTGGCCCTTCCTGGCTTGAGACCTTACCCTGGTTCTGCCCTGGCCCTGACCCTGTCCTGACCCTGAAATACTGGCCCTACACTGGTCTTGCACTGCTCTGGTCCTTGCCCTGACTCTGGCCCTGTCACTATCCTAGCCCCAGCCCTGTCGCTGGTCTTACCATGGCCCAGACCCTGCCTTGGCCCTACCCTGACCCTGTCCTGGACTCTGGCTGTGCCAAGAACCTGAACTGTCCTTGCCCTTCTTTTGCTCCTGCCCTGAACCTGGTCCTGCCCAGGCCATGGCCATGGCCCTGTCCCTGCCCTGGTCTTGGCACTGGCCTGGCCCTGCCTTGGCCCTATGCTTTCATGGACCTGTCCTGCGTGCCCTGGCCCTGCCTTGGCCCTAGCCTGGCTTTGACCCTGCCCTGGCCCTACCTTGGCCTTCACCCTAGCCTTGCCTGAGCCCTGTCTTGTACCTGGCTATAGCACAGACCTGGCTGTGGCCCTGGCCCTGCCGTGGCCCTGTCCCAGACCCTGGCCCTGCCAGGTACCTGTCCTGGCCCTGGTTCTGCCCTGGCCCTCCCCTTGCCCTGGCCCCTCCCTGGCCATGCTTTTTCCCTGGTCCTTCCCTGGCCTGCCCTTGCCCTGGCCCCTTTCTGGTCCTGCCATGTTTCTGGCCCTGCCCTGTCCATGCCCCGGACCTGGCTCTGGCCCTAGACTTCCCTGGCTGTGCCCTGCCATACCCTGGCCTGGTCCTTGCTCTACACTGACCCTGCCCTGCCTTGGCCCTGTGCTACCCTCACCCTGCCCTGGCCCTCCACTGGCCCTGGCCCTGACCTGGCCCTGTCTTAAGCCCTGGCCCTGCCATGTCCCTGCCCTGGCCCTGGTTCTGCCCTGCTTCTGGCCCTGGCCTTGGTCCTGTCATGTCCCTGGCTGTGACCCTGCCCGGTTCTACCCTGGCTCTGGCCCTGCCCTGGTTCTGGTCCTGCCCTGGCCCAGCCCTGACTGGGCACTGTACTACCCTGGCCCTGCCCAGCCCAACACTGCCCAGGCTGGAGCCCTGCCTTGGCCATGCCCATGGCCCTGCCCCTGGTCCTGTCGTGGCCCTTACCCTGCCACTGGTCCTACGATAGCCCTGACCCTGACTTGGCCCTGGTCCTGACCTAGCTGTGGCCCTGCCCTGCTTCTGGCCCTGTCCTGGCCCTGCCATTGCCTTGGCCCTGGCCCTGCCCTGGCTCCTACCTGCCCTGGCCTTTCCTCGGCCCTGTGCTACCCTGGCCCTGCCATGTTGTGGCCCTGCCTCTGCCTTGGCCCTGCTCTGGGCATGGCCTTAGCATTCGACCTGGCCCTGCCCTGCCCCTGCCCTGGACCTGCCCTACCATTACCTGGCCTGTCCCGGCCCCGCCCTGCCCTGGCCCCACCCTGGCCCTATCTTGGCCCTGTGCCACCCTGTCCCTGCCCTGCCCTTGCATTGGCCCTTCCCTGGCACAGGCCCTGGATTAACAAAGTTGTACAGTCATCAATCACCACTGTTTCAGTGCAGAACATTTTCGTCTTCCCAAAAAGAAACCCCTCAGTAATCACTCCCTGTCCCCCTCCCCTCATGGCCCTTGGCAACCACTATTCTAGTTTTTTGTCTCTATGGATTTACTTATTCTAAACTAGACATTTGATATAAATGGAATCATTCAGCATGTGACCTTTTTGTCTGGCATGTGCCAAGATTTTTGAAGCGTACTTTTTAATTTTTCTCTGATATTTTCTAAAGTTTAGATTTTTAAATCTTTCTGGATTTAATTTTTTTTTTTTTTGAGATGGAGTTTCACTCTTGTTGCCCAGGTTGGAGTTCAATGGCACAATCTTGGCTGACTGCAACCACTGCCTCCCGGGTTCAAGCAATTCTCCTGCCTCAACCTCCCAAGTAGCTGGGATTACAGGCATGTGCCACCCTGCCTGGCTAATTTTGTATTTATAGTAGAGATGGGATTTCTCCATGTTGGTCAAGCTGGGTCTCAAACTCCCACCCTCAGGTAATCCACCTGCCTCAGCCTCTGAAAGTGCTGGGATTACAAGTGTGAGCCACCGCGCCTGGCTAAAAAAATGTATTTTTAGAAGTGTATTACAAAAAAAAATTAACTGGATGTAGTGGCAGGCGCCTATGATCCCAGCTACTCAGGAGGCTGAGGCAGGGAGAATTGCTTGAACCTGGGGGGTAGAGGTTGCAGTGAGCTGAGATCATGCCAGTGCACTCCAGCCTGGGCGACAGAGCGAGAGTCCATCTCAAAAAACAAAAAATAAAATAATAAAATAAAATAGTATTCTCACCCTTTTCTACTCACATTCCCTCTGAGCTAATTAGTGCTATTGGCTGGTGTGTATCCTTCCACTCACATTTACTTACTCGTACATTCAAATGCAAAATACACATACATACATAGTATGGTGGTGGTTGTATTTTAAAATGAAATTATTTTATGCACATTACTTTGCATCTTGCTTTATTTAAGAAAATATTTTAGCTGTTCCTCAAAATAGTTGATAGAGATCTAACACATTCCTTTCAATATTAGGTAACATTCTGTTACACTAATGAGCCTCATTTACTCGACCATTTCACTGAATGGGTGGATATTCAGATGTTTTCAGTTTTTTGACACCATAGCTAAGTCTTAATAAATATCTTGTTCATATATTCTTCTTAACTGATGCTCTTAATTCTATAGGCTAGAATCCCAAATCTGGGGTTTCTGTGTCAAGAACATTTGCATTTAAAATTTGTAATAGTTATTACTAGATTTATGTTCCCCAGTAGTTGCAGCAGGTCACAGCTTCATCCCCACTGAAATGCCTATTTTCCTGCATTTTTATCAGGATTAGCTGTTTTGCAATCTTTAAAATTTTTTGCCCCACTAATAAGGTAAGAAAGTATCTTATCTCAAGTATTCTTACCTTCTCTTTCAGAGGTAAACTGTATGACGTAATGGATATGTTAATTACCTTGATTGTGGTACTCATTTTAGAATGTATAAGTTTATCAGAACATCATGTTTTGTACACCTTAAATATATACAATTTTTATTTTTCAATCATACCTCAATAAACCTGAAAAAAAGTCATTCAGAAAGGAATCAAACAGTAGATACTAGCATTAAAAATATGTTATAAATTTTCAAGCCTAGAATGATAACATAAGATTAGGAACAAGAATATGTGTGTATAGATTTTAACATTTATATCTGTGAATATTAATCGATATATACAGATCTTGAAGGCAAGTTACAATCGTGAAGAAAATGAAAATTATGTTGTGTACCTATAATATGAAAATAAAAAATCACACAAAGGCATATACCTTCACTCAAGGATGCATACTCGAGTATACATATTATTTATAATAACCTAAATTTGTAAACAGCCCCAAATGTCCATTAACTTGTGAATAAATAAACCAACAGTGATACCTTGAAAGAATGGAATACTATTCAGCAATAAAAAGGAACTAACTACTGACTCGGCAATATTCGTGAATCTCAAAAATATTATGCTAAGTGAAAGAGAGATGACATACTATGTGATTTCTTTTAAAATTTCTAGAAAAGACAAAATTCAGGACAGAAAGCAGATCAGTGGATGCCAGGAGTAGGAGTTAAGGGAGGAAATTTATTGCAAAGGAACAGTAGGCGACTGATTGTGGTGATGTTTGAAATGTTCTATGTCACGATCATGGTTGTGGTTACATGACTATTCTGAAAGTTCGTTAAGTTGTACACTTCAAATTGCTGATGCTCATTATATGTTAATTATACCTTAAAGCTAATAATTCATATTTAATCTCCTTGTGGTTTTGATTTGCATTTCTCTGATGGCCAGTGATGATGAGCATTTTTTCATGTGTCTTTTGCCTGCATAAATGTTTCTGTTCATATCCTTTGCCCACTTTTTGATGGCGTTGTTTGATTTTTTCTTGTAAATAATTTGTTTAAGTTCTTTGTAAATTCTGGATATTAGCCTTTTGTCAGATGGGTAGATTGTAAAAATTCTCTCCCACCCTGTAGGTTGCCTGTTCACTCTGATGGTAGTTTCTTTTGCTGTGCAGAAGCTCTTTAGTTTAATTAGATCCCATTTGTCAATTTTGGCTTTTGTTGCCATTGCTTTTGATGTTTTAGTCATGAAGTCCTTGCCCATGCCTATGTCCTGAACAGTATTGCCTAGGTTTTCTTCTAGGGTTTTTATGGTTTTAGGCCTAACATTTAAGTCTTTAATCCATCTTGAATTAATTTTTATATAAGGTGTAAGGAAGGGATCCAGTATCAGCTTTCTACATATGGCTAGGTAGGTTTCCCAGCACCATTTATTAAATAGGGAATCCTTTCCTCATTTCTTGTTTTTGTCAGGTTTGTCAAAGATCAGATGGTTGTAGATGTGTGGTATTATTTCCTAGGACTCTATTCTGTTCCATTAGTCTGTATCTCTGTTTTGGTACCAGTACCATGCTGTTTTGGTTACTGCAGAGTTGTAGTATAGTTTGAAGTCAGGTAGTGTGATGCCTCCAGCTTTGTTCTTTTGGCTTAGGATAGTCTTGGCAATGCGGGCTCTTTTGTGGTTCTATATGATCTTTAAAGTAGTTTTTTCCAATTCTGCGAAGAAACTCATTGGTAGCTTGATGGGGATAGCATTGAATCTATAAATTACCTTGGGCAGTATGGCCATTTTCACAATATTGATTCTTCCTATCCATGAGCATGGAATGTTCTTCCATTTGTTTGTATCCTCTTTTATTTCCTTGAGCAGTGATTTGTAGTTCTCCTTGAAGCGGTCCTTCACATCCCTTGTAAGTTGGATTCCTAGGTATTTTATTTTCTTTGAAGCAATTGTGAATGGGAGTTCACTCAAGATTTGGCTCTCTGTTTGTCTGTTATTGGTGTATAGGAATGCTTGTGATTTTTGCACATTGATGTTGTATCCTGAGATTTTGCTGAAGTTGCTTATCAGCTTAAGGAGATTTTGGACTGAGATGATGGGATTTTCTAAATATACAATCATGTCATCTGCAAACAGGGACAATTTGACTTCCTCTTTCCCTAGTTGAATACCATTTATTTCTTTCTCTTGCCTGATTGCCCTGGCCAGAACTTCCAACACTATGTTGAATAGGAGTGGTGAGAGAGGGCATCCCTGTCTTGTGCCAGTTTTCAAAGGGAATGCTTCCAGTTTTTGCCCATTCAGTATGATATTAGTTGTGGGTTTGTCATAAATAGCTCTTATTATTTTGAGATACATCCCATCAATACTTAGTTTATTGAGAGTTTTTAGCATGAAACGTTGTTGAATTTTGTCGAAGGCCTTTTCTGCATCTATTGAGATAATCATGTGGTTTTTATCATTTGTTCTGTTTATATGCTGGATTACATTTATTGATTTGTGTATGTTGAACCAGCCTTGCATCCCAGGGACGAAGCCAACTTGATCGTGGTGGATAAGCTTTTTGATATGCTGCTGGATTTGGTTTGCCAGGATTTTATTGAGGATTTTTGCATTGATGTTCATCAGGGATATTGGTCTAAAATTCTCTTTTTGTTGTGTCTGTGCCAGGCTTTGGTATCAGGATGATGTTGGCCTCATAAAATGAATTAGAGAGGATTCCCTCTTTTTCTATTGATTGGAATAGTTTCAGAAGGAATGGTACCAGCTCCTCTTTGTACCTCTGGTAGAATTCGGCTGTGAATCCATCTGGTCCTGCACTCTTTTTGGTTGGTAGGCTATTAATTATTGCCTCAATTTCAGAACCTATTATGGTCTATTCAGGGATTCAACTTCTTCCTGGTTTTATCTTGGCAGGGTGTTATGTGTCCAGGAATTTATCCATTTCTTCGAGATTTTCTAGTTTATTTGCATGGAGGTGTTTATACTATTCTCTGATGGTAGTTTGTATTTCTGTGGGATCAGTGGTGATATCCCCTTTATCATTTTTTATTGCATCTATTTGATTCTTCTCTCTTCTTTATTAGTCTTGCTAGCGGTCTATCAATTTTGTTGATCTTTTCCAAAACCATCTCCTGGATTCATTGATTTTTTGAAGGGTTTTTTGTGTCTCTGTCTCCTTCAGTTCTGCTCTGATCTTAGTTATTTCTTGCCTTCTGCTAGCTTTTGAATGTGTTTGCTCTTGCTTCTCTAGTTCTTTTAATTGTGTTGTTAGGGTGTCAGTTTTAGATCTTTCCTGCTTTCTGTTGTGGGCATTTAGTGCTATAAATTTCCCTCTACACACTGCTTTAAATGTGTCCCACAGATTCTGGTATGTTGTGTCTTTGTTCTCATTGGTTTCAAAGAACATCTTTATTTCTGTGTTCATTTCCTTATGTACCCAGTAGTCATTCAGGAGCAGGTTGTTCAGTTTCCATGTAGTTGAGTGGTTTTGAGTGAGTTTCTTAATCCTGAGTTCTAGTTTGATTGCACTGTGGTCTGAGAGATAGTTTGTTATAATTTCTGTTCTTTTACATTTGCTGAGGAGTGCTTTACTTCCAACTATGTGGTCAATTTTGGAATAGGTGTGGTGTGGTGCTGAAAAAAATGTATATTCTGTTGATTTGGGGTGGAGAGTTCTGTAGATGTCTATTAGGTCCACTTGGTGCAGAGCTGAGTTCAATTCCTGGATATCCTTGTTAACTTTCTGTCTCGTGGATCTGTCTAATGTTGACAGTGGGGTGTTAAAGTCTCCCATTATTATTATGTGGGAGTCTGAGTCTCTTTGTAGGTCTCTAAGGACTTGCTTTATGAATCTGGGTGCTCCTGTATTGGGTGCATATATATTTAGGATAGTTAGCTCTTCTTGTTGAATTGATCCCTTTACCATTATGTAATGGCCTTCTTTGTCTCTTCTGACCTTTGTTGGTTTAAAGTCTGTTTTATCAGAGACTAGGATTGCAACCCCTGCATTTTTTTGTTTTCCATTTGCTTGGTAGATCTTTCTCCATCCCTTTATTTTGAGCCCATGTGTGTCTCTGCACATGAGATGGGTCTCCTGAATACAGTGCACTGATGGGTCTTGACTCTTTATCCAATTTGCCAGTCTGTGTCTTTTAATTGGAGCATTTAGCCCATTTACATTTAAGGTTAATATTGTTATGTGTGAATTTGATCCTGTCATTATGATGTTAGCTGCTTATTTTGCTTGTTAGTTGATGCAGTTTCTTCCTAGCCTCGATGGTCTTTACAATTTGGGATGTTTTTGCAGTGGCTGGTACCGGTGGTTGTTCCTTTCTATATTTAGTGCTTCCTTCAGGAACTCTTGTAGGGCAGGTCTGGTGGTGACAAAATCTCAGCATTTGTTTGTCTGTAAAGTATTTTATTTCTCCTTCACTTATGAAGCTTAGTTTGGCTGGATATGAAATTCTGGGTTGCAAATTCTTTTCTTTAAGAATGTTGAATATTGGCCCCCACTCTCTTCTGGCTTGTAGAGTTTCTGCCGAGAGATCTGCTGTTAGTCTGATGGGCTTCCCTTTGTGGGTAACCCGACCTTTCTCTCTAGCTGCCCTTAACATTTTTTTCCTTCATTTCAGCTTTGGTGAATCTGACAATTACAAGTCTTGGAGTTGCTCTTCTTGAGGAGCATCTTTGTGGCATTCTCTGTATTTCCTCAATTTGAATGTTAACTTGCCTCGCTAAGTTGGGGAAGTTCTCCTGCATAGTATCCTGCAGAGTGTTTTCCAACTTGGTTCCATTCTCCCCGTCACTTTCAGGTACACCAATCAGACATAGATTTGGTCTTTTCACATAGTCCCATGTTTCTTGGAGGCTTTGTTCATTTCTTTTTACTCTTTTTTCTCTAAGCTTCTCTTCTCACTTCATTTCATTCATTTGGTCTTCAATCACTGATACCCTTTCTTCCACTTGATCAAATCAGCTACTGAAGCTTGTGCATGTGTCACATAGTTCTTGTGCCATGGTTTTCAGCTCCATCAGGTCATTTAAGGACTTCTCTACACTGGTTATTCAGTTAGAAATTCATCTAATCTTTTATCGAGGTTTTTAGCTTCTTTGCGATGGGTTCGAACATCTTCCTTGAGCTCGGAGAAGTTTGTTATTACTGATCGTCTGAAGCCTTCTTCTCTCAACTCATCAAAGTCATTCTCCATCCAGCTTTGTTCTGTTGCTGGTGAGGAGCTGTGCTCCTTTGCAGGAGAAGAGGCACTCTGATTTTCAGAATTTTCAGCTTTTCTGCTCTGGTTTCTCCTCATCTTTGTGGTTTTATCTGCCTTTGGTCTTTGATCATGGTGATGTACAGATGGGGTTTTGGTGTGGATGTCCTTTCTGTTTGTCAGTTTTCCTTCTAACAGTCAGGACCCTCAGCTGCAGGTCTGTTGGAGTTTGCTGGAGGTCCACTCCAGACCCTGTTTACCTGGGTATCAGAAGCAGAGGCTGCAGAACAGCGAATATTGCTGAACAGCAAATGTTGCTGCCTGATCGTTCCTCTGGAAGTTTCATCTCAGAGGGGTACCCGGCCATGTGAGGTGTCAGTCTGCCCCTACTCAGGGGTGCCTCCCAGTTAGGCTACTCAGGGTTCAGGGACCCACTTGAGGAGACAGTCTGTCCATTCTCAGATCTCAAACTCTGTGCTGGGAGAACCACTACTCTCTTCAAAGCTGACAGACAGGGACATTTAAGTCTGCAGAGGTTTCTTCTGCCTTTTGTTCAGCTAGGTCCTGCCCCCAGAGGTGGAGTCTACAGAGGCAGGCAGCCCTCCTTGAGCTGCGGTGGGCTCCACCCAGCTCGAGCTTCTCGGCCGCTTTGTTTACCTACTCAAACCTCAGCAAAGGTGGGCACCCCTCCTCCAGCCTTGCTGCCACCTTGCAGTTCGATCTCAGACTGCTGTGCTAGCAATGAGTAAGGCTCCATGGGCATGGGACCCTCCAAGCCAGGCATGGGATATAATTGTGCCATTTGCTAAGACCATTGGAAAAGCGCAGTATTAGGGTGGGAGTGACCCAATTTTCCAGGTGCCTTCTGTCACAGCTTTGCTTGGCTATGAAAGGGAATTCCCTGACCCCTTGCACTTCTGGGGTGAGGTGATGCCTTGCCCTGCTTCGGCTCATGCTCGGTGCGCTGCACCCACTGTCCTGCACCCACTGTCCGACAAGCCCCAGTGACATGAACCCAATACCTCAGTTGGAAATGCAGAAATCACCCATCTTCTGCGTTGCTCATGCTGGGAGCTGTAGACTGGAGCTGTTCCTATTCGGCCATCTTCCACTTTACCACTTATCATTAGTTTTAAAGAAAAAAAAACTGACATAATGGAAATTTTCACTATACCTCAGGAAGGGAATTCAGTGGAAAAGTAAGCTTCCTATTCCCTCTTGACCTTCAGTTTATACTTTTCTTCCTAAGTCAAGTACTACTACTGGTTTCTTATGCTATTTCTAGAACTAGCCTATCTATCTGTTGTCTATTTAAAATAACTCATTATTCACCTTTTATTTGAGCTGCCTTATGGATCTATGTAGTTTTTCTGTCTCTTTTTAAAATTTTTTATGTGGTAAAATACACATAACATAAAATTTACCATCTTAACCATTTTTTAGTGTACAGTTTAGTAACACCATCTTTCACATTGTTGTGCAACCAATCTCCAAAACCTTTTCATCGTGCAAAACAAATTCTGTATCTATTCAACAGCTCTCCATTCTTCCCTACCCACAACTCCTGCAACCATCCTTCTACTTTCTGTCTGTCTGAATTTGAATACCTCACATAAGTGGAATCATACAGTATTTGCCTTTTTGACATGGGCTTATTTTACTTAGCATAATGTCCTCCAGTTCCATTCACGTTGCCTTGAAAGACAGGATTTCATTATTTCTTTATGGCTGAAATAGTATTCATCCGTGTTGTAGCATGTCAGATTCTCTTCCTCTTTAAGGCTGAATGATATTCCATTGTATGTATATACCAACATTCTATTTATCTAAATGTATCTGCCAATGGATTTTTCAGTTTCCACCTTTTGGCTATTACAAATAATGCTACTGTGAACATGGGAGTACAAATAACTTCAAAGCCCTGCTTTTAATTGTTCTGAATATATATCCAGAAGTGGACTTTCTGGATCATATCTTTATTCTATTTTTAATTTTTTGAAGAATTTCTTTTTTTAAGTCACTTTTGATGGTTTGTTCTTTGCCAGAAAATATATTTTTCAATTTTATCAGTGCAGAGTTGTATATAATATTTATATATTTTACTTGTACAATTATATAAAAGTTGTATTATATTTCTATATTCTCATATAATTATCTTCAGTATCCATGTTTGTAACTGTTTCCTTATTTCTCTTTTTCCTCTTTCATGTTTACTATTTTATTGGTCTTTAAAACCTAGACTTTGATTTTTTTTTGTTGTTGTTGTTTTTGAGACAGAGTCTTGCTCTATCACCCAGGCTGGAGTGGAGTGGCGTGATCTCAGCTCACTGCAACCTCCGTCTCCCAGGTTCAAGTAATTCTCCTGCCTCAGCATCCTGAGTAGCTGGGATTACAGGTGCCGGACACCATGCCCAGCTAAGTTTTGTATTTTTAATAGAGATGGGGTTTCACTACGTTGGTCAGGCTGTTCTCAAACTCCTGACCTTGTGATCCACCCACCTCAGCCTCCCAAAGTGCTGGGATTACAGGCATGAGCCACCGCGCCTGGCCGTTTCCTAGCATTTAAATTTTTCTGTTTCATTAATTTTAGCTTTCATTTTATTTATATTGTTATTTCTTCAGGCAATGGCTTGGTTCATCTATTTTCAGTTTTTTTTAAAAAAAACTGTAAAGTGTAAGGCTCTAAATTTTATTTTTTTAGTTACAGGAATTTTTAATATATTCTGGTTATTAATCCCTTATGAGATACATTATTTGCAAGTATTTTCTCCCACTCTGTGGATTGTTGTTTCATCTTCTTGATAGTGTCCTTGATAGACACAAGTTTTAATTTTGATGAAGTCCAATTTATCTGTTTTTTCTTTTGTTGTCTGTGCTCTTTTGGCATCATATACCAGAAATCTTTGCCAAATCCAATGTTGGAAACATTTCTTTCCTATGTTTTCTCCTAGGAGTTTTATAGCTTTACTGTTAAGTTTTGGTCTTTGATCTATTTTGATTTAGTTTTTGTATATGATGTAAGGGAAGGGTCCATCTTCATTCTTTTGCATCTGGATAATCAGTTTTCCTAGCATCGTTTGTTGAAAAGACTGTTCTTTCTCCATTGAATGGTCTTACTACTTTTTTCAAAAATTGTTTGGTCATATGTGTGAGGTTTCTTTCTAGGCTCTCTATTCCATTGGTCTATATGACTGTGCTTATGCTAGTACCGCATTGTTTTGATTACTGTAGCTTTGTAGTAAGTTTTCAAATAAGAAAGTGTGAGTTCTCCAACTTTATTCTTTCTCGAGATACTTCTGACTATTATGTGGTTCTTTGAGATTCATATGAATTTTACAATGGGTTTTTCTCTTTCTTTTTGCAAAAAAGACCATTGGGATTTTGATAGGGGTTGCATTGAATCTGTATATTGCTTTGGGTAATATTGTTACTTTAACAATCTAGGAACATGGGATATCTTTCCATTTATTTATGTTTAATTTCTTTCAGCAATGTTTGTAGTTTTTTATTGTATAAGTTTTTCACCTCATTGATTAATTCCTAAATATTTTCTTTCTGATGCTATCATAAGTGGAATTGTTTTCTTAATTTCCTTTTTGTATTTTTCATTGTGAATGTATAGAAATCCACCTGATTTTTGTGTGCTGACTTTGTATTCTATGACTTTGAATTTATTAGCTCTATCAGTTTGTTTTTGGTGTGTATGTGTCATCTTTAGGGATTTCTACATATATATCTTCTGTGAATAGACATAATTTTGCTTCTTTCTGTCCAACTTGGATGACTTTTCCATCTTTTTCTTGTCTAATTGCCCTGTCTAGAATTTCTAGTATTATGCCGAATAGAAGTAGAAAAAGTGGGTATCCTCATCCTGTTCCTGATATTAGGGGGAGAACTTTCAGTCTTTCACTATTGAGTATGTTGTTAGCTATTGGTTTTTAATATATGGCTTTTATTATGTTGAGGAAATTTCCTTCTATTCCTAGCTTGAGGTTTTTTTTTTTTAATCATGAAATGTGTGGAAATTTGTCAAGTGGTTTTTCTGTATCGACTCAGATGATAATGTGGAGTTTCTTCTTCATTCTATTGATGTGGTGTATTACATTGATTTTTTGTTGTTGTTGAAGCATCTTGTGTTCCTGGAGTAAGTTTCACTTGGTCATGGTGTGTCATCCTTTTAATAGGCTGCTGATTTTGTTGAGTTTTTCATCACTATTCCTAAGGTATATTGGCCTGTAGTTTTCTTGTATTATTTTTGTCTGGCTTTGGTATCAGAGTAATGTTGGACTCATAGAACTAAGGGGGAGAAGTGTTCCCTTCTCTTTAATTTTTTGGAAGTGTTTGAGAAACTTTCTTCTTTAAATTTTGGGTAGAATCAACCCATGAAAGCTATCTGGTCCTGACCTTTCCTTTGGGAGCTTTTTGATTACTGATTTGATCCCTTTACTAGTTATAGTTCTATTTAGATTTTCTATTTCCTTATGAGTTAGTTTTGGTAGATTGTGTGTTTGTAGGGATTTGTCCATTTTGTCCAGATTATTCAAATTGTTGGCATACAGTTTTACATGGTATCATCTCATCATCCTTTTTAGTTTTGTAAATAAGTAGTGTCACCACTTTTTTTTTTTTTATGGAGTCTTGTTCTTTCATCCAGGCTGGAGTGCAGTGACACGATCTTGGCTTACTGCACCCTCCACCTCCTGGGTTCAAGCAATACTCCTGCCTCAGCCTCCCTAGTAGCTGGGACTACAGGCGTGCACCACCATGCCTGTGTAATTTTTGTCTTCTTGGTAGAGACAGGAGCTTTACCACATTGGTCAGGCTGGTCTTAAACTCCTGACCTCAAGAAATTCACCTGCCTCGGCTTCCCAAAGTGCTGGGATTACAGGCATGAGCCACTGCACCTGGCTGTGTCACCACTTTCCTATATTTAGTAATTTGGTGTTCTTTCTCTCTGTCTCTCTTTATTTATTTTTTGGTTAATCGAACTAACTAGAGTTTTCTCAACTTTTTCAGAGAATCAGCTTCTGGTTTTGTAATTTGTCTCCATGTTTTTCTGTTCTCTGTTTGTTCTCACTCTAATCTTTAGTATTTTCTTCCTTCTGCTAGCTTTGGTGTAGTTTACTCTTTTTCTGGTTCCTTGAGGTGTATGGTTAGGTTATTGAGTTGAGAATTTTCTTGTTTTTTTAATGTAAAGGTTTACAGCTTTAATTTTTTCTTTTAGCCCTGCATTCACTGCATCCTGTAAGTTTTAGTGTATTGTGTTTTCATTTTCATTTGTCTCAAGATGGTTTCTAATTTCCTTCATGATTTTTTCCTTTGATCTATTGGTTATGATTCACAAATTTTCCCATATTTGTGAATTTGTTAGTTTTTCATCTGCTGTTGGTTTTTCATTTCCATTATGATCAGAAAACATACTTTGTAAGATCTCAATTTCTTTAAATGTATTAAGACTTACTTTGTAGCCTAATATATGGTCTGTTTTGGAGAATGTTCCATGTACACTTAAGAATATATTGTGCTGATGTTGGGTGAGTTTAGGTGTTGACATGTTACATTTGAGCATACATGTAGGTGGAGATGTGAGATATTCATTTAGGAGAAAAGCCAAGGGAAGAAATTTGTTAATGAACTGTAAAGAGGGGTTGACATTCACAAGAATATGTAATTTTTAAAAAAAAAACAAATTTAGAGCGATAGAACAGCCTTGAATATATTCTTATTTAGAAGGCTGAAGTTTGAATATAGCCTGGAGTGTTAGAAAAGGATGGAACAGTTTATCATAGACCAGAGCCAAGAGAGTATAATATTTAGATTTTAAATATCAAAAAGAAGATATGATCAGCTGAATTCAAAGTTGAAGCCTAGGCATGGTGGCTCATGCCTGTAATCCCAGCACTTTGGGAGGCTGAGGCAGAAGGATCACTTGAGCCCGGGGTTCAAGACCAGGCTGGCTAACGTGGCGGAACCCTGTCTCTACTAAAAATACAAAAATTAGCCAGGCCTGGTGGCAGGCGCCTGTGATCCCAGCTACTCTGGAGGCTGAGGCGGGAGAATCGCTTAACCCCAGGAGGCAGAGGTTGCAAAGAGCTGAGATGGTGCCTCTGCACTCCAGCCTGGTGACAGAGGAAGACTCCATCTCAGAAAAAAAAAAAAAAAAAAGTTCAAAAAACAGCTCCCTTGTTTGGGAAGAACTGTTTTTGATATACCCTTAAAAATTCAATAAAGAAAATAGAAAAAAGATGTTTTTTTTAATTTGAGAAGCATTTAAATGATGACCACTACTTAAATTATGAAATTGAAAACCAGAAATATAAATTATGCACTCTTTATAGTATGAGTTTTAGAGGTTGTTAATTTGCTATCATATTAGGTAAATCTGGAATAGAAGAAACTTCATATATTATCTTATTGCTATATTTGAATTCTGTAGAAGTTGTTTCTGGACAGTCTATGGAAAGCTCTTGCTGGCCACGGAGGAAGTAGGCAGCTGACACAAAGTTCTGCAATTGCCTGTGCCAAACTGTGTAAAGCAAGTACTTACATCAACTGGGAAGATAACGCTGTCATTTTCCTACTTGTTCAGTCCATGGTGGTTGATCTTACGGTAACATGCTTATTCTTTCTCTACTACAAAGTTTAAGAAAATTAAATTAATTTTCTAACATAAGTATTATGTCAAAGAGAATTGCTAACATTAAAGTTCTGATTCTTCTTTGATAAGTTCATAGGACTTGCTTTTGTTGTTACTGCGTTCATCAGTCTAAATGGACTGAGAATATGAAGAAAACACTGTTTTCTTAAATGAGCATAAATATACAGACTTGGGTTTAAAATAATGTGGCAATCAGGGCCTGAAAGGAACCTATATATGGTACAGGAAGAATTGTATCAGATGGATGAACCACAGTATTGGTGCTTTGTGCTGCTTCTGGCAACTGAATTTTACTGCCATCTATGTGGATAATGTGTTGATGTTATTACATATTAGTAAAGAAATACTGCATGGGTATTTAAAGGCTTTTGTTTTCTGTTGGGGTTTTTATAGAACCTGCTTTTTAATCCAAGTAAGCCATTCTCAAGGGGCAGTCAGCCTGCAGATGTGGATCTTATGATTGACTGCCTTGTTTCTTGCCTTCGTGTAAGCCCTCACAACAACCAAGTTTAAGGTGAGGGCACTGGTTTTTATCTAACTATGTTTACTGATGCCGTTATCCTTTATAAACGGAAAGACTAGAGGGATAACAGGTTCACCTCTATCGGCATTTCTCACTATTACGTATTGATGTTCATTTCAAGACCTTAAAAACTTAGTGTTTTTTAAAAAACTTTCTGTTTGCTGTTCTTTTTGACTTCATTTGTATTACTGAGTATTTTTCTCATAGAAATAATCTGCTTTTTTTTCTTTTTCTATAGATCTGCCTGGTGCAGAATTCACATTCTACATTTCACTATGTGCTGGTAAATTCACTCCATCAAATCATCACCAATGTAAGTCCAATAGGCATTGCTAAACTACTAAAAAAAAAAATTTCATTATTTTCTTTGCATATTTCTTTTTACGAAACGCGCTCTTGGTTTTCAAAAAGGTTCTGAATTTAGATGTACGGAATAGGAAAATTTCTCCACGGTGATTATATTTGATAATTGATAAATACTTGTATTTTTCATAGTAAGCCTTGACCGAAGGGCCCATATTAAGGAAGATGGAGTTAATAAGATGCTTTGGAAAGATAAATCTAAAGCATTTTATTCAGATCAAAAGCCCTAGAGAAAAATGGCACTGAAAATATAATATAAAATTTTCATCCCAAAGCTTTTCAAACATATTATTTGAATACTCTTAGCCCTTTCACAGCATTTGATACATTGACTTGCCACCTTACCATTTAAGTTAAAAGTAATAGTATTTATGTTGTAGTCCAGTATAGCACACTGACAAAATGATGGGACTATATTTGATGGTACTTTAAAACCTTTTGATCTTAAATTTATTCATATTGTAAAATTTCATTTTTCTTAAAATAAAATATTAACATACTTTAAAAGAGGTATTCACAAGATACAAAAGCATATCAAACAAAATAAGTGAAATCATTAAAAGGTACTTGGGAAACCTTCAACTCTGATATGGTGACATTAAATAGAGAGCAAAACTTTATCAGATTTGGACTGTGGATTTTTAAAATTCTAATTATGAACAACCCAGTTTTGAAAGTTCTCAGATGTTGGCCAGGCGCAGTGGCTGATGCCTGTAATCCCAGCACTTTGGGAGGCCAAGGTGGGTAGATCATGAGGTCAGGAGTTCAAGCCTGGCCAAGATGGTGAAACCCCATTTCTACTAAAAATACAAAAAATTAGCCAGGTGCGGTGGCAGGCGCCTGTAATCCCAGCTACTCGGGAGGCTGAGGCAGGAGAATTACTTGAACCTGGGAGGCGGAGGTTGCAGTGAGCTGATATCACGCCATTGTACTCCAGCCTGGGAGACAAGAGTGTGACTTCATCTCAAAAAAAAAAAAAATGGTTTAGCACTTATTACTTAGTCATTGCTTCCATATTTGTGTACATTGCTATTGGTCCCATAAATTGATACATTTCTTGCAGTCTTTTTGGAACGCTATTTGGCAGGAGCTATACAAACATTTCATTTTTTTTGTACAAATAATTCAATTTCTATGACTTTAAAAATGTTATGAATATAACTCAAAAGGAAAAAGCTGCACACATAGGTACTTATCGCTCTTGATTACAATAGGAGAATATTAGAAGAACTTTACTAGGAGGAGAATGGGTTAATATTCAATAATGAGAATGGTATTTTAACTTGGTGAGCTGATAAACATTCATTAAAACCTATATAGGGCCGGGCGCAGTGGTTCTCGCCTGTAATCCCAGCACTTTGAGAGGCTGAGGTGGGTGGATCATAAGATCAGAAGTTCAACATCAGCCTGGCCAAGATGGTGAAACCTGTCTCTACTAAAAATACAAAAAAAAAAAATTAGCTGGGTGTGGTGGTGGACCCCTGTAATCCCAGCTACTTGGGAGGCTGAGGCAGAGAATTGCTTAAACCTGGGAGGCGGAGGATGCAGTGACCCGAGATCACATCAATGCACTCCAGCCTGGGCCACAGAACGAAGCCACGTCTCAAAGAAAAAAAAACCAAAAAAAAACCTATATAGATCTGCGGGGCATGGTGGCTCATGCCTGTAATCCCAGCACTTTGGGAGGCCGAGGCGGGCTAATCACGAGGTCAGGAGATCAAGACTATCCTGGCTAACATGGTGAAACCCCGTCTCTACTAAAAATACAAAAAAGTAGCTGGGCGCGGTGGCGGGCTCCTGTAGTCCCAGCTACTCGGGAGGCTGAGGCAGGAGAATGGCATGAACCCGGGAGGCGGAAGTTGCAGTGAGCCGAGATCGCGCCACTGCACTCTATCCTGGGTGACAGAGCGAGAGTCTGTCTCAAAAAACAATAGCAACAACAACAACAACAAAAACCTATATAGATCACATAGCAATATGGAAAAACATGATACGTCAAGTGAGTATACTGTGTTTACGGCTTCGTTAAAACGTGGAAAATACAAAAAAAAAAGGGAATATGAAAAGAAAATCAAAGCAGGGAAAAGGCTAACACGTTTTCTTTCAATATATATTTTTAAAGTTTTATCAAACAAAAATATAGAGAATTTGTCACTTGAAAAAGCTACTGCCAGTAAATTGTACCAAGTTTTGGTACAATAGTAGCAAATTTGATTTTTAATTTGTGTTGTTTTTTTTTTTGATATGAGAGCTTTAAATTAATAGTTTTTTGAGATTCTCACAATTAATTGCAATTTTCATTAAATATCTCAAAGTAATTACAATAACAATGTTTGAAATGAGATAATATGGGTCTGGCCTTTATACGTTGATAAGTTGACCAAGGGCTGAAAGGAATGTCCAGAGCTTCACAGTGTCTGCTGGGTTGGGGGTGGAGCGGGGTGGGAGGAATGTGAGTTGGGATTGTAGAATTGGAGTTAAGATAGGATCAGTTTGAAGGAAGAGTTTACGTTTTATTCTTTATATCTTTGATGGTTTTAATTTATGTAATAATCTATATGTTATATATTGTAAGTGAATTATTTAATTCCTGTTAATGTTCTCTGAACCAAATTCCAATTTCAGTTCTATGGTCCACTGAAATACTTTAGAATGGATAATCTGTTATGAAATACAAAATCCATTTTGCTTCCTCTCTCTTGATTTTGAAAAATAGTTGCTCTTTTCTGTTACGAGAGACTTTGTGGCAAGTGAGACGATTTTTACTTATCTTTTGCTGTGTGTATTAATTTTGGCAAGCCCTTCTTACTTGGGGATTAACTTTTTGTCTCACAGAGTTCTTTAATATCTGTTGAAATTATTTTGTTTGTTTCTTAAAGGAATTTTTACAGTTGTATATTGTTCTGAATTCATCATTTAGCTTTATATGGTTATGCCAGTTAGAGTAAGAATGATGAGAATAAAATGATATCATTCTGTCTATATTATTCCCTAGAGGTTTGTGTTCACCAGAGTTTATCTCTTTTTACCTTTTACTATGTATGGAAACTACAAATGAAATAGCTCAATTTCTTAGCATTTATACAGTAAGTACTCCAGCGTTATGTTTACCAAACATGTTTGAGTGAGTCTTCTCTTTGCCTTTCTCTTTTTAAAAAAATTCAGGCTCTGCTGGTTCTTCGTCAGTTAGATAGCATTGATTTGTGGAATCCTGATGCTCCTGGAGAAACATTTTGGGAGATTAGGTATATGTACTTTTATTCTTTAAATTCAACTTTTAAATTTTATTTTGTATTTTTTGTCTTGAAATATTAACTCTATAGTATTTAGTATATTGTAAAACTTATACTTCCAAAGGTTTTATGATTTTGTATTTTTTTGACTTCAAATTATTAGAATTTCTTGTTTTAACTGTAAAAAAAAGTGTCACAGCAATTTAGAAAATAAGTTTTAAGAATAGTGCTAAATTTTGTCACCCAAACAAGTACTGTTGTTTGGTATATTCCCTTTTTCAGATTTCAATGTGGTTACTACTATGATTTAAATAGATTTTCACAGTTTTAAGCCTAGAATGATAAAATTTTGTAAAAATATTGTTTTTTCAGTTTTTTAAGCTGTGTGATCTTTCACAAACTTTCTGTAATACCAATGCTTTTGATGAATGAATTAATCATGGACACCTGCTTAGAAGACAAAAATATATACAGAATTTTGTGGTCTACTTCCTAGATTATATAAGTCATTACATTTTCATGAGCATAAAGTCACCACACTGAGGAAAATGGAAATGTGTAAACCTCAAGTTTGCCATTATCTTATAGGAATAGGTGTGCTAAGTTACATGGCAGCTGAATTAAACCTTACTCTAGAGCAATGCTCTCCAATAGTAATATAATGAGAACCCCATATGTTAAAGTTTCCTACATTAAAGAGTAAAAAGAAGCAGGTAAAGTTAATTGTATTAAATTTTATTTAACCCAGTGTATATTATCTGTAATATAATTGCAACATGTAATCAATATAAAAGTTATTAATGACATATTTCATTGTCTTTTTTAAATAAAGTCTTCGAATTTTGGTGTGTCTTTTATACTTGCAGCACATCTCAATTTGAACAAGCCACACTTAAAGTCCTCGATAGCCATGTGTGGCTGCCCAGTGGCTACCATGTTAGACACTGCAGCTCTAGAGTAGGGATCAGGAAACTTTTCTCTTAAGGCCAGATAGTAAATATTTTAGGCTTTGCAGGTCATACAGTTTCTGTCATAACCATTCAGTTCTGCCTCTGAAGCATGAAAGTGGCCACAGACAATATGTGAATGAACGGGCGTGGCTGTGTTTAACTAAGACTTTATATTTACAATAGCAAGTGATAGGCTGGATTTGGCCTATGGATGGTAGCTTGCAGACCCGCTGTCCTCATTCCGCTACCTCTGTCCGCCAGGGGAGTGCCTAGGTGGCCAGAACCTCCTCTGGGCTTCAGCCCATGCTGCTTAGGTCCGGGGTCCCTTGGGGAGTCTCTGAACGTGCACCTCACAGTCTCACGTTTGTGTGGTGGACGATGTGCACATGCCTGCCCATCCTGGGTGGAATCCTCACGTGCTTGAGAGTCTAACACACTTCTAATAACTCATGAGGAAGACAAAATTATAAAGGAACTTTTCAAATACTTAGAACTGAAGAATAATAAAAATACTACATAGCAAAATGTGTAGAATGTAGTTAAAGTTCATTGTATACAGGGAAATGTAGCCTTTTAAAGACAGACTGGAAAAGAAGAAAGGCTACAAATTAATGAGTTAAGCTTCCAACTTAAGGACAAAAGAGGCAAGGCATGGTGGCTCACGCCTGTAATCCCAGCACTTTGGGAGGCTGAGGTGGACAAATCACCTGAGGTCGGAAGTTCAAGACTAGCGTGACCAACATGGCAAGACCCCGTCTCTACTAAAAATACAAAAATTACCTGGGCATGGTGGCGGGCGCCTGTAATCCCAGCTACTCAGGAGGCTGAGGCAGGAGAATCGCTTGAACCTGGGAGGCAGAGGTTGCAGTGCACCAAGTCAGACCCTGACTCACGCTACCGCCCCTGCCACCCCCAGTTGTTTCAGAAGTGCTGCCTGGGGCAGAGGATCCTGGAGGCCTGGGAAGCCAATGACCACACACAGTAAGAGCCACTCGGACATGGAGGGACCCAGCCTGGCCAGTCAGGGATGCAGAAACGCACCTCAGCCGGGCACTGGTGATGCTGCGTGCAGGACTGCATGCTCTGGTGGAGCGCTGGGTGTGCGACACAGCTCCACACTCTGAGGCTGCCATGCAAGGGGCCCTCCTACTGGGTGGACAGCTGCAAATGCTACTTGGGGAGGGGACACAGGGAGCTGACAGGAAGCAGTCCCAGCCCCACCAGGCACCTGCTCTGGCCCCTGCCCAGCCTGGCTTGCCTAGGCTTTGCCCTCTTGCGGGTCCCCTGTCCATTCCTGATCTTCCCCCAAGAACTCGGGTGCTCTATCAGCACTCGCACATGGGGACGCGTTATTTTGGTCTTTCCGTGTCTTCTGCTTAATGGGTGCTCCCTCTGGTCAGGACACATGTCCTGCTTATTGTCCTGGACCCAAAGCCATCCCCACCCATTCATTGTCCTGCTGGGAGCTGTCTGGCTCTGGGCGATATGAGGAGGGACTCACTGGAGCTGGGAGGGGTTTGAATGCAGCTGTGGGGAAGCAGAGGCTCAGCTGGGCTGCACAGCATGGAGGTCCCGCCCGACCCTCCCTGCAGGGTGCTGAGCCTGAGCTTTGCAGCTGACAGCGTGGGCTCAGCTCCTGCGCTACTGCTGCCACCAGCAGGGCTCAGGCCACACCACGGCCTTTCTGCCTCCGTTTCCCTGTCTGTAAAATGGGATGAGAGCAGTGTCTGTCTCCACGTCTGTCTCAGTGGCACTTTTGGTAGTGAGGTTGGGGTGAGCCTGCTTCACGTGGCAGGTGCTGCTCAAACAGAAGTGTCTTGGAGGCAGGGCCGGGGGCACAGGCTCCGGGCAAGGGCCGGGCTCTTGCTCTGGAGGTGAACCTGGAGGCCTGTGCCACTTGGCTCACCGGGTCATGGGTCTGGCAAGGTTGGGGCCAGGCGGCCACCCTGATGGTGCCTGTGGCTTTTAGGGCGACGGGTGGCATGAGGCATGGGAACATAGGCCACCTCACGCAGATCGCCAACGTGCTGGTGCAGAACCTGGAGCAGGGCTCTGTGCAGACGCACATCAGCGAGGTCATCTGAGGTGAGCCCCCCACCCGGTCATCCTTTTGCTGGTCGTGGGCACCGGGGCTCTGAAGGAGCTGCTGCCCGAGGCTCCCCTCTGCCCGTCAGCAGGTGCTGATTGCACTGACAGTGAAAGACCCCGCAGCCGTCTCTGTCCTCTCACTTCCCACATTAGATCTGTCCTCAGGGGGACCTGGGTCTCATGTGTCAGTTCTGTTGGGCAGACTTCTGTGGAGACCCTACCAGGCATCAGCATGTAGCACAAGAGATAGTCCCTGCTGGGGGCAGTTGGTGACTCCGGAGCTGGTGCTCCGAAGCCATTAGCGCTGCCAAGCTCCTTGCAGCTCATGGAGTCCTGCCTGGGTGTAGGCAGTCCTGGCCGTGTGCCAGCTTTGCTCTGCATTCAGGTGGTTGGAGAGTCTCACATTCTCACTCAGGTGTGAGACTTCATAGCACAAGTCTCAGGGAAACAGGTAGCACCCTGTTTCTTAAGAGCACAGTGGGTTAGGTGGACACAGGCACACCACATGTGTGGCAGAGGCGGGCCCAGCCATGGCCCCTCCTCCCTATACCGGTACAAAGTGAGGAAGCTCTGGATGGTCCTCCCCGCACCCCAGGACCATAGGGTGAGGGGTCTCCTGGGTTGGGCCCCATTGGCCCCTAGCAAGGTCAGGCCTGCCGGCCGCTGTCACAAATAATAAGAGCAGGGCAAGAGGAGGGGCAAAAGAGATGGGTGGAGGTGGAGGCCAGGGAGGGCTCCCCAGGGCAGGGGTGGTTTAGGGAGGCGAGGGGCAAGCAGGAAGCTCTTGGATCATCCCATACAGTCTCCCGATTGTGAATCCTTCCAGGGTTCTGACCTCCCTGGAAAAACAGACAGGACACACACCCAGGCCTGCAGGCTGCTGCTGAGTTTGGGCCTGTGAGGCAGGGTGAAGGAAGCTTGCTGCTTTCTCAGATTCTGTTCCACAGCTTCTGCGTTTCTGGGAGTTCCTCAGAATGGGCTTCCACACCAACAGACTTGGAACTCGGTTGCCCACTGAGGTCTTGGTAGGGGCAGAAGTGCCCACCACCCTGCCCACAGTTGCTGCACCTCAATCTCACTGTGGCCCCAGGCCCCTCCGGACACGCGACTATGCTGACTCCTTCCCATCCAGCAAAGCTCCTGCTTCAGGCCCTCAGATGGACTGACCACAGTAGCACCGTCCCATCCTCCTGGACCCAGGATGCACCTGCCAGAGCGCCTGAGTGCCCTGAGCCATGTGCAAGGGGTCTCCCAGGGCTCACCAGGCTGCACTTTCCTTGTAGAGCTCCCTGTGGATTGCCATGGCTGCTAGGAGAGCTTCGTGGAGGAGACGCTGACGGAGACCAACTGCAGGAACACTGTGGACTTGTTGAGGAGGCTTGGGGCTGCGCCCTCGGCGCCGGCATGGTGCTGGGACGCAGGAGGCTCGGGGCTGCCCCCTTGGTGCATGCACGGTGCTGGGACACTGTCAGACACTCCTGTCTTTGCCCCGAAGCAGAGGCCAAGAGAGGCACAAGGGCCGCACACCTGCCTGCTCCTCTTGGACGCGGGTGCCCGAGCATACCCTGCAAGTGTGCAGTCTGTCCTCCAGGCTGATGCCTGCAACACAGACCCTGTCCTGTGCCACACCCAGGGCTGGTCTCTGAGGACCTCTGTGCAGAGCTGGTGTTGGCCCCAGGTCCCTTCCCTCCCAGTCCAGGAGCTGTAGCTTGTTGGCAGGGGGCTCCATATGCCTGAGACCAACCTGCCCCCTGCACATGGATGTTGGGCTGTCACGGGGCCTTGGCCTCACCTGGGCACCTCCTTACACAGCAAGGCCTCCTGGGCCCAGAGATCTGATGAGTGACATGTTGGGCGGGGTCTGGGAGCCCTGGGCTGGGCAGGGTCTGGGGCGCTGGGCTGGCTCACACACCCACCCCATCTGGCCTGTGTTTTAGGCAAGCACTCACTACCTTCACTCCTGGAGTGAGGACATTGAGGGTGCTTTCCCTAATGAGCTGTCCCTTCAGCAGGTGAGGGCGTGGCCGGCCCCTGCACCCTGCCGGGCCCTTCCTGGCACCTGTGTGCTCTGTGCTTGGTCCTCCAGACAAGTCTCTGATGGCATCTCACTAGCAAAAGGGAGAGGGGGCTCATCTCGGAGCACGTATGGGGTGGGGTGGGTCTGAGGGGAGAACTCCAAAGTCACTCCACCTTGATGAGAGCACTGAGAACACAGCAGATAAACTCGAAAGTCAAAGAATATGGGACGTATCTCGGATGTAAGCACAGTGAGCACGCGGCCTGAGTTTGGGTAGAATCGTGAGCCCTGAACAGTCAGAGTTTACTGCCCACTTTTGCTGGAGGAGAAGCTCCTGAACAACTAGAGAGACTGTGGTTCCCAAAGAGCAGCCTGTAGGCCTGAGGACTGCTCTATGACCGGCGTCAGTCCCTGCCTCCCTCCCTCCGTCCCTCCTTCCCTCCTTCCTTCCCAGGCCTTCTCTGACTACCAGATCCAGCAGATGACGGCCAACTTTGTGGATCAGTTTGGCTTCAATGATGAGGAGTTTGCAGACCATGACAACAACATCAAGTGAGTCCACTTGGATGCCCCCTGCACGAGGCACGACTCCCCCTCCTCGCTGCTGAAGTCCCATGGGGGCAGCTCCCTTAGTCCTTGCCGGGAGATAACAGGTGTTTCCAGTTGCATGAGGGTGCTGAGGCCCCCAGTGAGAACCAGGGGAGGAGCACTGAGGCCTCAGATGAGCACCGGGGGAGGAGCCCTGAGGCCCCAGATGAGCACCAGGGGAGGAGCACTGAGGCCCCAGATGAGCACCGGGGGAGGAGCGTTGAAGCCCCAGATGAGCACCAGAGGAGGAGAGCTGAGGCCCCAGATGAGCCCCGGGGGAGGAGCTCTGAGGCCCCAGACGAGCACCGGGGGAGGAGCGCCGAGGCCCCAGATGAGCACCGGGGGAGGAGCGCCGAGGCCCCAGATGAGCAGTGGGGGAGGAGCCCCGAGGCCCCCAGATGAGCAGTGGGCGGGGCAGGGAGCGCCGAGGCCATCCCCCTTGCTCTTGCAGCGCCCCATTTGACAGGATCGCGGAGATCAACTTCAACATCGACACTGACGAGGACAGTGTGAGCGAGCGGGGCTGTGCGGGGTCATGCAGGCACCCTGTTCCCAGGCAGCTCAGGCCGCGCCCATGGCTCGGTCTGTGGTGGGCCTGTGCGGTGGGGCTGGGAGAGGCCCCTCTGTGGAGCTAGGAACAGTCGCTTTTCTTGACCCTCCCCATCATGCCCTCCAGCCCATGGCGCCCACATCCTGAACTAAGCCCCTCTGGGAGCCCTGTGGGGAGAGCGCCTCCTGTCTCCCCCAGACCCTCTGGAAACTGACCTTGGCGTTTTACTCTGCAGCCCAGCGCGGCTCTGAGGCCTGCTGCAGCGACCGCATCCAGCACTTTGATGAGAACGAGGACATCTCGGAGGACAGCGACACTTGCTGTGCTGCCCAGGTGAAGGCCAGAGCCAGGTGCGGGGCCTGCCCATCCCCCCAAAGCCTCTGCCGAGGAGGTGCAGCCCCCAGAACACCCGTCAGATGCCCAGACGCCCTGCTGTTTGTTATGCCGGCTCGCAGAGCAAGCACACCGGTCCTGCAAGCACTGGCGCCCAACGCAGCGGGTGACCCTCAGGAGCTCGGAGCTGAGGCCTGGAGCGACTCGTGCTCCTCACTCAGGGCATTCTGTGCTCACCCTCAGCCTGGAGCCTGCTGCTGTCACTGACCCTCAGTGTTAGGCATCTGTCCTGGGCCACCAGGCATCTGACTCTGCATCTCCCCGAGGTTTGGAGCCCCCCATGCTTCAGAAAGCTGCTCAAAGAATGGCCCGGAGTGCGGAGGCCAGGATGGGAAGGCGAGCTTGGAAGCAGACCATGATGCGCCTGGGGCAGGTGCCCCCTAGACCCTGGAAAGAACAAAGCCCCTCCTCTGGAGGGTGACTCAGAAGGTGGTGCTGTGGGGCAGGGGCCGGGGATGTGTGTGTTGGGGGCAGGACATGGTACCCTGGCCTAGGGGTGTGGAGGCTTCATTTGGAGCTGAGGCATTTGGGGCTCACTGTGGCCCGAAACCTGCATCTCCAGCTCTTTCCCAGCCATCCTGAGTAGGGGTCTGTGCTGCCCTGTGCCCGGCACAAGGTGGTCTCCTGCCCCTGCCTCTCAGTTGTTGTCACTCTGCCACTGTCACCAAGGTTGGTGGGTGGTGTCCACCTAGTCCCCATCGTCCACCCGGCCCCCACACAATGCGACACAGGCCTGATGCCCACCCCAGCACAGCAGCACAGCCTGGCCTCCACCCTCACGGCTGACATCTAGGGCAGGAGCCAGTCCACCCCGCAGGCTGCGCGGCTGATAAGACCCCTCTCCTTACCCCTGCTCTGGGGGCAGCACTGACCCACTCAGGACTTTGGGGAGGGGGCAGGGATCTCTGTTAGGAGGTGCCGAGCTCTTAGCTGAGGCCAAAAGAGAGAGCAAGGGCAACACCCTGGGGAAGCAGGAACGTCCCAGATAGGAGGAAGGCGGCTCATCCTTGAGGCCAGGGAGGGCCTGGTGGTGCTTGGTGAGCTGCCATCTCTGTTGGATGCGGTCCTGGATAGGACAGGGCAGTGGCATCACCTCCACACTGTCAGCGTCAGCCATGCTGGAGGCCTAGGGGCCCTCAGGCGCCTGACTGAGCCCCAGGTCATGGAGGGCAGTGGCATTGCCTCCACACTATCAGCGTCAGTCCTGCTGGAGGCCTAGGGGCCCTCAGGTGCCTGACTGAGCCCTGGATCATGGAGGGTAGTGGCATCGCCTCCACACTGTCAGTGTCAGCCTTGCTGGAGGCCGGGGGGCCCTCAGGCGCCTGACTGAGCCCCGGATCATGGAGGGCAGTGGCATCACCTCCACACTGTCAGTGTCAGCCCTGCTGGAGGCCTGGGGGCCCTCAGGCGCCTGGCTGAGCCCCAGTTCACACACCCCATGGATGTTGGCAGCTTGTCAGGACCCTCGAGCTGTCCCCTGTTATTCTCTGAGGGGCTGAGGGGCACTGCTTGGGCCTCCCTCCTGGAGCAGCCCCATGTTCCTGTCAACCTCTGTGGGGCTCCCAGTGGGGGGTGCGCTGCCTCCCCTTTGCCTGCAGCACCCCAGACAGGCCTGCCCTCACCTGGCCACTGTGTCTCTCACCCAGCAGACACCATATGGATGACAGTGTTTGATAAGCCAGCAAACTCGACGCCCATAGCCCCAGGAGTGGTGAGGGACAGGGTTCCAGCGTGTG
This sequence comes from Homo sapiens, assembly GCF_000001405.40. Classification (NCBI taxonomy): domain Eukaryota; kingdom Metazoa; phylum Chordata; class Mammalia; order Primates; family Hominidae; genus Homo; species Homo sapiens. The sequence continues at coordinate 14,013,590 of NC_000021.9, forward strand.
GGCAGCTGGCACCTCAGCTCCAGAGGAGAAAGGCTGGGCCAGTTCACCGAATTCCAGCCTTTCTGCTGGTAACAAATGCATTGGCAGGAGGGGGCCGTGTCAGGAAGTGCCTTCCAGGGTCAGGAGGTGCCCGTCCTCCGGGACTGACCCTGTCCTCGTCCTTGTCTGTAGCTCCGAGTCAGGGCCCAGGTGCAGCTCTCTGATGGACACAAAACACAGCCAGGCTGAGGCAGCCAGAGCCAAGGCCTCGAGAAAGCCTGTGAGTAGCAGCAGTGCAGGCGGCACCCAGCCTCCTGCAGAGGCCTAGCCTTGCCCAGTTTAAGGCCTGAGGCCAGCTGGCCCCCCTCCTTGGGGTCAGTGGGAGGAGGTGGCCAGGACCCTGCATGCTGCTAGGTCTCTTGTGACATTGGGGTTTGATACAGCAGTGGGACTGGAGCAGCCACGTGCAGATGGGGAGGCCCCCAGAGGGGAGGCAGCAAGGCCATTGGGCTGGCCCTGAGCCCCGTCTGAGCAGGTGGCACAGCCCAGGTCTGTACCCTTGATTCTAGACAGCAGCACCAGGACCCCAGCATTGAGATGTGTGTGGGTGGGTTGTTGGCAGGAAGCCATTCTGGGGCCTGATCAGAGCCCCTGGCCCCCAGGCCCCTAGTCAGGCCGAGAGGCTCCCCCAGACAAGGCTGAGAGCTCCAGGCGAGCGACAGCTGGCTTCCAACACTGGTGTCCCCGGTGCTTGAAGGAGCTGTGGCAGGACCACACAAGGCAGAGCGGGCCCCTTCCTGAGCCTCTGCGTCCTCATGTGAGACCAGGGCACATTGCCCTGTATCATGGGGGAGGCAACAGTGTTGCTTGTGTGGAGACCACATGGAAGGTGTGTGAGCCTGTTAGCCTCGTCATGCGGTTTCCACACAGGTACACGTGTGCAGGCGACAGGCTGCATGTGAGAGGGCTACACGTAAGGGATCCCTATGGCCGGGGTTGCCACACCCTGTGGCCCCTCCTGCCTCACTGGACAGCACAGGCCTCCTACTCTGCAGTCAGCCCAGCTTCTCCATGTACCTCCGTGTACCTCCGTGTGTGTCACCAGGAAGGCCCCCCTGCTGGCCTCTGACAGCAGCTCCTGTGGGGGCTCCGACAGCGATACATGACGACCAGAAGGCAGTGAGTGCCATGGATGCTGTGAACACCCGTCCGGGCTAGGAGGCCCCCCGCCCCCGCTGCCCACAGTGGCCAGGACAGAGGAGGCTGTCAGCAGGTGTGTGGGGCGTCGGGGGTAGGTGGGCAGGCCTGCCTGGGTGCAAAGGCTGCGGCTTCCAGGCTCTGTCCCCAGCTCTTAGCTCCCTTGGGAGCAGGCTGAGGCCAGGCCAGGGTTCTTCTCCACACTGCTTCCCCGATGGCCCCGTGACCCCTTACAGGCTGGCTCGGGGTGGTCATGCCCACGCATTTAAATAGAGGCAGGATGGGAGGAGTGTGAGGGCTTCCTTCTTGGACAGAACATCTGTGTTCTCTGTTGTGAGTGGTTAAGACAAGAAGACAGGGCCTGGATGTCCCAGACAGTCCCCCAGGGACTTGGTGGGGGCAGCCCCTACCCCAGACCCCAGTTAGAGAGAACAGCCCAGCTCTTGGGGCTCTGGGCCTGGCTGAGCCGCCTGGGATCTGGGTACCCTGGAGGTCGGGGAGGGGCACAGACTTTAAGTCCAGCAGGTAAGCAGGCATCTGTGGAGCTCATGCAGACCTCGCCTGCTGCTCCCCTTCCATGGGAGGCCTAGATTTCCAGATGCCTCAGAAGCCAGGACAGTAGGATGGGGGGGCGGGGGCCTCAGGACTGCACTTGGGGCATCCAAACCCTGACTGAGAGTTGGAGGCAGCTTGCAGATGGTCAGAGGCTCAGGCTCCCTTGAGCCTCCAAGAGCCATTCCTGGGGAGAGAGTGGAGAGGGAGGCACTCCCTGTGAGGAGGCTGGAGTCTGGCCAGCCCCTCCAGCAAGCTGAATCCCATCCATCCCCCCACAGGAAGAAGGTCCCTGGCATCCTTCAGTGAACAGATACCTCTTCTGGCCTTTGGGGTCAGGGGTTGGGAGTTTAGCAGGAGGGCAGGACAGCTAGGGTAGATGCTAGGGCCAGGTAAACCTGAGGGGGAAGGTAGGACTGGGCTTGAAGTGGGGAGGAGGGCACACCCGGCAAGGGCAAAGCTGTGCAGAGGACCTGGGGCCTGAGCTCCCTGTAGGTCCAGGCAACAGTGGGGAAGTCCTTGGGCTGGATTCCTCTAGGAGAGGACAAGGTGCCTTTCACACCTGGCGGTGCATCCCAGTCACTCCTGTTTCCATGCTTGTGAAGGGCCTGCCTGGAGTGGGGTGAGGGTGCCCCCAGCCTCACTGCCCAATGCAGCTCAGCCTGCAAGCGTCCCACCTGTCCTACCCTGCCCCGACAGGCGGGGCAGGTCTGACACCTCAGAGGACCCTGCCCACTGACCCCCAGCAGTCCTGGAGGGTCTGTGTGGTATTGGGGCTCCGGGCATCTCCCCCAGCCAGGCTGCAAGCTCAGCACCAGGCTGGCTCTCCCTGCCCTGTTGACCAGCAGGCCATGTCTGTGCTCACAGCTCCTCCCCTTGTTTGGCCACGCTGCCGTCAGGGCATCTGCAGCAAGTGGGGGGCACAACACGGGAAATGGGGCCAAGGCCACAGCGGTGGATGTCCCGATGCTGCCAGTCACTGGAAAGCCCAGGCCAGAGCCCCTCGGGTTGAAAGTCATACAGAGTTCCTGCGTGGGCTTCATTCCTTCTTAAAGTTTAGTCACTGAAATTCTTAAAAATCTTTATCCAGCCAGGCATGGTGGCTCATGCCTGTAATCCCAGCACTTTGGGAGGCCGAGGCAGGTGGATCACGAGGTCAGAAGTTCGAGACCAGCCTGGCCAATATGGTAAAACCCGTCTCTACTAAAAATACAAAAATTAGCCAAGCGTGGTGGCACACGCCTGTAGTCCCCGCTACTCGGGAGGCTGAGGCAGGAGAATCACTTGAACCTGGGAGGTGGAGGTCGCAGTGAGCCAAGATCATGCTACTGCACTCTGGCCTGGGCATCAGAGTGAGACTCCATTTCAAAAAAAAAAAAAAAAATCTTTACCCTCAGCTGGGTGTGGTGGCTCACACCTGTAATCCCAGCACTTTTGGGAGGCCGAGGTGGGCGGATTGCCCAAGCTCAGGAGTTTGAGACCACCCTGGGCAACATAGCAAAACCCCACATCTACTAAAATACAAAAAATTAGGCGGGCATGGTGACGCATGCCTGTAGTCCCAGCTACTCGGGAGGCTGAGGCAGGAGAATTACTTGAACCTGGGAGCCAGAGGTTGCAGTGAGCAGAGATCGCACCACTGCACTCCAGCCTGGGCAATAGAGCGAGACTCTGTCTGCAAAAACCAAACCAAAACAAACCTTTACCCACTTTTCCTAAACAACCCCTAAAAAACTTTGCTCTGAAAAGCAGGGAATATCACTGTGCAAAGTAAGTTGCTTTTCTCCACGGGGCTATCTGTGTAAAACTTGCCACTGAGAGCTCTCTCTGCTCTGCTGTGACAGCCCAGCCTGCAGGTGAGCTTGCTTGCACTCCCACCTGATCAGAGCACGCCTCCCCGGGTCAGACACTCAATATCCTTGCCCTGCAGGAGGCCAGAGGGCCCATCTGCTGCTCATGGCCAGGCTGGGCCTTGGGGTGCCTGACCCCCCCAGAGCAAGCCCCTTAGATGCCCGGCAGAATCCTCTCTCCCCTCCTGTACCTTGGAAGGTTTCCCCACACTATGCCCAGTGTCAGGCTGAAGTTGGGATCATGGCACAGGAGCCTCTGGGGCCCTCGGAGAATGAGGTGCTTGATGATGGGCAGAATCTGAACGCAGCCTGGACGGAGGTTTGAGGTCATCAATGGACAGACAGCTTGTCCCAGCACTTAGAACTCAGGGCAGCAGAGCTGCCTAGCTGGGCACAACCTGGGCCACCCCACAGAGGGCAGGAGTGGGAGAGGCCAAAGGGGGTGATCCCAGGACATTTTTGTATCTTTAGTAGAGACGGGGTTTCACCATGTTGGCCAGGCTGGTCTGGAACTCCTGACCTCAGGTGATCCACCCACCTCGGCCTCCCAAAGTGCCGGCATTACAGGTGAGAGTCACCGCACCCAGCCTATTTTTTTTTTTTTTTTTTTTTTTTTAATTTAAGACAGTCTCACTCTGCCATTCAGGCTTGAGTGCAGTGACGCAGTTTCGGCTCACTGCAATCTCCACCTCCTGGGTTCATGGGATTCTCCTGCCTCAGCCTCCTGAGCAGCTGGGATTACAGGTGTGTACTACCACACCCAGTTAATTTTTTTTTTTTTGTATTTTTAGTAGAGACAGTGTTTCAGCATGTTGGCCAGACTGGTCTCAAACTCCTGACCTCAGGTGATCTGCCCACCTTGGCCTCCAAAAGTGCTGGGATTACAAGTGTAAGCCACCATGCCCAGCCCACAGTGCAGTTTAAACCACCATTTCTGTGAAGCTTTCTCTGCCTGTTACCAGGTACTACCCATACACACACTACCCACGAACAAAGAAATGTGCGTTGTTCTGTGCTGCACGCCACCATTGTAACAATTGTGATGATTTACTTTACAAGTTTCTCTCCCCTCTAGACTGTTGGCTCTTACATTTTTATATCTTTATCCTTTCATGAGTATTTAGCATGGTGTCGCCTTGTAGTGAATGCTTCATAAATATTTGTTGAATGAATGAATTTTAACTGATTATCTTTTTCTAAGCCACATGGTAAGATGTTCTTGTCTGTCTTTCAGTTAGGACTTTATTTTTACTTTTAAGTTCAGAGCTTCTTGATGGTTGTTCTTTCTAAATAATTATTATTTAGCAACTGACTGTCATAAGAGATTCAAAATACATCAAATATCTAACACAAAATATAAAATATGCAGTAATCTTAGCCCTCAAGGAAACCCAGATTTCCCAATTCTGAGTATATTGTTCAAGTTCCTTTTCCAGGACAGCTCAAGGTTCTGTCATTTATTTTTGTCTTTGTTTTTGTTTTGAGACAGTTTCACTCTGCCATCAAGGCTGCAGTGCAGTGGTGTGATCATGACTCACTGTAGCCTCAACTTTCTGTGCTTAAGTGATCCTCCTGCCTCTGCCTCCAGAGTAGCTGAAACTATAGGCACACGTCATCATGCTCCACCTAATTATTTTTTTTTTTTTTTGAGACAGGGTCTCACTATATTGCTCAGGCCGGTCTCCAAATCCTGAGTTCAAGCAGTCTTTCCACTTGACCTCCCAAAGTGTTAGGATTGCAGGTATGAACCACTGCACCTGGCCAATTTTTTTATTTATTAATAAAGTGTTTCTAAAATTGTCACTGCCGGTCGTTTGGAAGAATCTGAGAAGTAGCAGCTCTGCTCTTGTTTCCAGAACTGCATCCTATGCTGAATAGGTCTGGGTGCCCCCAGCGCAAGCCTCACCTTATTCACTTACTGACTCAGTTATCTCCTGACTAGAGAAGAGGCAGACCCATCTCCATCCTAGGAGGAGCTCTTAGTTCCTCCAGACAGGGATGTCTCCCTAGGACCAGGCAGTGTGGCTGGGATGAGCCATTCATCATCAGGGAAGACACAGGCTACCTGGGTAGTCATGGTGTAGAATGCCTCCAGCACAGTGCACAGAAGCCCCTGAATCTGGGAAGAAAGCTACTTCCACATCAGGTGAGAATGCACCTCTGCCCATACCTGGACTGGGTCTTGATAACGCCCTCAGAAATAGCATGCAGGGAGTCACCAGTCTTTTGAAGTGGTGGTGGTTGTTCTCTTGGTAACCAAGATCTGGGCTGCTTGCTGTGCCCAGTGGCACCCCTTGAGGGTCTCTTATGGTGGGCATCACTGGTCTTCTTAATTTGCTACTGTGTCCATCCTCAGAGTCCTTTGCTTTCTTTTTCAAAGTCAAGCTGTGCTCATATCCTAGACTCTTTCCTGTGGAGAAAGCACGTGAGTTAAAGATTCACCACAATAGTTCACACAGAAGCTTATTCCAGAACCTTCCCATGCACATTCAGGTGACCCCCACTTGTCTCACCTCCCACTTGCCAGCTCCCTCAGCCTGCCTAATAAAGTGAGATTGAGTTCGCTCCTGGGTCCCCAAATGCTCTCTGAATGCCAGGATCTCTAAAATTCTTTCAACCACCAAGAAGACCCCTTCTTACCCAAGCCTTGCTTGTCTTGCTTGTCTGTTAGGATAAAAAAGCAAGACTCTACCTGCTCTATCTTGTCAGGTGTCCTTGAAATTTTTTTTTTTTTCTTCATTTCTTCTGCTCATCTGAGCTGGACTCTGATTCTGTTGATAAAAATGGGTGTGTGTGAGTGCCTCCAACTGAACACCTTGGAAGCCTTAGTCCATTTTTGATACACTAGAGATGAGGTTTCCACAAAAACTCAGCTCTCCTCTGTGCTCCAGCGCCCAGGATCTGTAAAGTGCTGCATTCAAAAACGCTCTCAGTTTCTTTCTCAGGGGAGACTGTGTTAATCTATATCCTGTCCCTTCTCACCTTGGAAGAGTCAAGTCTTATTTGATCTAGCATTGCTGTTTCTGGTTTTGAGCTTAGTTTTCTTGGAATTCTATTTCCCATTTGGATTGGGGTCTGGTCCTAGTGGAAAAGGGAGTTCGGGTGATTCACCTTTCTCTAGACCCAGAGTCCCATAGTCTATTTCTGACTCATATTTGTGGGTCATTTTCTCAACTGATGCTGTTCAGCCAGCGTCAAAAGTGAGTGGGAAGAATACAGTCCCAGGAGATCATCACCACATTTCTCAAAGCCACCTGAGGGCTGTAATCCATTTCCTGTCCTCAATTACAAAATAAACTCCTATCAAAGACATACAGCTTAGTATCCTTCATTCCACCCCTCTTTGCAACCTTCATAAGAACAGCCCAAGGTCTTACCTGAGCTTTGAGTGCAGCTCTCACTGGAATGGAAAGAGATCATCTTGCCTTTTTCTTCAAATCATTTCTCCTCCTCATCTGAGCCCCTTTCTGCAAAGGAGATATGTTGGAAAGGGGGCTGGCCAGTGAGGTCTTGGATGGAGGCACAGTGAGAATTTTGGTCTGCAGTTCCCCATTCCATGTTGAAGCTCAAATGAAAGGTCCTCTCTCTTACACGTCCAGATTCAGAGTGTAGCATGTTATGCTGGACTTGTCTTTTTTAAGTCTCTCTTTGCTTCGTTTTCTGTTTTTGTTTTGTTTTGCTTTTTTGAGACAGGGTCTCACTCTGTCGCCCAGGCTAGAGTGCAGTGGCGTGATCTTGGCTCAATGTAAGATTCTCCTGCCTCAGCCTCCTGAGTAGCTGGCATTACAGGCGCATGCCACTAGGCCTGGCTAATTTTTGTATTTTTAGTAGAGACGGGGTTTCACCATGTTGGTCAGGCTGGTCTCAATCTCCTGACCTTGTGATCCACCCGCCTCAGCCTCCCAAAGTGCTGGGATTACAGGAGTGAGCCACCGTGTCCGGCCATAAGCCTCTGTTTATAAGCATGGCTCACTCTTACTGGCTGAAGAGATTGATTTCTCTTGCCTGCCGCTCTTCATAGCCTCCATAAGGAATGTTTCAGGATGTGATTATGCTGGGGACTTAGACACACATAAGGGAAGACTTTTGCAGAGTCCTGCCATAGCATCAAAAAACAAGATATAACAAAACCAGGAGGCACAGGGACTAGAATGCAGGAGGCTCATCACCTTTTGTTTCCCAGTCCAGTTCCCACCCAGGAGTACTCAAAACTCTGCCCAGATTCAAAATGCAAAATTAAACAGACCATATATTAACAGTTGTATATATATTTTGCACATGAAGAAAATCATTATAGTATTACAATTGTGTGTGTATATATATATATGTCATAATTTTTCAAATGCTTGGAAATGACAAATATTAAATTATACTTGATTGTATTAAATATATATATATATGATAAAATAAAATTCTATGATAGGGGATGTGGCATCTTGAAGGCCTAGTTGGGCTGCGTGTGCCATTAAGATATACAGGGCTGCAGAAAAGTAAACCCCAAATAGAATATTCCTTTATCCCTTGAATGTTGGAAGGATAATTAGATCAGATATGATCACGTTAAATTGATCAGATTGGAGCCAGTGCTAACTCAATCAACTTCCAATTCCTAAGGCAGCAGAAAGCCCAGCTGGAGAGGGAAAGTTCTGCTCTATCTCACCCTCCCTCATTCATCCTGGGAGCCACACTGTGTTCTGTAGAATTTGCTCAGGATTCACAATCTGAGCTGATAAACTTACCTGGATTATCACAACCCTTACCATTTTGGTATTTTCTTTTTGTTTCTCAGTTTAAAATGGGTTGTGAATATTACTAACGCATCATAAGTTTTCAGACACCCAGTATGTCACTTGTTTGGGTCCCGTCCTAGGAAATCAATACCTAAATTCAAAAAGTCATCCTAAGATTAATCTTTGAAAGCTGCCTGTGATGATTTGGACTCACTGACCTCCCTTCTCTTCAACCTACAGAGAAAGTGAAAGAGCTACCAAGTCTTAGGGCACATGGACAGAACCAGAAGATGCCCAGTGAAGTGCTAGGATAGGGTACAGTCCCATAGCTTTTGGGCCAAATGAGAAGGAAAAGCAGAACCTGGGACCAGGAAAGCCCCAGCAGCTCCAGACTCCAGGGCTCTTTACCAAGACTGATGGGAGGAACTAAGGCAAAGATGAGACACCTGTCACCAAGACACTTGTCTTGGCTGCTTCCACCTCTGACTCAGTTGTGTTGGTGTGAATGCAAAACTGGCTCTCTGGCTCCCAAGAATGTATAAATCCAGGAGAGAAAACCAAGCATTTGGGCACCAGGCAAGAGGTCTTTCCAGATTCCCCAGACTTTTCAGAATTCCCCAAAGATACTGAAACTCAGACCCATTCTGACCCCACCCCAAAAAGTATCATAAATGGAATCTGGGAGCCATTCAGAGTCTCCAGCCTCCTCTTTGGTGAAAATGGACTTGGACCTAAAAAGGCACCCCACTGTCCACAAGGACACAAATTCAGATGCTGAGCACTGGCCTCCTGCCTTCCGATGACGGATCTTACCTGAGTCCCATCAAAGCCCATACTGTTCCCCAACCTCCACCATCCAGACATTAGGAACAATCCCTCAGAACTGTCTTGATGAGATGGGACAAGCAGTGGTAGAGGTCCGGGTTCAGAATGGTTGCCTCATCTTTCCCTTCTGAGAAGTCTACACCTGCTGGTCTGAGCCTTCATCCCTTACATGGCTTAGCCCATGTCCCAGGAAGTGCCCCCTAAAAGAACCTTCTAGTATTTTTCTCCCCTGAAGAGAGGGTCCATGAGACACTCTATGCCAGGAAATACATGGCCTCCATTCTCACATGACTTGATTGACTGATAAACTGATACCCTGAGAAAGAAAAAGATGCAGGGAACATCTTGTGTGTGGTGAATCTGCGCTCCTCAGCTGTGGTGCCTGTGCAAATGGTGGAACCCAAAAGAATATTGGGTGGTAGACACACAGACCCTACCTAATAAAATTATGTAAGTTTAAGTTTAATATAGATGGAACTTATAATGTCATATAAAATGTTGTTACTTATTTTGTAAGAAAGCTGATTTAGATTTTGTAAAGGCATTAAATATAATTTTAATGGGAAGCTATGAAAATTGTGTGCATTTGGTGTGTAAATGACTCATTTTGGGTAATTCTGTAAAGGCCACCTATGAATGTGAGTCATTAGTAACCAAATCTCCTATAGATAGCATATTGCATATGCATTTTAATGTATTCTTTTACCTGAGCTCAATTTTTCTTAATTTTATTCATCAAATTTTATACACTTTAGATAAAAGACACCTTGTAGTTACCATGTGCTCTATGGATCTCTATTTTGTTAGAAATACAGATTTTCAGGCAAAACCCAAGTATATTGTATCAAAATCAGGTTTTAAATAATATTCCCAGGTGATTCACATGCATATTAATAATTGTTAAGTGGGGGTAATTCTATAATTAAAAGGGAAAAGGTTATATGAGTGTATTTATTTGTTAAAAAGGTACAGAAAAGATTGTATGTTTCAATGTATATACATCTTATCTCATAGAAAATAACTAAAAACAATAATAAAGTGGGGATGGGGAATGAGTTGTAGTAGAAGTTAAACAGAAACGGCACATAATTAGTAGATGTTTAGGCTGAGCATCAGTCTATTATACTACATTGCTTATTGTATATATGTTTAAAATATTCTCTAATAAAATACTTGTATAAAAAGACAAACTTTATCTACAACATTAGCCCTTAAGATTGTGGTTACTTTTGGAGGGGAGGAAAAGAGAAAGTGGTTTGTGTGGCAGAAACAAGGCTAGTTCTATCCTATGCCTACACAAATGTATTTGCTTGTAATAATTTACTGAGCATTATGTTAATGCTTTGGACATATATTTCTGTATGCACGTCATTCAATAAAATTTAAATATTACATATTTAATCTTAACAGAATAATAGCAATGTTTGGTATTGTTTTGTTTGAAAGTGAGGCATTTAGTGTCAGACATCATGAGATGGGTATTAATATTCCAAGGTATTTATTCACATCCTGACTCTTGGGGGTCCCCCTCGATCTTTCATTTTTACCTCAATTGAGTAAGTAGCATGGTTGTAGTTTTGGGGAATGCAATTTTTTACAGCAAAGTCCTTCCTCCACGATAGTACTCACCACGGCCAGGACACTTAGCACAGGGCCCTGTACGTAGTGTGCACTCAGTGTGTGTGGAACTGGTTTGAATCAGAAACAAAACAAGTAGCAGAGGTCAGTTCTGCAAAGGATAGAAAGTAAGTAATCAAGACTGAAAGGCCGCAACTCAGCAGCAAACACTTCTATGTTAATTTGAGAAATAATTTCAACTGGCTCTCCAAAAGATGTTGGTTTAAAGCAGTAACATGGGAGTTGAGCTGTGTGCTATAATCACCCGAAAGCTTTAAGTCACACTGTTGCCTAGGTCTCACTCCAGAGATTCTGACTTAATTACCCCATTGCAACTTGGGTTTGAAGACTTTAAACACTCCTCTACAAGGTTATTGAAATATGCAGCCAAGGGTGAGAAGCATTGATTCAGGGTGAGGAATACATTGGCTGTATGTGATTTTCATGTGTGCTTTAGGGATTTGCCCCATAGCTGCTCCTGAATGTGGGGTCTTAGAAAACATCTTTACCCTTCAAAGCATATTCTGCTGATTGGCTAAATTGCAGCAGGAAAAAATATCAGCAGCTCTGTCTTTATGTCACTTGCCTTCAAAGCAAAAGGTTTTTCAGGCACAGTAATTTGATTTAGTCTGTGTTAAAAATCATAAATAGCCTAGAAATACAAAAAAAAAAAAGAGACAGAGTTTGCAGATATGTGGAGTGCATTATAGGTGTTTTCAAATTTCTCCTATGATGAGAAATTAAAAATAGAATGTTGGGCATTAATTTCCTAAACTCAGTGCTCAGCCATTTCCTCAAATTGTTTCCAGTTTTTCCAAGAGACTTCAGAAGCATTCCCTGGAATGAATTATTTCCAATGGTGAAGAGTACTAGATGGACAGGATGAGAATCTCAAAGAAATCTTGCTTCTATTTCAGAAGTGCCACTGTGCAGCACCTTGAAGGACCAGGAAACCTGGTTGAGGAGTGTGGTCTACGGAGGTGCATAGGCTTCAGAGTCAGGCAGAGTTGATCCTGAGTCCCAGCCCAGCTGAGTTAGAAGCTGTGGGACAGTTATATAAACCTCATCTGCAAAAAAAGGCCATACTAAAATTGATTGAAAACAACAGCAAATTTTTAAAATTTCTTCTTGTGTTCATGCCTTGACAATGGATTTTATAGTGGTTCCCATTAAGAGACAGAATTTGTTTTCCACATCTTGAATCTTTATGGCCTTATTTGCACAGGCCAAAGCTGTGCATATGACAGTGTGCTAGTTTGGGGCCTAGGCTCAAAAAGTCTCAAATGCTTCCGTTTTCTTTTTCAGAACCCTTCCATCTCCATGAGAACAAGCCCATTTTGGCCTGCTGGGCAAAAGCCAAAATGTCCCCATTGACAGCTCACTTACAGAAGCAGAGCCACTTAATTCACCAGCCGTTCACCACTCAACGTCTGAAGGAGCCATTCTGAGCCCTGAAGAATAGCCCAGCTGAGCCCAGCCTAAATTTCTAACCAGCTCAATCATGAGCGTTTGGGATTGTTTATTATGCTTACTAATATATACAACCATTAAAGACAGGATGCCAGGATGCCAGGACAGATTGATTACAAATAACCTGCAAATGCTTGGCACCCTGTAAGTACTGATTTTATTTGCCCTTTATTTAGAGTTAGATTTGTTGTTAGATGGTATTGAGTTATATGGAAGTGCAGGTAGATGTGGATGCATATGACTGGTGCTTAAACGCACGCAGTGCCCCACACCACAGGAGAAAAACACACAGTTACAGACAGACAATTAGGTCCAAAGCCAAATAGCAAAATAAGGAGTTTGACTTTTATCTATTCCCTCCACATCTGAACTCTGGAGGTCAAGGCTGTAAAGAGATCTGAAGACATGGTGTTCTCCCCTCCTGGGGCCCCATCATTTTTTGTTTACTGTTTGATATTTGAAAGGAAGAGAAACTCCCATCAAACAGCAACTGGGAGACAGTGGTCTCTACGTGACACTCTCTGCTTGCAGCCCCTGATCTCTCTAGGGGCACTGACCCTCCCACCCTTGAGCCTGAGGAGAAAAGTTAGTAGAGAGAGGCCAGTAGTTGGTAGGGAGAGAGCCCACTTCCAGCAGAAAAGAGGTGTTCAGGCCTTCACCTCCCTGAGATCGGAGCATCAGAGCCCTCATGGCTGCTGGTTTGAAGTAAAATGTGCTGCAAACATAAAATACACAGCGAGTTTAAAAGATTTAGATCCAAAATATTTATAATTATTTGTTGACCACACATGAAAAATAATATTTTGGGTATAATGGCTTAAACAGTATTACAAACAATTTCACTTGTTTCTTTTTATTATTACTATTATTTTTGAGATGGAGTCTTGCTCTGTCACCCAGGCTGCAGTGCAGTGGCACAAACTCAGCTCACTGCAACCTCCACCTCCTGGGTTCAAGCGATTCTCCTGCCTCAGCCTCCCAAGCAGCTGGGATTACAGGTGCCCACCACCATGCCCGGCTAATTTTTGTATTTTTAGTAGACAGGGATTCATTATGTTGGCCAGAGTGGTCTCGAACTTCTGACCTCTGTCCTCTCAGAGTGCTGGGATTACAGGCGTGAGCCACCATGTCCGGAGTCTTTTTATTACTATTTTTGATCTGGCTAATAAAACATTTAAAATTCACAATAGCTAACGTTTTATTTTTTAGAGGATTGCTTCTCTCTTAAAATCTTAGGTGTCCCACTCCAAAGACCGGCGGCCAGAAAGGTTATGAAATCTGAAATATTAAATAATTGTCATTATATTGCTTCCATTTGTGAACAACGTGTGTGTGTGTTTTATAAACGAACATAACCTTCATAACGTTATACACCACAATGCTAAAAAATGACCCCTGGTTAGAGCCAGGCGCAGCACAGACAGAAAGCCCTGCCTGAAAGTGACTGGAGCCAAGAGCCTGACACTCTCGGCTCATTCCGTACAGTGTATGGTAGCATCTTCTGACACGCAAGGCCTGAGGGCGCGGTGCCTGCACTACTATCCAATCAGGGCGCTGGGGTGGGAACTGTCCAATCAGGCGCGCAGCCAGGGAGGAAGGGGCGGCTTCCGGAATCTGGCGCGGCCTTTGTCTCACTTCAGCCAGAGAGCGGGGTTAGGGCTTCATTGCCTTGTGTCCTCTGCTCCGGGAGACTTCGGTGATTCTGCCACTCCCTCCGTCGCTCTGTGACCTGCTGGCATTGAATGATTTATAGCTAAGACTCCAGGACACCCCTGAAGCCGAGAAATGGTGAGTGTGGGGGGCAGGGCGTCCCGAGACTGGGGAGGGGACTCCTTGGAACCGGCTGGACATGGCGGTGACGGGACCTAGTCTGCGAGTCGAGTCCTCTGCAGCTCAGCCCTCAGTCCCCTCCGGTGCAGGGACTCCGGGCGTCCTGTCCTGTCCCTGCACGGCGGCTTTGGCCCCAGCCTGTAGCCCTCTTTGCGCAGCTCTGCGCCCGCAGCCCTGCATCTTCCCCAGGTTGTGAGGTGATGAGGCGAAAGTCATCGGAAAGACGCCGACTCGGTGTGCAGGGTTCCTGCGTGGAAGGAGCTGTGGTCCGTGGGGTCCCCCGTCCCTACCTTACCCTGTTCAGAATTAGACTGAGGCACCATTAAAACATAGACAGCTTATATGAGTAAACAGTGATTAATTAATGGGACAGCGCTCAGCAATGGTTTGTGGTTTGGGGGCTACTAGAAGGTCTTGAAAGAAAGGCTTGTATAAGGTGTGTGAGGAAGCAAAGACAATTAAATAATTGGGTACAGTTATGTAGTCGCTTTATTTGGAGTGTCTGGGTGGAAATTTCCTGGTTATGTAATCAGGGATTAATTGGAGGTTTGTAGTTGTTTAAGCTTGAATTTCGTTTCCTCCTAAGGTAGTAACTTAGAAAAAATGCATTTGAGTTAGGTTTCTTTTTTTACATAGAGGCCTAGACCACTAGAGCCACTTCAATCTAATTGACTGCTATGTAATTATTTTAACTTTAATCAAAGACACTGGTTTTCGCCTGCATTTTCCAAATGTGTGGCAAGCAGGGTCTCACATCCACTACTCTGTTCTGCCAGCCTAACCTGGCTTGAAGTAAAATCTTAAATTTCCGGTTTCTTGCTGACATTCCCCAAAGGCAACTTCTCCCCTCCCATACATTATCAACTATTTTTGTCCTTTATTGCACATTTCAGAAACAGTATTTTAATTAATCACTTTTTCACAGAGCAGTGGATGGCAATTTGTAAAATACTTGTTTTCTACTTACAAATATTTCACATGAGAAAAAAGCAGAAAATAATCCCCTGGCACTCAGCTGTAAAAAATCTTTCTGCTGTTTCTCCTTGTATCCTCCCTTAGCACAAACGCCCTTATTAGGACATCTTGGGATTGAGGTTTTCCTTGGGAAACTTTATGGGGCAATGTTTCCTTAGCCACATTCGGGCCTTTTTCTAGTCCTGAGTTTTAGAACTGTCTTGAGATGGCCCAAGATACAAACCAGAGCCATGTCTTTTGGGAGTTCTGGTGAATATCAGCCCTTTGGTAATCTTCCAGAGGACACAATGAGGGATGGGAGTACAGCTTCTCAAAGGAGCAGCTGAATGCCCTGGGGGTGAGAGAAATATCCAGGCTTACCCTTCCTGTAAAAAAAGAATCCCTTGGGATTTTTAAGATTTTTTTTTTTTTTTTTCCCCCAACCCCAGTTTGCATTCCATGGAAACACATTGCTTGTCAGCCAATCAGATGCTGGTATTCAGAGAAAAAGATAGACTATTCCTGTCTTCTGAATTGTCTTATATTTGCGAAGGGAGAGAAACTAACCTGAAGGACAAGAAAAACCCACCCCAGGGAGGCAGTGCAAGAACCTGCAAAGCAAAAAGCGGAGTGGGGCACAGTGCAGTGTCTCCTGGGAGGGTGGGCATTGAGCACTTCAGTGAGGAGTATGGGGGTGAGAGAAAGTCCCAAGGGATAAGGTGGCCTGATTTGACACTTGAGTCAGATGTCCCTGTTCCAGAAAGCACTGCCACTCCCTGAGTTTGTCCCCCTGTATAGATTTGCTCACTTATTTCAACTTCGGTTTTTTTAATTAACTGTAAATTGGATCTCAAAGGATAGGCAGAAAAGGGCTTTTAAAAAAAGTTGGAAAGAGCAAATCAGATTAGAAGGAAGGTGAGAGAGGGTGGGCAGAATGAAGGGTGGCAAAATCAGATTCTAAATCAGAGAGCGTTCAACCCTGAAGTCAGCTTTTTCTTAGGAGGTTAATAAAGAGAGATTGAATGTTGAATCAGGCTGAGAATAGGTCAAAGTTCAGGGATCTGAACAAATAGGCTTTTTTTTTTTTTTTTTTTTTACCATCGAAGATGAAATTGTTCAGCCAATTGTATATGAGAAAAAGATGGAAATGTGTGGTCCGTGTCTGACTCTGTGGTAGGTTTAGAAAAAAAGAAGAGAGAGTATTATTGAAGTCACAATGGGAAGGGTGTCTCTTTTCGTTAAGCTGATTTCGGAGAACAAAAAGCATGAGGAATTTTTTGTCACAGCTATTTAGCAGAATTACCTACCTGCCCCAGCTTTCACCACCACTTTTTCTTGCCCTATGCATCTCTGCCATGTGGCTGTTCCTGAGCTGTATCTTCAATAATAAACTGGTATATGTAAGTACAGTGCTTTGCTGAGTTCTGTGAATAGTTCTATCAAATTATTGAGCTTGAGGAGGGGAATGTGGAAGCCCTTGATTTGTAGGAAGTAGTTGAGAAATAAAGATAGGTATCCAGAGGCATGTGACTGGCATCGGCAGTGGGGACAGTGTTATGGGACTTAGCCTGAACTTGTGGGATCTATGCTGACTCCGGGCGGTGTTGGAATTGAGGTGTTGGACAGCTAGTTGGTGTTGGATAATTGGTTGGTGTTCAGCAAACTCCTTACGTTTTGTGTCAGAAGAAAGACATCACTGGGGCCTGGTCTACAAGGAGACTCCAGGTGTCTGAGGGAAGTGAGGCTTTGTTCTGCACACAGGCTTGTCGTCACCCTGTGCGTTGTCCTGTAATTCCAGGTCTCCTCCTACTGTGAGATGGAACGAGAGCTTAGAGTGAAGGAGCTCTGAGAACCTATTCCCTCCCCTGACCCTGCTGCCAGCCCCTACATGCTTCTAACCCACTCCTGAACATAACCACTAAAAATTGATCTGGCTACATTCCTCCCACGACAAAGTTTTACCCTCAGGAATTGTGCTCACAACAGCTTTCCTCCTAGAGATTTCTGCCGAGAACATACACAGGTGCCTAGAAGACTCCTGGCTTATCTAAACTGTAGACAATGAATCTCTATCGGGAACCTGTTTTTTTCACCAACCCAGGTTTCTTGGACTACCTGATCATAATCTCTTCTGATTGTGTGAACACAGGAATAAGTCAGAACATAGCGCTGCCTGAGCCTGTATCTGTAGCACAAACCAGTTCCTTAACCAATTCTGCCCTGCATCCCCACCCATAGTTCTTGATAGCATCTTTCTCTTTTCTGCTTTTTTCTTCCCCACAAATCCTCTTTCACGTGTACACAGTGTGCCCAAGGCCATCCCTCCAGTGCCTGAATCCAGTGCCTACTAGAAGTCAGATGTTAATGAGTTCAAGACCATGCCTTTAGACCCGGCTATTGTAGGAGCAAATACAAATTAGAAAGAAAAGGTTTAATGCTTTCTCTTTAAAATGAGGGAAGAATTTTTGCTCTTCTTTCTTTTCTTAAAGCATTTAGTTTGAAAACCTTTCTCTACTTCTTTGAAATATATGTAAATCATTTTTATCAGTTAAATAGGTCATTTGGTTGTGTGTGTGTGTGTGTGTGTGTGTGTGTGTGTGTGTGTGTATGTGTTTGACTCAGAATTGTCTTAATCTAGGACCTGGGAACTATTGCTTTGAAATGTAATTAGCAAGTTTATACACCCTATCCCACAGTTTCTGTAGGAGAGTAGAAGGCTGCCTTCAGCAGGTGTCTAACTCCACATTGCAACACTACCTCCTGTCATGAAGATGAGGGAAGTTTATTTTTCCTTTAAACATTACCAATTAGAAAACCCAGATGACAGCCCAAATTATAATAAGCTGTGTATGACAAATGGTACAGTTGAGTACTAATTATGTTGACCTTTCTCTGTTTGCAATCTCTTAGTATATTGCCTGTGATGCACATCACATTTTAGTTTAATTATATAACAAAACAGTTTTCTTGCTGTTCTGTTATGGTGGAGAGTTGTTGTTTGTTTTTTTGTTTTTTTTTTTTTTGAGAGAGAGACTCTCGCTCTGTCGCCCAGGCTGGAGTGCAGTGGTGTGATCTCGGCTCACTGCAAGCTCTGCCTCCCACGTTCATGCCATTCTCCTGGCTCAGCCTCCCGAGTAGCTGGGACTACAGGCGCCCACCACCACGCCCGGCTAATTGTTTTTTTGTATTTTTAGTAGAGACGGGGTTTCACCGTGTTCTCCAGGATGGTCTCGATCTCCTGACCTCGTGATCCGCCCGTCTCGGCCTCCCAAAGTGCTGGGATTACAGGCGTGAGCCACCGCGCCTGGCTGGTGGAGAGTTTTTTAGGGTCAGAAATGAGTTTGCTTTCAGTTATGTTTTCCACACTGTCCAGCATTACTACATGTTATACACAAGGTGCCCAACAGGCTTCACTTTAGAGAGAACTTTCTTTCTCAGGATTCCAGTCCCAACCCACAATTGTGCAGCAAAGTGCCCCCCAAATCTTCAAACAGAATGGTCTCTCTTTGGAATCTACAGTCCCTTCTAGAGCAGGGAGAGTAGATTTTTACAAAAATAACTTTTCAGGATAGCAGTCAAGTATTCCACCTCCGTTAGTGCTCCTGGCATCTTCACATCTGACACTGATTCAGAGATCATGGGGCACATAAACCCAATTAGGATCACACATGTGCATTAATTAAACCTGAAAAGTTCAACTCCCTCCCACCTCCCCTTGCCCAAATGCCCACACATGTGCCACCGCTCATCAGCCCTTCAAGACCTAAATGTGCAGCTCCAGATTTTGAATTTATGTCCTGGGATTTGAGAGAAGAAAAGGTGTTGAAGGAGCCTCCATGAGAAGATCTTTCCTCTGGTTTTACTCTGCTTGCTGTAACCCCCAAGAATGCAGAGGCACATTGATCCCACCTAGAATCTGCACATAAAAGCTGGCCTCTGCCTAGGATTCACAAGACAGGGCCAGACTTTGGGTTGAAGACATACAGAAAACTCACAGAAGACATTTTCTGCATCATAAGAGGTCAACATAGACATCTTAAGCATCAGTTTCAGAGTGGAGCCCTTTGAGTTTTCCAGATCTTGTCCAGTGACCTGCTGCAGCTCTGTGAGAGGCTTCTGGTGTCAACAGAATCCTGTAAGTTAAACAAGCACCTTAGCAGTGGGAGGTCAGAGCTACAAAATAACCAGAGCCATAATCACAACTGTGCCTCCTTGTAAACTGTTAGTGGAGTAGAGTATTTTTGTTCTTCCCCTTACCTCAGACTTAGCTGGACAGGGACGGGATATTACAGCTAGATTCGGGATCTGTCGCTCCACCAGAGCAGAACCATTTTCTATAATATTTGCACCCCACAAAGCCTGAGTGTCTCCTGTCTCAGGATCATTATGGAGGCATCAGCCCATAGTCACTGGGGACGCTCTCACCAGCACCTGTGAATTTTGGAGACATTTGAGGATGTCCTGTGCAAATTGGGGTCTGTCTGACTACAAGGTTTAATTCTGCCCCCATTTTAGAGGAAGAGAAATGGTTCAGCCAGGGTTTGTTCCTCCCCTCACAGAAATAATTTCCTTGATTTGTACCCAGATGGGAGTTGCTTCAGTTTTCTGGTTCTTTGGTGAAAAATGAGGAGATCTGGAGACTCAAACTGGTCAATAAGCTAATTGCTTCTATTTCATATGTCATTAGAAAAAGAGATGAAGCAGTCATGGTCCCTACCATGAAGGAACTTGCAATCTAGAGCACATGAATAAGTAGTTGAATTCAGCATCATGTGTTAAGCACAAAGACGGAAGGTGTAGAGGAGACTTAAGCTTCATTTGGGTCACATCCCTTGTTTTGAGTTTTGATGCCACCAACTGAAGGTCTATTCAAGGACAGAAGAGAAGTTATTATTTGTATTGTTTTTACCTTGCTAAGAATAAATATTTACCTTCTAATATAATTGCTCTAGGAAAACGTAAGGGTTTTGGTTAAATTCCTTCTTATCGTATGTTACAAAATAGGGAAGTGGCTAAAATAGATTAAAATTGCACAAACTCTGAAAATCAGATTTCTCTTGGTCAGGCTTAGAAAAGATAAAACTGAAAATTCTTAGCAGCATGGAGATCTGTCCCAACCCTGCGCAGATCCACCCTCTACTGCTAAACTTTCTCCAGGTCTGATCCCACACTGAAATCTCTCACAGAACTGCCTAGAGGAGATCAGAGTTTGGAGTGACTACCCCTACTGCCTCTCCACAGCTGGTGCTCACAATTTCCTGAAACCCAAAAGGAGATAAAAGGGGAAAAACTATATACTTTGGGGCCTTAAATTCTTTTTTAAAAAATTAGGCTGGGTGCGGTGGCTCATGCCTGTAATCCCAGCACTTTGGGAGGCCAAGGCGGGCAGATCACTTGAGGTCAGGAGTGCAAGACCAGCCTGGCCAACATGATGAAACCGCGGCTGTACTAAAAATACTAAAAATTAGCTGGGCGCAGTGGTGGGCACCCATAATCCCAGCTATTTGGGAGGTTGAGGCAGGAGAATTGCTTGGACCTGGGAGGTGGAGGTTGCAGTGAGCCGAGATTGCACCATTGCACTCCAGCCTGGGCAATAAGAGCGAAACTCAGTCTTAAAAAAAAAAAAAAATTAAAACCAGTGTTTCTAGAGACATCCCATCCAGCAACCTGTTCTCCATTCCTGCAGTTTCAATGATTTCTTCACAAGTCTCAAAGTAAATACAAACACTGAATTGCAGTTAACAGTTCCTTTCTATATCTCTCCATCTGTCTAAAATGAGCTATTATTCTATACATTTTATTTTAAAATCAATGATAGGAAAACAGAAGAAATAGAAATGGCAGGCCCTGCATTTAAATCCTGGGAAGTGTGGGACAATTAGTACCCACCTCTGCAGAAACCTGTTATGAGAATTAACACATAATGTGAGCTTCCCAGCACAGTGCTCTGTGACATACTCCTGAGCACATAGTACATGCTCCATAAACATTGCATTAATGCTTGTGCACATGTTTTTCAACTGCAGACTTATTCAGACATTGCCATTATCTCCAGCCTGTGTAAACTATGTAAAAGGGCCTGCAGAGAATGCCAAGTTTCAGGCTGATGATTGGTGGTCTTTTCTTTGGATGAAGGATATGTGTGTTGTGATAAGGGTGTTGGGATAAGGGATTCTGTGAAAATTTCTGAAGCTTTTATGAGGAAAAAATCCGTGCCTGCAATATTTATAATTTAGTTTAATCATTAAAAAATACTTGTTCATCAAATAATGAGTATACAAATTAACTTAAATCCACTTAGATGCTCACATAGGATGAAAGAAACTTTCAGTATAGTTATATTCATGACAATAAATACTTTGGTGTTCAGCTTCCTGAAAGCCACCTTACACTGCACGGAGTTAAATTTAGTGCTTGCAATCCTTGCCACTGAAAGATCCAAGGACCAGCAGCATCAACATTACCAGGGAGTTTGATAGATTCGCACAGTCCCAAATACTGCACCAGAATTATGGACTCAGAATCTCCATTTTGACAGGATCCCCAGGCTGTGTCTATGCATAATGGTGTTTGTGAGGCTAGGAGCTGGTGTCAGATCTGGTAGTGCAAGGCACCTTCCTCCTCCTTGAATATTTATAGCTAAATGGTCAGTTTCTCTAAACCAGCATATAGGTAGGGCAAAGAAGCATTTTGGATGATAGCTACAATTGAGTGAAATGTTAAACACATGTGATTATATTAAATAATTATATCCAAGTCTCTTACTCAGCAATTTAATTCTTAGTGGCATTTTATCTTGCAAACATTTGCCACACGTTAGTATGTGATTTGTTTACACCTGTCTCACTTGAATATTTGGTAAAACATTACTTTTACTCTAATCCTGTTGAAGTAATAGAAGGAAATCTATTTTCATGTACTCACTCATTGAATAAGCATTTAATGAGCAGAAAGGTCAATTAAGAGTCTGTTACATTCTTGCTGGCAAAAGATGGCAAGGGCCAAAGGTGGGGCCAGAAGTTCTCGAGCTTTTAGATGGAGTCAGCTTCATACCCAGGCAGGAGGGCAAGGGTACAGAGAATCCACAGAATCTGAAGGCTCCTACATACTTTATCTACAATGTTCTTCATGTCATTCCACTTTGCGTACAATATTGCAATTATTGCTTTAAATGAACAAATTTCTAAGATATCCTCGTCTATCCATTCATTACACTGTAAAAAATGAATTAAATCCTTTATTATACAAGCATCTTAGACAGAAATCAAATGTAATTCATCGCACATGCTGTCAGCTAATTAAAGTATTTGTACCACAGATTCCTCAGCCTTTTATATAAACTTGGAGGAGCACTGGGGTCTTATTCCAGGAGAAAAGCAAATGAATCTGCATTTTCCTCTTATTTAATTTATGCCACAATAACAGTAGCTTCAGTGCAGAGCT
The DNA here is from genome assembly GCF_000001405.40 of Homo sapiens. Classification (NCBI taxonomy): domain Eukaryota; kingdom Metazoa; phylum Chordata; class Mammalia; order Primates; family Hominidae; genus Homo; species Homo sapiens. The sequence goes on from NC_000021.9 coordinate 14,036,037, forward strand.
GCAGCTTCAAGCTTTACATTTACCCTGGAAGGTAAATGTGCACCTTCCGAAAACTGCCTGCAAGTAAAAAGAAGGAAATTACACGTTAAAAAATTTTTAAATTGGGAAGAACTGGTTTTTCCTCCTCCTGCTACATTCAGAGTTCTGTCTTAAGTATCATTCCCCCTCACCTTGCTATTTACTTTTCTCCTGATCTCAGCCCAGTGGGAACTGAGATACTGGAGAAAGTCTATTTTTTCCCTAGTTTTACAGTGTGACAGAAGAAAGTTTAAGTGATAGGCAAATGAAGGAAATGCAAGTCCTCAATATTCAGAACTAATTTACCAGGTTCTTGGCATGCTGAGAAACTCACTAGGTTTGTGGTCTTTTTGTGAATAAGAGCACATTTTCACCTAGGACTGGCAGGTGGTCACAGCTCAGCTAAAGAGAGTCCCATTAGACAGCTCATTCTGCTGTCATGTAACTAAGTGATTTTTTTCCCTGAAAGTTTATGTACTATATTCTATATAGAACACTATATAGAACATTTGCGCCTCATGCAGGGAACTGTTATTGTGGCATAAATTAAATTTAGCATTTTGACTTAAAAATTATTGGGCAAGTACTGTGTGCAGGATGCTCCTAAGTAATTGGCAGTGGCTATAAATACTTTAAGCAATTTTTCCAACCCTATGCTGGGAAGAATTCCTGCCACAACATATCATAAAGGTAGTAAGGGCAGTAAAGAGCCCTAGAAGCTCAGTGTTGAAAGAAACATCTACCGGTTATCTAGTGCAGCTACCTTCTGATGCTTAAATTCGCTTCTGCAATAGAAGGGTTGAATGCTAGTTTAGTCTCTGCTTGACTGTCTGTGGGGACAGGGAGCTCTCCACTTGATGAAAGATCTTTAGACCTCTGAGACACCTTAGTATGTTTGTGTTCTCACCCCCTTATTTCATGGTATATCCTTTGGTTTAACATAACAAGTCGATTCCCTCTCCCACATTAGGTCCTTTTACATACTTTAAGATACTTATTTTTAATTTTCATGACATTTCTCTTATAGCTTAAAAATCCCAGGCTATTTATTATTATTATATTATTTTTCTCATATATAACATGGCTTCCAAGTCTTAACTTACCTGGTCATTTTTCACTAGATGCTAAGTTGTCTCTTTTCATCTTAAAGAGAGATTCTTAACACAGCATCATTCTCAGGCATGGCCAGACCTGTAGGGAAGAAGGTAGAACTTACTCTTTATCCCACTTTAAATATTCTGCTTTTATAAATAGAGCCCCCATTTTTATTAATTATTGAATCTGGTTGGATTGCCACATAATGTCTTTTCATACTGCTTTGCAATACTTCAGACATACTTGTATGGAATCTGAACATTAATGTTTCCCATCAGGATGAAAGAATAAAGGGACTAAGATAGTACACTCTTGAATTACAAGCTAAGTCTTTGTATTAGTCTTTTTTCATGCTGCTAATAAAGACATACCCGAGACTGGGAAGAAAAATAGGTTGAATGGATTCACAGTTTCACATGCTGGGGAGGCCTCACAATCACGGCAGAAGGCAAAAGGCACTTCTCACATGGCAGAGGCAAGAGAGAATGAGAGAGAAGCAAAAGTGGAAACCCCTTATAAAACCATCAGATTTTGTGAGACTGATTCACTACCACGAGAACAGTATGCGGGAAGTCGCCCCGGTGATTCAGTTATCTCCCACAACACGTGGGAACTATGGAAGTACAATTCAAGATGAGATTTGGGTGGGGACACAGAGCCAAATCATATCAGTCTTAATTTGAATCTGAAGCTTGCCCAGCATTTTCTCACGTCACCTTAATTTGCAAAAGTGGAGCTTGGGTGAAATGAGGAATGAAAGTAAGAGAGAAAGAGAAGGAGGTCATATTGAGTGTAAAAAATGTGGCAATATAATACAGGAGAAAAAATGTTTGCTGTGGAATATTAGGGGAAAAATAACACAACAAATGAGTTCTAGTCCGTGAGCTCTCATTTGTCAACCCTGTTGATTTTGGGAAACATAGATAAGTTATCTGATCTTTAATTTTGTGATTTTTGAAGTGAAAAACACTATAATATTGCATAAATATAATGGAAATAATCAAATGAGATATTAGGTGAAAGCATTTATCTTATATTCATGTGTAATGCACACGTTCTTTCTTCCTTTCTCATCCTTGCAGTCGCATTCTCTTCCTTTTACGTCTTTCATTCCATTTAGGTGTCAAAACCACAAGTCTGGGAAAGGAATAATATGTAAGAGCAAAGATGCCTACTAGGTGGGCACATAGAGAGCTCCTGGTGGGACAGGGACTGCAAGAGAAGAGCCACTGCTTGGAGAGATTTCTCAAAAACTCTGCCTTATGTAAATGAATTTCAACAGCAAAGTGATGACATATCCACACATTTAAATAAAATCCTTCCCCTTTCCCTGGCAGTTAATATATTGAAATATTGTATCATGTTTATCAAAGGAAAACACCACCAAAGACCTGCTTTTTATTCTTGGCAGGTGTCCCTAATCCAGAATGACACTCTTCCCACTGACCTGGACAGGCTTTCTGGTATCAAGTCCCCCTTCCAGGTAGCCATTAACAACTATTCCAAGTTGGCATTAGAGACTAAACTAGATGGTCATAATTGGTCCTGTCTAAAATGAGAGCCATGGGGAATGCCCAATTATGATTGGCTGTTTCCTTCCATGTTTGTGTGTGTGTGTGGGTGTCCTGATGAGGTGGTTCTCCAGATACTTGTATCTGGTATCCAGATTTTCTCTGCTTCTCCACAGCAAGAAATGATGTAGGGCATCTCTAGGCTTGTCTTTTGCCCCTAATCCAGACTCATGGGTCTCGGGGATTAAGGGTCCTCCACCAATTCATAAGACCTTCACCTATTCTCCTTGTTACCATCATCACAAAACTTCTGTTTCTGATTGCTCCTGCTCCTCTCCCATATTTTTATTTGTCTTAGAGAAGAAAATACTTGAATTAATTTAGGTTAGTTTTTTTTCTGAGTTGTTGGTACGGTCTTCCTTGACCTTAATGTTTTTATTCCATGTTGTTATATGTACTCTGTTGGGCTCTCAAGAATCTTTTTATTATGCAATCTCTAAAAGTAACCTAAGAAGTAAATTTTTATTTGATTGACAATGAAAATAAATGTCTCTGCAGTATGCAATTATGACACATAGATTAGTTTTGAGAAAGTATTTGGTTGGTATATTTAATGTTGGACAGTGCTTCTTTAACAAGTGTATTAAACCACTCCAACAAAACTTGGTAAGAGAAAGAGTCTCCTTCAGTTTCCTTCCTGGAACTTAAGCTCATCACGGTAGGATACCCAGAATAGAAGGAAAATTGGCACTTTTTCATTGCTTGACTGGTCTGTCTTACATCTATCCTGATGCTGGCTTCAGGCAGAAAATCTCTCTGTTACTAGCTTTGAAATTTTCACAAGATATTGCAGTAATATTTAGTGATGAAGTAGGGCATTCTAAAGAATATCAGTAAGGGGTTTTCTTCTTCCTCATAGCACCCATAAGACCTTCTCTACTCCCCCACATACAAAATTTGTACCTCAGTTTTCCACATGTGGGTGCCTGGAATCTTTCTCCTATCTCCTGCTGATGTGCCCCATTAGCCAAACCCACACAGAAGCCAGAGAGGCATAGGAGAAACCTGGTGATGTAACCCAAACAGGCAGCCCTCCCAGGTGGAGAACATTTTGGAGATAGGTAGAAAGTGAATCTATAGGATCAAATTGAAAATATGTGACACACTCTTCATCTGCTTATTTATTGAGTACACACACACACACACAGACATGCTACTTTGCTATTAAAACACACAAACACATATATTTAAAAATTAGCAAAAATTGAAGCTAAAGCCAAGTAATTTCAAACTTGACATAATAAAATCATTTGGATACTAATAATTCAGCTATGTGCAAAGCACTTGGTAGGCACTGCAAGCAGCAGAGATGTATGTGAGGAAAAGCAGCTGTTTCCAAAGAGCGTATAGTTAAGCAGTGAAATCAGATAGCATTTTATCTCCTAGAAAGCAAAGTGTTAAGTGTAGGTGAAACTTGGACAGTAGGATCCAGATTTGAATGCAAATAGCAACTTCTAAAATCAGAAATGTATCTTTATTAGCACCGAGGATGTGCCTATTTGAAAACAGATGAAGCAAATGAGGAGCAAGCATTCTCTTGGGAAAAATGTGGACCATACAAATCCAGCAATGACATGATTACCGGGACCCCAAAATGTTCTGAAACCCTGCGTAATGACCACCTATGAGGCTTATGACTCCTCTAGAGTGAAGTTTGCTTAATCTTTTTCTCTGATGTCTTCCTTAGTTATCTTCTTTTTAAATTAGAAAAATTAAAACGTAGTTCCTTGGTTTTCAACATTTTTTCAAGTCTGGATGTTAATTTTTTCATGATACTACATGAGGTCAGACTCAATGGTAAAATCAATTAATGTATTTTGCTTGGAAGTCATTCTTGAAGTGAAAAAACATTCTGCTATACTTTTGGTTTCAGCCTCTCTTTATGTTAATGAATACTAAAGAAAACAAAAGTAGCCACCTAGTTGCAAAGCATGCGCTTGTTAATCACATCACTACATAAATAAAATAAGGCTATTTACACAATTGCAAAGAATCTCTTTACATTTGATTTACTGTTTTCCAAGCAGCAGCTCATGTAAGAGAGATGTTAACAGATTAAATTTCCCTTAGCATCATTCTACATCCTCGGTCAATGGATAATCTACTAGCACTGGCTCTACAACTTTACTTATTTATTTTTTAACTTTTATTTTAGGTTCAGGGTTACATGTGAAGGTTTGTTATGTAGGTAAACTCGTGTCACAGGGGTTTGTTGTACAGATTATTTCATCACTCTGGTATTAAGCCCAGTACCAAATAGTTACCATTTCTGCTCCTCTCCCTCCTCCCACCCTCCCCCATCAAGTAGACCCCAGTGTCTGTTGTTTCCTTCTTTGTGTTCATAACTTCTTATCATTTAGCCCCCACTTATAAGTGAGAACATGCAGCATTTAGTTTTCCGTTCCTATGTTAGTTTGTTAAGGAAAATAGCCTCCAGCTCCATCCATGTTCCTGCAAAAGACATAATCTTGTTCTCTTTGATAGCTTCATAGTATTCTATGGTATATATGTACCACATTTTCTTTACCCAGTCTGTCCCTGATGGGCGTGTATGTTGATTCCATGTCTTTGCTATTGTGAATAGTGCTGGAATGCATTCTGTGTGCATGTGTCTTTATGGTATAATGATTTATATTTTTCTGGGTAGATACTCAGTAATGGGATTGCTGGGTCGAGTGACAGCTCTGCTTTTAGCTCTCTGAGGAATCATCATACTGCTTTTCTCAATGGTTGAACTAATTGCTTTACATCTTTAAATATAAATCACGCATCATCCAGGTGGCTTACCCAGGACTAAGGAAGGTTTCCTACACAAGGTGGAGGAGAAAGTGCTAGAATTCTTATATGAGAGGACCTCATGGACAGTCTCTTGTTGGAATGTTAGGACGTTGGGAGAGGAGTAGAAGTAGTAGGGCAGTGCTATGACGTAGTTCTTATCTCAGAACTGCTTTTAGCTGGTTATTTAAATGAGATGGGGAATAGATTAATTGTCCATATCAAAGAGTAATGGTAGGATTCTAATGAAGGTGAGATGGGAAAATCTCTCTCCAAGCCAAGTCCTGATCAATTACCAGGTTGTAGAACATTTAAAAAATGAGATAGATTTTATAACAGCCTGATCCTTACTTTATGAATAAAGAGATAAAGAGAAATGTGTTGGGCAAAAGTGGAGTAAGAGGGCCCACATTTCTGCATTGGATATTAAGCATCCAGGATAATGGCTACTGAGAGCAGAAACAAATAGTGTCAGTTCTAAAATTATCCTTCACTTACTTCTTGGAGAGAGTTTCCAGGCTGCAAATTAAGAAAGAAAAATATAGGCAGAACCCAACAGTATTCCTGAATAAGAAAATGAAGCCGGGATTCCTAGGAGGCCAAAGTACTTATACTTTAAAAAGACCGGGTAAGGAAGAGAAAATAGATACATGGAGAGAGTCCCATCAATCTGCAGAGGGCACCTGTTCAGTCATTATTTGAGTAGTGATCAACACGTGTATGTGAGGAAACTACTTGAGGCCAAGAACAAAGCTGTATCAGACAAGCAAGCAGAGGGAAAAAATCCTGGCAGCTTGCATAAGATCAGGAATATTTCATGTGCCTCATGGCCAGAAAGAAAAATCTCATAATTCTCGAGGCATTGAACAGAGTATTTAAGTTCTAGTTACAGCAAAACAAAGCTTAAAAAGCAAGATTGGAAAGGAAAATAAATACTTCCAAGTAATTTAACTGTATCCTGTAATAAAGTTTAAGAATATTTATAGGAATTAAAAGATACAGCACTGAAAAAGTAAAATTCACAATGTGTGTCATTTAATTAAAAAATTAACAGGAATACAAATAAGAAATTACAATTCATAATGAAGAAAAAAATTAATAAAACAGACCCAGAAATGACACAGATAATAGAATTAGTAGTAAAGGCATTTAAATGGCCAAGAGGATAAAAGTTTAGTATGTTAAGCAGAGATATAAATGTTTTTAAAAAGATCTAAATACAATTTCTAGAAATAAAAATATACTATCTGGGACTATCAGATTATGCACTGCAGAAGGTTAGATTAGTAATCTTGAAGACATAATGATAGAATGTATCAAAAATGAAAGAGAGACCCAGAGAATGACATGCTGGTGAGTGGTGGGATAACTTCAGACGGCTTACTCTATGTATAATTGAAATCCCAAAAGACAGGAAAAAAAAACATTAGAAGAAATAATAGTCTGCAATTTTCCAAATTTGATGAAAACTATAAGCCTACAGATGCAAGAAGTTCAAAACTCTCCAAGCACAAGACATTTGAAGAAAATTACATGAAGACACATTATGATCAAATTGTTTAAAATAAATGATAAAGATAATATCTTAAAAGCAGCCAGATAAGAAAGGCACAGTGGGTATAAAAGAATTCAGGTAAGAATGAAAAGAGGCTTCTTGTCAGAAACAAAGCAAACCAGGAGACAAAGGATCAAAGTTTTTAAAGTATTCGGAGGAGGCAATGATTATCTTGGAATTCTACAACTAGCAAAAATATATTTGAGATAGGAAGATAAAATAAAAGGTTTACATACATTAAAAAAAAAACTAAAAGAATTTATCCCCAGTCAATATACACTACAAGAAATAGTAAAGGAAGTTCTCCAGGCAGAAGGAAAATGATATCAAATGGAAGCTGGATTCACAGTAAGAAATGAACAGCACTAGAAATGCTAAATATGTGAGTAAATATAAAATTTTAAAAAATTATTTTAAAACATCCTTATTAAGTAGTTGACTATTTAAAGCAAACCAATAAGATTGTATTGTGGTGCTTATATGTAAAAATAAAATGTATTTCAACTATAAATAAAATTTGTGGGAGGCCATTGTTTTGGATTGAGCTCCTGCACCAAGCTCCAACAGACCAGACCAAACCAGAATGGAGTTACTGGTGCTAGGCACCCGTACAAATTGAACTTAAAAACAGGCCAGTTTTCCAAAAAGCAAAAGATTCATGCAACCAATCAAAAGGGACCCAGGCAACCTGAACCGGCATGATAAGGAAGCCCCCTCTGCCTTAACCCACACTAGGAAAGTAATCTGAAGTAACTTGATGTTAACCAATCTGCTGCTTCTACTATATTGTTTCCTTGTTCCTGCTCAAGCGATTTCACAAAAATCTACTGTTCTGCCATTCCCAGTGGGGCTTATGTCTATTTATATACTAGATGCTGCCTGGTTCATGAATAGCTAATAAAAGTCAATTAGATCTTCAAAAATCAATTTTTGAAATTTTGTTTTTTGACATCACCATAACCAAAATTCTAGGAAGGGAGAAATTAAAGTACACTGCTGTATGCAAAGTGGTGTATTACTTGAGAATAGACTATAATAAATTAAAATTTTGTATTATAAACCTTAAAGCAATGACTCAAACAAAAACCGAAAGAACAGTTATAGCCCTTAAACCAAAAAGGCAGAGAAAAAAAAGGCAAAAAAAAAAAAAAGAGAAAAAAGGAAAACAAATAAATGGAAAAAAAAACAACATAGCAAGTTGGTAGATTTAAACCTCATCATCATAATAATTACATTAAATAAATTGCCTAAACAACACAACCCAAGCAAAAGGTAAGGATTTTTAGGTTGGACAAAAAAGTAAGACCCAAATACATGTTACCAGTAAGAAGCTAACTTTAGGCCGGGCGTGGTGGCTCATGCCTGTAATCCCATCACTTTGGGAGGCCGAGGCGGGCAGATCACCTGAGGTCAGGAGTTTGAGACCAGCCTGTTTAACATGGTGAAACCCTGTTTCTACCAAAAAAAAATACAAAAAATTAGCTGGGTGGCACATGCCTGTAATTCCAGCTACTCGGCAGGCTGAGGCAGGAGAATCGCTTGAACCCGGGAAGTGAAGGTTGCAGTGAGCCAAGATAGTGCCATTGCACTCCAGCTTGGGCAACAGGAGTGAAACTCTATCTCAAAAAAAAGGAGCTAACTTTAAATATTAAAACAGAAATGGGTTAAAAGAAAAAAGATTGATAGATATAGGTCATGCTAACTTTAATAAAAAAGAATCTTGGGTGGCTACATTAATACCAGGCAAAGTAGATTTCAGAGAAAACAATATTACTGAGGATAAAGAGGGAATTTTCATAGACAATGTGTTCAATTCATTAAGTAGACATAATAATTCTAAATGTATGTGCACCTAATAATAAAACTTGAAAACACATGAAACAAAATCTGGTAGCATGACAAGGAGAAACAGGCAAATTCACAATTACAGTAAAATATTACAACACTCATCTTTCAATGATTGATAGAACAAGTAGAAAATTATTAAGGATGCCAGAAGGCTTAAACAATACCATCAACCAATTAGATCTAATTACAAATTATAGAACATTCCACAAAAGACAGCCAAATAATTATTTCTTTACATTTTTTCCAGTGTACTCGAAAAATTTACCTAGGTAAACCTTGTTCTGGGTCATAAAACAAGTCTCAATAAATTTAATTCAAATCATACAAACTCTATTCTCCGACTACAAAGGAATTAAATTAGAAATCAGTATCAAAGAGGTCTGTGTGATATAAGCTATTTGGAAATGATATTAAATGCTTTTAAATCTCCTAGTTCAAATAAGAAATCAAAAGAGGACTTACAAAGTATTTTGAACTGAAAGAAAATGACAACGTATTATATTAAAATGTTTACAAGACAGCTAAAGCGAAACAGAAATTTATGGCACTAACTACCTGTATAGAAAAGGAGAAAGGTCTCAAATCAATGGCTTCCACTTCCACCTAATGATAATAGATAAAAAAAGAGAAAATTAAACTCAATGTATGCAAAAGAAGGAAATAAAAGAGTAGAAATCAAAGAAAATAAAAGTAAGCAAAAAATAGAGTAGTAGATAAAAATCAATGAAACCAAAAGCTGGTTCCTTGTGAATTTTGATATAATGATAAATCTCCAGCCAGACATATCAGGAAATAAACAAATGAGAGAGAGACAGAGAAAGAGAGAGAGAAGGAGTGAGAGAGGGAACAAATTTACCAGTATAAAGAAAGAAAGGTTAATATTTGTAAAGATTCTACAATAATAATGAATGATTGTGAACAACTTCATGCCAATAAGTTCAACAACTTTAATGAAATGGACTTTAATGAAAGATATAAGCTATCAAAGCATATTCATGAAGAAATAGATTACTTGGATAGTCTTATATATATGAAAGTAATTGAACTTATAGCTAAGCACTTCCTACAAAGAAAACTTCAGACTGAGATGGCTTCATTGATGAATTCCACAAAACATTTCAGGAGGAAATAGTACTGATTCCATATAAACTCTTCAAGAAATTGAAGAGATCATACTTTTCAACTAATTCTGTGAAGCCAATATTACCATGATATCAAGAGAAGAGGAAACATTACAAGAAAAGGAAACTACAAACTAATATCTGCTATGAACATAAATGAAAAAATTCACAAATCCAATCCTGTAATATATAAAAATGATAATGCATCATAAATAAATGGGCTTTATCCCTGAAATGCAAGATTGTTTTAACATTCAAAAATAAATTGAGGGGACTTTTATTTTCACCTTTGACACATAAAGAGGTTGGAAACTTTTATTCCTGACCTTTCAACAAGAAAAAGCTGAACAAACCGAAAATCAATGAATTTTCTTGGACCTGTGAGATAATTGAGGGCTCAGGGTAAACTGCCACCAGAAATCTGGAGGTGAATACAGGTAAACACAAGGAGTCCCAGCCTAAATGGAACAGAAGCTACTGGAGCCCTAAACTGATAGGGACACTAAAAATACTAACTTTGATGAATCCCTGGAGGCTGAATATGGCCTAGTCTGAGAGTGAGAAACAGCTGGAGAGCCTGCATTTTTGTGGATTTTACTTGGAGTTACTCATAATGAAGAGCTGTGAAAAACCTTGATGTTTCTGGCAGGGGAGGAAATAAGTAAAACTTTGGAAATATGGCCAGAATACTCTGTTATAAATGTCTGCTCAGCAAGAGAAAAGACTTTACCAGGATGTTACCTGAGGTGGGGGGATAGAAATTACACAACTGCAGCCTTTTGTAAGCGTTTCTCTATAAGGGAGAAGGGGGAAGCTGAGAAACACTTGTGAAGATCACACTAGTGACACAGGCCCACTTAAAGCCTGAGACTTAATCATAGGATGACGGACTGCTTCCCCTTCTCCATACCTTACTATCGCAACAAGCCTCACATATAAAATAACAATGGATGATCCAGGCATGGTGGCTCAAGCCTGTAATCCCAGCACTCAGGAGGCTGAGGCAGGAGAATCACTTGAACCCAGGTGGCAGAGTTTGCAGTGAGCCGAAATCATGCCATTGCACTCCAGCCTGGGCAACAAGAGTGAAACTCCATTTCAATAAAATGGAATAGAATAGAGTGGAGTGGAGTGGAGTGGAGAGTGGAGTGGAGTGGAGCGGAGCGGAGCAGAGTGGAGTGGAGTGGAATAGAACTGCAAGGCACAGACTCTTATTTAAGAGCACTTTTAGGGAAACCCAAAGACAAAATAGAAGCCAATTTACAAGAGTACGAGAAGAAATTGAAGGCTCTGGCATCTGCAGCTATAGCAAACATTAGACAAGGCCTATCTCCTAGCCAGATAAGCATAAGACCTGTCACTAAAGGCATATTTACCTCGGATCGTATTACATGATACATACTAAATGGTTTTCAACCAAAAAATTATGAAGTGTGCTAAAAAAGCAAGCAAAAACATAGTGTGAAAAGACAAATTAAGCATCACATCCAGATTCAGATATGGCATGGATTTTGGAATTATCAGACAGAATTTCACTTGATCTAAGCCAAAAGGCCAAGAAGTGATATCAGACAGAATTTAAAATAACTCTCATTAATATGTTAAGAACTATAATGGATAAAATAGAGAACACATGAGTACTGTAAATAGAGACAGCTAAAAATACTAAGAACAAATCAAAAGAAAATGTTAGAAAATTTTAAAAAAGGCACTGTAATAGTCATACTTTTGGTGGGATTATCAGTAAACTGTACGTGGCCAAAGAAAGAATAAGTGAGCTTGAAGATATGTCAGTAGACAGTTTAGCTTAGAAAGCACAAACCAGGATAAAACCCCCCAATTTTACACCTAAGTATATCTATTAAACTGCAGAAAACTAAAGAAAAAAGGAAAATCTTAAAAGCAGCCAGGTGTGCACCTTAACTATAGAAGAAGAAAGATAAGAATTATATCAGACTTCTTTTCAGAAATCATGCAAGAAAAAAGAGAAGAGAGTAAAATATTTAAATTACTGAAAGAGAGACACACCAATATAGAATTCCATATTCAACCAAATTATCCTTCAAAAGTGAAGAAGAAATAAAGTCTTTATCAGATGAACAAAAAGCTGAGGAAATTCATTGCCAACAGAACTTTTCTGCAAGAAATATGAAAAGAAGTTCTTCAGAGAGAAGGAAAATGATATATATTAGAAACTTGGATTTACATAAAGAAAAGAGCATCTAAGAAGGAATAAATAAAGGTAAAATAAAATCTTTTATTTTTAAAATTCTTAATTGATCTAATACATAGCTGTTCAAAGTAATAATAATAACAATATATTAGGTGATTATAGAATATGGGTAAGTGGAATGAATGACAGCAATGCAAAATATAAGGGATTCAACTGATATGGGGGATGATCTAGGAAGCTGATATTACCATGAGGGCAATAGCACACACAGGCTTTAATGGGTAACACTTCAACGGGTTTGATTTTTGGGGAAGCCTCTTATAGCAGGAATCTGTCCAGAGATTACAGCATGGGGTTGGCTACTCAGAAGGGAAGAGGAAAAAGGAAACATTTTGAGGAGAGGGAAATGGAGAGAAAACTTACTACCTAGGTGATGTCACTCAGCAACAAGGAAGGGATTCTCTAGGTCAGAAAACTCCAAAGTGCGTAGCAGCTTGGGGTCTTATAACCACAGGCTTGCTTTTGTCAATGGCCAGCAAATGTGAGGATATGTAAAGCAAGCAGCCTCTCAGTGACTAAAAATCTGCTTGTTTGAGCTATTTTAAAAATAACTGGATATGTAAAAATTTGAGTTTGGCCCTGTTGGGCTTTTCAGCTAGTGGGTCTCAGCATGCAGTGAAGAAATAAGCAATCTGGGGAGCAGTACACAGACATTATTTTTGACTTATTTATATAACAGTAAAGGATGGAGGGAAGGATTGGGAATGCACTATTATAAGTGCAATTACCTTATAATAGCCTATTCCCAATTCCTTCCCTCCATCCTTTGTATGAAGCTCTATAATGTTATTTGGGAGTGAACTTAAATGCTTTTTATAGGTATATAGCAAACGCCATGGCAATCACAAATTGTGGTGTGTGTATGTGTATATTTGATATGCTAACAGAGGAGAGAAAAATGGACTCATATAATGTGATCAGTTAAAACCAGAAAAGGCAGACAAAAAGGAGGAGAAAAAAAGAAAAAGCATAACAAATAGAAAACAGTTACAGACATGGTAGATAAACCAACTCTATAAAAATAATAACTGTAAATGTGGAGGTCTAAACACATGCATTACAAAATAGAAATTGTCAGAGTGGATCTAAAAATTAAATCCAACTATATGTTGCCTATAATAAATATGCTTTAAATATAAATACACAGATACATTAAAAGTAAAGGGGTGGAGAAAGATATATTCTGCTAGCACTAATCAGAAGAAGGCTGGAGTAGCTGTATTAATTTCAGACAAAGCAGACTTCAGAACAAAGAAATTTGTTAAGAATAAAAAGGATAATATAATTATAAAGGAGTCAATTATCTAAGGAGACATAACAATCCTTAATATGTTTGTGCCAAATAACAATGAATCAAAATATGTGAAGCAAAAGTGTATGGAATGCAAAGAGAAATAGACAAATCCACTATTATACTTGCAGACTTTTACAACCCTATTTAAATAATTTACAGATCATGTCTAACTTTTACTTGAGGAAACCAGAGAGAGGAAAGAAATTTAGGCCTAAAAGAAGCAGAAGAAAAGAATTTATAGTAATTAGAGCAGATATCAGTGAAATTAAAAACAGAAAATATTGGAGTAAATCAACAAAACCAAATGTTGGCTCGTTGAAAAGATAAATAAACTTGGTTAAATTCTAGCCAGATTAACTAAACCAAAACAAACACAAACAGAAAAAGAGAGAACATACAAATTACTAATGTTAGAAATAAAAGAGGGGTCGTTCTTGTTGATTCCATAGACATCAAAAGGATGATAAAGGGATATTATGAAAAACGCCATGCCCACAAATGTGATGAATAGAATATACAAATTCATTAAAAGACACGACTACCCAAAATCCCACAGGGAGAATTATATAATCTGAGTAAGTCTGTGTCTATTAGAGAAATTGAACTGTAATTCAAGAAAGAAAACACCAGGCCCAGATGGTTTCACTGGCGAATTTTACCAAAAGTTTAAGGAAGAATTAATATGAATTCTCTTCAATCTCCTCAAGAGAATAGAAGCAGAAGGAGCATCTCTTACCTCATTGCTATGAGACAAGCATTACTGTAAAACCAAAACCAGATAGAGACATTACAAGAAAAGAAAACCACAGACCAATTTATCTCAAGATCATAGATGGAAAAATCCTCAGCAAACCAAATCCAACAATGTACAATTATTTACCAGGACCAAGTGGTATTTATTCCAGTTATGCAAAACTAGTATTGTATTTAAAAATCAATTAAGGCAACCCCTGACATTAACAGGAATTGATCATAATACCAATCAAAATTCTAGCAAAATCCTATTTTATGGATATTGTGAAATTGAAGTTTAAAGTCAGTTTCAAAGTTGGAGGACTGACATTTCACATTTTACTATAAAGTTGTACGACTATCAAGTAGAGTGGTGTTTTCAAGAAATAGACTCATAGATCAATGGAATGTGATAGAGTGCCCAGAAACAGACCCATACAAATACAGACAATGGATATTTGACAAAGGAACAAAGGCAGTTCATTTTTCAACAAATGCTGCTAAACAATTGGATGTCCAAATGCAATGCAAAGAGAGAGAGAGAGAAAAGATTTCAACAGAGACTTAAATGTTTCATAAAATAACTCAAAATATGATCAGTAGTCTAAATATAAAATGCAGTAATGTAAAACTTTTAGAGGGTAGGTGCAGTGGCTCATGCCTGCAATCCCAATGCTTTGAGAAGCCAAGATGAGAGGATCACTTGAGACCAGGAACTTAAGACCAGCCTAAGCAACATATGGAGACTCTGCCTCCACAAAAAAATAAAAAATAATAGCCAGATGTGACCCACATCTGTAGTCCCAATCGCTTGCGAGGCTAAGGTGGGAAGATTACTTGAGCCAAGGAGTTTGAGGCTGCAGTGAGCTATCATGGCACCACTGCACTCTAGCATGGGTGACAGAGTGAGACCCTGCTTCAAAACTTCAACAACCAAACAAACCTTTAGGAGAAAACATAGGAGAAAGTCTACATGACCTTGGGTTTGGCAAAGCTCTTTTTTTTCCCATGCACAAAAAGCATGATCCGTGGGAAAAAATTGATAAATTATACTTTATCAAAAGTTAAAAAAATTCTGTTTTGCAAAAGTGACTGTTAAGAGAATCAAGACACAGACTAACAGAAAATGTTTTTACATCACATAACTGATACAGAACTTGTATCCAAAGTATACAAATAACTCTTAGACCTCAACACTAAGAAAAAAACAACAAGAGAAAACCACAAAGCCCAACTTAAAAATATGTCTACCTATTTAATGCAATTTCAATAAAAATTCATTCAGGCTTTTTCTTTGGTAGAAATTCACAGATTCTAAAATTTGCATGAAAAGAAACTGTGCGTAAGTAGCCAAAATAAATGAAAGAGAAGACCAATTTTGGGGGCTTATACTTCATGATTTCAAGATTTATTATAAAACTACAGCGAATCAAGATCCTAGTGTAAAAATAGATGATAGTTCATTGGAACAGAATAAAGTTTTCAGCTATAGACACATAATGACATTGACAAGAAAATGAAAAGCATTTCACAGACTGGAAAAACATTTGCAAAATGTATATCCAAACAAGGATCTATATCTAGTATATATGAAGAACTTTTACAGCTCATAAGAACACAATAAGCCAATTTAAAATGGGCAGAAGATTTGCTTAGACACTTCACCAAAAAAGATCTATAGATGGCAAATAAGCACATGTAAATTTGCTTGGCATTTTTATTAATTAGAGAAATGCAAATTAAAAGAAGCTACCAGTATACTCCTACTAAAAAAATGGCTAAAATTAGAAACCCTGACCAGCTAGAGCAACTACAACTCTCATATACTGCTGGTGGGTTTCTGAAATGGTACAAACACTTGGAAAATTGTGGGAATTCTTAAAAGTGAATCATATAACCTAGCCATTGTATTTCTAAGTAGTTATCCAAAATACCTGGAAGCATATTTCTGTACAAAAAATGAGTTCATAAATGTTAATTGTTTTATTTGTAATAGCTAAAAACTTAAAATAACACAAATATTCATCAAGTAAATAAATAAATTGAAGCATACCCATACAGTGAAATATTGCTTATTAATAAAAATAAATGAACTCCATATGCTACAACATGGATAAATCTAAAAATTATTATGCTGACTGAAAGATGCCAGAATACCTACTTCATAATTGCATTTATATAACATTTTGGAAAATAGGAAGTAATCTGTAGCATCAGAAATCAGATCATTGGTTGCCTGTGGGATAGATGGGGTTTGAAAGGGTGGGAGGAAAGGCTTAAAAAGAAACAGGTGGAAACTTTGGGAATACGAGTGTGTTATGTTGATTATGGAGACAGTTTTATGGATTCATGAATATATTTCAAAACTTATCAAATTGTAAATTTAAATACATGCAGTTTTTATGTGAAATCTTGATGTGTTTTGTCTTTTTAAAAACTTGTTATTAGAAGGTTGAATTGCTATTACTTAATTATTTTCCTCTGTTTTAGACTATAATCTTTTCAAAGTCAGGAATCCATTCTATTTTTTTTAACTTTTATTTTTAATTCAGGGTATGTGTGCACGTTTGTTCATAGATAAATCTGTGTCTGTGACATAGATAGACTTTTGTTGTACGGATTATTTGTCACCCACGTATTAAGCCTTGTACTCATTAGCTATTTTTCCTGATACTCTCCCTCCTCCCACCCTCCACCCTCATGTAGATCCTAGTGTCTGTGTTTGCCCTGTATGTGTCCATGTCCCTGTGTTCTCATCATTTACTCCACCTGTAAGCGAGAACATGCAGTATTTGATTTTCTGCCCCTCTTAGTTTGCTAACGATAATGACCTCCAGCTCCGTCCATGTCCTAGCAAAGGACATGATCTCATTCTTTTGTTACGGCTGCATAATATTCCATGGTGTATATGTACCACATTTTCTTTATCTGTCTACATTTTCTTTATCACCACGCCTGGCTAATTTTTTGTATTTTTACTGGAGACAGGGTCTTTCCATGTTGGCCAGGCTGATCTTGAACTCCTGACCTCAGGTGATCCACCTGCCTTGGCCTCCCAAAGTGCTGGGATTACAGGCATGAGCCATCGTGCCTGGCCAAATGCTAGTGATTTTTGCACATTGATTTTGTATCCTGAGACATTGTTGAAGTTGTTTATCTCCTTAAGAAGCTTTTGGGAGGCTGAGGCAGGAGAATTGCTTGAACCTGGGAGGCGGAGGTTGCAGTGAGCCGAGATCACACCATTGCACTCCAGCCTGGGCAACAGAGTGAGACTCTACCTCAAACAAAAACATACAAACAAAAAAAAAAAGCTTTTAGGCTGTGATAATGGGTTTTCTAGATATAGGGTCATGTCATCTGCAAACAGAGATAGTTTATCTTTCTCTTTTCCTATTTGGATGCCCTTTATTTCTTTCTCTTGCCTGATTGCCCTGGCCAGAACTTCCAGTACTATGTTGAATAGGAGTGGTGAGGAAGGACGACCTTTTCTTGTGCCGGTTTTCCAAGGGAATGCTTCCAGCTTTTGCCCATTCAGTATGATGTTGGCTGTGCGTTTGTCATATGTGGCTCTTACTATTTTGAGGTATGTTCCTTCAATACCTAGTTTATTGAGAATTTTTACCGTAAATCGATGTTGAATTTTATCAAAAGCCTTCTCTGCATCTATTGAGATAATCGTGGGTCTTTTGTCTTTAGTTCGGCTTACGTGATTAATCACATTTATTGATTTGTGTATGTTGCACCAGGCTTGTATCCCAGGAATAAACCCTACTAGATCTTGGCGCATAAGCTTTTTGATGTGCTGCTGAATTTGGTTTGCCAGTATTTTGTTGAGGATTTTTGTATTGATGTTCATCAAGAATATTTGCCTGAAGTTTTCTTTTTTTCTTATATCTGCCAGGTTTTGGTATCAGGATGCTGCTTGCCTCATAAAATAGGGAGACGTCTCATCTCAATTTTTTTTTAATAGTTTCAATAGGAATGGTACCAGCTCTTCTTGGTACATCTGGTAAAATTCAGCTGTGAATGTCTGGTCCTGAGTTTTTTTTGGCTGGTAGGCTATGTATTACTGCCTCAGTTTCAGAGCTCATTATCAGTCTGTTCGGGGATTCAATTTCTTCCTGGTTCAGTCTTAAGAGGGTGTATGTGTCCAGGAATGTATTAATTTCTTCTAGATTTTCTAGTTTATGTGCATAGAGGTGTTTTGCAATATTCTTCTGCCTCAGCCTCCCGAGTAGCTGGGATTACAGCCATGTGCCACCACGTCCTGCTAATTTTTGTATTTTTAGTAGAGACGGGGTTTCACCATGTTGGCCACGGTGGTCTCAAACTCCTTGACCGGGTTCAAACTCCTGACCTCAGGTGATCCACCCACGTCGGCCTCCAAAAGTGCTGGGATTACAGGTGTGAGCCTATGCACCCGGCCTCCGAGTCAGCTTTTCTAAATAAAATTATATTGGAACATGGCAGTACCAGGGCAGAGGAGGGCAGGGCAATGCAGGACTGGGCCATGGCAGCGCTTGGTCAACTCCAGGGCAGGGCCAGAAGCAGCACAGGGCCAGGGCCAATGCTCAGGCCAGGGACAGGGCATGGCAGGAAGTGCCAGAGCAGGGCCAGGCCAACATTGGGGCAGGGCAAATCAGGTCAGGACACCTCCAAGTCCAGCTCTGGCCCTGCCTTGGCCCTGGCCCCTCCCTGGCCTGACCTTGTCCCTGGCCCTGCCCTATCCATGCCCTGTGTATTTGACCAATGTTTCAAAACCAGAATCCTACCAGGAACTTAAACAAATCAACTACTTTTGTGCATTTTTAGTAGAGACAGGGTTTCACAATGTTGCCCAGGCTGGTCCCGAACTCCTGAGCTCAAGCCATCTGCCAGCCTTGGCCTCCCAAAGTGCTGGGATTACAGGTGTGAGCCACTGCGCCAGTCCAAGTATTTAACCTCTTTATGCCTGTTTCCTACATTTGGAAAATGGGGATACTATAAGTAACTAGCACACAGAGTTATTGTGAGAATTAATGCCTCACATATATACATATTTATATAGTTATAGTCATAGAACAGTACCAGAAGCAAAGAAAGTATTGGTTAAAATTTAGTGATTATTAACTACTGCAAATATTATTACTATTACAAACAACATAGTATAGATAATATTATTACTAGTATAGTTATCTTAAAAATCTAAAAATTTTAACTAATATCCTAATGTAATCTCTCCTGCTCTGCCCTGGCCCTGCCCTGGCTTAGCCTTAGCGCTGGCCCTGCCCCTAGTCCTACCATATCCCTGGCCCTGACCCTTCCCTGGCCCTGCTGCTGCCCTGGTCCTTCCCATATTCAGGCCTTACCATGGCCCTCCACTGGTCCTGACCCTGCCCTGGCCTGGTCCTAACCCTGGCCTACCCCTGTAGAACAGAGAAGGGGTAGGGAAGATCCAGGGAAGGGCTGGGGCAAATAAAGGACAGGACACATCCAAGTCCAGGAAAGGGCTAGGGCCATGACAGAGCCAGGGTGAGTCCTTGGCAGGGCCAGATTCCAGGCCAGGGCCAGGGAAGGGTAATGGCAGGGTCACTGTATGGCCAAGGTTCAGGCCAAAGCCAGGGCAGGGGCAGGAGCAGGCCTGCATGAGGGCAGGACCAGGGCCAGGGATGTGGCAGGACCAGGGGCAGGGCCAGGACCAGGGCTGTGCCAGGACAGAACAAGAGCAGAGCAGGGCAGTACCACAACCAGGCCATAGAGAGGGCAGGGCAAACGCCAAGGCAAGGCCAGGGTAGTGCCAGGGCTGAGGCAAGGTCAGGGAAGGTCCAGGGCTGAGTCAAGACTAGAACCAAGACAGGGGCAAAGGCCGGGGCAGATCTAGGGCACAAGCAGGCCAGGCTAGGGCAGGGCAATGGCAAGACCAGGCCATGGCAGGGCCAGCCCTGGATAGAACAGGGCACAGGCAGGGCAGGGCCAGGGACGCGGCTGGGACAGGACAAGGACCAGGGCAAGGGCATGCCCAGGGCAGAGGTAGGGCCAGAGCCAGGGTCTGGGCAGGGACAAGTCAGGTCCATTCCAGGGCCAGAGTTCAGACCAGGGCCAGGGCAGGGCCGGGGCAGGGCCAGGGCCAGGACCAGGAAAGGGCAATGTCAGGACCAGGGCCATGGCAGGACCAGCAACAGGGCTAGGGCGAAGACAGGGACAGGGACAGGGTCAGGGCTAGGGCCAGAATAGCATGCCAGGGTAGGGCCAGGGCAAATCAGGGCCAGGACAGGGTCAGGCCCAGGGCTAGGCCAGGTATGGCCTTAAGCAGCGAAGGCCAGGGCCAAAGTCCATGCCAGGGCCAGGGCCAGTCCGGGGTAGGAGCATGGCCATGGCCAGGTCTAGGACAAGGCTGAGGCAGGGCCAAGGTCTGCGTCAGGCCCAGCAAAAGACCAGGGCAGAGCCAGAGGAGGAGCAGAGCCATGGTAGGGCCAGGACAGGGATGGGCCAAGGCAGAGCCAGGTTAAATCAGGGTCAAGACACCTTCAAATCCACTTCAGAGCCAGGGTCAGGGCAGGGCGAGTTCAGGGTCACGGCCAAGGGCTGGGGCTGTCAGGATCATTGGCAGGGCCAGGGCCATGGCAGGACTAGGGTCAAGAGCAGCGGTCAATGCCGGGCCAAGGCCAGAACGAGGACCAGGTCTATGCTAGGGTCAGTGCGAGGGCCAAGGTGGGGTCAGGGCAGGGCCAAAGGCAGGGCAGTGCCAGGGCAGGGCAGGGTGGAGCAGGCCCAGGGTAGCACAGGGTGAAGGCAGGGCATGGCCAACAAGGGCAGGTCTATGGCGGGGGCAGGGCCAGGGCCAGGGCAGAGCCAAGACAGTGGCAGCTCCAGGGCAGGGCCAGGGTTAGGACCACGGACGTGTCCCAGTGTCCAAGGCCAGTGCCAGGGAAAGGGCAAGGGTAGGGGGCAGGGTCAGGGTCATCTAAAAACCAAGGACAAATCTAGGCCCAGAGCAGGGCCAGGATAGGTACCTGGCAGGGCCAGGGTCTGGGACAGGACCATGGCAGGGCCAGGGCCACAGCCAGGTCTGTGCTATAGCCAGGTACAAGACAGGGCCCAGGCCAGGCTAGGGTGAAGGCCAAGGTAGGGCCAGGGCAGGGTCAAAGCCAGGCTAGGACCAAGGCAGGGCCAGGACAGGCAGGATGGGTCCAGGAAAGCATAGGGCCAAGGCAGGGCAGGGCCAGGCCAGTGCCAAGACCTGGACAGGGCCAGGGAACAGCCAGGGCAGGGACAGGGCCATGGCCATGGCGTGGGCAGGACCAGGTTCGGGGCAGGAGCAAAAGAAGGGCAAGGACAGTGCAGGTTCTTGGCACAGCCGGGGTCCAGGACAGGGTCAGGGCAGGGCCAAGGCAGAGTCTGGGCCATGGTAAGACCAGCAACAGCGCTAGGGCTAGGATAGTGACAGGGTCAGAATCAGGGCAAGGACCAGAGCAGTGCAAGGACAGGGTAGGGCCAGTATTTCAGGGTCAGGACAGGGTCAGGGCCAGGGCAGAACCAGGGTAAGGTCTCAAGCCAGGAAGGGCCAGGGCCAGGGCCAGGATAGGTCCAGGGGCTGCATTAGGGCAAGAGCAGGGCCAGACCAGGGTAAGGGTCAGGGCCAGGGCCAGGATAGGGACAGGGCAAGAAACATGGCAGGACCATGGGCAACACCAAGGCCAGAGCTGAGCCAGGGCTGAGTCAGAGCTGAGTCAGGGCTGAGTCAGGGCAAGGCATGGTATGGCCAGTGCAGGACAGGACCAGAGCCGGTCCATAGAGAGAGCAGGGCCGATGCCAAGGCAGAGCCAGGCTGGTGCCAAAGCTGAGGCAGTGTCAGGGCATGTCCAGGGCGGGGCCGGGGCCAGAACCGAGCCAGGGCACGGCCAAGGCAGGGTAAGGCAGGGCAATGGCATGGCCGGGTCAGTGCCAGGATGAGGCAGAACAGGGCAAGGCAATGGTAGGGGCAGAGCAGGGACAGGCCAAAACAGGGTCTAGTCACTTCAGGGCCAGGGCCAGGGCCAGGGCCATGGCAGGACAAAGGCCAGGGTCAGGGCCAGGTCTGGGCTAGGGCCAGGTCCAGAGCAGGCCGTAGCCAAGACTAGGGTGAGAGCCAAGGTAGGGCCCGGGCAGGGTCAAAGCCAGAGTAGGGTGAGGGCAGGGCCAGGGCAGGGTGATGACACAGCCAGAGCACGGCAGGGCAGGTTGGTGCCAAGACCAGGGGCAGACTACTGCCAGCTCAGGGCCAGGGAAAGGCCAGGGCCAGGACAGAACCAGGAAAGGGTCTGGGTCAGGGCCAGGAGCAAGGCAGAGCAGGGCCAGGGCCATGATAGAATCAGGGCAGGTCCTTAGCAGGATGAGGTTCCAGGCCAGGGCCAGGGCACAGGCAGGGGCAGGGCCTGGATAAGGGCAGGGTCAGGGATATGGCAGGACCAGGGTCCAGGCCAGGGCCAGGGTCCAGGCTGGGCCAGGACAGGACCAGAGCCAGGCCATAGTGAGGGCAGGGCAAAAGCCATGGCAGGGTCAGGGCAGGTCCAGGGAGCGGCCAGTGCCAGGCAGGGCCAGGGCACAACCAGGGCAGGGTAAGGCAGGTCAGTGGCACCGCTGGGCCATGACAGGGCAAGGTCAGTGCCAGGAGAGGGCAGAACAGGCAGGGCCATGGTGGGGCCAGGGCAGGGACAGGCCAAGGCAGGGCCGGGACAAATCAGGGCCAGGACATGTCCAAGGCCAGGTCAGGGCCAGAACAGGACCAGGACCATGACCATTGGCAGGGCCAGTGCCATGGCAGGGCCAGGATCAGGACAGGAGGCAGGGCCAGAGCCAAAGCTGGGTCAGCGCAGATTCAGGGAAGGTCCAGGGCAGAGGTGGAGCCAGGGCCTGAGCCAGGGAAGGGCCAGTGCAAGGGCAGGACCAGAGCAGGGACAGGGTAGCAAAGGGCCAAGACAGGGCCAGGGTGGGACCAGAGCAGAGCAGGGCTGAGACAGTCCAGGTAATGGTAGGGCAGGTCCAGGGCAGGGCAGGGCAGTACAGGGCCAGGTCCACAGCACGGGCAGGGCATAGCCAGGCCCATTGTGAATGCATCAGCCCTCCCTACAAGGCTCCTACCACCTGGCCGCTGCCACAGCCTGGCCACCGCTGTAGGCCTGCCCCAACCCTGGCCGCAGCCACCTGCCCTCCTACCGCTCCAGCACACTGCAGTCTGCATTGCCCCCACGAGCCCACAGAGAAGTGAGCTGCGGCGTTGCAGGCTCCAGGTGTCTCCTCCTACTCCTGGCACGGAGCAGCTGGGACGGCAAAGCCAGAAAATCCTAGAGGAAGATGCAAGGGGTGGTAGCGTCAGAGCCTCACTTTGTCATGCCAGCCACTGGGTGGCAGGGGCCAGTTTCAGTGAAGGCACTCACAGCCACCCTTCAAAGTCCAGCCTCTCCTTTTGGCCCAAGCTGGCCAGAAACCGGGACCTGGGGTGGGTGCTGGAGACACCACAGTGCCTGGCTCCTCACTCCACAGGAACTGCTGGGCCCACCTGGGCTGCACTCCTCGGGAAGCAGGAGCAGCAGAAACTCAGACCCAGCCAACCCTCTGCACCCAGGTGCCACTTCCTGTTCCGGATGCCTCCACATACAGGGCCCTGTCCTCAGTGGTGTCTGCTACTCCATACTGGGGGGTGCCAGGCAGTCTCTGTGGCACAGACTCAGAGTGCATGGGCCCAGGAACCACGGTGGGTATGGGGGCTCTGCCATGCTCAGGATTTCCACAGAAACACTGTGTGTCTGCCACGCTCCAGTATGAGCAAGAGTAGGTTGCCCTCTGGAGTGTGGAGTCCAGGGAGAGGAGAACCGCTCCTTCCTTGGATGCCACCACTGTCACTGCCAACTCTGCTGACCGTCACCAGCAGTGCAGCCCCCAACAGTACCCAACTTGCCCCCCTCCATGGCTAATCCTGCCCTCAATAGCGCCCCCCACCTCCACCCCCCCCCCCAACGCCACCAGCAGCGTATACCCAATAGTGCCCTAACCTGTTCTCCTCTATGGGCACTGCAGCACCAGAGAGCGCCCATAACACTCCCCCCACCATGGGCAGTGCAGCCCCATATAATGCTACCAACCAGTACCCCCAATGCAGGCAGTGACACCCTAGATAGCACCCCCAACCCACCCCACACTGTGAAAAGTGCAGCCCTGATAGCCCCTGTCCTACCACTCTGGTCATGCTGCAGTCTCTGTTACCACCACCACCAGCCACAGTGAGGCAAGCCACTGGGCCGCAGGCTCTAGCCTCCAGCAGCTGGGCAGGGAGCAGCTCTTGCTGATGGCGGCCTGCTACCACTCCAACCACGCTGCTGTCTCCATGGCCATCTTCTTTGACTACAAAAGAATAAAACTAGGTATCAATAAGAAGAGTAATTTTGGAAACCATACAGTCACATGGAAGTTAAACAGTACGCTCCTGAATGAATGACTAGTCTTAGTATCAATGAAGATACTAAGATGGAAATTGAAAAATTTCATGAAACAAATGGTAATGAAGACACAATATACCAAAACTTATGATATGCCAAAAACAGTACAAAGGAAGAGATTCATAGCTGTAAGTGCCTACCATCCAAACAGAAGAAAAACTTCAAATAAACCATACATCTTAAAGAACTAGTAAAGTAAGAACAAACTAAACCCAAAATAAGAAAAGAAATAATAAAGATCATAGCAGAAATAAAATTGAAGTTAAAAAAATACACAATATTAAACAAAAAGTTGGTTTTCTGGAAAGCTACACAAAACTGACAAACTTTTAGCCAGGCTGACTAAGAAGAAAGAGAGAAGATTCAAATAAATAAAATCAAAAAATAAAATAGGAGACATTACAACTGATACTTCAGAAATTCAAAGGATCT
The DNA here is from genome assembly GCF_000001405.40 of Homo sapiens. Classification (NCBI taxonomy): domain Eukaryota; kingdom Metazoa; phylum Chordata; class Mammalia; order Primates; family Hominidae; genus Homo; species Homo sapiens. The sequence continues at coordinate 14,061,165 of NC_000021.9, forward strand.
TAACTGGCTATTATATGCCAATAAATTGGAAAGCCTAGTAGAAATCCTAGACGCATACAACCTACCTAGTTTGAACAGTGAAAACATCCAAGACCAGAACAGATTGGTAACAAGTAATGAGATCGAAACCATCAGAAAAAGTCTCCCAGTAAAGAAAATCCAGGAACTGATGGCTTCACTGCTGATGGCTTCACACCACACATTTACAGACCTAGTACCAATCCTACTCAAACTATTTTGAAAAACAGCAGGGAATACTTCCAAACTTATTCTGTGGGGCCATTATTACCCTCATACCAAAATCAGACAAAGACATCAAAGAAGGAAACTACAGGCCAGTATCTCTAATATTGGTGCAAAAATCCTCAACAAAATACCAGCAAATCAAATTCAGCAATACATTAAAAAGATAATTCATCAGGATCAAGTGGGATGTATCCCTGGGATGCAAGGGTCATTCAACACTCAATGTGATACATCATATCAACCAAATAAACGACAAAACAGTATGATTATGTCAACTGAAACTGAAAAAGCATTTGATGAAATTCAGCATTCCTTCATGTTATAAGTCCTCAAAAAACCAGGTACAGAAGAAACATACTGCAACATAATAAAAACCACATGAGAGAGACTCACAGCTAGAATCATATGGAATGGGGGAAAATGGAAAGCTTTTCCTCTAAGATCTGGAACATGATAAGGATGCCCACTGTCACCACTGTTACGTAACATAGTACTGGAAATCCTAGCTAAAGCAATCAGTGCAGCCCCTGATATGGCCCCCAACCCACCTTGCCCGCTGCCACCAGCAGTGTAGCCCCCCGATAGCGCACCCAGCACACCCAAACTGCCCCCTCTTCCCGCACCATGGGCATTGCAGCACCCCATAGTGCCTAAACCCAAACCCCCCCCCGACCCGCACCCCCGAGCAGTGCAGCCCTGGATAGCACCCTTAACCCACCTCACTGCTGCCGGCAATACAGTCTGGGATAGTGCCCCCAACTAGCAGGCCTAGCGGTTTTCTTTCATCCAATCAGAACATAAAGTCCAGGAACCTGGCTTGCATAACCTCAGTATATAAAGCATGCTAAGGGGGAGTTGCGCCATTGCAGGCTGTTGTACCTCAGCGTTCCCAGCCTCTCAGTTCGCACCTTAGAGAAGGCGAAAGCAGAGTCCCCCGCCACACGCTGGGGGCTGGAGGCTGGATCCTGTGGCACCAGGGCTTGCCTCTGCATAGTGTGTGGTGGTGATGGAGACAGGCGACTGGCAGCGAGAGCTGTTCCTTGCCTGGATACAGGAAGGGAAAGAGGAGGCACCTACCACAGGCTGGAGGCTAGAGTCTGTGGGACTGCGGCTGGCCTCGCTGGCTCGCCTCGCTGCTGTGGGTGGCAGCAGCGGACACTGCAGCCGGCCAGAGCGTAGAAAGGTGATGGGGTAGATGCGCTATCCCGGGCTACATTGCCCGCGGCCGGGGGCTGCTAGGGGTGTTATTCCGGGCGTCACTACTTTAGGTGTGCTATCCCGGGCTGCGCTGCCCGCAGCAGCGGGGGGGGGGGTAGGTTGGGGGCACTATCCTGGGCTGTATTGCCAGCAGCAGTAGGGCTGGTTGGGGGCCCTATTGGGTGCTACACTGCCCGCGACAGGGGGCGGGTTAGGGCCGCTACTGTGGTTACACTGCCGGCGGCGCCGGGGTGGGGGGACTGGTCTGGGTGCTGACTGGTCTGGCTTCATTGCCCATAGTGGGGTGGGGGGTGGTATGGGGGCTGCACCGCCTGCGGCGGGGGGCTTGTTGGGGGCGCTATCTGGGGCTGCAGTGCCCCCCGCAGGGGATAGGTTAGGGGGAGTATCCCGTGATACACTGCAGGTGGAGTGGGGCGGGAAAGGGGGGTACAGGGAGGTGATTGGAGGGGGTGGTTTCAGGCGCTATCGCGGGCCAGACTGCTCATGATAGAGGGGGGCGTTGGGTGCGCTATTGGCTACACTGCCAGCGGCAAGGGACAGTTTGGGGGCGATACCCCTCCAGTGGTGGGTGGGCAGGTGTGATGGGTTGTGGGCACCATTAGGGGGCTGTACTGTGGTCAGTGGGAGCGAGTTAGGGGAGCTATCAGCTGCTGCACTGCCTGTGGCGGGAGTCAGGTTTGGTGCGCTATCGGGACCATATTCTCGGTAGTGGCATACGGGTTAGGGGAGCTGTCGGGGGCTAAGCCGTCCACGGGGGGTGCGGGTTGGGTGCGCTATCCAGGGCATCACACCCCGCAGCTGGGGTATGGTTGGGGGTGCTCTTCGCTATCTGGGACTGCATTGCCCATCGTGGGGAGCGGGTTGGGGGCCTTAAGGATCCGTGGCTGCACTATTCACGGCGGGGATCAGGTTGCAGCGCTTTCTGGGGCGTCGCTGCCCGCGGCAGGGGGGTTGGTTGCGGGTCCAATCCGTGGCTGCATGGCCCACGGCAGGGGGCAGGTTGGGGGAGTTATCTGGTGCTGCAACGTCTGAGGCGGGGACGGGTTGGGGGCGCTGTTGGGTTCTACGCTGCAGCGGCGAGGGGAGGGTGTTAGGGGCGCCATCCCGGGTCCAACAGCTGGCGGCGGGTTAGGGGCGCTATCGGGGTGCCCTGAAGGACACTCTGGTGGCCGCGAAGTGCCCTTGCCAGCACCCGATCTCCCTTCCGAGGAGAAGCAGGGCGGGCCGCAAGGCCAGACAGGCCATCCTCCTCAGGCCGGGCTGGCTGAGCGCGTGCGATTCTGGGGCTGCCCAGGCGAGCCCAGGAGAACCGGCGAGCCCAGCGGCGCCTGCCCGCAGCTGCACCCCCACCTGCCAGCGCGTGCCGCTTCCCAGCGACTTCCGGGAGCCCGGCGGCCACCGCGGTGCAGGCGCGCGCCCAACGGCTTTGCCAGGCTCACTCGGTCTGAGAGGTCGGAGGCTGCGAGTGTCGTTGCTGAAGGCTGTAGTGGACCGGGCTGGATCGCGGATTTTGGAGATCATAGATATCGGATCGCGGATTGGGAGTTGGATCTCGGATTGGGGGTTGGATCGGGGATTTGGGGTTGGATAGGTGATTTGGGGCTGGGTCGGCGGGGGCGGGGGGTGGTAGTGAAAAGGTGACAGGGAGCTGCCCCCTCTCAAGAGCCGGTGATTGGGGGTCTGAGAAGTCACCACCATGAAGTTGTTCGGCTTCGGGAGCCGCAGGGGCCAGATGGTCCTGGACTCCATAGACCACGTCTACACGGCTTCCGGGTACCGAATCCGGCACTCCGAACTGCAGAAGATCCACAAGGCGGCTGTCAAGGGCGACGCCACGGAGGTGGAGCGCTGTCTGGCGCGCAGGAGCGGAGACCTGGACGCCCTGGACAAGCAGCAAAGGTAGCGGGGGCTCAGCCCGGGGTGGGAGGGGGTCCCCAGGCGCGGCTTTCCGGCAGCCCCTGGGACGGGGGCCTTGGAGGTCGCCGGGCACCCTCTGAGCGGCGGAGCCAAACGGACCCTGAGCTGTTTTCCATCCCTTATAATTCCCTGGCTGGAGCAGTTGGTGGAGAATTTGAGTGATTTAACTCACAAATTTAAGCATATACAGTGTTGTTATTTTTAACGTACACGTTTAAAACATGGTATATATACATTATAGGAGGTGCCTGATGAGAGAACTCATTTCCCTCTCAAAAATACCGTGAGTTATTTTCAGTAGGCGAAAAGTTCTCAGATAAAACTGTCCGTTTTACATCCGTATCCCCCTGTGTAGGTAGGTTCTTTACTGAAGGTTCTTAGAGAGAAACTTGGAAGTGGGAGGTGGCTTCTGTGTTCTTGAATGGGAAGGCACATTTTTCCCAACATGTGAGCTCTTTCTGTGTTAATCAGTTTTACATAGACCGAATGAAAATATCAAGGTTTTAAGATTTTTGTATGACACCTGCTGTCTTTCGCTATTGTGATGACATTTTAAAAAATTTCATAATGGAGTGAAAAAACACTTGCTCCTCTAGATAGCAAAATGTGCTATTAATTTCTACAATTAATTGTTTACTAACAGCTGAAAAGACAGATAAACGCATGGAACAGAATAGGCAACCCAGAAACACTAAAATTATGTAAGATATACATAAGGATTGATGAGTAGGAAAGGATGAATTATTAATAAAAAAAGTCTGCTGTTTGAAGAAAACTAATGAAATTTTATGTCACAAACAAAGTTCCTGATGGAATACAGATTGAAATTTTTACATATGCAAATGAGTAAAGTACCAGAAGAAAACACAAACGCTTATTTTGCAGGTACACTTTATGTTGACAAAAGCCTTCCTAAGAATGACCTCATAAGCAGACATTCTGAAGGTTGATTTAGCAAACTAAAAATTAAAACTGCCTGTGTTTCAGAAAAAAAAAACAACAAAAGAGAACTTACTTGAAAAATATTAACTATATTATATATATATTCAAATGAAATGTATGTTTTCATTTTATAGGGAATTCATTATATATATATATATATATATATATATATATATATATATATATATTTTTTTTTTTTTTTTTTTTTTTTTTTTTTTTTTTTTGAGTCAGAGTCTCACTTCTTTGCCCAGGGTGGTGTCCAATGGCACAATCTTGGCTCACTGCAACCTCTGCCTCCCGGGTTCAAGCAATTCTCTTCGCTCAGCCTCCCAAGTAGCTGGGATTACAGGCAGGTGCCAGCATGCCTGGCTAACTTTGGTATTTTTAGTAGAGAGGGGCTTCACCATGTTGGCCAGGCTGGTCTCGAACTCCTGAGCTCAAGTGATCTGCCTGCCTCAGCCTCTCAAAGTGCTGGGATTACAGGCATGAGCTACGGTGCCCGGCCTATATTGTTTATTATGTATCGTATGATATATATATTATTGATACATATACCATATATATTATTACAGATATAATCTGTAATATATATATCAGTTGTATATACACATTAGATGAAAAGTTGTATGTATATATACACATTAGATGAAAAGTACATTTTCATTTTACAGGGAATTCTTTCAAATCTAATCATCAAAAACTCTAAAACTGGGCAAAGTACTTTTTTCCAGATCTACAAGTTACTTGTGTACGTAGGAAAAAGTCCTTCACATTTCTAGTATAAGAATTTAAAATAAAAGAGGAATGAAACAGTTTTCTATCCACAATATTTGTGAGGATGTTTTACACTCCTGCTTAAAGTCTAAGTTGCTGATTACTTTTCAAATAGGTAATTTGGTGGTAAGTACTACATTTAAAAAATATGTATGCCCTTTACCCATCAATTCCATTATACTAAAACACACTTAGGAAATAAAGATACATGCACTTTATTTTTTGCAACACTTATTTTAAAAAGAACCCATAGAATGGATCCTATAAATAAATTTCAGTTGCATCCGTAGGATGGAATAATATGTGACCGTTGAAGGTGGCAATAGATACAGAAGTACATTGATGTGTGAAGATGTATTTTGTTATAGCTAGCGAGGAAAAAAAATCAGTTAAATTATACATACACACAAATATACTATGGTCTTGTTTTAGCAAAAAATATGTACAAAATATAAAATTTGTAATTTCTGAGCAATTGTATTTTAAGTAAAGTTCTTTTCCTTTTTCTTATCTGTGATTGCTGCAGTGAGCGTGTACAAAGCTTCTAGTAAAGTTTATTAATAAAGGAATAATCCTTGGGAAGAGAGGAATATGAATCTTACAATATTAAAAATAATTTCTCGCTTTCTATTTTTATCATTATTTTGTGTATTGTTATCTTCTTTGAACTTTTAGCCTCTTCAGAAGTAAAAAGGGAATGTTTTTATCTGTTTCCAGATTTTATTTTCTGTATATATTATTATGAACATGGTTTTCTTATATATTCACTCAATTTATGCAAACAATGATAGATTAATAATTTCATTTCAATTGTATTCTTTAAAAATAAAAATAATATATAAATACTATTGCAAAAATATTGCTTTATAGGAGTTTATTTAAAAATATCGATCTCCCCAACTGTATTTATCCATTCTTTCATTCCATTTATTCATCAAACATAACCTGAGTACCTGTTATGTAGCAGACATATTCTACTATCTCTCAGGACGCTTCTATCCTTAAAAACTACATGTTTACCTGCCCTGCCTGCACAAGCTGAGAGATTTAATATAGGAATATTGGGACTTAATCTCCTTGAAACTTTATCTCCCACCTTTCAAACAAAAGCATTTCTGAACTTAGAAAATAGTAGAAGATAACCTTTAACTGCTCTTTGAAAAGTTTATCAGTCTTAAATACTAATATTAATCATTGGAAAGTGTTATTTGCATATATTCTGTAAGTATTATAAGTATTGAATAAAATGAGCCATGTGTATTCATTTGAATCATGAGTTTCCTTTGGCTTCAATTTGTTTGAAAATGAAGGAATTAATTTTTTTAAAAAAATGCATTATTGTTATTTCAGTGCTCTTTCCCCATAGTACCTTTAAGAACTAAAATGTATTTAAGTGCCAGTTATATGCCTAGAACTGCCCTAGACCTGCTGAGTATACCATATTCTACTTAATGTAAGGTCTCATGGATTGTGTGATACCCCGCTATTTTATATATCAATAAGATAATTTTTAAAGTGCTACCAATTATAGTTATAATAATATAAGTGGCATTCCAATGTCAGAGGTATTAAAATGTGACCTACTCTTTAAGCCATCCTGCAAAGTAGGTGTAATTGTATCTTTTACCTAATTAAAATGTTTTTGTTAAGTAGTAATAGTAACAATTATAATATCTGGCTGGGTGCAGTGACTCACACCTGTAATCCCAGAACTTTGGGAGGCTGAGGTGAGAGGATTGCTTGATGCCAGGAGTTTGAGACCATCCTGGGCAACAAAGTGAGATTCTTACTCTACAAAAATTTTTAAATAGCTGGGCATGCTGGTGCACATCTGTAGTCCCAGCTACTCAGGAGGCTGGGGATGGAAGATCGCTTGAGCCCAGGAGTTCCAGGCTGCAGTGAGCTATAGTTACATCATTGCACTCCAGCCTGGGCAAAAGAGTGAGACTTGTCTCAAAAACAAAAATCTTACAATTATTGAGTTGTAGGAACTATTCTAAATACATAGCTTCTCATTTAAGCATCACGATGGTGTCCTATGAGATAGCTACTATTGTCATCTTCATTAATGAGGAAGTTGAGGCACAGAAAGGCTAAGAAATAGTTGGTAAGTGACAGGGTTTAAAGTAGGACTCAAACCCTAATTGAACTGAATCCAAAGACTGAGCTCTTTCTATTCAAATAGGCTGCTGTTTTCATTAAGGCAATGAGCAATCAGAGCTAGTAAGTATTGTACTTTCTTCAAAAAAAAAAAATAAGTATTTGTTTTGAAGGCAGAGGAAAAACATGCTATTCATTTTTTACAGTTACATGAATGATTGTATGTTTTGAGATGTTGCACTACAGTTTCCTGAAAAGTCCTCTTACTCTCATAGAACTGCTCTACATTTGGCCTGTGCCAGTGGCCATGTGAAAGTGGTCACTCTCCTGGTTAACAGAAAATGCCAGATTGATATCTGTGACAAAGAAAATAGAACACCTTTGATACAGGTATATTAGAGCCAACTCTTTTAGCATGACATGGATTTGATTTGCATACATAGAATTAAAATAAATTGATCTCATTTACATATAACTAGTTGGTGAAACCTGTGGAATGTGTATTTTGAATTCTTGGAATTTACAATCTATTTCTTGGTCTAATACGGACAGGCTGTCCATTGCCAGGAAGAGGCTTGTGCTGTTATTCTGCTGGAACATAGCGCCAATCCAAACCTTAAGGATATGTACGGCAACACTGCTCTCCATTATGCTGTGTATAGTGAGAGCACCTCACTGGCAGAAAAACTGCTTTTCAATGGTGCAGATATTGAAGCACTGGACAAGGTATAGATCAATCAACTTTCTTCCCAAAATATTTGTTTTAACATTGACATAGGTAAGGGTCATTTTTTTATATTTGGAAGCTCAACCATTCCCTGAATGCAAATGCAAATTATTTTGAAATAATTGTCTAAGATTTTATTTTAAATATTGATACTTTTAAAGGAGCATTAAAGGGTATGGCTTTATAAAATGCACTTTGGAAAATATTTGTGAATTTGTTAAAGGTAAAACTTTTTCAACTTTTTTTCTGTGGAGGGTTATTCTTTCCTCCCCCCCCCCCCCCCAGTTAGTGTAAAACAACACAGGAAAGAAATTATGCCCTGGAAATAGGCTTTATCTTAAAACTCAAACAAAACTAAAGCAACTTACAATAAGTGGATATGTTGCTGCTGCTAATTTTCTGAAAAACCGATGTATCATCTCTCAGTGGCACAAGGCTTAACAGGGGAAAATGGGAAGGGAAAAGGAGAGCAATCAGAAATATGCAGGTCACTTGGAAATTAGGTAATGAGCGAAAATGCCAAGAATAGTTTTTTTTTTTTCTCTTAGTTTGTTGTTCTTCCAGTTTATGCCTAAAACTTAAAGTATAGTAATAATAATAATAATAATAAAAGCACCCCCAAAGCAACCAACCAATCCAAGAAAAAATACGTCTCAGGGTTCTGTTGGTCCTCTTGCATGGGCGGCCCTGCCCCCCTGTTCTGGCCTGGCTCAAGCACCCTCCACCCTACCCCAGCCTGCTGGAAGGAGCTCTGTCTACCAGAGCAGAGGGCTCCCTCTCCCAGGCTCTATCACTCTGGCTCTCTAGCTCTCTCACCCTCTCTCTATTTCTCTTATTTCCCCTCCATCTCATGCTCTTTCTGTCACTCTCTCTCTCTCCTTCCTGTCTCTCTCTATATCGTGGTCTCTCTCCCTCAGTTTCTATCTCTCCATCCTCTTTCCCTTGCTCTCCTTCAAGCTGTATCTTTGTGTATCTGTGTGTGTCTGTGTCTGTGTGCCCGCGCGCATGCACCCATGTGTGTCTGTGGGTGTGGGTTTGCTCGTGGTGGTGGTGAGGTGTGTCTGGCTGTCCATCAGCCTCTCTCTCCTGGGATCAGTCTGCCAGCTCTAGTGGCAGCGCCGGGCAAAGCAGCTCCTCCCACTCACTTGGCCACGGGCCATGTCCTTGTCGGGACAAGCGACGCTGTTAGTGACATTGTGAGAGAAAGGGCTCGTAGGGCTAGGGCGGCTGTTCACCCCTGGGCAGCCCTGGTAGCTCTGGGTGGGTGAGGAAAGAGGGGGCCTTGCAGGTGGGGCGGCAAGGGAACCAAAACAATCCCTCGGGCGGCAAGGAGGAGGACAGGAGGGTATCCCAGGACCGTGGGCCCAGGGCCCTGAGGGCTGGGAGCACAAACTGTCCTGAGCAGGCGCGATGTGGTGGAAGCTTGGGAGCTCAGGAGCCTGGGGAAGGCCTGGAGCGTCGGAAGAATGGAGGCCACCCAGAGAGCCCGAAGTCTGGGCAGGGGATGGAAACCTCTGGCGTCCCCACTCAACAGCAGGGTGCCACCACGGCGGTCCGGTGCATGGCCTCGCCAGCGATGGCGGGAGGCTCTTGGAGGCCGGCGGAAGGTCCAGCGCGGAGACCCACAGTGCTGGGGCGTGGAGGGGGAGAGCAGCCCAGCAGCGGGCGAGTGGCTCAGAGGTGACCGATCGGAGCCCCGCGGCCCTGGAGTGGCGGTGATGCCTGGAGCCAGGCGGGCGTGGCCGGGCCCGGCTCTTGTGTCAGCCAGGTATCACTGCCGCTGTCTAAGGCCTTACCGCCCTGAAGACGCCTGCTCTCCTCTGGTCTGTGAAGCTACGCAGGGTGGGGCTTGTTTCAGTTTGAGGGAGACCGCGTGGGACTACTGGACGCTGTGGGCTTTTGGCTTCCCGCTCTCTCCCTCTTTCCCCCTTTTGTTGCTCTGCCTCCCAACCACCCCCTGACTCTGCTACCCCTTTTCCGGCTGCCTGAGTCCCCATCGCACCCCAGGACCTCCTCGTGGGGGTCCACCGCTGCAGTACCGCCAGGCAGCAGCATCCCACCTCTTCCGCCTTGCTGCAGCTCCACCAGGTCCCCGGCTCTAGCCAGGCCGGGGCAGGCCAGGACCAGACCCCCAAAGGCACAGGCCCAGGTTCCCTGCCATCCTGGTTATCTTCCTGCTCCAGGAACGCCCACGTAATTCAATTCACTCATCTGGCGCCGCCGCAAACATCCAAGCCTGGGGAAGTTGCGGGCAGGGGCAGAGGGTCCCACAGATGCCAGCCAAGAGCTCCTCCAGAACGCACGGGCTGCTTTTTCCAGGGAAGGACATTGCCTTTGCCAGCTACCAGGAAAACGTCCTTGTGAACCCGGATTCCCATTGCTACCGACTTCGTGTAAACTCCCGTCCCGAGGACACGAGAGAGACTCAGGCCTCAGGCGAGGATTCCCTGGATTGCACCCAGGGTGCGTGTCTCGCCCACAGGAGCACCCCAAAGCGGCAAGAAGACACCGGGTGATGGGAACAGGAAGCCTGGCTTTGAAGAGGACGTTGAGGCAGTCCGTGGAAAAACTTCCCAGGGATGACAGTGCCTTCCCGACAGACCCTGCGGCAGAATGGGAGGGGGAGCGTGGAGTCCCTGTCTTGCACCCAGGGTGCTTGTCTCGCCCTCAGGGGGCACCCCATAGCGGCAAGAATTCCCCCAGAGAAAGGTAACAGGATGCCCCGCTTGAAAGACATGCACCCTGGGTGCAAGCCAGGGACATCCCACGACCACCCCGGGCCCGGCACAGAGACTGCAGGGAAGGCACTGTTTTTCGTGGGATTTCCCGCACCCCCCCCCGGACTGCCTCAACATCCCCTTTCAAGCCTGACATCCTGTTCCCTTCCACCAGGGTACATCTTGCCGCTTTGGGGTGCCCGTCGTGGGTGCGACTCGCACCCTGGGTACAAGCCAGAGACTCCACGACCACCCCGGGCCCTCCGCAGGGGCTGCCGGGAAGGCACTGTCGTCCGTGGGAGGGCCTGGCCCGCCACTTCTTCCCCCGTGCTGCCTCAACATCACCTTTCAAGCCTGGCGTCCTGTTCCCTTCCCCTGGAGGTCTTCGTGCCCCTTTGGGGTGCCCCCCGTGGGCGAGATACGCATCCTGGGTGCAAGCCAGGGACTCCATGAAACCCTCGGGCCCAGGGCAGGGGCTGCCAGGAAGGCACTGTCGTCCGTGGGAGAACCCCAGCGTTGATGTTGTTTTCCCCGGGCTGCCTCAATGTCCCCCTTCAAACCTGAAGTGCTGTCTCCTTCCCCCGGGGGCCTACTTGCCGCTTTGGGGCGCACCCCGTGGGAGAGACACGCACCCTGGGTGCAAGCCAGGGACTCCCCGACGCCCCGGGCCTGGCGCAGGGGCTGCCGGGAAGGCACTGTCCTCCGTGGGAGGAACCCGGCTCGCCACTTTTTCCCCCGTGCTGCCTCAACATCACCTTTCAAGCCTGGCGTCCTGTTCTCTTCCCTTGGAAGACTTCTTGCCACTTTGGGGTGCCCCCATGGGCACAACACGCACCCCGAGTGCAAGCCAGGGAATCAACAACCCCCCCATGCCCAGCAAAGGGGCTGCCAGGAAGGCTCTATCATCCAGGGGAAGTTTTTTCCCGGACTCCCTCAAAGTCCGCTTTCAAGCCCTGCGTCCTGTTTCCTTCCCCCGGAGCTTTCTTGCCACTTTGGGGTGCCCCCATGGGCGCGATCGGCACCCTGGGTGCAGGCCAGGGACTCCACGACAACCCCGGGCCCGGCGCAGGGGCTGCTGGAAAGGCACTGTGGTCCGTGGGACGACCGCGGCCCACTGCTTTCTTTCCCGTGCTGCCTCAACATCCCCTTTCAGGCCTGGCATCCTCTTCCCTTCCCCCGGAGGCCTTCTTGGCGCTTTGGGGTGCTCCCCGTGGGCGCCACACGCACCCTGGGTGCAAGCCAGCGACTCCACAACCCCATTGGGCAGGGCGAGAGGCTGCCGGGAAGGCACTGTCGTTCGAAGGACCTGCCTCGCTACCTTTTACCCCGGGCTGCCTCAACATCCCCTTTTAAGCCTAACGTCTTGTCCCCTTCCCCCGAGGACCTTCATGCCGCTTTGGGGTGACTCCTGTGGGCGAGACATGCATTCTGAGTACAAGCCAGGGACTCCACAACACCGCCGGGCCCGGCCCAGGAGCTGCCAGGAAGGCACTGTCATCCGTGGGACCACCCCAGCCGCGCTGCTTTTTTTCCCCCGGCTACCTAAACGTCCCTGTTCAAGCCTGGCATCCTGTTGCTTTCCCACGGAGGACTTCTTGCCGCTTTGGGGTGCCCCCTGTGGGCGAGATACGCACACTGTGTGCAAGACAAGGACTCCAGGACCCTCCCGGGCCCAGAATAGGGGGCTGCAGGGAAGGCACTGTCGTCCGTGAGAGGACGCCAGCCTTGCCCCTTTTTTCCCCGGGCTGCCTCAGCATCCCCTTTCAAGTCTGGCATCCTGTTCTTTTCCCCTGGGGGCTTTCTTGCAGCTTTGGGGTGCCACCTGTGGGCGAGGCACGCACCCAGGGTGCAAGCCAGGGTCTCCAAGACCCCCTGGGGCCAGGCGCAGGGGCTGCCGGGAAGTCACTGTCCTCCGTGGAAAGTTTTTCCCTGGACTGCCTCAAAGTCCCCTTTCAAGCCTGGCGTCCTGTTCCACTCCCCCGGAGCCCTTCTTGCCGCATTGGGGTGCGCTTTTAGGTGAGACACGCACTGCGTGCAAGACAGGGACTCCACGACCCCCCCTCCCCCTGGGCCAGGCGCAGGTGTCGTCCATGGGAAGTTTTTCCCTGGAATGCCTCAACATCCCCTTTCAAGCCTGGCGTCCTGTTCCCTTCCCCTGGGGGCCTTCAAGCCTGGCGCTCTGTTCTCATTCCCCAGGAGTCTTCTTGCCGCTTTGAGGTGCCCCCCCCATGGGCGTGACACGTACCCTGAGTGCAAGCCAGGGACTCCACGAACCCACGGGCCCAACACAGGGGCTGCAGGGAAGGCACTGTCATCCGTTGGACGACCCTGGCCCGCCCCCTTTTTTTTTTCCGTGCTGCCTCAACGTCCCCTATCAAGACTGGCATCCTGTTCCCTTACCCCGGAGGACTTCTTGCCGCTTTGGGGTGTCCCCCATGGACGTGACACGCACCCTGGGTGCAAGTCAGGGACTCCACGGCTTCGCAAAGCCCGGCCCAGGGTCTGCTGGCAGGCACTGTTTTCCTTGGGAAGTTTTTTCCCCGGACTGCCTCAACGTCTCCTTTAAAACCTGGCCTCCTGTTCCCTTCCCCCGGGGGTCTTCTTGCCGCTTTCTGGTGCCCCTAGTGGGGGCGACACACACCCTGGGTGTAAGCCAGGGACTCCACGGCCCCCCGCGGCTTCTGTCCTTGTTTATGGTAAAAGTAGGGAACTCTGCTTATGCACATCAACGGAATCATTATTATACGCAGAGGCCTTGGACTGGGGCATTTTGTACCCCATTGGCTCACCTTTCGTTTTACCAGAGAAGGCTTTCTTACTGAGTTTTGGTCACACTCCTTCCCCGCCCGTTGCCCCTCGTTGTGCCTGAAGATTCGCTCTTGAACGCCTGAGGAAGAAAGTGGTCTGCCTTACGACCAAAAGCCTGTGGCAAATTTTGAGTGCTTTCCATCAGGGCCGTTGCCTGGTGTGCATGCACTCACCCCTAAAGTCCCTCCCTTTATCCACCTTTCTCTCTGGGGCAAAAGTCCTCCCCGAGGCCCATACACCACGGTAGTACACAGAATCTTACCACAATCACTCCGGGTACTTGCGCGCACTTGGCAGAGTGGAGCAAGGGACTTGCGCTGGACAGACAAGGCAGCATCTCTTATAGAGTGGGAGGGGCCTGCCTCACTCATCCGCCTCTCCCCATCCAAGGACCTCTTCAGGAAGCACTGGCAAACACCGTGGTGGCTGTTGTAGCAGAGGGCATGGGGTTGGCACAACCCGCCACCGTTTGTCTCGGGCACGTGGGGGCAATCTGGAGCACTCCTGGATCACCACAAAGGCCCAGGTGGTGCCAACCCTCTCGTATCCCAGAAAGGGCAGCATGATGTTTTGTAGGGACAGTCCCCCATGGCCGCAGAGAGGTGCCGGGTCCACCCCCAAGGCAACAACCACAGGAAGCCAGAGCAAAGGTGCCTGCTGTGTCAGAGGACCCCACCAATCTTCTCAAAGCCATGAGGCACAAGGCATGAGGGCAGCGAGGTCATGCCAAATTCCCTGCCCCATGCCTCCCAACACACTACCCACGAGCGGGGAGGACAGACGAGGGGCCCCGCGAGCAGAATGAGAAGAACGGTTCCATTCACCATGAATTTCCATCCTTTGCTCCTCGTGGCTTAGTCCCGACCTGGGAGAGCGTGACATCACATTGATCATGAAAAGCCCCATAGCGGGGCGGTGGTTGAGTGAGGGTCTTTCTTGACGAAGCTGATGATCATAACAGCCCAGCCAGCCTCGCTCCGGGATAGGGACAGCAGACAATTTAAGGAAGAGAATGGCTGACGTGCACAGCACAAAGCCAACAGGATGGGGTTGTTCTGACCACCCCGTGTGCCCGCAGCAGGGAGCACACGGGTCAGAGGAGCCCATGCTGCCTTCCCCACCAGGGTCAAAGGCCCAGAGACAGTTATGACACTACGATGCATGAGAGCAGGCACACAGGTCCCAGCAATCAGCTCAAGCTGGGGCAGGGCCGGTTAGCCGGGTTACTGCTATACCAGAGCTTCACATGCATCTAGAGGCCCAATCTAATCGCCAGACAGCATGTCAGCAACAATCTGGTGGCCCAAAATGCCAACTCGGAGTGAAAGATATACCTCGCCTGGGGGCGGGGTGTCAAGTCACCGACCACACCACCGGCCCAGAAATGCGCGACCTGGACATCTGTCCTCAAAAAGGCCACCATGGCAGCCAGATATGGAACACCCAGGCCTTCTGTGGACCCCGGGACACACACAGGAGCAGCAGAGGGTCAGGGACACCCTCCCGGCCACCCGTGCAATGCAGGGGCTGGCCCATTTCTCCAGAGCGAGACTCGGAGTCATTTTCAGCCGGTCCCTCGCATGACTGGATCACATGAGGGACCCAAGCCCGGCCAGCTGCCACCTTTCGGACCACATGCGTGCTCAGGGACCGCTCTCCAACTCGGCATGGGGACTTGGAAAAAAAGATCAGGGCAGAGGGACTGGGGCCGGGCCCGGTGACCGCTCCTCGGCAACCAAAGGACAGTAAAGGACGGTCCCTGACTCCCCCGGGGACTTGGAAAATAATTCGGCAGGTGCCTCAGATGTCCAGGACCTGTACTGGCCTGCCACCAGGCTGGGAAGTTCGTCCCCAGCCACCCGCAAAATGCCCAATACGTCCCCGCGGGTCTTGGGTCAAGCCTTGGGAGTTGGGGGCGTGCTGTTTGACCAGCCAGGGCAGCCCCACACTGCCATTGAGCAGGGAAGCGCGGCGAC
The DNA here is from genome assembly GCF_000001405.40 of Homo sapiens. NCBI lineage: Eukaryota > Metazoa > Chordata > Mammalia > Primates > Hominidae > Homo > Homo sapiens. The sequence continues at coordinate 14,076,590 of NC_000021.9, forward strand.
AGCCTCCCCCCACAAGCCCTGCACGCCCGAGCTCTGACTCACAAGTGACGCGCCAGAGCTCCAGATGGCAGGGCAGCCCATGACTGGGAAACCAAAACCATGAGTGGAAGTCTTTTGAAGGCCCAAAACGCAGCACCTCCTCCCCAACTTCACAGAAACCGTTCCCCAACGTGTCTCTGCATAGGCTGCAACAGAGTCAAAAGACAACTTGGGAGTTTGAAGATGCATCTCAGAAGGAGAAAGAAGAAACGGGACTTGGTCGCGGATCGGTTAGGACACAGGGAGATACAGAATGAGGAGAGTCTTCTAGAATCCAGACAAAGACAGACAGAGGAAGGGAGGGAGAAAGGAAATGGAGAAAAGAGACAGACAGAGGAAGGGAAGGAGGGAGGGAAAGGAGCAGCGAGGGAGGAAGTGAGGAAGGAAATGAGAAACAGAGAGAGACAGAATTTTAAAAATCTAGAGAAAGAAGTATAAAGAAAGAGAGAAAGAGACATAGAAAGGGAAGAAAGATGAAAGAGATAAAGAATAAGGAAAGAAATAGAGGAAAGCCAGGAGGAAAAAACAAAGGAAAGAAAAAAGAAAGAAGAAAAAAGAAAAAGAATAAAAGGCAGAAAGAAGAAAGGAAAGAAAGGAAAGGAAGGAAGAAGAAAGGAAGGAAGGAAGGAAGGAAGGAAGGAAGAAAGAAAGAAAGAAAGAAAGAAAGAAAAGAGGAGAAAATAACAAAGAGGACAGGGCATGGTGACTCACATCTATAATCCCAACACTTTGCAAGGTTAGTTGGGAGAATCACCTGAGCCCAGGAGTTTGAGACCAGCTCTGGCAACATAGCGAGACCTTGTCTCACTTAAAGAAAAAAAAAAAGAAAAAAAAAGTTAGCCGGGCACGATGGCATGCGTCTGTAGTCACAGCTCCTCGAAAGGCTGAGATAAGACCATCTCTTGGACTCGGAAGGTCAAGGCTGTGGTGAGCCAGGGTCAGGCCAATGCACTGCAGCCCGGGTGACAGAGCGAGACTTCGTCTGAAAAAACTTGAACGAATAAAGATTGCGAGTCCTGCAAGAAAAAGATATAAAGGAAATGAAGAAGGAGGTCGCGTTCTGAAAGGAAAAATATTTTAAAAAGAAACAATGGGCGGATGCGGTGGCTCTTGGCTGTAATCCCAGCAATGTGGGAGGTCAAGTATTCAAGACCAGCCTGGCCAATATGGTGAAACCCCATCTCTACTAAAATTACAAAAATTAGCCGGGCGTGGTGGCGCGCGCCTGTAGTCCCAGCTACCTGGGGTGTGTGTGAGGCAGAAGAATCGCTTGAACCCGGGAGGCGGAGGTTGCCGTGAGTTGAGATGGCGCCACTGCACTCCAGCCTGGGTGACAGAGCGAGACTCTGTCTCAAAAAAAATCAAAAAAGAAAGAAAAAGAAAAAAAGAGGAAGAGAGAAATATGGAAAGAGAGAAAGAAGAAAGAAAGGAAAAAGGAAGGAAGAAAAAGAAAGGAAAAAGGAAATAGAAAAAGAAAAAAGAAAGAGAAAGAAAGAGGGAACTGGAGAAATTAAGAAGACAGAAATGAAAGGAGAAAGATGAAAAAAAAAACCTCTAAAAAAATAGTAAGGCCCAGGGCGGGGCTATGATGCACTTTCCACTTTACCAATATGCTGGCCAGGGAAAGAAAAATGTTAAACATAACGTAACGGTAAAAAGTGACTATGGCGGCTTAGCCAGGGTGGTTGAGTTTCCCTAGGGAGGGAGGGAGAGAGGAAGAGGAAACTGTCAGCGTCGAAGGAGAGAAACCGAGGTGAGGGGGAGGGGACAAAATAGGAGGGGGAAGGGATGGAGGCACAGTAGTTCACTCTGGAATGTTTTCTAGCCTGGGGTGGATGGGGAGACACGGAGGGCAACTCAGGAAACAAGCTGACTCCAGAAATGACACCGAATTCATAGTGCTGCCATCGCTGCCTTGAAAGGTGTGCACTGCATAATAACCTCCTTCGGTCGTTTAGTCCCACAGGCTTGACATCTACCTGCTTTCACAATATCTGGGGAGAATCAGAAAAGTCCCTACTAACGAAAAGGCCTAGGGTGGAGCTGCCATCTGTAAAACCCAGGCAGAAGAGTCCACGCGGGTTAAACACACAAATAAAGAAAAGGAAACAACTGATCAAAAGAGCAACAATCTGGCCCAACCAGAATCTCCAGAGGTTTTCTGGGCAATGAAGGAGTGGGAAACAGAGGGACGGAGGTAGAGCGGGCCTCAGAGAGCGGGGTGGGGGCGGGGGGAGCGGAGAGAAGCCACGCTCCTTCCGTACCGTGGGCGGGCGGCCAGAGCGTCCTGTGCGCCGCCTAGACTTCAAAAACGTTGACCGCTAGATGACGACCGATGACAACGCATGGAAGTGTCAGCCCGGCACCCTCCCAGGAGCTCCCAACAACTAATCGACCAGAGCCCCTGCGGGGGAAGAAGCACCGTGGCTCGGGAAAACATGGAGAAACATGCGCCTAAGCATGTACACACGTGCACGCCATATCCCACAATATAGACGAGTTTATACCGTGATAGTGAGAGAATCCATTTCTAGTAACAAAAGCAGCAGGCTGGGCGCGGCGGCCCACGCCCGTCACCCCAGCAATCTGGGAGGCCAAGGCGGGCAGACCACCTGAGGTCAAGAGTTCCAAACCAGCCTGGTCAACACAGCGAAATCCCGTCTCTAAGAAAAATGCAAAAATTAGCCGGGGTGGTGGTGGGTTCCTTTAATCCCAACTCCTGGGGCGCGAGAATCACTTGAACTCGGGAGGTGGAGGTTGCAGTGAGCTGAGATCTAACCACCACACTCCAGCCTGGGCAACAGAGGAAGACTCCGTCTCAAAAAAAAAAAAAAAAAAAAAAGAGTCAATCGCTTCCATCTTTAGACGAATACACTCTTACGCTTAGACAGATAGCTTGGAAGGTACATAAGCTTTATAAACATTTGTAATTTTGAGTCAGTCTGGCGATATTTCCAGGCCTTCTCCCTGTAAGTGGTCACAGAAATAAAAACTCCCTCCTTTTTCAGCTCATCTGCATCTCGTTATCAGGCCGCGAGAATAAGCAGCCTGACCCTCAGTTTGGTCCGGGAACAATTAAACTCCAGCCCGGGTGACAGAGGGATATTTTGCCTCAGAAAAGAAACAAGAAAACAATAAAAAAAAAATGAAGATATTAGCCGGGCGTTGTGCTGTGTTGTGGCTCGCGCCCGCGCCTGTAGGCCCAGCTACTCGGGAGGCTGAGGCAGAGGAAGATCGCTTTAAGCCCAGCAGTTCAAGGTCACAGTGAGCTATGATCCTACCACTGCACTCCAGCCTCGGTGACACAGGAAGACTCCGTCTCTAAAAAATACATGAATGAATGAATAGATGAATGTAAAAAAAAAAAAATGCAAGGAGGTGGCAGAGCACGGGAAGGCTCCACTCGTTCCTAAAGACCAGAGCAGAAAAACAGGACCATCCGTTTGAGATATATGCTATTCCGAATCACAGTGGAGGCCTTGAGGATTTCGGAGCAAGGCCCTGCCATTATCTGCAGATAACCATTCTTCTTTGGAGCCACAGGCTATCTCAGCTAGCCTCTGGCAGTTGGTAGAAACCAAACGCCCAACCGTGGGGCCACGAAGTTATCGTGTGAGCTCAGCCACTCATCACACACTGGGCGTAAGTGGGTGTGCACAGCAGCACTCCGGGGTGACACGCAAGGGCTGTGGACCGGATTGGGTCCAAACAGATCCTGAAGCGCAAGTAAGTTCCACGAGAAAGTGGCCCAAATGCCCATGGTACCCAGTCAAGAAATGAGCTAAGAAATTACACATAGCTGGGCACAGTGGCTCATGCCTGTAACCTCAGCAGTTTGTGTTGGGGAAAGCAGCCCCACACCATCCGGCGGGTACCCCGAGTCCAGTGGACACAAAGGAGTTAGAAAGAGACAAAATAAGTGTTTAAAAGGCGGGTCCAGGGGACCGGAGCGTCGGAGGCTTGCTCCAGGCCCAGAGCTCTCGGGCTCCGGCGGAATTCAATGGTTTACAAGCTCTTTGTTCTTAGGGCAGATGGGAGGGGTAGAAAGGGATGAGGAAAAGGATTAATCACCGAAGGAGAACTCGTGAGTCCTTCAATAAGATGTATAGCAGTGGCGGTTTTTGTGAATTTCCTTGAGCAAAGGCGTGTGTCTAAACTACTTAAGATCTTTAACTTATCGGGACTGAAATGGGAGGGAGTGGGTTTCAGGAGGAGCCAAGATGTTTGATGATACTCCACTGTTTCAAGGGAGTGTTATCTCCCTTAGCAACCTGTGGAATGCCTCTGAGCTGTTATGCTCTCGGGGCATAAAGACATGAAGGCAATAAGGAGAGTTTTCTTCTCAGAGGCTGCCCATGGCTCCCCATGGGTGTCTCACAGGGGAGACCAACTCATCTGGCACCCCAGAAACTCTCTTTCCCACACTTTGGGAGGGTGAGATGGGTGGATCACTTGAGGTCAGGAGTTTGAGACCAGCCTGGCAACCACGGCAAAACCCTGTCTCTACTAAAAATATAAAAATTAGTCAGGTGCAGTGGCGCGTGCCAATATTCCCAGCTACTAGGGAGGCTAAGGCAGGAAAATTGCTTGAACCTGGGAGGTGGAGGTTGCAGTGAGCTGCGAGCATGCCGCTGTGCTCCAGGCTGGGTGACACAGTGAGACTCTGTCTCCAAACAAAAATTTAATTTAATTTAAAAAAAGAAAGTACACATAGAAATTACACATAGCCAAGTGCAGTGGCTCACGCCTGTAATCTCAGCACTTTGGGAGGCTGAGACAGGTGGATCACTTTGTAGCATCATTGCTGCCTCGAAAGGACAGAGGCGTGTGTTTATGTCACTATTGGTTTTATTTTTTTCTTTTTTCCTGGAAACTCATTTTTTATTATTATTATTAGTAGTAGTAGTAGTAGTAGTAGTAGTAGTATTTTGGATACGGAGTTTCACTCTTCTTGCCCAGGCTGGAGAGTAATGGTGCAATCTCGGCTCACCGCAACCTCTGTCTCACGGATTCAAGGATTACAAGCAAGTGCTGCCATGCCCAGCTAACTTGGTATTTTTAGTACAGATAGGGTTTCTCCATGTTGGTCAGGCTGGTCTCGAACTCCCAACCTCAGGTGATTCCCCCGCATCAGCCTCTGTAAGTGCCAGGATTACATGCATGAGCCAACGCGCCTGGCCTCTTTGGTTTTGTTTTGTTTTGTTTTTGAGACGGAGTCTCACTCTGTCACCCAGGCTGGAGTGCAGTGGTGCTATCTCAGCTCACGGCAACCTTCACCTCCCGGGTTCAAGCAATTCTCCTGCCTCAACCTCCTGAGTAGCTGAGATTACAGGCGCGCCTGGCTAATTTTTTGTATTTTTAGTAGAGGGAGGTTTTCACCATACTGGCCAGGCTGGACTTGGACTCCTGACCTCATGATCTGCCCGCCTCTGCCTCCCAAAGTGCTGGGATTACAGGTGTGAGCCACCACACCTGGCATATTTATTTCTTTTTCAACTGATCAAAGAACAGTCAGACCCAGTCATCAGGGTGGCAATTCCCTAGGCAATAAGGGAGGGAGAAACTTGGAGGTGGGGGCAGGGGCAGTGGAGAAGACGCAGTTGCCCCGGGCTGCATGCAGGCACCACAAGCTTTCTTCCTCCTTGAGGCCTTGGTTTTCAGAGTAACAGTGGCCTCTAGGTGATGCCCAACGTCTGCCAATTAGAGTGTCAGCCTGGAATGAATTGGGATCACCCGGAGGGGAGAGGGGAGGGGAAGAATGGAGGCACCCACAGTACAGTGGGTCACCGCGCCCTCCCAGGCAGTCCCCACAACTAATCAACCGGGGCCCCTGGAGGGACACAGCCTAAGTCCCCACCCATCGGATCATCTAGAAATTCCGTCCAGAGACCGATTGGAAATTCAGTCAAGCTCCAAACCTAAAAGAATCACTGGCACACCCACCAGGACTAAGACAACTTTTAAAAGAATCGTTTCTGTGTTTTGGGTGCATCCGTGTATTTCTGTACAACAAAGTTATTTATTTTAAATGTTACAAGTTTTTTACTCCTTTTCTTTTTAACTTCTTACGTGTACAGTAAGAAGGGGACTCGTCAGCTCAGAGTCCATGAAGCCAGAAGCTGACATCCTCAGTTCCTATTTAGAATGAATTTAAACAAGCCATCCAAACACTCTGCCATGAAACTCCTGGAAAGACAAGTGATTAAAAAAAAGAAAAAAAAAACAATGCTGTCAGGAGCAGTGGCTCACGTCTTTCATCCCTGCACTTCGGGAGCCTGAGGACGGGTGGATTCCTTGATCCCAGGCAATCGAGACCAGCCTTGGCAACATGGTGAAACCTTGTCTCTACAAAAATACAAAATTCAGCTGGTTTCATAATCTGGACTCAAAATTAATAAATAAATAGATTGAAATTTAAAATTTAAAAAAAATCTTAAATGCTGTATTCTGTTATTTTTGCTTCCTACCCTGAGAAGGAAGTAATATAGCTGTTGTCTGTCTGTCCATCTGTTTGTGATAGGGTCTCACTCTGTCTGTCGCCCAGGCTGGAGTGCAGTGACACCATCACGGCTCACGGCAGCCTCAACCACCCCAGGGTTAGGTGATTCTCCCACTTCAGCCTCCTGAGTAGCTGAGACCACAGGCATGCACCTCGGGTTTTGGCGTGTTGTCCAAGGCTGGTCTCCAGCTCCCGGGCTCAAAAGATCCTACCGCCTCGGCCTCCCAAAGTGTTGGGGTTACAGGCCTGAGCCACCGAACCCGGCCTGACTTAATACATCTGTTCTCACTGTGTCCTGACCACATGCCCTTAAAGAACTCGAGTCGAGAGAGTCAGCAAGAGACTTTCAGCATTGTCTCCCGAAAGCAGTGAGGTGGATGGCGGTGGAGTGTCCCAAAAGCAGTGAGGTGGATGGCGGTGGAGTGTCCCGAAAGCAGAGAGGTGGATGGCGGTGGATTGTCCCGCGCTCCTGTGGTTTTAGGTGGCCACGCATGGAGGATAGATTTCAAATATTTCCGGAGAGGCTCGAGCCACAGTCATTCAGAGCATCCGAGCTCGGGATGGGGTTTCTGACAGCGCCTTAAGGGCAAGGAAGGGCCAGGAAGGGCAGGATCTGCCAAGGCCCGTCTTCCAGGGTGGGGACAAGGGAACCCAAGGTAGAGGGAGCCATCGATCTGCACTCAGCTCCAGCCCTAGGCCCCACCGTGCAGACTAAGTCAGAAGGAAAAGTCCCTCGTCCTACATGCCACATCCCTCCACTGAACTTGGGAGCAGATCTGTTTTTCAAACATGAGGTGACCAGAGTTATCTGTTCTACTTTAGAAATCCCAAGTTGACCGTCAAGTCCAACGCTCGCTGCAGACATCTAGTGGACCCGGCGCTCGCGGACGGAAGCGGACAGACCTAGTTGGATCCTTATCCCACCAATCTGGCCCACCTTTGCTGCCATCTAACTCCGCTGACCGGCCCACCGTTCCTCCACTGTTCGCTGGTTGACCCGGGCAGCGGAGAGAGGAGGTAAGGCACAAGGGCAGTGACTGGCTCATGTCCCATTCCCGCGCACCTGGGGTGGGGAGAGGGGCCCAACGGCCACCACCGGGCATGCGTGAACACTACCGGGACAGGAACCGCAGGGGCACACCCTCCAACACCCAAGCGTCAGCCATTCTCAACAGGCTCCATCCCAGCCCCTGGAGGAGTTCCCAGCGGGTTGCGGGGAGGAGGTGGAATCGGTGAGGTGGAACGACGAGCAGGGGCGCCAACCCTACATCGGCAACCCCCCGCGCGGCACCTTGGAAAGACCGCGAGTGGGGACGGGCGCCTCCCGAATGCACAGCGGGCGCCGATGGGCTTTCGCAAGAGACACCCGCTGCGTGCTCCGGGGCTCCGGGGCGGGTGGGCATAAGCGGGCCAGGGAAGGAGGTCCCCGGGGGCAACAGGAGGGAGGAAGGAAGGTAGACCTCATGGGCTGAATTACACAGGACACGCCATATCACCAGGTCCCCCGCACACGGGTGGAGAGAACCTTGTGTGGAGGTCTGACTTTCAGCAGATCGCAGCGAGGGAGCTGCTCTGCTCCATAGAAAATCCTGACCCAGAAGCAGGGCGTCTACCAATAGTTTAGCATCAGGTTCCCCACAAACACGTTACCTGATGGGTCAGGGAGTGACCACCTTTCTGGCAGCAGCCCGTTTCCCAGGACGAGGGGCTGTCTGCACCGGACGCCGGTTCCCGGTGCACAGCGGGACATGCCCCGCGCGGGGCGGAGTGGCCCGCCAGCTGGGACCGCAGAGGACCGCCTTTCCGAGGCCAAAAAACGCTCCGCGGCGCTGCCAAATCGTTCCTCCTCGGCGGGATTCTGACTTAGAGTCGTTCAGTCATAATCCCACATATGGTAGCTTTACCCCATTGGCTCCTCAGCCAAGGACATACACCAAATGTCTGAACCTGGGGTTCCTCTCCTACTGAGCAGGATTACCATGGCAGCAACGCATGGGCAGCAACACATGGGGAACACACACAGTAAAACTAACACGTCTCACATGAGTCTAACCATAATGCTTTCCAAGGCATGCACACCGCTCGCGGGTGAATCCATTCCAGTTTGCCTTGCCCTTTGCAAAGAAAAGAGAACTCTCCAGGTGCGGTGGCTGGTGCCTGTAATCCCAACAATTTGGGAGGCTGAGGAGGGCGGATCACCTGAGATCAGGAGTTCAAGATCAGCTTGGCCAACATAGTGAAACCCTTTCTCTACAAAAATACAAAAATTAGCCGGGCATGATGGTGGGTGCCTGTAATCCCAGCTACCCAGGTTGCTGAGGTGGGAGAATCGCTTGAACCTGGGAGGCGGAGGTTGCAGTGGGCCGAGATGGCGCCATTGCACTCCAGCCTAGGCAACAAGAGCGAAAATACGTCTCAAAAAAATAAATAAAATAAAAAAGATACAAATAATTAGATGGGCTCTATTGCCCAGGCTGGAGTGCAGTGGCTTGATTTCTGCGACAACCTCCACCTCCCGGGTTCAAGTGATTCTCCTGCCTCTGCCTCCCAAGTAGCTGGGACTACAGGCGTGCATGCCACCACACCCGGCTAATTTTTGTATTTTTAGTAGAAACGGGGTTTCACCACGTTGACCAGGCTGGTCTTGAACTCCTGACCTCAAGCAATCTGCTTGCCTTAGCCTCCCAAAGTGCTGGGATTACAGGAGTGAGCCACTGCACCCGGCCTATGTGTTTGCTTTTTAAGTCTCTCTTTCTAGGGTCATGAGAATTCTTATTAATTTCACTTAGAGCTCCTTGAGAGAAAAGCCTCTATTATTGTCATTGTAACAGTAAAAAAAAAGTAGAGCTTTTTTTTTTTTTTCTTTTGGGACAGAGTTTCGCTCTTATTGCCCAGACTGGAGTGCAATGGCCGGATCTCAGCTCACTGCAACCTCTGCCTCCCAGGTTCAAGCGATTCTCCTGCCTCGGCCTCCCAAGTAGCTGGGATTACAGGCATGTGCCACCACGCGTGGCTAATTTTGTGTTTTTAGTAGAGACAGGATTTCACCATGTTGGTCAGTCTGTTCTGGAACTCCTGACCTCAGGTGATCCACCTGCCTTGGCATCCCAAAGTGCTGGGATCATGGGCGTGAGCCACCACACGTGGCTCCCAAGAACTCTTCAAATGCACCTAGTGTCACAAGAACAGATAGTAAAACTGTATCTGAAAAAGTGGCTTATGCTGGGAAACTTTTGGTGGATTTGGGGAAACTTAGGGCAAATTTTAAACATGAGGACTTTTGTCAGATCACCTACATTCCTTGGATTCTATGTGGGTTTGTCGCAGATGCTTGATGTGACAAATTACACGGTTTCTATCACTTCATTTGATCAGCCTCCCATTGACTTTCAGCCAAGTCCTGCAGAATTGCTTCTCAGATTGTATCTTTCCTCAAGACAAAGATGTTTTTCATAGTGTTTCTCTAACTTCTCCCTTTTGTGGCTATTAATTTATACTTACATGTTTTTCAACTCCTTATTTTTGTTTTCTCTTTGTGAAAGCTTTTAACCTGTGCTATTCTTGAGGGAAATACTGATGCATATCTAAACTTTAAGGGTGTTTTCCACCCTGGCTGCAGACACTTGGTGAGTAATTTTTCAGGTGATGGGAAAACCCATCATCATGAGAATGTAGCAAATTTCATTTTGCAGTAACTGTTAAAATTGTAGCCATGGTGCTCAGTAAAAGAGGACCTTCCCCCTGTAGGTGTTTGGGGAGGAGTGAAGTCCTGTCCTCCATTTTGTTAGTAACCTGCTTGTGGATGGGGTATTGTCACCCAGAAAGGAAAGAGATACGATGGTATGCAGTTACAGGGAGCCGGGGAAAGAGCAAGACAAAAAAATTCCCTCATGTCTTCAATGCAGAGCCGGCATTTAGACCTCTACTCCAGGCAGGGCCCACAAATCTCTGGCAGCCGTGAGCACCTGTTTTGCTTTTGCCTTCTTCCTGTTGGCAATTTTGGTTTTTGGGTTTTTTTTTTGTTAAGACAGAGTCTCACTCCATCACCGGGCTGGAGTGCAGTGGTGCGATCTCGGCTCACTGCAGCCTCTGCCTCCCAGGTTCAAGTGATCCTCTTGTCTCAGCCTCCCAATTAGCTGGGACTACAGGTGCGCATCACCACGGACAGCTAATTTTTGTATTTTTAGTAGAGATGGGGTTTCGCTACACTGCCCAGGCTGATCTCGACTCCTGATCTCAAGTGATCTGCCCACCTCAGCCTTTCAAAGTGCTGGGATTACAGGTGTGAGTCATCGTGCCCTGCCTGTTGACAATTTGAGGGGCATGTAAAATGTCTGCAGGCTTTTCAGCCAGAAAAACACAGAAGACTGTGTTATGTGGCTTCTCCATTCTCCCTCTTTCTCTGCTCTCCTAAATATTAAAGGGTTCTCCTTTTCCCAAGCCCAGTGGAAAAGCCTCAGGAAGCATGGCGGTATCAGAAACATCCAAAGGGATCCCATCAAGTAATTCCAAATCACTCTCATTCACCCCATTGGAAGTTTCTGCCATCCTGTCTGCCCTGGAGGCTTCCTAATGCAGGCAGATAATATCCTTGGTGTGCTATTAGGCTGGAAGACTCCCTCATCTTTGCTCTTCTGTTTGAGAAAAAAAAATGCCCGGGCACAGTGGCTCACGCCTGTAATCCCAACACTTGGGGAGGCTGAGGCAGGCGGATCACTTGAGGTCAGGAGTTTGAGACCAGCCCGGCCAACATGGTGAAACCCCATCTCTACTAAAAATACGAAGGTTAGCCAGGCGTGGTGGCGGACGCCTGTAATCCCAGCGACTCAAGAGGCTGAGGCAGAAGAATCACTCGAACCCAGGAGGCGGAGGTTGCCGTGAGCCGAGTGCACCACTGCACTCCAGCCTAGGCAACAGAGCAAGACTCTGCCTAAAAATATATAAATATAAATATAATATATAAATATACTTATATATATTATATATAATTATATATAATATATAAATATATTATATATAATTATATATAATTTATAAATATATTATATATATAAATATATAATATATTTTTATATATTATATAATTATATATAATATATAAATATATTATATATATAAATATATAATATATTTTTATATAATATATAATTATAAATATATAATATATTTTTATATATTATATATAATTATAAATTATTATATATAATCAATTAATAATATATCATTAATAATAATATATCATATATAATAATATAATTAATAATATAATTAAAAATATAATATATAATTATAAATATAGTATATAATTATAATTATATTTTTATGTATTTTTTAATAATTCGTTTTAATAAATGAATAGAATTCATCACCTAACTTCTAAAGCTACTTCTCCCGATGAAAGTCCGGGCACTTAGGAGTCAACAGTGGTGTATTGAGTGTATGACTCTTGCTCACAGGTGCTTCTCTTCTGTCCCACGGCAGGCGGCACCAACAGAAGGCTTCTGCAAAGCTGAGAGCTCCTTTTACCCATGGATCAGGAGCAGAGTTTGCAGCTACACTGTCAGGCTGTGTTTGGATGTTAGCAGTTAGTTTAGCTTTGCGTCTTCAGAGCAATTGTTCTTAGCTACTTAAAAAAAGAAAAGAAAAGAAAGGAAAATTTAAAATTTTCTTCATTGATCATTCAGGAGCATGTTTAATTTCCATGTATTTGTACAATTTCAAAAGTTCACCTTGTTGTTGACTTCTAGTTTTATTCCATTGTGGTCAGGAAAGATACTCGATATAATTTCAATTATTTTAAATTTGTTGAGACTTGTTTTGTGGCCTAACATATGGTCTATTCTGGAGAATGTTTCTTGTGCTGATGAAAGAATGTGTTTTTTGCATCTGTTGGATGAAATGTTCTGTAAATGTCTCTTTGTTAGTCTAAAATGCAGTTTTTTGTTTTTTGTTTTTTTAGGAGAGTCTCACTCTGTTGCCCAGGCTGGAGTGCAGTAGCATGATCTTGACTCACTGCAACCTCCACCTCCCAGGTTCAAGCAATTCTCATGCCTCAGCCTCCCAAGTAGCTGGAATTACAGATGCCCACCACCACACCCAGCCAATTTTTGTATTTTTAGTAGAGACAGTGTTTTACCATGCTGGCCAGGCTGGTCTCAAACTCCTGGCCTCAAGGGATCCGCCTGCCTTGGCCTCCCAAGGTGCTGGTACTATAGGTGTGAGCCACCGCATCCAGCCTAAAGTACAGTATAAATCTAATGTTTTGTTTTTGATCTTCTATCTAGACAATCTGTTCAGTGCTGAGAATGGGGTATTGAATTCCCCAGCTATTGTATTGGCATCTATATCTCCCTTTAGACCTAATAATATTTGGTTTATATTATATATCTCGGTGCTCCAGTGTTGGGTGCATATATATTTAGAATTGTTACATCCTTTTGCTGAATTGATCCCTTTATCAATATATAATAACCTTCATCTTTTTTTAATCACTTTTGAGTTAAAGTCTGTTTTATCTGATATGAGTACAGCTACCCTGCTTGCTTTTGGTTTCTGTTTGCATGGAATATCTTTTTCCACCCTTTCAGTCTATGTGTGTCTTTACAGATGAAGTGAGTTTCTTGTAGGCAACCTATAGTTGGGCCATGTTTTTTAATCCATTCAGCCAGTCTATATATTTTAAGGGGGGAAATTTAATCAGTTTACATTCAAGATTGTTACTGATAGGTGAGGGCTTCTGTCATTTTGTTAATTATTTTCTGTTTTTTAAATATATCCTTTGTTCCTTTCTTCCCCTCTTATTGTTCATCCTTGTAATTTGGTGGTTTTCTGTAGTGGTAAAATTTCTTTTCTCTTTCTCCTTTGTGTATGTGCTGTACCAGTGAGTTTTATACTTTTTTCGTGCTTTCTTGATAGTAACTATCATTTCACTTCCAGATGTGGGACTCTGTTGAGCATTTCTTGTAAGGCTGGTCTAGTGGTGATGAATTCTGTCAGTTTTTGCTTGTCTCAGACATGTCAGGCATTTAGCTTCAGGACCTGATTCTAGTTCCTGCCCTGTGGTGACAAATAGAAACAGATCCCTGGTACCCTGCTTAGGTACTAAGCCAGCTAGATGAGAGCAGATGAAAAAATCAAATCTTTCTATTTTGCCAGGGATTAATTCATTCCCAGGATTGTAAATATTACATTTCACTTTTCATCTCACAGAACTGTGAGGTTAGAAAGTGAGCTGGGCAGCCTGCCCAGAAAGACATTATGATGTATACAACACAGTGAACTACTAAGGAGGTGTCTTTAAAGGCATTTACAGCACATAGCTTTTAGTTTTCCTTTTAATTTTGCTGCTCTTTATTTGTAGTAGTAGATAAGGAATTAAGAAAGCAAAAATAAGTGCTTTGACTAGGTCTTTTGCCTTTGAAAATAGCATTAGTAAAATCCTCTCTTCTTTTTTATTCTTGTAAACTTCACCTAATTCACTCTGCCCCCCAGCCCATCTGTGTTCACTTGCTGTTCTTGCTGCTGTCAGTTTTTAAAAGCTTACTCTAAAATTACATGAAAGCAACCCCATTTTGACAAAATTAGAATTCTGGTAGCGATGGCTTACCATGAGGCTGTTGAGAGAGGCCCAGGAAGACTTTTGTTCTTTTTATTTCAACCCCTCTCGGTTAAACCTACAATTTGGTAGGTGATATAATTACCTCCCTTGGACAGGTCTGTATCTCTGCCTTGGAGAAATAACAAAGTCCAAAGTACTCTCCTCATTCAAAGATGTTGCAAATGAAAGCTGTTTTGATCTTCATGTATTAGCATTTGAGTTTTAATCTTTCTGGGGCTCCTGGCAGAAAATTTCTTTAAATTTATTATATAATTCTAAAATATTGGACATATTTGTTTCACGCATCTGTCAATATCCTTATTCTTTTCATTAAACTCTCCACTGCCCCCATTAGTCATCAGGTCCTACTGATTTTTAACTCCTAAGTATTTCTCAAATCTGTCTCCTCAGTGTGTATTGTTGGTTATATAACTCCATCTCCATTGTCACTGTGCTGCTTTAGAGTATCTTTTCTTGTCTAGATCAGTGCCTGGCTTATATTATGAGCTTCGAAAAGTTGGATCAATGAATGAATGATTCATAATCTGGACAAGTGCACTCTAACACTTGACTGAAAAACAAAATCTTAGATCTATCTTCCATGTAAAAGCATCTATCTAAAATGCAAATCTTACTTTGATAATCTCCAGCTTAATAGCTTAGATGGCTCCCAGGCATCCCCAAAACCATCTCTCAATTCACTGATCAAAAAAATAAAACTTAAAAATTTTAAAACTAAAAAAAATTGAACATTTCATTGGTCAAAAAACAAACAAAAAAAAGATCTCTGAGCATGCCTCAGTCACACCCTGCCCTGCTGTGCACCCCTCTCCAAACCCCAGCCTACAGGGACCACCCAATAACCTCTTCTTTGCTACATAACCCTTACCCTCCTTCCTCAAGACTCATATATTCTCCTTAGAAACTTGCCCCCCACTTCCTGGAAACAGTAGATTCTTTTTTGCTTATGGTTTTTGTAATGACATCAGCCATTTAGAACTCATGATGTGCCCAGGCCCCACTATCTGCCTTTCCACAGATCTTGCTCAGACAATCCATCAGGATTTAGTCACAGATCCAAAGTAAGGAGCCAGAGGGGAGCTTCAGGCTTGGTCTCTTTGGGTTGAAGCTAGAAAACTAATCTATGCTGAACACAAAAAAGAAGCTGAGTAATAGCCAACCTACACATCCTAGGAATAACTATTGTTTTTTTTGCCCCCAGCCAGTCTCTCCGCAGTCCTCTCTCCTTCTTTACATTTCTTTTAAACACAGTATGTTAACACAACACTGTGTAAGAACTGGGATTCAGAAAACCAAGATATAGGTCTCCACCAGCTATGCTATTGTGTCCAGAATTGATGGGTTCTTGGTCTCACTGACTTCAAGAATGAAGCGGTGGACACTCTCAGTGAGTGTTACAGTTCTTAAGGTGGGGCATCTGGAGTTGTTTGTTCCTCCCATCTGGAGTTGTTCATTCCTCCTGGTGGGTTCATGGTCTCGCTGGCCTCAGGAGAGAAGCTGCAGACCTTCGCGGTGAGTGTTACAGCTCATAGAGACGGTGTGGACCCAAAGAGTGAGCAGCAGCAAGATTTATTGCAAAGACCGAAAGAACAAAGCTTCCACGGTGTGGAAGGGGACCCCAGCGGGTTGCCACTGCTGGCTCGGGCAGCCTGCTTTTATTCTCTTATCCGGCCCCACCCACATGCTGCTGATTGGTCCATTTTACAAAGGGCCAATTGGTCTGTTTTACGGAGAGCTGATTGGTCCATTTTGACACGGTGCTGACTGGTGCATTTACAATCCCTGAGCTAGACACAAAATTCTCCACTTCCCCACTAGATTAGCTAGATACAGAGTGTTGATTGGTGTATTTACAAACCCTGAGCTAGACACAGAGTGCTGATTGGTGCATTTACAAACCTTGAGCTGGATACAGAGTGCCAATTGGTGCATTCACAATCCCTTAGCTAGACATAAAGATTCTCCAAGTCCCCACCAGATTAACTAGATACAGAATGCCAATTGGTGAATTCACACTGAGCTAGACACAGGGTGCTGATTGGTGTATTTACAAACCTTGAGCTAGATACAGAGTGCTGATTGGTGTATTTACAATCCCTTAGCTAGACATAAAGGTTCCCCAAGTCCCCACTAGACTCAGGAGCCCAGCTGGCTTCACCCAGTGGATCTCGCACAGGGGCCACAGGTGGAGCTGCCTGCCAGTCCCTTGCCATGCACCCGCCCGCACTCCTCAGCCCTTGGGCTGTTGACG
This sequence comes from Homo sapiens, assembly GCF_000001405.40. Classification (NCBI taxonomy): domain Eukaryota; kingdom Metazoa; phylum Chordata; class Mammalia; order Primates; family Hominidae; genus Homo; species Homo sapiens. Next base: position 14,092,997 of record NC_000021.9, read on the forward strand.
GGACCAGGTGCCATGGAGCAGGGGGTGGCACTCGTTGGGGAGGCTCAGGCCACACAGGAGCCCATGGCGCAGTGGGGGAGACTCAGGCATGGCAGGCTGCAGGTCCCAAGCCCCGCCCCACAGGGAGGCAGCTAAGGTCCGGGGAGAAATTGAGCACAGCACCAGTGGGCCGGCATTGCTGGGGGACCCGGTGCACCCTCCACAGCTGCTGGCCCTTGTGCTAAGCATATCACTGCCCGGGGCCAGCCAGGCCAGCGGCTGCTCTGAGTGTGGGGCCTGCCTAGCCCACACCCCCCTGGAACTCTCACTGGCCCACAAGTGCCTTGCACAGCCCTGGTTCCCGCCCGTGCCTCTCCCTCCACACCTCTCCGCAAGCTGAGGGAGCCAGTGCCATCCTCGGCCAGCCAAGAAAGGGGCTCCCACAGTGCAGCAGCAGGCTGAAGCGCTCCTCAAGCGTGGCCAGAGTAGGCGCCGAGGCTGAGGAGGCACCGAGAGTGAGCCAGGGCTGCGAGGGCTGCCAGCACACTGTCACCTTTCACTATGAGTTAGCCATGAAAACTCTCTGGGCCTCATTGACTAAATCTGTAAAATCTGACTTTATGAGGATTATATTCATTGAACTCTGAGGTCCTGTCCATTTCTTACACCCTGATTCAAAGACTGCATATAACCTCTAACCCAGATGTTCTTAACTAGGCTTCTTGTATGTCTGGGAAGATGATGAAAGAACTTCAAGGGGATCATGAGCTCTTTAACTTCTATGTAAAATCCAAGGCTGGGCATGGTGGCTCACGCCTGTAATCCCAGCACTTTGGGAGGCCATGACAGGTGGATTACCTGAGCTCAGGAGTTCAAGACCAGCCTGGGCAACGTGGTGAAACCCCATCTCTATTAAAATACAAAATAATCAGCCAAGTGTGGTGGCGCGTGCCTGTAGTCCCAGCTACTCAGGAGGTTGAGACATGAGAATTGCTTGAATCCTGGAGGCAGAGGAAGTTGCAGTGAGCTGAGATTGTGCCACTGCCCTCCAGCCTGGGAGACAAGGAGAAACTCTGTCTGAATAAATAAATAAATAAATAAATAAATAAATAAATTAATTAATTAATTTAATTCTGTGTAAAATCCTGTGTGAGCTGGCTGCATCACCTTGCCCCACAGAGGGGGTTTTCTTATCTTTTTTTCTCTCTTCCAAGGTAATGATAGTCTATGGTTGCCCTACTATGTACTCTCTTTTTATTATTTTATTTATTATTTTATTTTTTTAGAGACAGGGTCTCACTCTGTTATCCAGACTGGAGTGCAGTGGCATGATTATAGCTCACTGCAGCCTTGGTCTCCTGGGTTCAAGCAGTCATCGCACCTCAGCCTCCTGAGTAGCTAGGATCACAGGCACACCCCACCATGCCCAGCTAATTAAAAAAATATTTTTTTTTTAGGCTGGGCACGGTGGTTCACGCCTTGAATCCCAGAACTTTGAGAGACCAATGCAGGAGGATTGATTGAGTCCAGGAGTTCAAGAACCTGAGAAATACAGAGACCCCATTTCTACCATGAAAAAAATAAAAACATTAGCTGGGCCCAGTGGCATTCACCTGTATTGCCAGCCACTTGTGAGGCTGAGGCAGAGGATTGCTTGAACCCAGGAGTGCAAGGCTGCATTGAGCTATAATTGTGCCACTGCACTCAGCCTGGGTGACACGGCAAGACCCTGTCTTAAAAAAAAAAAAAAAAAAAAAAGAAAGAAAGAAAGAAAAAGACTACAGGTAAGAAAGTACTTGGATAACAGTAAAAAAGTTAAACACATGACATTGGACCTTATGAAATGTGTTTACCCTAGAGCTGTTTATTGTATGATAGGTCCCTCCTAGATAGTATTCAAGGTTTAATGCAGAAACAGAGCAAGACTCTGTTTCAAAAATAAAATAAAATAAAATAGCTGGCCATGGTGGCTTGCACCTATAGTACCAGCTGCTCAGGAGGCTGAGGCAGGAGGATCTCTTGAGCCCAGAGAGTTAGGGGCTACAGTGAGCTATGATCACGCCACTGCACTCCAGCCTGGGTGACAGAGCAAGACCCTGTCTCTAAAAAAATAAATAAAAGTAAATAAAAAGGAACCCTGGGCTCCACATTAGAGATTCAAATTCATTTGCTTTAGCACGGGGTCATGGAATCTGTCCCAGCATCCTAAAAGCTGCCTCAGTGAGTTAACAAAAGGGCTGGTATTGAAAGAACTGTCAACAAGCTGTGACAAAAAGAAGCCTCCTCTGTGAGGCAGGGAAGTGGGGCCAAACAACAGGGGGTTTTTTTGTTTGTTTTTTGCTTTTTTTTTTTTTTTGTGGAGGAGGAGAGGAGCTGATTTAGGACAGCTAAAATGGTTGTGAGAGAGTACAAGAATCTAGGGAAGTTTGAGACCGTGAAACTGTGGCAGCCTCAGCAGGTGCTTCTGTGGGCTTTCTCCAGCTCTCAGCAGGGTGGAGTCAGGAGCAGAGAAGGCAGTTGGTGGGATGACCCGAAGTTGGGGTTTCATCAGAGAGGAGGAGCAGGAGGACAGGGTGTAAGGCAGATCAAGGAGTGTTACTAAGGGGCTCAGGTCCTAGACAGTGGGCCTAGCAGGTAGGCAGTGAGGGTCGTGAAGGATGGGGTAGATGCATGACAAGAGGCCCTGAAAACCAGGGGAATTTGGCAACAACAGAGCCCTGGCAGTCCCAGGAGGGGAGCAGGTCTAACAGGAACACCCTTGCACCTGTGCAGGAGAGCAGCAAGGCTAGGAGGCTGCAGACAGACAGTGGATAACTGAAAGGTGAACTTTCTGCTGGACAGCAGATCCCTGGATGCCATCCCGATGGAGATCTAAGATGAAAAATACTCCGCCATGAAAATGCCTTACATGGTCCTAACCATGAAGCATAAAATTGCCTTTTCACCTGAAAATGACCTGCAGCTTCATTTACCATTTTATGTTTTGGATGTCATGTAACATCCAGAAGCAATACCCTCCTCCATTGCAAGTCAAAGTAAAATCAGAAAATGCTCAGTGGAAAGGAAAAAAACAAAACAAAACAAAAAAACAAAAACAAGCAAACGAACAAAAAAACCAGAAGGCAAAAAACCAGCAATAGAATAAAGCTGCAAACCCAAAGCACCAGGAGAGGAAAGGGAAAAAAACCTGCAGCATACACAAGCTTTGACATTGTGTGATCTGTGAAAATGTATAGAAATGTTACCTTACCCAAAAATTCCCAAGGTGCTTTATTTGCCCACCACTGGAAGGAAGTAGAAATTCCCACGCAGGTTGTTACTTTTAATTTTCATCCTCTTTATGTTGTTTCCTAAAATAACAACAGGTATTCTAGAGATGATTTACCAAGATGGCTTAATGAGGTGTCAGATGAGTACTCATTCCCACAAGCCCCTTTACCTCAGGCCTCCTTATACAAATTTGACTGACTCTTCTGAGCCCGACTAGATAAAAAAACAGACATAATTGGAGCAGCTGGGCTGGAAGCACAGCTGGGCCATCCCCATGGAGACAAGATTCTAGCACCACGTGCTCTTCCTTCCCCAGCGTTTCTCCTCACTCTTGCTTTTCAGAGCAGCAGCCCACCCAAACCTGGGTCTTCCTCAGATGATCTCCACATCAGTGCTTATCAGCATTCATGTGCACACAGATCACCTGTGCAACTTGTGAAAATGCAGATTCAGACTTAATGGCTGGGGTGGTGCCTCTGGATCTATGTGTCTAACAAGCCCCATGGTGGTGCACGTGGTCATCAGATGGTCCTAGTTCCACACTCGGACGAGATATTTAGAGCCTGTAAAATAGCTACTCCCCTATCCAGTGTTTGAGTCCCAGACTTCTGGATTATGCTAGCACTCAGATGCTTCTGGGACAGGACGCTTCCTGTTCATCTTGGGTCAACACGTCAGAGAGACCTTCCTGTATTGAGCTGAGATCTGCCTACGTAGGGCTCACCTTCACCTGGCCTACTTCTGGGCCTTGGATTCTACGTAGCAGGCTTAAGGCCTTAGAAAGTGGCTGGCATGTCCCCCAGGTATTTTCTTCAGGCAAAACCTGCCAGGTCCTCTGGCTATTATTTTTTAATTTTTTTTAGAGACAGGGTCTCACCATGTTGCCATGCTGGTCTCAAACTCCTGGGCTTAAGTGATCCTCCTGCCTCAGGCTCCCAAAATACTGAAATTACAGGCATAAGCCACCATAACTGGTCTTGGCTATTCTTCTTATGCTATAGTTTGGTTATTCTGGTCATTTCCTTCTTTTTTATTTTTATTTTTATTTTTTTTTTAGATGGAGTCTCACTCTTGTCACCCAGGCTGGAGCGCAATGGCATGATCTCAACTCACTGCAACCACTGCCTCCCAGGTTCAAGCAATTCCCCTGCCTCAGCCTCCCAAGTAGCTGGGATTGCAGGTGCCCACCACCATGCCCAGCTAATTTTTGTATTTTTGGTAGAGATGGGGATTCACCATGTTGACCAGGCTGGTCTCGAACTTCTGATTTCAGGCGATCCACCTGCCTTAGCCTCCCAAAGTGCTGGGATTACAGGCATGAGCCACCACACCTGGGCCTAGTCATTTCCTTCTGGATCCTGCTCTGTGTGTCTTTAGGCCTCTCCTCTTGTGATATCCATGCTGCAAAAATTAGCTTGGGACTGTCACCACCTCATTACAGATAGACTTCATGTGACTCGTGTTGTACTTGCTGTCAGCCATCATCCTTAAAGTCATTTTTACACATGCTGTGGATCAGCCACATTTCTTCCTAGTCAGTAATAATTATAATTATACTTAACACTTATGAGACTTAGTATAGCAAGATGGTTAAGAACATAGGCTCTGGAATGAGACTGCTTAGTGGGAAGCACTATGATTGGCACCATGTGTTATCTATCACCATCACCATCATCATCATCCATCACCATCACTATCACCACCATCATCATCAACATCACCATCACTATCACCACCATCATCACCATCACCATCACTATCACCACCATCATCATCACCATCACCATCATCACATCACCATCAACACTATCATCACCACCATCACCATCACCATCATCACATCACCATCAACACTATCACCACCATCACCATCACTGTCACTACCATTATTACCATCACCATCATTACCATCGCTATCACCATCATACCACCATCACCATCATCACCATCACTATCACCACCATCACCAATCATCACCATCACTATCACCACCATCACCACCATCACCATAATCATCAGCACCATCACCATCACCCATCACCATCACCACCATCACTATCACCACCATCATCTTCACCACCACCATCATCATACCATCACCATTATCATTGCCACCACCACCATCATCAGCATCACCATCACATCATCATCACCATGTTAAGTAAGCACTTTGCCTATGTTAACTGATTTAATTCTCGTAACAACTTCATAATGTAGGGGCAATTATTATCCCAGTTTTACAAGTGAGAAAGTGGGACCTCATAAGATTATGTTTTGTGCCGAGGGTAACAGTGACAAGAATCTAAACCTGGGCAGGGTCCTTTGGTTGGTTTTGTTTGTTATGTTGTTGACCAACGTGCAAGACCATATCTGCTCCTGCTATTCATAAATTTCATCTTTTAGTCAGCACTTTATCCTTATTTTACACTATCTTTTGGATTCCTGGTTCTGTCATCCCAAGTGTATCTGCCTCCTAGCTTCATGCTGTCTGTCATATTGTGAGAAAAATATGTATCTTCACCTAGATCATGCACAAGGTCAGAGGCCATGCAGCAATTCCCTACAGATTCTGCTCACTGAAGCCCGATGGTGCACATCTCCTGAAGCTCCCTGAGCCTGTAGTCTTGTAACCCACTCAGAGAAGCCTAGGGAGTGGTCGGACATGATTTGTTTTTGAACATATTTGTATTTGGTTCCTGAGAATCACGTTTCCTCCTCACTTTCAGGTTTCCATTCCAGAATCTTTTCCAAGATGGACAGCTCCCTCCAAATTTATAGTTGCTGAAATCAATTCTCTGGGCAGGGTCAGATGCAAGGAACAAATAGAAAACAGGGCCTGCAGAACACACATCCCAGAGGTGATAATGACCGGTTAATCCCTGCAGATAGTTAGATCTAGGAGACTGTCCCTGAGCTTCAGGGCTCCCTGCCTCTGAATCCAGCAGTGCAAATGCAAGCCTCTATGTTCCCCCTAAACCATAGGTGGCTGAGGAGCCATGGTGTTGCCAGCATTTCTATAAAGGAGGAGCGCAGGGCAGCAATCTCATCAGAAGGGAGGCTGGGGCTGGCCTTGAATTTAGATTGTATGTATATTTGGGGCAATTTGCAAGGAAGGGGTGCCCTGATAGAGATTTTGTGGGCTAAATCCCCCACATAAAGCTATTTTGTGCCACTGCTCCTGTGCCAACTCACCAGAAAAGCTGGACTGATTTCTCCCCTCTCTCCTTTCCTGGTTCTGTTCTCTGACCCTGGGTGATTAATGTAACCTAGCTATGTTCAATTACCCATCCTTTTCATGATGTCGGGATGTCTGCCACCTGTCCCTGGTGCTCTTCTTGGCTTCCTGTGAGCTGTGACAATGGGAGACTTGTGGCTTTTGGAGGAGAGCAGGAGGCCCTGGGTCTGCCATCAGTCTGGTCTCCCTAATCACATGATTATCACTGGAGCCTTCCCGAGCTGGGAAGTTGCAAAACAAACATGCAGGGAACATTCTTCCACCCCAGTACGTTCCCCTCATGAAATCATCAAGCAAACCCTGCATGCTTTCTCTTGGTGTGGTCAGGCAGAAGGGGTGTCTCTCTCATACTAGAGCAGTCAATGGCCATTGGCTGACTGAGACTAACAGCAGATCTAGAAGGATTTGGAGAATGCTGTCTTGGTTCTCTTAGAACAGCATGTGGCCCTAGTAGTGTGCCTGTTTTGGGGACAGTGGAGCCCCTGCAAGTCATGAAAACTGATGGGGCAGGGAGGGGAGCTCCAGCCAGAAATGGGAAGTGTCTCAAACCTTAGTGAAGTGATCTTGAATCTGATTTACAGGGCTGATTTTGACACATTATTCTCAAGAAAACAGTGGTTTAGGTCATGGTCTCAAGCTCTATCTAGATTGAAATTCTGTCAGGCATGTTAGCTCACATTTGTAATCCAAGCACTTTGGGAGGCAAAGGTGGGAGGATCGCTTGAGCTCAGAAGTTTGAGACCAGTCTGAGCAACATAGTGAGATACCATCTCTACAAAAAATTCAAAAATTAGCTGGGCATGGTGGCACACACCTGTAATTCCAGCTACTGAGGAGGCTGAGGCAGAAGGATCACTTGATCCCAGGAGGTTGAGGTTGTGATGAGCTGTGATCATGCCACAGCACTCCAGCCTGGGCAACAGAGCAAGACCCTGCCTCAAAAAAAAAAAAAAAACAATCTTTACCAGCTCTGTGATCTAGCACAATTTATTTGAGTTTTGCAGGCCTCATCCAAAGATAATAATTGGACTTACCTTATTTGTTGTGACAACTAAATAAAAAATAATACATGAAAAGTGCTTAGAACAGTTCCTGGCACTTAGTAAGAGCTTTGTAAGTATTAACTAATATTAGTACCATCATCATCTTTATTGCCACTATCTACTGAGTATTTAATATGTACCAGACATGTCTAAGCACATATAGTACATGCATTATTAGCTCATTGAACTTCACTTCATTTTTTTGGGGGGGGGGGTAGGGCGGGGTTTGTTGTTTTTTGTGACAGAATCTCACTCTGTCACCCAGGTGGCAGTGCAGTGGTGTGATCTCGGCTCACTGCAACCTCTGCCCCCCAGGTTTAAGCAATTCTCCTGCTTCAGCATCCCAAGTAGCTGGGACTACAGGCATGTGCCACCACACCCGGCTAATTTTTGTATTTTTAGTAGAGACAGGGTTTCACCATGTTGGCCAGGCTGGTCTTGAACTCCTGACCTCAAGTGATATGCCCACCTTGACCTTCCAAAGTGCTGAGATTACAGGCATGAACCACTGTGCCTTGCTGAACTACACTTTGAAGTAAGGGTTAACCCTGTGCTTCAGTTGAGGAAACTAAAAATGGGAGAGTTCAGTACAAAGTTAAACCAGCAAGTAATTGAAGTCGAAATCTAGAATCAAGGGTTTTTTGTTTATTTTTTATTTTGGAGACAGGGCCTTGCCATGTCGCCCAGGTTGGAGCATGGTGGTGCAATCACAGCTCACTTTAGCTTCAACCTCCTGGGCTCAAGCGATCCTCCCACCTCAGCCTACTGAGTAGCTGGGATCACAGGCATGCACCACCACACCTGGCTAATTTTTGTATTTTTTGTAGAGACAGGGTTTCATTATGTTGTCCTGGCTGGTCTTGAACTGCTGGGTTCAAGCAATCCACCATCCACCTTGGCCTCCCAAAGTGCTGGGATTACAGGTGTGAGCCACTGCATCCAGCCTGGAATCGAGTTTTCCTAACTCCGGAGTTACACTGTTATTGCCCTCTGCTACTGTCCGTAGTAACAGCCATATTACTGAGTACTTCCCACTCGCTGAGTAGGGTGCTGAGCACTTTACATGCCTTATTTCATTTAATGTTCACAATAATCCTATGAGGTAGATTCTTTTGTTATTCCCATTTTACAGATGAGGTAACCAAGGATCAGAGAAGCTAAGCAGCCTCCACAGATTTATATGGCAAAGAAAGTCAGCATTTAAATCCAGGCCTTCCTGACTCTAAAATCTGTTCTATTGAGTTTGACTGCCAAACAGGTGAGCAGAATGCTCCTAGGAGGTTGGTAACAGTGGTTGGTGATCCATAATGTCTGGGATCCACTGAAACTCCGGGATACAGTTTGCCTAATCAGCCCTATTTTCTGAGCTATTGTTAGGGACAATTTTCACTTTCTCTGATGCTTCATTTCCCTGCAGCTTCTGAAAGCTGTTGATTTGCTCAGAATAAGACCATGTTCTGTGCCTTTCGCATCTCAGATTGTTGTGTACATGCTCAAGAGTATAGAGGAATCATAAACATTCCAGAAGGAGGCCCTGGTGTACTATGCGAAGTTTTTGCCACATAGCTATGGGAGGAATCTGTGTTTCTTGACCAAACACTTGAGGTTATGGGACTGCAAGATTCCAAATGTGCATTTCAACAGGTCGTGATGGGGCAACTTGTTTTGTGACATATAGCACTATAAGTAGAATACATTCTATAGACAAGGGATTCTTAGCCAGGCATGCATGGTGGGGCTTCAGAGGCTCTGGGAACATTCTGTATGTGTGTGTGCATTTTACTGGAGAGAGAGCTCCTAACTTTTGTAATATTCTCAAAGGAGTTCATGACTCAAAAAAATTATTTACAAACCATTGTTCTCCGGCCAGGCGCGTTGGCTCATGCCTGTAATCCCAGCACTTTGGGAGGCCAAGAAGGGCCGTTCACCTGAGACCAGCCTGGCCAAAATGGTGAAACCCTGTCTCTACTAAAAATACAATCAGCTGGGTGTGGTGGCGCATGCCTGTAATCCCAGCTACTCGGGGGGCTGAGGCAGGAGAATAGCTGGAACCCGGGAGGTTGAGGTTGCAGTGAGCAGAGATTGCGCCATTACACTCCAGCTTGGGCAGCTGAGCAAGACTCCATCTCAAAAAAAGAAAAAAAAAGAAGGGCTCCCATCTGCTTTTGCAGAATCAGAGAATGTGATCACTGCAACGGTTGAGGGGAGGGCGCAGGGGAAGGAAGGGGGAGGGCCAAAGGCTGGAGGGACAATAGCTCACCCTGGAATATTTTCAAGTTTAGTGGGGACGACTCTGGAAACAAGCTGACTCTGAAAATGACACAGAATTTACAGTGTTATTGCTTCTTTGAAAGGTGGGCGGTCCGTGGTTTTTCCTCAGCATTCATTCATATACTTCTAGGAAGTGCCATTTAGTTTCATACAGTTTACATATACCTGGTTTTGCTGCATCTGGAGAGATTCAGGATAGTTCTTGTTAATGAGAAGTCATAGGGTGAAGCTATAATGCACTATCCATTGTGAACCCTGATAACTTGAGATAGGTCTCAGTGAATTTAGAAAGTTTATCTGGCCAAGATTGAGGACGCACACCCGTGACACAGCCTCAGTAAGTTCTGAGGACGTGTGCCCAAGGTCATCAGAGCAGTTTGGTTTTATACATTCTAGGAATACAGAAGACATCAATCAATGTGTACAAGATTAACATTGGGTCAGTCTGCAAAGGCGGGACAACTTGAAGCAAAGGCGGGAATTCTCAAAGCAAGGAGGGCACTTCTGGGACATAGGTAGTTGAGAGACAAATGGTTGCATTCTTTTGAGTTTCTGATTACCCTTCCCAAAGGAGGAAATTAAATATGCATTTATCTCTGTGAGCAGAGGAGTGACTTTGAATAGAATGGGAGGCAGGATGGCCCTAAGCAGTTCCCAGCTTGACTTTTCCCTTTAGCTTAGTGATTTGGAGCCCCAAGATTTATTTTTCTTTTACACAATTTTTAAAACCCAGGTAGAAGTAGCCATGCTTGTTAAAGAAACAAAGGAAGAAAGAAAAGCAAATGATAGGCTGGGCATGGTGTCTCACGCCTGTAATCTCAGCAATTTGGGAGGCTGAGGTGGGTGGATCACCAGAGGTCAGGAGTTTGAAAACAGCCTGGTCAATATGGTGAAACCCCATCTCTTTTACAAACACAAAATTAGGCAGGTGTGGTGGAGGGCTCCTGTAATCCCAGCTACTCTGGAGGATGAGGCAGGAGAATCACTGGAAGCCAGGAGGCAGAGGCTGCAGTGAGCCAAGATCGCACCACTGCACTCCAGCCTGGGCAAAAAAAGTGAACCTCTGTCTAAATAAATAAAGAGGTAAATAAATAAATACAATTATTTTAATCTGCTTGTTAAAGGTATCTGATAGAATTTTGAATTTTTTTTGTTATTTTGAATTTCTTTGTTTCTCTAATACAGCTATTTAGAATTCTCTTTCAGAAAAATGACACATTTTTGTTTCTCCAGGATTGGTCCCTGGCTCCTTTTTTAGTTTGTTTGATTAAGTATTTCTTTTAATGATTTGTTGATGCCAGTAGATCTTTGTGGGTGTCTCACCATTGAAGATTTTAATATTTATTGTAGTCAACACTGCCTGGGTTTGTTTGTAGCCATTGTTCCTAGGAAGGCTTTAGAGATATTCAAAACGACTTGGGTGTTGTGATCTAAGCTCTTTCTACTTTATGGGACATCTCAAGCCCAGTAACACTGTGGTTCTTGCAGGCTCACAGAGGTACTACCTTGATGGTCTTGGACAACATGGTCTTGCAGAATTTTCTGAATTATCTGGCAGGGACTCTTCTTCTTTTACTTTCTCCCAAACAAATGGAGTCTGTGTGTGTGTTTATCTGTGTGTGTGTGTTCTGAGACACATGAAAGTGAAGTGGAGTGACCCAAACATCTCTGTGGCCATGACCACTATGACTGCACTGGGTCAGACCTGAATCCAGCAGAGTGCTTGATCTCACCCAAGGCCTGCCATCACAGCTTCCTGGTTACTGTGTGATACCCAACCTTGTTTTAACCTGAATTGACTTTCCCTTAGCTGAGAGAGCCAGACAGACTCCATCTTGGCTCCTTCACTTACAGCCCCTTACCCACCCCCTTCCTCAAGGACTTAACTTGTGCAAGCAGTCTCCCAGCACATCCAAGGACGCAATTAACTAATAAGATACTGTGGCAAGCTATGTCCGCAGTTCCTAGGAATTCGCCCAGTTGATAGCACCCAGAGCCCCTGTGTTTGTGTCCAGTTGATAACACCCAAAGCCCTGCGTCTATCACCTTGTAATGGATTTAAAGCCCCTGCACCTGGAACTGTTTGTTTTCCTGTAACCATTTATCCTTTTAACTTTTTGCCTGCTTTACTTCTGTAAGATTGTTTTAACTAGACTCCCCCCACCTCCCCTTTCTAAACCAAAGTACATAAGAAAATCTAACACCTTCTTTGGGGCCAAGAGAATTTTAAGTACTAGCCATCTCTTGGTCACCGGCTAATAAAGGACTCCTGAATTCATCTCAGCATGTGGCGTTTCTCTGTAACTCACTCGGTTACAACAACTGTCTATGTTCATTCAGGGCACTGTGGCTCTACAATCAGCAGGTGAAAAAGTCAGCCAGGCCTCGATTACTCCCTTCAGTTTAGCAAGTTTCTTTAGGCCCTAGGTTGGTTCAGAGGTGCTATTCAGGAGTCAGGGACTAAAATAAAAAACTTCAGAAAGCTAAGGTTTTGGCAGTGAGAGTTTGGCAGAAGAGTGTGGAATAGATCTTTAAAAAAGTGAAAGTTTCTAAATAAAGATTGAAACCTGATGGGAAAAACAATAGAGAAAAATACAAAAATTATTTTCATGCTAATGTTACTTATTTATTTATTTATTTTTGAGACAGGATCTTGCTTTATCTCCCTGGCTGGAGTGCAGTGGCCTGAGCTTAGCTCACTGCCAGCTCTGCCTCCCGGGTTCAAGTGATTCTCCCACCACAGCCTCCCTAGTAGTTGGAAATACAGGCACGTGCCATGATGTCCAGCTAATTTTTTGTATTTTTAGTAGAGATGGGGTTTTGCCATGTTGGCCAGGCTGGTCTTCAACTCTTGGCCTCAAGTGGTCAGCTCACCTCGGCCGGCCTCCCAAAGTGCTGGGATGACAGGCATGAGCCACTGCGCCCAGCCCAGTTTGTTATTTAATTACACCAGCCCTCATTTTGAAAAAAGACTAGATGCAGGGATTAACAACTAGTGCTTTGATTTTACTTGTAAAATGTATTTTCTTTTTTTTTCTTGTGGGCACCAGTAAATTAAACACTAATAAAAATATAATACAGGCCTGGCACGGTGGCTCATGCTTGTAATCCCAGCACTTTGAGAGGCCAAGGCAGATGGATCACAAGATCATGAGTTTGAGACTAGCCTGGCCAACATAGTGAAACTCCGTCTCCACTAAAAATACAAAAAAAAAAAAAAAAAAAAAAGCCAGGCATGGTGGTGGGCGCCTGTAATCCCAGCTACTCAGGAGGCTGAGGCAGGAGAACTGCTTCAACCTGGGAGGTGGAGGTAGCAGTGAGCTGAGATCGTGCCACTGCACTCCAGCCTGGGTGACAGTGTGAGACTCCATCTCAAAAAAAAAAAAAAAAAAAAAAAAAAAAAAAAAAAAATATATATATATATATATATATATATATATATATATATATATATAAAAATACATGTTTTCAGTCATGTAGTGTATGTGTGTGTATTATCTTTATATATGCTATGTATTATGTATATATTATTTATAATATATAGATAAAATATACATTATATATAGAAACAGACAAAATATACATTACACACTCACACACACACTCATTCACACACATGTGCAATGTGGTCTAAGGTATTGCAGTGTGGTAACATGTACACATTTCACAAGTTTACATCTTTGAGTTATTCTGGAAGACTGTTATCACCTCTGGCAAGGAAGGTTCATTAGGAGGTTAATGGGTTCTAATGTACATGAAACGGTTGGCTACTGCCTTGTCTGTTACCCAGAGGCCCTAAGCAATCAGGAAGACAGTAACAAAATTTCTGCTCTTGGTAACGTTTGCAGTGCATTTCATAGGTGTCATTAATATCACAAGCTGAGATTGAAAAGCTTCTGGGGATATATGAAAAATTAATGGGCATTAGAAAAGTAAAATAGCATGAGGTTGTGTGTGTGTGTGTGTGTGTGTGTGTGTGTTAAAGAATGCATGAAGATTGTGAGCAGATGCCCAAGGGGTGGAGAAGAGAGAAACAGTATCTCTGTGGATTGGAGAAAGGACTGTGGAGGGAAGGGCTGCAGTGTAAACTGAAGTAACTGTTTTAATGAAAATCTGTCAGACAGTAGAGCTACAGGCAGCACTGCTTAAATCCCTAGGGAAAAAGTAGAGTGTTTGCGTTTTTGCGTAGAACATGTATCTAATATCTGAAGCACCTTCACCTACTTCCAGGTGAGCACCAACAATGGCCCCAATTCACCTTCAAGTGGATTATTATCAAAGTACATCATTATGATACTATCAGGTCATGGCAAGTGTTATAAATTGTGTACGCACAAAAATTCATATTTTAAAACTCTAACCCCTAGTTCCTCAGAATGTGACTATACTTGGAGATAGGGCCCTTCAGTGGGTAATGAAGTCAAAATGAGACTGCTAGAGTGGGCCCTAATCTAATCTGAATGGTCCCCTTAAAAGAAGAGGAAATTTAGACATACTGAGACACCAGGGATGTGCATATACAGAGGAAAGACCATGTGAGGTTACAGCAATAGGGCAGCCATCTGCAAGGATAAAAGAAGGGCTTCATAAGCATGTTAGTCATTATCACACTGCTATAAAGAAATACCCAAGACTGGTAATTTATAAAGGAAAGAGGTTTAATTGACTCATATGAGGAGGCCTCAGGAAACTTAGAATCATGGCAGAAGGGGAAGCAGGCACCTTTTTCACAAGTGGCAGGAGACAGAAGTGTGAAGTGTGAGCACAGGAAAACTGTCACTTTTAAAACCATCAGATTGTATGAGACTCACTCACTATCACAAGAACAGTATGGGAGAAACAGCCCCCATAATGCAATCACCTCTCACCAGGTTCCTCCCTTGACACATGAGGATTACAATTCAAGATGAGATTTGGGTGGGGACATAGAGCCAAACCATGTCAATGAGAAACCAAGCCTGCTGACACCTTGACTTGGACTTCTGGCCTCCAGAATTGTGGGAAAATAAATTTGTGCTGCTTAAGCCACCTAGTTTGTGGTATTTTGTTATGGCAGCTCAAGCAAACTAATTCAACAGGCAAACAAAGGCACAAAGGCTGTGACTGTGGTTGGCAGAGTGTGTTAGAAACACACATAAATCCTTGGGGTATTCAGACACAAGTGAGAGAGAGCTCAACACTAGAAATTGCTGGACTGAACAGGGGAATTAGAGAATGCTAAGAACATTTAGATTATGATTTTGAATGTGATCATTTGTAAATCGAGTAAACAGATAACACATACTGAACTTAGGGGATTCATTCAACATAGGAGTTAAGAACAGGGACCCAGACATCTTAGTTTTGAATTCTGGTCCTGTGCATTATTCTGGACGTGTTATTTGGCCTCTATCTCTTGGCTTCTTCATCTGCAGAGATAATATGGCTAGCTGCATATGGTTTTCATAAGGATTAAATAAATTAATATGTATAAAGCATTTAAACTGTTCCAGGAACACAGTGATATACATAAGAGTTAGCTATCTTCTTATTATTGTCATTATGAACAAACACTGCTCAAAATACTTTATTAAAAGCAATTTTCACAAAAATTACTTGGGCAACTGAGATATGGTGAGGTAAATTAACTTACTCAAGATCACATCATTAATAGGTAATGGCACCAGTATTTGACCATAGGTTATTTATTGTACTCCATAGAAGCAAAGCCATTATTTACAAAGGACTAAAAAAAGATGCCAAGTAGATGATTAAATAAGTATATGTTTACTAGGTTCACATTAATACAAGTGACTTCTCCAAATGAAAATTTACAAATAAAATAGTGTGTTCATTTATTTTACTACTGAGGTAGAATGGTTCTGTTGAAAACAGTGAATTGAAGTATTCACTAAACTTGCCTATTTTTCAAAAGGCATTTATTCATTATTAATAAATAATTAAGGTAAACAGTCAATGATAAGTATTAAATTGAGGAAGCAGAAAAAGTAAACAGAAATAAACAACTTTCAGAATATATTTGGAATGTTTAACTGTATGCATTTTTTATTTTCTTTATTTTTGATTCTTAAAATTTTTTCCAAGAAATAGAAATACTTGAATCTCAAATTGAACAGTGCATTATAAAAGACTGATTGCATTGTTTCATTTACAAGTCCATTAATTCACAAGCAAGTGCATTTGATGGAAGAAGGCATCTTATGTGTTCTTTGGTGTACATGTGTTTGGATTAAGAAACACTTCCTCTCTGTCTTTAAGTACAATATTATACCTGCAAAGTGGTGGTCTGAGAAAGAGAAAAATGGAGAGAACAAAAAAATAACTATTAGTAAAACAACAGAGTTGATTTCCTTCTCTCATTAATATTAGAATAGTCCATGCCTGTAACTAGCTAGTTCTCTAAATGTAGGGAGTTGGAACAAATATATGGGATCATTTCCATTCTATCTCATTTGGCTGTGTAGGGATGAAATAGACATAATGCTTATAAGAAAGAAAAAAATCTGTTTCAACTTCTTTTCTCACTGCTTTATTGGAAAACTTAATTGTATTAGAGATACAGTTAGATACTGATACAGTTGAAACTTGAACTCAACTCAGTATCCAGGCCATTCCTTCCATCATGATGGTCACCAGAAGAGAGTCAGGGTGAATCACATAGACAAAGTTTGCCGAAGCAATTTAATCAGTCCTCTTATGCCACCTACTAAAATGGAAATAATAAATCCTAAAGTATTCTATATCTTGGACAGATTTTATATTTAATATTTCAAGCTTTCCAAGAAGCCAAGTCACTGCAGCACTGTTCACATATTTATAATAAAATAGTAAGACAAGTGTGTTTTCTTTTTTCTGCAATAGACTAAAAGCTCATGACCTTAGTAGCATAGCATTGAATTATCTTCTATTAGTGCATATATAGTAAATACATATTTTTGCAAATATCCTATATTTTACAAAGCCTCTACAAGCATCACAAAACAGCTTAGGCAGGTTCACAATGCCTATCAATGTTAAATTTTACCAAAGCCTTTGAGAAAAATTAATTTGCTGTCCTTTTACATTGTAAAAGTTCATCTAGTTATCACTGTCATGAATTTTGATATCTTTTTTATCTTATGTTTAATAGTTCCTTCTCCCAGGCAATAAAAAATAAAAACACTATAATTTTGTGATACATTTTGAATTACCAAGGGAAAAGAATATTATGTATCTATCTTTCTAATTTCAAAATGCATACTGAATTTGTACTTCTAATGCTTTGCTTACCACACATTACCAAAAATGAACACATTACATTGATAAAGTATAAGATTGATCTAAAATAATAAAAAAGAAATATAGTAATAAAAATTTTTTATGAATTCAAGTACAATCCAGTTTTCTATTTTAATCCATATATATTATACCAAAGTACAAAAAATATATAAGCTTCTTTACTTGAAAAATCTCCCTAAGGCTTTTGCTCAACCTATCACCACATCTGTCCATTTAATATTCTCTTTTTTTTGCCATTAATATAGAGGCCCCTAAATTTGACTTCATTTTTTTATTTATTTGTTTATTTTAAATTCATAAAATTCTATGTATTCATTATGTACATGGTGTTTTGAAGAATAAATACATTGTGGAATGGTTAAATATAGTTAATTAAAATACACATTACCTCATATAGTTATTTTGCAACAAAAGCATTCAACATCTACTCTGCATTTTTCAGGAATATAATATTTTGTTATTAACTGTGGTCACCATGCTGCACAATAAATCTCTTGAACTCATTCCTTCTATCTAACTGTAATTTTCTATCCTTTGACCAACATCTCCTTAACACCTTCCCCTCCCAACTGCCCAGCCTCTGGTAACCATGGTTCTACTCTCTGCTTCTATGAGATCAACTTTTTTAGATTCCACATGTGAGTGAAATCCTACAGTCTTTGTCTTTGTGTGCCTGGCTTATTATACTTAACATAATGTCCTTCAGGTTCATTCATGCTGTTGCCAATGATGGGATTTCCTTCTTTATTATGTCTGAATAGTATTCCAATTTATAGATCTCTATCTATCTATCATCTATCTCTCTCTATATATAGGTGATATATATATGCATACTATATTTTTAATATATATAGTATATACCATATACTATATATATATAATATACATATTATATTTTTCTTACAGCTTCATCCACTATTGAAATCTTAGTTTTATTTTTTATCTTGGTTATAGTGACTAATGCTGTAATTAACATGGAAGTGCAGATATCTCTTCAACATACTGATTTCATTTCCTTTGATATACACCCAGTAGTGGGATTGCTGAATCATATATTAGTTCTATTTTTAATGTTTTTAGGAATTTCCAAACTGTTTTTCCTAACAACTTTTCTAATTTACATTCTTATCAGTAGTTATCAACCATTCCCTTTTTTCCATGTTCTCACCAACATTTGTTATAACTTTTGTCTTTATGGTAATAGCCATTCTAACAGTCATGAGGTGATAGCTCATTGTGGTTTTAATTTGCGTTTCCCTCATGGTTAGTGACATTGAACACATTTTCATATACCTGTTGGCCACTTGTATGTCTTCTTTTGAAAAATGTGTTTTCAGATCCTTTGCCCAATTTTTAATTAGGTTATTTGTTTTCTTGATATTGAGTTGTTTGAGTTCCTTATATATCTTGGAGATTCACCCCTTATCATATATATACTTTGCAAATAATTTCTCCCATTCTGTAGATTGTCTCTTACCTCTGTTAATTATTTCCTTTGATGAGCATAAGCTTTTTAGTTTAATGTAATCCCATTTGTCTATTTTTGCATTTGTTGCCTGTGCTTTTGAGGTCATATCCAAAATATCATTGTCCAGACTGATGTCAAGAAGATGTTCCTTATATTTTCTTCTAGCAAGTTTATAGTTTCAAGCCTTAGATTTTAGTCTTTAGTCCATTTGGAGTTGAATTTTTTGTATAAGGTGTGACATAAAGGTCTAATTTTATTCTTTGGCATGTGACTATACAGTTTTTCCAACACCATTTATTTTCATTTTGTTTTGTTTTTTTAAAATAGATTCAGGGGGTACATGTGCAGGTTTGTTACAAGAATATATTGTGTAGTGATGAAGTTTGGGCTTCCTGTGTACCCAATCACCCGAATAGTGAATGTTGTACTCAATAGGTAATTTTTCAATTCGCATCCCTCTCCCACACTAATCTCTTTTAGAATCCTGGTATTGATTATTTCCCTCTGTATTTCCATGGTTACCCACTCCAACACTATTTATTGAAGAGACTGTCCTTTCTCCATTGTGTGCTCTTGGAACCTTTGTTGAAAATTAATTTTTAAATGGGTGAATTTATTTTATTTCTAGGCTCTCTGTTCTGTTCCATTGGTCCATGTCTCTGTTTTTATGCCAGTATTATACTACTTTGGTTACTATAGCTTTCTAATATATTTTGAAGTTATTTGGTGTGATGTCTCTAGCTTTGTTCTTTTTGCTCAAAATTGCTTTAGCTATTTAAAGTATTTTGTGGTTTCATACAAATTTTAAGGTTTTTTTTCTATTTCAATGGAGAATGTCATTGGTATTTTGATAGAGATTTCATTAAATCTGTAGATCCCTTTGGTTGTTATGGACATTTTTAACAATATTAACCCCTCCAAGCTACAAACATGGGATATCTTTCATTTATTTGTGTCTTCTTCAATTTATTTCATCAATGTTTTACAGTTTTCTGTGTAAGAATTGTTTACCTTTTTGATTAAATTTATTCCTAGGTATTTTATCATTTTATAGCTATTGTAAATACAATTGTGTTCTTATTTTTCAGATACTTTGCTATATTGCATTTTCAAAGCTATCTTTGAGAATGTTATATTAATATTTATACATATTCATGCATTTTGTTTTTAAAAATGGAATCATACTCTTATAAGACATCATGCTTTTCTCACCAGGCAATATATTATGAATCTTTTCATAAATATAAATAAGCATTTAAAATATATTAAAAAAGAAAAACTACTAATTCTTGTATATTGATTTTGTTTCCTGCAATGTAACTTATTCCTAATATTCTTTTAAAATGTTACTTGGATAAGGTTTCCAGCAATAACACAGGGAAAAGAATAGTGCCTATTTCCACCTGCCATGTGAGAAAACCCAATTCATAGTCCACTCGATAAGGCACATAGAAGGGTCTTCTCTAAGTAGTGGGAATCATTACACCTAGACTGAGCACTTATCCAAGCTAGCTTAATAAATTTTGAAAGCAGGACCTGAAAGGTTTAACCCCAGTAACATAACAGTATTTTGAGAATAGAATTTAAGAGCATTTGTAGGAATACAAAAATATAGAACATTCAATAAGATAAAATTCACAGCATCTGTGATCTAATTGAGAATTACTAAGCATTGTGAAGCTGGAAAATGGACCCATATGAGGTGAAAAATCAACCAATTGAAACTAACCCAGAACTAGCACAAATGTGAGACTCAGCAGATAAATGCATTAAAACAGTTATTATACCTTTATTTCAGATCTTCAAAAGTGAAGTGGAGACATGAGAGATATAAAGAGGTGAGAACTACGATGTTTGAGATGAATAATACACTTATGAGATTAAAAGCAGATTAGATATTGCAGAAAAAATCAGTGAACTTGATAACATAGCAACAGAAACTATTCAAAATAAAATGCAAAGAGAAAATAGAATTTTAAAATTACCAAAGCTATCATCACACTGTTGTACTATCAAATATTAGATCTTACTTCAAGTAGCCAAAAATACTTAAAATTGGAATCCTCAGAGGAGAAGTAGTAGAGGAACACAGAAAAAAAATCTCAAAAAAATAGCTGGAAATTTAGATGAAACTTGATGAAAACTATAAACCCACTGTATTAGTCTGTTCTCACACTGCTATAAAGAACTGCCCAAGACTGGGTAATTTATAAAGGAAAGAGGTGTAATTGACTCACAGTTCAGCATGGCTTGGAAGGCCTCAGGAAACTTAACAATCATGGCAGAAGGCACATCTTCACAGGGCAGAAGGAGAGAGAATGAGTGCCCAGCGAAGGGGAAGCCCCTTAAAAAACTTTCAGATCTTGGCCGGGCTCAGTGGCTCACACCTGTAATCCCAACACCTTGGGAGGCCAAGGCAGGTGGATCATGAGGTCAGCAGATTGAGACCATCCTGGCTAACATGGTGAAACCCTGTCTCTACAAAAAATTAGCCAGGCGTGGTGGCATGCACCTGTAGTCCCAGCTACTTGGGAGGGTGAGGCAGGAGAATCACTTCAACCCGGGAGGCAGAGGTTGCAGCAAGCCAAGATCATGCCACTGCACTCCAGCCTGGGCAACAGGGCAAGACTCTGTCTCAAAAAAAAAAAAAAAAGTTCTGATCTCATGGGAACTAACTATCACAGGAACAGGATGGGGGAACCACCACAATGAATCAATTATTCAATTATCTCCACCAGGTCCCTCTCATGACATGTGGGGATTATGGGAACTACAATCAGACCCACCCAAAATGGCTACAGGCCTGTTTTGAAGATTATTGTAAGACTCCAGTGGCTCTAACAAAACAAGGGACCATAGAAAAGACCCACAAAGTGCAGGCCCAGGAGAAAGAGCAGCAAGGAAAACAGGAAAAACCTGTCCTACAGGCCCTGCCAGAGGAGCTAGAGACTCCACCCCCTTATGTTCCAATTTACCCTTCTCTGGCAAGGCTTAGGCAGGAAGCCACTCCAGCAGCTGCCTCTGGAGGGTCGGACTCAGAGGAGAGTATCCCCGAAACTTCAACATGTAGGGAAGAGCCATGACCACTGCCCGATAAATCAAAGAGGAACTCCAGGATAAGGTTGGCGGTCTTTGGTCAGGACATGCCTGAGTCATGCAGATTCCCCTCAGAGAAACTAGATTTGGGTGGGGACATCGCCAAACCATGTCACCCACAGGTCCAAGAAAGCCAACAAACTTCAAAATACAAGAAGTATGAAGAAAATTACAGCATGGTACATCATAATCAAATTGCTCAAAATCAGTGACAAAGAGAAAAATCTTAAAACCAGCCAAGAAGAAAAGTAGATTATCTTTGGGGCAACAAAGAAAGGATAGCAACATATTTCTCTTTAGGTTCAGTGCATGGTAGAAGATGGCAAAACAACATCCTTAAAGAATTGATAGACCAGCCTGACCAACATGGTGGTGAAGAAGGAATTCATGAATTTTACAAGTATAATCAAAGACAACCAAGACATTTTTACTTTTTCCTTCAAAAGCTTAGTATAGCAACCTCCGCACCCCGCTCCCCACCCCCCATAGTCTAAGTTAGAGAAGAATACTAACTACCTGTTTTTCCTTCTGTGCTCAGCAAGCCTTACCTACTTGCTAATTTCATATTCCTTGAGGCTCAGCGAGTTCCTGCTTCACCTCCCTAGTGCAGCTGCAAAGTTACAAGGTTGATACAGAAACATAGTTTCCCAGGGATGTGGAACATATAGCATAAATAAATGTAAAAGACTGATCAACTGCCTTTTTTCTCGCTTCTGTAAGTAGGCTTCCTGCATCACATAGCTCCCGGCCACTGACAGCTTAAAAGGTGGCTGCTTTCTTTGTCCGGGGCTCAGACTTTTCTGGACACTAGTCCAACTGAGCCAGGTGATCACCTTTTAATAAAGACCTTTCCTGAACTCTGTTCGATCTCTCTTATCTCTGATTGCCCCACAACATTTCTGGGGGCTCATCTGGGATTGGAGATTGTAGGTTTCTGTCTCCTTTGCCTATGGGTTAGAGCCCCAGGACGTGGGAGATTTGGGACTCTTGGCACCACTGAGTAACACAGCCCAGAAGGAGAACGGTTTTCCCGTGTCTTGGAGCCTTCCCTTGACAGTGCAAACGGAACCGACTCAGGAGTTGCAGGAGAGTCACAGAGCAGTGCGCAGGCAGACTACTGAACCAAGGTAAGGTTGGTCCCTAGGGAAGCCTGTCCCATAAGGACAGAAGGGGAGCTTGATCACCTCCCAGGGAACGACCACTTATCCAACCCAGAGTAGCTGGGTGCAGCAGGAGTGGCTTGCCAATTTTGATGAACCTCGTGTCCCCACTCACACTGGAAAAAGGGAGAAAATGGGCTGGAAGAGTGGCAAGTGCAGCAAGGTAGAGCTTGCTGGCAGGGTGACAAGAGTGGTTTGCCACCCCAACTGGGAGTGTGTGGGAGTGTGTGGGTGTGTGTGAACCTACCTGGGACACAAGAGAGACTCATTTCACCTGATGAGGAGTCCTGGGGTAGGAGTGGTGTGTGTATGTGTGTGAATGTGGGAGCCTAACTAGGCTCATCTGGGACATGAGAGAGGCTCGTTTCATCTGATGAGGAGTCCTAGGGCAGGGGAGGTGTGTGACAGTGTGTGAAAGAGATGGTCTCAGGAGAGGCCAATGTGGGGAGTGATGTGGGGAGGTGCAGATCTCTTAGTGCAGACTGTGTCCTCCGAGGCGAGTGTGGGATGAGCCAGACCTAGGTCAGTGCGTAAGGCCGACAGGATTAGTTTCATAGCTTCACAGCAGTAGTTGGGTGTGACCTGGCCAAGCAGCACCCAAACCTCCTGTAATAGGACCCGGTCTGGTGAATCTGAGAGTGAAAGTGAGAGTGAAAGTGTGCTGTGAGGGAGGAAATTGGAGAAAAAGCATTGAAGCCGACTCCATTAGAATGTATGTTGAAGAACTTTAAGAAAGGCTTTGATGGTGATTATGGAATGAAGTTAAGACCGCAGAGGCTAAGAACCCTTTTTGAAATTGACTGGCCCTCTAATGTAGGGTGGCCAGCTGAGGGAACCATAGATATGGAAATAATTGGCCAAGTGTTTTGGGTGGTCACTGGGGTCAGACAACAGCCTGGGTACCCTGATCAGTTCCCATACATAGACTCCTGGCTGAACGTGATTCAGACCCGTCCAAAATGGCTACAGGCCTGCTTTGAAGATTATTGTAAGACTCTAGTGGCTCGAACAAAACAAAGAACAATAGAAAAGACCCACAAAGTGCAGGCCCAGGAGAAAGAGTAGCAAGGACAACAGGAAAAGCCTGTCCTACAGGCCCCGCCAGAGGAGCTAGAGACTCCATCCCCTTATGTTCTAATTTATCCATCTCTGGCAAGGCTTAGGCGGGAAGCCACTCCAGCAGCTGCCTCCAGAGGGTTGGACTCAGAGGAGAGTACCCCCCAAACTTCACCACATAAGGAAGAGCCAGGCCCACTGCTTGATAAATCAAAGGAGGAACTCCAGGATGAGGTTGGCCGTCCCTGGTCAGGACACACCCAAGCCATGCAGATGCCCCTCAGAGAAACTAGAGGACAGATCTATTTAGATGCACAAAATGAGGTTCAAGGAGGAGAACAGCTTTATCTTTATAAGCCCTTCTCTACTACAGACATTTTCAACTGTAAACAGCATACTCCCTCCTATACGGAAAAACCCCAGGCTCTTATTGACCTAATGCTGTCCATCTTCTTAACTCACAGCCCAACCTGGGCTGACCTGCAAGCAGCTCCTTCTGTCACTGTTCAATACAGAAGAACGCTGCAGAGTAATACAAGTGGCTAATCAGTGGCTAGAAAGCAACACCCCAGTAGGCATGGCAGATGTCAAAGAGTATGCACAACAGACTTTACCAATAGAAACTGATCCAGGCTGGGACTGAAATCAGGCCCAAGGGCTGCTAAACTTTCTGAGATACTGAGAGGCTCTGATACAAGGAATAAAGGCTGGAGGGAAAAAGGCAACAAACACTGGAAAGGTTTCAGAGGTTCATTAGAAACCAGATGAAAGCCCCAGTGAGTTCTAAGAGAGGCCTTGTGAGGCTTACTGACTCTACACACCTTTTGACCCAGAAGTGGCAGGGAATCAGTGCATGGTTAATGCAGCATTCATGAGTGAAGCACAAAATGATATTAAGCAAAAGTTGCAGAGGCTGGAGGGGTTTGAAGGTATGAACATTCCCCAGCTTATCCAGGTGGCAACCAAAGTGTTTGTAAATTGAGATGAAAAAGCAAAGTGGGAGGCCAAGCGTAGAGTGAAGGAAAAGGCAGAGTTCTTGGCCACAGCCCTGGTTGAAAGAGAGGCTGGATTTGCAAGAGGACATGAATGTGTCATGGATGTGGTCACAGTAGAGGACAAGCTAGGCCAGATCAGGAGACCAGGACAGGTCAGGAAGGTCAGCCTAGACTAGAGAGAGATCAATGTGTGAGATGCAAGCAAAGAGGGCATTGGAAAGATGAATGTCCAGAGAAAGAATAGGACAAGGGCAACAACCAGAGACAGAATGACTGGACAGAGCCCCCTTCCGTCACTGGGCAAGGCATAGTAAGATCTGACGTGGATCTAATTGGGCTGGCAGAAGCCAATGACTACCTTGAAGACTGAGACAGATCGGGCTCCATCTCATTAGGCCCCAAGGAGCCTATGGTCTCAATTGTAGTAGGGCGCTGAAAAATAGACTTTATGGTAGACACAGGTGCTGAACACTCGGTTGTGACTCAAAAAATTGGGCCGTTATCAAAAGACTATGCTAATATTATCAGAGCCACAGTTATCACAGAAAAGACACCTTTTTTCAAATGAAAGAGATGTATGACTGGAGACCGAAAAGTCCAACGTAAGTTCTTATATTTGCCAAACTGCCCAGTGCCACTATTAGGAAGAGACTTACTACAAAACTGCAGGCTCAGATCTCCTTTACACCAAGTGGAGATAGGACCTTAAGCCTAAGGCAAAGAAAGGTTATGGTATTAACACTCACAATCCCCAAAACAGATGAATGGAGACTTCATGAAAGTAGTTGCCAGGAGTATGGAAGAAGATATAGTGTGGCTGAAAGAGAAAAACTATTCACAGACTTACTTCTTAAGTTATCAGGAGTCTGGGCAGAGGACAGTCCCCCGGGGCTGGTAGTGAATCAAGCACCTGTCATAGTAGAACTACTACAAGGAACCTACCTGGTGCAGATCTGTCAGTATCCCATTCCCACAGAGGTTAACCAAGGGATTGCAAAACACTTAAAATGGCTCCTTGAATTTGGAATAATAGAGAGATGTGTCTCCTCATGGAATGCTCCCCTATTGCTGGTGTTAAAACTTTCTGGTGACTACTGGCCTATACAAGCCTTAAAGGCAATCAACGAGGTGGTGGCTACACTGCATGCTATTGTGCCTAACCTGTACGCTATGCTTGCACAAATACCTGCTAGTGCTGCTTGGTTCACATGCTTACACATAAAAGATGCATTCTTCTGCATCCAATTAGCCCCTGTAAGCCGAGACATTTTTGCCTTTGATTGGGCCCATCTCAGTATACCTGGACTAGACTTCTCCAAGGATTTAAAAACTCCCCAACTATCTTTGAAGAAGCACTAGCCTCAGACTTAAAGGCTTTCACTCCACCTAGCGACCCATGTATCTTACTGCCATACATAGATGATTTGTTACTAGCTACACCCACCAGAAAGGAATGTATGCAAGGAACAGAGAGTCTCCTTTGAGCGCTGTGGAAAGCTGGCTATAAAGTGTCCAAGGAAAAGGCACAGATCTGTGGCCAAGGAGTTCAGTATCTTGGCTTTTACATCTCTCAAGGGCAGCATGAGCTTGGGTGGGAGCAAAAGGAGACTGTCTGTAGCATTCCTCAGCCAGACACAAGGCGGCAAGTGCGGGAATTCCTAGGGGCAGCTGGTTTCTCCCGTATATGGATCCCCAACTACTCACTCCTAGCAAAACCTTTATATGAGGCGATGAAAGGGCAGGGAAAGGAGCCCCTCCTTTGGGGAAAAGAACAGGATATGGCTTTCAAGGAAATCAAGAAAGCTTTAATTCAGGCACCAGCACTAGGGCTGCCAGACATGACAAAGGCCTTTTACCTGTATGTTCATGAAAGAAAAGAAATGGCTACAGTAGTCTTAGTGCAAATGCTAGGGTCATGGTATTGGCCTGTAGCATATTTGTCCAAGCAACTAGACTTTGTGGCTAAGGGATGGCCACCCTGTTTCAAGGAACTGGCCGCCACTGCCTTGTTAGCCGAGGATGCTAACAAGCTCACATTTGGACAGAAGCTGATAATTCAGGTGCCCCACACAGTTGTCACCCTGACGGAACAGAGAGGACATCATTGGCTCTCTAACCCTAAGATGCTAAGATATCAAGGGCTCCTATGTGAGAATACATACATCACCTTAGAGACTGTGAATACCCTAAATCCAGCCACACTGTTACCAATAGAATATGTGGAACATGGGAAGCCCCCGTTATGTGCCCCAGGGTACCACTGCTGTGTAGAAACAGTGGATGAAGTCTTTTCAAGCCAGAAAGACTTAAAGGATCAACCCTTAAAAGACCCAGATGTTGAATATTTTACTGATGGAAGCAGCTTCATATCCAAGGGTGTCAAAAAGGCCAGATTTGCCATAGTCACATTAAGCTCGGTGGCCAAGGCCCGCCCCCTAGCGGTAGGAACCTCAGCACAGAAGGCAGAATAGCTCTCACAAGAGCACTACTTCTAGCAAAGAGAAAGTCAGCGAATATCTATACTGACTCAAGATATGCTTTTGCCACCTTGCATGCTCATGGAGCCATTTACAAAGAAAGAGAACTGTTAACTACTGAAGGAAAGGAAATAAAGAACAAAAAGGAAATAGGGCAGGTCCTAGAGGCTGTATGGGCTCCAAAGGAAGTAGCAGTCTTCCACTGTAAGGGACATCAAACAGGAGGAAGTGATGAGACTACAGGAAACAGAAAAGCAGACAAAGAAGTGAAAAGGGCTGCAATGACAGAAATAACAAAGAAAGAAGAGACTTATGTTATGCCCTCATTAGAGCCTCCCCTTGCAGAGACTCCTAACTACTCATCCAGTGAGAAGGTGTGGTTCACACAGGAAAATGGGTGTTATCAAAAAGGAGGCTGGTGGAAGTTTTCAGATGGGGAGGCGTGCCATTCCAGAAGCCATTGCCCCCCAATTTATAATGCAGTTTCACCAAGGAACACACATGGGGAAGACAGCTTTAGAAATTCTCGTAGGGCAATATTTCTATGTGCCATGCCTAACTGCCATCACTCGAGCCATCTGTGAGCAGTGTGTTACTTGCATCCAGAATAACCTAAGGAAAGGGCCTACTCAGACCCCAGGAATTCAGGAAACAGGAGCAGTGCCATGTGAAAACCTGCTTGTAAACTTTACCAAACTGCCTCAGGCTGGAGGCTGTCAGTACATATTAGTGTTTGCACCTTTTCAGGGTGGATCAAGGCATTCCCCACCAGGACAGAAAAGGCATGAGAAATAACCAGGATATTATTAAAAGATATTATTCTTAGATTTAGAATGCCTCTACCTTTAGGCTCGGACAACAGACCAGCTTTTGTAGCAGAAGTAGTACAGCAACTGACTCAGATCTTATAGATTAAATGAAAACTGCATACAGCCTATCAACCACAAAGTTCTGGAAAGGTTGAGAGAATGAACAAGACACCGAAACAACTGTTGAAGAAGTTTTGCCAAGAGACTCATTTAAGATGGGATCAGGTATTACCCATGGTCCTTCTCTGAGTCAGGTGTACCCCTACTACATTAAACGGGTATTCACCCTATGAGATAGTGTACAGCCGACCAACTGCACTTATATCTCAGGTAAAAGGAAATTTAAAGGAAATTGGAGAACTGACCCTAAGAAGACAAATGCAGGCATTAGGTGAGGTAATACAAGAAGTACAAGGGTGGGTAAGAGAAACAATACCTGTTAGCCTTACAGATGCAATACATCCCTTTAAACCTGCTGACTCTGTGTGGGTTAAACGCTGGAATCCTACCACCCTCGGGCCCTTATGGGATGGCCCCCATATTGTAATCATGTCTACCCCTACCACTGTTAAAGTTGCAAGTATTACACCTTGGATCCATCACAGCCGACAAACCTGCAGCCTCAGTTCAAGACCAGTGGACAAGTCAGCAAGATCCAGATCATCCAACTCGACTGATCTTGCGGAGGAACCAAGGCACAGCAGAAAAAGATGACTGCCCTGCCCCAACCACACCAGAGGCTGGTTGGTAAATGCACTGATGAAGCTTGAGGAAACGTCAAGCCCTGCTCTAGTCACACAACAGGAAGCTGACTAGTCTACGCATGGCTGAAGCCTGAGGAAGTTGGTGCTAGATAAGTAAATGTGGATTAAATTTGCAAGTGTAGTTATACTATTGCTTATACTGATTGTTTTGCTGTCATGCTATCTTTGCAATTGCTATCAAACTTGTTGCCCAGGAGGATGCCTGTGCATAGTGTAAACTTGATCACAGTAGTGACAATAATGCTAACAGGCACGGGAGGAAACCAAGATAATTGTCATCATTATATGATAGAAGCTTGGTTTGGTAAAGGTATAACAAAAACCCTGTTATATCAAACTTATTATTAGTGTACAGGAATCCCCTGGGGACATGTGTTTATAATCAAACCAGCTACTCTGTCTATGACCCAAGTCATGGGCAACCTCAAGTATGTTATGATCTAGGCCTCCTACCCTACAACTTTTGGTTTGAAATTCAAATAGGGAAACCTTTGTTACCCACATATGCCAATCCTAATAACGTTGGAACTGGGAAACTCATAAGCAAAACACGGGTATTACCTTATTCACATAAAGAATCAGTTTCTATATATTTTGATGCCTGTCAGGCTGCACACCTCAGCAACCTAATCCAGGAGAAGTCTGCAAGAACTTAGGACAAGAAAGAGTCAGCAGTAAGGCTGCTAAGATCATAATAGAAGAACCAGAAGAAGAATGTCCTGATTGTAACTTTCAACGGACCACACATGAATTCAGCCAACACCTATATACAGGGGGAGTAGCTCTGCTTGCCAGCCAAAAAGCAAAGATTGGTTGTGTGACTAACACATGCAACCCCCTTAATTTGACCATATTAAAGCCAAACATACCTTTTTGGACTAAAGGACATCAAGGAGAGCTAAGCTTTGATCAAGAAAGAGCAAACCTAGGTGTTTCATTGGTCATTATTAAAAAGACTCAATGAGCTAAAGTTCAAGTCAGTCCAATGTCACAGTTCAGATTTTTCAGATCCTTCAATAAACATTTTAACCCCAAGGATCCAAAAGTTCAGATTCCACCAATGTCAGCCAAGAACCTATTTACTCAGCTAGCTGAAAGTATTGCTACTAATCTTTGAGTCACCTCATGTTATGTATATGAAAGTACCAGTATAAGTAACCAATGGCCCTGGGAGGCTAGAAAACTAATGCCACAAGATAACTTCACCATACTGGAATTTGTTACAAGGTTCAATGTATATCCAAGTGTCTGTCTATTAAAAACCCCTATCATTGGAAGATACTGCATAGCATGATAGGAAAAGACTTTCAGACTCCCGTAGGAGATACAACCTGTTTAGATCAGCAATATTTTGAAGAGTCTAAGAACAAGACACAGTGGAGAAGCTTCATAGACAATTCCTCTGTATCAGATTTTAACCCTCTCTCTCAGTTTCCAGCGCTGAATCAGTTGTGGTATCAACTAGACACTACAAATGTTTGGAGAGCACCATCAGGACTATATTGGATCTGTAAGACAAAAGCCTACCAACTATTGCCCGAGAAGTGGACTGGAGCCTGTGTGTTAGGGACAATAAGACCATCCTTCCTCTTGCTCCCACCAAAACAAGGGAAGATTTAAGTTACCCAGTCTATAATGAAGAAAGAAAAAGGACCAGAAGAAACATCTTTACTCAGATAAGTACTGTAGAAAAGATAAACACAAACATAAAGAAGGACATTAAGATAGGTAGCTGGAAAGATAACAAATGGCCTCCTGAAAGAATTATCAAATGCTATGGGCCAGCTAAGTGGGCCCAAGATGGATCATGAGTCTACCGCACCCCTATTTACATGTGAAACCAAATTATAAGATTGCAAAGCAGTACTAGAGATCATAGTCAATAAGACAGCTCGAGCCGTGGATCTGTTAGCCATACAAGCCACTCAAATGAGAGACACTATATACCAAAATAGGCTAGCATTAGACTACCTCCTGGCCTCAGGAGGAGTTTGTGGCAAGCTTAATTTAACCAACTGTTCCTCACAAATCAATGATAATAGAAGAGCTGTTATGGAAATTACTGCCAGAATGCGGAGGTTGGCCCATGTCCCAGTCCAGACTTGGTCCAGGTGGAGCCCAAACTCACTTTTTGGAGGATGGTTCTCATGGTTTGGAGGCTTTAAAACTTTGATAATTGGTTTTGTAGCTATAATTGGAGGATGTCTAATACTGCCTTGTCTTTTACCTCTCCTCTTCAGAAGCATCCAGTCTACTATTGAAGCAATAGTGGACCGAAAAACTACCACCAAAATGATGGTGCTACAAAAATACCAACCGATCCCCTGGGAAGAATATGTGCCTACACAGGAAGAGATAAACGATTATGGTGCTCTTTATTAATCTACATTTATAGCGAGCACCAAAGGGGGAGATGAAGAAAGAATTCATGAATTTTACAAGTATAATCAAAGACAAGACATTTTTACTTTTTCCTTCAAAAGCTAAGTGTAGTGTAGCAACCTCACCCACCTCCCCCGACCCCGCCCCGGTAGAATACTAACTGCCTGTTTTTCCTTCTGTGCTCAGCGAGCCTTATCTGTACTTGCTAGTTTCACATTCCTTGAGGCTCAGTGAGTTCCTGCTTCACCTCTCTAGGGCAGCTGCAAAGTTACAAGGTTGATACAGAAACATGGTTTCCCAGGTATGTGTAACATGTAGTATAAATAAATGTAAAAGACTGATCAACTGCCTAAGTACGCTTCCTGCATCAAGTAGCTCCCGGACACTGACAGCTTAAAAGGTGGCTGCTTTCTTTGTCCGGGGCTCAGACTTTTCTGGACACTAGTCCAACTAAGCCAGGTGATCATCTTTTAATAAAGACCTTTCCTGAACTCTGTTCGGTCTCTCTTATCTCTGATTGTCCTGCAACAGTGAAACCCCATCTCTGCTAAAAATACAAAAATTAGCCAGGCGTGGTGGCACGCACATGCCTGTAATCCCAGCTACTCAGGACGCTGAGGCAGGAGAATTGCTTGAACCCGGGAGGTGGAGGTTGCGGTGAGCCAAGATCATGTCATTGCACTCCAGCCTGCAACAAGAGTGAAACTCCACCTCGAAAAAAAAAAATGTCAAACTAGAATTATATACCCAGAGAAATTATCTTTCAAAATGAAGATAACTTGAAGACATTTTTAGACACTAAATGTTGAAAAATTCACTACCAGCACTATACTACAAAAAAGTTTGAGAAGCTCCTTCAATCTGAAGTTAAATTATACCAGATGAAAATACACACATGCATAAGAGTTTGAAAAGCACTAGAAATGGTGACTCTGTGGGTAAATAAATAAGCTTTTACTTAATTATTTATATCTCTTTAATAGAACAGCACAAAACCTGGGATAAGAGAAATGTAAGTATACTATTGTAAAGTTCTCATCTTCTATGTGAAGTGGTAAAACTTACATGAAGTTAGACTGTAATAAAGTTATAAACCCTAAATAAATCACTAAAATAATAAAAGAATAATAATTAGCAAACTGACAAAAGAGATAAAATTTAATCATGAAACTACTTGGTTCATCCAAAAAGGCAGACGATGAGGAAAAACGGAACAAAGGACAGATGGACCGAACAGAAAACAAAACAGCAAGATGATAGTGTTTTGTTTTGTTTTGTTTTGCTTGGCTTTGCTTTGACATAGAGCCTCACTCTGTCACCCAGCCTGGAGAGCAGTGGCGCGATCTCTGCTCACTGCAACCTCTGCCTCCCAGGTTCAAGTGATTCTCCTGCCTCAGCCTACCGGGTAGCTAGGACTACAGGCATGTGCCACAATGCCTACGTAATTTTTTTGTGTTTTTAGTAGAGACAGGTCTTCACCATGTTAGCCAGGATGGTCTCCATCTGACCTCGTGATCCGCCCGCCTCCGCCTCCCAAAGTGCTGGGTTAACAGATGTGAGCCACCGCGCCAGGCCAAGATGATAGTTTTAAACCCAACTATATCAGTAGTGACATTAAATTAAAAGATGTAAATATCCTCAATTAAATGGCAGAGATCATCATCATTTTTCATTTGAGACATGGAAATTTTAAGAAAAATGAGATACCTCTACACACCTACTAGAAAAGATAAAATGAAAATCAAACATTTAAAAAAAAAAGGCTGGTGAAGGTGCAGTTTGGGTTTAGGAGAACGTGGAGCTCTTACATTTTGCTGGTAGGAATGCAAACTGTACAGTCACTTTGGAAAAGAGACTGGCAGTTTCTTATAAAGTTCAACTCACATTTACCATATGACCCAGATATTCCAATTCTAAATATCTATCCAAGACAAATGAAAACTTATGTTTACTTAAACACCTACATGTCCAATATTAACAGCAGCATTATTATAAACATCAAAAACTGCAAGCAAACCATATGTCCTCTTACTGGTGGATGAATAAACAAACTGTGGCATATCTATACAATAGAATACTATTCATAATAACATGCCATTGACATAAGTAACAACATAGATAAATTTTATATGTATATGGTTAAGTGAAATAAACAATATTTAAAAGACCTCATGCTACACAGTCAACCCTCTGTATCTATGGATTCTACATCCATGGATTCAACCAATAGCAGATCAAAAATATTTGGGGGAAAAATAGATGGTTGTGCCTGTATTGAACATGTACAGACTTTTTTCCTTGTCATTATCCCCTAAATAATTTAGTATAGCAACTATTTATATATCATTTATATTGTATTAAATACTGTAAGTAATCTACAGATAAGGTTTAAGAGAGGATATGCATAAACTATATGTAAATAGTACATACTTTTATATCAGTACTTGAGGACCTGTGGATTTTTGTATACACAGGGTTCCTGAAACCAATCTGCCACAGATACTGAGGAGCAACTCTAATTCTATGTATATGTCTGGAGAAGTCAAACTTGGGCACAGTGGTTGCCAGCAGGTGGACTTGAAACCCAAAAAGCAGCATCAGGAAGTTTTTATGATTGATGAAAATGTAAATTTTGATTGGGGTGGTGATTATATAACTCTTTGTATGTATGAAAATCCATAGAACTATACAACAAAAGAATAAGTTTTACTGTTACATAAAATTTTTGAAAGTAGCTTTAGCACAACATTTTCTAGAAGTCATCTGAAGTCACCTCTGTCGTGCATAATCCCTCTCAGCCCTAAGGTCTGAGGTCCTACTCTACTGGAAGCACCTAGAAGGAGAGCTCTGCTGTTGTCTCTATCACAGTCTGTTACAAAAAGATAATTACTTGTTGACTGCATGCATAGTTTAATCTGGACCATAAGGCATCACATTTTTATAACTCACATTCCCAATAATTTGGCAGTATTAAATCTCACTAATTGCACATTATCTGTATGGACAGATCTAAATAGGAAAAGCAAATAGATGGTTTCAGCAATTACCTAGGTAATTAAACTTAAGCATACATTGATCCAAACATGTGTTAGCATCTCCAGCCAGCAGGGAATGTAGAGAGTTTTGCTCAACAACCACAAAATGTATTTTAGTATTTTTTCCCCAGAGTAGAAACAATTGCATCCAGATTTCATACATTTAATAAATTTTCATAGTTTATCCATGTTTAAATTTTACATAAAAGTTAAAATTGCATACTTGTTCTGTTTTCTTTTGCTCTGTTGCATATCCTAATGACTTCACCCTATTTTTTACCTAACACATGAATAAGTAAAATATAATATTTCTCTATGTAAAAATGATTAAGAAGACAGTGAGATAAATAAAATATGGACAGACCTGTTTGTCTTTTCCCTTTCCTTTATAATAAGTGGCTAAGAAAAAGAAATGTATGCAGAGAACAATGGTTGTGTGCTCACCAACATTCTGTACTAAGGTGTAAATATCATAACCTGAGATAGAAGATTTAAAAATGTTCCTCCTCCTTGACGTCTCTTCTAAGCATATATAAAAATGAAATTGTCTAAAATGAAGATAGTTACATATGTATAGATATTAACTATTTATGATAAAACAAACTTTGGGGAAAAATGAAGGATCCAATAATAAAGGACACTAAATTTAATAATCCACAAAAGATAGAATACAAAGTAGCCATTAACTTAGGGAAAAAAAATGCTTACAACCCAGTTCATGATATAACATAGAACCAATAACGTTGTGTTCACCTTGTTTTTTATGTAAATAATGAGACTTGAAGATACTGCAGTGTAGGCTGAATGATGTATACACACAGACACTGTGTCATATAATGTAAAAAATTAAATGCATGTTTCAACTGTAACATATGTGTTTATGAGTAAATATAACAAAATATTAACAATTACTATCTCATAGTTGCAGAATTACATATGAATTAAAATTTCCAAATCTTCCACAATGGGAATAATTGACTATATTTCTTATTGAAAAAGCTGTTATTTTTAAACTAGTAATAACTAAAAACAAAAGAAAAATAAAACAAGGACAAATTAAAAACTCCAAGAAAGATTTTAGTTTCAAGTCATTGCAAAGGTGCTTCTGAGCTGAGAAACCTTAGGTAGCCTGTGTATCAACTCTGGATTTCTATTTCTTAAACTAATAGAGAGGATACCTCATAGATTTGTTGCAAGGACTGAAAAAATAGCATTTGTAATGTAGTAGACACCAATTAAATGTTTCCACTGTTACTCATCTAGAAAGCAGTTCACTAATATAAAATAATTATCAAGGATATATCCTTAAAGATGCCTAAATAGTCAAAGAAATCATCAATCTTAGGTACACGATATATCTTAAGTGTGTCATCCAAAGCATGCATGTTGGAGAAAACTGAAAATTCCTTGCTTACATATTAGTTCTCTATAGGAAATAATTAAATTCACTTTGGGGCAGATAACTCTAAAGATAAATTCTACTTTCAGAGATAAAATTGCAATCAATGCAGATTTTATTATCTAACTTTCTTAGTCAACTGTGATCAGAGCCTTCCTATATCCTTAACAACGCCCTGGGTGAGAGTATTGATCATTATAGTTCTCAGAGTGAGAATGGTAGCAGAAGTGAATAAAGAGTTTGAACAAGATGTTTAGAAAGTAGTAATAATACAAATTTTCCAAGAATCTAGGAGTATTTATATAGTTAGAGAAGGAGACATAGTTTCACAGAAGTATTTGGAATAAGGAATTTTGTTGATTAAATATTTCAACAAAATAGACAAGTATGTTTTATATAATTATGACGTGGTCAGCCTGTTCATTGAGCTGTGTATTT
Source organism: Homo sapiens (assembly GCF_000001405.40). NCBI lineage: Eukaryota > Metazoa > Chordata > Mammalia > Primates > Hominidae > Homo > Homo sapiens. Next base: position 14,129,152 of record NC_000021.9, read on the forward strand.
ATAGATAAGAGAAGGCATAATGAAAGTCAAATTGGGGACCAATCAGGGAAGGGAAGAAAATGAGAAGAAATGATTTAGCACCTAATATTAACTAAACACTTTACATATATTATACCACTAAAAATAAATGTACAGAATGGCGAGACAAATATAGAAAGAAAAGCAACCATTTTATGAATAAGAATTATTGAATGCATTTATATATATTTGTAATATATCTTAATCAAATTTTGTTAAGATGTGTATTGATTATTGAATACCTAGGTAATAACTATAATTGTGTCCCACAACAGTTAGTGAAAATATGTGTTGTAATTTTCAGGATTTCAAACTAAAAAATTCTTAAGATGTGTACCCAATTATACAATTACCACCTAGAATTATGTCATAACAACTTCTAGGCAAACTAAAGAGAGAATCATTTATTTTAATTATTTGTATTTTAAAATTCTTATGTAATATAACTGCAGAAAAAAATTAATAAAAACAGTTTGATGTCATGGAAGAATGAAGTCAGAAAAAAGAAAAAAATAACAATTTTAAAAGTCGATTGTGAATTAAAATATTCCTTAATATGATAGGTAAAATGCTGATTTTTAAAAAAACCTAAGTATAATAATCTATTTGTTCAATAATGACTCTAATTGTTTTTTTTTTTAAAAAAAAAAAAAGCTTATTTCTCACCTTCCTTAAACAATTTGATTCTTCTCAAGTGAGGCACAACTCACACAACATAGAAAAACATACATATGGTACTCTCACTGTTGATTTTGTTTGAAGTTCCTGTTCCTTATTTGTATCACTTCTCAACATTTCTCTGAACCTGGACAGCATCATTTGAGGACCAAGGAAAAATTGGAGAGGGGGTGGTGGAGAGTGACAGTGGAGGAAACATTTTAGGATGGATCAACAAACTTTGTAAAATTGTAAAGTTAGTTTTTAAAAAATTGCTACTTTTAGACACTCTTCAGAGTTCTAGAGTCCCAGTCCCCATATTCTCCCAAAGTTTAGCCATAATGTTTAAGAGAAAAAGTGAAAGATAGCCAGGTGTGGGGGTGTGCACCTGTAACCCCAGCTGTTTGGGAGGCTGAGGCAGGAGAATCGTGTGAACCCTGGATGCGGAAGTTGCAGTGAGCCGAGATTGTGCTATTGCACTCCAGCCCAGGCAACAGTGCAAGACTCTGTCTAAGAGAGAGAGAGAGAGACAAAAGTGAAATGTGAAAGATTTTAGCATCTGTGCCCTGCCCTTGGACCAAGTTCAAGTTGACATTGCTACCACCACCACCTCGCCAAGGAAGGATGAGGAAACCAGGCTCTCTCTGCTCTGTATATCTAGGATAATACCCACTACCATGCTATGGGCTGCTGACAGACCAAGACTTGAACAGACTGCACTGCCCACAGTTTCTTGCTCATTCAGCACACCTGAGTGGAGCACCGCCCTCTCTGGTCACAAGCCCACACCTAGCATCATTTTGAGAGTTTAGTGATATGCTGTGCCTGACCCTTGGGCCAAGTTTGAGGAGATGCAGCTGCAGCTGCCAACCAGCCAGAGGAGGGATGGAGAGATCAAGCTCTTCTAAGCACACTTAGGACAATAACTACTCCCCTAATGCCAGCAGCTGTGGGACTGAGGTCTAGCCTGCCCCACCCAACACAGCCACCAGGAACACCAACATGGACCAGTTGTGTCCCAGTGCATTGCTCCACCACCACTCATCATCCACATGCTACCCAGAGATCTGAGAGCCTTCCCACACAGCTGGCTCACCACTCCCACTACTAACTTTTTTGTTGTTGTTGTTTTGTTTCGTTTTGAGACGGAGTCTTGCTCTGTCAACCAGGCTGGAGTGCAGTGGCACGATCTCAGCTCACTGCAAGCTCTGCCTCCCAGGTTCATGCCACTCTCCTGCCTCAGCCTCCTGAGTGGCTGGGACTACAGGCGCCTGCCACCACACCCGGCTAATTTTTTGTATTTTTAGTAGAGATGGGGTTTCATCATGTTAGCCAGGATGGTCTCGATCCCCTGATCTCATGATCCACCCACCTCGGCCTCCCAAAGTGACCCACTACTAACTTAAACAAGCTACTTGGAGGCCCCAAAATCATCCCTCCAGGACCAACTAGCACTGGGGCCAGTATAGGCTGTTCTGGGGCCTAAAAACAGGCACATTTACCCCACTCTGCCACCACTGGGGTCTGAAGCCTGGTTCAGTTAGCATCCAAGTCCCCATCAAAACTTTGCCACAACATCAACTAATAACTACCTTAAGTCACTGAGGAAATCACAGTTAATACAGACTCTGTGTACTGCTGAAGAAGTCATACAAAATTATACTATCACAGGCACCCAAAATCAAAACCAATATATCCTACTCAACCAACAATCTACAAACATCTTTAGGAAAAAATTCTCCCCTATAGAAGCACTTTAAAAAACTGAAACAAGTGACTGCTACACCAGATGTGTAGATATCAGTAGAAGGACACAGAAACATGAAAAAGCAGGGAAATATGACACCACCAAGGGACCGCAACAGTACTCAAGCAATAGATCCCAACCAGAAAGAATTCCTCAAAGTGCCAGGTAAATAATTCAAAATATAGAATTTAAAGAAGCTCAATGAGATGTAAGAGAAATCTGAAGACTCATACAAAGACATCAGAAAATCAATTCAGGATATTAATGAGAAATTTACAAAGTTTCTTGAAAGAAAAAAAGCATAAATTCTAGAAGTAAAAATTTCACTGAAGGAAATACAAAATACATCCAAAAGCTTCAATAAGCTTCAACAATAAATTAGACCAAGAAGAAGAAAGAATCTCAGAACTCAAAGATACGTTTTTAAAAATAATCCAGTCGGGCAAAAAACAAGCAAATAAACAAACAAAAAAACAAAGCCTTTAACATCTTTTACTACATGAAGTGACCAAACGTATTAATTATTGGTATTCCAAAGAAGGAGGAGAGATCACAAAGCTTAGAAAAACTACTTAAGGAAAGTGGATAAAAACTTCTCAATCTAACAGGAGAGTCAGACATGCAAATACAGGAGTCCCACTATTTCCCAGGCAAATACACTGCAAATAGTACATCACTGTGGCATATTACCTTTAGGAGGTCTAAAGGCAAACTGAAAGAATTTTTAAATTAGCAAATGAAATGTATCTAGTCACCTATAAAGGAAGCCCCATCAGAATAACAACAGACTTTTTAGCAGAAACCTTATGAGCCAGAAGATAATTGAATGACATTTTCAAAGTGCTGAAAACACACACACACAAAAAAGTTTTGGCCAAAATATTTATATCCTTCCAGAATAAGCTGCATAAATGAAGGAGAAATAAAGTATTTCCCAGACAAGCAAATGCAAAGAAAATTTTTCACCAATTAACAAGTCCTACAGGAAATGCTCAAAGGGATCCTAAACATGGAAACAAAAAGTCAATATTCACCATCACAAAAACACAAAAATATAAAACTCACAGTTCTTATAAAACACTCACACAAAGGAAGAAGATACAGGAATAAAATGGCAACACTACAGAATCTCATAAAACCACAAAGTTCTTCAAAAAGATAAATAAAATTGATAAACCACTAGCTAGGCTAACCAAAAACAGAGAAGATCCAAATAAACACAATCTGTAAAGAAAAAAGGGATATTACAACTGACACCACAGAAATACAAAAGATCTTGAGAGACTATTATTAACAACTATGTGCTCACAAACTAGGAAACCTAGAGGAAGGGAGTAAACTTCTAGAAACATACAACCTCCCAAGACTGAACCTAGAAGAAATAAAACACCTCAACAGACCAAAAATGAGTAGCAAGATTGAATCAACAATAAAATCTCACAACAACAACAACAACAAAAAATGCCCAGGACCAGATGGATTCACAACCAAATTCTACCAAACACACAAGAAACTAATACATATCCTCATGAAACAACTCCAAAAATTGAGGAGGAAGGAATTCTATTCTTTCTAACTCATTCTAAGAGGCCAGTATCACCCTCATATGAAAACCAGATAAAGACACAACAAAACTACAGATTAATATTCCTGAAGAAAATAGATGCAAAAAATAGCAAATCAAATGCCATAGCACATTAAAAAAATAATACACTGTGATCATGTGGGATTTATTGCAGGGATGCAAGGATAGTTCCACATGTGCAAATTAATAACTATGACATATCACATAAGCAGAATGAAAGACATCATCTCAATAGATCTAGAAAAAGCATTTGATAAAATTCCACATCTTTTCACGAGAAAAATTCTCAACAAACTAGACATAGAAGGAACATACCTCACATAATAAAGACAATAAATGACAGACTCACAGCCAGCATCAAACTTAATGGGGAAAAGTTGAAAGCATTTCCTTTAAAAATTGGAAAAATATAAGGAAGTTCACTTTCACCACTCTTATTCAACGCAGTACTGTAAGTTCTCACCCCAGATAAATCAACCAAGACAACAAAATAAAAGGCACACAAATTGGAAAAGAGGAAGTAAAATTATCTCTGTTTGCTGATGATATATGCTTATATCTTGAAAACCCTAAAGACTCCACCAAAAAAACTCTTAAATTTAATAAGTGAATTCAGAAAAGTTTCAGCATACAAAATTACCATACAAAAACCAGTAGTGTTTCTATACATCAATAATGATCTAGCCAAGGACAAAGTTAAAAAGACAATTTCATTTTGCAATGCTACAACACATTAAAATACTTAGGAATATAGTTAATCAAGGAGGTAAATCATCACTTGGCCAAGCACAGTGGCTTGCCACTGTGGGAGGCTGTGAGCTCCTTGGGAGGCTGAAGCTGGAGGATTGCTTGAGCTCCAGAGTTCAAGATCAGCCTGGGCAACATAGGGACAACCCATTTCTACAAAAATAATTTTAAAAAAAATAGTCAGGCATGGTGGTGCATGCCTGTGGTCCCAGCTACTTGGGAGGCTGAGGTGGGAGGATCACTTGGGCCCAAGAAGTCAAGGCTGTAGTGAACTGTGATCATGCCAGTATACTTCAGCCTGGATGATAGAATGAGATTCTGTCAAAAAAACAAAACAAAAACAAAACTCTGTAAGGATAACAACAAATTACTGATGAGAGAAATCATAGATGACACAAACAAATGGAAAATGGCCCGTGCTCGTGGATTGGAAAAATCAGTATCATTAAAATGACCATACTGCCCAAAGCAATCTATAGATTCAATACAATTTCTATTGGATTACCAAAGTCATTTTTATAGAATTAGAAAAAAAATCTAAAATTCGTATGGAATCAGAAGAGAGCCCAAATAACCAAAGCAATCCTAAGCAAAAAGAACAAAGTTGGAGGCATCATATTACCTAACTTCAAATTATACTACAAGGCTAGAGTAGCCAAAACAGCATGGTACTGGTATAAAAATAGACACACAGATCAATGGAACAGAATAGAGAACACAGTAATAAAGCCATACCCTACAACCAACTGATCTCCAACAAAGTCAACAAAATAACACACTGATAAAAGGACAGCCAATTCAATAAATAGTAGTAGGAAAATTGAATAGCCATAGGCAGAATAATGAAACTGGACCCCTGTCTCCCACCATATACAAAGGTTAATTCGAGATAAATTGAACACATAAACATAAGACCAGAAACTATTAAAAAAAATCTTAGAAGAAAACCTAGGAAAACCTCTTCTGGCCATTGGCAAAGAATATATGGTCAAATCCTCAAAAGCAAATGCAAAGAAACAAAAATAGACAAATGGGACTTAATTAAACTAAAAAGCTTCTACACAAAAAAGAAACAATCAACCGAGTAAACAGAAAACTTACAGGATGGGAAAAAAATTATATGCAAACTATGCACCTGACAATGGGTTAATACTCAGAATCTATAAGTAACTCAAACAGCTCAAAAAGCAAAATAATAATCCAATTAAAAAGTGGGCGAGGACATGAACATACATTTTTGTAAAGAAGACATACAAGCAACCAAGAAATATATGAGAAAACAGTTGACATCACTAATCATCAGAGAAATGCAAATTAAAAGCACAGTGGGATTTTGGGAGGCAGGGCAAGATGGTGGAATAGAAAGCTCCACTATTCCCCACTGCAAAGACATCAAGTTAACAAGTATCTACACGGAAAAAAACACCTTCATAACCAAAAAATCAGATGAGCACTCATAGTACCTAGTTTTAACTTCATATCACTAAAAGAGGAATTGAGGAGATAGAAAAATCAGCTCTGAGTCACTGACACCACTCCTCCCCCATCCCCAGGAGTGGCGGCATGGTGCAGAGACCCTCTCTGGGTGCTAGGGGAAGGAGAACACAGCAATTGAGAGGCATTGAATTCTGTGCTGTTCTGTTAGAGCAAAAGGAAAAACCAGATCAAACTCAGTTGACACCAGCCCACGGAGGGAGTATTTAAACCAGGCCTTGCCACAGGGGAATCAGCAATCCCAGTAGCCTAAACTTTAGTGTCAAGAAACCTGGCCACTGAGGCCCAAAGTACTCTTTGCCTCTAAGTAAGCTTGAAAGGCAGTCTAGGCCTTCAGGACTGCAACTTGTAGGTGAGTCCTAGGGCTGAACTAGGCCCAGAGGCAATAGATTGAGGGGCCATGTCACATACTGAGACATCAGTTAGGGAAGTTAAGGGAGTACTGGCATTACCCCTTCCCTAACCTCAGGCTGCACAACTCGTGGCTCCAAAAAAAGACCCCTTCTTCCCACTTGAAGGAAGGAGAGGTAAAGGTGGGGAGGACTTTGTCTTGCATCTAGCATAGCAGCTCAGCCACAACACGATAAGGCAACAGTCAGAGTCCTAAGGCCCCGTCTCCCCTGTTCCAGGCTCTAGCTCCTAGAAAACATTTCTAGACATGCCCTGGCCCAGAAGGAACCCCACTGCCTTTGAGGAAAGAACCCAGTCCTGACAGCATTCATCACCTGCTAACTGAAGAGCCCTTGGGCCCTGAATAACCAGCAGCAATACCCAGGTACTGCATGGAGGGCCTTGGCGAGCCTCAGAGATTTGCTGGCTTCAGGGACAAAACTGCTACAGGAGGGTAGAGCACCAAGTGGGCTCGTGGGGTTCACAATTCCAGGACTTGATTCTTGGATGGCATTTCTGGACCTGCCCTGATCCAGAGGGAGCCCACTGCCCTAAATGGTGAGTCCCAGGCTAGTTAGCATTCACCACCAGCTGTCTTAAGAGAAATTGGGACTTAAGGGAAAATCACTGGTAGTCTGGCAGTACTTCTTCTGTCCAAGGGTGGTGGTGCCTATGGGGTGAGGCTCCCCTGTCTTTGGAAAGGGGAGGGAAGAGGGGGAATGACTGTGTCTTGTAATTTGAGTGCCAGCTCAACTGCAATATAGTAGAATACCAGGTAGACTTCTAAGGTTTTTGACTCTAGTCGCTGACCCCTGGATAGTACTTCTGGATCCACTCAGGGCCTGGGGGACCTCACCACCCTAAAAGGAAAAACACAGGTCTGAACGGCTTGGCCACCTGCTGATTGTAGAACACCAGGGCCTTGAGTGAACATAGGCAGTTTCCAGGGAGGAGTTACAGTAGGTCTTGGGCAAGACCCAGTGCTGTACTGGCTTCAGGTCTGACCCAACACAGTCATAGTGTTGGTGGCCACAGGTGTGCTTGTGTCACTCCACCCCCAGATTTAGGTGGCTCAGAGCAGAGACAGAGAGACTCTATATGTATGGGAAAATATAAGGAAAGAGAACAAGAGTCTCTGCTGGTAATCCAGATAATTCTCCTGGATCTTGTCCAAGACCATCAAGGTGGTACCTCTATGAGTCTCCAAGAACCACAGCATTACTGGGCCTGGGGTGCTCCCTAAAGCAGGAACAGCTTAGATCACAACACTCAAGTTGTGACCCAAGTGTTTTAAAAGGTCTGGAGTGCTGTCCTAAGAAGGATGACCAGAAATAAGCCCAGAAAGTGAGGACTACAATAAACACCTAACTCTTCAATACTCAGACACCGAAGAACATCTACTAGCATCAACACCATGCAGGAAAACATGACATCAACAAAGGAACTAAATAAGGCACCAGTAAACAATCCTGGAGAAACAGAACTATGTGACCTTTTAGACAAAAAATTCAAAATAGCAGTGTTGAGGAAACTAAAAGGAATTCAAAATAACACAGAGAAGGAATTCAGAATTCTATCAGATAAATTTAACAAAGAGATTGAAATAATTAAAAAGAATCAAGCAGAAACTCTGGAGCTAAAAAATGCAGTTGGCACACTAACAAAAGCATCACAGTCCTTTAAAAGCAGAATGGATATAGCAGAAAGAAGAATTAGTGAACTTAAAGACAGGCTATTTGAAAATACAGTCAGAAGAGAAAAAAGAATATAAAGCAAGGTAGCATGCTTACAGGATCTAGAAAATAGCCTTAAAAGGGGAAATACAAGATTTATTCACCTGAAAAAGGAGGTAGAGAAAGAGATAGGGGTAGAAAGTTTTATTCAAAGGGATAATAACTGATCCAAGATAATAACAAATAACAGGGATAATACCCAAACCTAGAGAAAGATATCAATATCCAAGTATAAGAAAGTTATAGAATATCAAACAGATTTAACCGAAAGACTACCTTGAGGCATTTAATAATCAAACTCCCAAAGGTCAAGGATAAAAAAAGGGACCTAAGAGCAGCAAAAGAAACAAATAAAATGTTATGGAGCTCCAGTACTCCTGGTGCCAGACTTTCAGTGGAAACCATGTAGGCCAGGAGAGAGTGGCATGACATATTTAAAGTGCTGAAGGAAAAAAATAAGTTTACCATAGAGTAGTATATCCAGGGAAAGTATTTTTCAAGCATGAAGAAGAAATAAAGACTTTCCCAGAAAAACAAAAGCTGAGGGATTTCATTGATACCAGACCGTATTGATTACAATGTTCACCATTGAGGTTTTGGGCACACTAATAGCCCAGACTTCACCACTCCACAATATATTCATGTGAGAAATATGCACCTGAACCCCCTAAACATAGATAAAAAATAAAAATAAAGATTAAAAAATTAAAAAAGATTTCAGGACAAGTAATATAACAGGATAGATAGATAGATAAAAAAATAAAGATTTCAGGACAAATAATATAACTGCATATTGGCTGTCTAAGTTTATTCTCTAAATTAAAGACAGCTTTTTGGCTGTTCTTCAGTGAATAAGTGCTCTCATTTATCTAGAGAACAGCATAATATTTTTAAAAGAATCTGGAAATGATTGAACTAAATCCAATTAAGCTGAATAACTAGAGGAGTTAAAACAAGTGTGCAAGGCACTCAGACTAAAGCTGCAAAATTTTGGTATCCATATAAATTTTATTAATTTTTTAATCAAGGTATTTTTATAAGAAAAAGTCACTTAATTTTCTCCAATTATGGAATACTTATATATTTATTATATATTTGGAAAAAATTGTCCCTAGCCATCATTATGTTGTGATAGTTCTGCAATTTTAATGATTGCATAACATTTAATATTACAGCTATTCCATAATCAATGTATAAATTACCCTATTATTGAGCAGTCGATTTATTTATAATTTTTAGCATTGTTAATCAAATTGTAAATGTCTTCTATAGAAATACATACGTGCATTTTAGATCTTTCATTTTATTTATTTAACAAACATTTACATAACACTTATATGCCAGGCAATATATTACATTCTTTATAAATATTACATTATTTAATCTTCTTAACAATTCTGCAAAATAGACTATAACTACTCCCATTTTACAGGTAAGGAAAATGAGGCACAGAAAGGTTAATCATATTTTCAAGGTAATAAAGCTAGTAATTAGCTGAACTGAAATTCGAACCAGGATACTCTGGCTCCAAAGCTGACACTCTTAAATGTTACTTTCTGCTATGTCTCTGAAGTATAAATTCTAGAAGAGGATAGGGCCAGAAGTATTAACACTTGGGGATTATTAGAGTATTTTATTCACTTATTTCCAAATTGTATACTATACCCAGTATACAATTTATTAGTGTATTTTATTATTAGTGGGGATTATTAATGTATTTTATTCACTTATTTCCAGTATATGTATACAATTTTACATACCTACAATTGGTGAAACAAGATGGCAATTTCAGTATAACTTCAACAATATACTTTTTTTACAGTTTGGGAAGAGATATATTATGTCTCATAGCCTTCAATTGGGTTTAAGCATTTAAAAACATGTCTATTAATCATTTTTTCTTTCTTTTTAAAATTGTTCCATGCCAATGTATTTATTTCTGCATTTATTCATTCAACAACTATTCCTTTAGTGCCCAATATGTACCAGGCACAGTTCAAGGCACTTGAAATAAGTCTTTGAAGAAAATACATAGACTCAACATCCTCAAGAAACTTATCTTCTACTTGCAGAGATACAAACAATAAACAGCAAACATAAGTACAGAGGACAGTATAGATAATAACTCCTACGAGAACAACAAAAAATTCCAGGTAAGAGGATTGATAGTGGAAGAGCTGCTGCTCACAATTGTAAACAGGATGATAAAAGTAGGCTTCATTGAGAAAATGGCATTTGAGCAAAAGCTTGGAGGTGAGAAAGTTAGCCATCGGCACTTCAAGGGGAAGAAATTTCTAGGCAGAGGGAACATCCAGTACAAAGGTTCTAAGGAGGATCCTACCTGGTGTGTCCAAGGAACAGCAAAGAAGGCTGTCAGGATATAGCTAAGTGTGCAGGTACAGTAGTCAAGGCGTTGAAATTGGGAGGTATGAGGCAGTGGAGATACTAGTTAGGTCATGTGGAGTTTGTAAGCTATTGTGAAGACTTTGGCTTTTATATGAAGTGTGAAGGCAAGACTTTTGAGATTGTTGAGCAGAGGTGTGACATAACCCACTTTTAAAAGGGTCACTCTGGACAACAAATTATAGGACAACAAATTATAGGACACAAAGCTAAAAGCAAGAGAACACTTAAGAGGCTATTTTAAGAATTCAAGGAGAGATGATAAAACTTAGTGAGTTTGTAGCAGTACAGGTGGTAAAGAATTCTGGATATTTTCAGAAGGTAGGAACAAAGAGATTTCATGATTGGATGATGAGTGAGAAGAAAAAGACTAGTCTATGATGAACCCAGGTTTCTTGGCTTAAACAACTGGAAGGATATTTCTTTCCATGTTTCAACTAGAACGTATTTTAAAAATATTTTTGTAAAAGTTATTTATATATAAATAATTTAAATCCATCTATGTCATATACATTACAAAAGTTTTCTCAGTTTACTTTTGTTAATTTTGTTTGTGACATACAGTTTTAATTTTGTATATTTGTAGGCAACCGTAATATTTTTCTTTCAGTTTCCTGTTTTGGCTTTCATTATTGTGCAAATATAAACATTTGCCTAGATTTTCCTCCATTTTTTTGTTTATCAGTATACATTTAATACTTTACCATATCTAAAATTAATCTTGATATATGACATATCAAAGTCTTTTTCACTTGTCATTTATTCCAGCATCATTTTCTGTAATGCTCTTCTTATCATCTATAAAATTCTATTTTGGAATTTTCCATTTATTCCATTATATTCTTCCTCAAGCATCAAATATCTTTATTGTTGTTTTGGAATATTACTGTTTCATAAAGCTGTGAACATTACATTCATTATTCAGTCTGTTTGGCTCATCTTATTATTTGTAATTCCAAGTTGATTAGGAACAACCAAGCAACATCTACCTTAGATTTTGACTGGAGTCATGTTAATCTTGTAGGTGCATTTAACAAGAATGGCTATTGCTATAACATTGAATCTTCTACTCCGTTGATAATTTTTTGAATATTTGCAGAATTCTCTTCATCATCAAAGTTTTAAAATAAAATTTATAAGAATGGGTCTAAATGTTTGTTCTTTTCGTTCTTTTAGTTCCTGGTTTTCAGTTCATCCTTTCCATTTGAGATCTGTATCTTCTTTTCCTCAGTTGAAGGGGAATTTTTTTTTATTACATCCGTAGTTAGTTCTTCTGCTGTGTCTCCTCTTCAGCAACATTAGGTATCCAAAATATTGCATTTCAGTTATTTCACCCTAAGACCCTATTTTCTCTATTTTTATATCTCCTTATTCTATAAGTTATTGATAAATATATTTTCTACATTATTGGTCAAATCTATTATTTACTATTTTAATGTTGATACCAAATAACTTTAGTTGTTTTTTTTTTTTTAACTCAGCCAACCTTCTTTTAACTGCAATCAGTTGTCCCATCATCTCACTCTTCACTCGTTCTTATATGGATTTTTGTTTTCTTAACTACCATTGAGAACATTGAGCAATGCTTTATGGAACTTTCTTCTGTTTCCTGTTATAAATCTTTTAAAAAGTCAACCTTATTTCTAAATCTTGATTGTTATACCTTTTCTTCTTGCATTGCTATGCTGCATTAGGCCTCATTTTGTTGTTGTTTTGTTGTGTTTTTCTTGTCCACTTCTGCTTAAATGACGAAAGTGGTAGCTGCCCTGGCATTTGCCCATGTACACAGAGGGTGGATTATCCTTGGTTCTTTTTACCGTCCATATGAATGGAACTAAATTTCTGTTTCTCATCTTGAGCTTATGTGTTGTTTTATATGCAAATATTCTAGCTAAATTTCTGATGTCTGGCCAAGATTTACATTGTGTGCTGCCTCTCGACTGAGGAGGAAATTCTCTTGTATTTATGATACCACAGGGAGAAAACTTCATCCCTGGATAATATAAATTCTTTAAATTTAAATCCCAGGAAGAAAGCATGCACTACAACTTCTAGACATCTCTAATTATACTCCAACTTTACATTTAGAAGGTATTAATAAGGCAACAAGGGGACAACAACCCCTGTTACAATGATGCAAAACTCCTGGCCCCTTTACAGCCTAGCCTTAGTGGACTACAAATATAATTTCTATTCTTATGTTTAGTGGAGGCTTTGCATCTTCAAAATAACAGTCGGGGGTTGGGGGACTAGGGGAGGGATAGCATTAGGAGAAATACCTAATGTAGATGACAGGTTGATGGGTGCAGCAAACCACCATCGTACATGTATACCTATGTAACAAACCTGCACATTCTGCACATGTATCCCAAAACTTAAAGTATAATTAAAAAATAGAATAAATTGAAATAACATTGAATAAATAAATGAATACATAAACTAACCTAAAGGAAATAAACAAAAATGTCAGCATATTAGGTCAATGGCTTAATTATAGATTATAATAATTATGTATTATATAAGTATATTTATAGATTATAGATAATATATTATATATATATTTTGTTGTTGTTGTTGAGACAGTGTCCTGCTCTGTTGCTCAGGCTGGAGTGCAGTGGCACAATTATGGCTCACTGCAGCCTTGACCTCCAGGCTCAAGTGATTTTCCCACCTCAGCCTCCTTAGCAGCTGGGACTACAGGCACGCACCATCATGCATGGCTAATTTTTTAAATTTTTTGTAGAGATAGGATTTTGCCTTGTTGCCCACGCTGGTCTCAAACTCTTGGCCTCTAGTGATCCTCCCGACTTGGCCTCTGAAAATGCTGGGATTACAGGCGTGAGCCACCACTCTTGGCCAATTTGTATACTTATAATTTAGATTTTATATTTATACTATAATTAGTATATTAACTTACACTTATATTTGATAAATATTTTAATATCTATCAACTCAATTATTTGCATTATCTGTCCTAGGAAGTACTTTCCTGACATCAAGTTCCCTAAGATGTGAACTTTAATCAGCATGCTACTTGAATTTTAATCAGAATCATAGAGTAAAAATTGCCCTGGAAGAGTGTTTTATAGAAACTCTAGAAAAACCCAGCGAAATATGCCTACTCCACAATTGTATTTGCTGTTCTAATGACCAGATAATGGAATCCCCAAATACAGTAGCCCTTTACCATTAAAAGTATTAGATGTTTTGGAAAAGAGAGAGTGATGAGAAGCAAAAATAACAATAATAATAACAGATACAGAGATTAGTTGAAGATTGAAAATCTTACAGCTCTAGTCCTTCAAGGCATGATCCCTCCCCACTATATACTTTCATAGGGAATGATATTGCTAATGTTCCTGCCGAAAATGTTCAGATATTTTGGCATTTTCAAAGGCAAGGAACAATACAATTACTCCTAGATTTTTGCCATTATAGCAACATCTGATTTATTGACTTTTCAGTAACTAAATAATATCACACCAAAAGTTATAAAATGACTTCCCAACTCTCTTCTGTTGATATAGACCCCACCTAAATGTATATTATTATCATTTATTATTTTTATTTTTACTCTCCACAGGTTCTTGTGTACTATGTTTAACATTGACAAGAAGATAATTAGGAAATAAATATATATAAATACAGGAACATAAAGAGAAATAAAGAGGAAGCACCACAGTCAACTAAAAAAGAGAGATTCCCAGCAACCTACACAACCATTTCTATAGGCTCTCAGCTGATGCTTAGTGTTTGGACAACTCACACATGCAGATTGACAGATGACCAACTTATAAAAGAGATTTTTAATAATTCTTAATGATTTCACAGGGTGTTGTCAATGGAAATATGGATTCTTCTACAGCAAACATGTACATCTATATCATGTGGAACAAGGATAGTGGGAAAACCTCTGATTGTGAGGACGTAGAACTGAGAAGAGCATATGAAATGTCATAAGAAAAACACTTCTGGAGCATGTCGTCTTCAAGAAAATGGTGCCCAGACAGTCAGGATTGTGTTACATTTTAATAGGAATGGGGATATTTGTGATATACTGACAAACCAAGACAGGTGACTATAAAACTGCAATGTAAAGTGTCAGCTTCTCCTCACACCTTTATAGTAGACATCTGAGAACCTCACTCCTGTCAGCATATTCTTGGGGTTGAATCTCAAGTGATCCATAGAATCTTAGATAAAGCAGATGAAAATAGGCTTTTCTGTCTTCCTAAGTAAACAGCAATGAAGTTGAGAGAAAGAAGATATTGCTGGAAGTCATGATAAAGTCTATCTTCTGTGACCATATGTTTCCTTAGAGAGTTTTAGACATTGACCCTCATCTAAAAAATTGTGAAAAAGGACTCTCACCAGTCTGTTAATATGTATGTATATGAAAGAAATTACTGGTAAACTTCTAAGGCAGGCATTGGTGTTACTTTTTTTTATCTTTATTGTGTCTGTGAAATGATTGTGTGTATTTTTTCTTTGATTAGACAATGAGATTCCCAAATAAATTTTATTAAAGCCAAAAAAACCTTTATACCTTTTTGAGATTCTAATATTTATGTAAAATATAGTCTGAAATACACAATAAACAGATATTTGAATACATGAATTTTTAAACCATTACTTAAGAAACCAATATTTTCAAGTTTAAAAGATAACATGTTGAAATCAAAATTTAATTTTCTTACCTTTCTGGGTATGTAAGTGATTTTAACATGAGACTCTGGATCTTGTATGTGCATGTGGAACACTGCAGATTTGAGCTCTGGAAATATGTCAAACCAATGCTTGAAATATTTACAAAGTCATTATAAAATTGAGCAAGAATCTTGACTTCTTGAAGTTTATAAAATGGTTTGTTCTTTCTAGAGAGAAAATTTGATACACGCAGCATATTAATAATTTGAAACATAACTCAATTCTAAAATCAATATAATCCTAATAAGGGAGGCCACAGAGAACAAAATTATAGGGAAAAGGCCAAACAAAATATTATTGCAGTATTTATTAAAATAATTAAAACCGTAATTTATAACAGAACAAAATAATAAATGCAAAATAATAATAAATGCATTCCCTCATAGAACTATTTTGAAAATGCTTCTTTTGGGAAAAAGTGACATGTCTTTCTGAGTAGATGTCTAGATTTTACATTTGACTAGAATTAGAGAAGTCATCCTATATGTGTTTTTTACAGTTCCTTAAATAGACTAGGTGCTTAACGGACAACTTAAAAATATTTTATCAAATATTTTTGACCTAGAGCAATAACTTATAAAGGCCTGAGATTCAAAACAGAAATACAGTGTTTAATAAGTACAATTTTCTGTGCATTTACAATGTAATTAAGCTTTACATGCTTAACCTCATTTAACTACCTGAAAAACTCCTTTTATTAGGTACTATGAGTATTACCATTTTACAGATAAGAAAACTGAGCATCAGAGCATATAAATGTCTTTCCCAAAGCCACACAGCTAATAATGCTCCTCACTGCTCTGCTCAATTTCTCATCCCTATGTGCCAGAAATGTGGGTCCCTGGAGTCATTTATCTCAACCTGGGCTTTCATGACCCCAAGAGGAACTCCAGCTACTCTATTGCACTTTTTCTCACTAGAAAAAACTGATGGCAAAGAGGAGAAAGAGAAGGAGAAGGAGGAAGAAGAGGTGTAGGAGGAAGAGATGAAGGAAGAGAAAGAAAAGTAGAAGGCGGAGGTGGAGGAGAAGAAGGAGGAGAAAGGGAAGGGACTAAAGAAGAGGACAGAAGTGAAGGGAAAAAAAGTTTTTTAAAAAATCAGTTCAAAGAAGTTTCTCTTTTGAGCCAACAACAACTTGGTTAATCAAAGGTGACAATCACACAGAGAACAGCTGAAGAGTAACTAGTAGGGCACCCAGCACTCCCTGCCATCTCATATTTTTTCCTGCTCTCTTTTTGATTCCTTGCAGCAGTTAGACACCAGAAAAAGGACATGATCATTCTACTCAAAGTCCATTTCTGCTACCTCCTGGCAGGGTTACCACCTTCTTTTTCACAGACTATAATGTCATTAGATATATCACTAATGTCTTTCCATGAACATATCCAAATTTTTCAGTGATAATTCAAATTCAACATATCCAGATAGGAATGTGTTATCTTTCCATACAAACTCACAGCCACACCAGTGTTTTCAATTACCAACAGTTTGCTCATGACTACAAAATCTCTACCTTCAGCTAAGGCCTGTATGCTAAGTTTTAGTTACATGTATCCACTGTCATTTATCGTGTCCATGTGGATATCTTAAGGATGCCTGAAGCTCACTAGGTTCAAATCTAAATGACTCATCTTCTCCAACACTTTCTCCAACCAAAAAAAAAAAAAATACTAAAACTAAAACTTACATTGTCTCAGAGTATTAAATGGCATCACCACCTATTACCCAAGTCAAATAACTAGGATTCACCCTTGATAGTGCCCTTCTTTCAACCTCCACATTCAATCTATCAGAAATTTATATTGACTTTACCTCTGAAATATCAAAACTGATTTGAATCCCTCATTTTTCCATTTCAACTATAAACCTTCAAACCCAGGGCACCATTGTGTCATGTCTATATTCCTGCAACAGCATCTTGCTTTGTATCTCTCCAATCCACTGTGGTTAAATTGTTTTTCCAAAAGAAAAATCCAACTGTGGCCTCAACCTGACTGCCACAACTAAAATACTTCAGTGGTTTTCATGTGCCCAGTGAATAAAATATAAATTCTGGAACATGGCCTATGAGTTCTAATTTCTATAATATATCTAAGTGTTCTCTAGATTTCTCCTCTCTTTCTTACTTTCCCAGTCTCTATTTTTTTTTTTTTTTTTTTTTTTTTTGAGATGGAGTCTCACTGTCACCCAGGCTGGAGTGCAGTGGTGCAATCTCGGCTCACTGAAACCTCCATCTCCCAGGTTCAAGTGATTCTCCTGCCTCAGCTTCCTGAGCAGCTGGGACTACAGGCACACGCCACCACACCCAGCTAATTTTTGTATTTTTATTAGAGACAGGGTTTCACCATATTGGCCAGGCTGGCCTCGAACTCCTGACCTTGTGATCCACCCACCTTGAACTACCACAGTGCTGAGATTACAAGCGTGAGCCACCATGCCCAGCCCCAGCCTTTATTCTTAAACACACTAAACTGCCTTCAGCTCCTGAAGTGGGTCATGCTTCTCTATGCTTCAGATTTTCTGTATTTATTGGTCCTTCTGCCTAGAATGCAGTAGGGCAATGACTGCTGTTCACCATTCAGGACTCGACTAATATAAGCATCAATAGAGAAACTTTTAGTCACCCCACTAATTGACATCCCCTATTTTAATTTTCTATATACATTATGATTTATGTCAAGACTTTTTTATGAACAGATTTTACTTATATAATTTTATAATTATTTGACTATCCTTATATGTCTCATTATGCTACAAGCTTAATGAAGGTAAGACCATGACTGATTTTCTCACCACAGTATCCCCAGCACTTAACACAGTGCCTGGCTCCGTGTAGATAATCATTAAAAATTGTTTGAATAGTAGAATGATGGACATCGTTGTTTTATTTTTATTATTAATTTAAAATCTATCTGCTATAGACATCTAATTTATATAAGAGCAGACATTTAATTTGTCCAGAATTGTATCCCCTATTCCTAGCACAGATCCGGGTCTATAGAAGAACTCAATAATTTGTAATGAATGGATTAAATTGGATTCTCTCCATGTATCTTTTAGCTCAGTATAATAGCATTATACTTTTTAAATAGTCACAAAGCTCAAAACTTGAAGTCACTCTAGATTGGTTTCTTTCCTTAACGTTCACTTATTCAATTAACCATGCAAACACACAACATGTCTATTCTAAAGCCCCAAAACCTCTGGAATCTCCCTTACCCTGTTTTTTTGTTCCCACTGATTTGGATCCAGGCTCATGTTATCTTTCATATGAATTATCACAGTAACTACTTCTGTAGCCTCCTATCTCACGTCTTGCTCCCTCTAATCTCTCCATTACTCATATGTCTGGGCCATCTTTCTATCCTGAATATCCAATATTGATATTTCCCATTTAACATCCTATATTGGCATATTAATATATCTGGTCCAATGAATCATTAGTAGTATAGAAAAAATAACATTCAGTATAAAAATCAGGATGCAGAACACATTTCAATCAGATCCTAATTTTGCTAAATAAAAAAAATCATATGTCTGCACATAGGGGCATGTACAAGAAGGAGGAAGGGGAAGAATGATTATAAACCAAATGCAAAGTGTAGGTATTCCTGGATGGTATAATTACAGGTGATCCCTATTTTCTATTATATAATATTATACATTTTCTACAGTGAGTAAATATTCCTGTTTCCATTTTAAAAAGGAAAATAAAAGATCATTTAAAATTCTTTGACTCCTGTGCCATCTTAAAGACAATTAAAATCCCAAAACATAATTAAATGTATACTCATGTGCTGCACAATGATTTTTTTGTCAACAAAGGACTGAATATATGACAGTGGTCCCATAAAATTATGACACTATATTTTCACTGTACCTTTTTCTATGCTTAGATATTTTTACATAGACAAATATTTACCATTGTGTTACAATTGCCTCCAGTATTCAATACCGTAGCATGCTGTACAGGTTTGTAACTTATTGCTTCTAGGTTATAAACCTATGCTACACTCCATATAGCCTACGTGTGTAGCAGGCTATACCATCTAAGTTTGGACTCTATAATGTCCAAGCAATGACAGAATCACCTAAATATGCATTTCTCAGAGGATATTCCCATTGTTAAATGATGAATGACTGTATTAGCAAATAATTATTAACAGAAAAACAGTAAACCCATTAGCCAAGATTAGGTGGACAGATTACAACACATGCGTATATGTTCCTGTATTTTATATTCCTTCACAACAGTGCACTAACTAATCCAAGTAGCTGAATAAAATTAATCACTATTTCATGCTGTTCCACATAGAATATAATGTTTGTAAATTAACTCAAGACCAACAGTTTCTTTGCCTTCTGAACAAATTTGAAACATCTGTTCTAGGCCTGTGTTCATGTGCAATTTTTGAATTTAGATACTGTATTAGTCTGTTCTCATGTGGCTATGGAGAAATACCCAAGACTTGGTAATTTATAAAGAAAAGAGGTTCAACTGACTCAACAGGTCTGCATTGCTGAGGAGGCCTCAGGAAACTTACAAACATGGCAGAAGGGAAAGCAACATGACCTACTTCATATGGTGGCAGGAGAGAGAAGAATGAGAATCGAGCAAATAGAGAAGCCCCATATAAAACCATCAGATCTCTTGAGAACTTACTCTCTATCAAGAGAATAATATAGGGGAAACCACCCCTGTGATTCAATTATCTCCACCTGGTCCCGCCCTTGACAGGTGGGGATTATTACAATTCAAGGTGAGACTTCGGTAGGAACACAGAGTTAAACCAAATCATTCCACCCCTGGCCTTCCCAAATCTCATGTTCTCACATTTCAAAACACAATTATGCCCTTCCAACAGTCCCCCAAAGTCTTAACTCATTCCAATATTCACCCAAAAGTCCAAGTCCAAAGTCTCATTTGAGACAAGGTTAGTCCCTTCCACCTATGAGCCTGTAAAATCAAAAGCAAGTTAGTTACTTCCTAGATACAATGGGGGTACAAGCATTGGGTAAATACACCCATTCCAAATGAGAGCAATTGGCCAAAACAAAGGGGCTACAGGCCCCATCCAAGTCTGAAATCCAATAGGGCAGTCATTAAACCCTAAAGTTCCAAAATGATCCCCTTTAACTCATGTCTCACATTCAGGACACGCTGATGCAAGAGGTGAGCTCCCATAGCTTTAGGCAGCTCCACCCCTGCGGCTTTGCAGGGTACGGCCCCTCTTCCAGCTGCTTTCATGGCTAGCGTTGGGTGTCTGCAGGTTTTCCAGGTGCATGGTGCAAGCTGTCAGTGGATCTACCAATCTAGAGTCTGGAGGAATGTAGCCTTTTTTTCACAGCTCCACGAGGCAGTGCCCCAGTGGGAACTCTGTATAGGGCTCCAATCCCACATTTCCTTTCCACACTGCCCTAGCAGAGGTTCTCCATGAGGGCTCTGCCCCTGCACCAGATTTCCACTTGGAGCTCCAGGCATTTCCACACACCCTCTGAAATCTAGGTGGAGGTTCCCAAACCTCAATTCTTGTCTTCTGCAACCTACAGAACCAACAAGAATAGTATGGGGGAAACCACTCCCATGATTCAATTATCTCAACCTGGTCCAATCCTTGACACGTGGGGATTACTACAATTCAAGGTGAGATTTGGGTGGGGACAAACAGCCAAACTATATCAGGTACTCTCCTATCTCTAGGTTTTTGATACATGCTTTCTGTTCCCTGACTGTATTGCCTTGCTTTCAAATACTTCCTTGATTCTTCTCTGGGCTCCAACAGTACATTAAGTGATCTTCTTTTATAAAACATTTTACTAAAAGCTACAATTATGCATGAGTCTCCAGTATTCTGTGACTTTCTTGAGAACAAAATACTGTCTGTGTCAGTTTGGATCCCCATTATTTTGAGAAATGCCTGAATAAGTTTGATGCTGAATAATTTGAATAAGCAATTGAATCAATTTAATAGCCAAAAATCCTGTTTTTGATAAGAATAAATAATAGATCATGTGTGAATGTGTATGTATATACATACATAAATACAATTGTAAGCAATTTAAAGTAATGAACAATTATGGAATAATATTAGTTATTATTTTAGAACATTCAGTGTTCAAAATTAGGTGAAAAGGGCCGAAAAGTTTCTCTCAATAAAAGATGGGTCTTGACGAAAGTCAAGAATTTGGATTGGAATTTTTGTTTAATTTCTTTTATCTTCTTTGGGTGACGGAAGGTTAGTTTAAAAAGGGAAAGGAAAACGGATAATTGTTACTCTTTCACTACCAGTTCTATACGACTGTTAAATCATCTGCAATGTCTTTATTAACTTTAAGAAAATTACATTTATACAATCTAATATTAAACATATGTTTATCCAAAATTTTAAACATTTTGCTGGACTTGTAACCCAGGGTACTATCTCAGGATAATCATGGCATCCCTTGATGGAATGGTTTTTATGTTACTTCAGTACACAGGTATTTTATATTTTCGTTATGGTGAACTTATCATTATTTTCTTTGTGGATTCCAATGTTTGAAAGGTTTACCTACTATTATGAGCTATGGCTACTTTTTATATTTTAATATCGTTTCAGATTTTACCTGTGCTAATAATACTGTAACATTAAATACTTTCACTGCCATTGTTTGTGAATGTGCAAATAAATAAGTAGTCAGGGACTTTCTCCTGGCTCACAGAGTTTAGATGTCACTATGTACTCAGGTCCAAGGTCCATCGCACATTAATTTAGTTAATTAGTTAATTTATGTACTGTAACTACCTATACTGTGACAGCAGTAAATGTTGGAAATACCAACCATGCTTCCTGAAACCCTAATGTGTTCAATAACCAGTCAAAACTTAAGCCAAATTGCTCTGTCTATCCACAACAAAATACACTTTTATATTTCTTTTAATCACTAGATATGGTGTCTGTGAGCCTTTTGAAAATCGTTTCATCATTTAATGGCTAGTTAGAAGTCTAGCACAGCAGGTTGGAAACCACAACTATATGGTAGTGTGCCCGTTTATATCATTCTTTTATTTAAGAAAAAAATAATTTTCTAGTTTAAGAATTTATTAAACACAGAAATATATATTCAACAAGCTCAAGCCAAGAGCATTCTTTTATATAATTATATAACCTTAAAATATGTACACACACTTGCACATACATATGTACATACATAAAAAGTTAAATAAAAGATTGAGAAAAAAACAAAACCCTCCCCTATTGTTTGGGAGCCTTGTAGGTGGGAATAGTTCTCTGAAACACTAAAATTGTGTCACTCTATTTAAAGAAGTCACATCACTGTGAACATGATATTAACTGAAAACTGGAGGGAATTAGAAGGCAATATGGTTAGGAAAAACACTCCAATGAGAGTCATAAGAGAGAGAAAGACACAAAGTCGTCTTTTACTCTTTAACTTATTTTATTTATTTATTTATTTATTTATTTATTTATTTATTTATTTATTTGAAATGGAGTCTTGCTCTGTCACCCAGGCTGGAGGGCAGCGGTGCAATCTCAGCTCACTGCAACCTCCACCTCCTGGGTTCAAGCAATTCTCTTGCCTCAGCCTCCTGAGTAGCTGGGACTACAGGCACGTGCCACCATGCCCAGCTAATTTTCTGAATTTTTAGTAGAGACAGGGTTTCACCATGTTAGCCAGGATGGTCTCCATCTCCTGATACGCTTAGAACTTTTAAAGTCACTAGTTGTTTAGAGTAAGGGTGCCTCTTTAACATATGTTATCTTTCTCTGTAAAATAAAGGAATTAGAATATAACATATGAGATCCTTTTAATATTTAACATTTTAAGACTCTCTAGATTAAAAAATAAACTACACTATTTAAATTATCTGTTGGATGGGATACTGAAGAAAGCAAACATTGAATATATGAGAGAAGAAAATAGTAAATTTTACTTACTCATAAAGCCTTGGCTCTTCAATCATTCCAAGCTGATTTAATAATTTAAATGAAAACGAGCCATCCATCATAGTTTTATCTGGAACAATTATACTGAGAACAAAATAATAGGCTACAAAATAAAAATATAGAATACAACTCACATTATTTTTTAATTTTTGGTTTTGGTACATATTCAGATATATATATATGTGTATGTATAGATAGATATGTAATCTAGGCTCATATTACATATGCAAATAATATTATTGAGAGGACTCATTTGGTAAATGGGTAATATATTTTACCTTTTGTTTGTCAATTTTTGACTACTCTTAAACATGAGAGATGAAAAAGCCTGCCAGCCAGTAATGGGTATGGTGAAGTATTGAACAAATAGATCCTAAATACTGGCTTGTCTGAAAAACAAAAACTTTTCAGAAATTAGGCCAATTAAGCAACTTTTACTTTTCAATAGCAGATCTAAGGTGAATATGGTAAGATTTCTTAATTATCTGATTAATAGTACCAGCTATTGCTTGCCAAACGTAAGTCCTAATTTCACTGGCTGTTCCAGAATGACTGTGAATATATATATAAGGTAAGGTCATAGCAGTTCTTATTCAAATTGCCTTTACTAAACTTTGGTAGAGTATATCTTGCACAGGAAAGGATGCTGAACTCACTTCTATATATTGCCAGGCCTGTACAGGAAATTTTGACTACAGGAGTTATCCCAAGTTTTGTGCACCCCCCTTCTAGAACAGAACGGATTTATAATTGGATTTTCCCCATTTCTGACACAAGAGGTATAAGGAAACACTTCTCACTTTGAAGTTACCTCACAGCCTTAGGCAAAGTACTTTGATTCACCTTGCCCATATAAATGGGCATTCAGACTTGCTCAGATTATTTCTGACAGCACAGAATATTGAGATGTTACAGATTAAGCCACCCTCCCACTATAAATACATGGAAATGCTAGGTGTACAATCCATGTTTCAATATGCAACCAAGCTCTGAAGAAGGAAGGGGAAGTGTCAGAAAGCAGAAACAAAGAGAAATTAAAGCCAAGGCCAGAAGAACTGAAGCCCTGGACCCCTCTGGGACTTCAGAGCCTGTTGTAGCATGAAGATGGAGGCTGAAGTGTCAACCTCCATGCAGGAACAGGAGAAATGATGCTAAAGGACAAAGCTGAAATGGAGGTCCCTGCACAGAGCCATAAACCTCATAATTGAAATTCCCTGACCCATCATTGAAAGAGGAACTAGGAAAATTCTTCCTATTTTTTCAGTCTGGGTCTTACGTGAAAACATAAATTGTTTCTTGAGATTAAATAAAACTCCAGAAAACATGAAATTTAAGTTTACACTATTTATATGTTGAAAGACCCCCACAAATTTACATTAAAATGCTTCAGGATTGTGGTAATATGGTTCTGAAAAAAGAAAATCTGACTTGCTCTGAAGGGGAACTTTGAAGAAGAGCTGATTTCTGAGAGTTTTTTATATCAAAGATAGACATGAATCTCTATTTTGAAGTAGCACAAATAGGTTTTTTTTAATTAATTTTTAATCCAGACTTGACAAACCACTGAGACTGGAAAATAACAATATAAAAAAATAAATCAATGAATACATTCAGTCTGATGAAATGATAGATTATCTTCACAGAAAAATTAGATAGAAGATAAATGAAAAAAAGTGTATCTGAAAACAAGAGAAGTCGTATTTTCAATGTGCTGAGCATATAAACTTTCAATATAGAATTCTGTCCTAAACTATCTTTTCATTTCTGACTGAGGGAAGGATAAGGACATTTTCAGGAAAGACAAAAAAAGAAAAAGACTGAGAAAGACTACTATTGAAAAGCTACTACTAGGATATACTTCAGCAAGAAAAACGTTAAAACCAGAAGGAAGGAGTTGAAGGAGGGAATAAGACAAAATGTAGAAAACTGAAATTGGTAAATATAAGGAAGTATTTGATGATACTATTTATAATTAATATGTATTATTAAATGAGAAATGGAAGGAAAATACTACAGGATATAATATTGAAGATAGAAAAGAAGAATAAAGATTCTAAGGCTCTCTGAGGCAACTTGTAGCTGTGACAGAGTCTGATAAAATAGTCTGTGAAGCAAGATCCATATTCATGTATAAATGCATAAAAAGCAAAAAAATAAGTTAGTCGCTGAGAAAATATGATGTCCCAAAAGTTTTATGCATCTAAAAATCACGGCCTTGGAATATCTAAAGCCAACACCTAAACAGAGGAACTGCCCGCTAAAATAAAAGTTTTAAATAGATCTCAGATTTTGACACAAGAGATACAATGTCCAAGATATGATCAAAAATTGCCCATAATACCAAGAACAAAGAAAATCACAACATTGTTAAGAAAATTACCTGATGCTAACCCTGAGATAAATTAGATGCTGAGATTATCTGACATTTATTTTAAAGGAGCCATCACAATAATGATTCAAAGTTAACATGTCTCTTGAAAAAATGAGAAAAAATTAAAACCTTAGCAAAGAAAAAAAGTTGTAAAAGAAAAAATGAAGTTACAGAAACAAAGGTGGCTCCATCGTGCAATGAATAGTGCATTGGACTTCCAAAATTACAGAAACAAAAAATACAATTGCAGATACAAAACTCACATGATATACTCAATAGTGAGTAGAGATAATAAAAGAAGAAATCAGTGAACTTGAGGGCCAGTCAATCTTAATGACAGAGAAAAAAAGATGGAGAAAAATAAATGAACAAAGCCTCAGGGATCTGTGGGACTATAATAAAAGATGTAATATTTCTGCTATTAGAGTGTCAGAAAGAGAAGAGAGTGTGGGGCTGTGACATGATGCCTGGAAACTTTCTAAATTTGGTGAAAAAAATAAACACAGATTGAAAAAGCTAAGTGAACCTGAAATATAATAAACTTCATGAAATTCTAACCAAGAGACATCATAATAAAGCTGCAAAAGTAAAAACAAAGAAATAAAAGTCTTGAAAGCAGCCAGAAAGAAATGATGCATTACCTACAGGAGAACACCAGTTTGAATCATAATGGATTTCACATCTGAAAGTCATGGAGGTCAAAAGAAAATATAACATTTTTCAAGTGCTGAAAGAAAATACTGCCAACCTCAAATCTTACATCCAACAAAACTGTCCTTTGAGAATGAAGGGGAAATAGAGACATTGTCAGACAAAGAAACAGTAAAAAACAAATCTCACTAGCAGAATTATCCTTAGAGATAGTCAGAAGTAATTTCTTCATACAGAAAGGAATTAATGAAATAATCATGAATCATTATGAAGAAAGAATGAACAATGAGAAGAGAATAAATATGGGTACATACAATAGGTTATCTTTTTCTCATTGATTTTGTAAATGTTAAGGATTGAAACAAAAATTTTTACACAATCTAATATTCAAAATCATGATAATTAAATGTGGGGAATGTAAAGGGGCCTACATGGAAGTGAGGTTTCCACATTTTACTTCAAATGGTTAAATGTTGGAATCATTAAACAGTGATGAATAATGTATGCATATTGTAATTGTTGTAGGCCTCCCCAAATATATCCTTGTCCTAATCCCTGGAACCTACAAGTATGTTATCTTATATAGCAAAGGATAATTAAGATTGCAAATAAAATTAGAGTTGCTAACCAGCTATTCTTAAAATAGCGACATTTTATTGAATTATCTAGGTGGACCCAATGTAATCACAAGGGGCCTTAAAAGAGGAAGAGGAAGAGGAAGACAAAAGAGGAGAATCAGAAACAGAGATGTCGTGCAGAAAAAGGGTCAAAATGATATAATATGAAGACTCAGCCCACTAATGTGAATGAAAAGGCCACAAGCCAACAAATATGAACAATTTCTAGAGCTGGAAAAGTTAAGAAAGTATATTCTCCCCTGAGCCTCCAGAAAGGAATGCACCTGCTAACACCTTGACTTTAGCACAGTGACATCTGTATTAGACTTCTGGACTACCGAACTTTAAGATAGTATATTTGTGTTGTTTTAAGCCACCAAATTTGTGGTAATTTGTTAGTGTAGTTATAGAAAATCAATATACATTTTGATACAAATAATGTGATATAGCTATAAAAAACATATACAAGTGGAAAAGTGGCTTCTAAATTAGAAATAAGAAGAAGCTGGAAAAATTTTTAGGAACATAATAGGAAAGCCTAGATTTCCTTGAATAAATTGTTAGTTTATTCAACTAACTAGAAATGTGCTAGTAAGGACACAGGAGGAAATAAGGAACATGGCAGAGAAAATACACATTACAAAAAGGCTGTTGGTGAGAAATATGGATGTCTAATGGAATGAATAAGGATGTTAATCTTGCCGTCATTGAGGACTCAAACGGAAATTAGAAATATATTATTGGAAACTGGTAGAAGAAGAATCCTCACTACATCGTGGCAGGTAGCTTAGTGGAATTATGTACTGCAATTTATGTGGAAAGCAGAAATTGTAAATGAAGAAATTGGAAATTTAACCAAGGGGATTTATAAGACAGGGGTTGAAAGTGTGGCCAGATTTCTCCTTGGTGCTCATCATGAATTGTGTGAGGAAAGACAGAAATTGAGATGAAACCGTTAAATTAAAAAGAATCCTGACTTGCTGATTTGGGAAATCCTCAGCCTAGCAAGTTTACTAAGATACCCATGTTAAGAAATTTATCAATGGGAAATGAAGCTCTAGAGAAAAAGCTGAGGGTGTAGCTGGCACAACCTTTTCCCTCAGAAAGATTTTAAAAATCAGAGCATTTAGTCACACAAAAGGGTCTTTGAAAATATTAAGCACATGACTCACAGATTCCTTTAGCCATCTTGGCAGAGGCCAATAATAGAGGCAGGATTGTCTAGAAAAAATATGGAGGAGTCTCTTTTTTAATAGAATGACTCTCTGTGACATATACGGAGATCCACCAGGCTTTGGAGAACGTTATAGTGGTATAAATAGTGCCAACTTGGACTAAAAGCAACAGAGTATAAAATGAGAAAAAGTTTTGAGGCCTGGAAAACGTCTACAAACAAGAAACAAGATGAAAAAACTACTCAGATGCAAACATATGCTACCATTTCTACATTTAAAGAAGAAGGGGGTGAAAGAAAGAGAGAAGGACTCTAAGAGACCAACATGCGAAGCCATGAACCCAGGGAGCAGAGCCATGAACCACAGAGAATTATTCCCAGGCCTTTAAATCAGATGGAGTTTGCCTGGCTGAATTTAAAAATTGCATGGAGTGTTGACTCTATTTTTCTTCTACTTTTCTTCTCTTTGAACAAGAATGCTATAACTGGTATCGTATCCCTGTCTCATCACTGTATTTGAGGGGGAGGTAATTTGATTCCTGAGATTCACAGGTTCACAGATGAAGAAAAATTATGTCCAAGTACTTATATCCAGAGCTGTAGCCAAATCTGATTTAGATGAATTAGGCAACAAGATTTAGAACTTTGTATCTGTTGAGTTTAGAGGAGATTTTTTACTTTAAGTTGATGCTGTAATGACTTGATGATGTCTGAGATCAACCAACAAAATATTACTTTATACCCAAAAAAGCAGAATACACATGTATTGCCAGTACACATGAAGCATGAGCCTAAAGAGATCAATGCTTGACTACTAAAATACCTCAGGACGTTGTTAAAAAATTTATACAGAGTTTGATTTCTAGCCATAATAAAATTAATCTAAAGGTCAGTAACAGACAACAGGAAAATTTCTAAACTGTGGAAATTCAACAGCGTGCTTATAAATAACCCATGGTCAAAGAAGAGTTCTCTAAAAAATACATAGAACAGAATAAAAAAGATACAACATATCAAAACACATGAGACACAAATCAGGCAGTACTGAGAGGAAATTTCACAGACTAAATGATTACATTAGAAATGAAGAAATATCTGAGGCCAATAATTTAAGTTTCTGCCTCAAGAAAATAGAAAAAGAACAAAATAAACCCAAATAGAGTAGAAGAAAAGATGTGTGTGTAGAAATATATATTTTATATATATATTAAAATATATATATGTGTGTGTAGAAATATATATATAGAGAGAGAACAAAGCAGAAATTAATGAAATTTAATAACAGAACATGATAGAAAATTAAACAAAAATCTGATTCTTGAATAAAAACCAATAAAATCGATAAACCATTTTGTCTAGCAAGACAGACAAAATAAAAAGAATCAAGACACAAATCACTGTTAGGAATAAAACAAAAGGCATTACTAAAGATAATGCAATCATTAAAAAGATAAATTTTAAAAAACCTACTGTTCACAATTCAACACCTTAAAAAAAAGGACCAATTCCCCAAAAACCACAAACTACAAAACCTCAACCAAGCTGAAATAGATAATCCAAATAGTCTTAAAATTATTAAATAAATTAAATTTGTAGTAAAAACTTCCTCCCAAAAAAGTCTCCAGACCCAAATGGTTTCACTGGAAAATTCTGCCAAACATTTAAAGAATTAACACAAATCTTGCACGATCTCTTTCAGAACAGACAACAGAGAAGGGAAAACTTGCCCACTTTTTTTATGACGTTGTATTATTATAGTAGTACGAATACGCTATTACTGTTATGCCAAAACCAGACAAAGACAATAAGAAAGGAACACTACTAACAAATACCTCTTATGAACTTAGAAAAATTCTCAACAAAATATTAACGAATGAAATTCAACAATGTATTTTAAAATACGCACTAAGCCCAAGTAGAATTTATTACTGGAATGCAAAGCTTGTTCAACATTCTAGAATCAATTAATATAGTTCAACATATCAACAAACTAAAGAAAAAAATTATATGATCATATCAATTATGCATAAAAAGCATATGGCAAAATCCAACACATATTTATGAGGTAAAATTCTTGGCAAGTTAGGAATAGAGGGGAACTAACTCAATTTTATAGTGTATCTACAAAAAAAACTATAAGTCACATCACACTTTAATGGCAAAAGATTGGATTTTTTTTTTCTCTAAGGCAAAGGTATCTGTGCTTACCACTATTATTCAAAATAGCACTGGAAGTTCTAGCCATGGCAGCAAGTAGATTTAAAAAAATTAAATGCACACAGATTGTAATAGAAGAAATAAAAGCATTCTTATTTGCAGAAAACATAATTGCTTACATAGAAAATTCCAATGAATCTATTGTTTTAACCTAGAAACAATAAATGAATTCAGCAAGTTCCCAGGAAACAAATTCAACACAAAAGATGCGATCTCATTACTATATACCAACATTGAATGTGGAGATACCAAAATTTAGAAATACATTTTACAATTACTCCCCAAAATGAATATGTGGTATACACACAACAAAAGATGCACAGGATCTGTATGTTGAAAATTGTAAAATGCTGACTGAAGAAATCAAAGAATCAAAGTATATGGAAAGACATACCATATTCATGAATTAGAATATTCAGCATGGTAAAGACATCAGCTCTCCCCGAATTGAAAGATGTGGTTAATGTAATTTCTGTTGAAACCTCAGACAAATTTTTGCAAATATAGACAACGTTATGCTAAAATTTATATTGAAATGTACATACACTAGAAGATCTAAAATAATCATGACAAAGAAGAATGAAGAGGAAATAATCAGTCTACTTGATATTAATGCTTACTATATAGCTACATTAATTAAATGCTATGTGGTACTAGAAAAAGAAATGAACACATACATAAATGAAAAAATATACATATCAAAATACAGACCCAACACAAATAGGTACAAACATATGTCAATAAACATATCGATATATATTGATATCTATATTATATATCTCATCTACAGAGATATATTTTAACCAATTGTTGATAAAGATGCAAAAGCACTTAATAAAAGAGAATCTATCAACAAATGATGCTGGAGCTATAAAAAAAACTAAATAGAAATGGATTTCAGATGTAAATGTAACACATAGAACTATTATTTTTAGAAAAAATTACAGGAGAAAACCCTCAGGACCTAGGGCTCAACACAGAGTTCTTAGACTTGACACCTAAAGCGTGATACATACCTAAAATAATGATCAATTACTCCTCATCAAAACTAATCACTTTTTCTCTGCCCATGCTTTTGTGAAACAGATAAAAAGACAAGTTACAAACTGTATGAAAATATTTGTAGATCAAATATTGACAAGGACTAGTTTAGAAATTATATAAAGAATTATCAAAAGTCAACAGCTTAAAAAAAAGCCCAATTGAAAAATATCCAAAAGACACGAATACACATTTCACCAAAGGTGATAAGTAGAAGAAATAGTCAATATAATCATCCATCAGGGCAATGAATACTAAAACCACTGAAGCATCACTGTATGCCTGTCAGAATGCGTAAGAATTTTTAAAATAATGACACCACCAAATTCTGAAAAAAATCGGAAAAATTAGATCACTTATATTTTAATTGGGATAATGTAAAGTGGTACAGTCACTCCAAAAAAATGTTAAATTTTTTCAAAGCTAAATGTGCAATTAGTTTCTGTCCCAGCAATAACACTCCTGGGAATTTATGACAGATAAATGAAGACATATTCACACAAAAACTTATACACTATATTCAAGCAGCTTTATTTGTCATAGCCAAAACCTTAAAACATCCCAGATGCTCTTCAACAGGTGATTGGTTAAACAAATGGTGGCACATCCTGTATCTATGTAAATGTATACGTATATTCCATAAATAGTATCTATATATCCCTATAGATATATATGTAATATATAGTTATATATAATATATAGTAATATAGGTAATATCTATTATATATGACATATAATATCTATGTTATATATGTATATTATATATACATGAGTATAATATCAATATATATTATATATAGATATTATATAGCTATTATATATAGAAATAGATCTAATATATAGATATCTATAATATATAGATATATAGATATAGATATAATATCCATATCTATTATATATTAATATATTATATCTATTATATATATAATATATATCTATATAATATATTAATATATAATATACATATATAATATATTAATATATAATATATACATTATTATATATTAATGTATAATATATACATTATTATATATTAATGTATAATATATACATTATTATATATTAATATATAATATATACATTATTATATATTAATATATAATATATACATTATTATATATTAATATATAATATATACATTATTATATATTAATGTATAATATATACAAATATATATTAATATATAATATATACATTATTATATATAATTACATATAATATAACATATATTATATTAATATAATATAGATATATAACATATAGATATATGTATTTCTCTATTTATAGATATATAGATATATTATTTCACTCAGCATAATTCCCTGGAGGTTCATCCCTGTAGCATATATCAATGATTCACTATACCTTTAGTTGCTGAGTAGTATCCCATAGGAACATATCTCTACCCCTATTGATAGATAGATAGATAGATCAATATGTATTGATATATATATCATATCTCTGGATATATTACTATGGAATACTACTCAGCCACTAAAAGTATAGTGAATCACTGATACATGCTACATGGATGAACCTCCAGGGAACTATGCTGAGTGAAAAAATAAGCCAATTAAAAAGGTCACATGCTGGATGATTCTCTTTATATAACAATCTTGAAATAACAAAGTTCTAGAAATGTGTGAATGGATACCGGGGGGATGGGGTACGTAGTTTTAAAGGCACAACACAAAGATTCCTTGTGGTGATGAACTGTTCAGCAGCTTCATTGTGGTGGTAGATACAGAGCCCTATAAATATGACTATTTTGTATGGAGCCAAATACACATATAGCCACACACGCAGGCAAGTGTATAGGAAAATCTGATTAAGATGGGTGCATTGTATCAATGTCAATATCCTGCTACTACTCTATGGCACTGCAAAATGTTTATCATTTAAGGAAACTAAAGTATATACAGTATCTCTGTGTATGATTTCTTACTTCTACATGTAAATCTAAAATTAACTCAATAAAATTTTTAATTTGAAAAATGGACAGCCCCAATTCTGTTTGACAGGACACATCACTAATGTTTGAAGAATAATATATTGAAGTTGGCAGTGACTGTGACTGGAAGACATTAAAAATGACTGACCTAAAATATTTTATGAGAATCTATTTTAAGTACTTATCTCTCAGTAATCAAAATTAATGACAGTAATTCAAAACTTCCTCCATAAGATTCTTCACATAAAAAGGACTCATTTTATTTACAAACCACTTCCAGTTTTTCATTTCCAAACAGAATAATTTTGCTTTCTTTAATACTTCCTTATAAATCTATTATTTATTATATTTCTATGAGATTCTCTCTTCTTCTACAAGTTTTCTCCTCTTACCTAACTCTAAATGTATTATGAGGATTACTACTTTCTTGTCCTTTTTTATATTTATATATTAATAATCTAGTTTTATTAATAATGGGTGTTCAGACTGTATATATATATATATATCATAGGCTCCTTAATATGTTACATGCCAAAATAACTCTAGAGGTGAAAAGGGCAATATGCAAATTTAGGATGAAGGAATGCAACCTTGATTGTTTCTTTGGGAAAATATTACCCAAGCGTCTCTCCATTTTATCTAAAAAAAGATCAAGTCCTTAGTTGAATTTGTCCCACTGGCTATAGCAAATTTTAAATTTGCCTGAAAGAACATGATGGAATTTGAGTGGGTGCAAAGAACACTTTGAATCAAATGTAGATTAGTGCAAAAAAAACTAAAAATTTGTTTATTTGTTAAAATTGTTAATAACTTACTACAGAATGGATATGTACCACTTGTATCCAAAAACACAGTGGTCCTAAGAGGTCTTCCTTCCATCCTTTCTTTTAAAACACCTTTAAATAGCTTGGCTTGATAACCTGAGATTTGAGAAATAGAACATTAGAAATTGGATTTCCATCAAATAACAAAAATGTCAAATCACTAAAGTAACTAAAAGATCAGTGCATATAATCATCATAATGATCATCATGGATTTTGATAACTTAAAAAGCATTTTTTCAAATAATGTAGCATTCCATTTATTTTAATTACAATAACAACTCTTAAATTCAGGATTCACAAATAAATCTGCTCCCTGAAAATCTTATCAGAGCTTAGCATACTCCATCCGTATGGCTATAGTCCATTTGTAGAAGTTTTACTGTTATAAATTCAGGATTTTACCTGTAATTCCTTCTAATAAGTTCAGCAGAGTAAATTGACTACATAAAACTTAAACATACAATATAGCTCCATGAGTATAGCTCCCTAATTCTCCAATACGTATAATACATACAGATATGGCATGCATGTGTATACATTATATATATTATATATATGTAGTATAGGTATACTTTACATGTACTGTATGTTGTGCATATAATATACATATTTCAGATACATATGTGTACATATAAAATATTTATTATATATAATATGTTGATATATTGATAAAAATTACTTATAAAATAAAGTTTATGTTAATATATATTTCATATGCCTCATGTATTTCTTTGTTCCCACATTGCTACCTCCAAATTTGAGATTTGAATATGGTAGAAAGAATAGTAAATTAAGAATTCAGAGGTTTTACTCAAGTTCTAACTTATGCCTTTATGTGATTTATATATTCACTCTGGGTTACAATTTCTCATTACATGGAAGAAGGATGGGGCCAGAAAAGCAATCCACAACAGGAGGTCTGAAGAAAACTAATCCCACATGGTGTCTTATAGACAGAAAAGTCTATGAGAAAAATCAAATTGGCAATGCCTGAACAGTGCATACCCCTCCTAGGGTGTTCTCAGTGTGTGCTGATCCTGCTTCAGCAGTTGGTTTAATTTAGCCTTTGTAATCACTACCTATTCCTCGAACCCCTTTGGCTTTGGAAACATCTCTGGGGAATTCTGCCATGATACTGACCAGATGTTTACATGCTCATGGCATGCTTGGATCTGGTGCTCTTTTTGAAAAACCCTGAGCAAACAGCCTCTGAAATTCTTTCCAGTTCCAATATTATATTTTTATGTGGATTTTTTTCTCTATAATTCCCTATTGGCAGGTTTTAGTTATCAGAAGTAGCAATACTTAACTGCTCTTAGCAGGTTTATCCATTTAGAAGGTATGAACCATGTTTCATGTCTACTTGGTGATAGCAAATGAGAAGCTAACCATGGCTCACACCTCTTCACTTGTTCCTAAAATCTCAAAAAAACAAAAAAACCTCAGTGTTGCCAAGACTGTGCAAGTTTCTTTCTTTAAGTGAAAATATAGTTGGATGATAGTTAGATATTTTTGTACATCAGGAACAAGAATCATTATAAAGCCATCTAATCTGCCCACTACACTGAACATAAAAAGGCAGTTGATCATGTTCTTCTCTTTAAATATATTAAAAATGTTTAGTAGGGAATGAAATATTTACTCTGTACCACATCTCTACAGATGATTTTTCCATAAAATGGTCATGTATTAACAAGTAAACAGAGTGCACAGTTTAGCTTCCAGCAGAAAATACTAACAATTATGTTATTCATATTAAATAAGAATGATAGTAACTATAATAATCTCTCTTACCCAGCCGAGGACATGATTTTTCCTTAAAACAGTCACAGTCCACACATAAGCTAGTCTTGTAATCTTTGTATGAACGACAAGGAAATGAAATAAAATTGCAGTTTGTTTCTAAAGATGCCATGAACAAGTGAACTGCTCTCTGGTGGTTGCATTTAATGAATTGAATTCCTTAAGGGTTAAAAAAAAAACAAAGAACTGTAGATGTATTAAGCCATGTTCAAGTACATTTAAAAACAAAGTAAAGATGAAGTTTTGCTAAATACTATGTACCTTATGAATATTACTGACTATAATACACAGTTTTATGTCAAACCACTAAACAAATAGTACCAATGAAAACTTAAATTTAGTATGTCTTTTGCATGAGATTTATAATGAATTTTTAAAGTAATAATTAACATAGCAAAAATGTTTCATTTCAGTGTTTCACAAGCTCTACACAGTGCTACTATACTTAATAACTAGTGTACACATCTTTTCCTTCTAATACTGCACTCCTAACATTTCCACCTAATGACAAAGATGACCATGAAACCAGCTGACCTTAAAACTTTATTACCTTCCTTTTCTTTTCCAACCTTGCACATCCTCCTCCTTTTCACCAAACTTCTTTAGCTACAGTGCCCTTTGGTCACGTGTTATTTGACCAGTTGCCGTTGTGGACCTAAGAACATTTCTTGCAATGGCTCTGATGTGAGCCAAATTCCACACCTGGGGAAGTTGCTCAGCTATCTTTATGTACAGAACAATCAAGTGTCAAGAGTTTTTACAATTGTCTTTGTACAGTAATATGGTGATGGTTAAGATTAAATCCTGAGATCAAAGTTGTATTATATGATACTTGAGCTACATGTGCTTCCTCAATGACTTACGACTTCTCCTAATGTTTAAAATGATGGAATAAAATTATTAAAAATATAATATAAGAGGTCTCATCCATGACCTAATGGATGTCTACTGGTAACCTTTATGAACTAAGCATGGTCAAATTAAACCATTGTTAACCAATGACTCTCCTGAGTCATGGGCAATGATGATGAAATCAAAACACTGCCTACAGATTAAGAGGGGAAAAGTAAGTTATTTTCTTTCATCATTTCGAATATTATGTAGTTCATTCAAAAATACTGTCAGTATACCTGAGAAAATTGATTTAGGACAGCCAGGTTGTTTATTTCCTCCATTTGGATAAAAATCTATATGTCCCAAGGGCTCTTGAATGCCTAAACCTGAGAAGAAAGGCACCCAAGAATCACAACATGTATATAATCAGGTGAGTATCTTGCATAAAACAAAATAGCCTATAAAATCCATTGAAAGTTACTCTTTAAATATTAGAATTGAAAATAAGTGCTGTTTTTATAAAGATAAGTTTTTCTTCTATAATTCCTTCATGAAAAGTATATTTCATTAATTTAATATATTTGCCAGTCAGCAGTTTACTATCGGTCAGTCACAGTTTTTTGTGGTATGACCGCATAAGTGAAAAAAGAAATAGAGAGGGCAGCCAAGATGGCCGAATAGGAAGAGCTCCAGTCTTCAGCTCCCAGTGTGAGTGGTGCAGAAGGCAGGTGCAGAAGGCAGCATTTCCATCTGAGGTACCGGGTTCATCTCACTAGGGAGTGCCAGACAGTGGGCGGAGGAAAGTGGGTGCAGCGCACCATGTGCAAGCCGAAGCAGGGTGAGGCATTACCTTACTCGGGAAGCACAAGGGATCAGGGAGTTCCCTTTCCTAGTCAAAGAAAGGGTGACAGATGGCACCTGGAAAATCGGGTCACTCCCACCCTAATACTGCGCTTCTGCGATGGGCTTAAAAAACGGCCCACCAGGAGATTATATCCCACACATGGCTCGGAGGGTCCTACGCCCACGGAGTCTCACTGATGGCTAGCACAGCAGTCTGAGATCAAACTGCAAGGCGGCAGCAAGGCTGGGGGAGGGGTGCCTGCCATTGCCCAGGCTTGCTTAGGTAAACAAAGCAGCTGGGAAGCTTGAACTGGGTGGAGCCCACCACAGCTCAAGGAGGCCTGCCTGCCTCTGTAGGCTCCACCTCTAGGGGCAGGGCACAGACAAACAAAAAGACAGCAGTAACCTCTGCAGACTTAAATGTCTCTGTCTGACAGCTTTGAAGAGAGCTGTGGTTCTCCCAGCACGCAGCTGGAGATCTGAGAACGGGCAGACTGTCTCCTCAAGTGGGTCCCTGACCCCCGACCTCCAAGCAGACTAACTGGGAGGCACCCCCCAGTAGGGGCAGACAGACACCTCACACAGCCGGGTACTCCTCTGAGACAAAACTTCCAGAGGAATGATCAGACAGCAGCATTCGCAGTTCACGAAAATCCACTGTTCTGCAGCCACCACGGCTGATACCCAGGCAAACAGAGTCTGGAGTGGACCTCTAGCAAACTCCAACAGACCTGCAGCTGAGGGTCCTGTCTGTTAGAAGGAAAACTAACAAACAGAAAGGACATCCACACCAAAAACCCATCTGTACATCACCATCATCAAAGACCAAAAGTAGATGAAACCACAAAAATGGGGAAAAAACAGAGCAGAAAAACTGGAAACTCTAAAAAGCAGAGTGCCTCTCCTCCTCCAAAGGAATGCAGTTCCTCACCAACAATGGAACAAAGCTGGCTGGAGAATGACTTTGACAAGCTGAGAGAAGAAGGCTTCAGATGATCAAATTACTCCGAACTACGGGAGGACATTCAAACCAAACGCAAAGAAGTTGAAAACTTTGAAAAAAATTTAGACGAATGTATAACTAGAATAAGCCATACAGGGAAGTGCTTAAAGGAGCTAATGGAGCTGAAAGCCAAGGCTCGAGAACTATGTGAAGAATGCAGAAGACTCAGGGGCCGATGCGATCAACTGGAAGAAAGGGTATCAGTGATGGAAGATGAAATGAATGAATGAAGCAAGAAGGGAAGTTTAGAGAAAAAAGAATAAAAAGAAATGAACAAAGCCTCCAAGAAATATGGGACTATGTGAAAAGACCAAATCTACATCTGATTGGTGTACCTGAAAGTGACAGGGAGAATGGAACCAAGTTGGAAAACACTCTGCAAGATATTATCCAGGAGGACTTCCCCAATCTAGCGAGGAAGGCCAACATTCAGATTCAGGAAATACAGAGAACTCCACAAAGATACTCCTCGAGAAGAGCAACTCCAAGACACACAATTGTCAGATTCACCAAAGTTGAAATGAAGGAAAAAATGTTAAGGGCAGCCAGAGAGAAAGGTCGGGTTACCCACAAAGGGAAGCCCATCAGACTAACAGCGGATCTCTCGGCAGAAACTCTACAAGCCAGGAGAGAGTGGGGGCCGATATTCAACATTCTGAAAGGAAAGAATTGTCAACCCAGAATTTCATATCCAGCCAAACTAAGCTTCATAAGTGAAGGAGAAATAAAATACTTTACAGACAAGCAAATGCTGAGAGATTTTTGTCACCACCAGGCCTGCCCTAAAAGAGCTCCTGAAGGAAGCACTAAACATGGAAAGGAAAAACCGGTACCAGCCACTGCAAAATCATGCCAAATTGTAAAGACCACTGAGGCTAGGAAGAAACTGCATCAACTAACAAGCAAAATAACCAGCTAACATAATGACAGGATCAAATTCACACATAACAATATTAACTTTAAATGTAAATGGACTAAATGCTCCAATTAAAAGACACAGACTGGCAAATTGGATAAAGAGTCAAGACCCATCAGTGTGCTGTATTCAGGAAACCCATCTCAAGTGCAGAGACACACATAGGCTCAAAATAAAAGGATGGAGGAAGATCTACCAAGCAAATGGAAAACAAAAAAAGGCAGGGGTTGCAATCCTAGTCTGTGATGAAATAGACTTTAAACCAACAAAGATCAAAAGAGACAAAGAAGGCCATTACATAATGGTAAAGGGATCAATTCAACAAGAAGAGCTAACTATCCTAAATGTATATGCACCCAATACAGGAGCATCCAGATTCATAAAGCAAGTCCTGAGTGACCTACAAAGAGACTTAGACTCCCACACATTAATAATGGGAGACTTTAACACCTCACTGTCAACATTAGACAGATCAACGAGACAGAAAGTTAACAAGGATACCCAGGAATTGAACTCAGCTCTGCACCAAGTGGACCTAATAGACATCTACAGAACTCTCCACCCCAAATCAACAGAATATACATTTTATTCAGCACCACACCACACCTATTCCAAAATTGACCACATAGTTGGAAGTAAAGCTCTCCTCAGCAAATGTAAAAGAACAGAAATTATAACAAACTGTCTCTCAGACCACAGTGCAATCAAACTAGAACTCAGGATTAAGAAACTCACTCAAAACCGTTCAACTACATGGAAACTGAACAATCTGCTCCTGAATGACTACTGGGTACATAACGAAATGAAGGCAGAAATAAAGATGTTGTTTGAAACCAATGAGAACAAAGACACAACATACCAGAATCCCTGGGACACATTCAAAGCAGTGTGTAGAGGGAAATTTGTAGCACTAAATGCCCACAAGAGAAAGCAGGAAAGATCCAAAATTGACACCCTAACATCACAATTAAAAGAACTAGAAAAGCAAGAGCAAACACATTCATAAGCTAGCAGAAGGCAAGAAATAACTAAAATCAGAGCAGAACTGAAGGAAATAGAGACACAAAAAACCCTTCAAAAAATTAATGAATCCAGGAGCTGGTTTTTTGAAAGGATCAACAAAATTGATAGACCGCTAGCAAGACTAATAAAGAAGAAAAGAGAGAAGAATCAAATAGATGCAATAAAAAATGAAAAAGGGGATATCACCACCCATCCCACAGAAATACAAACTACCATCAGAGAATACTACAAACACCTCGACGCAAATAAACTAGAAAATCTAGAAGAAATGGATAAATTCCTCAACACATACACCCTCTGAAGACTAAACCAGGAAGAAGTTGAATCTCTGAATAAACCAGTAACAGGCTCTGAAGTTGTGGCAATAATCAATAGCTTACCAACCAAAAAGAGTCCAGGACCAGATGGATTCACAGCCGAATTCTACCAGAAGTACAAGGAGGAACCGGTACCATTCCTTCTGAAACTATTCCAATCAATAGAAAAAGAGGGAATCCTCCCTAACTCATTTTATGAGGCCAGCATCATCCTGATACCAAAGCCTGGCAGAGACACAACAAAAAAAGAGAATTTTAGACCAATATCCTTGATGAACATTGATGCAAAAATCCTCAATAAAATACTGGCAAACCGAATCCAGCAGCACATCAAGAAGCTTATCCACCATGATCAAGTGGGCTTCATCCCTGGCATGCAAGGCTGGTTCAATATACGCAAATCAATAAATGTAATCCAGCATAGAAACAGAACCAAAGACAAAAACCACATGATTATCTCAACAGATGCAGAAAAGTTTTTTGACAAAATTCAACAACCCTTCATGCTAAAAACTCTCAATAAATTAGGTATTGATGGGATGTATCTCAAAATAATAACAGCTATCTATGACAAACCCACAGCCAATATCATGCTGAATGGGCAAAAACTGGAAGCATTCCCTTTGAAAACTGGCACAAGACAGGGGTGCCCTCTCTCACCACTCCTATTCAACATAGTGTTGGAAGTTCTGGCCAGGGCAATTAGGCAGGAGAAGGAAATAAAGGGTATTCAATTAGGAAAAGAGAAAGTCAAATTGTACCTGTTTGCAGATGACATGATTGTATATCTAGAAAACCCCATTTTCTCAGCCCAAAATCTCCTTAAGCTGATAAGCAACTTCAGCAAAGTCTCAGGATACAAAATCAATGTGCAAAAATCACAAGCATTCTTATACACCAATAACAGACAAACAGAGAGCCAAATCATGAGTGAACTCCCATTCACAATTGCTTCAAAGAGAATAAAATACCTAGGAATCCAACTTACAAGGGATGTGATTGACCTCTTCAAGAAGAACTACAAACCACTGCTCAATGAAATAAAAGAGGATACAAACAAATGGAAGAACATTCCATGCTCATGGGTAGGAAGAATCAATATCGTGAAAATGGCCATACTGCCCAAGGTAATTTATAGATTCAATGCCATCCCCATCAAGCTACCAATGACTTTCTTCACAGAATTGGAAAAAACTACTTTAAAGTTCATATGGAACCAAAAAAGAGCCCGCATCGCCAAGTCAATCCTAAGCCAAAAGAACAAAGTTGGAGGCATCACGCTACCTGACTTCAAACTATACTACAAGGCTACAGTAACCAAAACAGCATGGTACTGGTACCAAAACAGAGATATAGATCAATGGAACAGAACAGAGCTCTCAGAAACAATGCCGCATATCTACAACTATCTGATCTTTGACAAACCTGAGAAAAACAAGAAATGGGGAAAGGATTCCCTATTTAATAAATGGTGCTGGGAAAACTGGCTAGCCATATGTAGAAAGCTGAAACTGGATCCCTTCCTTACACCTTATACAAAAATTAATTCAAGACGGATTAAAGACTTAAACATTAGACCTAAAACCATAAAAACCCTAGAAGAAAACCTAGGCAATACCATTCAGGACATAGGCATGGGCAAGGACTTCATGTCTAAAACACCAAAAGCAATGGCAACAAAAGCCAAAATTGAGAAATGGGATCTAATTAAACTAAAGAGCTTCTGCACAGCAAAAGAAACTACCATCAGAGTGAACAGGCAACCTACAAAATGGGAGAAAATTTTCACAACCTACTCATCTGACAAAGGGCTAATATCCAGAATCTACAATGAACTCAAACAAATTTACAAGAAAAAAACAAACAACCCCATCAAAAAATGGGTGAAGGACATGAACCAACACTTCTCAAAAGAAGACACCTATGCAGCCAAAAAACACATGAAAAAATGCTCACCATCACTGGCCATCAGAGAAATGCAAATCAAAACCACAATGAGATACCATCTCACACCAGTTAGAATGGCAATCATTAAAAAGTCAGGAAACAACAGGTGCTGGAGAGGATGTGGAGAAATAGGAACACTTTTACACTGTTGGTGGAACTGTAAACTAGTTCAACCATTGTGGAAGTCAGTGTGGCGATTCCTCAGGGATCTAGAACTAGAAATAGCATTTGACCCAGCAATCCCATTACTGGGTATATACCCAAAGGACTATAAATCATGCTGCTTAAAGACACATGCACACGTATGTTTATTGCAGCACTATTCACAATAGCAAAGACTTGGAACCAACCCAAATGTCCAACAATGATAGACTGGATTAAGAAAATGTGGCACATATACACCATGGAATACTATGCAGCCATAAAAAATGATGAGTTCATGTCCTTTGTAGGGACATGGATGAAATTGGAAATCATCATTCTCGGTAAACTATCGCAAGAACAAAAAACCAAACACCGCATATTCTCACTCATAGGTGGGAATTGAACAATGAGAACACATGGACACAAGAAGGGGAACATCACACTCTGGGGACTGTTGTGGGGTGGGGGAAGGGGGGAGGGATAGCACTAGGAGATATACCTAATGCTAAATGACGAGTTAATGGGTGCAGCACACCAGCATGGCACATGTATACATATGTAACTAACCTGCACATTGTGCACATGTACCCTAAAACTTAAAGTATAATAATAATAAAATAAAATAAAAAGAAAAAAGAATAGAGCAAAATTCCTTGCAGTCGAAAATACTTTATAGTGGAAGGAAACCATAATAAACAAGTAAATACAGAGTATGTGAAATAA
Organism: Homo sapiens; assembly: GCF_000001405.40. NCBI lineage: Eukaryota > Metazoa > Chordata > Mammalia > Primates > Hominidae > Homo > Homo sapiens. The sequence continues at coordinate 14,172,982 of NC_000021.9, forward strand.
TAATAAGTGCTATGGAGAACAGTTAAGTAGAACAAGAGGACAGGAAGGGTCTAGTGAGGGTGGTAGTTGCATGTTTAAGTTATTTGGTTTAGGAATTTGCCACTTGAAGAAGTTGGAGTGGAGCACAAATGTGAAGGATGTGAGGCGGTGACCCCAGTGGATATTTGTGCGAATACGCTCGGCGAAGAAGCCAGCGTGGCTGAAGTCTAATGTGTAAGAGGGAGCTTCGGAGCAAAGGAAGCCAAGTCCTACAGATCCTTTTCGATCAGTGTGATGATTTGCTTTCACTTTTGGTCATAATTTCTAAGACCTGCTGGTGCTGGATTCACTAACTGGAAAAAAATCTAACAACTAAGTTGCCTTGGCTGGAGCAGTTTGAGTCAGAGTGACATGAAACACATAGCTTTGATTCAAGGGTTTATGTAGCCCTGTAGATCATTGGACCACTGGTGAATGTACAGATTCTGAGCCCATTACCGGCATATAACTCAGAGAAGCCTTAACAGTGAAAAGGGCTAGCAAGCTCAGAATACTCAGGACTGTGATTTGATACAAAATTGTGTTGCTAAATAAGATAACAATGCTTTAATCTGGGGCACAAAAGATTTCCTACAACACAGTGAACTCATGAAAGACATCAGTAATAGATTTAGCATAAAACAAAGATAAATAGATGGTTCTGACAGTAAGGGTTTAGATGCTGCAACCTGACTTAGTTCTAGGATGTAACAGAACCTCTAATGAGTTGTTAGTAGCACATGAGAACACTGGGCATGTACACTGAGGCTGGAGGGAGGGGAGAAGAGCACTATTTAATGGGTAAGGAAAGACAAAGGACAATGTAGATGACTTCATGACAGGTCCCTAGAATTCAGGAAAGCTTGATTGGGACAATGGTGACTTGATTGGGACAATGGTGAGGGTATGCTAGCCAGTCTGTCTTAAAATCCCATCATCTTCTTAGCCTGTGAAATTCACGCAAGGAAGGGCATGCTTCCTAAATAAGACCAAAAAGTTTTTAAAACAAGAAAAAAATTTAACAGGGTCAGAGATTTGTGAAATTTCCTCATATATGAACTCGACATGGAGTTCCAAGACTAGGGGTTTCCAGTTTGGAACTGTCATTTTCTCCAACCTGCCACTGAAGGAGACTCAAACCAACAGGACTGCTTAGGAATCAGGAGGGATAAAAGAAATTTGTCATTAACTTTGAAGCAGCCCTTGATTCAGGCATGTCATTTCCCTTTTATCAGATTGGGTGGGGGGCAGCTTGGTCTGCTTAGATCATTCATTCTCTTGGTTTCAAGAAGGGTGGGGAGAGCAGCTATGACTTTTTAATTTTCCTTTTATTGTAAAATATAAGACACATGCAGAAAAAGAACATTAAACATAAATCTATAGGCTAATTAATTATTATAAAGCAAACAGCCATGGGGCTACCACACTAATGTAAAGAAATAGCACCTGGGAGCTCCCAGTGTGCCCTTACCCAGCCACAAGTGTCTCTCTGTCCCCTAATCGCTAACCCATCATTTTTTTTTAAATAAAATCATCTGTTGTTTATTTTATTTTATTTTATTTTATTTTTTAGAAATGGAGTCTGGCTCTGTCGCCCAGGCTGGAGTGCAATGGCATGATCTCCGCTCACTGTGATCTCTGCCTACCGGGTTTAAGCAATTCTCCTGCCTCAGCCTCCCAAGTAGCTGGGACTAAAGGTGCATGCCACCATGCCCAGCTAATTTTTGGTATTTTTAGCAGAGATGGGCTTTCACCATGCCAGCCAGGCTGGTCTCGAACTCCTGACCTCGTGATCCCCCGCCTCGGCCTCCCAAAGTGCTTGGATTACAGGCGTGAGCCACCGCACCCGGCCTGTTTTCATTCTTTATCTTCTAAGGATGACTCCCAAAACCCTATAGTTTAGATTTCACCTTTGTGAAAAAATATATGAACTTACTCATATTTTATGTAGGCTTTTGTTTCTGGCTTTTTAGATTATTAGTATGTTTGTGCTATCAATCCACATTGTCAGGTGTAAAAACAGTCATTTATTGTCATATAGTATTTCATTGTATGAACATATCACAACTTATTTTTCCATTCTCCTATTGTGGTGCATTTGTATTGTTTCCTATTTGAGGCTAATGTGTTCAAACTATGAACATTTTGAACACATATATTAATGCATATGTGAAGGTACATCTGTTGGTTACATACCTAGGAGTGGAATTGTTATAGATTATGAGTATCTTTGATTTTAATAAATAATGCTGAATAGTTGTAGCGTATCTTTGCCAATAAATGGTCTTGTCAAGCTTTTGAATTTTAAGCATGTGGCTTCTTGTTTGGGTTTTAATTTATATTTTTTTCTTACTAACTTTAAAAACTTTTTATATGTTTATTGCCTATTCAGAATGTATCCTTCATAATGTCCTGACTTTTTCTTAACTAGGTTGTCTTTGTCTTTATTACTGACTGATAGTAGGTCTTTATCTCTTTTACTGCTTTTTTTTATGGCTTGCTCTTCACATTCTTAAAGTATTTATAACAGTCTCAATTTTTATATAATCTGACATTTTAATCTTTTCATTTGGGTTAGAAATTTTTGTGTACTTTGGGAAAATATTATTCATTATCCCAGTGTTATGAAGGCTTTAAAAATAATAGCTCATAAACCATTTATTTTCCTTTCACATGTATGCATACCACAAGGAAATAATTTTTGTGTTTTATATGAGTTCAAGGTTTTTTTCATCTTCAGAATCCAGTTGACTGAAACAGAACCAGGTAATTACTGATACTAGCTGTGTCTTCTCTTTTTGTTCTGTTTTTTCTCTCCAAGAATTTATTTTTAGAAGAGATGTATGAAGTTCAAGCATTCTATGTTCCTTTCATTGTATGGAAAGAAGGCACAAGTGGGCCGGGCGCGGTGGCTCAAGTCTGTAATCCCAGCACTTTGGGAGGCCGAGGCGGGCGGATCACAAGGTCAGGAGATCCAGACCGTCCTGGCTAACACGGTGAAACCCCGTCTCTACTAAAAATACAAAAAATTAGCCGGGCCTGGTGGTGGGCGCCTGTGGTCCCAGCTACTCGGGAGGCTGAGGCAGGAGAATGGCGTGAACCCGGGAGTTGGAGCTTGCAGTGAGCTGAGATCGCGCCACTGCACTCCAGCCTGGGCGACAGTGAGACTCCGTCTCAAAAAAAAAAAAAAAAGAAGGCAAAAGTGATATAAATAAATTTTAAAATAATAATTAATTTTTATCTTTTCTAAAGTGCAAAATTTGGCTTTTTAAATCATCTGCAATTCATAATTTTTATTCCATTAATTTCTTTGGTATGTTTAATATTTGCTTCTTTCTCCATTTCTGTGTGTTTCTATCGTTTAATTCTTAATTTTTCAAAATAGATGCTTAGATTATTGATTTTCAGCCTTTTAAAACAGCTGTACTCAAAACTATACATTAACTTCTAGCCATGGCCTTTGCTGAATCCAAAAAGGTTTAATATGCAATAATGTGAATATTCAATTCAAAATATTTGATTATATTATTTATTATTGTATTCATTAGTTATTTTTAAATGTGATTTTTCACTTTCAAAAATGTATGGATTTTAGTTATATTTTTGTTATTTATTTGGATTAAGTGCATTAAAGATAGAAAAGATTATGATTTCTACACTTTGAAATGTTTGAGAATATTGTTTTTTTTTCAGATACAAACATTTTTATTTGCTTTCAATTCTTTTTTTTTTTGGTTACATTTCGCTAATAATGCCCTCATAGCTCTGATTATATTTATTTATTTATTCTTTTATTATTATTATTATACTTTAAGTTCTATGGTACATGTGCACTACGTGCAGGTTTGTTACATATGTATACATGTGCCATGTTAGTGTGCTGCACCCGTTAACGCCTCATTTACATTAGGTATATCGAAATGTTTGAGAATATTTTTAAGGCTCAGTATATGCTTAACTTAGCTAAAATATCCATTTGTGTTTCAGAAGACTGTAAATTCTGCAGTTCTCAGGTGTAATGTTCTATAAATGTCTATTAGATCAATTGTGTTAATTAAAATTATTCACTATGATTGTGTAGTTGCCTTTTTTTGCAATGTGTTATTGTTAATACTGCATTATGTATTTGAAGCTGTGTTATTAGGTACATACAAACTACAATTGTTATATCTTCTTTGTGAGTTCAAAGTTTTATTATTTTAAAGTTTGTCCATATTTTTATTAGTTTATATAAAATCAATTTTGTCTAATATAGATTTACCACCATTTGGAGGATAATATTTGCATATTTTTTATCACCCTTCTACTTTCAAATATTTTGCTTCCTTGCTTTTATATATGTCTTTAATAAATAAGAGTTGGATTTTTTCTTTTTAATCAAGTTTGACAGCCATAATATTTTAATTAGAGCATAAGTCCATTTATCTTAATTGTATAGTTGTGTTTGATTTTACTATCTTATTATCTACCTTCTATTTGCTTTAGCTGTTGTATGCATTCTTTCTCTCTTTTCTTGCCTTCTTTTAGACTTCATAAAAAGTATATTCAATTTTTGTCCTTCATTTTCTTGCTTCTTTTCTTGCTAGATACCCTAAAGATTCAACATGAATACTATACTTATGAATATCAATTACTGAAGGTCATTTTCACCTTCTTTCTATACAATGAAAGGAACACAGAAAGCTGGAAATTCATTTATCACCCAAAATCATATGCTATTTTTAGCTTATTTTAATTTTCTATATTTCAAGTCCATAAAACATTATTAATAGTATTTTATGCCATCAACATATGCTTAGATTTAACTAGTTCATTGTTCTTCCTTCCAAAATAGCCACAATCTAAGAATAATTTTCCTTCCACCTGAAGAATACATTTCTGCTCATGAATGTCTGAAGGGTAACCTTTCTGCTCATGACAGTTTCTCTCCAGTTTAAATTTGTCTGAAATAAAATACATTTATTCTTGAAACAGATTGAGATACTATCTTAGCAGTTGTTTCCTTTCACCATATGGAAGCAATCATTCTGTTGTTTCCTATATTCCATTGTTTCTGTTGAGAACTCAATTGTAACTCTGGTCAATTTTATTCACCTTATTTAAATAAACTTGTATGGTTTGATGATGGCCTTTTCTGCAATTCACTATCATACATCTCAATGGAGATTAATCTTTATTATTTTTCTTATTGAATGGAATTAATTGGGCATTTTGAACTTGTAGACTGATTATATTACTCAGTTTGGGAAAATTATGAGATAATATCTCTTTAAATATAGTCTTTGTTCCATTTTTCTGCCTTTTTATTCCAGAATTCTAACACAATGTAATTTACCATGTCATTGCCTATCCTATGCATCTCTTAACTGTTGGTCTATATTGTCTATTCTTTGGTACCCATTTGCTTCAGTCTAGAAATTTACTTTTCACCTACTTTTTAGTTCACTCGCTCACTCTCTCTTTACCTATTTCTAATTTTCTGTTAAACCCATTCAATGGATGTCAATTATTTTACTTTTTAGGGTAAGAACTTTCATTATTTTTGTCAAATATAATTGATAAATTTATACTTACTAATTTTTTGTTAAATTTTTCAGTCTTCTACCTTTTTGAAAATATTAATAGCAAAAACCACAATTACTTTTGCACCAACTTAATAATAAGCACATTTTTTATAGCCAGTGTATAATAATTCCAATATCTGGAGGCCTATGGGTGTTGTCTATTGACTGTTGTTTCTGCTGTTTCTCATTCACGCTGTCTTGCTCCAAGTGTGCCTGGCTATCTTGGATGCTAAACATTTATTTTAATATGTTTTTGTAAAAATAATTTGAGATTGAATTATGTGAATTTCCTACAAAGAAGGCTATTGTTTGCTTCTGTCAGATAACTAGGAGTTCTAACAATTCAGAATCTACTTAAACAAAAAACTCAGTAAACGTGATTTTGGCAGAGGCAACTCAGATAACGAGAAGCTTTCTGCAGACCATAAGAAGGCTGATTTGTTCAGCTTTACCCATGCTTCTATAATGTCCTTTGGAGTTCCAGACAAGAATAACAGATGAGATGTTTTGCAAACCCAATATGAGGGTTTCAAAAGCATCTATCTTTTGGATATTGGACTCATAATTTTCCCCAATATCTCAGCAAAAATGTATGCCCTAATTATCTAATCCACAAATTTGAAAGGCCACATGGCTTTCTGAACACTCACAACTGAATAAAAATGAGGATTACTGGCAAGTAGAAGATGTGGTCATTATCTAGTATTCAAGGAAAAGGCAGTTCACCAGGTATGTGCTGAGTCCACGCATATCATTCAGAAATTTCTCGGACAGGTACATATGCAGCATCAAAAAATCTGTGTTTCTTATTTGTGATAGTCATGAAAAGATCAATCCAATGTTCCAACTATGTGGCCTCTAGTGGCAGATTAGATCTGATAGGTTGCATCATCAAAAGATGTTGCAAATATAAGACAATCCAAGACAGTTCATTAGGATAAGTCAAAAATGCAAACAAAAATAATAAAAAGTATGAAGAGCTAAGTCAAAAGGCCATAGGCAGAATTGAAGTTAGTGTTGCAGGAAGTCAGGGACCCCAAATAGAGGGACCGGCTGGAGCCGCAGCAGAGGAACATAAATTGTGAAGATTTCCTGGACATTTATCAGTTCCCAAATAATACTTTTATAACTTCTTATGCCTGTCTTTACTTTAATCCCTTAATCCTGTTATCTTCATAAGCTGAGGATATATGTCACCTCAGGACCACTGTGATAATTGTGTTAACCATACACATTGATTGTAAAACATATGCGTTTGAACAATATGAAATCAGTGCACCTTGAAAAAGAACAGAATAACAGCGGCTTTTAGGGAACAAGGGAAGACAACCATAAGGTCTGACTGCCTGTGGGGTCGGGCAAAAAGAGCCATATTTTTCTTCTTGCAGAGAGCGTATAAACGGACGTGCAAGCAGGAAAGATATCGCTAAATTCTTTTCCTAGCGAGGAATATTAATATTAATACCCTGGGAAATGAATGCATTCCTGGGAGGAGATCTATAAATGGCCGCTCTGGGAATGTCTGTCTTATGTGGTTGAGATAAAGACTGAGATATGCCCTGGTCTCCTGCAGTACCCTCAGGCTTCCTAGGGTGGGGAAAAGCTCCGCCCTGGTAACTTGTGGTTGGACCAGTTCTCTGCTCTTGAACCCTGTTTTTTGTTGTTTAAGATGTTTATCAAGACAATACATGCACTGCTGAACATAGAACCTTATCAATATTTCTGCTTTTTGCCCTTTGAAGCATGTGATCTTTGTACCTACTCCCTGTTCTTACACCCCCTTCCCTTTTTAAAACCCTTAATAAAAACTTGCTGGTCTGAGACTCAAGCGGGCATTGTGGTCCTACTGATATGTGATGTCACCCCTGGTGGACCAGCTGTAAAATTCCTCTCTTTGTACTGTCTCTCTTTATTTCTCAGCTGGCCGACACTTATGGAAAATAGAAAGAACCTACATTGAAATATCGGGGGTGGGTTCCCCCAATAAGTTAGAGTTTCAGAAAAAATTCAGACAAGGGACTACACATTAATTGGCCAATAGATGTGTTTTATGTGGATGTGCCAAGCTGATATAAAGAGTTAGAGATAATAAGACATGAGAGGTTTGGATAACACTAAACTATGACTTCTTTGGTTTTGACTGCTTATAGAAGTAGGTGAACCTAGATTCCAAAAAGGAGCAGAATTGTTACCAGTGGAGTCTCAGTCTATTGACATGTAGTCATGGTGGTTGAAAAATTGCATCTATGGCATTTACGTATCTCACACACAGACACATAAACCCAAGTATAGATCACCACAAGATAAATTCAGAGGAGCAATCTTAGTGTCACTGCCCTTGTCTCTATCTTACCACCATATCCTCTCCTGATTCGGTTTATAAGAATAATATACTGGTTAAGTGCATCATCTGGAATCAAAACATATGATTTCAAATTCTGACTCTGCCATTTACTGACCTTACAACCTTTATTCTAGTTTCCTCAACTGTAAAGGGAATGACAGTTGTTATCTATCTAACGGAAATTTAGTAGAATTCACTAATTAATTCATACAAGCACTCAAAACACTGCCTAATGTATAGGAAGTGCTCAGTAAATATTAGTATCAACAAATTCAAATCAGGAAAGGCACGAGGACAGTCTGTTTCTTAAAAGTGTCTGTTCAATTGTACTCTGGCCAAAAATCCAATACCCTGTTAGAGATTTTCAGCTAAGATAATTAAAAACAATAGAAAGATTATTTCCTTACATTTAAGGAAGACTATTCTTTATTTGTGGCTGAAATGCTGTGTTCAGTTCTAGTCGATATATATCATAGCAAGAAAATAAGCGGGGAGAATGGTAACCTAAATACATCAGGAACATTAAACATGGGGGAAAATGTGATCAAATCAATAAAATTGTCAACAGCATGAACAGAATGAACTCTTAGTTATCTATTTCAGTGTTTTAGGATGACATGACACATCTTGAAACCCGAAGGAGGCAAACTGAAGTCAAAGAGTGCCATTTGACAATGCAGGAAATCACTAACCCTAAGAAATATTGCTTGGGAAATATTATCATTCTATAATTACAGATTTAAAATCATTTTATCCATGATGTTTTTTCTTCTTATGCCCTCCTCTTGCCCAAGGTCTACATTTTCCTTTTCATTTTCAAATAATTAGGTAATAAATCCTGATTTGTTACCATTGGAGTCAGAATGGATGACATCCACAAACTTTGCATCCGTGTAATCTAATCTGCTATATGGTGGTTTTCTGGAGAACCTTGGCCCAGCAGGGTCAAGACCTGGAAAGCAAGAAAGAAATAATCAGTCTCATCAAGTCCACAGAGCTCCTTACATTGCATACTTCCATTATTACTGCATTATAAACATAAAAAGCATTTATACTTTTAGTTTAAACCTATCCAAGAACATATCTAAAAACAAATGGAAGTGAATGAATAGCAGGTAACTTCAGTATTTGAATAATACTACTAACCTTCAGAGCTTTTCAGGTTAAGCCGCAACAAAATATTGTCGGAATTTTTGGAGTATTTTTCTGTGAGACTGAATTAGGAGTAATAAAGTAGTTTATATTTAATAATAACTACAACTATTTCTCCTGAAGGAAAAAAATAATGAATACCATCTGGTCCTCTCTTGAACTCTGTACATTACTAGCTCACTTTGGATTTATCTGTAGATAGACCTGAAAAGCTTTTTTAGGTGCCAAATATAATTTGGGCTATGGGATAAATCATGTTATCTTATCCATTTCTCGTAAGACTTTCTCACACACTCTTAAGAAAAGAAAAAATATATTTTAAATTCCATGGAGTGTGAATATTATTTCTGGGTTATCTTAATTTCTAAATAAAAATGCTAGGCTCATGACTTTCTGGGAATTGTCAAAAAGAGGAGAGAGAAGATAAAATTCAGTTTTTTGAGAACATCTATACAATGAAGAAACAATCATCTTAAAAAGATATTTGAAAGTAAAATATAGCACCAATAACAGACAAACAGAGAGCCAAATCATGAGTGAACTCCCATTCACAATTGCTTCAAAGAGAATAAAATACCTAGGAATCCAACTTACAAGGGATGTGAAGGACCTCTTCAAGGAGAACTACAAACCACTGCTCAATGAAATAAAAGAGGATACAAACAAATGGCATTCACAGTTGCTTCAAAGAGAATAAAATACCTAGGAATCCAACTTACAAGGGATGTGAAGGACCTCTTCAAGGAGAACTACAAACCACTGCTCAATGAAATAAAAGAGGATACAAACAAATGGAAGAACATTCCATGCTCATGGGTAGGAAGAATCAATATATTGTGAAAAGGTAATTTATAGATTCAATGCCATCCCCATCAAGCTACCAATGACTTTCTTCACAGAATTCGAAAAAACTACTTTAAAGTTCATATGGAACCAAAAAAGAGCCCGCATCGCCAAGTCAATCCTAAGCCAAAAGAACAAAGCTGGAGGCATCATGCTACCTGACTTCAAACTATGCTACAAGGCTACAGTAACCAAAACAGCATGGTACTGGTACCAAAACAGAGAAATAGACCAATGGAACAGAACAGAGCCCTCAGAAATAATGCTGCATATCTACAACTATCTGATCTTTGACAAACCTGAGAAAAACAAGAAATGGGGAAAGGATTCCCTATTTAATAAATGGTGCTGGGAAAACTGGCTAGCCATATGTAGAAAGCTGAAACTGGATCCCTTCCTTACACCTTATACAAAAATTAATTCAAGATGGATTAAAGACTTACATGTTAGTCTTAAAGCGATAAAAACCCTAGAAGAAAACTTAGGCAATACCATTCAGGACATAGGCATGGGCAAGGACTTCATGTCTAAATCACCAAAAGCAATGGCAACAAAAGCCAAAATTGAGAAATGGGATCTAATTAAACTAAAGAGCTTCTGCACAGCAAAAGAAACTACCATCAGAGTGAACAGGCAACCTATAGAATGGGAGAAAATTTTTGCAATCTACTCATCTGACAAAGGGCTAATATCCAAAATCTACAATGAACTCAAACAAATTTACAAGAAAAAAACGAACAACCCCATCAAAAAGTGGGTGAAGGATATGAGCAGACACTTCTCAAAAGAAGACACCTATGCAGCCAAAAAACACATGAAAAAATGCTCATCATCACTGGCCATCAGAGAAATGCAAATCAAAACCACAATGAGATACCATCTCACACCAGTTAGAATGGCGATCATTAAAAAGTCAGGAAACAATAGGTGCTGGAGAGGATGTGGAGAAATAGGAATACTTTTACACTGTTGGTGGGACTGTAAACTAGTTCAACCACTGTGGAAGTCAGTGTGGCGATTCCTCAGGGATCTAGAACTAGAAATACCATTTGACCCAGCAATCCCATTACTGGGTATATACGCAAAGGATTATAAATCATGCTGCTATAAAGACACATGCACATGTATGTTTATAGCGGCACTATTCACAATAGCAAAGACTTGGAACCAACCTAAATGTCCAACAACGATAGACCGGATTAAGAAAATGTGGCACATACACAGCATGGAATACTATGCAGCCATAAAAAAGGATGAGTTCATGTCCTTTGTAGGGACATGAATGAAACTGGAAACCATCATTCTCAGCAAACTATCGCAAGGACAAAAAACCAAACACCGCATGTTCTCACTCATAGGTGGGAATTGAACAGTGAGAACACATGGACACAGGAAGGGGAACATCACACACTGGGGACTGTTGTGGGGTGGGGGAAGTGGGGAGGGATAGCATTAGGCGATATACCTAATGCTAAATGATGAGTTAATGGGTGCAGCACACCAACATGGCACATGTATACATATGTAACAAACCTGCACGTTGTGCACATGTACCCTAAAACTTAAAGTATAATAATAATAAAATTTAAAAAAAATTTAAATAAAACTGAAAAATTCCTAGAAAAAAAGTAAAATATAATGTTTTTCATTTCAAAAACCTCTATTATCCCCATTTTATTTAACCCACTTGACTGAATGAGACAGAATCATCTATCTTCCTATAAATCATTCTGATATAGAACCTCCATGTTTGGTGGCCTTTTAGTACCTGATGATTGCCTGGTATTTGGGCCATTCAAGCTAGACTAATATGTGTAAACACAATTTAAAGTACAAATTGAGCAAGTGTGGTTTTGGAAAGAGAATGAGCTTTAAGCACTAGGGAACTTTGTATAAGTAAATCCTGGCTAAACTGCTATTTCTTGACCCTCCTACATTCATTCAGTTAATTTGTTTTCACACATATTTGATAACATTAAAACTAATCAGAGTAAGTAAGGGTATGCATAAGGTTTGTAAAGATAACTATCTATATGTTATTCACCTCTTTCCCCCTTTTTTGAAACTTAACTAAGGACACTATTTTCTTTTATCAACACTTAAAGTTATTATAAGTCTTCTATGGCCATAGATATGAATAATTGCTTTTTTTTCAAAACAAAAAAGGTAAATTGGTTGAAAGGAATATTATCCTCCTATTCCTAAAGTCACTACCACTCATAGAGGAAAGAATGAAAATCCATATCAGCCTTATTAGATGACTGAGCTTCCTGGATGCAGTAACTTTGTTATAGAAATATGAAGGGGGACCCAGAGTCCCTCAAATTGGATGCAACTCCTGATTCTTTTGTAGCATTCAAGTAAAAATTTTTAGAGAGTTGAAATGCATCAAAGTTTGTGATAACTAAGTAAATAGTTATATTCTTAGCTAATACATAAAGTATTTTTCTTTAATGAGTCATATTTACTTCTGTATTCTTACGATAGTATGTCCTTAAAATTTAGCTGGGACTGCAGGAATAGATGTTTTTCTCCCATTTCCATTTGGGTAACTTAAGCTCTGTTGAGAACTTAACAAAACTTTAGAGTCTAACTAAAACAAAGCCAATATTTAAATATAACATAGAAAAAATAAATGTTTGTACATAATTTCTATTGAGTAATTATTGTACCCACTAAATTTTAAGCAAAGTGGCTGGCCACAGTGGCTCATGCCTGTAATCCAAGTACTTTGGAAGGCCGAGGCAGGCAGATTACTTGAGGTCAGGAGTTAGAGACCAGTCTGGCCAACATGGTGAAACCCTGTCTCTACTTAAAAAAAACAAAAATTAGCCGGTGTGGTAGTGAGTGGGCACCTGTAATCCCAGCTACTCAGGAGGCTGAGGCAGGAGAATCACTTAAGCCCACGAAGCAGAGGTTGCAGTGAGCCGAGATCGCACCACTGCACTGCAGCCTGGGCAACAGAGCGAGACTCTGTCTCAAAAAAAAAAAAATTAGCAAAGTAACTTCTGATACTTAAAAGTATGCTAAAGCAATAATTTTATAAAAATAATTTTACCTGTTATTCTTCCAAGTTGACCATGAAATATCTTTCCAACAAATCCACTGATATGAGCCCCTAAGCTCACACCTATGAAATGAAAATTGTCAAGAGATGCACCATGCTTCTGCAATTAAAGAGAAAGGCAATATTACAGTATTCATTTCAAGTAATAACAAATCATGCCCCCCTCATATATCGACATTTCAAAATTCATTATTTTTCTGGCTTGATTCATTTTGGGGATATCGGGAAAGAGACTTTATAATTTCAAGATGACTATATATTTGTTCAACTTTTGCCACAAAATATTTGATTTTTCTTTATTCATTTTTAATATCAATTTATTTTAAAATTGTATCATCTCATGCAGAACAGTATGCAAAATGCAATTAATTAGCAGAGTGTTTTATAATAATCAACATTACTAGGTGCTTACTTTCTGCTAGCTACCTCGATATGGGCCTTACAAAGTTCATATTTAATACTTCCAATTTCGTTATGAGTTATTCATTTTTATTCTAATGCCTAAAACTGTCAGTAGCACCTATTAAATGCTAAATAAATAATATTGGATCAATTCCAATTTTATTAAGGAAACTGCCAGAAGTAACAACTTTCCCAAAGCCACATAGATTCATAAGAGGAAAAGATGGATTCCAAGCTGCTGTGGTCTGAATGTTTGTGTCTCCCTAAAATTCATATGTTGGAATTCTAATCCCCAAGGTGATGATATTTGGAGGTGAGGCCTTCTTGTGGGTTAGGAGAATTATGTCATGAGTGTGGAACCCTCATGAAAGGGATTACTGCCCAGATAGAAGAGACCTGAGGGATCTCCTTCTACTCTTCCACCATGTGAGGACACAGTGAAAAGGCATAATCTATGAACCAGGAATTGGGCCCTCACCAGACACTGAATCTGCTGATGCCTTCTCCTTGGACTTCTCAGACCCTGAAACTATGAGAAATAAATGTTTCTTGTTTATAAGCTACCTAGCCTATGGTATTTTGTTACAGCAGCCCAAATGGACTAAAACACAAACCTAGGTCTCACTCCAAAATTATGCTAATTTGCCTTCTTGTTTTATCTGATCAGGTTGTGTCAAAAACCTTAGGAAGATTCACAAAAGTTCAATAATGATTCTCACTTCAGAGATGATGAAATTAATTTTATGGATTTTAGGTGACTTCCTTCCCCTGATCACCAGCTCAGGAGTGATGCATCCAATCTTCCAAGGCCAACGTCTGAATACCTCTTAGTCTCAGCTCCAGGAAGGGAAATTAGAAGACTACATGAGAGTGTACTTCCACCACACTCTTGGGGAGCTATTGTGAGACTTGTGGACAGATCATGGTCCAGCCCACACAGTGATATGTCTGATGGCTTACAGAAAGATGTGGAGCGCTTGCCACTAATGAAAAACTACCCTCAGGCTTTCAAGGCACAAGGTTATGATTTTCTTCAGATTTCTCACAGCCATGCCCCAAAACATAAGGGAGTATCTCTCGAGACTCCAGTGCTGCCGGTCATTTAAATCTTCCTCTGTAATATGAAGCCTCTGTAAGCAAAGGCACTGTTAGAATTTTATCTAATATTACAAATTTTCCTAAATATTTCTATTTAATATTCACATTCTCCACACTTTGAGGCACATATTTATTAGTTGAGAAAACACCAGTAACATCAGGAAAAATCAATGATGTAATTAATAGTCTGTTGGTGGAGATGGTTGAATCAATTACCTCCTCTGTCTCTCTACAGCAATGGTATTGTTTTGTCCAAATTTGGGGGTGTAAAAATAATAATGAAAGTTGATCTTAATGATTACTAAATGTCACCCACTGATTAAGCACATATATATTAATTCAATATTCATATAAATATTTTTGTAACATGTTGTTATTCTATATGTACAAATAAGGAAATGCAGCACAGAGAGGCTATGTAATTGTTCAAAATTACACAGATGATAAAAGATGGACATACAGTTTGAACCCATCCAGTCTGACCCCTGGCCACTACATATAACGGCTTCTTGGAAGTGTTGTTATTTGTTCAATTTTTAGCAGAGTCTTGAAAGTTCAGCACAACACAACTCAAGTTTAAATTTCAAGCTCAATAATGCCCCCGAATCAGATATCACCCTTCTTTCTCTCAAGTACCCACAACTACCTACTTTCTTTTAGGATAGACATGGATCTCCCTAAGGGTTGACTTAATAAACAAAAATCATTCACAGTGCAGATAACATAGAACTGGACTGAATTTTATTTGATCCATTCAAATCCTGAGCAGACTTGAATGAATCTGATGTTCACCTCCAAAGCTGACAGAAGTATGCTACTTTTCAAAATGATTTTTTGCCTGTAATCCCAGCACTTTGGGAGGCCAAGGTGGGCAGATCACCTGAGGTCAGGAGTTCGAGACCAGCCTGGCCAACATGGTGAAACCTCGTCTCTACTAAAAATACAAAAATTAGCTGGGCATTGTGGTGGGCACCAGTAATCCCAGCTACTCGGGTGGCTGATGCAGGAGTATCACTTGACCCTGGGAGGTGCAGGCTGCAGTGAGCCAAGATCGTGCCACTGTACTCCAGCTTGGGCAACAGAGTGAGAACCTGTCTCAAAAAAAAAAAAAAAAAAAAAAAGATTTTTCTTTACTTTTACCAATTCACACTCGATTATATGCAAATATTTTAGCCGTATATTTTAAAAGATACCTGAAGATTGTAATAATTATAAAGTTTATTTCCCCCACCCACATAGGATAACTATTTTATTCTGAGGTTGGTATAGGTAGAGTTAAAAGAAATCTCAGAAGATTTTTAAATAAAACCTAATAATTACTAAATTTTAATATAATGTTTTAAAAATAACACAGGATATGTCTAGGTATAGAATTATTCATTTAGGCAGACAAAGAAAAGATGGCTGCATACATTGGTATATCAAACCAGTAATTGTTAATGCTTATGGGGAAAAGTATATAGTTTATTATCACTTTGTGGTATTGAATGTAACACACTGCATATTGTATAGCACGTATAATATATTGTATAGCATGTATAATACATAAAATTCCCAGACTTACCAAAAGATTTTTAATGTGCACACTCAAACTCACAGCAACTTTTCTGGTGTTTTTAACTGCTCTATTATAAATAAAAGTTGTAGCACCCCGGCTCCAGTCTACTACAATTACATTCATATCTTCTTCATTCAGCAAAATCCTTACGAAGTTCTGAAGCCATAATGGGATGGAGCCTACTGGTCTGTATCCGTGAATAAGCCAGACTGTTTTCTTTTGTGTGTTGAAATTAACATTAAGTGAGTTATTTTGTTCAAACAGTGGCTCAGCACAGTTTAGGTTGTTCCTTGTATACATCATCAGAATGGTCTCTATTCTCGGAATAAATAAATCTCTGAAGGAATCCTTTACACTTAGCTGAGAGAATTCAAGGCATGGTCTTTTATTATCTGAAATAAGAAAATGTCAGTCAAGCTGAGTACTGGGATAGTATTTTATTCCTGTTGCTATTGCAAAGAACAGAATTAAATGTGGAGGGTAGGGAGGATTTCATTTCATGAGCCCTTCAACATAATTTACTGAGCAACTGCAATGTTGAAGGTAATGTATTAATTATGTAAAAAGATTTTCTGAACCAAAAGTAATGGAAAATATAAATGTGATTGGTTAAAAAATTAAGAAGAGATTTTTATCTGTACAAAATATAATAGTAATGGGTGTGAGCGAAAATAAGATTGTTAATAAAGTGCAATGGGTACTAATCAAAGTTGATACATTGATTATAAACTTTAACAAAAGTTTTACAGAGTAGTCCTTGTACAATAAGCATTAGCATAAAATATATTTAACTTGTCTAGTCATCAATACAAAACAATAAAGTAATATTTTCCCCATAAAATTTAAAATGTTTCAAAAAATTAAATAATAAATATTAATATAACATGAATGTTGAGATCATAAGTTGATACAACATTCCTTTGAAATTTTGCATGTGTGTGCTTACTGTACACATAAACTTAACAAATCTTTTTCTTAATTTTCTTTCTAGGACTTACAAACCATTTGTAATAAGTGTAAAGACTTTAACCGCTGGGTTATGTATAATGGGACAAAAATGTAAAACATCTTAAATCTCATCCTTATAGTATTTTCATCCATGTGTGCATTCTATAACTATTAACTATCTATCTATATATTGCTCTATATACTTATCTATCTACCCTAGAAAGAACTAGGGCAGAAAATAAATAACTAAACCAGATGAATAGCAATAGTCATTGCTAGACAATGAAATGATGACTGCCTTTTGTTTTCTTTTTCACAGATTTTTGTGATTCTATTTTTTTCATAATAAGCAAATAATCCCCATAGTGGTTTTTTTTCCAGATGATAGTATATGTTCATACTGCTTCTAGCACTTTAATTTGATAATAATATTCAGGAAATAATTTTTCAATCCATACCAAAAATTAACAAAAGTATTAATGCACTTTATGCCAGTAATTCCACTTTAAAGAATCTATCCCAGAAAAACATAGCAAAACAAGAGGTAACGTATTATTTTAATACTGAGATAATATGCATTTCTTACAATAATTCTAGTTTTCAAGTATATACACAATATTGTCACAATTGATTAGATGAAGAGAAATAAGGAAGGCAATGAAGGAGAAGCAAGACTTGCATTCCATTCCTATATTAACAGCTGAGAGATATTTGGAAAAATTATTTCATTTGTTGTAAATATCAGAGAATGAGGAAGAGAAATATATTGAAACACAATACAATATGAATGCATGCTACACCGTGCAAATTGTGTGGGAAATCTATACATCCACCTTCTCACCACCTGGAATTCTGACAAGAATTTAATACATATCAATACCAATCAATACATCCAAAGTGCTGGTCCACTCCAAGCTAAAGTCAATTTTACCTGGCCCTAGAATAAGTAATGAGGAATAAACCAGTAGGATCCTGGTGATAAATACAAGAGAAAGAAATCATCACCTAATATAATCAACAAATATATCTATTATCTATTAAAAGATATAAAATATTTTTCATTAGAATGCAAGAAAAAATACATCTCAAAAACTGGAGCAGGAGTAAAAAATACAAAAATTAGCCAGACATGGTGGTGCATGCCTGTAATCCCAGCTACTCAGGAGGCCGAGGCGGGCGGATCACGAGGTCAGGAGATCGAGACCATCCCGGCTAAAACGGTGAAACCCCGTCTCTACTAAAACTACAAAAAATAGCCGGGCGTAGTGGCGGGCGCCTGTAGTCCTAGCTACTTGGGAGGCTGAGGCAGGAGAATGGCGGGAACCCGGGAGGCGGAGCTTGCAGTGAGCCGAGATCCCGCCACTGCACTCCAGCCTGGGCGACAGAGCAAGACTCCGTCTCAAAAAAAAAAAAAAAAAGAAAATGGAAATATATAAAGTAGAAAGAATGAAACAAAATGATGAAATTACACTAGAGAAAAGAATATATATGATATGTGAGCAGTTCTGTACCCTGCCTATTAAAAAGCAAAAAATAAAAATAAACTTTTTTTAAAAAGTAACAAGATATTTAAAGGAGGTACACAGGCAATTTTAAATAAATAGAGAACTAAGTATATTCTATACAAAATAAAAAGAAAATAGGTTGGTGTGTTATAGTGCAATAATGGCACCAATTCACCACTCCCTGAATCCATCTCATTTCTCTTGGAAATTTTAGTTACATCATAAGTGGGGTGACTTGTTCCACTCCTTGATATGGACACAAATGTAGGGCGTGCCCTAGAAAATAGAACCTTAGGAAACTTAATGCAAGCAGAGGCTTAAAATCAGCTTGTGTATGTGGGCTTGGACGTCCTAACCTCTGCTATCACCACAAAAGCATCCATAGTCTGGCCTGTTAGAAAAGGAAAGACAGTTGTAACAGTGCAAAGTCCTCCAATGTGCTAGGTTCTAGTCACCCCAGCTGACTGACAGTCATTCAATAGCCAGACATGAATTGAACCAAGAAAAACAGTGTTACCTAACCAACTCCCATATGACTCCACAAGTGTGAGTAACAGCTGCTTAACATCAAATCCCACTGAGGGTTAAGAGTTTTATTTTATTTTTATTTTATTTTGGCATTATTGTGACATCATATAGTCGATTTCATCAGCAACATTAATATCAAGTAAAGAGAATAAAAACAAAAGTCATCAAATGATACAGTGGGCACGGTGGCTAACGCCTGTAATCTCACCACTTTGGGAGGCCGAGCTGGGTGGGTCACCTGAGATCAGGAGTTCGAGATAAGCCTGGACAACATGGTGAAACCTCATTTCTACTAAAAATACAAAAATTAGCTGGGTGTGGTTGTGGGCGCCTGTAATCCCAGCTACTTGGGAGGCTGAGGCAGGAGAATCACTTGAACCTGGGAGGTGGAGGCTGCAGTGACCGAGTTCACACCACTGCACTCCAGCCTGGGTAACAGAGCAAGACTCTGTCTCAAAACAAACAAAGAAACAAACAACAACAACAAAAACAGTTATCAAATGACACACAAAAAAGTTAAACTAATGTATTGTCAAACTCTTAAGGAACATTAAATTGATTCAATTCTACTAGATTTAGGAATAGAAAGAAAAATAAAATTCTAGACAACAAAAACTTACAGAAATCCCTGATGAGATTATAAGTGGACTCTTCAGCAGAAACTTTGCAGGGCAGAAGGCAATGGAAAGATATATTTTAAATGTTGAAAGAAAAACTATCAACCTAGAATTCCATATCCAACAAAATTGTCCTTTAAAAATGAGGAAGAAATTAAAACATTCCAACATTCCCACACAAGCATAAGCTGGGAATTCCTTACCTCCAGACCCACTCTACATGAAATGTTAATGCAAGTCCTTCACATTTAAAAGAAAGTACACTAGACAAGTAACTAGAAGTCATACAAAAATACAAAAATATAAGTTTCTGTGGTAAAGACAAATATATGACAAATAAAAACAGTTTTGCTTTGTAACTTTACTTTTTATTTTCTACAGGACTTAAAAGACAAATGAATAAAAATAATTATGAATGCATGTTAATGGGTACACAATATATAATGATGTAATTTGTGTCATCGGTAAAATTAAGTAGGGGAGAGTGGAACTGTAAAGAAGTAGAGAATTTTGTTATGGTATTGGAGTTAAGTTAGTATCAATTTTAAAAAGATAATGATTTTGGGCTATTATTTGTAATCCTCAATGTAATCAAAAAGAAAACATCTATAGAATATTTAAGAAAGAAAATGAGAAGAGAATCAAAACACGCTGCTACCAAAAAAATCAATTAAACACAAAGAAAGGCAGTAGTGGAGGAAATGAGGGACAAAAAGGCTTTAAGACATACAGAAAACTAATAACAAAGTGGTAAAAATAAGTGCTTTGCTATCAATGATAATTTTAAATGTAGGTAGACTAAACAACCCCCCCAACTGAAAACATATTGGCAGAATGAATAAAAATCAGGACCAGACTATATGTTACCTACAAGAGACTCAGTTTAGATTTAAAGACATATAGGCTGAAACTTAAAGAATGTAAAAAGATATTCAATGCAAAATGTAACTAAAAGTGAGCAGAAATGCTGCACTAACATCAAGCAAATTAACTAAGTTAAAATCTGTTACAAGAGACAAATATATTAAAATGCTGAAACAGTAAAAATTCTTAGAAGAAAACAAGGGGGAAACATTCATACCTTGGATTTGGCATTGATTTCTTGAATATTACAAGAACAGAACCACAGGCGACAACAGAAAAAAAAAATGAGTAAATTGGACTTAATCAAAAGTAAAACTTTTATGCATCAAAGGACATTATCAACAAAGTAAAAAGGCAACCCACTGAATGTGAGAAAATATTTATTAATCATATATCTGATATGGATTAATTAATTAATATCAGAATATTATAATGAACTTCTATCACTCAACAACAAAAACACAAACAACCCAATTAAAACTGGGCAAAGACTTAAATTGACTTATCAATGAAGATATCCAAAAGTTCCATAAGCTTATGAAAACAAGCTCAATATCACTATCACTAATAATTGGGGAAACAGAAATCAAAAGTATAATGAGATGCCACTTCCTACCTATTATGATACTTGCTAAAAACACACACACACAAAAATGGAAAATAACAACTGTTGGTGAGGATGTACAGAAATTGGAACCATTGTGCATTGCTGATGGGTTATAAAATGGTGTAGCTGCTGTGGAAAATGGTATGGTGGCTCCTCAAAAATTGAAAATAAACCTACCATATTATCCAGCAATTCCACTTCTGTATATACACCCAAAAGAATTGAAAACAGTAACTGGAAAATATATTTGTATACCCATGTTTATAGAAGCATTATTTACAATAGCTAAAAGGTGGAAGCCACACAAGTATCCATCAACAGGTGAATGAACAAAACCTGGTAGATATCTAGAATGGAATATTGTTCAGCTTTGAAAAGGTGAAATTGACACATACTACAATAAGAATAACTTTGAAGACATTATGTCAAGTGAAAATAAACTGGACATAAAAGGACAAATACCATATGATTCAATTTAAATGAGATACCGAGATCAGTCAAATTTATAGAGACGGAAAGTAGGATTGTGGTTGCCCTGGGCTGAGGGAAAAGGGGAAATGAGGAGTTATATTTAATAGATATAGAGTTGATGGGTACAGAATTTGAGTTTTGAAAGATAAAAAATTCTGGCGATGGATGATGATCATGGTTGCATGACAGTGTGCATGCAGTTAATGCCACTAACCTATAAACTTAAAAATGGCTAAAATAATAATTTTTTCTGTGTGTTTGACACAATTGAAAGAAAACAAAACAAAACATTAAGAATCCAATTCCTGTCATTATAGATATCTCATCCCAGATTTGCCTTACTGCTGTAAACAACCAGAACAGTGGATAAACTATATGGGAAAAAAATTTAGACACTGGACAACAAAAAACACAGAATTGTGATTGCTGAAAGGGAAGCAATGTATTTGAACCCTATAAACTCATAGCTTTCTGCTTGGAGGCCATTTCCAGACTGCTGTGTAAAAAGGGCTCAATTAATCAGAGTATAGCAGTCTTGTCAAGTCGGGGAGAAACATCAGAGTCTGGGAAGTCTGAGACAACTAGAATTTGAAAGGCAAAGTGTCAGAGAGGAAGGAGCCAGGCAGAAGAAAAACTCTGAAATCTGCATAGGGGTCTCTTATATCTGGATGTTGCTGGATCCATATGTTGCTGGATATGATCCTTTGCATACATGGGATAGAATCACAAAGAGCTGAAAGCTGAACAATTTTCGAGGTCACATTAGACTAGGAGAGATTGAAGTTGCAACTAGGCAAAGTAGGAAGACCTTAATAAATGCAGGGACATTCAGTAGGATCCCCAGAATGGTCAGACTTTAGTTTAAATGGCACTAAACCAAGTCTAGAATAAAAGAGAACTTAGAGTCATCCTCCTTCTCTCATTCTCCAAGCTCTGCTTGCTTTCATTCAGCCTCATTATCTGGCAAAGGACAGGCTATGCATATAAAATATTTAAGGAAAACATTAACAATCTTGGCATAGGCAAAGGACTCTAAGATACGATACACAGTAAACATGAAACAGAAAAAAGTGATAAATTGGGCTTTTACATAATAATACATATCTTCTAAAAGGACACTGTTAAGAATATGAATATGCAGACTTGTGTATCTGAAAAATACTTGTATCTAGACTAACATGTATATGTATTATAATAAGAAAATTCAATGTTTCAATCGGCAAAAGAATTAAAGACATTTTACAAAAGATGGCATAATGTCTAAGAAGCTCAAGAAATAATACTCGACATCACTAGTCATCAAAACAATGTGAATTAAAACCAAAATAATATACCACTACATACCCAGGAGAATGGCTAACATTAAAAACTGACAAAACCAATGAGGATGTAAAGCAACTGAAACCCTTGAACATTGCTGGGGGAAATGACAAAATGATACAATTATTGTTAGTTTCTTATAAGGTTACATGCACTTATATGACCCGAAAAATTAACTTGTGGATGTTAATGCATGAGAAATAAAAACATGTCCTTACCACATTTACGAGTTCGTAGCGTTTTTTTTTTTTACATGACACCAAATTGTAAAAAAAAAAAACAAAACAAGAAGTATATGGGTAAATAAACTGTGGCATGTCTGTGTAATTTAATACTACCCAGCAATAAAAAGAAATAAACTTTTTATGCATGCAAAAACTTTGATGAATCACAAAAGCATTATGCTGAGCAAAAGACTCCAGAAACAAAAAAGTACATATTTTAAATTTTCATGTATATGAAATTCTATAAAAGAAATATTTAATCTAGCGTCATAAAGAAGGTCTGGGTTATATCGAACCAGAGGTGTGGAAGGGATTAATTGCAAAAAGCTAACTAACTTTTAAGGGTGCAGGAAGTGTTTTATATCTTGATTTTATGGTTGTTATATAAGTGCACATAAGAAGTATGGTGCACCTATTTTTTCAAAACTCATTAGGCTTGGTGCAGTGGCTCACATCTGTAATCCCAGAACTCTGGGAGGCCAAGGCAGGAGAATAGCTGGAGGCTAGGAGTTCAAGACAAGCCTGAGCAAGGTAGCAAGATGATGTCTTTACAAAAAAAAAGTAAAAATCTAGGTCTGGTAGTGCACACCTGTGGTCCTGCCTACTCAGGAGGCTGAGGTAGGAGGATTGCTTGAACCCAGAAGATCAAGGCTGCAGTGAGCCATGGTAGCACCACTGCACTCCAGCCTGGGCAACAGAAGGAGAACCTATCTCAACAACAACAACAAAAAATAATCAAAGTACATTTAAATGTGTGTACATTTTATTGTATTTATAGTAAACATCAATAAAATTAGTTTTAAAAAACATAGTAAAGGTCCAATACTTTTTAAATAATAGAAAAAATATAAAGTTCAACAAATAATTCTTAAAACCTGGAATAACCCTAATATCAAACATAAAGATAGGACAAATACACACACACACACACACACACATACACCAGATAAATGAGATATAAGTCATTGTAACCCATACAACAATCTAATGGCAAAATTCCCAAATCACAAAAATACAGAGCATAAGAACAAAAAAATAATTTATACTATTTTAAATATAAGTTAAAATAGAAATATAATTTATTAAAATAACAGAATGCTTTTTTATTTTATGCCAATTGGAATCATCATACTAATGATAAAACACTAGGGCATATTTCCATTAAAATTAAGAAAGTATAAAAAGTGCTATCATACTATGTATTATTTTTTAATATTCTAACTTAGCATTAAGATTTGAAAAGTAGGAAGCTAAAAATCATGATAAAATGTTGCAGGTGCTGACAAACAAAATAGCCAGTATAGAGGATAATGTAACTGACTGGCTAGAGCTGAAAAACACACTACAAGAATTTCATAATGCAATCACAGGCATTAATAGCAGAATAGACCAAGCAGAGGAAAGAATCTCCGGGTTAGATTCTTTCTGAAATAAGACAGGCAGACAAGAGTAGAGAGAAAAGAATGAAAAGGAAGAACAAAACCTCAGAGAAATATGGGATTATGTAAAGATACCAAATAAATCTATGACTCACTGGTGTACCTGAAAGAGATGAGGAGAATAGAACAAAATTGGAAAACATATTTCAGGATATCATCCAGAAAAATTTCCCCAACCTACCGGAGAGGCCAACATTCAAATTCAGGAAATGCAAAGAACCTCAGTAAGATACTTCACAAGAAGATCATCCCCAAGACACATAATCATCAGATTCTCCAAGGTTGAAATGAAAAAAAAAAATGTTAAAGGCAGCCAGAGAGAAAAACCAGGTCACCTACAAAGGGGAGCCATCAGACTAACAGAGCACCTTTCAGCTGAAACCCTACAAGCCAGAACAGATTGGGAGCCAATGTTCAAGATTCTTAAAGAAAATAAATTCCAGTCTAGAATTTCATATCTGGGCAAACTAAGCTTCATAAGCAAAAGAGATATAAGATCTTTTTCAGACAAGCAAAGGCTGAGGGAATTTGTTACCACCAGACCTGCCTTACAAGAGCTCTGGAAGAAAGCACTAGATATGGAAAGGAAAGATCTTTACCAGCCATTACAAAAATATACTGAAGTACACGACCAGTGACACTATAAAGCAACCACATAAGCAAGTCTGCAAAATAACCAGCCAACATCATGAGGACAGGATAAAATCCACATATATCAATACTAACCTTAAATGTCAATGGGATAAATGCCCCAATTGAAAGACACAGAGTGGCAAACTGGATAAAGTGCCAAGACCCATTTGTATGCTGTCTTCAAAAGACCCATCTCACATGCAATGACAAACATGGGCTCAAAATAAAGGGATGGAGAAGAATCTACCAAGCAAACATAAAACAGAAAAAAAATAGGGGTTGCAATCCTAGTTTCTGACAAAACAGATTTTAAACCAACAAAGATTAAAAAAAGACAAAACATTACATAATGGTAAAGGGTTCCATTCAACAAGAAAATCTAACCATCCTAAATATATATGTACCCAACACAGGAGCACCCAGATTTGTAAAGCATGCTCTTTCTCAGAGATCTTCAAAGAGACTCAGAATCCCACACAATAATAATGGGAGACTTCAACAACCCACTGATAATATGAGATACATTATTGAGACAGAAAATTAATAAAGATATTTAGGATCAGAACTCAGCACTGGGTCAAATGGACCTGATAGATATCTCCACATAAAACAATAGAATACACATTTTTTTCAAGGCCACATGGCAAATAGTCTAAAATCAGACACATAATTGAAAGTAAAACACTCCTCAGCAAAACAAAAGAAATGAAATCATAACAAAAAGTCTCTCATACCACAGTGTAATCAAATTAGAAATTAACACTAAGAAATTCACTCAAAATGATACAATTACATGAAATAGAATAGCCTACTCCTAAGTGAATACTGGGTAAAATTAAGGTTTCAAGAAATTATTTGAAACTAATGAGAACAAAGATGCAACATACCAGAATCTTTGGGACACAGCTAAGGCAGTGATAAGAGAGAAATTGATAGCACTAAATGACCACATCAAAAAGTTAGAAAGATCTCAAGTTAACAATCTAACATCACAACTAAAAGAACTAGGGAACCAAGAACAAACAAATCACAAACTAGCAGAGACAACAAATAACCAAAATCAGAGCTGAACTGACGGAGACTGAGAAATGAAAAACTATTCAAGAGATCAATGAATCTAGGAGGTGGTTTTCTGCAAAAAAAAATACAATAAATAGACTGCTAGCTAGACTAATAAAGAAGAAAAGGAGGAGAGTCAAATAAACGGAATCAGTAACAAGGGTTATATTACTACTTAACCCACAGAAACACAACCACCAGAGAATATTATGGACACTTCTATGCATATCAACCAGAAAATCTAGAAGAAATTGATAAATTCCTGGACAAATACATCCTCCCAAGACAGACTTCAGGAAGAATTGGAATCCCTGAACATACCAGTGATGAGCTCTGAAATTTAGGAATAAATAGCCTACCAACCAAAAAAAAAAAGCCTAAGAAAAGTCTGGGACCACATGTATTCACAGCTGAATTCTACTAGATATAAAAGAAGAGCTGGTACCATTCCTACTGAAACTGTTCCAGAAAAAATGAGGAGGAGGGACTCCTCCCTAAATCATTCTATGAAGCCATCATCATCCTGATACCAAAATCTGGCAGAGATTTAACAACACCACAAAAAACTTCAGGCCAATATCATTGATGAATATCAATGCAAAAATCCTCAACAAAATACTGGAAAACTGAATCCAGTAGCACATCAAAAAGCTTATCCACCATGATCAAGTAGGCTTTATCCCTGAGATGGAAGGTTGGTTCAACATACACAAATCAATAAATGTGATTCATCACATAAACAGAACTAAAGACAAAAACCACATGATTATCTCAATAGATGCAGAAAAGGCCTTCAGTAAAATTCAACATCGCTTCATGCTAAAAACTCTCAATAAACTATGTATTGAAGGAACATGCCTCAAGATAATAAGAGCCATATATGACAAACCCACAGCCAACATCATACTAAATGTGTAAAAGCTGAAAGCATTCCCCTTGAAAACCAGCCAAGACAAGGATACCCTCTCTCACCACTCCTGTTCAACATAGTATTGGTCCTGACCAGGGCAATCAGGCAAGATTTGAAAGAAATAAAAGGCATCCAAATAGGGAGAGAGGAAGATGAACTACCACTGTTTGCAGACAACATGATCCTATCTCTAGAAAACCCTATAGTCTCTGCCCAAATGCCTCTTAAATTGATAAAGAAGAACTTCAGCAAAGTCTTAGGATACAAAATCAATGTGCAAAAATCACTATTATTCCTATACACCAACAAAGTCAAGCCTAGAGCCAAATCAGGAATTAACTCTCATTCACAATTGCCACAAAAAGAATAAAATACCTAGGAATACATCTAACTAACTAGGGTAGTGAAAGGTCTCTACTAGGAGAACAACAAAACACTGCCCAGATAAATCAGAGATGGCACACAAAAATAATCGAAAAACATACCATGCTCATGGATAGAAAGAATCAGTATCATTAAAATGACCATACTGCCCAAAGCAATTTATAGATTCAATGTGATTCCTATTAAACTACCATTGAGAGTATTCACAGAATGAGAAAAAAAAAACTATTTTAAAATTCACATGGAACCAAAAAAGGGCCCAAATAGCCAAGGCAATCCTAAGCACAAAGAACAAGGCTGGAGGCATCACACTACCTGACTTCAAACTATACTACAGGGCTACAATAACCAAAACAGCATGATCCTAGTACAAAAGCAGACACATAAACCAGTGGAACAGAGTAGAGAACCCAGACATAATGCTGCACACCTACAACTAGCTGATCTTCAACAAACCTGCCAAAAACAATGGAAAGGATTCCCTGTCGAATAAGTGGTGCTGGGATAACTGACTAGCCATATGAAGAAGATTGAAACTGGACTCCTTCCTTACATCATATACAAAAATTAACTGAAGAGGGATTAAAAACATAAAATGTAAAACCCAACACTACAAAAGCCCTGAAAGACAACTTAGGCAATACCATTCAGAACATAGACACAGGCTAAGATTTCACGACAAAGACACCAAACGCAATTGCAACTAAAACAAAAATTAACAAGTGGGATCTAATTAAACTAAAGAGCTTCTGCACAACAAAAGTAACTATCAACAGACTAAACAACCTACAGAATGGGAGAAAATTTTTGCAAACTATGCATCCAACAAAGGTCTAATATCCAGAATCTATAAATCTATAAGGAACTTAAACAAATTTACAAGAATAAAAACTAACAACTCCATTAAATAGTGGGCAAATGACATGAGCACATCAAGAAGCTTATCCACCATGATCAAGTGGGCTTCATCCCTGGCATGCAAGGCTGGTTCAACATACGCAAATCAATAAAAGTAATCCAGCATATAAACAGAACCAACGACAAAAACCATATGATTATCTCAGTAGATGCAGAAAAGGCCTTTGACAAAATTCAACAACCCTTCATGCTAAAAACTCTCAATAAATTAGGTATTGATGGGACGTATCTCAAAATAATAAGAGCTATCTATGACAAGCCCACAGCCAATATCATAGTGAGTGGGCAAAAACTGGAAGCATTCCCTTTGAAAACTGGCACAAGACAGGGATGCCCTCTCTCACCAATCCTATTCAACATAGTGTTGGAAGTTCTGGCCAGGGCAATCAGGCTGGAGAAGGAAATACAGGGTATTCAATTAGGAAAAGAGGAAGTCAAATTGTCCCTGTTTGCAGATGACGTGATTGTATATCTAGAAAACCCCATTGTCTCAGCCCAAAATCTCCTTAAGCTGATAGGCAACTTCAGCAAAGTCTCAGGATACAAAATCAATGTGCAAAAATCACAAGCATTCTTATACACCAATAACAGACAAACAGAGAGGCAAATCATGAACTCCCATTCACAATTGCTTCAAAGAGAATAAAATGCCTAGGAATCCAACTTACAAGGGATGTGAAGGACCTCTTCAAGAAGAACTACAAACCACTGCTCAATGAAATAAAAGAGGATACAAACAAATGGAAGAATATTCCATGCTCATGGGTAGGAAGAATCAATATCGTGAAAATGGCCATACTGCCCAAGGTAATTTATAGATTCAATGCCATCCCCATCAAGCTACCAATGACTTTCTTCACAGAATTCGAAAAAACTATTTTAAAGTTCATATGGAACCAATAAAGAGCCCACATTGCCAAGTCAATCCTAAGCCAAAAGAACAAAGCTGGAGGCATCATGCTACCTGACTTCAAACTATACTACAAGGCTACAGTATCCAAAACAGCATGGTACTGGTACCAAAACAGAGATATAGATCAATGGAACAGAACAGAGCCCTCAGAAATAATGCCGCATATCTACAACCATCTGATCTTTGACAAACCTGAGAAAAACAAGAAATGGGGAAAGGATTCCCTATTTAATAAATGGTGCTGGGAAAACTGGCTAGCCATATGTAGAAAGCTGAAACTGGATCCCTTCCTCACCCCTTATACAAAAATTAATTCAAGATGGATTAAAGACTTAAATGTTAGACCTAAAACCATAAAAACCCTAGAAGAAAACCTAGGCCATACCATTCAGGACATAGGCATGGGCAAGGACCTCATGTCTAAAACACCAAAAGCAATGGCAACAAAAGCCAAAACTGACAAATGGGATCTAATTAAACTAAAGAGCTTCTGCACAGCAAAAAAAACTACCATCAGAGTGAACAGGCAACCTACAGAATGGGAGAAAATTTTTGCAATCTACCCATCTGACAAAGGGCTAATATCCAGAATCTACAATGAATTCAAACAAATTTACAAGAAAAAAACAAACAAACCCATCAAAAAGTGGGCGAAGGATATGAACAGACACTTCTCAAAAGAAGACATTTATGCAGCCAAAAGACACATGAAAAAATGCTCGTCATCACTGGCCATCAGAGAAATGCAAATCAAAACCACAATGAGATACTATCTCACACCAGCTAGAATGGTGATCATTAAAAAGTCAGGAAACAACAGGTGCTGGAGAGGATGTGGAGAAATAGGAACACTTTTACACTGTTGGTGGGACTGTAAACTAGTTCAACCATTGTGGAAGTCAGTGTGGCGATTCCTCAGGGATCTAGAACTAGAAATACCATTTGACCCAGCAATCCCATTACTGGGTATATACCCAAAGGATTATAAATCATGCTGCTATAAAGATACATACACACTTACGTTTATTGCAGCACTATTCACAATAGCAAAGACTTGGAACCAACCCAAATGTCCATCAATGATAGACTGGATTAAGAAAATGTGGCACATATACACCATGGAATACTATGCAGCCATAAAAAAGGATGAGTTCATGTCCTTTGTAGGGACATGGATGAAGCTGGAAACCATCATTCACAGCAAACTATCACAAGGACAAAAAACCAAACACCGCATGTTCTCACTCATAGGTGGGAATTGAACAATGAGAACACATGGACACAGGAAGGTGAACATCACACACTGGGGCCTGTTGTGGGGTGTGGGTAGGGGGGAGGGATAGCATTAGGAGATATACCTAATGTTACATGATATTTAATGTAACATTAATGTTAATGGGTGCAGCACACCAACATGGCACATGTATACATATGTAACTAACCTGCACGTTGTGCACATGTACCCTAAAACTTAAAATATAATAAAAAGAGAAAGAAAGAAAATGTGGTACATATACACCATGGAATACTATGCAGCCTTAAAAATGAATGAGATCATAGCCTTCACAGGGACACGAATGGAGCTAAAGGCCATTATCCTTAGCAAATTAACACAGAAACAGAAAACCAAATGCCACATGTTCTCACTTCTAAGTGGGAGCTAAATGCTGAAATCACATGGACACATGGGGGAGAACAACACACACTGGGCCCTGTTTGTGGGGGTTATGGGGAGCGAGAGCATCAGGAAGAATATCTAATGGATGCTAGGCTTAATATGTGTACTGGTATAAATAAATGTAGTGGTATTTAATTCAAAAATTTTCAGTTATATGATATAATCAATTACTATTTTTTGAAGGATGAGTGGGTTTAAGCCGGTTTAAACTAGGTTCCTATGATTTGCAAATTAGTCTTTTTTTTAAAAAAGAGGTAGAAGGGTTTGGGAGGAGAGAGAGAAAAGAAGGAAAAGAAAACAGAAAGAAGAGGAAAAGAGAAAAGAGGAAAAAATGAAAAAAGAAATTTTTAAAAATACAGTACTGAAATACACCATGATTGAATATAAGCATTAATATCATGAAGTAAATTCTGCTCAAATTAATTTATATGTGCAGTGCAATTCTAAAATAATCTCAATACAATAACTAAGGAGAGGCAGAAACTGTATAAGAAAAATAAATGACATTTTGAAGATAATAGGACCATGATTAAAATTATGTTCACATAATAAACCAATTAAAAAGAGGCCTGTGAAACAGAACCAAAAATAGTTTAATGAAATAGAATGGGGACACCCATAAATATATCATTTTAACTATAATAATTATGGCAATTAAAAGCAGTCAAAGGTGATGGATTTTTAAATAAACAATGCTAGGATAATTATTTGATTCTAGTTATATTAAAGTATTCCATGTAAAAGTAAAATCATATGAACTAGAAGAAGGACACAGTTAATATATATATGATCTCAGATTGAAGAATAATTTTTCAGCATAAAAACAAAGGAAGAAACCAGGAAGCCAATAGATTTCATAGCACATACATTTAAAACATCTGTACATAAAGAAACACTATAAACTAGACAAAAGACAAAAAATGAACTACGGAAGTGTTTTCAATATAAGGTAGGAAAGGAACTAATATATATATACAAAACCATAAATGAGAAAAAAGAAAAAGAATACTATAGTTGAACACCAGGTAAGGGATATAAACAGATATTTTCTAAAAATATTCAAAGAGTTCATAAATGTATTAAACATATGCTTAGTCTCCTTAAAAAATCAATAAATTTTAATTAAAATAAAATTACCATATCATTTTTACCTTTATACTCATTGACTACTAACATCAATGTATATTGCAACATTTCAATACAGAATATTTAGGATTCAATTAAATACATGGAAATTATAGACTGGAAAAATAAATTATCATGTATTTCTAAGATGGGGACTATGCAGCATTTAAGAAATTATGTTTCTGAAAACTAAGGATAACATCAGAAAGCACGTATTATGTAAAATGAAATACAATAAGATAATAAAAACCATACACATGAACCATATGAATATATATTTCTGCATATATAGCCCATATTTATATAGTACTCATTTTATCCATGATATAGCGTATATATAATACACTGTAAACACATGTATATATTTGTGCACATACCTCCCCCCACACACACATCTTTATTGGGTAAGATATTAACCAACACAAATGTAGTTTGCAGTGATGCTGATTAAATTGTGTTCTCAGTTTATCTGTATTTCTCTGTGTGATTTCTATTGTCTGTATTTTAATATTTTTAGTTTCCTATGTCTAAAATATTCATTTCTTAGTTTAATGAGAAAAAATAGATTTAATAGACTTCAGTTAATTAAGAATAAAAATTGCCAAAATGAATGGTATCAGCAAAAACTGAATATATCTAAAACAGAAAGATTAGTATTAATTTTTGTACCTGTTTGAAAAATTAACAAATTGAGGATCTGAGAAATAGACTAAGTAACTCTATTGTGATTCAAAATTCACTAGCAGGTACATAATATAGAATTTTATTTCCAAAGATGTAGGAAGATAATGACTCTAGCAGTAATCTCAACAGAGAGGTAAGCTGAGAAATAATACTGAAAATCTTATTAGGTTTCAAATTATAGAAGCAGCAAAAATGTTAAAAATACCAAAGACACATGGGGAAGTTATAAATAATCATTGTAGGTTGTCCAGCATTCTCTCTGAAACATATTTCCATTACAGTTACAATGCCTGTGAAATTGAGAGCAAGGAGATTAAAACAGACAGTCCAGAGGCAGGCATAGTGCCCTGGACGTGAGCAGCTGAGACTCAAGTACCTCTAGCCTCTCTCAAACATCTCTTGTGACTCTGAGCAAGTTATTTTACCTCTCATCTCTGAGTCTCAGTTTCCTCATGTTTAAATGGAAGGAGTTGAAAGAAATGGTCTCCTGTTACTGTAACATTCTTTGATTTCAAATGCTTTTTCATGCTGGGCAAGCTGCTGAGATAAGTTTGTCTTGCAATTTTCAGTGTTTTCATTATTGATTTTATGGTGTATAAAGATAACTTAGTTTGTAATCAAAATGAACAAAAGAACCACTAGTTTTGCTGACTCAAGAACAGAGAGCCTTAAAACTTAGCCATAAAAAGCTACAATCCTCACACATCTTAGAAAGATTTAACCCTTTTTTTTTCTGATAATCTAAACCCCCATTCTCATCCCAAAAATCCTACATGAAAACCTCCTTCATTCTCTTTCCTCATTTCTGGAAAAAAAACGGATTTGTTAACAACAACAATATTAACCACATGATAATAGTTTATATTCAGCTATCACTTCATGGCAAGCCCAGTGTTGTTTTATATTTCCTCTTCTTTTCTTCATTTTATATATGAAGAAAGTGAAGTTAAAAGAGATTACCTGATCTCAGGCACACAACTAGAAGCCACAGGACATTTCTGGGTGAGAACTGAAAAGCATGAGCACTATATTTTTGGCACAAGTTATTATGTAAACATTTGAGCAACATAAATAAGACCCTATCAGAAGTTCACTAGCTCTTTGTTTATTCATGTATAATAAGAAGGAAGACCCTTTTGGGCCAGCAGAATTCCAAGTACGAAACAATTGACCCACTTTATGCTACGAAGACAGTGGCTTCTATGGCCACAGAGCCAGTTAAGACACAACACTGTAGGTAAAATGTTAAAATCCCTGAATGCTAGTGGCAGAAAGCAAAATAAAAGGCAAATATAGCTTTAATTATGTAGTTGTGAAGCAATCAAAACACACATTTAGAAAGAATACAAAATTATAGCTAGATAGGAGAAATAAGTTCTAGTGTTCTACATCAGCGTAGAATGACTATAGTTAACAATAATACATAGTTTCAAATAGCTAGGAGGATATTGAGTGTTCCCAACATAAAGAAATGGTAACTGTTTGAGATATCAATACACTAATTACTTTGATATGATCACTATGCATTATATCTATCAAAATATTACTATGTACTCTAGAAATAATAGGCACAACTATGTCAATTAATTTTTTAATGAAAAAACAAGATAGTCAGCAACTCATTTATGCAAATGTTAGGAAAGCTGCTGAAAATGAATCTGACTACACAAGCAAAATAAAGTAGGTGTCTAACAAGTCTTTATACCAGGAATTCCCAAGAATGATCTTAAAAATGGATGTAAAAAAAAATGACTGGGTACATCAGAATTTTCAGAATGTAATTTCCTGGGGCCAACCCCAGAGATTCTGATTTGGTAGATATATCTGCATTTTTTTAAGTGGGTAACCCAGAGAATTCTCATATGGTAGTTCATGAAGCACACACGGAGAAGTTTTACATCTGGAAATTATCTAAAAGAATTAAAGAGAAAATGAACACGGAAAAAAACACAGTGGATTATTCTAACCTAATTTATATTGCTTTCTACGTGACCAAATCAACATTTATGTTACCTTCTTTGAGCTTCACAATAGAGTGAGATAGTATTACAGCTATTAACTGCATGTAGAGGGTTAAGTGACTTGGCACAAGATGACATGCCACCAGGACATGAATCTGGGTCTTTTAGTTCCAAATTTCATTTTCTTTCACATGATCCTTGTTTAAAGAGATTTTGGTACAATAAATTAAAATTCCTTGAGGGCATCTGATTTTAGTAAGTCAAGAAAAATTAATCGTGGATCATATCAGAAAAATACTGACACAATTTAGAGAAAAATAATGATTTTGTTGAGGCACTCAGCTCAGAATCCCATGGGTTCTGGAAAGATTACTGCCCTACAAACAGGCTTCTAAGGTTCTGTAACTTCCTATACCCTTATTACTCCAAGGTGGTCTGCGTACCCGTAGGCATCACCTGAGTGCTTAGTAGAATTGCTAATCTTGGGCTTCACCTCCAGCCTATGGATAAGAATTCGCATTTTTATCACATACTACAAGTTCTGTGACTTTACAAAAATAACTTCATTTTATTCTGTTTTTCACTTTCCTCAACTGTGAAATGAGAAAGCTGAATTATTCTACCTTTAACATCTCTTCCAAAGCACACAGGAGTGGGAAACTATGTCCTGTGGTCAAGTCTGGTTGGCAAGCTAAGAATGTTTTTTACATGTTTAAATGGTTGGGAAAAAATCAAAATTATAATATTTGGTGACATGAAAGTTACAACAAATTCAAATGTGAGTGTCCATAAATAAAGTTGTATTCGTGCACGTGCACATGCACATTTACTTGTTTATGCATTATCTACTGCTGCTTTCTTGCTTTGGTAACAAAGCTGAGTAGGTGCAAAAGAGACTGTATGGCCCACAAAACGTAAAATATTTACTATCTGGTCGTTTACAAAAATATTTCCTGGCTGGCTCAGTGGCTCATGCCTGTAATCCCAGCACTTTGGGAGGCTGAGAAGGGCAGATCACTTGAGCCCAAGAGTTGGAGACCAGCCTGGGTAACATAGTGAAACGCTGTCTCTCCAAAAATTACAAAATTAGCCAGGCGTGGTGGTGTGTGCCTGCAGCCCCAGCTACCCTGCAAGCTGAAGCCAGAGGATTTCTTGAACCTAGGAGGTCGAGGCTGTAGTGAGCCATGAACTTCACACTGTACTCCAGCCTGGGTGACAGAATGAGACCCTGTCCAAAGAAAAAAAGAATTTCTGACCCTTGCAATATAATAACAGCAACAACAAAAATTTCAGTGTAAATGGTTACAATAAGTTGGTAACTGTACTAAGAATAAATATGCATATATGCATATAATTTGAATATACAGATACATAGATGTACTGTATATCTGTATAAAGTTTTTTGATCTATCTCTCCTCTCCCATTTTATTCTACTTACAATTTTTAAAAACACCTGACTAAACTGCTT
Organism: Homo sapiens; assembly: GCF_000001405.40. Classification (NCBI taxonomy): domain Eukaryota; kingdom Metazoa; phylum Chordata; class Mammalia; order Primates; family Hominidae; genus Homo; species Homo sapiens. Next base: position 14,209,285 of record NC_000021.9, read on the forward strand.
TTCGGAATGTCGTTTCTTTATTAAAGGCAGATTTAATCAATGATTTTCATGTTGACAACCATGAAACATGCCCTCCTTGAGGTATATATCAGAATCTCTAGTGGAGAAGAAAGGAGCATGTGTAATAAATAAAACACACTTGTATGAAATAAACTACTGGAAATCAACAAAATTTTTTAATCAAGTAGAGATTCAAGGAAAATGAGAGAATGCATAGAGTCTACATGGGTTAAAAATGAATTTGAGGATCAGTAAAATTTGTAATTCACTTATTTTCTATTTACTACTGTTAATATCTAAAAGTTCTACTATTGTATTTTAATCATCATTACACAAGAATTAGCAGACAGAAACATACAAAGCAATTATGTTTGAATTTTCCCAACTGAAAATTTAGGCAACTGACTAAATAAATACTAATCAAAACAATAATATCAGAAAGTCTGTCAAATAAGTTTTTAATGTAAACTATGATATTAAAATGATTATAACTGTATTAAAAATGACACATAAGATTAGGGGCCTAGACTTCAAATTTCTCTGGCTTTCAACTGAAGGTGCCACTATTTTACATTATAATAACATAAAATCCCTATCAAGAAACTTAAGAGTAATAATATAAATTATAAACTACATATCAGTATCATTTAGTTTCTATATTTAAATATAAAATTCAAACATTTCCAGAATTTATGGTTATCTCAAATAGCCAATTGAAAACATAAGAAATAATGGTAATTTCTAGTTAATTTTAAAGTTATTCAAGTATGCATTAACAAATTTCAAATAAATTTAAAACATAAAGGAAATAATCTGCTCTCATAAAACCCCTACAGAAAACTATCATCTTGAATTTTAAATTTGCCACTGTTATTACCATAAAGTAGAACTAATTGTTCTACTTATAAGTCGAACAAGTAATTCTACTTTCTCATAAAGTAGAAAACGATACTCTTAATATTGATAAACTTTATTACTGTACGCCAATAAACCAGAATAAAGTTCTACCTTATTACCATAAACCAGCTTTGTTTTTCGTCATACTGAATGAGAGCAAAAGTTGTAGTATCTGGTTATTTTGTTTGTTTTGCAATCGATAATTTATCCAAGTAAGAATTTTCTTCAAAAGTAGAGCTAGTTAAACAAATAAAATTGAAACAAGATATTTAAGGCATAATTTTAAATACCAAATTAATTTCTCCATTACTGAATTTTTTTCTCTTGAGTATTTCTATTTATTCTCTAGTTACATCTTTTTTTAAAAAAAGGTTTTCTAGTTACTAATTATCTGGCAAGGAAATAAAATGCAAAATGTCAACTTATTAAACAAACACATGCACACACACACGTACACACACAGAAGTTTTCTTAATAGTAATGTTTGTTATAATTAGTACCAATAATCTAACATATTTTTATCCCATTATATCATAACATTCTTTATCCCAGAATACAGACCACACTATTTTATATGCAATTTTTAAAGATAAATCAAATTATTAATTAATATCTTACCAGATCTCACCCAGCACATCAAACAAAGAAAAATGTATACTCTCATTTGGAATCTGAGAAAAGCAAAAACAGCACTCAATTCACCAAAAAGGAAATTCCGTAACTCATTGAGGTTTCTCTTTGGTAGGATCATCACAGGCTGGCAGGTTCTTCTGTAAAAGTTCACTGATTTTTGCTCCTCCCTCTTGGTTGAAAAGGTGAGGTAGTTTGTTTTCTCCCACTTTAGCTTGTGGTTGTGGGAAGGATTTTTAAGTCACAGGCTCTGTAATAAGTCACAAACAAACCTTCAGCTACACAAGTTGAATTTAAGGGAATGATAAATCTAATTACATCTTTCTGTATTCCTTTTAACCTCAGGATTTCAGAAGCGGTCAGGAAAATATGCAAATGTGATGTTAGAAAATGCTAGAAATGGAAAGAGTCAGAAAAAGTTGTGGTTTATATTCACTTTGACTACAAACTAAGATATCTTTATATACCATAAATCAATAATGAAAGCCATATCCATTAAGCTCTTTCAAGTATAAAAGATGAGCTTTTCATATTTATGTTATTTTACATCCCCAAAGCAGGGGCTATTTTAACATTCAAAATTTTGGCTCATCACTTGAGGCTAAAAGGTGAAAATTATAAAAAAAAAAGTATTTAATATGATGACCATTTTAAAATTAGCATACATTTTCTTTTTACATGTTTACTTAATTATCTTCTTTTCTTAGCAATGGACTTTAGTAAGCAAGAAAAATTGGGAGTTGTTCTAAGTACATAAATTGAAAGTTTAAAAATTAATTCATTTTTAAAAAATTCAAGTTTCTCTAAAGTTCCAAAAATACAGTAAGAACAGAAGTGTTTTTTGTATGTTATAAATCTGCAGAAACTAATCTGAGGTCTGGGGAAGTATTTGAGAAAATTCACAAACAAAATGAAGTATTAGTTTAAAAAAATCACAAACATTTAACTGCTGAGGAAGTTCCATCATTATTTTGAACTGTCTGATCTCTGGGTGTTTTACATGAGATTTCCATTTTTTAAAAAATACCACCACTACAATTTGTTTGAAGACCAAAAATAATCTAGGTCCTTCCACAGCACTTAGCTGTAAGAACTGCACCTCTCTAACAAAGATATAAATAAGCCACATCATTTCAGAATATGGGAAGAAAGATAATGTGTCATACATCCTAGAACAAATTTTTCCTAACAAATTTTACTTAATAAATTAAAATACAAATCTTTCCTCCTTCACTTATAATTTCCTTTTCTCTTTGTGCTTTCAATGTGGCATTATAATATGACTCTTGCACATTTACTTTCATCTTTATGAGTTCATACTGAAAAATACTGGCATATCAGGCAGTATAATATAGAGTTTCAAAATTAAAAATCATGCTTCTTCATTATCATGTATTTTGCCTACTGCCAATATGAGAAAGATGAGGTTATTAATGTTCATTGCATTAAATAGGAAAATATTGGGGGATGACAAAGTTACAAAATGCCAATAGTTTAGTAAGACAATCTATTTGAGCACTTGTTTAGTCCTCCTTGGATATAAAAAATGATTGTAAGTAGCTTACATACACACTTACAATGTAAACATTAACTCAAAGGGGATGTTCATGATGATGATGTGATGATGATGATGAAGATTTAAAATTTATTGAGCCCTATGTATCAGGCGTTCTTCAAGCACTTTACAAGTGAGTTAATTAGTGTTTGAGATGGAAAATCATTGTTTATCACAATATATTTTGTCACAACCTTTTATTAATTTGTCAATGTGTCAAAATGTTTAACAATCTTACCCTTTGACTCAGCAATTAAGCAACAAAGATACTTCCTACAGAAATCCAAGACACTTTCCTACAGACACATCCAAGGTCCTTTTATGTGGCAAATGGCCTACATGTGCACAAATATATGAGCAAAGACATTCATCTCACCATTCCAATAACAGTCAAAAAATGAAAGCAATATAAAATCTAACAATGAGAGATTAGTCTAATTAGGTATCTACTGTGGATTAAAACTAATGATACAGATTGATCAGTATTTATTGGTGTAAAAGGCCTTCATTACACCTTTTTCATTACAAAAAGTTTTAGAGGGCAGAGGGCAAGCTAAAAAACAGTATTATATAGCATGCTTTATTTTCCTAAAGTGTGATATATATAAATATATATATATATTTTCCTAAAGTGTGATATATATATATTTCAAAGTCTGGAAGGTTTTCCTCCAAAATAGTTATCTCTGCATGATAAATTTGTCAGTAATTTTTACTTTATTTCCTTAAATTTTAACAATATTTATTTATAATAAACATCTAATACACATAAAACAATTGAAAAACTGTATTTACTTGACAAAAATATGGTTCAGAAAAAATCAGAATAAAGACAAAATAAGTGTTTAAAAAAGTGAAGACAAAAATGAGTTCAATTTAAAAAAGCATCCAATAAAATCCCTTAATAGTAGTTGGCCAACCTCCTTTCCTTCCTTCCTTCCTTCCTTCCTTCCTTCCTTCCTTCCTTCCTTCTGTTTCAGTTGTTCATTCACTTATGCAACTTTTATTAAGTACCTATTGATTTCCAGGCACAGACTTTGTTGTTGGGGATACAAAGTAAAGACATTAATTTATTTAATCTGTATTCTTTCAATAGCTATTTATTATACACCTACAGGTGTGTCAAAGATTGTCTTAGGTACTGAAATATATTTACTCTATACTAGTTCCCAGTGAGAAGGACTTGACAGAAGTGTACCTAGGGAACTATGGAAGCACACAAGTGGAGTGGCCAGCTAATTTGGAAGGCAGAGTTCAGAGAAGCATTGCAGGACATGTTGCCTGGGCTTAACTACAAAAGAGAGTAAGAGTTGGCTGCACAGGGCCGGGCACAGTGGCTCACGCCTATAATCCCAGTACTTTGAGAGGCCAAGGCGGGTAGATCACCTGAGGTCAGGAGTTTGAGACCATCCTGGCCAACATGGTGAAACCCTGTCTCTACTAAAAGTACAAAAATTAGCCGGGCATGGTGGCACACACCTGTAATTCCAGCTACTCAGAGGCTGAGGCAGGAGAATTGCTTGAATCTGGGAGGCGGAGGTTGCAGTGAGCCGAGATTGGGCCATTGCACTCCAGCCTGGGCGACAAGAACAAAACTCCATCTCAAAAAAAAAAAAGTTGGCTGGGCAAAAGAAGATAAAGAAATGAGCTCTAATTATACATATATAGACATACAGAGGTATACATGTATATATACATATATTTTCATTTATTATATGTTCATTCAGCTAGGGACATCAGACATCCTGATATAAATGAAGAAAGGCTAGCTCTTTATAGAGTGTTACATGTATTTAACCCATTAAAACCTGATATATGACTAATGGTACAGTAAATACTGAAAGTGAAGTGAATTATTTTTAACCTACTACTAGATTTATTACCATGCATGCATTCAATATGAGTTAAGAAACAGAACATGCTTACATTAGAAAAATGATATATTGAGATCATATTCTGAAAAAATTGCTAACTACAGAAGCTGACTTTCAGAGTTTATAATATTAACTAAGTATTCTAGAATTATAAGCACTATAAACTTATGTACGGCCAGAAGAGGATATTATAACACCAAAATTATGCACATTTGTAGACAAAGAAGGATGCAAATTTCAATAGAACAATATAATATGAACATTAATTACAAGTGTAGTTAAAGGTTTGTAGCATACGCACTCATATACATGCAATGGTTTAAACTGAAACCTGAAGATACAGCTTGCATATAAGAAGTGTCTGAGGGGAATTCAAGGAGGAAATATGTTGCTTTGATGAGATTTATGAAGTAAATGAATACAAATAAATCAAGAGGTCTACACATAACAGAGACTTGCAAGTATCCATTCATTTGATCAACATATATTTATTTGCCTACAATATGAGTGTTTCCTTAACTCCTTCTTACTGTACCGCAACTCTACTGATGATAGAGGAAAGAAAAAGGAAAAAAAAAAATGGAGACAGGACTTATATCAGTTGAAGGTAACTACTGAAGTTACTAGCATTTATATTATATTTGTGAGGGTAGAAAGGCTGTCTCTCCCAAAGTATAAGCTTTAGGAGGTCAGACTTTTATATTTCCCTTTGTTTTCCAAGAATTAAGCATTCAGAAAATACCTATTAAATGAAGTAACTATATTTAGTCCAATCCATTCCTTAAGAAACAGAATCCGAATTCCAAAGAGAAATTACTTGTTCAAAGTAATAAAACTATGTAATGTCAGAGATCAATTAGAAATTAGGATTTCCTAAAATGTGTACCTTTTCATTAGAAAAGATGACTTTTTTTGGTCCATCAACCAGATAAAAGCATGCTTCCTCAATTCAAAATGAAATTTTATCACGATGCCAAACTAAAGGTCAAATAATGTTCTGATCACCTATATGATATTCATGAGATGATCTCAAGGTCCTATGTAGACGTATGGTAGCTTCAGAAAGGAAGCCAAGTTAACAGTTGACAGCTGATTTATCAAAGTATTGAGATTCTAAGTTTTCTTTCTCCTTTCTTGTAATTTTATTGTTCATAAGACTTTTATTAAAAACAAAAATTATCCCCAAGAAAGAACTAAGCCTTTAGCCTGGTACACCATATACAAAGTATAGCCCTGAAACAAAGTACAGCCGTTGGATCCTGACACAAACCCTAGCTGCCATCCTCAAAAATTCTGGCTTAGACACAAAACTGGCTCACTCTCACCAGTATATCCCTTGGTATTTGCTTTCTCAAGTTCCTTTTGGAGTCCACTTAAAACCTCTGCGACCAGTTTCAAAAACTCATCTAGGGAGCACTTTCTAGGAAAATAAACTTTAATTCTAGTTTTCTGTTGTATCCACATCCATGCAAACATCGATTCTTTCAAAAATTATTTATAGTTTAATATCTTCATGATTTGTTCATTTATTCTTTGGACCCAAAGAAATGTATCTCCCCGCATTTGCC